>NC_000015.10:74526874-75776874 GCF_000001405.40 Homo sapiens | reverse complement strand
AAAAGTCTGGTATACTCTTAGAAACCTATGTGAGGGTCATCCCTAAGTATATTAATGTTTTTTCTGTCTCAAGAGAATCAAGGGAAACTGATGCTTCAGAAAGATCTCCCGCATTTATCCTGTGGCACTCAATGTACCCCAAGTTGAGATGATATGAGGAAGATTCAAGCTGTCAAGTTTAGTTTTCCAAGATCTATTCCATAGAAGATGAGCTAATCTCACTTCAGAGACCACTGACTGAAGGGCAGTCTGGTCCCAGAACCATGGAGAATTAGAATATGAGGTGGAGAACTCAGAAAAAAATGTTGAAGTCTCTCTGGAGAGTAGAAGCCTGGGAGAAAACAAAACCAAACCCATTTTCCATTGTCACCCAGAGATACTGTCAACATTTTGAGCTCACGGGGGAAGTGTAGGCTTTTCACACTGTCAACGTCTATGTGAAGGGAATAAAGCAGCCTGAAACCTCTTGCTCTTAGGTCCCATAGTCCCCATTCCCCTTCCAGCTGGAAATTTGTGCTGCAACCAGAGGAACCAGAAATGGGGGGAGAATGCTTAGGGGATTGGGTCATAAGATCAAAGGCTGGTCTTGCAGCAGTAATGACAGTTCCTAGGGGGACTGTGACATCACTACATTCCACTCCTCCTGGGGGTGGGGGAAACCTCATCAGTGTGATGGCTGAGTCACCGATCCACGATGGGGGAGGGGGACTTAGGGCTGGGACCCAGGTCCTTGGAGACTCCAGTCCAAATAGCCCAGGGATGTTGGGCTTGGGTCAGCAGGAGGGGAGAGCAGAGTCTGCAGCAGGGAACCCCAGGAATCACCAGCCCAAAGTCACCCAGGGATGACTGGTGACGGGAGGGGCTGGGGCTGGGGACCCAGGTCCTTGGAGAGATGAGCCCAAAGAACCCAGGGAGGTCAGGCTTGGGGTGGCAGGACATGAGGGCAGAGTGTGGAGCAGGGAGCACTAGGAGTCACCCACCCAAAGTCACCCTGGGGTGGTTGGTGAGGGCAGGGGCTGGGCTGCTTGCTTGAAGGGGCAGGGCTGACTGACAAGACTTTGGTGGGGGGAGTCCAGAGGCCCCAAATTGGGGGGGCCCAGCCCGGTATGCCTCAGGAGTGGTATGGACTCTAGCAGTGGTCTTGTCATTGGAGGGATCTCTGGCTGGGTTGGGGGGCCATGAACTCGTGTGTTTTACCTTTTTCTTGGCTGCTGCCAATTTACTCTGTTGAGTTTCTTCTAACATCGTGGGGTGGGGAGGAAGGCAGGGTTGGGGCCACATCAGCGAACACCTCCAGTCACGTATCAGGCACCTGTGTGACTGAGCCAGAGGAGGCGTAACCAGGGCCCCACTAGAACACAGAATAGGGGTGTGGCCTTAATGCTCCAAGCCCATTGGTCAATGAGAAAGATGAAAGGGAAAGGAGGCATGGCCAGGCAGCAGTTTGTCCCGAGGAACCTGTGGCATCACAGGGAAAGCTGCCTATGCAAATGCTGTCCCCACCCACTTGGGGAGAGGGGTGGGGCCTGCCTACTCTGGGAGAGGGGAGGGGCCGGCTTTTGCTTTAAAACTTTAAAAATAAACTTTAAAAAATATGTATTTATACTTTATATATATGTGTGTCAGTGTGTGTGTGTCTACATGTTCCTCCAGAGCTGTCTTCATTATCCAGCTCCTATGCATGGTCTATGATTGTGGCCTACATTTTTCATCTTCAGATGGAGTATAAGAATTACCAGTATTACCTCAATTGAGACATAAATCCTATAAAAATGGAAAATCCATAGCATGTTTGATGAATAATGAAGCGGACTATATTATCCAACATTCCAATAAGGTAAAATGATCACCATGATTTCTCTTTTTTGGAAAAACATTTCTCTTATTCTCCTACATTGTTAAGATTTTTTAAAAAACAAGAAACATGTCTAATATCTTTAAAAACACAAAGCTTTTGGGCTGGATGTGGTGGCTCACACCTGTAGTCCCAGCACTTTGGGAGGCGTAGGTGGGTGGATCACCTTAGGTCAGGAGTTCAAGACCAGCCTGGCCAACATGGTGAAACCCTGTCTCTACTCGAAATACAAAAACTAGCCAGGTATGGTGGTGGGTACCTGTAATCCCAGCGCTGGGGCAGGAGAATCACTTGAACCCGGGAGGTGGAGTTTGCAGTGAGCCAAGGTCATGCCACTGCACTCCAGCCTGGGCGACAGAGTGAAACTCCATTTCAAAAAAAATAAAATAGTAAAAAAATAAATAAAAACACAAAGCTTGCCATTTAATAAGCACTCAAAGTTCTTTACTGGTTTAAAGTAAATACAAGGCCTATTTTTCTAGAATCACCTGGCCTCTCTAAGCCTTGCAAATGAAACTGAATTTCTCACTTGATACTTGGCTATGACTTGCAATCATGAAAACCAAGAATTGTGTTATGTCACTGTGTATTGATTGTTACCTGAATTCCACACTAGGCTGGGATCAAGGGTTGAATCTTTCATGATTTGCTCCATAACCTGTGAGCGTCTTTTCCTACACCAAACTAAGCTTTGTTCTAGAGTTCTACAATTTACAGTTAGTAGACAAGAGTGGTTCTCAAAAATGTAGTCTCTGGACTGGCAGCACCAGCAGAACCTGAGAACCTTTTATAAGTGCAAATTCTCAGGCCCCACCCCAGACCTGGTGAATCAGAAACTCTGGAGTAGGGCTCGGCAATCTGTGCTGCAGTCATCCCTCCAGGTGTTCAAGAACCTCTGGCATACGGCAGGTAGAAAAATGTGTTTCCTCTGTAGGTCCAAAGCCAAGGATACCATATGTTCTGTCTTGATATGAAACAATGACATGCAATTAAAAGACATAAATCTCCTTCCTACTCCCACCCTCCATCCAATGTGTTTTATTTTTATGAGTTAAATAAGAAAACAAATGGCAATCAGAGATTCAGCCTAAAAAGTATGTTTACAAGTGTCAGTTCTCATCCAGCCTGATCTCACACAATACCATTTACACCCTCTTACCGCTCAAGTTTTTTAAAAAGTGTCTTCACAATGTAAGTCTCAGGCACACTAGCAGTTCTATAATAAAACAGCAAGTAGATCAGAATGTCCAAACTTACTAGAGAAGAAAAGTGGAATCATTGGCTATATTTTCAAATTGCATTCAACAGGAAATGTAAGTTTTGAATTCTTTTTACCTTCATACTTCCAAGTTAATAGAATTAAATCAGAATACTCCATTCTTTCAAAGCCTCTAGTAAGGCAAAGTTTTACTGTATTACTTCTTGCTATCAATGGCTATAAAGCAGAGTCCTGGTAGGCACATTTTGTATGCCTGCAAAGATGCAGAACTTAACAGTTCCATCTGTTCAATATTACCGCAAAAGTCCTTTAAACCTCGGATGGTGAGTGTAATACTTCAGCACTAGCACCAAAGCCTCAAATATAAAAAGATACCAAGAACACCACTAGCAAACAAAATGAGCTCTTGGCTGGGAGCAGTAGTTCACACCTGTAATTCCAGCACTTTGACAAGCCAAGGTGGGAGGATTACTTGAAGTCAGAAGTTCAAGAACAGCCTGGGTAGCATAGCGAATTCACATCTCTATAAAAAAATTTAAAAAATTAGCTGGGCATGGTGGCACACACCTGTAGTCCTAGCTACTTGGGAGGGTGAGGTAGGAAAATTGCTTCAGCTCAGGAGTATGAGACTGCAGTAGCTATGATCATGCCACTGCACTCCAGCCTGGGTGACAGAGCAAGATCTAGATAATTACAGTCTGTCCTGCTCCTGGTTATGTTAAAAAATCACTAAGTTAAAATGCTTTCAATCAACAGGATAAAAGTGAAATGTGACTTTGGAGGTTGGCCAGAAAACAGGCAATGGAGAAACAGACATTTCCCACAAGAATAAAAATGGCCAATAAGCATATAAAAAAGATTCAAGGCCAGGTACAGTGGCTCACGCCTGTAATCTCAGCACTTTAGGAGGCCGAGGTGGGTGGATCACCTGAGGTCAGGAGTTCAAGACTGGCCTGATCAACATGGTGAAACCCCGTCTCTACTAAAAAATACAAAAATTAGCCAGGCATGGTGGTGGGCACCTGTAATCCCAGCTACTCGGGAAGCTGAGGCAGGAGAATCTCTTGAACCCAGAACCCAGGAGGTGGAGGTTGCAGTGAGCCAAGATCACACTGTTACACTCCAGCCTGGGCTATAGAGCAAGAGTCCATCTCAAAAAAAAAAAAAAAAAAAAAAAGGTTCAAAAGCACTAGAAACCAAATAAATGTAATGAAAACAATGAGATTTTCTGCTTAAATACCAGCAAAGAGGACAAATGGAAGGGGACACTGGAGCTCTGCCCCTGTTGGGAGTATAAACTGAACCAATTTTTCTGCAGGATAATTTGAAAATTTCTATTAAAAATCTTAAAACTGCTTTATGTTATTTTCCTCCAGAAATTCTACTTCTATGAATTCAGCCCAAAAATGCTTGCTTGCGTCCATTAAACTATATTTGTATAAGAAAATTTACTTCTGGGGTGGCAATGATTAACTTAATATACATCGGGCTTTTAAAGAGGATGATGCCAAGGATATATTTACTGCCATAGAAATATGCCCAAAACACAGTGACAAAAGACTATATATTACAATTCTACTTTTTAAAATGTTCATATGCATAAAAAATACAAAAAGCAACAAACCAGAATGTTTTGAGTGGCAAAATTTAAGACTTTTCTTCATATTTTGTCTTCCAAATTATTACAAAAAGAAAGTGATTTTCTTTATAATCAGGGAGAAGTATTATTTTCATTTATTTACATATAAATTTATTTTCTTTTCCTTATTTTTTCTCATGTATGTATCACATGTACTCTAGAGAGCTTGAATCCCTACCTCTTGAGGTAAATCAGACCATTTCCGTCTCTATCAACTTGCCTTTTTTGGACATTTCAAATCAATGGAATTATACAATAAGTGTCTGGCTTTTTTACTTAGCTAATGTTTTTGAGGTTGGTCCATGACATATAACAGGTTTTGGTAGTTTGTTCCTTTCATTACTGAGTAGAAGTCCATTGATGGATATATACCACATTTTGTCAGCAGAGAACATTTAAACTTTACTTTCAACTTCCTATGGTCTAAATGAAACCGCTGGAACACAGGACTTACAGTGAAAGCTGCTGTGCATGTCAAAAGAACTACTTATCAGAACCAGCTTTGTCATCAGGAGCCTGAACTGCTGCAGAAATTTTTATCATTTTGCAACTTCTTTTTTTACAAGCAGCTTTTGTGCTACTACACATCAGGACTTTTGAAGCATCTGATACATCCATCTAATAAGTATGAGCATGTGTCTGAATGGACAAGTAAAACCATCTATGCTACACTGTATATTTTTTCCTCCCCCAGACTGGACCAGGGATCTCTCAACTTTCTAGAGTATCCTGTCTCCATTGACAAAGCTGAACAGTATTAAAGATCCTGCTGCCTTTGTTAGGCAGATTTGGAAGGGAGGCCCAACAGCAAGCGTGGAGAGGAAAAAGAGAGGGGAGCTTGTGGAACAGGAAGCCCCCTGGGTCCACACATGGCTCCCAGCTGTTGAGGATGTTGTGGATGGGGAAGTGCTGATGGTGTCCCGAGGCAAGCCTAGCACCTGCACTGGGCCCAGAAGGGCTTGACTTTGGCCCCTTACCCACATTCCAGAAGTGTTTACAAGCTGGTTTTGCTTTTCTTCTTTTCCTAAATAATCATTACTTGGTAGTTAGTTATTAACCTTTCTTTGGGAGAGGGATGGGGCTTTAAAACTGAAGAACATAATTTTCATTAAAATATCAAAAATGGAAAAAGGTTACTTTGTAAACAATTTGCTATACAAACCAAATGACAGCTGTTGAGAATCTCAATAAAATGTTAAATGCATTTGCTGCTATTAGAAGAAATAAAGAAAAAACATTTTGAAGAAATAAAGAAAACATGCATTTGCTGGCAGTGGTACCATTTGCCCGAGGTTGGGTTGCTGTGTCATCATACTGTGGTGGGGGGTATATGTGGTGTATATGTGTGAAACTTTTCATGGCAGGATGGGTCATAATCTTAGCTGCAGTTTTCCTTCCAAATAGGGTTACAAAGTAGTAAAACATGGGCTTGGAAATGACAGACCTGAGTGAGTCTCACCTGAGTGAATAAGCACAGCTAAAGAAAAATCCAATAAAACTAACTTTTAATAATCCTGAGGTTGGTTTTTGAAACAATAGATGCAATGATTTACTCTAAGCATCTGGTTATGACTTTGAATCAATAATACATACTGTCTCGACCCTTTTTTAAAAAATGGAATCAGAGGTTTCATCCAGAAAACCCCAAAACAGTGACTTTTTTTTTTTTTTACAGCCAAGGCAGGTACCATGTTGGCAGCCCCAGACCTGACACCGTGGCTCCCATGTCCCCTCTCCACTTCCGTCCTGCACATCACCTATACTACATGCTGTCCCTGATGAATCCAAGCTGTCAGCTTTCATCAGCTTGGCTGGGAAGTCATGCTGACCATAAGTAGAATGGTGCTGCCTGAGTTGGGGGCTAAGTGGGAATGGGCCTGGCATGGGGTGGGGGAGGTAGGGGTGAGGCAGGTGTCTGGCACCTCTCTGCTTATCTTCCCTTCTCCCTGGCCCACAAAGGAAGCATCTTCTCCATGTACCTCTGCCACCTCGGGAACATAAAATACTGCCTCAGGTCTGTCTTCCCTTGGACATAACCCATCTACCTTCCTGTGGGACTCAGGGCTTTGTTTTGTCCTGGGGCCCACATGAGAAGCAATTATCCCTGCTCTGCTTAGCTGAGAGAGGACAAACTGAGGCAGAGCAGGGGAACAACTCTGTCATAGTCTGGCTGTTAATGGCAGAGTCAAGACCAGCCCTTCCCTGAGTGTCAGGTCCAGTGGGCACCAAGCGTGGAGGCTGTATTAGCCCATTTTGTGTTGCTCTAGAGGAATACCTGAGACTGGGTTATTTATTTATTTATTTTTGAGACGAAGTCTAGCTCTGTCGCCCAGGCTGGAGTACACTGGCATGATCTCAGGTCACTGCAACCTCCGCCTCCTGGGTTCAGGCTATTCTCCTGCCTCAGCCTGCCGAGTAGCTGGAATTATAGCCATGCACCACCAGGCTTGGCTAATTTGTTGTATCTTTAGTAGAGACAGGGTTTTGAGATGGAGCTTCGCTCTTGTGGCCCAGGCTAGAGTGCAATGGCGTGATCTCGGCTCACTGCAACCTCTGCCTCCCAATTCAAGCAATTTTCATGCCTCAGCCTCCCAAGTAGCTTGGATTACAGGCATGCACCACCATGCCTGGCTAATTTTGCATTTTTAGTAGAGGCAGGGTTCACCAGGTTGGCCAGGCTGGTCTTGAACTCCTGACCTCAAGTGATTCACCCGCCTCAGCCTCCCAAAATGCTGGGATTACAGACATGAGCCACTGCTCCTGGCCCTGAGACTGGGTAATTTATAAAAGAGGTTTATTTGCCTCACAGTTCTGCAGGCTGTACAAGCATCTGCTAGGCTTCTGGTGAAGCCTCAGGAAGTTTTTACTCCTGGCGGGAGGCAAAGAGGGAGCAGACGTGTCGCATGGTGAGAGAAGAAGCAAGAGAGAAGAAGCATCAGCTCTTTTAAACAACCTGTTCTCCTGTGAACTAATAGAAAACTCACTCATTGAATCACTTGAACCCAGGAGGTGGAGGTTGCAGTGAGCTGAGATCGTGCCACTGCACTCCAGCCTGGGCTGTGAGCAAGACTCTGTCTCAAAAATAAATAAATAAATAAATAAATAAAAGAAAAAAAATAAGAAAACTCACTCATTACCATGGGGAGGGCACTAAGCCATTCATGAGGGATCCCCCACCATGACCCAAACACCTCACACTATAGGCCCCACCTCCAGCATTGGGGATCACATTTCAACACGAAATGTGGATGGGACAAGTATCCAAACTATGTCAGAGGCCTCCCCCTCCCTCTCATCAGAATCTTCTGTCCTCAGTTCAGGTGCATGCTGGCCTCCATGCCTGGCTCCTAGGAAGTCATCTTGGCCCCAGTGGGTTGGGCAGGGCCACTAGGCCGAGGGTTGCAGCCCTATCTCTCCTAGTCCCAGCCTGGGTCTCCATCACTGGCTAGCCCGCTCTGCTCACTGCATTCTCTCCACACCTGCTCCCTGCAGCCCAGGAGTCAGTCTGGGTGCAGGCCTGGGTAGAGGTCCAGGAGCAGATTCTACCCCCCAGCTCATACCTCCTGTGCACCATGGCAGCCAAAATGCACTAGCATGACCAGGAGCACTGGCTTGTCCCTGTAATCTCAGTGTTTTTAGAGGCTGAGGTGGAAAGATCACTTGAGACCAGCCTGGGCAACATAGCCAGATACTGTCTCCACAAAAAATAAAATTAGGCACGGTGGCATGCACTTGTAGTCCCAGCTCCTCAGGAGGCTGAGGTGGGAAGATTTCATGAACCCAGGAGGTCCAGGCTGTGATGAGCTATGATTGTGCCACTACACTCCAGCCTGGGCAACAGAGTAAGACCCTGTCTCTAAAACAAAAAACAAAGTGCACCGGTGTGCGGATTCCAGCTTCTCCTGGTGTGTGGACCTGACCTCACTCAGCCCCATCAGTGAGTGGGAGGCTTCCTGCTGTCTTCCAGAACATTCCCACCACTACACCTGTGTCCCTCCTGCATTATCTGACAGGCTTTGTGAGGGGGCCTGTCACCTACCTCTCTGGCTGCCCTAAGATCCAGCTCAAACCTTCCCTGCCCCTGAGAACATTTTCCTGAAGAGTCTTTCTCCCCACCCACAGGCCCTATCATTTCAGAGCTTTTGGTGCGGTGAGTACAATGATCTACTCTTTCTACCAGCTTGGGAGGAATTGTCCCTAGGGTTGGGTCTCTGGATGGCATATGAGGGTCTAGACCAGGACCCAGATGCCTATAACCTGAAGGGCAGGACCTCAGCTGCCCCAGCTTGACACAGCCTCTTGTTCAGCCTGACCTTCTGGGACAGGCCTGACCCCTGCATCCTTTGGTCTTGGTCCCTGCAGGGAACTCTGGTTACCCTGGCTTACCTACTTTGACTCCAAAGGTAATGCTGACATCCCCTATGAGACACAGTGACAGACTGAGACTAATGTAGGGTTACTTGGCTCAGAGTCACCATGGCCAGGCAGAGCTCAGGTCCTAGCCCTGTTCAACCTCTGCCTCCCAGGTTCAAGTGATTCTCCTGCCTCAGCCTCCCGAGTAGCTGGGACTACAGGCAAGTGCCACCACGCCCAGCTATTTTTTGTAGTTTTAGTAGAGATGGGGTTTCACCATGTTAGCCAGGATGGTCTCAATCTCCTGACCTCATGATCCACCCACATCAGCCTTTCAAAGTGCTGAGATTACAGGCATGAGCCACTGCACCCAGCCTCCCCAATGCCCTTCTAGCTCTGGTGCCCTGCAGGGTGTACCTTGGAGCACCTGGAGCCCAAGAAGCTGCCCCTCACCTTTGTGATCCCAGGGACCCACTCCCTGATCATGATGAAGGTGGACCCAAACCTGCTGAGGTGCCTGAAGGAGCAAAGGTCAGCCTCTGCCTCCCACGGCCTCTCTGATGGGGGGGATGTTATCCCAGCAGCATGAGCTGGGAGCAGAATCAAGAGGATGGGCGGTTTTCTCTGTGGGTAGCTCTGGGCTCCAGGGTGGAGCCCTCTTAACCTGGCCCTTCCCCTGTGACTCTCCTTGGCCCCAGGCAAAGAAAGCAGCTTGCCCGAGGTCACCTGTCAGGTAGGGACAGAGTGGACCTGGGCTCTTTCTCACCCAGCTGCAGCTCCCCCTCCCCCCAACCCCTTCCCCCAGGTGATAGAGAACCTGGCAGGATGTGCCCCATAGAAGAGTTCACTTTCCTTCTGGTGAGGGATGGGAACCAGCTTGGGGCGGGAGGGATAAGGGGTCTGGGGGCTCTCCCAGCCCAGCCTCACATTTGAAGGATGGCATCTGGGTGGCAGCATGGTTTAGGCTAGACAGGGCAGCCCCGAGGTTTATAGCCTGGCCTCGGGCAGGATGCTGTCATGCCACCTTCCCTTCTGCACGTCCTGACCTGGCATCCTACCTAGTTAAAGGTCCTCAGGCCTCCTGCCCCCTGAGCATTGCCCCCACTCCCTGCCCAGACACAGCTGTCCTTGTCCTGGACTAATCTTCAGAGATTCTTGTCCAGCCCACAGCTTTGCTGGACATCGCAGGCTGGGCCAGGCCCCCTGCCCAGCACTAACATCTCTTTGTGAGTCTCAACCAGACTGAGCTGCAGCTTCAGGGTCAGGGTAGGCGCTGACTTAATTGATGTGACCCAGGACAAGGGGGTTTATTGATGGTGTCAGACCTGCTTAAGTTCTTGGCCTCTATAGTCTCTTTGGGGCATAATACCCCTCTGTCCCATGCTTAGGTGCCCACGTGTGGCCACAAGTGCCTTTCCTACCACCATCCCTACTTGAGGCTGGTGTCCAGGCACCTGTGGCTCCAGGCAGAAGGCTGAGCGCAGAGCCAGGCCTGGGCAGACATTCCGCAGGGGCTGCAGGAGCTGACAGTCCTGACCACCCAGCCCGTGGCCATCCATTCCCCTTCACCGTGGCTGGCCCCTCATCCACCATCCTTCCAGGGGCCAGGCCTGGGCCCAAACTGACTTTTGCCTGCCCCTGGTCCCCCTCGTGCCTGCCAGGTTCTTTGCTGAGCGTGATGGTCTTGCCCATTTCCTTGATTATCCTCAATAAGAGGTTTATAGAGCCACTTGGGGATGTCACATCTCCTGTCTACCAGGTCCTCACCAGAGACAGGACTGCATTGGGCCGGGCCTGGGATAGTCAGGGGTCACACTCACCTGTTGGGACCTAGCTTCAGTGGCTTCAATCTGGGCAATGGCCTGATGGGCGGCTGCCCCTTCTCCTCTGCTTGGGGGAGGCAGGAGAGGAAGGTCAGGCAGGAGATCTGCTTCCTGCTCTCCTGACGCTGGTTGGAAGCAGGGCGCCCACCTGTGCCTGTCTCACCTTGCTGCAGGTGCATCGGAGGCCAAACCCCTCTCCTGATCTCCTGCAGGTGCGGATTCCAGGTTTCCAATGGGTGTCGGGGTGGGCTCCAGAGCTCTCCTGGTCCTAGGGAACCCTGGGCTCCATGAGGCCTTGGCCTAGCTGGATTGTTTCCCACACTGTCACCTCCCCACCCGGTCACTTCCCCAAACATGGGGCTGCATACTCTGTGCCCTGGGTGGGACATTGGAAGGAGTTCCACCTTCCAGGTTTGGATCACAGTAAAGCCTCTGCCATGGGGATGTGCTGGCTGAGACAGATGGGGTTGAACCAGCCCTGTCACTTTGGCCTTGGGCAAGTCACCTGTGCCTTGCTTCCCTTTCCCCAGCAGCCAGACAGCTGGACAGGGATAATAGCACCTATTTCACTTGTACTCAAGTGCTCACTTGTTAGCAGGAACTAAGTCCTGGAGGAGGTGCAGGCAGAGCCATCGAGAAAGCACTGCAGCTGGACCTGGGTCTGAGTCCCAGCTCCTGGCTGTGACATGCGTCTCTCCCTCTGTTTATTCATCTGAAGGACAGGGCTGTGCTGTTCTGGGGTCACTGTGACAATGCAACTGGCCTGTGTGAGTTGGTGGTGGCCTCCTGAGATGGTTTGAGGTGGGCTGGAGGTGTGTCTTGAATGCCCCCTCACCCCCATGGGGAAGACCCACTTAGGGAAGACTCATGTGTCTGTATGGAGGAACCCACATTCCCTGCCCCTCAGCTGTCCTCTGTCCCTTCCCAGCCCCCTCTGCTGTCCTGCAGGCTCTGACGGTGGCCATCCAGCTTGGTGGCCATCTGGCTGGTCCAGTCTTCCAGGTGGACCCTCTGTCCTCAGGTGGTGCAGGTCCCATTGTGCCACCTCCAGACAGGCCATGCTAGCCCCAGGGCCTCCGTTCCCTGTTACCCAGCCCCCACCCCCAGGTACGTGCCCCCTCCCTAAAGCCCACTGTGTCCACCAGCTGTGTTTCAACTCTGTCTCTGTGCAAGGCCTAACGCAAAGCCTGAAACAGCCTGGCTTGTAGAGGGCCAGGAGACCAAAGCTTGAAGAGAGAGTGACGGTCTCCCAGAGCCCACTTAGCCTCAGCCCCAGGGCTGTGTCCATGCTGTTCCTGGCTCCATTGAGCCAATTCTCTCCCCTGACGCCTGTAAGGGCTCCAGTGGTGATGGAGGTAGCTGGAGAGAACAAGGCTGTCTTAACCCTCCCTCCCTGAGAAGGCCCAACGGGGAATGTTTTAGGCATCAGGGCATTCTGGGGGCATCTTCCAGGGACCCCTCCTACACCCTGCCCTGCCCTGGCTCTCTAGTCAGAAATTGCAGTTGCTTGGACAGTGGGGCTGACCCAGGACAAATGCATATGTTAGGCTGGTTTTCGGGGTGCCGGGGTGGGGGCATGGGCGCTTCAGGGATAGGAAGGAGAGGCCTGTGTGTTCCAGAAGTACAGAGGAACCTGGTGCCGGCTGCAGTCAACCCCTATGTGATGATCTTTCTACCCGCCCTCTTTGATGTCTTGGTGCTGGCTGCTGTCTTTGGCCACGTAAGCTCATGGTCTGGGTTCCTGGGGTCCCCTCGCTGGGCCTCCACACTGCCTGCAGGTAGAGGAGCCTTCAGGCCAGGACTATCCTTGGCTCCCCCTTCCAGGTCATGGGTTCAAAGACCATTCCTGGGTTCCACCACCGCCAAGCCTCAATGGTGTCCTGATGGGCCCGGGAGCTGCTGGGGCTTTCTGGGTTAAGACCCTTGCCTATCCCGGTGTTCCCCCCTGCAGTGGGGCTGCAGGGGGTGGCCTCAGTCTCTGCCCTGGGAGCTTGCCTTGCCCCGGCGGCCCCACACCTGCCCTGGAAGACTCCCCACACCCAGTGGCTCTGATCCACTGTAGAGCAGCCAGGGTCCCCGTTGCTCACACCCTCTGGCCTGAGGCTGACTGGCTCTGTGGCTGGCTTTGGGGGGTCAAGGAGGGGGTTGGGCCTTGCCCTCAGCAGCTCCCATTTCCACTCTGACCCCTTTTCAATCTTCCTCCTCTTGTGGACTCTACCCTGGGGCCCTCCCAGCTCCTCACACCAGATGACCATCTAAATATCTAGAAATCAATATTTTAAATACCAACTTTGGATTGCTTCCTGACTTTTCCATACTCCCAAAAGGCCAGTGTTTCTCTTAGGACTGACAGTCTCTCCAGCCCTACTGGGCCAGACCAGGCAGGCGTAAGGGTGCCCCTGCCCCAGCCCTCTTTGGGGCGGGCTTCTGTCCCCTTCCTGCCACCTGGCAGCAGGACCACACTTTGGTGGCAGGTGAGGCAGCAGAGACTGCGGACCCCCCAGCTGTGCCTAAGTCCTCTGTGTGGTCTAGCTATATGTGCTGGGGGAGGCTCTTGGCCACCATTTCCCCATCTGTAAACGAGACCAATACCTGTGGAGGGCAGGAGGCTGGTGTGAGTGCCAAGCACTTGGAGCAGGGCCCTGAATGAGCATGGACGTGGGAGCAGGGGTGTTCCTCAACTTTATGCACCTTGGGGATGGGAGTGGGGCTCCCCACGTGGGTTGACAAGGCATTGCTTTCCCCCACCCCACCTCTGTCCCAGCCCTGCAAGTCCAGTCCTTGGGGGTTTCGGAGGGAAGAAGCCCTGGCTGTGTGTCCTCGAGCTGGTCCTTGGCCCTCTCTGGCTCTGAGTTCCTGGGAAAGTCAGTGGTGTTGGAACTTCGGATTCATTCCTCGGGGTTGAGGCACTGTCTGTGGAAGCCGTGGGGCAAGGTGAAGGCAGGGAGAGGAGAGGTTTGCAGTTTGGGTTTCAGCAGAGGGAGCAGCAGCATGAGGGGTCACCTGTGTGTAGAGGAAAGGGAGTGAAGGCCAGGAGTGGGGAATGAGTCTGAGTGCACCCAGGATGGTGGTTCGTCTCCTCCCACATCCACCTGGCCCCGGGGGAGGGAGAAGAAAGGCCATAAGACAAAGGGCCAACTGAGTTGGGTCCACACATGTCCTTCCAGGACCTGGAGGTGCCACTGTCTGGCCCTCATGCAGTGGGAAGTGGGGGAAGGAAGATTCCCTCCCCATACCTCCTGTTCTCTGTCCCAGGTCTCCTGGCCTCCTGTGCTCCTAAGTTCAGTTTCTGTCAGCTCCCAGCATCATTTCTAGGGTTGGTGGGAGGCAGCTGGGAACAGGCGAGGGGTAGGTGGGGCCTGCTTGAGGGAGTCTGCTTGACTGCCTGGGCCACTGCCCAGTACTGGGGAGCTTTTCTGGCACACCAACTGCACCACCCAGGTGCTGCCCACAACAGCCCCTGGGGAGTGTTTGCAGAAGGCCTTGGCAGGGGGCGCGGTGGACCCCACCCAGAACAAACAATTGGGGTGGGGTCAGGGAGAACCGCCCTCCACTTACCTGTCTGGAGAGGGTCCTCTGTACCACACTGTGTGCTTCTACACACCCAGGCTGAACACCCCATGGGAGGCCCTCCACTTTAGCACCTTGACAAGAAGGGTGGGGACACTGGGATCAGGCCCAGCCCCCTGGCCCCAAACCCTGCAGCCCCAGCTGGAGGATGAGGAGATGCTGGGCTTGGGTGGGGGAATCAGGGGTGTAAAGGGGCCTGCTCACTCCTCAGCTTGGCTCAAGGCTCAAGGCATCAAAGGCTCAGCCTGCCCCTCAGGAAGGAGCCTGGGCCCAGCCAGACACTCACCAGGACAAGGGTGAATGTGACGAGCAGGAGGCCTAGAATGAGGAGAGCCACAGCATAGCCGGGGATGGAGGCATCCAGCAGGCTGGAGGCTTCAAGGCTAGCAGTGCCTAGAGCAGACCAAGAAGGCTATGGCCAGGTGGGGCCCTGCCTCCCAGACTTCTGAGAAGGCAGAATCTGGCACCAGAAGTTGCTGCGGGACCAGAGAGCTGGGGCTAGGAGCATCTTGGAGGGCTCCATGAGGAGGGGAGGCAGGTTTCAGATCAGGGCATGTAGAGGCAGCAAGCCCAAGGGAGGAGGCAGATGGACAGAGGGAGGGGGCCTGCAGAGGGAAGGAGGTACTGACCGAGGTCTGAGATGACCGTGTCTACCAAGAGGCCCTCTGCCTCCCCCAGGGTGTGCAGACCCACACGAGAGCCTGGGCTGATGCCGCCCTGAAGAAGGTGGCACCCACTCTGACGGTCAGTGGGTCCAGCCTGGTGGGAGGATCATCCCACTTCAGGGGGCTGGGCAGCCTGGGGGGCCTAAGGGAGGTCATCTCTTCCAGCCTCCTGCCTTCAACCCCAGAACCCAGGTCTGAGCCCTGGGTCACCCAGGGCCACCCTGGACCCACCGGAATTCCTCCACCACCACTGGTCAAAGTTCTGCAGAGATCTGAGGACGAGGGTCAGCTGGGGGGTCAGGAGAGGATGAAGAGGGTCACAGCTCTACCAAAGTCTTGTCCAGTCATCCCCCATCTTCCCGAGGCTTCTTCCCCGCCCCCCCACTTCATCCCGCCACTTCACCCATCTTGTCGGTTGCCCCTGAAGTGCCCAGAACTCAAGGCTGGTTTTGTCCTCCAAGGCCTTGGTGTAGGGCTGGCCCAGGATCTGCAGCCAAACTTCATACAGCACCAGCTCTGCCTTCTCCCCTAGAGCGACAGGGGTGGAGGTGGCATCGGCCTGCATCCCCTCTCCTGGAAGCCCTGGAGTGGGACACACACCCAAGCTCTAATGCTCCATCCAGGGGTCAGCTGCTGTTGGTGTAAAGGCCAAATTTCTTGCTGCCTGCTTTTGTGTGGCCCACGCGCTAAGAATGGCTTTTACATGTTTAAATGGTTGAAAACATGGAAAGTAGAGTCGTATCTTGTGACACATGAGAATTACGTGAGATGCAAACTTCCATGTCCATAAAGAAAGGTTTCTGGGAATGTGGCCACGCTTATCTGTTGACATGTTGCTAGGGCTGCTTTCTTGCTACAGGGGAGGGTTTGAGTAGGTGGTGACAGAGACCCAGTGGCCTGCAGAGCCTTAAAGAGTTCCCATCCGGCCCTTTACAGAAAACGCTTGCTAACCCCTGCACTGATCCACCTAATGGAATACACTGCCCACTCCGTGAGTTGATCCTAGTAGGAAATGTTGCTGATAATTTAACAGCTGCTGCTTTTATGTTTTATTTTGTCCCTGCTCTGGTGGGAGACATGTAAGAAAATTCACTCCCTGGGAGGAGGTCATGGTGGGGCTTGTGGCCATCAACGGTGAAGCCTCTTTAAGAGGATGCGTGGGGAGCTCTACCATCTGCTGAGAGGGTTGTGAGGGGCCCTCTGTGTTGAGGAATGAAGAGGGAACGCTGCCTGTGTGCTGGGAGCTGGCTTTCTGGGGAGCAGAAGAGATGGTGGTTCGGGCCTGCGGAGGCAGAGGCCCAAACCAATCTGGTCTCTGGGGCTGCCGGCAGGGAGAGTAGTTGTGTAGGAGTGGGTGCAGGGGCAGAGCCTGAAGGAGGGCACCCCTGACTGCACCCCCAGGAGGCTGTGGTGGTGGGGGTGGGGCAGCACTGTAGGAGGACCAGCGCCTTCTGTGGCTGAGGGGTCCTTGGAGAGCAGCTCCAGGCAATGCGTAGCTGGAGGGGACTGATTTGACCCAGCGCTCTCCTAAGCCACAATGCCCGGCCTAATGTACTGTTTATTTAAAATTCTAAGGATCTTTAATAATTTTAATAAGGATCTTTAAATAATTTTCCATGGATCATATTTTTATTGCATTTTAAAATAATTTACAATTTGCTTTCACACATATTCTCCCTCATCTGATCCTCACAACTGCCCTGGGAAGGAGGTTGGAGACAGAGTTGGGGCCTGTTAGGAGACAAATTTACACAATGCATAAGAAAGCTCACTGTGAGCCGGGGTGAAGAAGGGAGGCTTGGAGAATCATGAATGCAGTATCTATGTCTATATTCCCAGCCCAACCACAAAGCCTGAAATTCATTTAGGTATTTAAGAAATAGCTGCTGAATTATTGCCTAGGGGTGCTCAGCTCAAGAAGCAGGGTTGAGACTAACAATCAAGCTTCCTGACTCCTAGCCCAATACTTTTCCAAACACACCACCTATTTTTCTGTATCGGATAGAAAGTATAGTGCTTAAGTTGTACATAATGTTAACTCACTTTCAATACAGGCCAATCATGATTGACTATCAGTAGCTTTTGTGACAAACTTAGTAAACTAGGAAGTTGAACCTTTCAGAGTTCCCCTTCTCATGTCATATGCTATTTCTGTTTTGAAATAAAAATCCTTCCAAATGAAACTTTATCCATCAAAATGACAAGAGAAGTGAAAATAGATACAAGAAGAAAATAAAACATTAATTTCAACATGGCTTTGTCTATTTTGCTTTAAAAGTATAACCACCAAGCCATTCTATTTTTAGGAAGACACATTCTTTTTGGAATGTTAAAAACTATGATAACTATTCTTAAGTCCTAAATGACCAGTATGGGTATTAGTAGATAACTGGACACAGTGCAAGGTCAGAAGGGTGACTGAGTGTGGCAGAAAGGGCAGTATCTCCAGCAACTGCAGATGGATAAATGACAATGAGTCCAGATAATGGATTATGATACAACCATTCAAATAATGCTTATGAGTACTTGATAACATAGGCAAAAGCTTAAGATACAATGTTTTAGACAGAAAAAAGGGAAGGTGGAAAAAAATAGATGGAAAGCATGACTTCAATCATGCATACTGATGCTTCCACTTTATTTTTATTTTTTGAGACAGGGTCCCACTCTGTTGCCCAGGCTGGAGTGCAGTGACATCATGATCTCGGCTCACTGCAGCCTCTACTTCCTGGGCTCAAGCAGTGCTCCCACCCTAGCCTCCTAACTACCTGGGACTACAGGCATGTGCCACCATGCCCAGCTAATTTTTTGTATTTTTAGTAGAGATGGGGTTTTGCCATGTTGCCCAGTCTGGTCTCAAACTCCTGAGCTCAAGGGATCTGCCTGCCTCGCCCTCCACAAGCCGGCCGGCCTGCTCTGTCTTACCCGCCCCCCCACTCCTGCCCCCCACTCCTGCCCCCGTCTCAGGAGCGGGATGGCGGTGGACTCTTCTCTACCAGACCTGCAGCCCTCACACCCGCACACACTGTGTTTGCGGAGAGGCCAGTGAAGACACCCTCCCCCCGTTTCCGGAGCCACTGTCGCCCCCTCATTCCCGCTCCAGCAGCCCATGCCTCGCTTCACCTCTGGTGCCTCACCATCAGGCCAAGAAGCCAGGGCCCGGGAATTTCTTTTTCCGGTGGCGCCAGGTCAACAGATTCGACGATCACGTGACTTGGACAAACGGCCTCTGGGAGGGCGGGGTCTGCTCGAGTGAGGCCGGAAGCGGACCACAGCCCGCAGGAGGTGCTGGAGGGCGAAATGCTGGCGTCTCCTCCTATGTCTTCCAGAATCCTTCCCTGGAAAAAAAGCAGCGCCCACCGCCAGTTTAACTGAGGACCGAATTAAGACATTAGGAAAGACAGTGGAAGTTATTTCATTTGTTTAACTTAAGGGGGTAGGATCCCGGGAGCCAGGGGGATTCAGGTCATTGCCATGTTTTCCACTGTTAAGCGAATAGCATTATACACAGCTGCGGGCTGCGGCAAAAGACATTTTAAAAACTATTGAAATCTACTACACATGCAGAAAATTGTACCTATTAGAAATATAAAGCTTAATAAGTGTTCATTAACTGTAGACCTCACATAACCAGCACCCAGATAAGGAAATAACCAGATAACTTCTTCAAGTGCATGGGTGTTTTATTTCATTTTGATGAATTGTGTAGGTGCCTAGCAAAAAGGGCTGTCATAATTAACATGCTCAGGAAAACTCCCTACAATTTCAACATCAATAGATGCTTATTTTTTGCCAGTCTGATGGGGGAAAAAATCCGTTGCTTAGATTGCAGTGGTAGTCTGCTTACTGGTAGCTCTGAGCTAATGGGTTGTCTAAAACAACTAAGTTTCCGACATTGACTTGAAGAGGCAAAAACAAAAAGACAAAACAACAACAAAAATACATTAGAGAATAGACTAATAACCAGAGAAGAAATTGAATACAGTTGTCCCTTAGAAACCTCAGGATATTGGTTCCAGGACCCCAGAGATACCAAAATTCACAGATGCTCTGATATAATATGGCATAGTATTTGCATATAACCTATGCACATCCTTCCGTAGACTTTAAATCACCTCTAGATTACTATAATACTTAATACAACGTAAATGCTTTGTAAATAGCTGTATGAAGTATTTTTAAATTTGTTTTTTTATTTTACTTTTTCCAAATATTTTTGATGCACAGTTGGTCAAATCCAAGGATCCAGAACCCGAGGATACAGAGGGCTGACCGTAGTTTGAGCTCTCTCCTCAATTCCATGCCTATCCCATGCACCAGGTGCAGCTGGTTTTATTGCAGGCTTTCAGGTTTTCAAAAGACAGAGCTCATGACAAGTAAACTGCTCTATGGAATAGAAAGAAATGGAAAATGTCCCAATTCATGGTAAAATTGAACTCATTTCTGAAGAGTTCTTTTACAAATCATAAGCACTAGCCTGTTGAAAACAACAGTATGTTAAGTTACTAGACTATCCTATACCATGTCAAAGAAAAATTTTAAGAACATAAGACCTTTAATCATAGCACTTTGGGGGACCAAGGCCAGTGGATCACTTGAGCCCAGGAGTTCTAGACCAGCTTGGGCAACATAGGGAGACCCCAGTCTCTACAAAAAATTAGCTGCTTCTGCTGGTGCACAAGTGTCGTCCCAGCTACCTAAGAGGCTGAGGTGGGAGGATCTCTTGAGCATGGGATGTGGAGGCTGCAGTGAGCCATGATGGTACCTCTGTACTCCATCCAGCCTGAGCAACAGAATGAGACCATCTCAAAAAAAAAAAAAAAAAGGAAAACAGAAAAAAAAAAAAAAAAGGCTGGGTGCGGTGGCTCACGCCTGTAATCCTAGCACTTTGGGAGGCCAAGGCAGGCAGATCACCTGAGGTCAGGAGTTGGAGACCAGCCTGGCCAATATGGCAAAACCCGTCTCTACTTAAAAAAAAAAAATAGCTGGGCATGGTGGTGGGTGCCTGTAATCCCAGCTACTCGAGAGGCTGAGGCACGAGAATCGCTTGAACCCGGGAGGTGGAGGCTGCAGTGAGCTGAGATTGCACCGCTGCATTTCAGTCAGCTTGAGCAACAGGGTGAGACTCCATCTCAAAAAAAAAAAAAAAAGACGTAAGAATGGTTCAACTTTTATTTCATCCTATCAATAGGTTAAAGAAGAGAAAAATGGATAGATTTGGAAAACCATTTTTTATTTAAAAAGAGAAAATTAAGAACCGATGAAAAACTGTCTTAAGAGTATTTGAAAAAAACAGCAAATTTAACATCAGACAGACAAAGTATTTAAATTCAGAAATAAAGTGGGTGGCGTGCTGGAGCATTTTAATGTCATACTGGAGCATTATTTCACAGATACTTGTTTTACAATTAAAGATGATTTGACTATTTAGAGCCGTGGTTCTCATACATTAGAGTGCATCATAATCCCCTGCAGGGCTTGTGAAACGGGCTGCTGGGCCCCACACCAGAGTTTCTAACTCAATAGGACTGAGGTGGGGCCTGAGCATTGCATGTCTATGTTCCCAGGTGACGCTGATACTTCCAATTTGAGACTATGCTTTGAAAACCACAAATATAGGGAAATATACTAGAGAATATGTTATGAATATACTGGAGAATATGTATATATGTTAACTTACAGATTTCTGTGCAGTGGAAAAGATAATTCCCAAGGATGACAGTTTTATTTCCCAATACAATTTTTTTTTTGAGTCAGCTCACTGCAGCCTCTACCTCCCAGGTTCAAGTGATTCTCCTGCCTCAGCCTCCCAAGTAGCTGGGACTATAAGCACCCACCACTGTGCCTGGCTAATTTTTGTATTTTTAGTAGAGACAGGGTTTCACCATGTTGGCCAGGCTGGTCTTGAACTCCTGACCTCAGGTGATCCACCCACCTCGGCCTCCCAAAGTGCTGCGATTACAGGCATGAGCTATCATGCCTGGCCTCCCTACAGGATATTAACAAGTTTTGTCTCTATCTCAGAATGCATTTCAGAATGCACTTCCTGGAACACTATAGACACTGTCTCTCAAAATGCTCCTCTAACTAGCTTCACCATGTTGCTGACTCCCTTGTAAATTAAAATATCTTATACATATTCCTTCATTATCTGTATGAAAGTCAAGCTTTTCGCATTGTGAAAATTATACTTCAGGCTGGGTGCAGTGGCTCACGCCTGGAATCCCAGCACTTTGGGAGGCCAAAGTGGTGGTATCACTTGAGGCCAGGAGTTTGACACCAGCCTGGCCAACATGTCGAACCCCATGTATACTCAAAAAAAATCAAAATTAGCTGGGTGTGGTGGCACACACCTGTAGTTCCAGCTAATTGGGAGGCTGAGGCACAAGAATTGCTTGAACCCGGGAGGCAGAAGTTGCCATGAGCTGAGATCGTGCCACTGCACTCCAGCCAGAGCCAGACCGAGACTCTGTCTCAAATTTAAAAAAAAAAGAAAGAAAGAAAAGTATACTTTGATACAGTATGCTAATATAAAGGATATAATATGGTTTAGCTCTGTGTCCCCATCCAAATCTCACCTTGAATTGCAATAATCCCCACATGTCAAGGGTGGGACCAGGTGGAGATAATTGAATCATGGGGGTGGTTTCTCCTGCGCTGTTCTCGTGATAGTGAGTGAGTTCTCACGAGATCTGATGGTTTTATAGCAGGCTTTCCCCTTTGCTCGGCTCTCCTTCTCTCTCCTGCTGCCCTGGCAAGAGGTGTCTTCTGCCATAATTGTAAGTTTCCTGAGGCCTCCCCGGCCATGCAGAACTGTGAGTCAATTTAAACCTCTTTTCTTTATAAATTACCCAGTCTTGGGTATTTCTTCATAGCAGCATGAGAATGGACTAATACAGTGTACTAATAACAGCCCAGACAGTAGTATACAGGTACTACTATACTTTGATGCTAGAGGTATTCCCATTAAGGTCAGGAGCAGTATGCGCTATCGTTACCATGATCTAACATTGTTCCAGAGGGTTTTAGGTCAGCAGTTCTCAACTGGAGGTGATTTTGCCGCCCTGGGGATATTTGACAGTATCTGAAATCACTTTGGCTGTCACACTGAGGAGTGCTGCTGGCATGTGGCAGGCGGAGGCTGGGGATGCTGCTAAACATCCTGCGAGGCGCAAACAGCTCCAGAACAGAGAACTGTCCAGCCCTAAACATCAACAGTGCTGCTGTGGAGAAAGCCTGGTCTAGACAAATAAAACATGGGAAATCCATTAACATAAATGTGGGTGGATAATCAACTGGCATTTGCCAATGGCAGTCTAGCTAGGAGGTCCAAAAGGAGCACCTGAAGAACAGTTAGATTTTGCAGGGGCTGCATGGTGGCTCATGCCTGTAACCCCAGTGCATTGTGAGGTCGCATTGGGAATATCTCTTGAGGCCAGGAGTTCAAGACCAGCCTGGGCAACATAGTGAGACCGCATCTCTACCAAAAATTTAAAAATCAGCCAGATGTGGGGGTGTGCTCTGATAGTCCCAGCTGCTGAGATGGGAGTATCGCTTGAGCCCGGGAGCTGGAGGCTACGGTGAGCTGTGATCAAGCCACTGTACTCTAAAAAAATTTTGAGACAGGGTTTTTCTCTGTTGCATACGGGGTCTTGCTGTGTTGCCCAGGCTGGTCTCGAACTCCTGGCCTCAAGCAGTCTTCCTGCCTCGGCCTCCGAAAGTGTTGAGATTACATGAGCCACTGCCCCTGGCCTTATGAAATAAAAATTTTAAAAAAAGAAGTTACAGGATGTTATGTGGCCTGTTGAAAGATGTTGGAAAACAGTTGTGCATGTGACCCAGCTATAACCAGTTATAAAAGTATCAGGATTAAGAAATGTACTGCGTCTGGCTTTCCCAAGTTTAGGTTCCTGCTGAAAGAATGAGATGGACCTTTGTTTCTTCTTCTGCTCCTCAACTCCCTGCAAGAACCAGGACTGTGCATTTTGACGGGCAGGCTCTTACCCCTGGCAGGCCACAGAGGGCATGCAGAGCCTTTCTGCGTGTGTTTTCTGGGCAGTCAGATAAAGACCCCCTGTCCAGGCCTTTGTTTAGGATATTTGGCCCATGGAGGAACGAGGCTGGAATCACCTGGGAGGGGCAGAGGCTTCGACTGGAAGGAGGAGTGACCTGAACTCCAGGTTCTGGGCCTACACTTTGTTCCCATGCAGCACCCTGTTAGTGGTGACTGGGGCCTGGAAGTCAGGGGCCTTGGTGGCCAAGTGTCGGCTGGACAGGAGGAGCTGAGGAAGGTGAGGGGCATCTCTCCAGCACTGCCCCCCACCCCATCCCCAAATCAATGCCCTCTGACAGCTCAGACACAGCCCCAGCCAGCAGCAGTGCAGGTCAGGAAGGGCAAATGCACTCAGCACGGATCTGCTCCATAGTCTCCGCCTCACTTCATCTCGGGTTGAGGGGAGTGAGTCCCCGCAGCACTCGTGATATCCTGTCAGCTGAAAACATTCAGCTTGATTTAGAAAGATAAGGTGGGACATCTCTTGGGCATGGCGTGTGGAGCAGTGACATCCCTCTGTGGCAGCGAGTCAAGCAATAAACCAGAATGTGCAAAACCTGCGTCCCAGAATCACCGTTCCTGGAAGAAAAGCCTATATTGTCAAGATGCCCACTCCTAAATTAACCCAAACTTTCCACCCAGCCTCGAAAAACCAGTAGAACTTTGACGTTAATATACTAACCCTCAGTTCTATACAGAAATGTGTAAGAATAGCCACATACTGTAATGTGCGGTCATTGAGAGAGAGGAGCCCGACAGAACAAATGGAACCAAGTCCAGAGACATGTCTGTCTAGGCGCAAGATGCCAGCATGTGTGTCAGCCAGGGAAGCAGACCAGGAGGAGATATTTATTAAGATTTTAAACCAGGCTCCATAGCTCAGGCCTATAATTATAATACTTTGTGAGGCTGAGGTGGGAGGATCACTTGAGCCCAGGAGTTTGAGGCTGCAGTGAGCTATGATTGTGCCACTGAATTGCAGCCTGAATGACAGAGGAAGACCCCATCTCAAAAAGAGTGCGCAGATGCACCCTTACATTAAGCCACCTTGGGTATACCTTCCAAGACTGGTGAGGCGTTACTCAGGACAAGGGCCCAGCCCTAGCTCAGCTTCCACCTCCTGAGCGACACCTGGAGGAGGTGGCCACAGTGTCCTCAGTCCAGTCTCTGTTGGGTTTCAGATCCCCTGATCATCATGCCTTTTTTGCCCAAGCTCTGCCTCATTATGGCCTTCACTGACCGCAGCCTCTTCCACCTCCCCAAGGGGACCCCTGCTCATGCTCTCCAGCCCACAGGAGTGCCTGCTTCTCCAGGAAGCCCATCCTCCTGGCTCTGGGCTCTATATAGGAGAGCTGGGCAGGCTGGATCCCACCACTGAGTTCAGTCTCGGGGGTCTCCACCCATGCTAGGCTTCCACTGATGGGACATAAGTGGCCAGGGGGGTTCTTTACATCCACACAAGAGCCCCATGATGACCAGGAATGGGGTTCTGAGAGGCTAAATGACTTGCCCAGGGCCCCAGAGCTGTCTAGAATCCTGCACTGCCATATCCAAGGCTGTGTTTGGGCCTCCCACTCGGGGCCCGGACACCCCTCTGCATCTACCAGGCTGGGAAACACATGTCTGCTGTAGCTTCCTCCCAGTGACTTACAGCAGCTGCAGATTTCTGGGGGGACTTCTACGGGGCCCACCACAGTAGGGAGCTGAGAACTCTTAGAGAGCCCTGAGTTTTCTCTCCGGCCCCTTCAGCTCTGAACTCATACTAGTTGCTCTGATACAAGAACAGGCCTTGGTGAGGGTTTTGGGGCTCTTGTCAGTAGCCCAGGCCTTCAGGAATCAGGTGATGTTGATGTGGAGAGGAGGTGCCTGCTGGAGGGACTGGGGGGAGCAAGCATAGCCCAGGGCCCTGGCCTCCTGCTGGGGCATCCCCCTCTTCCTTCCCAGGGTCCCCTGAGAATCCGAAGGCATCCAGGGTAAAGTGCAGTGTTCAGCTGTGTCCTGGGGTCCAGGAAAGCCAAGGACAAGTTGCTCTACCTGCTGTCCACCAGGCACCCTGGCAGAGAACAGCCTCAGCCCACCCTAGCCCAACACCAGATCCCAGGGACTGATCCACCTGTAAGAGGGCAGCATGGGACTGCCCCCATTGTCCCCAGAGAGTCCCCTCAGTCATGGGCTCTGACCAGGGTGCAGGTGGCCCAGCAGGCTGGCCCATTGTGGGTGTGGCTGTCCATTGGTCCTCTAAAGAGCCTCAGGGGCTTGTGGCAGCTGGTGTATGTCTGGGCTTGGAAGTAGAGGATGTCCCCCAGCCACAGGGCAGGGGACACTTGTTTTGAATTCCAGTCCTCTGCAAGGACAGAGAACCCAGGCTCTGAGCACCCCAGCTCTGCCTGCCCTACCCACAACCTACCACCATTTGGCCCAGGCAAGTTGCCCCAGCTCCCGCAGAGGGAGCCACCCTTCCCACCTCCTGATGTTTGCCCACACCAGTCAAGTTCCATTCTGGAAAAACCCTCTGTGTCCTTGGGAAGGCACCTCCTCCTTGACTCCTTTCCAGAGCTATCATCCCCACTTTAATTTTCTACCTGTCATTCAATGCAGAGACCAGCTTCTTCCCAGGGCCAGGGCTGCTCTGGAGGCAGGGAGGCTTTGGCCAGGCTGTGGGGTGTAGCAAAGCACCGGGTATAGACCAGGCTCTCCAGGCACACCTGGGCAGAGAAGTCAGAGACCCACAGGTGAATGCCTCTCCTTCTGGCCCCACCCACCTCACAGGCAGAAAGAGGGAGGCTTCACAAGGAGGTTGACGTAAACAGGGGAGCCCAGGTTACCTCTGTCTGATCTCCTGCCCTCCTGGGAGAAAGCCAGAGGTTGGAGCTGGGAGGCGTCGAGAGCCCTGGCCCCGTCCTGGTTTCACTGATGAGGTTCAGGGAGGGGCTGGGTCAGCCCAAGTCACTGAGTCCATAAGTGACTCATATAAGTCCATATGGTTCTGACCATAACCCAGGACCCTAGAGCTAGCCAAGGCCCCATCCCTTTCCCACGTATATCATCCTTTTCCCACGTAGGGGCATGAACTGGCTTCTGGCTTCTAAGGCCGAGGCCCAGCACACCTCTACCTCCCCTTGCCTGCAGCTGTTGTTACACATCAAAAGTGAGTTTTCCCTGAGGGGCAGGAAGCATAGCTCCCTGGGCTGGACCAGGTGGCCAATCCAAACAAGACCCTGTGCATCCCCACAAGCCAGGCCTTCTCACACCATGCAGCAGCTGAGGGCACCAGGATACCCTGGGGGATTCCAAAGACGAGCCCTCCTACAGGCTCCCACAGCAGCACTGCCAACCCCAGACCTGCCATAAGCCCTGTATCCATCCAGCCTTCGAGAACCTGGCCATTCACACATACCTGCCCCACTCCTGACACCTGGCTTTCCTGTGAAAAGTGGAACTGGTTCCACCTAGGCAAGCTGGAGAAGGGCCTCAGGAAATCACCATTTTGGGGACTTGTTCTAATCATTCATTCATTTATTCACCAAATACCCACTGTCCACCTTTCTGTACCAGGCCAGGGGTGATGCGTCAAGCAGAACACATGTCCCAAGGAGCTTTCCTCTCTTTAGAGACAGACAGGTGGACTCTCAGACCATGAGGTGCCCTCTGGGCTGGGGGTGCCCAGGGCTGGATGCAGGGGAGGGCCGCACCCACAGGAGATGCTCATGGGTATGGATGTGGAGGCCACCATGGGGTAAGGGTGTGACCTGGGGCAGGTGCAGGGCCTGCTCTATCTGGAAGGCTTCCTGACTCTGCCAACAATAGACCGTGGCTAGATCAGGCTTCATGTCGATTTTTAATATTATATTTAATACATTTTGATTATGTAACTAAACATTATTGTGATAAAAATTATGAGATATAGAAAAGTTAAAAACACAAAAAACCAGCAAACCCCTTCTCTCCCCAAATAACTGCTTCAACAGTATTTTCTGACTTGTTTTCCCATGTATCTGCAGCTATAAACATAAGCTGCACAAGATAGTATCCTTCCCCATATTCTACTTTGGAGCTGGATTTTTCACTCAGCAGTGAATAGAGGCAGGCTTTAAACAGGCCACGCATTGTGAGGGCCCTGGGAAAGGAGACTGACCATGTTGCTGGGTGACCTTGGGCAAGTCTCGCCCTCCTCAGAGCCTGGATTTCCTCAGTCCGGTGAAGGGCAGGAAGGGCTGCAGTAGGACTACATCAGCGCTTCCCAAACTCAGAACCGCCACGTGGAGCTGTGTGAGCTGTCACTGCACAACCCCAGGGGCAGGAGCATTCTTGTCACGGCCTCTGTGAGTGGGGCTCCTGCCCAAAAGTGTGCTGTGGCAACCTGGGGCCCACAGGAGGATTTTAGGCGATATGCGGATGAATTGATTTTTACCATTTCCTTCTATCTGTAGTGAATGAGACCGATTCTCACCGGGAGGGCGTGTTAAACCACAGGTCGCTGAACCCACGCCTCAGAGGTTCTGATTCAGGAGGTCTGGGACGGCGCCTGAGAATCTGCATTTCTAACAAGTTCTCAGCTGATGGTGATGCTGATGCTGCTGGCTCAGGGACCACACTCTGAGAACCACTAACCACAAGTTTCCTTTTATTCATTTATTTCAGGCAGGGTTTTGCCGTGACACCCAGGCTGTAGTATAATGGTGCAATCCTGCAATCATGGCTCATGGCAGCCTCGACCTCCCAGGCTCAAGCAATCCTCCTGCCTCACTTCCCAAGTAGCTGAAACCATAGGTGCACGCTACCTTGCCTGGATGTTTTTGTATTTTTTGTAGAGATGGAGCTTCACCATGTTGCTCAGGCTGGTCGTGAACTCCTCGGCTTGAGCAATTCACCTGCCTTGGCCTCCTAAAGCAAAAGTTTCCTTTTTAAATACATTTATTTAGGTTTTAAAAATGAATTGACTTAAAGCACAGGAATAGATCTTCAACACTAACCACTGGGGAAATGCAAATTAAAACCACAGTAAGATATCACTACAGATCTATTAGAACAGCTCAAATCAAGCATAGTGATAGTATCAAATAATGGCGAGGATGCAGACAAAACTAACTCATACATCGCTGGTGGGAATATAAAATGATACAGACACTCTAGAAAATAGTTTGGCAGCTTCTTTAATTAAACATACACCTCAATATATGACCTAGCAATTGCTTCTGGGCATTTGTACCAGAAAATAAAACTGATGTCTGCACAAAAACTCATACATGATTGTTCATGGCAGATTTATTTGTAATAGCCCCAAACTGGAAACAACCAAATACTCCCCAATAGGTGAATGGTAAAGCAAACTGATACATCCATTCTATGACCTGACAGTTTTGGAGGGGCTTGCGTCATTATATATAAATGGTTTCAAGTGTTTTAATTTCATCCACGATCAGACTTAATGCCAATAGAGAGTAAGGTCTGTGCCTTATATTTCGTGTATCCCTCTGGGCCCCAGGAACTCTGCCTGTGCTTGACAAGTTTCAGGCTGGGCGCAGTGGCTCATGCCTGTAATCCCAGCACTTTGGGAGGCGGAGGTGGGCGGATCACCTGAGGTCAGGAGTTCAAGACCAGCCTGGCCAACATGGTGAAACCCTGTCTCTACTAAAAATACAAAAAAGTGGCTGGGTGCGGTGGCTCACACCTGTAATCCCAGCACTTTGGGAGGCCGAGGCGGGCAGATCACGAGGTCAGGAGATCGAGACCATCCTGGCTAACATGGTGAAACCCCGTCTCTACTAAAAATACAAAAAAAATTAGCCAGGCGTGGTGGAGGGCGCCTGTAGTCCCAGCTACTTGGGAGGCTGAGGCAGGAGAATGGTGTGAACCCGGGAGGCGGAGCTTGCAGTGAGCTGAGATCGCGCCACTGTACTCCAGCCTGGGTAACAGAGCGAGACTCTGTCTCAAAAAAAAAAAAAAAAAATACAAATACATAAAAGTAGTTTGGCATGGTGGCAGGTGCCTATAGTCCCAGCTACTCAGGAGACTGAGGCAGGAGAATGGCTTGAACCCAGGAGGCGGAGTTTGCAGTGAGCCAAGATCACACCACTGCACTCCAACCTGGGTGACAGAGTGAGACTCCATCTCAAAAAAAAAAGTTTCAGTAAACAACTAATTTATTTAATCTCTCTCCATCCTCTCCTTTCTTCTACCACCACTCTAGGATAATAGCCATTATACCTCATAAGTCCAATTCATTTTTTCCCTTGTTTTTCTTTTTTTTTTTTTTTGGTTATTTAGTTTTTATTTCATAATCATAAACTCAACTCTGCAGTCCAGCTAGGCATGGAAGGGAACTGCAGCGAGAGCACAAAGATTCTAGGATACTGCGAGTAAGTGGGGTGGAGGGTGCTGTCCTGAGCTACAGAAGGAACGGTCTGGTGGTTAAGATAAAACACAAGTCAACCTTATTAGAGTTGTCCACAGTCAGCAATGGTGATCTTCTTCCTGGTCTTGCCATTCCTGGACTCAAAGCGCTCCGTGGCCTCCACAATATTCATGCCTTCTTTCACCTTGCCAAAGACCACATGCTTGCCATCCACCACTCAGTCTTGGCAGTGCAGATGAAAAACTGGGAACCATTTATATTGGATCCAGCATTTGCCATGGACAAGATGCCAGGACCTGTATGCTTTAGGATGAAGTTCTCATCATCAAATTTCTCCCCATAGATGGACTTGCCACCAGTGCCATTATGGCATGTGAAGTCACCACCCTGACACATAAACTCTGATAATTCTGTGAAAGCAAGAACCCTTATTACCAAATCCTTTCTCTCCAGTGCTCAGAGCATGAAAGTTTTCTGCTGTCTTTGGAAACTTGTCTGCAAGCAGCTCGAAGGAGACGTGGCCCAAGGGCTCGCCATCGACGGCGATGTCAAAAAACACAGTGGGGTTAACCATGGCTGATAGTACAGGGCTCCCGATGGTGGCAGTGTCTGCAAAGCCTCCCTTGGTTTTCTTTTCTCAATATGCCTAAATATTTAAAATTATTATTTTTAAATTATATCAGCAAGTCTGCTTATTTTAAAAAGTGAAATATATACATATATATAATAAGTATTCATTAATAACTTTCTTCCAGTCCCTTCCATCCTCACACCATAAATAAATAATGGTAATAGCTTGATGTACCTTGGTCCACATCCTTATGCTTGTACAGACCTATAAAAATTGCTATATTCATGTATAGTGTGTTTTATGATTGATAAAAAAAATCACACTTAAGCAGTGTGATTTTTTTCATCTCTCTGTCTCAGTAAGTGAGACTCTGGATCAATATTTTTTAAAGCTACATCATATTCCAAGTTATTGGTAAAACCACAAACTATTCAGCTTGCTTATTCCTGAGTTTTAATGACACTGAGTGTATTTTCATAATATTATAAAACACATGTTTCTCTCCTGTGCATTGCATGTTCATATTCTTTGTTCCTTATATTTAAATTTCTAAACTGTCAGAACCTTATTTTTGTGAATGGCATGAGATAGTGGATTTAGTTTTGTTTTCTTCTAGATTGATGGCCAGTTTATATTTAAAAAATTAACCTTTTCCCACTGCATTGAAATAGTACCCTGTCCATATTTTATGTTCTTATATATACTTACATTGATTTTGGGATCAATTTCTGATCCACAGATACATTTTTATTCATCTTTTAATGTTGTTTTGATTATAGTGACTTTATAATGTAGGTTAATATTTGGTAGGGCAATTCTCCCTGTTTCTATTTTTTATTTTCATAGTTTTCTTGCCTATTCTTGGACACTCATTTATTTTTTCATTTGAACTTTACATTCATTTCATGTAGTTTTTGTAAAATGATTTGCTATGGTTTGAATGTTCGTGCCCTCCCCAAATTCCTGTGTTGAAACCCTAACCCCCAAGGTTGACAGTATTAAAAGGTAGAGCTTTTGGGAGGTAACTAGGTCGTGAGGGCAGAGCTCCCATAAACAGGATTAGTCCTCTTATAAAAGAGGCCCAAGGGAGCTTCCTAGTCCCTTCCCCCATTGAGGGCATAACAAGAAGGCACCGTAAATAAACAATGAAATGGGCTCTCACTGGACACTGACCTGCCTGTGCCTTGATCTTGGACTTCCCAGCCTTCAAAATTAGGAAAAGTCAGTTTATGTTGTTTAGTAGCTATCCAGTCTATAGTATTTTGTTACAGCAGCCACAATGGACCAAGACATAATTCACTGTGATTCTAATGGGAATTGCATCATAGTTATACATTAATTTTTCTAAGAATTAACATTAACACTATCCTTTCTGGAGTACTGGCATGTCTCTCCACTTGCTTAGATCTTGTTTTCTGTCTTTAAAAATGACTTCATATACAAACATTCTTAGCCATTATTATTGTTGTTGTTTTCATTTTTTGTTTGTCTGTTTGTTTGTATTTTAGTACAGATGGGGTTTCACCATGTTGCCCAGGCTGGTTTCAAACTCCTGAGCTCAGGCAATCTGCCCGCCTTGGCCTCCCAAAGTGCTAGGATTTCAGGTGTGAGCTATCGCGCCCAGCCTATTGTTTTTAATCATGATTTTTATTTTTATTTATTTATTTATTTTTCTTGAGATGGAGTCTCGCTCTGTCACCCAGGCTGGAGTGTAGTGGCATGATCTCAGCTCACTGCAAGCTGCACCTCCCGGGTTCATGGCCATTCTCCTGCCTCAGCCTCCCGAGTAGCTAGGACTACAGGCGCCCGCCACCATGCCTGGCTAATTTTTTTGTATTTTTATTAGATACGGAGTTTCACCATGTTAGCCAGGATGGTCTCGATCTCCTGACCTTGTGATCCACCTGCCTAGGCCTCCCAAAGTGCTGGGATTACAGGCGTGAGCCACCGCGCCCAGCCAATTTTTTTTTTTTTTGAGATGGAGTCTTGCTCTGTCTCCCAGGCTGCAGTGCAGTGGTACAATCTCGACTCACTGCAACCTCTGCCTCTCGAGTTCAAGCAATTCTCCTGCCTCAGCCTCCCAAGTAGTTGGGACTATAGGTGCATGCCACCACACCTGGCTAATTTTTGTAGTTTCAGTAGAGACAGGTTTTACCATATTGGTCAAGCTGGTCTCGAACTTCTGACCTAAGGTGATCCACCCACCTCGGCCTCCCAAAGTGCTGGGATTGCAGGCGTGAGCCACCCCGCCCATCCTTATCATGACTTTAGAGAAGATATTTCAAATTTAAAATTGTATTATTAAATATTTCAAATATACAGAGAAATATAAAAAAAATATTACAGGCAACATGTACCCTCTTCTCATACTTACTAGATTTTAACATTTTGACATATTTATAGAATATGATGACATTCTTTCATCTTCCCCCTTTCTAGATATATGACTAGTGTCTAGAAGCCAGTGTGTATAATTCCCAGACATTTAAACATTTCTTAAATGTATTTTTGCATTTCTAAATAATAGATAATGGTTTTATATATATTCCTAAGCAATATATAATGCTTTTATGTGTTATTTAAAAAATAAATTTATATCCATGACTAGTTATTCTTCATATTGAGAAAGGCTAATGATTTTTATGTACCATATATCTTGATTTGAGATATTTTATTAAATTATTTATTGTATTTTATTAAAATATTAGATTTTCTCTTCTCTATTATATACAAAAATATGCAATTTTACCTTTTTTATATAATATACATACCAATTGTTTTATTTTTTTCAGTTTGATTAGCTAAACATTTTAAATAATGTTGACTAACATTGGGGAAAGCAGCATGTTTTTCTTATTCTTGATTTCAATGGAAATGACTTTAGAAATTCTAATATAATGCTTCTGTTAATTTTTATAAGCTTGTCATATTTAAGCAAGACTTTTAACTTATTTTTTTTAGGATAATGTTTCACTAAATCCTCACAGTGACCTGAGGAGGCATGTATTAGTCCGTTTTCACACTGCTCATAAAAACATACCTGAGACTGGGGAGAAAAAGAGGTTTAATTGGACTTATAGCTCCATATGGCTGGGGAGGCCTCAGAATCATGGCGGGAGGCGGAAGGCACTTCTTAACATGGTGGTGGCAGGAGAAAATGAGATAGAAGCAAAAGCAGAAACCTCAATAAACTCATCAGATCTCATGAGACTTGTTCACTATCATGAGAATAGCACGGGAAAGACCAGCTCCCATGATTCAGTTACCACCTCCTGGGTCCTTCCCACAACATGTGGGAATTCTAGGAGATACAATTCAAGTTGAGATTTGGGTGGGGACACAGCCAAACCATATCATTCCACCCCTGGCCCCTCCAAATCTCATGTCCTCATATTTCAAAACCAATCATGCCTTCCCAACAGTCCCCCAAAATCTTAACTCATTTCAGCATTAACCCAAAAAGTCCACAGTCCAAAGTCTCATCTGAGACAAGGGAAGTCTCTTTCGCCTATGAGCTTGTAAAAATCAAAAACAAACTAGTTACTTCCTAGATACAATGAGGGTACAGATATTGGGTAAATACAGTTGTTCCAAATGGGAGAAACTGACCAAAACAAAGGGATTACAAGGCCCATGCAAGTCCAAAATCCAGTGGGACAGTCAAATTTTAAAGCACCAAAATTATCTCCTTTGTCTCACATCCAGGTCACATTGATGCAAGAATTGGGTTCCCATGGTCTTGGGCAGCTCCACCCCTGGGGCTTTGCAGGGTACAGCCTCCCTCCCAGCTGTTTTCAAAGGCTGGCATTGAGTGCTGTGGCTTTTCCAGGCACATGGTGCAAGCTGTCAGTGGATCTATCATTCTGGGGTCTGGAGGATAGTGGTCCTCTTCTCACAGCTCCACTAGGCAGTGCCCCAGGAGGGACTCTGTGGGGGGGGCTCTGACCCCACATTTCCCTTCTGCACTGCCCTAGCAGAGGTTCTCCATGAAGGCCCTGGCAGCAAACTTTTGCCTGGGCATCCAGGCATTTCCATACATCTCCTGAAATCTAGGTGGAGGTTCCCAAACCTCAATTCTTAACTTCTATGCACTCACAGACTCAACACCACATGGAAGCTGCCAAGGCTTGGGGCTTCCACCCTCTGAAGCCACAGCCTGAGCTGTACGTTGGCCCCTTTCAGCCACGGCTAAGTGGCTGGGACATACGGCACCAAAACCCTAGGCTGCACACAGCACAGGGTCCCTGGCCCCGGCCCACAAAACCACTTTTTCCTCCTGGGCCTCTGGGCCTGTGATGGAAGGGTCTGCTGTGAAGGTCTGGAGACATAGCCTGGAGACATTTTCCCCATGGTCTTGGGGATTAACATTAGGCTCCTTGCTACTTATGCAAATTTCTGCAGCTGGCTTGAATTTCTCCCCAGAAAATGGGTTTTTCTTTTCTATCGCATAGTCGGGCTGCAAATTTTCCAAACTTATGCCCTGCTTCCCTTATAAAACTGAATGCCAACAGTACCCAAGTCACCTCTTAAATGCTTTGCTACTTAGAAATTTCTTCAGCCAGATTACCCTAAATCTTCTCTCTCAAGTTCAAAATTCCACAAATCTCTAGGGCAGGGGCAAAATGCCACCAGTCTCTTTGCTAAAACATAACAAGAATCATCTTTGCTCCACTTCCCAACAAGTTCCTTGTCACCATCTGAGACCACCTTAGCCTGGATCTTATTGTCCGTATCACTATCAGCATTCGGGGTAAAGTCATTCAACAAGTCTCTAGGAAGTTCCAAACTTTCCCACGTTTTTCTGCCTTCTTCTGAGCCCTCCAAATTGTTCCAACCTTTGCCTGTTACCTAGTTCCAAAGCTACTTCCACATTTTCAGGTATCTTTTCAGCAATGCCCCACTCTACTGGTACCAATTTATTGTATTAGTCCATTTTCACACTTCCAATGAAAACATACCCAAGACTGGGAAGAAAAAGAGGTTTAATTGGACTTACAGTTCCACATGGCTGGGGAGGCCTCAGAATCATGGTGGGAGGCGAAAGGTACTTCTTACATTGGCAGCAGCAGGAGAAAATGAGAGAAGCAAAAGCAACCCATCAGATCTCATAAGACTTATTCACTATCATGAGAATAGCACAGGAAAGACCAGCCCCCATGATTCAATTACCTCTCCCTGGGTCCCTCCCACAATAAGTGGAATTCTGAGAGACACAATTCAAGTTGAGATTTGGATAGGGACACAGCCAAACCATAACAAGGCAGGAATTATTATTAACCCATTTTCCCAATCAGGAAACTGAGGCTGAAAGGAAGGGATTTGCCCAGAATCACACAGCTGGGAAATGAGCAAGCCAGGACTTGACTCAGATGTGATGACCCCAAAGTCCAGGCATGCCCTTAACCCCCAGGGAGGGTGTGGCTTTGCCCATCTGCCCTCACTGCCTGCCCTGTCTTGCAGGAATGTCTACAAGGATTTTTTTTTCTTTTTGAGATGGAGTCTCGCTCTGTCACCCAGGCTGGAGTGCAGTGGCACAATCTCGGCTCACTGCAACCTCCGCCTCCCAGGTTCATACCATTCTCCTGCCTCAGCCTCCCAAGTAGCTGGGACTACAGGCGCCGGCCACCACGCCCGGCTAATTTTTTGTATTTTTAGTAGAGACGGAGTTTCACCGTGTTAGCCAGGATGGTCTCAATCTCCTGACCTCATGATCCGCCTGCCTTGGCCTCCCAAAGTGCTGGGATTACAGGCGTGAGCCACCGCACCTGGCCTCTACAAGGATTATTGGCAGCTGGAGCTGGCTCATGAGACACAGGAGGAGGTGAACAGCTGGAAGTCCTACTTTCTGAGGGCTGGTGTGTACCTTGAGTGTGTTGGGGTGAGCGGCAGGGCAAGGAGAGGAGGGTCAAGCTGCTGATACTAGGGGGGCCCTGGGGCACCATCCACAGTGATGCCAAGTCATGCCATGTTTCTGAGCCCTTGTTTGGCTCAGAAATAACCAGGAATCCTCCCCACTACCTACTCTGGGGTGAGATCAGAGTTAAGTCTTCTGGTCCTCCCATCCTTCTCCAGTGGCAGTTTTGTGTCTCCGTCTCTGCCACAGATGGCATTTCTTGCATGCCCTTTCTATGATGGTGGTTTCCTGTGACTGCCTTCTCTTTTCTCCCCTATTTCACTGTGGCAATGTCTAGAGGAGACTTAGAGTTGGGGTGCAGTGTCCCAGGTTCACTCAACCTCTCCCCTTTTCCTCTCTGTGTGTGTCTACTTTGGCTGTGCTCCCTGGTGCCAGCAGTGGTGGCAGTGTTGGTGTGTGGGCCTCCCAGGACAAGAAGAAAGTGAGTGTGACCCTCTCTTGCTTCCTGCCAGGCGTCTGCAGCCTGGCACCAGCTCTGGCCAGGTCTTTAAGCAAAGGATCTGCAGATGTTTTTTTCTCATTTCTGGTTTGGAAAATTGAGGCAAATTCTGGGCAGTAGAGTCAGAACCAAGATGAGGCTGAATCAGGGGAGTCTGGGGTCCTAAGAGATACAGGGATGGGCAGAGACCTGAAACCTTTTAGAGCATGTGGAGAGCTGGGTGTCTGTTTAGGCCAGTTGCTTCTCTCTGTGCATCAATGTGCCAGGTACCCTTGCAGGGGATGCCTGGAGCCTGGCTACATGGCCTGGCCACCCTGATGCCCTTGTGTTCTTCATGACAGGCCAGCAAGACTGAGGGGAATGGCTCCGACAGCTTCATGCTCTCCATGGACCACAGCTGGAGTGGCAAGTGGAGACCATTCAGAACCTGGTGGACTCGTACATGGCCATTGTCAACAAGAACATGCAGGACCTCATGCCCAAGACCATCATCCACCTCATGATCAACAACGTGCATGCGTCGCCTCATGGGGGTAGAGGGGACCCAGGTGGCCATGTTGGCCTAGGGGAGATGCAGACCAGCCTTATGGGACCAGCCTCAGGAAGGGAGGCACAGTCCAGACCAGAGTTGTCCAATAGAAATATAATGTGGGATTATAGTGGTTCATGCTTGTAATCCCAGCACTTTGGGAGGCCAAGGTAGGAGGACGGCTTGAGCCCAGGAGTTCAAGACCAGCCTGGGCAACATAATGAGACCTCATCTCAACACAAAAATTTTAAAAAATAGCTGGGCTTGGTGGTGGCAAGTACATGTAGTCCTAGCTGCTCCACAGGCTGACGTTGGAGGATCACTTTGAGCCCAGGAGGTTGAGGCTTCAGTGAGCAGTGATCTCGCCCACTGTACTCCAGCCTGGCGACAAAGCGAGATCCTATCTCCAAAAATTAAAAACTGAGTAGACAGGTGTCCTGGTGGCATGATAGGTCCTCAGTCCCCTCCCAGAACTGTGACCTTGGACAGGTGACTTTTCCTCTGGACCTCAGTGTCCTCATCTGAGTGAGAAAAGGGCGGTGGGGAGGCGGATCTTCGAGTCTAAGCGGTGTAGAAGCCGCGTCTGAAAAGCCATACTCGCGGCTCCAAGTCCAGCGCACAGTCCCAACAGGGCCCGGCGGGGCAGCTATGGCGGCCAGGGCAGCACAAGCATCAATCAGGTCCCAGTCTCCTTCCCTCTTTGCCCGCTCTCAGACCAAGGAGTTCATCTTCTCGGAGCTGCTGGCCAACTTGTACTCGCGTGGGGAACAGAACACGCTGATGGGGGAGTCGGCAGAGCAGGCACAGGGGCGCAACGAGATGCGGCGCATGCACCACGTGCTGAGGGAGGCGCCCAGCATCATCGGTGACATCAAGACGACCATCGTCAGCACACCCACGGGGTCCTGTGGATGACTCCTGGCTGCAGGTGCAGAGCGTCCCGGTCGGACGCAGGTACCAGGGTCGGCCCCCACGGCCCCAAAGCCCCCCAGCCTGGGCCGCGGAAGAAGTGCCGGACCAGGCAGGGCGCGCCCCCATCCCGGGGTGGCGCCTACTTGAAGCGAGAGGCGGAGCTTAGAGAGGGCGGGGCTTGCCGTGGAGCGCGGGCTGCGGGGCGGGGTGGATCTGGGAGGTTGGCGCCGCTGGCGGCGGGGCTTAAGCTCCGGTGACCGCCTCGGGCCTTCAGGAAGGGGCTTGCATGCATGGGAGTGGCTGGCACTGGGCTGGGGCGGGGCCTTAGGGTGGGCGGGGCCGCTCATCGCTCCTCTTTCTGTTCCTGGCTCCCTTTCGCCCGCAGGTCGCCCAAGTCCAGCCCCACGACGCAGTGCCGACTCCCCGCCGTGCCCCCAGCCCGGCCCGGGTTGCGGAGCCCTGCTCCTGGGCCTCTGCCTGCTGCGTCCACCCTGGGGGAAGCGCCCGTCGTACCCTCCACACCGGGGGCTTCCCCTGACCCCTTAGGCCCTCCCCCTGCAGGTGCCCTCGCGCCCCTCCCGGGGTCCCCAGGTGAGTAGGGGCTGAATATGACAGGAGAGGCCGCCGGACGGGCGTGGCCGGGAGGGAAATGGGGCTGGATTCTAGAGCGTCGGACCTGGCCGCCAGAACTGGCCGTCTCCGTCCCGGGCACTCCGACCGTGGGACCGGAGCCCTGAGTGGCGGAGAGCTGGCGGAGCCTGCCCCCAAAGGAGCACTGAGTCCCGGAAGTGGTCTTTTTGTGGAGGGGGCTGTGGGGCTCGTCCCACCTGCCCCCTTCTTTCCAGCACTTGCATGGCGCTTCCCTCTATTTTCACTCTTGGCGGCCGCCCCACACGTTGCATTCCTCCTCGTTTCTTCTTCCCGCTGTCCTCCATCCTCCATTCCGTCAAACCCCTCTCCCAGCCCCTGGGGAGCCTACCTCAGGTCAGAGAGTCTGAACCCCGAGATGTTCTGGGTGTGTGGATTTCCTTCAGCTACCCTGATGTCCCCACTTCCAAGTCCTGACTCCTTTGAGCCATCCCAGGGGGTGTCTGGCCACTGGCCCACAGGAGCAGAGGCCAGGCTGTGACTGTGAGCATCAAGGTGTGTGATGTGTGTGTGGGTTTGCACACGAGTGTGAGTGGAAGAATGGCACCAGGCCTGGGCTAGGACAGAAGCAGCTGGGGAAGGAGCCTGGGGGGCATGGGCAATCTGATTTTTCCTCCACCCCCACCCCGCCCCCGCCCCCGCCCCCGCCCCAACCTACTGGGTCCAAACCAATGTGGTAGGGGTGGCTGCAGGGGCAGGGATGGGAGAGTCTGAAGCCTGCTTCACTCCCAAAGATTTCTAAGGAAAAGCGTTCTGCATCCTCTGGCTTGGCCTTGTTGACCCATGGCCTCTTTCAAGGACATTCACTCTGATTCCCAGTGTGCCGGATCCACTGGCCACGTTCTCTAAGGAAGAACAATAGCATCTGTTTTTGTCTCCAAATGACTGTAGGGTAGGGCTGTGGGTCCAGCGCCCATAAACCAAAATGAGGCAGGGATTGGGGCTTGCCCTATGATGCGCTGATGACCCACGGAGATGGGTAGAGGCAAGCAGCATAGCACTGGGCAAGAGCACTGGACTGGGAGTCCAGAGACGCTGCTTCACCCTGGGGCTTTAGGCAAGTCCCTTTCCCTCCCAGAGCCTCAGCATCCTTTCTATCAAATGATGACTCTCTGCCTTTCTCCCAGAGTGGCCGTGGGGATCAAGAGAGACAGTGGCCATAGGGATGCTGTGTTAACTGCAGATGTGGCTGTAGGAGCACTTTGCTAACTGCCAATGTGAGTTCAGACTCTTCAGGGTATTTGGCATCCAGGTCTGTGGTGAGGTGTGACATATGGGATGTAAGGTTTGATGCCTGCTCCGACTCCAGTCTTGCTAACACATGCGAAACATTTGGCAAATCATGACCCTTCCTTGGGGAAAAGAGCAGTCTAGGAGAGCTTCAAGGCAGCCTGGCTTCAACGCAGTCCGGGGCATGACTGAGATAGAATTATGTGGCGAGGAACTGGAGGGTATCTGGGTACAGAGCTGCAGTGTGGGCAGAGGTGTAGTGTGGGCCGCATCCAGGACAGCCACTGGCCAAAGCAGGGAACAGAGACGGAATGAGGAAGAGCTCTGTGGGGAGGGTGAGGCATAGGGTGGAAAACCTTCAAAGTCCGAAGAGTTTGACTTTTGGGGCTCAATGCTGCAGGCCGTAGGGAGCCATGGAAGGCTCTTAGGTGGGTCAGACTCTCTGACCTGAGGTAGAGAAATGACAGCTGGACATTAGCGAGCAAGCCCTGTCTCCATGAGCAGCACAGGTGGTCCTCTGAACACACCAGGCACAAGTGTGCAGGGAGCTGGTGCAAATGCCTCTGTGTGCAGGCGAGCTTCTGTGTTGTGACTCTGCCCACGTGTGTGGATCAGTGTGCTGAGTGGCTGCACACCCAGATCTGTGCTGCACGTGCCGGCCAGTGAGGGTGCTGGGCACTGCGAGGTGGCGGGGAAGGAGGCATGTTAGGGCACAGTCTCCTAAAGGGCTCTGTGAGTCCACATATGCTTCTGGAGGAAGGGGCCCTGCACACCACAGACAGGGAGTGTGCTTCCGTAAAAGGATCACTCAGCTGGGAGTCAGGCAGGCTGGCCACTAATCCCAGCGCTGTGTGACCTCAGGCAGGCCCTACACCTCTCTGGACCTTGGTTTCCTTGTCTGTAAAATGGAGGAAGGCTAGAATGGCTGGTAAATGCTCAGCTCTGTGAGCCATCTGAACCTGCTTTGTTTCACCAGTGAGGAATCACCCATAATGGGGGGAGACTAGAGCCACTCTAAACCTAAAGCAGGGTTAGATGGTACATGGAGCTGAGCATTTGCTATTTTAACTTTGTTTACTTTCATGGATATATTTCATGTGTATATTTTCACATATATGTGTATATGTATGTGTCTGAGCGTGTATGTGCATGGTATTTGACTAGTACATCAGACCCTGATTTCACAAATATGGCTAAAGACGAGGCTAAAACACACACTTAAATTTTAAAAGTAAGCTGATTTTTAAAAAACGCTAAGTAGAGTTCCAGTGGCATCTGAGTGTGGCAAAAGTCCTGATGAAAGGCGACAAATGGCTGCAGCCCTGGTCTGAGTGTCCCTATCCCCTTCCTGTCTAAGGGACAGTGGATTCGGGGCCCCGGCCTCCCTGGAATGAGAGATGCACAGACTGGGCCGTGATCTCCCACCGTGTCCTCACAGCCCCAAGACAGAATGCCATGCGGATTGGCAGGAGACCTCACTGTGGGGTTCTTGGAGCCAACCCTCCAGGCCATGTAGGGTCCAGCCCTACGGGACTTAGTGGGTGTTCTCCCCGTGTGCGGAGACGAGAGATTGTAATAAATAAAGACACAAGACAAAGAGATAAAGGGAAAACAGCTGGGCCCAGGGGACCACTACCATCAAGACGCGGAGACCGGTAGTGGCCCCAAACAGCTGCGCCCGCTGATATTTATTGCATGCAAGACAAGGGGGCAGGGTAAGGAGGGTGAATCTTCTAAGTGATTGACAAGGTGAAGCAAGTCACGTGATCACAGAACAGGGGGCCCTTCCCTCTTAGGTAGCCGAAGCAGGGAGAGAGAAGGCAGCATACGTCAGCGTTTTCTTCTATGCACTTATAAGAAAGATCAAAGACTTTAAGACTTTCACTATTCCTTCTACCACTGTCTACTACAAACTTCAAAGAGGAACCAGGAGTACAGGAGGAACATGAAAGTGGACAAGGAGCGTGACCATTGAAGCACAGCACCACAGGGAGGGGTTTAGGCCTCCGGATGACTGCGGGCAGGCCTGGATACTATCCAGCCTCCCACAAGAAGCTGGTGGAGCAGAGTGTTCCCTGACTCCTCCAAGGAAAGGGAGACTCCCTTTCGCGGTCTGCTAAGTAACGGGTGCCTTCCCAGACACTGGCGTTACCACTTGACCAAGGAGCCCTCAAGCGGACCTTATGCGGGCATGACAGGGCTCACCTCTTGCCTTCTACATCACTTCTCACAATGTCCCTTCAGCACCTGACCCTATACCCGCAGGTTATTCCTAGGTTATATTAGTAATTAAAAGCTAATGATTAATAATGTTTATAGTAATGATTGGTAATTGTCTATGATCATCTCTATATCTAATTTGTATTATGACTATTCTTATTCTAATTATTTTCTTTATTATATTGAAACAGTTTGTGCCTTCAGTCTCTTGCCCCAGCACCTGAGTAATCCTCCACCCACAGGGCCACAGGCCCCATGAGATCTCTGAGGCCACAGAGTGTGTCCACACACGTGACCTCCAGGGTGATTCGGGCCAGAGCACAGGAATGGCCCAGGCAGAGGTGGCCTGGGCGTGGGCAGAGATGGCTCGGGCTGGGCCTGAGGCATCCAGGGGCTCAGCATCGCATCTCCTCAGGGGGGCCATCTGAGACTGCTGGGCCAGTGAAGAGGCTTCTCCCGGGTACCCACCTGTCCTGTCCAAGAGAGAACAGCCAGCCCCACAGCCCCAAATGTCTCTGTCCTCCAAGAGGCCAGATGTGAATCACAGGAATTTACAGCCCAGCCTGGCATGGGATTTATGAGTCTGCCTCCAGCCAGGGCTGGTGGGGAGTGGCCACTGTCAGCCCCCCATTGCCGCTGATGGATGAGGCTGTTTCCTGTAAGACAAACTCCCTCTGTGGCAGGCAGTGGAGGGAGACACATCCAGGCCCTAGGGCCAACCCCATACCTGTCCCAGAGCCGGATCCCTCGTGCCCTCACAGTCCATGCCTCCCCTTGATCCCCAGCCCTACACAGTGACACGCAAGCAGGAGGTGCACCCAAGGGGCCCAGCTCTTAGCCAGAGCTCTGCCTCCCACACTGCCATCTGCACCCCCTCCCCATGACCTTTAAAACCTTTCCATCCCAGGGCCCAAGCCTTGGGACCAGCCCAAGATGGGATATACCACACTCAAAGCCAGAATGGATCTCTGAGGTAGCCCAGAACACACACACGCACGCACGCACGCATATATACACACACATGCATGCATGCACATACACAGTACACAGATGAGAAACCAGGGTCCAGAGAGGAATGGGCCTTGCCCAAAGTCACCCAGCAGCACAGTGGTGAAGCTGAGACCCCAGCCCACAAGCCCCCTGGACTGGTCATTTCAGTGTCCGGTCACAGTGGACTGTCATATGGCCACAGGGGTAGTTTTCACCTCCAAATGCAGGTGCCTCTCCAGAGAACAGACAGACCTGGGTTTGAGTCCATGCCCCACCACTCTGTGTGTAAAGGTCATAAACTCTCTGTGCCCGTTCCCTCACCTGAAAAATGGGGATCAAAATAACCCCAACTTACCAAGGTTCTTACGAGGTTCAAGTGAGAGGATGCAGGTAGAGCCGCAGGACAGAGTGGGCCCCTGGCACATGCTCCCTGAGTGGTAACAATGGTTCTCCACCATCTCTCGTGTCTCAAGGGGCCCCGCTGCCTGATTTGCTGCGGGCAGGAGGACAGTCATGGTTGGGTGGGGCAGGAGGAGCAAGGAGAGTTTGAGTGTGGGACTGCAGGGCAGGAGTGAGGCCACTTCCTACTGGAGGAGACCCTGGAAGTCTCCCTGGAGGTGGTGGCATCAAGCAGAGGATGTAGAACTCTGTTTCTCTTGCTCTGAAGCTGACTGGGGGCTTCTTGATTGCCACAGGGATGGAGGGAAGCACCCTACCCTGAAAGCCTAGCCCAAGCTTCTGCCCTGGATGACCTGAGGAGGAGTCCCTCCTTTCTCTGGGCATCAGCAAAATGGGGCCGGGAGGACTAGACAACACTCCCTAGAGGCACCTTTCTGCTCTGGCCTTGTTGCAAGCTGAAGAAGGTCCTCCAGACCCACCCTCTGCAGTACCCAATTATTGCCACTGGGCAGCAGCAGGGAGTAAATCTGCGGTCCGGCCTCCTTTCCCTGCCGGCCAGTCCCTCTCCCAGCATCCGGTGGTCTTTGCTCCTCCGTCCCCCCGCCAACTCGCCAGAGAGCCAGAGCTGAGCGTCCTTCACATCCAGACATCTGATGCTCCCCTCAGCCCTGCAGAGAGCCAGCATGCTGGCTGCTTTTCAGATGGGGAAACTGATGGCCAAGAGGTGAGGACTTGCTCAAGGTCACGCAAGAGCCAAGTGTGCCCACAGCGGAGGTGGTGTGAAAGGAGACTGCGGTCACACGGACCTGGCTGGGATCCTGGTCTCCTCACCTCCAGCTGTGTGTCATCGGGCAGGTCACCCACCCTCTCTGAGCCTCAATTGATATAAGTGCTGAACACATGAAGCCACCGCTTTGTTTCCAATAGAGTTTATGCCCCAAGAGTGCAAAGACATGTCTGTCACTCACCTCAGCACCCCCAGAGCCTGGCGCAGGGTGGGATTCGGAGAATAGCGCCTGCCTCCCAGGGCCTGCCTGGCACTCAGCAGACACTGTGTCTCCTCAAACCGCAACCCCCCAACCTGGCCCCAGCCCTGGATCAGCCTCACCTCGCCTCATTCCCCTCCCATCAGTCTTTCCTGCAGGACACCCACCCACCCGGCCTTGAGGGGGGGCTCCTGCTCACCTCCCCACCCCATCCCTCTCGGCCCCCTTTCTCTGTCCTGGCCTCTCCCTCATGTCGCTCTCTCCTGCCGAGCCCCCACTTGGCTCTACGCTGTTTACAAGAGAATGATGACAGTTTTTATTTCTCTGTTTTATCTCCCTTCCTCCCCTGAAGGGAAACGTGCTTCCAATCTTCCAGGAAAAATTGAAGGCTCCGGATGAGAAAAAGCAAACAAAGGACAGTGGGACCATGGGCGTCCCCACCCCCACCACCCGCAGGCCCCACACTCAAACCAGCGCCCGTGCCCACGCCCATGCAGCCGTCCTCCGCCAGGCCCCAAGAACGGCTGTTACTTTGGGGGTAATTGAAAATGTCGATCATTATTCTAGAGCATAAGTAGGTCACAGGGACACAGGGAGCGAGAGAGAGAGAGAGAGAGAGAGAGGAAACCTGGTCATGGGAGAGGATCTGGGGGAGAGAAAGGCCAGCTGGGAGGATGTGGGCGTGGAGAGGAAGAGGGAGCAGAAGGAACGGGAGGGCGGGCAACTCTCCACCAGTGAGCAGGGCCACGGACTCAGGGGGATGTGTCCTCCCACCAGCCCCCCACCACACCCCGAAAGGAGCCGGGTGGCAGGAGCTCCTGTTTAGTCCTCCCGTACCTGAGCAGCCCCGAGAGTGGGTGTCTGTGAGTGCTGGGAGCAGGAGTGGGGACCTGGCTTGTCTTCATGGGGGTGCCCTCTCACGACCACGTGCACAGCGCCCAGAGGCCAGGTCCCAGGCTGGCGGGCTGAGAGCAGCCAGCGGTCCCCTCTCCTGGGGGAATGCAGGGACTCTCCTGACCTCCCTCCCATCACCCATCCCACCTCTCTCTGCATGTCGGGACATCTCATGGTTTGTGGATTTACTACTCCAGGGCAGTGAGGGGCGCCAGTGAGCCTGGGTGGGCACGTATCTGTGCATGAGATGAGATGCCTGGGAGAGAGGGATGGGGCAGGGTGTTTGAAGGCAGTGGTGGTACCAGGTGTGTGTGTGTAGAGTAAGGTGTGGGTCTGTGCATTTGTGTGTGTGTCTTGCCCCACGTGTGTGCGGTAAGGGACGTGTGTGTGCACAGCCCCTACCTGTGTGCCTCCAGATGGTGTGTCCATGTGTCCCTGCAGGCAGGGCCCCTCTTCTGCTCCTGGCCCAGGGCCACCATCCCCCCAGGTCCTGGGAACCTGAGTGGTGATTGGCCTTGGGGTTCCCTCCAGCAACAGTGGAACAACAGACCAGCCCCCACCCCAGCCAGTGTCCAAGAGGCTCGTGGGACTGTGATGTCACCACCAAGCCCTGGCTGAGGTAACCCAACATGGAGCCAGGCCTGTCTTGCCCCCTAGAGAGAAGAGAGGAACCTCAGGTGGGTCTCCTGCCAGGCACCGAGCCTCATCCACCCTCCAACATCTGCTCGTGGTGGGAGAGGGTGAATTCCCACCCTCTCACGGACACAGCCTCAGACCTCCTGGAGGCCAGGGCTCCAGGTGAAGACCAAGTCTTCGTACCCCCGGACCCAGCCAGAGCCTGGCACAGGGCAGGAGCTTAGCAAATGTTTGTTGAATGAATGAATGCACGGATGGGGGCTTTGTGTGTGATCAAGTGCCAGGCTCCGGAGTCTAGTGACCTGAAGATACAGATTCAAGTCCTACAAGGATCAAACCAGGGCTTCCTGCAAGGTCAAGCGAGAACCCCCTGAGTTGTTCAGAAGGGGCCACGCAGCAGTCGGCCAGACCTGGGAGGCCGTGCCTGACCTTCTGCAAGTCACCTCTCTGGGGGCACTACCACAGGAAAGGCAATGTCAAGTGATGGGACTGCTTCATCCAAAGGTCAATCCCAAGCTAAATGACCCTGTCATTTTGCAGGCCGAGGCACAAGGGAGGCCCCATTCATCTTCCCTGGAGTCGGCATCCCTTTGATTGCGGGGCCACCTCTCATCTGAACATCTTCACCCCCCCCCAATATTCCTTCTGAACCCTCCATCCTCCTTCTCCCCTTCTCTTGGGACCATAAACCTACCCCAAGAGTGAGTCCTAGCTCCAGGGCCAGCTCCCAATCCTGCCTCTGTCTGGTGGCAGCTGGGGCCAGGCTGAAGGTCTGTCCTAGACTGAGCCATAAAGGCAAAAATAATACTTACTCCTAATAGAAGTAAAGCACTTCACCCTAGATGAGCCCTGGTCCTGGTCACACACAGAACCTAGACCTTTATTTAGAGATGGACCATTAATTTGTCATGTGGGCTAGGCATGGTGGCTCAAACCTGTAATCCCACTTTGGGAGGCCCAAGCAGGAGGATCACTTGAGGCCATGAGTTCGAGACCAGCCTAGGCAACATAACAAGACCACGTCTCTACAAAAAGATTTAAAAATTAACCAGGTTTGGTGGCATGTGCCTGTAGTCCCAGCTACTGCAGTGAACCAAGATTGTGCCACTGCACTCCAGCCTGGGCAACGGAGCAAGATCCTGTCACAAAAAAAAATTATCACGTGGCCGAAGTTATTTCCAGGCTCCGAGCGCCAGCTTCCTCATCTTTCCAACAGAGGGCCTTCACCTGGGCTAAGTGTTAAATCAGAAAGCCCCTATTCAGAGGTTGGCCTGCAGTTCCCTGACCTGGTAACACTGGGGAGCATTGGCTGCTGTCACCTGCCAGCTCCCACCCCCACCCAACACTTACACACCAAGCATCACTAATTTTTGCAGCTGCCATGATAAATGGCACTGTTGGCAAAATGACATCTTTCTAATCTGCCACAAGACAGACGGGTCCCCGAGCTCCCACAGCCTCCCAAGAGCCAGCCCAGGCCATCCTTGTTGAGAGGATGGGCAGATGCAAAGCCCAGGGCCTGGGGGCGGGTGGGATGGAGAGGAGACCTCAGGGCCCAGAATCAAGGACATCCCTAGTGGGGTTTACCACAGGCTCTTTTCTAAATATTTAGTTGTATGTGTGCTTTTAAAAATATTCCAAAGAATATTATATGCTCTGTTCCTTTCTGACCAAAGTTAGGGCTTCAATTCAATTTTCTTTTCTTTTCTTTCTTTTTTTTAGACAGGGTCTTGCTGTATCGCCCAAGCTGGAGTGCAGTGGCACAATCACAGCTCACTGCAGCCTTGACCTCCTGGGCTCAAGCGATCCCCCCACCTCAGCCACCTGAGTAGCTGGGTCTATAGGCGCCAGCTACCATGCCTGGCTAATCTTTGTATTTTATTTTGTAGACACGGGGTCTCGCCATGTTGTCCAGGCTGGTCTTGAACTCTTGACCTCAAATGATCTGCTTGCCTTGCTCTCCCAAAATGCTGGGATTTCAGGCTTGGGCCACTGCACCCAGCCTCAATTTTCACTTTAAATTAAAACCTGGATATTGTTCAGGTTTATAAGGATGAACCATTAGACACTGGTTCTGAGGCGGTGCTCTCTTCCTGTCACCCTCTGCTCTGCGGAACAGTCTGCCTCTGCCTGAGCCATTAGGTCTGGGGGCTTTCTCACCCCCCTCCTCCCTCCCACTCCCTCCATGGCTCCCACCCTCCCACCCAGCCTCTTTGCTGACCTCAGCCGCATCCCCTCCATGCCTCACACTGGCCTGGGACTGCCAGGTTCCTGTGTCCAGGAGTAGAGGTGAATTGGGGCTCTGGATGCCAAGAACAGAGGAAGGACAAATGCCAGCCCCAGAGACCCTCACCTCCTCAAGACCAACAGGAGCTGGCGCCTGTCCGCCCAGCAGCAGCAAAGCCAGAGCGGGTGCCAGCCAGGGTGGGTAGGCACAGGCCTGGGCTTGAAGATTGAGACAGCGCTGCCCCCTCCTGGCTAATTCACGGCTGCTCCTCTGACAGGCACTGCCAGGCTAAGCTGTTGAGGTTGGGGACATAGTGAGTGACCCCAAAAACAGCATGTGACAAGCTGACCTTCCCTGCAGTCTGCCCAGCTGGGAGCTGCCTCCCACTCTGCCCATCCTGTCCGAGCTTCTCCCAAAGCATCTTCCGGCCCTCACACCTTCAGGGCAAAGCCCGAGGCCCCTCCCGGCTGCCCACAATGTGGCCCCGGGTAGCAGCCTCGCCCCCTGCACCCCAGGCCCCTGCTGCTCTGTGCCTCCCCAGTTCCCTGTCACTGCACCTGCATGCTTTGCTCTCACCTTGACCTCCACCTTCGCCCTCCCCAGCAGTCTCCTCTTGTCCTCTTAGGTCCCTCCCCGAGGAAACTCCTCTCCCAACTCCCAACCAGAGGGACTCCGCTCCTCTGCCTGCACCCCGACCTGCCCTGCCCCTGTCTCGGGGACTGCACACTGTCAGCACAGTCCCACAGTTCTGGAACTTGGGAGAACCTAGACCTCTTCCAAGCCTACCCTGTGCACTGTCTAAAGGGCAATCCTGAGCCCAGAGAGGGGCAGGAGCTGCACAAGGCCACACAGCCTGTAATGGCAGTTAGGACTGGAATGCAGCTCTCCCGAGTCTCTGCCTGGGGCTCCTTGGAGGACAGACACATGGCTTCCCCACCTGGTGAACCAGAATGGAACTCTTCAAGGACAGGGACTGTATCATTCCTTCCAGTGTCCCCAGCCCCTCACCCAGAGCAGGACCCACAGGAAGCAACTGTGAACAGAAAAGGAAAAAACAAATACATGAAAATGTATCTCTAATGTCTTCTGTGTGCCGGACACTCAGCAGGTACCGGCTCTGCTACTAGAAATCTTGGTCAAATTGCTCAATTTGGTGTAGAAAAATAATTTCTGGGGATGAGGGGCAGTGAGTGCCCCAAGAGGGGCCTCAGTCACGAATGTCGATGACCAGTGGGCACAGGTGGAGTGAGTGCTTGATGCCCATGGTGAAAGCAGGGATGTGGGGCTTGTGCACAGTGACCTGCTGGACCTCGTGGGAGCCGGGGCCAGGCCGTGGCGTGAGGTCCAGAGGGTAGGCGAAGCGCTTGGCCATGCTGTAAGTAGGGCTGCGGTTCTGATAGATGGATGGCTCAGGTCGGGCGTACGTGGTAGGTCCAGGGCCTCCTGCCACATCCTCCTTGTAGAACCAGTTCTTGTCCCTGGAGGCCAGACTGTAGCAGGGAGCAGCTCGGCTGACAGGGGTGTTGGGCCCCAGCAAGAGTGGCATCTGGTACTGGTTGGGAGCCGGGTTGAGGTCCATCACTCTGTATGGGCGCCGGTAGCCAAACGTGTACTGGGGAGCCCTGCGTTCCCCCGGTGGGTGGATCTTCTCAAAGTAGTACTGGCAGGATGCGAGGGTGGGGTTCAGGCCTGAAAGGGAGTGGCGGGAAGGGAGGGCTCTCAGAGCAGGGAACAGACCTCATTCTCTGCTAGCCAACTGATGGTCCTGGTTATCCACTGTGACCTCAGGCTGACCACCTCAGCAGCAGGGCAGGGACATCCAAATGGTCACTTAGGCCGGACGCGGTGGCTCACACCTGCAATCCCAGCACTTTGGGAGGCTAAGGCAGGCAGATCACAAGATCAGGAGTTCGAGACCAGCCTGACCAACATGGTGAAACCCCATCTCTACTAAAAATACAAAAATTAGCTGGGCGTGGTGGCGTGCACCTGTAATCCCAGCTATTCAGAAGGCTGAGGCAGGAGAATCACTCCAACCCAGGAGGTGGAGGTTGCAGTGAGCCGAGATCACGCCACTGCACTCCAGCCTGGGCAACAGAGCGAGACTCGATCTAAATAAATAAATAATAAATAAATAAGATGGTCACTTAGGCCATCCTGACATCAGGATGGCAACACAGTGGTCATCATGTAAAAAACCATAATGTCATCATAACATTCCCCTTGGATTACCCCCAGTTGCTACAGTGTCAGCATCCAGACATTGTCCCTCTGACAGCGACACAGAAACATTCTGAGATCACTACAGTCTGTGAGCTCGTTCGCATGACAATATTGCATCCACAACAGGAGCTCCATGTCATCATAACGTCACCTGGTGACATGCTGCATGTCATAACATTGACTTCAAGACATGGTGATGTCAGCATTGCAATGTCGGTGTCTTGCAGGGAGATACCGGCATCCAGACATTTCCAAGGAGGAAGTCTTGACCCTTTGCCCCTGCCCAGGTCCTAAGGGTGCACCCCACCCCCCAACCTCCCAACCCCCAACATCTGTCCATAACCCCATCTTACGCAGGTTGGAGATGCGCTCCTCCATGGGGACCTGCGGGCAGCTGGACATTCCAAACCGAGTTATTTTGGGATCCAAGAGATAGCAAGGCCCAGGGCTGCTGTGGCACACCATCCCTGCAGGGCAACCAAGGAGAGGGCCTGGTCAGCCCCAAAGGCTGCCCCACTGAGCACCTGGCCTGCCTCCAGGCAAGATCTCCCTCCCACTTCAGATTCTGTGGCTCCTGGGTGTTTGGGGACCCTTGATTTCCTCATCTGTAAAATGGGACTTTTAACACATGACCTGGTATTTTCAAGAACTTGCTCAGAGGAACAGTAAAATAACAGCTGCCCAGCAGCTTGGGCAGCCACCCACCCAATCAGGGGTTGGGGCCAACGGGGAGTAATAGCCCTGTGGCTGCTGTGGGCATTCAGCAAAGGCCCAGCCAGGCCAGGGGCTTACCTTGCTGAGGTGGGTATTCTCCCCAGGGAAAGGCCTGACAGGCACCCCAGATCTCAGACCCCCGGGTGCACGCCACCACACCCTGCCCAGCAGCATAGGTCATCTGTGGCCTCTGCTTCTGCCCTTCCAGTGGGTTCTAGGCCACCTGAGGAGCTCTGGGGGCCACCACTTCCCCACTGGCCTCCTAGCTGTTCCTGCCTGGCCACAATGGCAAGTGACCCTAGCAGAGCATGGCGACCGGAGCTGAAGGGCCCCAGCCAAAGGCCAGAAAAAGGAGACTCTGCTGTGCCAGCTGGACAGGGCCAGGATCCCCTATAGGCTCCCTTGGGAGAGGCGGCTAGGGGATGCCCATGGAGTTGCCCCACCCTCAATCCCCGCTGGCTTCCTCTGGACCCAGGGGGCCCCTTGAGTGTCTCAGATTCCCAGTGGCTACAGAGAATGGCTCCATGTCTCTCCCCTCAACCTCCAACAACAGCTCCAACCCCAGCCGGATGACTGGGGTGGCAACGCTCACGCTTCTCTGAGTGCCGGCTATGCAGGGTATAAGCTGGTGCCTTGAACATGGAGATGTCATGATCTATGTAGCCCGTGCAGGATGGCCGGAGGTACTTGGCGGGCCCCGGACCTGTAAGGATGGACAGGACAGCCCTCAGCCTGGGCCCACCAGGTCAGAGGCAGGGGAAGCCCCAGTACAGCGCACCATGGGAACATTGGGGGTATTTGTTCTTGCTGCTATCGCACTGCCACGAGCCCAGCATCCATCCAGCTGCTTCGTTTGGGGGAAGGCAGTATTTCCAGATAAAATGCAGTTTCCCTTGGACAGACAATGCATAATAAGAAGCTAATAGTTACAGTTAATTGAGAACTTATTCTGCTCCAGGTTCTCCACTAGGCATCCGACGTGGATTATTTCCGTTAAGCCTCTGAACAATGCTGTAAGGTAAATGCTCTTGTTTTTCCCATTTTACAGAATATTGAGGCTTAGAAATATCTACCCACATATCACAAACTAGTAGTGTGAAGATTCTAAGACCATCATCCAGTAGAACCCAAACCTTCAATCCCTGCACTAAACTACTCCCACTTAGAGCACTAGTCAGTCATTACCAACATAGTAAGAATTAGCGTCTGCTGTCCCTTGAGAGTAAAATTGAAGGGAAGTGAGGAAAGCTAAAGCTAGGACAAAGGCTCCTAGTCTTTTTCCAAAGCGGGCCTCACTGCAAGTCCCATGCTCCCCTCCTCCCCCACCCACTTGGACAATCCCAGCAGCCAACACTGCCTGTGAGGGTCAGCTTGGAGGCTCAGGTCTTCTGTAAGGCTTCAAGGAAGTTGGAAGGGGCTTTGCAGGAGGCAGGCTGGAAGGAGTCCTGGAGAGAGGGGAGGGGGCCCAAGCCCAGGGTGGGGATGGCTCTCACCTTTGATCTTGGCCATGATGACAGGGGTCTGCTTGACCTCCTGCCTTGAGGGCAATGGCTCCTTTTCTGGGTGCTGTGCAAAGTACACAGAGCTCCTGGTCCCCTTGGGCAGTTTCATGGCTGGGGCTGGGCAGGGAGCAGCAGCAGCTACAGCAGGGTCTAAACAGCAGTCAAGGGGCTAGAGTATCCCTGCCTGAGACCCCCCCATCCCCCACCCCAGACACGGAGGAAGCTGGGAAGGAAGACAGTTCTCCAGCTTGAGCAGCTAAGGCTGTCTGGGGCACAGTCAGCACAGGCCCCAGCAGGCTGGAGCTGGAGATGACGTCACGGCAGAGCTTGGACTGTGAAACTCGTAGTGTTTATTTCCCCTGGTTGCCATGGCGCCTGAACTGCGGCGTGGAAATTCTATGCTGGGAGCTTAGTTATGGAACCCTGACTATCCCACTGTCCCCCATCACCAACCAGGCCAAGTGGCCTGGGGGTCCCCAGGACCCTGGGTCAGGGAAGGGAAATGGAGAGATGGTGTTACGTATCAGCTAGCGCTTCACTCCCAGTGGGTGCCCTAAGGTTGGGGAAAGGAATGGAAAGGGTTGGTGGGTCACGGGTGAAGGGTTTGTGCAGCACACACAGCCCCCTGGGGGCTCTCTACCCCCTGCCTCTCCCACCTACCTCCCAGGCTCTGGACATGCCCTCTCTTCTGTCAAGTCTATTTTTCCCCTGGCAAAATATCAAGTCAATTATCACTAAGGTGTGACTGTCTGATAGCTCCTCCCCAGAATCCTATCCCAGGGTGTGGTATCTTTAGAGATCCATGTCTAGCTCAATGGATACAAAAAGGAGTGGGAAGCAAATAAAGGAGGACAGAGGGGTGGTGCTGAGCCTTCAAGGGGCTGCTTCCTGTGCCTGTGACCAAGAGCACTCCCTTGGCAGGGGAGCAGTTGGAGTTGGAGGGCGGTATGAGAGGACACATAGAAGGGGAGGGAAGGCAGCCAGCCCCATCTGACGGATGGATGAGCCCCAGGCCTGAAAACATGCTGGGAACCTCTTCATTCCTAAGAACCCAGGAGGCTTTTGGGGGCCTGGGGCCTGTCACCTCCACTGTTCGTAACAGACTAGGGATTTGACCTGAACCGGGTCAGCGGTGTCCATCTCAGGAACCAGATGACTGCTGGCTTTAGACAGGGGTGTCTGTCACCACCCCAGTACACAGTTAAGAAAACTGAGGCCCGGAAAGGAACAAGGACTTGCCCAAAGTCTCCTACTACATCAAAATAGCAGAGATGGAACCAGGACACAAAACCCAGGGCTCTCCTTGGATCATAGTCTCTGATTGAATAGAAACCAAGCCATGCTCTGAACGCATTCCAGTCAGCAGGCACAGCGAGGGCTCAGAGCAGCAGGTAGGACAGGCATGCAGGGTGTCCAGAAGCCCCTGAGGGACCACAGGCCTCAGAACAGAGGACAGGGGCCCAGTCCCCCCAGCAGCAGACCCTGTGTGCCCCCATATGCCCATGGGGCAAGTAAACCTCTGATTTCTGGGTAAGGGAGGGCTGAGCCAGGCTGGGGGGTGACCCAGCCTCACTGGCCTCAGGCCAGGGCCAATGCTATGTCCTCAGCCCCATCCGCGTCAGCTTTTCCTGTAGGAAGCTGCGAGCCCTGATGGTATCCCAGTGCTGAGAGGGGCCGGATCTGGGGCTGGGACCCCCACCTTCCTGGTGAGCGGGCAGTCTCCAAGTATTTCAGGCCCGGGGAGCCTCCTGCCTTCCTCCCTCACTGCTTCTGCCCCATCATCCTGGTGCACAGCTCTTCAGGAAACTAGGCCACCCCGCACCCCAGCAGGTCACAAGCCACTCCAATTTGTTCCAAATGCTTCCTTTCCTCCAGCTCTGATGGAGACCCAGCTCACCCCTGGAGGTGGCCCTCGGCCCTGTCCAAAGCTGGCTGCTCCGACATTCACATCCCTCATGCCTCAGAGTCCACAGTGCCGTGGGTCTCTGGCTGCCTTGGTCCCCAGACTGTGCCCTCCCCATCAAATGCCCCATTCCTCTGGGGCACTGGCATCCAGGTGTGTCCCCCTTCAGCTCCTCAGGGCTGCCCTGGGTCCCTACTCATAAACCTAGCAGCCGTGGCTCGAGGCCACCTCCACCCCACCCCAACTCCTGCCATGACCCTGATAGCTCAGGCCTCCCCAGGGACCACCACCAATGCCCTGGCCTCCCCGTTCCCAGACCTCCTCATGTGCAAACACCTCCACTCCACTCCCTCACAGGCCGGTCCCCCACTGCAATCCTGGGCTTCTCACCACCTCCCACAGCACTGACAGCCAGTCTCTCTGGGAGGCCATCCCCTGCCCCCCATCTCTGAGACCCCAGTGCTGACCCTGCACTCCCTGCACTTCTGCGTCATCCTTCAGGCCCCTCCAGCTTTCACCACCCTCCTCATCCAGCCCCTTTCCTGGAACATCCCAGCACTGCGTCCCCCAGGTCTGCGTTGTCCATCTGCATCAGGCAGCTAAAGCTGTCAGGACAGTCTCATGGCCAGAACCTTGGACCTGCCCTCCTCGCCACCTGCCACCCACCCCCACCTCTGGGCAGCCTGCCCTCCCCCTCTCCCCCACCCCCAGGGATCATCCCCTGCATGGCTCACTCTCCTCTGTTCGCCTGGCCATCCTTCCGGCCCCCCCATCCACCTGCCCCATCAGGCTGGGCTCTGACGAGTACCCCCCATCACAGCCTCAGAACCGCCATGTCTTTTGTCATCGGCTCCCACGTCCCGCCTGGGACACTGTGGATTGCACCCCTCTCCTTGGACTTGCGCCTCTCATCTGGCTCCCTCCTGTCACACTCTAGATATCCTAAGTCCCCTCTATCTATTCAAACTGTCCCCCAAGCCCACATGCTTCTCCGTCACTGCCTGTCCCTCTCTGCCCAGCCCACAGACCACCTTCCCCACAGAGGTGTTTTCCAGTCATCTCCATTCTCACCTCCCTCTCACACTTGACTCAGCCTGAGTTGGCTCCAGGCCCACTGCTCCACCCGAAAGAGGCTTAACTCGACGCCCGCCACCTGCAGGTGGCAGCTGCTTCCAAGGGACACTCTTCATCCTCTAATGCAATAAATGCCAGCCCTGCCTCACTCATGCTGCCCCTCCTGCTGGCTCCAGGACGCCCTCCTTCTTTCCTTCTGTCTCTCGGCTGCCCCTGCACTGGCTTTCTTCCTGGCTTCCTTCCTTCCTCAACCTGACCTTTCAATGTTGGCGTATGCTTATTCATTGCAAAGGGGAAACAGTAACTTTATAGAAGAGAGGCCTGGCAGGCATCACCTCAACCAAGTGATACGAGTCAACATCCCAATGATTGCACAATAGATGTGTGCCTCTTGGTTTTGTTTGTTTGGTTTTTTTGTGGGGGATTTTTGGGGGAGACAGAGTCTTTTGCTCTGTCACCCAGGCTAGAGTGCAGTGGCGTGATCTCAGCTCACTATGACCTCTGCCTCCTGGGTTCAAGCAATTCTCCTGCCTCAGCCTCCTGAATAACTGGGATTAGGGGAGCCTGCTACCATGCCCAGCTAATTTTTGTATTTTTAGGAGAGGCAGGGTTTCACCATGTTGGCCAGGCTGGTCTCGAACTCCTGACCTCAAGTAATCTGCCCTCCTTGGCCTCCCAAAGCGCTGGGATTGCAGGTGTAAGCCACCACGCCCAGCCAGTTATGTGTCTTTTGATAGGCTGCGTGAGAAGGGCACGGCATCACTTCCTAGGCATTCCTGCCACAATACAGAACCTGAATTTAATCATGAGGAAAACAGACAAACTCAAACCAAAATTCACCTAAAAGAACTGGCCTGTACTTGTCAAAAATGGCAACATCATGGAAGACAATGAAACGCTGAAGAACCATGCAAGATGAATAGACACTCAGAAGAAAGCCGAGGTTTTCTTTTGTTATAAAGGATATTTTTGGGAAAATTGGCAAAGCTGGGGAGAAAAAAGTCTATGGCTTAGTTCAAAGTATTGTACCAATGTTAATTTCCTGGTTTTGATCATTGCACTCCAGTTATGAAAGAGAAGGTCCTGTTCTAGGAAATACTGCTTGAGCCCAGGAGATCGAGACCAGCCTGGACAACACAGTGGGACCCTGTCACTACCAAAAAAGAAAAAAAAAAATAGCCAGGCACGGTGGTGTGTGCCTGTAATCCCATCTACTCAAGCAGGAAGCTCCCTTGAGTCCAGAAGTTTGATGGTGTGGTGAGCTCTGATGGCACCACTGCAGTCCAGCCTGGGCAGCAGAGCGAGACCCTGTCTCATTTTAAAAAAAAAATTAAAAAAGAGGAAAAACTCACTGAAATATTTAGGAATAAAGGAGCATTATGTCTGCAACTTACTTTCAAATGGTTCAGAAAAATAGAGAGAGAGATGGCCGGGTGTGGTGGCTCATGCTTGTAATCCCAGCACTTTGGGAGGCCGAGGCGGGCAAATTACGAGGTCAGGAGATAGAGACCACCCTGGCTAACACAGTAAAACCCCATCTCTGCTAAAAATACAAAAAATTGGCCAGGTGCGGTGGCTCACGCCTGTAATCCCAGCACTTTGGGAGGCCAAGGCAGGCGGATCACAAGGTCAGGAGATCGAGACCATCCTGGCTAACAAGGTGAAACCCTGTCTCTACTAAAAATACAAAAAAAAAAAAAAAATTAGCCGGGCGTGGTGGCGGGCGCCTGTAGTCCCAGCTACTCGGGAGGCTGAGGCAAGAGAATGGCGTGAACCCAGGAGGCGGAGCTTGCAGTGAGCCAAGATGGGGCCACTGCACTGTACTCAAGCCTGGGCGACAGAGCAACACTCCATCTCCAAAAAAAAAAAAAAAAAAAAAAAAAAATACAAAAAATTAGCTGGGCTTGGTGGCACGTGCCTGTGGTCCCAGCTACTCGGGAAGCTGAGGCAGGAGAATCGCTTGAACCTGGGAGGCAGAGGTTGCAGTGAGCTGAGAATGCACCACTGTACTCCAGCCTGGAAACAGTGAGACTCCATCTAAAAAAAAAAAAAGAGAGAGAGAGAGAAAAGAATTTAAAATGTGGTAAACAATTAACATTTGGGAAATCTAGGTGGAGTATGTGGGAAACATTTGTAATCATCTTGCCACTTTTATCTAAGTCTGAAATTATGTCAAAATAAACATTTTAAGGAAGAGACGTTGGTGTCTCAGGGCTCAGTGCTGGGTCTTCCTCCCATTTTGCACCGCGCTCCTCTCTCCCGGGCAGCCTCATCTCCTCTGGTTGCTTTAATTCCCTTATCGATACCCCAGCAATCCGGAAGTAAAACTTCCCCTGACTAGACCTTCTTAGGAGCATTAGGCTCACATATACAGCCGCCTGCACAGTGTCACCTGGGTTTCTCACAAGCACCTTGAAATCAACATGCCCCAAGATTTCCTTATGAGATACCCCCCAGTCCCTGTCCATCTCAATCCATGACACCACCACCCACCCTTCTAAGTGCCCAAGCCAGAAACCTAGGCTTGTCCTGGACACCTCCCTTATCCCAACTCCCACATCCAACCAATTGCCAAGTCACTTTGGGGAGCCTGTCAGTTCCCCAAAACCAGGGTCCTGTTTATTCACCTGTGTCCCCAGCCCTCAGCATCAGCATAGTGCCTGACATATGATCTGTGCTTAAGAAATATTTGTTGAATGAATGAATTTGTTGATCAAGGAATGTCACTTCTTTTCATGGAAGCAGAGTCCTGCTTTCTGAGCCCCAGGCACGTGCCAGGTCTGACTCACTGGACTGCCATCTACGATGTGCTGGCTTCTATCAGTAATCTCTTGCTGCATAACAAATTACTTTCAAAATATAATTGCTTGAAACAGCAACTTCCTTCTGTTGCACACAGTTGCTGTGGGTCAGGAGTTTAAAAGTGACTTTGCTGGGTGGTTTTGGCTCCAGGTCTCTCAGGAGGTGGCAGTCAAGGTGTCAGTAGAGGTCAGGCACGGTGGCTCATGCCTGTAATCCCAGCACTTTGGGAGGCCAAGGCGGGTGGATCACTTGAGGTTAGTAGTTCAAGACCACCCTGACCAATATGGTGAAACCCCGTCTCTACTAAAAATACAAAAATTAGCTGGACATGGTGGTGCATGCCTGTAATCCCAGCTACTCGAGAGGGTGAGGCAGGAGAATCACTTGAATCCGGGAGGCAGAGGTTGCAGTGAACCAAGATCACACCACTGCACTCCAGCCTGGGCAACAAAGCTAGGTTCCATCTTAAAAAAAAAAAAAAAAAAAAAAAGTAGAGGTTGTATTAATCTTAAGATTTGATTAGGGTTGGCAGATCCACTTCCAAGATGGCTCATTCACATGAGTGGTGAGTTGATACTGGCTGCTGGCAAGAGGCTTCAGTTCCTCTCCACATTGGCACCTCCACAGTCTACTTAATTATCCTCAGATCATGGTGGCTGCAATCAGAAGAGAGCAAGGGAAAAGCTACCATATCTTTTCTGACCTCATCTTGGACGTCACTTCATCATTTCTGCAACACCCTATTGGCTGCATAAGGTGGCTGTATTCAACATGAGAGGGAGCTACCCAAGGGCATGAATGCCAGAAGGTGAGGCTCACTGAGGGCCATCTTGGAGCCTGGCTACCACTAGGCTTTTCACTGTGCAAGGACAAGAGCCAATGGGGCCAGTAGGGGCTGAACTCCAAGCTGGGTATTCTTGTATAGGGTGGTGTCCCCACTAAAGCTCCACACAGGCTAACAGCAGCCCCGCCAGCTTGCTCCAGCTGTCTCTTGGTTGTCAGTCTTGCCTCTCCTCCAAGGGACTCGGGGGAGTCACAGACAGCAGGACCCTGGCATAAAAATCATCATAACCACCAGGCACTTCAGAGTTTATAAAGCTCCGGCGCTTCTGTTGGAGGCCATCATCCAAGCACCTCGGTGGCTGTACATTTTACGGATGAGGAAAGGGGTACAGAAAGGCGAAGTGACTTGTCTGGGGCCACATAAAAAAAGGCTTGGCAGGACCGGGCTCCTGGCTCCTGACCCCACATTCTTTCCACTGCCCTGCCCAGTGGCCAGCTCAGACCCACATCCCCTGACATCTACTGCAAGCCTCATTCCCAGCCCTAAGCAGGTATTTCTCACCCTCCTTCTGGGAGCCCCAACCCAGCCCTCAAGCAAATATACTCACAAATTTTTCATCCAGGTGGGGACTGTCCACTCTACTTCCAAGAGGCTCTGTCTGCAGGCAGCCGGCTGTCCACTGGGGCCGCACAGCAAGGGTTAACAGCAGGAACTAATATTTAGAAACAGCACTACCCCAGAGGAGTCAGCTGTGGCCAGCTGGTCACAGCCACTGAAGCCACCAGCCTTTGTGAGTGTGATATGGAAGACGAGTGCCTGCTCCTGGAAAGCAAAGGCTCCAAGAGGGTCCTTCACCACCCCCGGCCCTTGTCCTCCCAGCACGGCTTGTGTGTGGCTCAGAGGCCAGGGCAAAGCCCTCCACTGGCCTCCCTTCCACAGCTGGCTCCTGAGAGTGGCAAACATAACTTTTCAGCTCCCGAACTGTGTAATTGTTGGGACTGGCTGCTCCCTCCCATCCTGAGCCTGGCTGCCTGTACTTGGAGGAGCCCTGTGTGTGCCTCTGCCAGAAGCAGGATCAGGACCACTCCTAACAGAGGCCCCAGGTCAAAGGCCCAGGCCCAGGGCCCGCTGCCATGGAGCTCTTGGCCAGAAAACTGCAGGGCCACTGAGCCAGCGCCTAAAGCCCGTGCCCTCTTGCACAGTAGTGGCCTAGGTTCTGTGACCTTCATGGCAGAGGGCCAATTCCCTGAGGGCGGGCCCTGGGCAGCAGGAGCACACCCCTGCTTAGGCACCACCCCATCTAGGGCACAGGCACACACCATTTCCCAGCAAGCTGGCTTTGGCCACAGGCTTCTTGGGTGGGGCCCAGGCAACGAGGGTGCAAAACACCCTGGCCAAGGGTGGGGCCAAACCACAGCCACTGCCCAGAGCGGGGACTCTTAGTCCAAGAAGCACTAGAGGTAGGAGTGACCAGCAGTGCTTGGCCAGCATGGTTGGGTGAACTCTGCTGGCAGGGAGGTGAGTATTACTGGGCCCTCTGTTGTCTTGTTCTCCAAGAACAATTGGAGAAATGGAGGCAGCACATACCACAGGTCACTGTAGCTTCAGAGAAGTTTGAATCTTCTTTTGCCCCTGGGTGGGAACATCCTTCTTCCTTCTTATAAGTGTGTTCTAAGCCTCCTTCTTTCCTCCTCCCTCCCACCCTGTGCTCTGTCCCATGCTTGGCTGGGGAGGCATGGACGCACACCTCCTGACCCAGCTAAGCAGGCCCCAGGTGAAACTAGGAGAGCTACGGAGATCAGGATTCCAGGGAATCTTTTGAAAGAGAAGTCGACGAGCACGAAGGAGGGCTAGGAGGGCTTGCTGGAGGAAGGTGAGATGTGGCCAGGGAGGTAGGGGCAGTCAGGGATGGCCACCAAGGATGCCTGGCCAAGCAAAGTCATGGGAAAGGTTGGAGGGCAGAAGGAAGAAGGCCCGAGCCAGACCTGAGGATGCCAGAGAGGCCCAGGTCAGCTCTGTTCAGCACTGAGGCTTCAGGGCCTTGGGTGAGCTTGCTGAGGAGCTGGAGAGGGGACAGTTGAGGAGCAGGCACAGCTGGTCCAGCAGCCTTTGTTCCAAGACAGTGGGAGGTGGTCAGGGGTCAGTTCCAAAGGCACACAGGGACCTCGACTTTCTGCCAGTCTGCCTGGCATGATGCTGCTCAGCATTGGTCCGGAGTTCCAGCCCTAGGTTACGGCTGAGCAAAGGCCAGGCCTGTGTGCGCTGGAGCCGCAGCATCCCTTTTCCACTGAGAGCCTCAGTTTCCTCATCTGGAAGCAGGGACACAGTTGGCCAACACATACGCTTCCCAAAGTTGTCAAGAGACCAAGTGAATGTTTTTTGTAAACTGGGAAGCCCCAGCAGAGATGCGCCAGCCGGGTTATTACCGCTGTGCTGGTTGCCATTATTTTCCAGGCCTGTGTTTCTCTGCCCAGCTAGCAACAAGGCAGGGGGAGGCTCCCAGCTAATCCAGACTTGAATCTCAGCTGTGGGTGGGAGCACCCTGTCTGGAGGCTCCACAGACATCTGTGTAGGTGGGGAGCAGGGAAGATGGGGAGGGGGTGGGGGGGGGAGATGGGGCCAGCAGAGATCTTCACCCAGATTTTTGATTCATAGAGCAAAAAGCCTTCTGTCTTATTTTTTCATTCCTGAAAAGAAAGCTCTTTTCCTCCAAACACAGTCTTCCAAGCAGCACCCCCACCCCCAGCCCCATAGCTTGTCAGTAATTAGCCCCTAATGAGGACCAGGTGTCCTACCGACTTGAGGAGAAGGAAAAACAAGGGACAGCCGGGCGCGGTGGCTCACACCTGTAATCCCAGCACTTTGGGAGGCTGAGGCGGGCAGATCACGAGGTCAGGAGTTCAAGACCAGCCTGGTCAACATGGTGAAACCCCATCTCTACTAAAAATACAAAAATTAGCCAGGCATGGTGGTGCACACCTGCAATCCCAGCTACTCAGGAGGCTGAGGCAGGAGAATCGCTTGAACCCGGGAGGCAGAGGTTGCAGTGAGCCGAGATCGCGCCATTACACTCCAGCCTGGGCAACAGAGCGAGACTCTGTCTCAAAAAAAAAAAAAAAAAAAACAAGGGACAAATTGTGGAATCAATGCCTTTACCGCCACTGAGGCCAGCCTAGCACAGCCTCCATCCCAGGCCTCCTAGGGCACCTGGATGGAAGCTCTTAGGTTTGCCAAAATCCCTACAGAACAGCAGCAATTGGTTTCTTAGTCAACTACAGCAGGCATTTATTGTACACCTACTGTATGCAGCAGCCTCTGGAGGAGAAAGTTCAAGCTTTACAACAAGGGAGGTGATATGTGTAAAGCTGTATGTAAACCATGAATCACAGGGAATGTGCAGGATGACAGAGACGGAGGAGAAAGGATAAGCATTTATTGAGCACCTACCGTATGCCAGGCCCTGGGCTAGGGACTTGAGGTACATTAAAGCATTTAATCCTCATTAACCCAATTTTACAAATGAGGAAACTGCCACAGAGAGGTGAGGGGACTTGTTCAAGGTTTGACAACCAAGTAAGGGAGCTGGGATTTGAACCCAGGTCTCTCTGGTTTCAAGACCAATACTCATAACCCCCACATGGACCAGGCACCATCACACCTGAGCACTGCACTTAGGGTCAAAGACCTGGCCCCACATCTCAGCAGCTATGTAGACTAGCTCCAGTCCCTTAATCTCTCTCAGCCTCAGTTTCTTCATCTGCAAAACAGGTCTCAGTTTCGTTGCAAAGTATGAAGTGCTGGGCTGTTACTGGTCAAAGGGAAGAGCTGGGAAGAGGGTGCAAGGTGGGGTTGGGCTGGAGATGGGCTGGAGCAGATAGATGGAGGGACCTGAATGGAGGAAGTAAACCAAGGCCCGGTAACATTGGGACTGGACAGAGAACACGCAGATCCTCTAGGCACCGGAAGCTAAGTAACATTGCCCTTTCTCCTCCTGTTTGGGACTAGGCTGATGTTGCTGCCTGGAAGGGAGCCAGCAGAAGGGCCCCAGCCTGAAGCTGTTAGGTAGAAGCCAAATCCAGGGCCAGATTTCCAGGAGGCAGCCTCGGGAAGTTGAAACACCCGGATTCAGGGGTCAGGAGGCCTGGGCTTCTGGCACCAAACGGCCAGGGACCTACTTTCCACCTGGAGTCTTGTAAGAGCCACTTTCAGCTTGAGCTGCACTTTCGTCCTCCATGAAATGGGGGAGGGGATGCTCCTCACCCACCTTGCAAGGTTATTTTGAGGCAAATGTCATGGCGGGACTGAGAATTCTTCTGCCCTGCGAGGAAATCCAGACATCTCTCCCTTACAGACAGGGAGACTGAGGTGAGGCCCTTCCAGGCAGAGAAGGTCACTGTTGCAGCCATGGGCAGTGCCCCACAGGACCTCGGGTGGTGCCTCTGGAGTCTGGAGAAGTTCCTAGGGGACCTCCGAGGCAAAGCAGCCCAAAAGCCGCCTGTGAGGGTGGCTGGTGTCTGTCCTTCCTCCTAAGGCTGGAGTGTGCCTGTGGAGGGGTCTCCTGAACTCCCGCAAAGGCAGAAAGGAGGGAAGTAGGGGCTGGGACAGTTCATGCCTCCTCCCTGAGGGGGTCTCCCGGGCTCGGCTCTTGGGGCCAGAGTTCAGGGTGTCTGGGCCTCTCTATGACTTTGTTCTAAGTCTTTAGGGTGGGGCTGGGGTCTGGCCCAGCTGCAAGGGCCCCCTCACCCCTGCCCCAGAGAGGAACAGCCCCGCACGGGCCCTTTAAGAAGGTTGAGGGTGGGGGCAGGTGGGGGAGTCCAAGCCTGAAACCCGAGCGGGCGCGCGGGTCTGCGCCTGCCCCGCCCCCGGAGTTAAGTGCGCGGACACCCGGAGCCGGCCCGCGCCCAGGAGCAGAGCCGCGCTCGCTCCACTCAGCTCCCAGCTCCCAGGACTCCGCTGGCTCCTCGCAAGTCCTGCCGCCCAGCCCGCCGGGATGCAGTCCGGGCCGCGGCCCCCACTTCCAGCCCCCGGCCTGGCCTTGGCTTTGACCCTGACTATGTTGGCCAGACTTGCATCCGCGGGTGAGTGAGGGGCCTGAGACCCCGACCCAGCCTGGCGGAACTAGAGGGGTTCCTCCGGGAGGGAAAAGGGACAGGAGGAGCCAGAAGTGGCCCCCAGATCGGGAGTCAAGCAGGCTGCGCTTCTCCCACCACTAGCTGGGGTCGCCAGGGGTTCAATCCTGGGGCGGACACGGGACCCCGCTATCTCAGGTTATGGGGTTTCTAGCTAGCCAAGGCTGTCCAGTTAGGGGCGGGAGCAGGCGCCCCAGGCATGGATTGCCTAGGGCGTGGCTTTGCCCGTTTGGATTGTCTGAGACACCAGTGGGGCCACCCCAATGCTGGCCGAGCTTTGTTTGCCAGGCAAGTTTGGGGTGAGTATGTTGGGGTCCAAAGGGACCCGGCGACAGTGAGAAGTGGGTCCTCCAGCTTCAGATGCCCTGGGCCAGGAATGGGGAGTGCTACAAGGTGGGAAACGAGGAATGAGCCACCCTGCCCTCCCCTGTGAGGAGCACCCCCACACCCCTCCAGCTGCCCCCCAGCTCTGCCCCTTCTTTCCTCCCCTTGCTTCCTTGCAGATCCGTCTATCTGCCACCTCCCCTCTTCATTCTCTCCTCTCCCTCCTCCTGTTGGTGACAGGCAGGACCCCCCACCCACTACCCACTCTCAGCCTCCTAGAGGGAGAGCTGGTGCCCCTCAGCGGGGCTTGTCCTACAGATAGCTCTGGACCACCCCCTGCCACACCTCCTCATCCCAGCACTGATGCCTGACCCAGCAGAGGCTGAATGGAAGTTCGCTTTCCGAGAAGTGCTGGGATATATCCCCTCTCTGTCCCGATGCCAGAAACCCCAACATGACAGCATTCTTCCTTCAGCGAAGGCAGCTCTAGTTATGCCATAAGAACTGTGGCCTTAGGGCCCATCCATCATCACTACCCACGTGTGATTCAGTGCTTCAGCTACACCTTCGAGATCATTCCCAAGAGCAACATGGAGCAAAGGCAGGGCCTGAGCCTCCTTCACAAGGGCCCAGGCCACACCCTTCTCTCCTTCAGATGGAGAAGCCAGCTCTAAAAGAGGGCATCACATGGTTCCCAGAAGGGAAGTGAGTCAAGGGAGGACCCCCGCGGGGTGAATCAGGGCTGGATCTCCAGGCTCCCTGTTCCTGCAGGGACCAGATCCCCTAAGATCTCAGGGCCTGAGGGATGGGCTGGGCCGCCAGGGAGATGGGAAGGGAGCATCCAAGGTGACCAGGGTGGTCAGCTCATTCAGGCCCCAGCCTCCAGCCAAGGAGGGATTCCAGTACCCCCACCTCCTTGGGCTTCAACTGAGAGCCATTCTCAAATACCTTCTTAGCCCTGACAGCATGCAGGCATGGTGCTAGGCTCGCAGGGGCACGGGAAATTGAGAGGCTGAACTGAGACTCATTCAGGAGGCAGAAAGGCAAATTAAATCTCAAACAGCAAAAATCTGGATGAAAAGTACAGAGGGGAGAAAAGCAGGGGCAAGCTGGGGCAGGACACAGGGTGGGCCTCAAACCAAGCCTTGGTGGATGGGAAGGGAGTCAGTCCTCCAGGCAGGGGCGCTGACTCAGAGGCACCAAGGTGGGCGTAAGCAGAGGGGTGTTGAGACAGGAAGGCCAGCAGCCTGGCTGGGAGGCGTATTTCGAGCACAGGCCAGGGAGAACCACTGGGCTGGGGCACAGAAGCCTTAAATGGCAAAATGAAGCCCACGGCCTTATGCCCTGTTGGCAAAGGAGATGCCACAAGGGTTTTAGGGCAAGAGAGCAGCATGGTGCTGTGGGGTTTTATAAAGTTACACCATCCCCTGCCTTTAGGAGGACTCGGAAATGAGGAGGGGCTGTGAGAGCTCCCGTCCAGCAACCCATCTCTGTCACCACTCCTGGTCCAGCTGCCTGCCCTGATTTCTGCAGTAGGGGCAGCCCCTGCCTGAGGAAGGCGTCCCTCCCACCCCTCCTGGATGCCCCTGGCTGCAAAGGCCCTCGTCCTCCCGTATCCGAATGAGGCGTGCTGGGAGGCTCTCCCTCTACTCATCAACATTTGAGGCATCCAGGTCAGGGGGCCTGGCAGTCAGCACCCTAGAGGCCATCTGGGCCAATCTTCCACTTGTATAGAGAGGGAAACTGAGGCCCCAGAGAGGAAGAAAAGTACTCTGAGTTCCACCAAGAACCCCAGCAGCCCAGGAAGAGCCCCCAGCCCTGCTTCGAGGGTGCTCCCAGCCTGCGTCGGGGCCTAGGCTTGGGCCACTGAGACAGTGTGGGTGACAGATGCGGTGTCCAGCTCCTTCTGAGCTGTATGGGAGGCCCCAGCAGAGAGCCAAGCATTGGGGGAGATTGGATTTGAGCTGATACTGGAAGGACAGGCAGAGAAGGAAGGAGGTGACATTCTAGTCGGGGGGTCACAGTGAGCACAGGGCAGGCAGGGGTGGTGGCTCCCACACCTCTTCCCTGGCATCACTGACTGAAAGGCAGAATGTGAGGGGTTGAAGTGGGACCCAGGTTGGGGAGTACCTGGCAGGGAGGGCTTGTGTGTTACCTGGGTGGGGACTCAGAACTGATGGGGGTATCTTAGTGAGCAGGGCCACAGGGACACCAGGTACAAGAAATTGAAGCAGGGTAGATCCTGCTGCCTCTGAGGATGGCTTGGGGGGACCGATGGTGCTCGGGACAGGCACTGAGCCTTGTGTGCACCTTGTGTGCCACCCCAGGCCTCCGGAGCAGGGCAGGGCCCAGGGGCCAGAGCCCTTGGCCCAGCCCACCCGGACTCGAGAAAAACTGTTCTAGAGCAAGTGTAACGGAGCCTCCCTCCCTACGCCTGCCCGCCCGGGCAGGACAAGAAGGGCCTTTTAGTGCTGCCCGCCTGGGGGGCCTGGGGTGGGCCATGCCAGGTGGGCCAGGCGGCTGTCGATGACGGCAGGAGGGGAGTAGGGTGCGTGTGGAGCTCTCAGAGGAAGTGTATAGGCTGTGTCTGGGAACTGGGCGTGCTGCCCAGGAGGGGCGGGCAGGGGAGGGGGAGTTGGAAATAGCCTTGACGTCCGCACTTACTGGCGCACACAGATGTGGGCACACACACTTGCACACGGCCACTCTCACAGACCTGGACGAGGTGGCTACTGCCTCTGTCTCCAAGTCCCCTACCTTAAAGATCTGGGCCAGTGGCACTTGCGGGGAAGGAAGTGAGCACAGGATGGGGACAGGGGTGCCACCTGAGGTGTGTCTTCTATTCAAGGCCAGGGGCAAATGAACAAGGGGCCTGTGGGCATGGGACTGAGGCCTGGTCCCTCCCTGGTCCCTCTGCTCCTTCACTGCCTTTCCCCCTGACTCCCGCCCCATCCAGCTCTCCTCTTGCCTCCAACATGCCCTCCGCCCCAGCATATGTCAGTTCAATAGAGCCTTCCAGAGTTAAGGCTCTTCCTCCAGCTGCAGGCTTAGGGCAGGTTTCAGATTTACTGTATTACCATTCCTACTGAGTTTGTATGAGGAATTTTTGAATGAACTGAATTTGTATGAACAATTTTGTACTTGGCTCCTCCGTGGGGCAAGGGTTCCTAGCTCTCTCCGCTTCTCAGGAGGGTCCGTAACTCCAAACAGGAGAGGACAGAGCTGTCTTATTGCTGTGCTCTTACCTTCAGGGACACCCCATAGTGTGCACTAACCATGTTGTTAGTCCTGCAGCCCCACAGCAGCCCTGCAGGTCAGGAAACAGTCACTGCAGCCTCAACCTCCCAGGCTCAAGCGATCTCCCCACCTCAGCCTCCTGAGTAGCTGGGACTTCAAGCATGTGCCACCACACCAGGGTAATTATTTTTTGTAGAGACGAGGTCTCACTATGTTGCCCAGGCTGGTCTCGAACTCCTGGGCTCAAGCAAGCCTCCCACCTGGGACTCCCAAAGTGCTGGGATTACAGGTGTGAACCACCATACCTGTCCAACAGTCCTATTTTACAGATGAGGAAACTGAGGCTCAGAGAAAAGCAGGGACTGCCTCAGGTCTCTCTTTGGGCACACAGGCCGTGGTGTTCTCACTCACCCCAACAGCAGCGAGTTTCCCCACATCAGGCCAGGTGGACAACCACCCACCAGTGGGCTCAGGCCCCAGCAGGGGAAAGAGAGAGGTCTGCAGGGACAGACAGCTCGCTGAGGACTCCAGATGTTTGTTCTGTCTCCCCATCCCCCACCAGCCAGCGTTCTCTCCCTTTCCAAACCCTCCCCACTTTCTCACAGCCTAAGCAAATCCCCTTCAAAAAACCCTCTCCCCCCAAAGCTAGGGTTGCCAATGAAGCCACTTTTGTCTCTGATGTAGGGTGATAGCTGTAGGGCTGCTGTCAAGGTGGCCTGGTGGCAGGGGTGGGCCCCATCAGGGACAGTGCCTGTCCTGTTGAGCATTCCTGCCTCTCGCTCAGCTCCTTCCCACACCCAGGCCGGCTCCCAGCCTGTGGAGGAGGCCGCTGGCTCTGCCAGCCCTGGCATGCATGCGTTAGCCAGGCCTCCAGCCATCGCTCCTGCTTCAACACTTCAGTGTGTGGCTCTCCTGCGGCCTAAGGTTGAGGTGTGTCAGTGACGCTGCCTCCCTTCCCGGAACTTACTGCAGAAACCCCTGACCCCAGACCAGCCCCCCATGGATCCTGGGGAAACCCGGGCTCAGACAGAGGAGCCTGCTTGTTCAGAGTCACACAGTGAGTCCTCAGGAGATTAGGGGGAGGGCTCCCTACTCTTTGGCCCTGGTTTGGGGGGTAGCTTCACCCTCAGGACCAGCAGCTCCCCGGGAGCACACATCCCACCTGCTTTGCTCAGGGGTCTCCCCCATTGTAGGGCTCACAGCCTGGCCCCCAGAGGGGTGTAGAGATCACTGAGCCAACCAGGGATTTTCTGACTGCACTCCAGCGCACCCCAGGGCTCTCCAGCTGAGCCGGCCTGGAGGCAGCTGAGCTTGGGAATATGGGACGCCTGCCCCACCCCAATTCATGCAGAGCCACTCCACAAACCTGTTTATAGATTGGGTTCCATGAAGATTGGTACTAAGGGCCCTTGGAAGATGTCCTTCCCCAAGTCTGGGAGCCTGGAGGCCGGGAGCAGAAGGTGGTCCCAGCTTCCTCACAGCAGGCCTGGGGCTGTGTGGCCTCTCCTGCCCCAGCTTCCCACTCCTGCCCACTGCCTGCTGGCCCTCACTCCACACTGGCTGAGTGTCCCTTATCTGAAATGTTGGGGACCTGAAGTGTTTCAGATTTTGGAATTTTTTGGCTTTTGGAATATTTGTTATATATAGTGAGATATTTTGAAGATGGGACCCAAGTCTAAACATGAAATTGATTTATGTTTCATATACACCTTATACACATAGGCTGAAGGTAACATTATAGATTTTTTTAAAGAAATTTTGTGCCTGAGAGAAATTTATGTTAAGTTCTTATGTGTGGAGGCCAGGCGCGGTGGCTCACGCCTGTAATCCCAGCACTTTGGGAGGCTGAGGCAGGCAGGTCACCTGAGCTCAGGAGTTCGAGACCAGCCTGGCCAACATGGTGAAACCCTGTCTCTACTAAAAATACAAAAATTAGCTGGGCGTGCTGGCGACACCTGTAATCCCAGCTACTCAGGATACTGAGGCATGAGAATCGCTTGAACCTGGGAGGCAGATGTTGCAGTGAGCTAAGATCGCGTCACTGCACTCCAGCCTGGGTGACAGAGTCAGTGAGGGTTCATCTAAAAAAAAAAAAAAAAAAAGTTCTTATGTGTGAGATTTTCCACTGGTGGTATCCTATTGGCACTCAAAAAATTTTGGATTTAGGGGCATTTGGATTTTGAATTTTCAGATTAGGGATGCTCAACTGTGCTGTGCTATGTCCTTCTCTCCCCAAATATATCATCCTCCCTGGTCAAGGTGATCCTGTGTCCCACGGACTGGCTGATCAGATAGAACTAGGCCATCAGATAATAATCCACAACCGCTGGCACCTTTCCACTTCTACTCAAGCTGCTCCATGCAACAGGCCTTCCCTTTTCCCCCATCCTCCAAGGCTCAGCTCCAGTATCGCCACCCCCAGGAGCCTGTTCTAACCACAGATTGCTCTGAGACCCATGACCTGGATGGCCCCTCTCCTGGGGCCCTGCCCTCCATCTCTGTGGGGTTACAGGCCTTTCTTCCCCTACCCTCACCTGGCCTCTGTCCCCGGTTCATGACCTTCTTCAGCCTGACACCCAGTAAGTGCACATGCGTGTGTGTGCACACACACACTCACACACACACATACACATTCACACACACATACATACACTCACACATACACACTCACACACACGCAGTATTGCTCAGTAGGCAAGGAGAGTGTCCTGCCCCGAGCCAGCAGCCCCAGGGAAAACCCCCAAAATCAGGACACAGTGCCTCGTTCCCCCGCCAGGGCAGGCCCTCTGGCCTGGGCCAGTCCACTCTCTGGGGAGACAGAGGGGGCTGGGGAGAGGAGACGAACTTCCGTTCCCACCTAAGAGCAGCCCCTTCCCCCACCCACATTTCAGGAAGGGGCAGCTATAAATACCAGTGGGACCAGGACACTGATTCCCACGACACCCGCTTCTCCCTGCCCCTTCCCTGTGCACAGTTGCTGGGGCCAGACCAGCTCTCCTGCAGCTAGAGTCCAGCCAGGCAGGCCTGAGGCCTAGCCACACACACACAGAGACACAGACATACGCACACAGGCACACACAGACATAGATACACACAGACATACAGACACAGACACATGCACACAGACACACATACGCACACACACACGCACACAGACATATACACACAGGCACAGACACACACATATGCACACAGACACATACAGACACAGATACACACACACACTTTTACTTCCCACCCTGGTCAAGGAGGAGCAAATCACCCTTTTTGGGAGTCTGCGAGCAGCTGAGAGGGAGCCCCTCCCCTGCCCCTCAGCCCTGACCCAGGCCCCATCTCTCCCTCCTCTGAGTCCTGAGCTGTGGGAACCCACACAGGGAAGCAGGAGGCCAGGCACATGGTGGTGAAACACGGCATTAGAGAGCTCAGGTTGAATTCCAGCCCTGACGCTCTATGCATGACCTTGGGCAAGTGACTCTGTCTTTCTGAGCCTCAGTTTTCTCCTCTCTAAAATGGGGATAAATAATTCCAACCTCTTACGTGTTGTAAGGATTAAGCAAGACACTTTGCCTGGAATCAATGCTCGGTGGACATCTGCTCCTGAAGCTGCAGTCACTCTGCTATTAGCATCTTCTTCCCAGGGTGGAGTGGCCCGGCAACATGGGGACTTCTGCTTAGGAGTGTTTAAGGAAGATTCCGAGGCAAAGGCCTAGAGGAGGTGGCCCCGTGAGTCTGTGTGGGACTAAGTGACATGGAAAAGGAGAGGTGGGCTCTGGAGAGGGTATCAGCCAGCGGCTGCCTGCCAGCCCAGGACCCTTCAGAAGGTGGGAGGGGGTGGGGGTCTGCATCTCTGTGGCTAACTGGGCTGAGGCCCACACCCCTCTCTCAGTGCTAGAAGAAGTGGGGACAGCCCCTGCCTGGCCCTCCCCAGGGCCTGTTTCTCCCAAGCCTAACAGCCCCTAGGATGGGGCTCACTGGGCCGGGGCACAGCAGGAACCCCCTGTCCCCAGAGCAGGTGAGTGAGGAGAAGAGAATGAGCAGGCCCCAAGACCTTTTATGGGACGGGGACCCTAGAAGCCTGTCTTTTCCCTGCTCTCTACCAACCCCTCGCGAGTCCCTCTCTGGAGGTGGGGGCTGGAGGCCAGGGCCCAGGGACGTGGGACAGCTCACCTGCCAGAGTCACCATGGGGCTGTTACCACCACTCATGATATAAGCAGTGGTGGCTGCATCACGAGGAGCAGAAATCCGGACTGAGGGAGGGGACAGCCCTCTCCGCTCTGGGCTGCTAGGACCCCTCAGTGGTATGGGTGTATGTGAGCTCAGAGTAGGGGGAGGTGTGGGGAGGTGACTGAGGTGACTGCAGAGTGGGGTGCACAGCTCGGGGCAGGGACACTGGAGGGACCCCGGACAAGGGCAGGCCTGTGCCTGAGCCCTCAGGGCAAGATCCCATTGTGCAGGCCCCCACTGCCTTCACCCACGTAGAGGTGACTCTTCTCCACAGACCCCTGGACAGGGCCCGGCCAGGCCCCCCACCCACATGTTTTAATGGAATCCAGGTGGCTGCCCCTGGCCAAGGTTCCATCTCTGGGCATCTGGGGCCCGTGTGCTTCTGGCCACCCATCTGGAGCCTGGCTGAGCCCCTCCAGGGGTGGGTACTCAGACGGGGGCTGTCCCTCCAACCGTGGACAGCCCTGGGGCCAGCGAGATATTGTAGAGGCCTGAGCCAGCTGGCTGATGGTGCCACAGCCCTTGGGCTACCTGGCCCTGCTATGTGGCCTTGGGGAGACCCCTGGCCCTATCTGGGCCTCTGGGTGGAATCTTCAGTCTCCTAGGTCAGCTCTAAATTCTGAGCTTGAGCCTCTTGGGAACAGGACAGGGGCCTCTGCCTCTATCTAGAGAGAGCCAGCTGCTTGTCCTGGGCCAAGCAGCAAGGCAGGCTAGGCCTGGAATGGGGCTGAGAAGCAGCCCAGCCTGCCAGGACTCCCTGGCATTGGAAAGCCACTTTCCTAAGTTGGCATGGAGCCCTGGGGCTCCCCCCGGGATGAGAGCAGCGGCTCCTCTCCACCCCCGGCTCCCATCTTCCACCCCCTGGCCCCAGCCCCGCCCTGCCAAAAATAAACCCAGACCACCCCATCTTGTACCAGCCAGACCCACCCAGCCCCTCCAGAGCCAATTGAGTCACCACTCAGAGCTGCTCCTTTTTTAACTGTCTGAGTCACTGCTTGTGGCTCCATGACACATGCCCCAGGCTACGGTTACCCCACAGCCCCTACAAGCGCAGCCAAGGGAGGGGTCTGCGTAGAGGCTGGCAGCAGGTGTGAGTCCAGGCCATAGCCTTAGCTTGTGAGCCCTCCAGGCCTAGGGAACTCACTCCATAACAAGCCAGAGACCAGACCTGTCCCTCAAGGTCCCGGCCGTGCCCAAGACAGCCCTTGGGGATCTTGGTGACAAGGTCAATCTGGGCTCTGCCCCACCGCATTGCGTTGCCTCCAACAGGCCTGGGCCTTCCCCGTGGAGACTGCCGGGAACGGAGGGTCTCCAGCCCCTAGACCCTGGAGGCTGGGGGTGGGCGAGGCCACAGAGACGCCTGCTTCCTCCCTCCTCACCGGCTCCACCCGGACTCTGACCACGCTGCCTGGAGCACCATGAAGACTCTATGGGACGGAAGCCACACTTCAGTCTCCCCTCACGGCTTCTGTCTGCCCCTGCGCAGGGTCACCCGGGCTGCAGAGCACCCCCGATCTCTCAGTCCATCCCCCCATCCCGCTCTCTCCATCTCTCTGTCCTTTCCCACCCCTGGCTGTGGTTCCTCCATCTCTTTCTGTCTGTCTTTCCTACCCTGTCTCTCTGTCTGTCTGCCCATCTCTCCAGTCCTGCTCTGTTCTCCTTCCCTTCTCCTTTACCGGGTTCCACGGCAGTCAGAAGTGCTCCCTGCCGCCAGCACCCCACCCGTCCCCAGGGCCCTCTCTGCCTTCTCAGTAGACATAACAGACCCTCACCTCCTCCCATTCCCACAAGGGACTCTGGGCCCCAGGGACCAATCCTGAGAAATGTTCCGCTCCCCTCACCAGGTCCTCCCGTGCCCCAAAGTGCAGGCTACATCCTGTCCCAGGGAGTGTCAGGATCCCACAGGCACTTCCTTGGGGGTTGACAAAGGCGGGCAGGGGGGCCTGGGAATGGCCCCACCTCCCAGTCCATGCTAGAGCAGGGGCCTGTAAGCCTCAAACCCCATCCGTCTTCTGTCTGTGGCTGTGGCCTCCGGCTATAAATAGGGGCTCGGATTCTATTTTCTTTAAAAACAAGCACCAGACTCTGTCACCACAGGCCCAGAAAAGCAGTCTCTGGCTCTGGCAGTCCCTCGAGCCCTCCCAGGCCATAGTGTCCAGTCCCCTGCCTCTGAGCCCTGGGGCTCTGGAGGGCAGAGGAGGCCTGGAAAGGAGACTGGAGGTAAGACAAGGTGGGGAGGGCTGGGGCGAGCTCCCAGAGGCAGCCCCTCCCACTGGGCCCATGGCCCTCATGCCCTGGTGGGCCCCTCCCTCCTTTCCTCCCACGTCCTGTCCCCAAGCAAGGTCAGTCTTGTCCCCAAGGCTCACAGTGTAAATGGAGAGAGGTGACAACAGCACAGCCCCCTGGGCCGCAGCGAGTGTCTTTGCACCCCAAGGACACAGAAGGTGCTTTGGGCTTTTTTCCTGAAAGAGCATGAGGACATTTCACAGGTGGACAGGAGAGAAGAGCTGGCCCAGCAGCAGGCCCAGCCTGAGCGAAGGCAGCAGGTCGGCCCTGCTAGGTGTGCACGGAGTCAGTGCAGAGTCTAGTGAGACGGAGGCGTGGAGTGTCCTTGGAAGAGAGCAAGAGACCCTGCAGGCAGAGTTGAGGGCACCCTGGCCTTCAGTGCCACCCGGGGGTGGGGGCCTGACCCTGGGGCAATGGGAGCCACCAAAGGCAAGGGAGGCTGAGGGAGTGGCTTTCAGTTTGGGTTAACTGGGGCTGCTATTAGCAAAGGGAGTCAGGAGATTGATTAAGCCAGACCGAGGACGGTGGCCAGCCGCCTTATGGATGGACCAGGGAGCAAGAGAGGAAGATGAAGTTGAAGGAGAATTTGGGGACTGGATGGATGGAACCTGAGTATTAATCAGCAGTGGCTGTGGGGAGGGAGGAGGAGGAGAGTTCAGTGCGACCCTCAGATGTCTACTCAGCAACAGGTGGACAGTCGGGCCTTCACGGGGCTGGCGAGCCAGCTGTAGGGGAGAGTACACTGAGTCCTCCTTGCTTTGGGTGGGGTTGGGCTTGGGGGTTCCTGTGGGTGTTCCTGCCATGGACATCTGAGGGACACTGGCAGTGGGCCTGGAGCCCTGGAGAGTTGGTGCCAGTGAGAGAGACGTGGTGCATTAGCAGAGGCTGGGCCTGAGGCCGGGAGAGAAAAGGAGGGCCAGAGGGAGTGTGGTGGCGGTGGGCACAGCTCCAGGGGGGGCCCACAGGCTGCAGGCTTCCAGGCAGTTGGCAGGTGGGGGTGCTAGGCAGGAACCTATTCCAGGAGGAGTCAGGCCTGCCCAGGAAGAGAGGTCTCAGTCTCGGGATCTCTGATGGGCCTGGGTAGCCCAGAGCTTCACTAGCAAGGACACTGAGGTTTCCTGGTGCACCCCCCGGCAACGCCCTCCCACTGGAGCACCACCAGTGCTGGGACTTGCTGTGGTGGGACAGCTCTGCCTGATAGAAAAACCCTCACACGGGACAAATGCCATCTCATTTGATCCTTTCGTTCCCTTAGATGCTGACATCACCTCCCTCATCACAGGTCCATGGCCTTCTTGCTGCACAGATGCCCTGGGAAGGAGATGTGGGCCCTGGTCCTGTCCTCAAGAGCTTCCAGTCTGGCTAGACCTGTGGCCATTTAGGCCAGAGGTGGCTCTACTGTACCCACGGTAGTGGCCACACCTCTTGCCAGTCTGCTGGGCTGGTCAGAGGCCAGATGTGTGTCAGTCCCTCTATCCAGGTCCCCTTTTACAGATGGGGACACTGAGGCCAGGGAAAGCATGGAAGCACATGGCTCTGAGCCCTGTGTGTGTGCTGGGGGTGTGAGCCCTGACCCAGGCTTCTGCCCTGGACATGGACTTCTGTCTGTGGGGTGAGCCCACCCTCTGTATTCAGATGGGGGAACTGAGGAGGAGGCACACAAGGCTACTGTGCACAAGTTGTGCCACCAGATTTCAGGTCCAGGCAGCCGTCCAGACCCACAGTCACCATTTCCTCTGTTCTTCCCCCATCCCAACTCACACACTCACTATCTCCAGACCCAGCCCGCCAGGCTGGGGAAGCCCCGAGACGCCGCCCCAGCAGCCCTGTCTTCAGCAGTTTCTGCTGCCAGAGCCAAGGGGAACTCAGAGATGAGCCATGGGCTGCCTGGTCCTGGACACAGCCCAGGAGAGAGCCTGGCCCTCAGCCTCCTGGGGGCAGCTCCCACCCAGACCCCTGTCTCTCCACCCTCCTCCCAGACCTCCAAGTCACCAGTGGGCAGGGCTGGCACTTATCACTGGCTTCTGGACCTAGTCATCCCCCGCCAGCCCCTGCAGAAGGGCCCTCCCGATTCGGCCAGCCCCAGAGCCACAGAGGAGGGGCTGCCAAACCGCCCAAGGAGAGCAGATGCTTCCCTCCCCTCCTCGCTGTCCCCCCCTCCTCGCTGCCCCCTCCACCCGGCCCTGACAGAAGAGTCCCAGGGGACAGGAAGGGAAAGAGTGTGTGTTCCCCAGGCTGGGGTCCAGCTCTCACACCCTCCTCCCACTGGGGCCATTGGCAGATGCTCCACTTCCGATTCACAGGCAGCAAGCAAACCCACCACGCCTCTCTGGGTGCACACACGGTGCATGTGCCCTGCTGACACCCACAGCCCCTAGCTCTGGAGCCACACCCACAGGAGCTTAAGTCCCAGCCCTGCCGCTGCTCCACAGGCTAGCACGGAGGACTGCCCTCTCTGAGCCTCAGTTTCCTCACCTGTAACATGGGAGATGCCTCCCAGGAGCCCTGCTAGGGCTGGGGGGCTGTGCAGGCCCAGTGCCAAGTGAGGGTCCTTCACTCTTCTCTTCCCTGCCAGAAACCCTACCCCAGCCTGGGTCCACTGAGGTGAGGGTCCCAGGTCCTCTAGGGCCAGGAAAGTGGGGGAAAGGAGGGTACGGATGGAGCCTGGAAACCCACCCATCTCCCTGTCCAAGAGGGAAGATTATAAGGCAGGGAAAAGCCTCTTGGAACCGCTCCCCACCGCAGCCACCCCACCCTCCTCGCCTGAGGCCTGGGGAGCAGCAAGACTTCCACAAAGACACCATTGAGGCCCCGCTTCCTCCTCCCCCGGCCCAGCCCTCCCGCCTGGGTGGACTCTGGGCTGCTTCTTCCCTCAAAACCTCTCATTTCCCCTCCTGCTTCCTCTGTGCTCCACAAGGCCCCAGGGTTGGGACATGTGGCTGGGAGCCCAGGGTGCAGCCCCTATCAGCCTCTGTGGACCAAGCTCAGCTTCTCCCACCCCACCTGCCCCTGCTTCCACTCATCTTCCAGACGGGTTCCCTCAACTGGAAATGTTCCCCAGCACATGCCCCTCTACGTGGGTGACTCAAAGCGCTTGGTTAGAGGATGGTAGCTGAGGCCAGTGACCAGGGTCAGGGCCCAGCCAATAGCTGAGGAAACTGTTTTCCTCCCTGGCCCCCTTGGCCTTGCAAGGGACCAGAAAGGCAACTAAACAGAAGGTCAGCTGACCTGAGTGTGTGTCTCTTGGCTCAAGAGTTTTTGGTGCTGCCCTGACCCCGACAGAGGTCTCTGCAGCATTTAGACGTGGAGGCAGTCACCTGAGCAGGTGCCTAGCACTCCAGCACCCCACTGGGATAAAGCAGTGTCTCCTGAGATGATGGCTGCTGTTGTAAGCTCCATGGGATTTGGAACTAACCTACTGTTGTCCGCATTTCGGTAGCTCACGGGACAGGAGAGGAGCAGGCAGTCCTTGGGCCGCGGGGATGGCCCTGGGTGGTGGAATCCCAGTCTGGAAGCAGCCAGGAAGAGTTGCTAAAGAGCAGTGAGCCCTGAGGGGTCTGCAGGTGTGTGAGCGTCTCCCAGGCAGCCCACCCTGGCCAGTGATGAGCCTTCTAGGCCTGGGCCCTGGTGACCCCAGTGTCATCACTGGGCAGGTCGCTCCCCTTAGTCTGACCTTAAGTCTCCCCTGTAACCTACCCCCTTGTTACCCTCAGAGTAACAGGGTTGGGTGAAGGTGATAGCTCAGTGTGGGTGGCTGAGCCTTGGGGAGTCTGCTGGGAGGAGGTTTGAGAGGGGCTCACCCCTGAGTAGGCACACCAGACAGCTTCTCCCTTGCCTGAGGAGCCCAGGGAGACCAATGTGCTGGGGAGGGGACCCCCAGTTATGTCTCGGTATCCAGGGCCCACAGTGGGGCCAGACCAGGGACCCAGCGCACCCCTTCCTCGCCTGCCTTGCCGCCACACACGTGTGTACATGTGACACTGACCCACATTCCTGCACACACTCACCCATGCCCTGCCTGCTTGGTTGGAAGTAGATTGGTGGCGGAAGTAAAATCGGGGAGTCCCTTGGAGGTGCAAGGGGAGGGGAGGGGAACTGACCTGAGGTCTAGAGGGCCAGGTGACCTCAGGGAGGGTCCGCTGCTGGGGAAGCACACCTGGCCCGTCCATGCTCTCACAGAGCCGGCATTCAGCCCCCAGGTGGGCCACGACCACCCCCCGCCCCACCACATACACACCTATGAGGGGAGACAGAGAGCCCTTCATCCCGGCCTTGGCCCTCCCAGAATACCCCATCCCACAGCCCCCTCAGACTCCCTCACCCCTGCCTGCCCAGACCTGGAGCCAGGATCTCCCGCCGTGGTGCCAAACCCCGAGGGGCGGTGATGGAGAAGTCTGGCTTCGTCTTGGAGCAGGGCCCTCCCTCCCCAGCAGGCTGGCTGGGCATCCCCTCCTCACTCCTGTGCACAGCAGCAGGCTTGCTGCCAACATCCCGCCTTCTCTGTCTCCCTCGAGTTTTCCTCCTCCGTCTCCTTCCTCAGGCCTTGGTCTGTATGTGAATCCAGTCTTTATGGAGGAGGGCATCTTGATTTCTCCTTCTCAGTTTTAATAACTTTCTCCCATGTTAGCTGTCTTCTTCCATTCCCATCACTGTATTGCTGTATTTGTGATTGAGTGAATGAATGAATGGGTCTCTATTACGCATTCCACCTCTCACCTCCTGCTCTGTCTCTGTGGCACTGGGTGTCCCTCCCCCACATACAGATGTCCAGGTCTCCTGCCCTCACCCTCAACTACGGGCCCAGGCACTCCCCACGGGCCAGCAGCTCCGGGCTCCCAGAATTTCTCCCTTATAAAGTCAGGCAGCAGCAGACACCCAGGAATGCTGCTGCTCCCATGACGCAGCCTGGCTGTGGGGCTGCCCCCAGGCAACCAGGAACATGGCGGGAGTGGGGCACACAGGGATCCATTGCCAGAGAGTGGGGTACAGTGGGGGTGCCTGGGTGGGTAGGGCTCACACGGGTGGTGCTGGGACCTGCTGGATCTCTTTCTGCTTCTCTTCGTCAAATCGCTTCTCCTCTGGAGCCTCAGTTTGTCTGTCTGGAAGGTGGAAGCTGAGTGCCCTGCAGCAGGCTTGAGCTACAGAGAATGCTGATGCTGTGGGACTCAGCACCCATGGAGGGTGGGGCCCCAGGCCGGGGCCCTCCAGACTGTCCTAGAGCAAAGGGTGATGTGCCCAGGGACAGCCAGGATGGGGCAGAGGGAAGAGGGAGCCAAAGAGCTAGGGGGAGACCAGGGGGAGCAGAGGCAGAGCCTGGCAGCAGGGATGGCCGGAGGCGAAGGAGAGATGGGGCAGATACAGGGACACAGGCAGCCTTCTGAGGACTCAGAAGGAACAGAGCCCACAGCAGCCCTCAGCCTGGAAGAGGCATCTGTGCCTGAGACCCGGCCCTGGCCTGGCTGGGGAAGGTGGGGCCCTGGCCGGGGGAGGCGGGCCTGATGGGCAGAGATGTTCCCCTCACAGCGACTCCTTGTCCCCGGAGCCTGGTGTCAGACAGAGGGCTGGGTGTCAGGCTGGAAGCCTCAGGGGCCCATCCACACTCCTCCTAGTAGTGCCTCCGGGGAGCCCGGAGATGCCAGCGCAGCCCTTGCCCTGACAGAGGGGGCTTGCTGGGGACCTTGACCGAGGTTTCCTCTAGCCCCTGAGAAGGGACTTGGCAGGGAAGGAAACAGGCTTTTTCTGTGCCCCCAGGCCTAGATCTCAGGAAGAAGGATGGAGCCACCCCACCCTCAGGCCCAGACAGCAGTGCCCTGTTTATGGGGAGGAAGGGTGGGAAGCCTGAGGATGTACCCACCTTTAGCAAACCTCTCTATGGGCGCTGAGCAGGAGGGGCAGGAACCCTCCAAGAACACACAGCCCCTTTCATGGAGCCAGGCCCAGCCAAGTAATGGCAGGCGGGCACCGAAGGGCAGGACAGGCCCGGGCACAATCATTGCTCTGTCCTGGCAGCTCCCGGCCCACACACGCGCACACACACACAAACACACAGCCTTACGCAAACCCAAAGCACACCCCCAGCAGCCACCCACATGCTTGCGCACACACAAATACACATCTATTAATATACAGCCCTGGACGCCCACTGACGCGCCTTCCAGAGAGAGAAACCCATACACGCAGCACTCTTCCTGCCCCTCCCACGGGCCCCCAGACCTGTGGGGCATCCTGCTCCTCTCATGCCCAAGGCTTGGCACCTCCAGGCACCCCATGCCATTAACCTTCCCCACATCCATATGGACAGCAAACTCCTAGATCAGGGAGAGACCCCCAGGACTAATCCCCACAGTCAGGAGGGGGAAGGGGTGGGAGGGACTGTGCCCATTTTACAGAATGGTGACACTGAGGCCTGAAGTGGGCCCCTTCTCCTGGCTCAGAGGGCAGCCCATGGGGCTGCTACAGGTTTGGTCTGCTGTTTTGATGAATCATGGGTCCTCTTGACCCAGGAGAATCAACGGCAGGTCTGATCCAGCCTGTGCCAATGTCTCCCCACAACCTCCTCCATCCCCCCGCCCCAGTCACGCAGCCGAGCCTAGCTTGACCCATTCTACTTTTCCCTCTACTTCTCTTCCTTCAAGTTAGCCAGAGGCTTTAGCGGGTGATGGAGCAGAAACCCTCCTAGCCCCACCCAAAGGGGACCTGTGTACTTCCTGCCAGTCTCACTCGGCCTTGCTGCTGTCCTCTGAGACTGCCTATTCCTCCCTCTCTGTGTCTGTACACCACCGTGACCTCCTCCAGGAAGTCCTCTGGATTGACTCCTAGCTTATTACATCTTAATTCTGCACACCCTCTCCATTTGAAGCCCCTCTTCAACTGCCCCCCCACCACCTCCAAGACAGGGATTCTGAGTTCTTGCAACTGAAGCCCCTCAGAGAGTGTAAGAGGGGCAGAAAAAAGGAGACCAGGAGGTGGAGGGAGTGGCGCTGTCAGAGTTTCCAGAGCCCTGGCCAGCAAGGCCTCAGAGGCCTCTGTTGGGGTGGGGGGCTGCCTGGCCACGCGCTCCAGCAGCACAAGACAGCCTGTGTGAGCCCCTCCCGCTCAGCCCCACAGGAAGCAGCAGGGCCCAGCCCCTCAATGGACCCATTCAGACCCCAGCGCTCTGGAAAGTACCTCTACTTCCTGCCACCCTCCCACTCTGGCCAAACAGGCTCTACTCTCCTCTGCTGGGAGGGGGCTGCAGGCAGGTGGTTCAGTGGTTAGGGCCAACCATCTAGTTCAGTTCCTGCCTGGCCCAGAGCCCTGATGTTGACCATGACTTGGCGGGTCTACATATACCTTTAGTGCAAGGGTGGGTAGGGGCAGGGACATGTGCCCCCTTCTCTGTGGGTGCTGGATAGGTAAATGTTTAGCAATGGGCTTTCTTGGGGAGGGGGAACCCTGATTTGCAGTATTTGCCTCTTTTCCTGGTATAAATGTTCTCACTGTGGGCAGTATCACCTGGCTCTCAAAATTCCTGAAAATTCAACAGTAGACTCCTGGCAGCTGCTGTCAGCCGCTCCAGCAGGTGACGGTGGTGGCTCTATCCTGCAGGGCCATGTGCCCCCACCCCTTGTGCTATGGCCTCCCTCACTTTAGTGTGCTGTGTTTTGCTCTTAGGAATCAATGTCTTTGCAGATAAGGCACCCCGGTAGGTGGCCGCCACCTGCAGTTCCCTGGTCTGTCCCTTGCTGGCGCCAAGCTCTGCTGAACCAGCTGGGCCGCCCCCGCGCAGATGGTCTGCAGGGCTCCCTTGATTCCCGTAGCTTCCCAGACAAGGTGCTGGTATTGCCAGCAGTGCTGGCAGGAGGAGATAACTAGAGGGGATTTAACTCAGCCCAAGGGGTTCTTACGGGATCTTTCTTGGACATCCCTCCCAGTGGGGCTGGCTGCCCTTAGGGTGTACAAGTCTCCGACTCCTCCAACGGCTGAAGCTGCTTACTCAGGCGGATGGCAGCTGGCTCAGGCTGGCCAGGGACCAGCACATGGGGCTGGTGCCGGATTATCCCTATCAAGGCCGTCAGCCTGTGCTCGCTCTCGGGTTTGAGGGAAGCCCAACAGGAATGAATCACCGTTTTTAACCCGTGTTTCTCTACCCCCCAGCCCTGGACATCTGCAGGCAAAGTCAAAGTTATATTTGGCTCTTATCACCACAAAAGGCATGGACCAGAAATTGTGGCAGCGGGTTGGAAGTCAGGGAGGCTAATCTGGGGAAACTGACTGGAGGAAGCAGCAATTCAAAAGAGGAGGAGTCCCAGTATGGGACAGAACGGGCCCTGCATAGGAACCACTAACCCCAGGCAAGCCCAGACATGGCCTTCTGCCTGGGGAGGCCCTCTTTGGCCTGCCCAGCAGACCCTCAGCCCCTCCCAAGCCCTGTCTTCAGCCTCAGCCTGCGTGGTGGCCTGGGGAAGTTAGGAACTCAGCTGTTCTCATCCCTGGTTCCTTGGCCACGGTGGAAACAATGGGGCCGGATCTGACTGCTCATCGGGGACTGTGAATAGCTCTCCAGCAGGAAGCAATAGCAAGGGTAATGGAGGAAGTGTGGGCCCACTTTGGTTTGACACTGCACATGGTCCCCATCTGGCCTCAGAGCCTTTGCTCCTTGGCAGACTCAGGCCAATAAGCTCCTGCCCCGACGCTCAATGGCAGCTGGAAGAATGGCCTGAGAGAGAAGCGGGGATAGGTGGGCCATGCTGACACCACCCCCAGATCCCAGTCGTGGCCTCAGCCAACCCATGGAGGCGGGGCATGGCACAGCAGGCGCTGCACAGGAGCCCAAGCACAAGGGCACTTAGGAGAAGGAATCTGAGCAGGGATCAGTCTGGACTGGGGGTGATTCTCCAGAAACTCCATTCCTTGGGGCTGTGACCACCAAGCCAGATGGTCAGGCCAGTTGCGGTTCCCTTTGGGCTGGGTCCAGGAGCCAGACCCACGAGGGAGACTCCTCTGGGGCCCAGGGGAGGCGAGTCAGAGCTGGCGGAGGCCTCTGGCTCCAGGAACCTCCAAGGAGGAGACCTGAGTTGCTGGGAATTTCTGGGTCTGACCTCCTGTAAATACAAGATCTGGGCTGGACACAAGGTGAGCCTGTGCCTTCTGGTGCCAGGACCAAGAAGATGCTGGGACCCGGGCAGTGCTCAGAGGCAGCACCATACAGCAGAACCATGAGGGTGCGCCAGCACGGACCCCTTTCTGCAACCCACCCGTCCCTCTTTGCGGCACCTCGCCTCCTCCAGGCAAGAGTCTGAGCCTTGACCACAGCTCCCTCTCTCACACAGCTTCCTTCTTCGGTGAGAACCACCTGGAGGTGCCTGTGGCCACGGCTCTGACCGACATAGACCTGCAGCTGCAGTTCTCCACGTCCCAGCCCGAAGCCCTCCTTCTCCTGGCAGCAGGCCCAGCTGACCACCTCCTGCTGCAGCTCTACTCTGGACGCCTGCAGGTGAGTGACGTCCCCCTGAGATCTGGGCGGGATTCGGGGTGGGATTCCTTCTCTAGCTTTGAGTGAACCCCAGCTGGCTGTGTGACCTTGTGTAAGTCACTTTTATCTTGGGGTCTTAAGTTCTCCACTGTGGGATGGGCAGCAGCAGCCCAGAAATGGTAAATCCTTCATGAACTGGCTCTGCCCACTGGCTCCCTCCAACCATGTTTCCCGCCACAACCCCTCGCTGGCCCTTTGTGCTCTGACAGCCCTGAACTGCTTTCAGTTCCTGGCCATCTTACAGTCGCTTGCTGCCAGGCTCTTGATGCACACTCCTTCTGCCAGGTGTGCGCCTCTCCCGTTCCCTGCACATGCCTAACTCCAGCCTCTCCTTGAAGTCTCAGTGTGGGCATCCCCTCCTCCTGGGCTAGGCCCCCTCCTGAGCCCCCATGACCCCTGTGCATCCCGGTGGCACTGCACCAATTTCTCTGCAGCACCATGGTCTGTCCACGACAGTAACAGCACCAGTACTGCCTCAGCTTCCTCATTTTTCCATTTCATCCTTCAAGACACCACAAGCTTTGTTAGCAAGGAGTCTTGTGGCTTTTTTGAGTCTTCCCCTAAACCATGAAGAGTTTAAGAACCCAGGGTCTTATTCCGAATTTGTGCCAGGCTGGGTGCAGTGGCTCATGCCTATAATCCCACCACTTTGGGAGGCCAAGGTGAGAAGATCACTCGAGCCTAGGAGTTCAAGTCTGGCCTAAGCCACACAATGAGTCCCCATCTCTATTTTTAAAAGAAAAAAATAACCGGACGCGGTGGCTCATGCCTGTAATCCCAGCACTTTGGGAGGCTGAGGCGGGTGGATCACCTGAGGTCAGGAGTTCGAGACCAGCCTGGCCAACATGGTGAAACCGTGTCTCTAATAAAAATACAAAAAAATTAGCCGGGCATGGTGACACATGCCTGTAATCCCAGCTACTCAGGAGGCTGAGGCAAGAGAATCACTTGAACCCAGGAGAAGGAGGTTGCAGTGAGCCGAGACCGCACCATTGCACTTCAGCCTGGGCAACAAGAACCAAACTCCGTCTCAAAAAAAAACAAATTTGGGGCAGCCATCTCCTTCCACACCCCATGGGGAGAGGACTAGGGCTTGGTCAGTCTGCTGCTTTCACTGTTAAACACCAGCGTGGTGCAGGCTGGTGCTGATGGCTGTCCAGTTCTGTAGGTACAATGATGCCACACCCCTACAGAGATGCTCCATACCAGGACTCCAAAATTATAGTTCTTAGTGCCCTGGTTCTGCAGTTACCATACTCTGCCACCTCCCATTCTACCATCTGGGAGCACCGTACCAGAGCCATTTCTGCTGTCAATGTCATGGAGACAGAACTATGTCCTTCATCTCTCCCCAAGATCTCCTTCCACCCCAGGTCAGGGAGCTTTTTTTCAGAACACAGAGTATTTAAATTTTAATTTAAAAATTAGCCTATTCCTGAACAGTGAGCCTGGCTGCCTTCAATGACCCCAAGAAACTTTGCTCTGTTGAAGGGGACTGATCAAGGGATTCCCAGTTACCCATTATTCCAAAGTTGAAATCCAGATTCCAAGACAATATTTCTGGCACCTCTCACTCAAGGAAAGAGGGGAAGAATTTAAAAACACAGGTTGGATTTCTAGGAGAGCATCTTGCTGTATGTCAGTTCCTTGTGGGCGAGGACCACATCTGATTCATATCAGGGTCCCCAGAGCCCATCCAGCCCTGGCCCAGAGTTTCCTTTGGTGAGTGTTTGGAGGATGAATAAAGAGATGGCAGGACGGCAAGAGGAGTGGCACCAGAGGCTCTTGTCCTAGGTTTTCCACTCTGGGGCCCCAAGTGTGGGGAACTCACTATGCTTTTTTTTTGTTTGTTTTTTGAGACAGAGTTTCGCTCTTGCTGCCCAGGCTGGAGTGCAATGGCATGATCTCAGCTCACTGCAACCTCCACCTCCCGAGTTCAAGCAATTCTCCTGCCACAGCCTCCAAAGTAGCTGGGATTACAGGCATGCGCCACCATGCCCAGCTAATTTTGTGTTTTTAGTAGAGACAGGGTTTCTCCATGTTGGCCAGGCTGGTCTCAAACTCCTAACCTCAGGTGATCCGCCTGCCTTGGCCTCCCAAAGTGCTAGGATTACAGGCATGAGCCACCACTGCAATCACGCCCGGCTCTATGCTTTTATAAGGGAAATGATGGATCCAAAGTGCTGTCCACTATCTCCCACTCCCCATCTCTCTTCAGGTCAGACTTGTTCTGGGCCAGGAGGAGCTGAGGCTGCAGACTCCAGCAGAGACGCTGCTGAGTGACTCCATCCCCCACACTGTGGTGCTGACTGTCGTAGAGGGCTGGGCCACGTTGTCAGTCGATGGGTTTCTGAACGCCTCCTCAGCAGTCCCAGGAGCCCCCCTAGAGGTCCCCTATGGGCTCTTTGTTGGGGGCACTGGGACCCTTGGCCTGCCCTACCTGAGGGGAACCAGCCGACCCCTGAGGGGTTGCCTCCATGCAGCCACCCTCAATGGCCGCAGCCTCCTCCGGCCTCTGACCCCCGATGTGCATGAGGGCTGTGCTGAAGAGTTTTCTGCCAGTGATGATGTGGCCCTGGGCTTCTCTGGGCCCCACTCTCTGGCTGCCTTCCCTGCCTGGGGCACTCAGGACGAAGGAACCCTAGAGTTTACACTCACCACACAGAGCCGGCAGGCACCCTTGGCCTTCCAGGCAGGGGGCCGGCGTGGGGACTTCATCTATGTGGACATATTTGAGGGCCACCTGCGGGCCGTGGTGGAGAAGGGCCAGGGTACCGTATTGCTCCACAACAGTGTGCCTGTGGCCGATGGGCAGCCCCATGAGGTCAGTGTCCACATCAATGCTCACCGGCTGGAAATCTCCGTGGACCAGTACCCTACGCATACTTCGAACCGAGGAGTCCTCAGCTACCTGGAGCCACGGGGCAGTCTCCTTCTCGGGGGGCTGGATGCAGAGGCCTCTCGTCACCTCCAGGAACACCGCCTGGGCCTGACACCAGAGGCCACCAATGCCTCCCTGCTGGGCTGCATGGAAGACCTCAGTGTCAATGGCCAGAGGCGGGGGCTGCGGGAAGCTTTGCTGACGCGCAACATGGCAGCCGGCTGCAGGCTGGAGGAGGAGGAGTATGAGGACGATGCCTATGGACATTATGAAGCTTTCTCCACCCTGGCCCCTGAGGCTTGGCCAGCCATGGAGCTGCCTGAGCCATGCGTGCCTGAGCCAGGGCTGCCTCCTGTCTTTGCCAATTTCACCCAGCTGCTGACTATCAGCCCACTGGTGGTGGCCGAGGGGGGCACAGCCTGGCTTGAGTGGAGGCATGTGCAGCCCACGCTGGACCTGATGGAGGCTGAGCTGCGCAAATCCCAGGTGCTGTTCAGCGTGACCCGAGGGGCACGCCATGGCGAGCTCGAGCTGGACATCCCGGGAGCCCAGGCACGAAAAATGTTCACCCTCCTGGACGTGGTGAACCGCAAGGCCCGCTTCATCCACGATGGCTCTGAGGACACCTCCGACCAGCTGGTGCTGGAGGTGTCGGTGACGGCTCGGGTGCCCATGCCCTCATGCCTTCGGAGGGGCCAAACATACCTCCTGCCCATCCAGGTCAACCCTGTCAATGACCCACCCCACATCATCTTCCCACATGGCAGCCTCATGGTGATCCTGGAACACACGCAGAAGCCGCTGGGGCCTGAGGTTTTCCAGGCCTATGACCCGGACTCTGCCTGTGAGGGCCTCACCTTCCAGGTCCTTGGCACCTCCTCTGGCCTCCCCGTGGAGCGCCGAGACCAGCCTGGGGAGCCGGCGACCGAGTTCTCCTGCCGGGAGTTGGAGGCCGGCAGCCTAGTCTATGTCCACCGCGGTGGTCCTGCACAGGACTTGACGTTCCGGGTCAGCGATGGACTGCAGGCCAGCCCCCCGGCCACGCTGAAGGTGGTGGCCATCCGGCCGGCCATACAGATCCACCGCAGCACAGGGTTGCGACTGGCCCAAGGCTCTGCCATGCCCATCTTGCCCGCCAACCTGTCGGTGGAGACCAATGCCGTGGGGCAGGATGTGAGCGTGCTGTTCCGCGTCACTGGGGCCCTGCAGTTTGGGGAGCTGCAGAAGCAGGGGGCAGGTGGGGTGGAGGGTGCTGAGTGGTGGGCCACACAGGCGTTCCACCAGCGGGATGTGGAGCAGGGCCGCGTGAGGTACCTGAGCACTGACCCACAGCACCACGCTTACGACACCGTGGAGAACCTGGCCCTGGAGGTGCAGGTGGGCCAGGAGATCCTGAGCAATCTGTCCTTCCCAGTGACCATCCAGAGAGCCACTGTGTGGATGCTGCGGCTGGAGCCACTGCACACTCAGAACACCCAGCAGGAGACCCTCACCACAGCCCACCTGGAGGCCACCCTGGAGGAGGCAGGCCCAAGCCCCCCAACCTTCCATTATGAGGTGGTTCAGGCTCCCAGGAAAGGCAACCTTCAACTACAGGGCACAAGGCTGTCAGATGGCCAGGGCTTCACCCAGGATGACATACAGGCTGGCCGGGTGACCTATGGGGCCACAGCACGTGCCTCAGAGGCAGTCGAGGACACCTTCCGTTTCCGTGTCACAGCTCCACCATATTTCTCCCCACTCTATACCTTCCCCATCCACATTGGTGGTGACCCAGATGCGCCTGTCCTCACCAATGTCCTCCTCGTGGTGCCTGAGGGTGGTGAGGGTGTCCTCTCTGCTGACCACCTCTTTGTCAAGAGTCTCAACAGTGCCAGCTACCTCTATGAGGTCATGGAGCGGCCCCGCCATGGGAGGTTGGCTTGGCGTGGGACACAGGACAAGACCACTATGGTGACATCCTTCACCAATGAAGACCTGTTGCGTGGCCGGCTGGTCTACCAGCATGATGACTCCGAGACCACAGAAGATGATATCCCATTTGTTGCTACCCGCCAGGGCGAGAGCAGTGGTGACATGGCCTGGGAGGAGGTACGGGGTGTCTTCCGAGTGGCCATCCAGCCCGTGAATGACCACGCCCCTGTGCAGACCATCAGCCGGATCTTCCATGTGGCCCGGGGTGGGCGGCGGCTGCTGACTACAGACGACGTGGCCTTCAGCGATGCTGACTCGGGCTTTGCTGACGCCCAGCTGGTGCTTACCCGCAAGGACCTCCTCTTTGGCAGTATCGTGGCCGTAGATGAGCCCACGCGGCCCATCTACCGCTTCACCCAGGAGGACCTCAGGAAGAGGCGAGTACTGTTCGTGCACTCAGGGGCTGACCGTGGCTGGATCCAGCTGCAGGTGTCCGACGGGCAACACCAGGCCACTGCGCTGCTGGAGGTGCAGGCCTCGGAACCCTACCTCCGTGTGGCCAACGGCTCCAGCCTTGTGGTCCCTCAAGGAGGCCAGGGCACCATCGACACGGCCGTGCTCCACCTGGACACCAACCTCGACATCCGCAGTGGGGATGAGGTCCACTACCACGTCACAGCTGGCCCTCGCTGGGGACAGCTAGTCCGGGCTGGTCAGCCAGCCACAGCCTTCTCCCAGCAGGACCTGCTGGATGGGGCCGTTCTCTATAGCCACAATGGCAGCCTCAGCCCCCGCGACACCATGGCCTTCTCCGTGGAAGCAGGGCCAGTGCACACGGATGCCACCCTACAAGTGACCATTGCCCTAGAGGGCCCACTGGCCCCACTGAAGCTGGTCCGGCACAAGAAGATCTACGTCTTCCAGGGAGAGGCAGCTGAGATCAGAAGGGACCAGCTGGAGGTGAGGAGTTGGAGGTGGTGAGCAGGGGTGTGGGCCAGGTAGAGGGCCTTCTCCCAGCCTCCATGCCAGGAACACACGTGACTTGGGCTGTGGCTGTGGTGGCTCCAGGTTACATGTGTGCACGTGCCTCAGATGTGCTCCCGTATATGTTGTGCTCCCAGGAGTTTCTGGGGAGCTTGCTATACACCCATCCTCCTGGGAGTTGTGTGCGCCTCCAGAGGTTGTGTCCACTCATGTGTATGACATGGCTGAGCATGCAGATTCCTGGACCCCACCCAGCCCTACAGAATCTCTGACGTGGAGCCCGAGAATCTCCATTGCAGTCAGTTCCCTGGGAGGACATCACGGGTCCTGAGCTTTGGGGATTGCTGACCGTGGAGACAGGCCGCTACTCCTCAGACCCTCATGTCCCCCACTCTTTTCTCAGAGCCCAGACCTGGGTGGCTTCTGCCCACCCAGGAACCCCACAGAGCAACCACGGGCCCTCCAGCAGGCTCACTGACTTGCCCTGTGACCTCAGGCCAGTCCTTGCCCGCTCTTGGCCTTACTCTCCTACACTGCTCATTTCGGAGACCCTTCTGGTCTGCATGTCTGGAGCTTGGGGCCGACAGCAAGCCAGCAGATCTGGAGTCAGGAAGGCCTCGCGGGAGGAGGCAGCGTTTGGGCCGGGCTCTGAAGAGCACAGGCCATCAGGAGCAGAGAATGGGGAGTGGTATTCCAGGCAGAAGGAACATTCCGGGCAAATGCATAGAACAGGAATGTGAGTTTGGGGGGTGGTTTGGCCTCTTGTGGCTGGCCCATCAGGTGAGGGAGCCCGTGTGGCCTTTGGGGCGTGAGCTCTGTAGGGCCTGAGCTGAAGGCGGCTGTGCCTCCAGGAGGGGTGGGGCGGGGCGCCCTCTGATGGTCCTGGGTGGTAATAGCAGGGGCTGGGGAGGTGCTGCCTGCAAACCAGCCACAGGCCTGAACGGATCCTGAGCAGGGGGGCCTGTGTGTGTGTGTGTGCACACACGCATGTGTACATGTGTGACTGCGTCAGCATATGATGAACTCGTGTGTCTGTGTCACTGAGTCTGGGGACATGTGATTATGCACCTCCCTGAGGGAGTGCATCTCAAGCTGTGTGACCGACCCCCTGCAACCGTGTGTGGGGTGGGCATTAACATGTGACCAGCAGCCGGGGCAACCCAGTGAAACCCCATCTCTACACAAAAAATTTAAAAATTAGCCGGGCCTGGTGGCACATGCCTGTGGTCCCAGCTACTTGGGAGGCTGAGGTAGGAGGATCCCTTGAGCCTGGGAAGTTGAGGCTTCAAGGAACTGTGATTGTACCACTGCACTCCAGCCTGGGTGACAGAGTGAGACCCTGTCTCAAAAAACAAAAAATGTGACCAGCTGCATGTCTGGCTGCTGTGTGTGTGAACCCACGTGTGTGTTTGTGTGTCTAAATGAGCAGTGGTATCTAGAGGAATAAGTGGGGCAAGATCAAGCCTGTTCCGGCTTCTTAGGGCCACAGTGGACCCCTCTGAGACCCCCTCTGTGGCCCCCTGTGAGTCCTTGTGACCTCTGTTAACCAGGCAGCCCAGGAGGCAGTGCCACCTGCAGACATCGTATTCTCAGTGAAGAGCCCACCGAGTGCCGGCTACCTGGTGATGGTGTCGCGTGGCGCCTTGGCAGATGAGCCACCCAGCCTGGACCCTGTGCAGAGCTTCTCCCAGGAGGCAGTGGACACAGGCAGGGTCCTGTACCTGCACTCCCGCCCTGAGGCCTGGAGCGATGCCTTCTCGCTGGATGTGGCCTCAGGCCTGGGTGCTCCCCTCGAGGGCGTCCTTGTGGAGCTGGAGGTGCTGCCCGCTGCCATCCCACTAGAGGCGCAAAACTTCAGCGTCCCTGAGGGTGGCAGCCTCACCCTGGCCCCTCCACTGCTCCGTGTCTCCGGGCCCTACTTCCCCACTCTCCTGGGCCTCAGCCTGCAGGTGCTGGAGCCACCCCAGCATGGAGCCCTGCAGAAGGAGGACGGACCTCAAGCCAGGACCCTCAGCGCCTTCTCCTGGAGAATGGTATGGCTGTGAGAGAGGCCCAGGGGCTGCAGCCCAGCTCTGGGGGCAGAGTGGAGGGAGCCCTGGGGACTCCCAGTCTGGGGGTTATACACAGAGAGGAGACGGGGAGTCACATTTCAGAAGCACCTATGCTTTAAATACCATATATCTTTTCTTCCTCACAACTCCTCGGAGCCAGAACTTATGGTCCCCATTTTCTACCAATGGAAAATGAAGCCCTAAAAGAGTCAGTCTCCTCCTGCACCCAAAGGCAGGGCATGAAGGGTGCTGCTGGGGCCTGACTGCCAGCCCTGGGCCTGCCCCTAGGTGGAAGAGCAGCTGATCCGCTACGTGCATGACGGGAGCGAGACACTGACAGACAGTTTTGTCCTGATGGCTAATGCCTCCGAGATGGATCGCCAGAGCCATCCTGTGGCCTTCACTGTCACTGTCCTGCCTGTCAATGACCAACCCCCCATCCTCACTACAAACACAGGCCTGCAGGTGAGAGCATCCCTGGGAACACCCCCATGTCTGCTTCGAGAAAGAGGCCAGCGTCCCCTACTTCGCGGCTCAGAGCTCCCCCAGCTCTGATCCTCAGTTTCCTCCTCTGCAAAATGGGGACGCTGCCACATGCCTCACGGGGTTGTTGGAAGGAGAGAAGTGAGATTGTGCTGAAATAGAACACAGGTGGGAAGTTTTTTTATTGGATGTTTGCAAGTATGGTAGGCAGACTTCTGAGCGGCCACGGGTGGCTCTGCTGTTCCTTCTTCTGTGGCTAAGGACCAGAACATCTGACAGAATCACTTACAAGCCCTTAAGGGCAGGCATCAGGGCGGAAGCTGTTAAGTTTCCCACCTTCACCCAGCAAGTGAAGGCCATGGCTTGGCTCCCCAAACTCCTGCACAAGGCTGTTCCACGCCCAGCAGGACAGTGCAGGGAAGGCCCTGGTGAACTTCGCTCAGGCAGAGGTAAGGGCCCCACTCTGCAGGTGGAAGTTGAGGCCCAGACGTGGGATGGAACTTCTCCATGGTTGCAAAAGTAGTTCTGGTGGAACAGAAAGGGCATGGCTTTACAAAGCCCACATGGCAGGGCTTTGAACCCCAGCTTCTGGGGTGCATCCTCCCCGGTCAGCAGGAGCCACTGAAGTTTCCATAAAGGGCTGACTTGGGCTGTCTCTGGCATGGGGTGCCTGGGGCGGGGGTGGGGGCGGGGCCTTGGTGGTCTAGGATGTGCCCGTAGCGGGTGGCCTGGTGGTGCGGAAGCCGCCAAAGAGTGGGACACAGTGCTCTGGAACCACAGGCCAGGACGGCTGTGTGGCAGCACAGCCACCAGGTGGTGCCATCTACCTGTGTTTGCTCCAGAAGCCTAGTGCTGGGGTCCTGCCCCGCAACATTATGGCCCCTCCTGCCAGGGCTGGGCCTGAGGGCTCCCTGGGGCCGGGGGAGGAAGCCCAGGAATGCCAGAAGGCTCTGTTTTCCGGGCATGTGAGTCCCACTGCAGCTCTGCCCGCAAGTAATTGACCCAGCAAGACTGGTACCAGGACCTCAGGAACAGGCACCTGCTCTGCTTGCAAGTGGGAGGCCTGAAAAAGGGGTCCCCTTTGCCCAACATAAGGAGGGCCCCTAACTGCTCTGGAAGCACCTGGGCCCATCCCACGCTGATTCTGTGCTGCAGAACAGTGCCAACCATCAGCCCCCCACTCTCTGCGCCACGCACCCCTCCCTCAGCTGGAAGGAGGGCCCATTTCTAAAATCACCATTCCCACCTGTGCCCGGCCCCGGCCAGGCACACACGGAGGCTCTGAAAGGAGACCCCTGTCCCACCAGTGAGACAGATTAGGGAGCACTGTTGGTCAGCGCTGGGGGTTTCTGGGAGTGAGAACTTGGTGAGGGTAAGAGCTGGGGCCTTCCTGGGTAGGGGACATAAGCTGGCCTTGAGGGACACACAGGACTAGGGCAGATGGAGAGCAGGGAGGCTGGGCCTGGAGGGTGACCTTCCCTGGGGCCTTCCCTGGGGTGACAGGGAAGGTGAATGCGGGAGGCCCTTTGTGCAGGGGAGCCAGAGTGGCGCCAGCCTCGATGCCACCCGAGGGGCTGAGCCGCAGCAGGACTGGAGCCCTGGTGGCAGCCCAGGGCCGGGGAGGAAGGGGTGGGTGAGTGCGGCAAGGCAGAACCTTCACAGGCCTGTGTTCCCAGATGTGGGAGGGGGCCACTGCGCCCATCCCTGCGGAGGCTCTGAGGAGCACGGACGGCGACTCTGGGTCTGAGGATCTGGTCTACACCATCGAGCAGCCCAGCAACGGGCGGGTAGTGCTGCGGGGGGCGCCGGGCACTGAGGTGCGCAGCTTCACGCAGGCCCAGCTGGACGGCGGGCTCGTGCTGTTCTCACACAGAGGTGGGTGCTGAGGGCCGGGCCTCGGGTTCCTGCTGCCCACGGGGGTGCCCTGAGATGGGGAGCCGGCTCGGGCCAGCTGGACCCAATGCCCCTGTCCCCAGGAACCCTGGATGGAGGCTTCCGCTTCCGCCTCTCTGACGGCGAGCACACTTCCCCCGGACACTTCTTCCGAGTGACGGCCCAGAAGCAAGTGCTCCTCTCGCTGAAGGGCAGCCAGACACTGACTGTCTGCCCAGGTGGGTGTGCTGATCATGGGCATTCCTGGGTGCCAGGAGCTGGGGCGGAGCTGAGGGTGGCATGCCAGGGTCACGCTGCCTCTTTGCAAACACAGGCCTGGACCTGGCTCCCAGTCAAAATCTGATATCCCCTTTTGCCTCTGGCAGGGTCCGTCCAGCCACTCAGCAGTCAGACCCTCAGGGCCAGCTCCAGCGCAGGCACTGACCCCCAGCTCCTGCTCTACCGTGTGGTGCGGGGCCCCCAGCTAGGCCGGCTGTTCCACGCCCAGCAGGACAGCACAGGGGAGGCCCTGGTGAACTTCACTCAGGCAGAGGTAAGGGCCCAACTTTGCAGCCACCACTCAGATGCCCCCAGCCTCAGGTGGCCGCTGTGCCATGGACATCATGTGGACATGGATGCCAGCTCCAGCATCACTGGCAGCAGACGTTCCCGGGCCTGCCATTGTCCAGGCGCTAGTGTCCTGTCCTCCAGGAGCCGCCAGGCTGGCAGGGCAAGTTCATGTTCCCAGAAGGAGGGAGAAGGATGCAGAAAGTCGGGGATACAGGGCCCTAGAGCAGGGCTGGGGTCTTGGGGTATAGCTTCCAGAAGGAAGCTACAGCCGGACCCGAGGGTCTGGAGAGGGGGCACCATGTGGGGGCACTAGTGGTACCCCAGTAGCTGATGAGGGGCAGTGCTTGGTGGGGGATGGAGTTGGACGTGAAGCAGCGGCTGGGCCTGTGGGCAGAGGTGTGAGCCTGGGGCTCAGGTCAAGTGCCAGCCAGAGGCAGAGTGGATCCTAGGGGCAGATGAGCTGATGAAAGGCAGCTGAGTCAGCCAAGAGGGTGAAGCTGCTGTTCATCCGTCCTGGTGGCTTCAGAGACCACCAGGAAGAATTAGAGCTCTCAGCCATGGGTAGCAGCAGACTCTCTGTGATAACTGTGCCATGGGGGCCAGCCCAGTCATCACTTAAATGAACACCACTCGCTGAAGACAGAACAGGAGTTGTTCCATAGCAGGGCAGAGCGGGGCAGACTCTTCCATGGGCCATCCCAGGCAGGCGGCACATGTGATGCTCCCGCCAGGAGGCTGCATGGGCATCTGGACCCAGCACATGATGACAGTGAATTCTGGGTAGGGAGTGGTCTTGTGGGGCGCAGAGCTGACTCTCACTCAGGAGCCACAGCATATGGTACTGCCCCAAGTACCTCCTGAGGGGTCCCCCTGCCAGCCTTCAAAAAATGGCAGAGCCCACCCCAGCCCCCTTTCCTAGCTCGGCAGGGACTCCTGAGCCTGGCACTCTCCCTCCTGAGAGGTGCAGATGGTATTCAGCAAGTGCAAAGGCAAAGTCCCTGCCCAGCAAGTGGCTCAGATTTGGGCATCTGGAAGGAGGTGGCTTTGACAGGTGGAATGAAGTTTCTTGGGCTTCTCACATCAACACCTCCCAGTCCCAGGTTCTGTATTTCCCTGGCTCCCCACTCCTGCTATGGCCCCCTCCCCACAATGAGATATTTGTCAGGCTGGTGTCTGCAGCTGCTGCGTACCCTCAGTTGCTGGGAGCCTTTGTCAAGAATGCCCAGGAATGGAGAGGGCACGGGACCAGGCCATCAGCAACCCTCTTGCACTTTATAGTCCCACGTTACTCAGAGCTTCCCCGTGCCCCAGAAATATGAAGGACTAGACTGAATGGACACCAGGGGGTCAGGCTGGCAGTGCCACCCAGGAAAGCAGGGAAGAGGCTACGTGGGCTACCCTGGCCCACTCTGGGAGGAGGGCAGGACTGGGTATTGTCTTGACAGCAGCCCTGTCCCACAACACTAAACTGGGCAGGGAAGGGGTCAGGTGTCCCCATTTTTCAGATAAGGAAACAGGCTCGTGGAGGGCAGGTAACTTTATTCAGAGCACATGGCGAGTAAGAGGCAAAACTTCTGCCTGCGAGTCCAGGATTTCCTTCACTGGAGGACACTGCTTGCTCCCCAGAGCTCAAGACCCTGTTTTTTGTCTCACTCCCACCCACAGAGCTCCCGTACCCAGGCATCAGCTCCCACTCCCACTCCTGGGGGCTCCATTTCCTTCCTGCCCACCATTCAGCCTGGGCCAGAAGTTGCCACTGGCAACTCTAGTCCTGGGCCAGATCTGGCCCACAGACGTGTTTATTTGGCCTACAAAAAGCAGCTAATACTTTGAAGTTAATTGTCAACATATAACCTTTGGGAAATTAAACAAAAAACTTGATTCCCATTTTCTTAAAAGGCCTGTGTTCCCTCTTACAGCGAAAGCAGGGGAGCAGCCACTTCCTTTAGAACAGGTGCTAGCCCCTATTCAGATAGCTCGGCTCTCCTTCAGACTGGGCTCAGCTGCCCTTTAGCCCAGGCTCTGCTCCCCTTAGACCAGGCCCTGCCCCCACCTCAGACTGGGCCCTGCCTCCCCTTAGCCCGGCCCTGCTCTCCCTTAGCCCAGGCCCTGCCCCATCTTAGACGGGGCCCTGCTCCCCTTACTCCGGCCCCTGCTCCCCCTTACTCCGGGTTCTGCTCCTAGAGTCTTCACAGGTTAAGACCCTGTTAAGTTTCCATGTTACTATTGGGCAAGTCCTGTTTTTCTCTGAGAAGAAAATAGTTCCCAGTGTTTCCTAAAAGGGGAAAATAAGGCCGGGCGCGGTGGCTCACAGCTGTAATCCCAGCACTTTGGGAGGCCAAGGCGGGTGGATCACGAGGTCAAGAGATCGAAACTATCCTGGCTAACATGGTGAAACCCCATCTCTACTAAAATACAAAAAATGAGCTGGGCGTGGTGGCACGCATTTATAGTCCCAGCTACTCAGGAGGCTGAGGCAGGGGAATCGCTTGAACCCGGGAGGTGGAGGTGGAGGTTGCAGTGAGCCAAGATCGTGCCACTGCATTCCAGCCTGGGCGACAGAGCAAGACTCCGTCTCAAAAAAAAGGGTGGGTGGGGAGCAAAAGATAGGCCAAAAGAACACATTGTGATTGGAGGTGGAGAAAACCGTTTTTCTTCCTGGAGCGAAGAATATTCTTTGGTGTTGAACTGCAGGCAGCACCATAGAACAGCAGGTGTGTCTGGAGTGGAGGTGAGGGGAGTTGAGGTCGCAGGGGTGATATGGTCACAGCCAGGCCTTAGTGGTCAGATGGGGAGACACTGCACTATGTGAGCCAAAGAGCCCCATAATCTTCCCTTTCAAAAGGCTCACTCTGGCTGCTGTGTTAGGAACAAAATGTAATGGGCGGGGGACTGCAGCTGGGACACAGGAAGCTGTTACGATAATCCAGGTGAGAGATGCGGTGGTTTGAGGGAAAGAGAGGATGCAAGGGTGGTTCCAAGGGTGTGGCCTGAGCCCTTGAAAACGGAGCTATAGTCTCTGAAGCAGGATGACTGTAGGAGGTGGGGGCCGATCGGGAGTGCAGCCGGGGCAGGTTGAGTTTGAGGTGTCTATTAGATATCGGCAGAGGTAGCTGGAAACATGAGTCTGGGGTTCAGGGGAGAGCAGGCTAGGCTGGAGCTACAAATAAGGGGGTCTCAGCACAGCTGGCATTTGAGGCCAGGAGACTGAATAAGGACTCATGGAGAGTGCCTGTAGACAGAAAAGAGCCTGGAGACCTGGCCATAAGATGTTGGGGAGAAGAGGAGGACCAGCCAGGAGAGTCTGTGAGGTAGGAGGAACCCCAGAGTGAAGTATCCCAGAGCCTGTGGCTCTCTTGGAGGAAGGGTTGCTTGGCGGCACCAGTGCCACTGAGCAGTTAAGAGGAGGCTGAGAGCCGACCGCTGGATCCAACAACACGGAGGCCTCTGGTGCCCTTGGCAAAAGGAGATGTGGCGATGGGGGAGCAAAATCCTGGGTAGAGAGACCCAAGAATGCCTGGGGGAGAGCGTGGACTATGCTTTTTGAAGTTTTGCTGCAAAGAGAAGCAAAGGGGCAGGGGTGAAGCTGGTGGAAAATGTGAAGTCAAGAATAGTTTTTTCTGGCCAGGTGCAGTGCCTCCTGCCTGTAATCCTAGCACTCTGGGAGGCCGAGGCAAGTGGACCGCTTGAGCCCAGAAGTTCAAGACCAGCCTGGGCAACATAGTGAGACCCTGTCTCAACAAACAATAAAAAAAAATAGCTGGGTGTGGTGGCATGTGCCTGCAGTCCCCGCTACTTGGGAAGCTGAGGTGGGAGGATCGCTTGAGCCCTGGAGGTCGAGGCTGCAGTGAGCCATGATCACGCCACTGCAGTCCAGTCTGGGCAACAGAGCAAGACCCTGTCTCAAAATAATAATAATAATAATTAATTAAATAGCTTTAATGTAAGTGAGACAAAAGAATAGCATAGTTGCATAATGAAGGGAATGATGCATCTGGGGGGAACTGACACCATAGGAGAAAGCCAAGAGACAGTAGAAGTGGTGTCTTCAGAAGGCAAGAGGGGATAGGATCCTGTGCACAAGAGGAAGTACTCGCTTTAGAGAGCAGCACAGACAGATCATTGCATTCCCCAGAGGTCAGAGAAATTAGGCGATTTCCCCAGGGTGGCAGAGTTGGGGTTTGAGCCCAGGCTCCGGCTCCAGAGCCCAGCTCTGCACTGCATTGCCTGATGTGACCCAGTGAGTTAGTGAGGGAGACAGCGGGTCACACGCACAGACCTGGGCACACCCAGGAGAGCCCAGAGTGGGGCCTGAGGAGACAAAAGTGCTCAGTGTCTGGACAACACAGGCTGGACCTGCCTCTCACCCCACGATGGTGTCTCCCCTAGGTCTACGCTGGGAATATTCTGTATGAGCATGAGATGCCCCCCGAGCCCTTTTGGGAGGCCCATGATACCCTAGAGCTCCAGCTGTCCTCGCCGCCTGCCCGGGACGTGGCCGCCACCCTTGCTGTGGCTGTGTCTTTTGAGGCTGCCTGTCCCCAGCGCCCCAGCCACCTCTGGAAGAACAAAGGTGAACAGCATGATAAGCTGGCAAGATTGTGGGGAGGGACAATGGGAGAGGCCCAGGAGGAGGGGACACGAGGCCAGGGTCAGCAGCTCCTGTCTCAGCCCCCAGGACCTGGGAAGTCACAGGGAGGGTGAGTGGGGAAGCTTTGACATCACAGCGGGGACATAGTCCTTATCCTCCTGGGAACCCTGAGCCCCACCCTGGAGGACCTGGCTTGATGGTTGGGGGGAGGCACATCCTTGCCCTGAGGCACCCCCAGCTGAGGGTCCATCACTCTCCCCTCAGTGGGCTGGACCCTCATAGCCTATGTCCCACCCCCAGGTCTCTGGGTCCCCGAGGGCCAGCGGGCCAGGATCACCGTGGCTGCTCTGGATGCCTCCAATCTCTTGGCCAGCGTTCCATCACCCCAGCGCTCAGAGCATGATGTGCTCTTCCAGGTCACACAGTTCCCCAGCCGGGGCCAGCTGTTGGTGTCCGAGGAGCCCCTCCATGCTGGGCAGCCCCACTTCCTGCAGTCCCAGCTGGCTGCAGGGCAGCTAGTGTATGCCCACGGCGGTGGGGGCACCCAGCAGGATGGCTTCCACTTTCGTGCCCACCTCCAGGGGCCAGCAGGGGCCTCCGTGGCTGGACCCCAAACCTCAGAGGCCTTTGCCATCACGGTGAGGGATGTAAATGAGCGGCCCCCTCAGCCACAGGCCTCTGTCCCACTCCGGCTCACCCGAGGCTCTCGTGCCCCCATCTCCCGGGCCCAGCTGAGTGTGGTGGACCCAGACTCAGCTCCTGGGGAGATTGAGTACGAGGTCCAGCGGGCACCCCACAACGGCTTCCTCAGCCTGGTGGGTGGTGGCCTGGGGCCCGTGACCCGCTTCACGCAAGCCGATGTGGATTCAGGGCGGCTGGCCTTCGTGGCCAACGGGAGCAGCGTGGCAGGCATCTTCCAGCTGAGCATGTCTGATGGGGCCAGCCCACCCCTGCCCATGTCCCTGGCTGTGGACATCCTACCATCCGCCATCGAGGTGCAGCTGCGGGCACCCCTGGAGGTGCCCCAAGCTTTGGGGCGCTCCTCACTGAGCCAGCAGCAGCTCCGGGTGGTTTCAGATCGGGAGGAGCCAGAGGCAGCATACCGCCTCATCCAGGGACCCCAGTATGGGCATCTCCTGGTGGGCGGGCGGCCCACCTCGGCCTTCAGCCAATTCCAGATAGACCAGGGCGAGGTGGTCTTTGCCTTCACCAACTTCTCCTCCTCTCATGACCACTTCAGAGTCCTGGCACTGGCTAGGGGTGTCAATGCATCAGCCGTAGTGAACGTCACTGTGAGGGCTCTGCTGCATGTGTGGGCAGGTGGGCCATGGCCCCAGGGTGCCACCCTGCGCCTGGACCCCACCGTCCTAGATGCTGGCGAGCTGGCCAACCGCACAGGCAGTGTGCCGCGCTTCCGCCTCCTGGAGGGACCCCGGCATGGCCGCGTGGTCCGCGTGCCCCGAGCCAGGACGGAGCCCGGGGGCAGCCAGCTGGTGGAGCAGTTCACTCAGCAGGACCTTGAGGACGGGAGGCTGGGGCTGGAGGTGGGCAGGCCAGAGGGGAGGGCCCCCGGCCCCGCAGGTGACAGTCTCACTCTGGAGCTGTGGGCACAGGGCGTCCCGCCTGCTGTGGCCTCCCTGGACTTTGCCACTGAGCCTTACAATGCTGCCCGGCCCTACAGCGTGGCCCTGCTCAGTGTCCCCGAGGCCGCCCGGACGGAAGCAGGGAAGCCAGAGAGCAGCACCCCCACAGGCGAGCCAGGCCCCATGGCATCCAGCCCTGAGCCCGCTGTGGCCAAGGGAGGCTTCCTGAGCTTCCTTGAGGCCAACATGTTCAGCGTCATCATCCCCATGTGCCTGGTACTTCTGCTCCTGGCGCTCATCCTGCCCCTGCTCTTCTACCTCCGAAAACGCAACAAGACGGGCAAGCATGACGTCCAGGTCCTGACTGCCAAGCCCCGCAACGGCCTGGCTGGTGACACCGAGACCTTTCGCAAGGTGGAGCCAGGCCAGGCCATCCCGCTCACAGCTGTGCCTGGCCAGGGGCCCCCTCCAGGAGGCCAGCCTGACCCAGAGCTGCTGCAGTTCTGCCGGACACCCAACCCTGCCCTTAAGAATGGCCAGTACTGGGTGTGAGGCCTGGCCTGGGCCCAGATGCTGATCGGGCCAGGGACAGGCTTGCCCATGTCCCGGGCCCCATTGCTTCCATGCCTGGTGCTGTCTGAGTATCCCCAGAGCAAGAGAGACCTGGAGACACCAGGGGTGGAGGGTCCTGGGAGATAGTCCCAGGGGTCCGGGACAGAGTGGAGTCAAGAGCTGGAACCTCCCTCAGCTCACTCCGAGCCTGGAGAACTGCAGGGGCCAAGGTGGAGGCAGGCTTAAGTTCAGTCCTCCTGCCCTGGAGCTGGTTTGGGCTGTCAAAACCAGGGTAACCTCCTACATGGGTCATGACTCTGGGTCCTGGGTCTGTGACCTTGGGTAAGTCGCGCCTGACCCAGGCTGCTAAGAGGGCAAGGAGAAGGAAGTACCCTGGGGAGGGAAGGGACAGAGGAAGCTATTCCTGGCTTTTCCACTCCAACCCAGGCCACCCTTTGTCTCTGCCCCAGAGTTGAGAAAAAAACTTCCTCCCCTGGTTTTTTAGGGAGATGGTATCCCCTGGAGTAGAGGGCAAGAGGAGAGAGCGCCTCCAGTCTAGAAGGCATAAGCCAATAGGATAATATATTCAGGGTGCAGGGTGGGTAGGTTGCTCTGGGGATGGGTTTATTTAAGGGAGATTGCAAGGAAGCTATTTAACATGGTGCTGAGCTAGCCAGGACTGATGGAGCCCCTGGGGGTGTGGGATGGAGGAGGGTCTGCAGCCAGTTCATTCCCAGGGCCCCATCTTGATGGGCCAAGGGCTAAACATGCATGTGTCAGTGGCTTTGGAGCAGGTTAGGCTGGGGCTCATCGAGGGTCTCAGGCCGAGGCCACTGCGGTGCCAGTGCCCCCCTGAGGACTAGGGCAGGCAGCTGGGGGCACTTGGTTCCATGGAGCCTGGATAAACAGTGCTTTGGAGGCTCTGGACAGCTGTGTGGTGTTTGTGTCTTAACTATGCACTGGGCCCTTGTCTGCGTCGGCTTGCATACAGAGGGCCCCTGGGGTCGGCCCTCCGGCCTGGCCTCAGCCAGTGGGATGGACAGGGCCAGGCAGGCCTCTGAACTTCCACCTCCTGGGGCCTCCCAGACCTCCTGTGCCCCCACCTGTGTGGGCAGGTGGGCCAGTCTTCGGGTGATGGGACCAAACCCCTTCAGTTCAGTAGAGAAAGGCTAGGTCCTCTACAAAGAGCTGCAAGACAAAAATTAAAATAAATGCTCCCCACCCTAGATTTATTAGCCTGAGTTTCGACCTCCATACCCCTGTCCTTCCCCAGCCACCTCTCAAGGGGTTGCAGCAGCAAAGTGAAGGGAGTGGGGGGACTTGGGGATCCCAAGGCTGGGACATGGTACCAAGGGGGAGGGGGAGGAGAACCACCACAGGTGCCTCCTAGAAACTTTTACAAGGAAGGCTTCTGCTGGTGTCCACCCTCCCAACAGGAGGACCAAGTGTGCTGCTTCTCAAAGCCAGAGGAAGCAGCAAGGATTCAGAAAAGCCAGGCATCCCCGCACGTGGCCTGAGAGGCCAGCATTGGGTTACAGAGGGGTTCTGAGGCCGCGGCATCTCCAGAAGGCCCTCTCTGAGTTACTGAGTCACCACCCTCTAGACCTCTCTTGAGGGTGTCGCAGGGTTGGGGGCAATGGAGACAGATTCTGGGTCCCAGGGGATATGCCTGGCCCTGACAGTAGACTGAAGAGAGGAAGAGAAATGTGAGAGGCCTCTGAGTGCAGCCAGGGTCAGTGGGTGGGAAGCCCTGGCCAGCCTCTGGCAGCTGACCTGCATCTGGGGACCAGAGTCACCTCTTCCCTGCATCCCAACATCTGAAACATTTGAACCAGGAATGAGCAAGAGAAGTCTCCTCCCCACCCTGCCCCTGGACCGCCCCTCCTATGACGCCTCTCGCATCTCAGTGTCCAGCCTCCTAGGTCCTCCTCCACTCTGAGAGGCTTCGGGCAGGAGGCCAGGTACATCCTGCTGTTAGGGCCCCCAGAGGACCCAGGGGAGACTAAGAGTCAGGGAGGGGAAGAGGGCTGTCACACAGCAAGGCGCTTCTTGCCACACTGAAAAGCAGGACTCCCCAGGGAGGGTGACCAGGGCCCCAGAGATCCCTCTGCACCCTGAGCTCACCGTGCACAGGGCTCCGCGTGAGCCTGCTCCGTTCCTTCTACAAGCCTGGTCTCTCTGGCGCCCCAGGCCAGCCTGAGGCAGGGGCCTGGCCAAGGGTGTCTCTACACCACATCCCCTCCCAGGAGCTCAGGCTGGAGCCTCAGGGCCCTGATATCTGGAGCAAGTCTCTACCCAGGGTGACCAGTTTCCCTGGAAGTGTAAGCTGAGAAGAGGGTGAGAGACCCAGCAGGCAGGATCTGGCCTGGTCTCCGATTTCCCCCAGAGGACTGAGGACACACTCTGTTCACATAGCCTGGCCCGGCCTGCCCTGCCCCCAGGGAGCTGGCACCAGCTGACACCGTTCCAGCTCCTCTGAGCCCATGCAGGACAGTGGGCTGGCACCCAGGGCACTGTGCCAGCAGCTCTGCTAGGACCTGGGAGAGGGTCTTTCATGGGCACACCAGAGCTGAGAACCCAACCTAAACGTGGGACCTTGGTTTATGTAAATCCCTTTCCCCAGGGCTTAAGGGGCTTGTCTCCACTTTACAAAGTAACTCACCATCCCCCTCCTTTAAGGAGCCAGTTCCTCCCAGGCGCTGGAGATAACAGCCAACCCATGTGCAAGTGTTCAGGAATGTCTGGGAGCTCCTGACCCTCTCCACACAAACAAACATACACAAATCCATAATGTGCCTTTGTGCACGCCATTGTGTATATGAACACAGGCTCATGCATGACCTTCAGACACACAACACAGAGATAAATACCTACCTACCTAAGACACAAACGCATACGCGGGGGCACACACAAATTTCAGAAGTATATGCTCCTTACCTGGGGCCCCCTGCAGTCCCAGCTAGCCTAGTCGGGCAAAGGAGTCAGGATTTTCTGCCCATTAAGGCACTCAAGCTGACATCAGCAGAATTGCAAAGTGAGCCCACTGGTGGGGGAAGGGGACAGGGTAGGAGTTGCCAGAGGGGCCCAGATCCCCAGGACCCCAGCTTAGAAACCCTGCCCACCACCCTAAGTGGCTTAGTCTCTCAGGTGCTAGAGAAGGGGCTCCCTCTGAGCCCTTCCCTGCATCCTAGAAGCCAGTCCTTTAAGCAGATTGCTCTGGCAGCCAGGGAGCCCACTGAGCTTGCACACTCATCCCCCAATAGGAAGCCAGAGAAGTGCTTCTGCCACCCCACACCGACCTCCCCTGACCAATGAGAACTGCCAGGGCTGCTGGCATCTTCCTCCAGGCCCTGAAGATTCCAGATCTCAAAGAGGTGGAGGTTCTTCCTGGGCAGAACTCCAGACCTCTCTGGTTGGATCTCCCATTCCTGGCCGTAAGATGTCGGGAAGCCCTGGTAAATAGTTGGGACCAAGGTAGAGAACCAGACCCGCTGGGCTCCTCTACACAGCTCCACTCCGACCCTAGGGCCTCTCATAGGTAACGCCATCCCTGTGGAGTTACCGCTAAGATTGGTCAGGCAATAGCCAGAGCATTTTGTGCCAAAAATGCAGTGGAAGATGTAGATAGGAATCCAATCAGCCCTTCCTGAAGAGCCGCAGGCATACCATTGAATAACTACCTAACCCTGACATGTGCCTTCACCCAGCGGTGTGAGCAGGCCAGTGAGGGGAAGCGCAGAGTGGGAGGGCTCACTGCCTCTGTCTGCTTCCTCCTCTCCTTAGAGAAGGCTGGTCCTTTCCATGGAAGGCCCAGCCACATGGCAGCTAAAGCTGGGCATGTTCAGCTACATCCTGGTTACATTTCTATTCTCAGTGTAATGGATTACAGTATTTAACTGATGGCTACTAGCCTCACAAAGGGCATCAGCTCCTTGGAGGGCCCTCTGTGGCCACCAAGATAATTGGTGGGTTGTGTTGTGTTCCTTCATGTTCCAGATGTCCTGTGAGCCCCTAGAGACAGAAGCAACCCTGGATTAAATCGCCCAGTTGCCAAGAAGGACTTTTTTACCCAAACACAGCCTCAGCAGGGGACTAGGATAGTTCCCCTGCCTGCCAACCTGAGATCCGTGCTCTGTTAGTCCAGAGCCTGGAGCTAATCCCAAGGCTTCCTTCTGATGCCTCGTGAGATTGCAAAGGACCCAAGAGACACAGTCTCTGGGTCTTGCAGACTCAAATGCAATGAGTTGCCTAAGTCTTTGCTGCTCAAAGTGGAGTCCATGAACTGGCAGCACCGGCATTACCTGGGAGCTTGTTGGAAATGAAGACTCTCAGGCCCTACCCCAGAGTAGCTGAATCAGACTGTGTTTTAACAAGGTCCCTGGTGATTAGAAGACACATGACACAGTGTAAGTCCTGACTGAAGTCTTCCCCTCACCCTTTAATTAGGGGACACTAAAATGGGAGAGGCAGGGCCCAGACCAAGATCATACAGTGAGCTGGTGGCTGAGCTGGAAGAGGGGTCAGACCTCGAGCCCTGTCCCAGGGTTTTCTATTCCACTTCAGCTCTCACTCTTGCAAAGACCCCCACATCCGCTGCAGGTTTGGAGGGATGGGTTCTGACATGGGTTCCTTCCCCAGGGGACTCCAGTGAGGACAAGAGAGGGAAGCAGAGGAGGGTAAGACCAGCAGCCAGATCTGATCCAATGGGGAGGCTCTGCAGGAAACAGCCTACTCCCATCCTTACCTCCCAAAGATGGGGCCCTGGGAAGTACAGTAGCCCCACCACCCCACCTTCTGTAATCTGGCTGCTCCTTCCCTTCCTGTCCCTTCCCTGCCCATCTGGTCTCACCTGTCAGGGGAAGAGATGAAGGGAAGTGTCCGGCCAATGTCACCAGTCAGTGCCTGTGTCATGCACAGGGCCTCCCCCATGGAGGAGCAGGGCAGCCAGCAGGAGAGGGGAAAGAAGCCACCTGTCACACTGCCAGCCAGGCCTGGTCAGAAGGAGGGCATGGGACACCCAGAGCTCTCTGTCCCGCAGAGGTGCCCCACTGTCTCTCCTGTCCACAGAAGGAATGCTGGTCTATGGCCCCCAGCCTGTGGGCTATCCTGGTGCTGGGAGTGCCTTTGGGACCCCCACCAACTCCACTCCCCTCCTGGGTTGTTGAGCCAAAGCCCAGGTGAAGGCCCCAGACCCCCACACCCTGCAGTAGGCATCGTTCAATTCTATACACTCCACTAAGGCAGTGTGTAGCCTGGCCTAGCCACTGCTGTGCCCATGCTGGGTACACAGTAGATGTCCAGCAAACATCTACTGCCAGAACACAGCACCCCCTTCCCTCAGACATGCCCTCAAGCCAAGAGGCCTCTGACCACCCATCCTACCCAGACCTCTCCTGGGTTCCCACTCTGGCTCCCCTGCTCCTCTCACCCCCAGGGTTGCTGGCTGGGCTCTCGATGGCTGCTCTGGCCCCAGATCTCTGCTAGGGCCCAGGCTGACCTGACCCCAGGCCCTGAGTTTCTGTCGGGTGGATTTAATCTTTCCCTCCCAGATGCTTCAGAGCTCACTGCACACCTCCTTCAGACTCGCCCGTGGCTCCCTCCCACCCAGACACCTGAGGTCATTCTGCCTGAACGTGTTCTGCCTATAGGGTCTATCTCAGAACGCTATGGGCAGAACACGTTCACCAAATCACACGTGGGGGCTCACCACAGAAAGAAGCAAAGTTAAGTGGGGCAGGAGGAGGAGATGACCCCAAACCCCCTTACACTCAGCCTCCCCCTGCCCAACAGCCCTCCTGAGAACATCCAGGCTCATGGGGCGCTGTGCCAGCCGGGCTAACCACTCACAGGGCTCACTTGATCACAACCTTCGGGGGCAAGGGGCAGAGCAGAGCCACGGATGCCCTCACCTCTCCCCCACCCAGACGACCGTGCATTCAATCAGGGGGCCCAGAGAAGAGGTGTGACTCAACCATAGTCACAAAGCAATTCACCGGCAGAGCTAGGCCTCCTAGAGGCTTGAAACACTTCCAGATGCCAAAGATATGTCTCTCAGCAGTGGGATGCCCAACACCTGGAGAGGCATCGGGGCCAGGCAATGGGCCAGGGATGCCAGACATGCTGGCCAGGGCAGAGACCTTCAAGAACCAGACTGCGGCAGGGGAGCCTTGTTGAGTCTTGTTGGGGAAGGTGGCGCCTGTGCTGGGGTGACCTAAAGAGCTGCTGGGCAGGTGGGCGAGGCTGGCAGAGCCTGAGCGCTCCTGGAAGTCAGTGACTCAGGTAGAAAGGCCCCTTCTGAGTCAGCCCTGCTAAAAGGTTGCCTTGTGAGTACTGCACCTGGACAAGCAACTGGGGCAAGGCCCAGGGACTCCATGAAGGTTCAAGGCCCCAGGACCTCTGCTCCCTAATCTGCCCTGAGAAGCTCAGAGTCTGGGGGCAGAACACATGAACTGAAGGAAGGAGGGCAGAGGCAGTGACTGTCCACTTGGTGAGCTTGTACAAGTCCACCCACCTGTTCTAACTCAAGAAGGGACCACTGGTTCGAGAGAGTATTGAGCCAGGCCTGGGAGCTCAGTGCCTGCTTTCTGCCTAGAAGCCCTCCTCCTGTCCCTTCCAGCATTCATGCTATGTGTCTGGCCAGAGGGCCCCAGCCCAGCTTCTGCCCTCTCTCTGAATGAAGATCTACCAAAACAGTATAACTGACCAAGGTTTCTTTCCAAAGGGTCAGTGTTAAGGCAAAGCTCTTAGAACAGCCCCTCACACACAGTAAATGCTCAATAAATGTTGGCCTTTTTTTTGTTGTTGTTCGTTTTTTTGTTTTTTTTTTGTTCGTTTTGTTTTGTTTTGAGACAGAGTCTCACTCTGTCGCCCAGGCAGATGTGCAGTGGCACGATCTCGGCTCGCTGCAAGCTCCGCCTCCGAGATTCACGCCGTTCTCCTGCCTCAGCCTCCCGAGTAGCTGGGACTTCAGGCGTCCGCCACCACGCCTGGCTAATTTTTTTTTCTGTTTTTTGGTAGAGACGGGTTTTCGCCGTGTTAGCCAGGATGGTCTCGATCTCCTGACCTCGTGATCCACCCACCTCGGCCTCCCAAAGGGCTGGGATTACAGGCGTGAGACACCGTGACCGGCTTTTTTTTTTAAAATACGGAGTCTCGCTCTGCCGCCCAGGCTGGAGTGCAGTGGCGTGATCTCGGCTCACTGCAACCTCCGCTTCCCAGGTTCAAGCGATTCTCCTGCCTCAGCCTCCCGAGTAGCTGGGACTACAGGCGCATACCACCATGCCCGGCTAATTTTTGTATTTTTAGTAGAGGCACGGTTTCACCATGTTGGCCAGGCTGGTCTCGAACTCCTGACCTCAAGTGATATGCCCGCATCTGCTTTCCAAAGTGCTGGGATCACAGGCAAAAGCCACCATGCCAGGCCGACCATTCTTATTATTGGTGTTATGATGGTTCCTCCTATTGAATGGCCCAGCATATGGGTCTGGCATGTTGTAGGTGCTTGACAAATGGTAGAAGCTGATGTTATTGTTATTATCATAATTTATGGCAGCTATCTCAGTGCCCGACACATAGTAGGTGCCGAACAAATGCTCAGTCCTTCTTTTGGATGGCCGAATGCATGTGTTCCCCATCTGGCAAAGAGAGACGCAGGGCCATTCTTCACTGGGCTGTGGCAGGGAGTGAAGTGAGGTGTGCAGCAAGGGATCCAGTTCTGGGTAGGAGCAGCTGGCAGTGCCACTCTGCCCTTCCTTGCTGCACACCCACCTCACTGATTCGGAAGGCTCTCCCTGAGGTTGGGGGTGGAGTGAGTGGGGACCATCTGGCCTACATGGTGGGGAGGTCTTGGCCTCAGGGATCCAAGAGGGAGGAGCCCCAAAGAACCTGACTGCCCAGGTGGAAGGGGCAGGCCCCTCCTGGAACACAGGGGCTGTCTGGGCTGGGCCCTGAAGAAGGAGGAGAGCTGAGCCTAAGGCAGGGTGGGAGGTGGGAAGGACAATGCAGAGCCAGAGGACGCGGACCCTGGCCTCCAGGGTAAGAAGGGGCCCTGGAGAGCAGGCTGAGAAGCCACTGTGGAGCTCCTGGCCCGACAGCAAGGAGCCCCTGGAATGAACCCGGTGCTGGGCTGAGAGCGAGGTCTTACGCCACTGCCCGCCTTCCAGGGCCAGCCCTTTAAGATGCAGAACTTGCAGGGGGGAGAGGGGGCACTGCTGGGGCACTGGACCAGATGTCTACACCCAATTGTCCCCAGCTTAAATGGCCTCAGTTGCCCAATTACACAGCAGTCACCCTAGGAGCCTTTGGAGCTGGCCAGGATGGGCCACCACCACGCCTCATACACACACACTCCACACCCCACCCAGCTGATGCCGGCCCAACTGGCTGGGTTTCAATGCCAGGGAAGAAAGAGGCTGCCTGCTCTACTGGTGGGGACAGCACGGCGCCCTGCTAGTAAGGAAGGTCAAGAAGGGGCTCTCTGGGTCCTCCAGAGGGCTGAGCAGACTGGTGCACACCCCTCTTCCACCCCTTCACACCCCATCCCTTGCTGAGAAAGAGGGAAATACTTCCCAGAACGAGTCATTGGGTCCCCAGGGGTGTGGGAAATGACATCAGGGAGTAGGCACGCATTTAGCCATCAGCTGCTGTGGCAACGTACACATGCACACGTATCCACAGGACTGCCACATGCAGCTGCGCATAAAGGCATGTGCAGACACTCGCTGACACGGTGGTGGACATGTGCAAACCAGCACCTACACACATGCCCTCCCCAGAGACCTGCAGACACAGCCATGCAGACCTCCTCAGTCACCTACTGGGAGCCAGGCACTGTGCCGGAGCTGGAGATACAGCAGTGAGCAAGACAGACAGACACCAACTCCCCAGAAAGCTGCTTTCTACTGAGGGAGACAGACCAGAAACAGCTACATTTAAAATATAACCTTTGAACTGAAGTATCCACACATGAGACTGTGTGATGCTGGAGTCCACCGGAAGGCAAAGGGTGTGGGGGAGTAAAATAGGGACCCAGTGTTGAGAATTGTTGGAGCCAAGAGGTGGGCATGTGGGGTTCTGTTATATTCGTTTCTCTACTTTTGTGTATGTTTGAAACTTTTCTTTTTTTCTGAGACATAGTCCCACTCCTTTGCCCAGGCTGGAGTGAAGTTGTGCAATCTTGGCTCACTGTAACTTCCGCCTCCCAGGCTCAAGCGATTCTCCTGCCTCAGCCTCTTGAGTAAGTGGGATTACAGGTATGCACCACCACGCTCAGCTAATTTTTGTATTTTTAGTAGAGATGGGGTTTTGTAATGTTGGCTAGACTGGTCTCAAACTCCTGACCTCAGGTGATCCGCCCACTTCAGCCTCCCAAAGTGGTGGGTATGAGCCTCCGTGCCAGGCCTGTATTTGCTTGGGAGACTGAGGCAGGAGAATCGCTTGAGCCCAGGAGGCAGAGGTTGCAGTGAGCCGAGATCACGCCAATGCACTCCAGCCTGGGTGACAAAAATAAATAAATAAGAGCTAAATACATACACATTTATAATTGGCAGCTGGTAATAAGTAAAATGAAGAAAAAATAAGGCAGGGTAAGGAAACAGAGGGACGAGGAAGTTTCATTAGATTTCAGGGTCAGGGAAGCCTTCTCCAAGGAGGTGACATTTATGTAGAGATCTGAATTAATTGAGGTGAGAACCACATGTTTATCTGGGAGGAAGAACATGCAAGACAGAGAAGAGAGCAAATGCAAAGGCCCTGAGGTCTGAGCAAACGCAGAAGAGGAAACCAGCCGACCAATGAGTCTGGAGTTCCATGACCGAAGTGCAGAGGGGTCTGACGCAAGACCAGGAAGGAGCCTTGTGGGTTGTGCTAGGAGTTTGGAAACTTTCCTAAGTATGGCAGGAAGCCCTGAGGTTGAAAGCAGGGGAGAGACATGATTTGATTTAGAATATGGTTTTAAGGCTGGGTGTGGTACTCACACCTGTAATCCCAGCACTTTGGGAGGCCGAGGCGGGTGAATTACTTGAGGTCAGGAGTTCAAAACTAGCCTGGCCAACATGGTGAAACCCCATCTCTACTAAAAATACAAAAAAAAATTAGCCAGGCAAGGTGGTGAATGCCTGTAATCCCAGCTACTCGGGAGGCTGAGGCAGAAGAATCGCTTGAACCCAGGAGGCGGAGGTTGCAGTGAGCCAAGATCAAACCATTGCACTCCAGCCTGGGCAACACAGTGAGACATCGTCTTTAAAAAAAAAAAAAGAATATGGTTTTAAAAGTTCACTCTGAGCTGTGCACAGTGGCTTATGCCTATAATCCCAGCTATGCAGGAACCTGAGGCAGGAGAATCACTTGAGGCCAGGAGTTTGAGACCAGACTGGACAATATAGCAAGACCCTGTCTCTAAAAAAAAATACATATTTTTATATATGTGTATATGCACGTGTGTGTATATGTATAAATATATATATATACATTCACATGTTTTTGTAAAAGATCACTCTGGCCCCTGTTAGACCATTAAGGAGCAGGAGAGGCAGCAGAAGGGCAGCTTGGAGGCTGCTGCAATAGTCCAGGTAAGCCTAGTGGTTTGGACCCAGGTGGTGAGAGCATTACATTTGGGGTCTCATTTGATGGACTAACAAGGCTGTGCTTGTGGATGGGATGTGGAATGAGAGAAAGAGAGGAGCCAGGCATGAGCCCAAGGTGGGCCTGAGGTTCAGGGGGAGAGGAATTGTCTTTTCCAGGCTGAGAAACACAGGGAAAAGCTCGTGTGGCTGAATGACTATAGATACCAAGCGCCAGCGCCACCACAGGGACATACACGCAGGTAGGTACAGGTGCACACACTGACAGGCACCTGCAACCACACAGGTGGGTCCACACACTCCAGGTACCAGATGCAGGCAGAGACTCCATCACCCCACCTCTGCCTGCCCCACCTGACACCCCAGCCCAGCCCCAGGGCCAGAGCCCTTTTTGGCTCAGCACTCACAAGCCCCCTTCCCCGAGTCTCGACATTTTCCTGCCAGCTCTCACTGCCCCCATATTGTCTCCTGGAGTAAGGAGGCTCCTGAGTTCTTCTCAGAGACCAGAGTCCTGCTCCTGCCCCCAGCTCGCTGCCCATGGCCTCACCTGTCTAGCCCCCTCCTCCACAGCCAGAACCTGACCCCATGCCCCAGCCTCGGGCCTTCCAGAAAATTATCTCTCCACAAATATTTGCTCAGCACTCTCTGTGGGCCAAGCCCTCTGACCTTTCACCCACTGACTTGAAGGAACACAGCCACCTCCACCCAATACCCACCACCTGCCCCTCACGGCCACCTGCCCCTCTCCCTCCCCATTCCCTTCGATTCCCAGCACCCTTGTGTTCACACTGCAGCAGGACAGTGGCCCCCGCCACGCCTAGCCCCCCAGCCTTCAAAAGGCAGCCTGGTGCGGTGGGAAGGGCACGGCTCCAAGTGCAGGCAGACCTCAGCCCAGGCCTGCCATGGGGCAGGTGCGCAATCTCGCAGTGACTCAATGCCTCTGAGCCACCGTCTGCTGGAAAATGTTGACAATAGGAGTTCCTACCTTCCAAACAGTCGTGGTACCAGCACAGAGGACTGAAAAAATGGTAGCTCTTGTGCACTCAGGCCCACCCAACCTGGCTGACCTGTGTGGCTTTGAGGATGCAGCCGGCCTGAGGCAGTGACAGCATCCACACTCGTGAACTCGTGGCCATGTATAATCGTGGTAACCATCGCTTGAGTGATGCTGGAGGAAACTGAGACTGAATGATGACCTTACATGAGGTCACCCAGTGAATCTGTTTATGGGAGGCATTGGGTATGAGACTGGGGCTCTTAACCTTGGGCTGTGCTATCCTGTATATGTTGGTATATGTAACTGTTAGTGGCCCAGCGGACCCCTCCTGCCCTGGATGACAAGTACAATGACAGCCAAGGACCCCAAGGAATCTGCTCCCCACGGAGGCAGTGTGGCAACACGGGGCAAGGCTAAAGGTCTGGGGGTGGTTGGGGGCCTGGTTCCAGGCCCAGCTCTGCCATCTACCCACTGTGTGGCTTTAAAGGGCTTGCCCAGTCAGTTTTCCAACCTATGAAGTGGGGGTACCAATATTCTTAGCACTCTCTCTCCCCAGGGCTGCTCCAGCTCTACTCAGGCTGATGACCCCACCTGCTCCTCAGTGGCGCTGGCTGTGCAGGCACTGCCCAGATGATGTGTTCTGCTCACGTCACCCTCCTAACAGCCATCTGGAACTCCCCTCTCAGTGGAGAAACAGAAGCATGAAGCAGTTAAGAAACATCCCTACAGCAAGGCCACACTGGTCAGGATCTGCACTTGCCTCTGGGCGGTAGAGGGAAAGGAATGGGGTTGGGGTGGGGGCTGCTGCTATCTGGGGGCAGCAGGGCTATATGGAGGAGCCTCATACTCCCTTGCTCCAACCCCAGAGCACTCCTGCCAAATGGCAGCAAGGGGTGCGGGTCAGCCCAGAAGAGGCTCCAGGTGCCTCCAGGCTTCCGCCAGCCTGTAACACCCGGCCCTGGCACTGGCCATCTGCCTCTCAGCACAGGTAGCCCAGGCCTGGGTACTGTTTCGCACCAGCCTTGGCTACTCCAGCACCCCCCTCGCTGGACCCCATTTCCTGGTGTGTAAAATGACAGTAATAATCTCTTGCACATGGGGTGGTTGTAAAATAACGACCATCCAGTGCCCATCACAGTGCTGCCTGCACTGGGAGATAGTAGAATCCCCAGAGGCTGGGAGATTCCGAAGCAGTGGGACTCATACCCCCATCCCAGGTAGAACCCCAAGAAAGGAGCCAGATCCCAGAAGAAACAGGGTGGCATGGGGTGTCTAAGCGGCACCCCAGAGCTCCCTGTGCTTGACTGCGAAGTGGGAGCTGTGGAATGATGACCACAGGCCCCAGAGGGGGCCACAGGCCACAGAAAGGACCTCTATCAGCCCCTTAGTACAGGGCAAATGGAAGGAGCCCTGAGTGCCCAAGAGCAGAGAAGAGCCAGACACACAGAGACTCAGGATGGGCATCAAGGGAGCATGCAGGGGAAAGGCAGGAGGCAGGGCAAGATGATCGGAGGGCCCAATGCTGACCAGGACCATGGCGGGCATCGCAGGCCCAATGGCAGCATCCAGGTCCAGGAGTTCTGCAAGAAGCAACCCGTAACAATGTGTGCTGCTGGGTGGGCAGGGCGGGGAGGAGGGAAGAGAGCAGAGCACCAACAGAAAGGGGCAAAATCAAAATTAATACCGTTTAATTAAGTATCTACAAGACAGGACACAAGTCATAAACTGAACCCTTTAATGTGGAATGCAGGTAAATATTAATATGTATGATAGAGTGTGGGATTCAGCCTTTAAAATGCAAAGCTCCCTAAGGTCTTCAAATGTGCCATCCCCAAAAGTTCTACACATCCCTGGGGAAAGAAAGGGTCCCCAAATTGATGTGAGATTACACTTCTACCATGTGGGGAATGGGGGAGGAAAACAGAAATTCAGGTCAGATATAAAAAAAAATTAAGTTATGTTCCTCACTCATGTTCCTTTGTAAACGGAGCTCCTGAGTCACTGCAGCTGTCACCGTGCAGTGCCATCTTCAGACCCTTCATCCCTCAGGGCTGGGGGGACTCACCCTACCCTCTCACCCTTCACATTTCAGCCGTTGGGTTCACCAGCCTCCTATCCCTTCACTCATCTAGAGGGGAAATCTGCCTCCCCTTCTTCCTTTGGCCCTAAATGAGTTCATCAGTGTGACTCTAAGGAGTGATGGCAGGGAGCTGGGTTTGAGTCCAGCCCCGCCAGAGATTCCCTGTGTGAACCTAGGCAGGTCCCATCTTCCCTCTGGCCAAGTCTCAGTCTCTTTGTTGCGAAAGGGAATAAATGCTGCCTACTGGGGCTGCTGAGCAGATCCAGGCCACAGCTATGCGACACTACTTCTTAAACAGACTGCACTGCACTGGGGTTTGACCAACAAAACAAAACCAAACCAAAAGAAAAAAAAAGTTTGTGTTCAACTATGTTGAACAGAGCTGGGTTTCACAATCAGCCCTTCTGAGCTATGTCGGGGGGTGGTGAGGTTTGATTTTTCCCCATGGTCTTCCTACCAGGGCTCACCGTCTTCTCCTGCCCCAGCCAGTGGAGAGGGGAACCAGAGCCGAACTAGTGGGGAAGCAGGTTAGGGTGGGTGGGGGAGCTGAGCAGGCTTGGCTCCTGGAGGCCTGAGTCAGCGGGCAGGCGGGCAGGGCGGGCTGGGTCCTCACATGCTTGGGGAGGAGATGGTGCAGGAATGTTCCTCCCGCCCAGGCCTAGGCCCTGCCCACCGCATCCTGGCTCCGGCTCCCGTGGCCACTGCAGCTCAGCTCTAGCTTGAGAAGGGAGCTGCCTGGAGCTCTGCTGGATCGGTTCAGCCAGGGGCCTTCAGAGGCAGCCTGGCCCAGAGGATTGGCCCAGGGGAGGGCAGGGCCAGGAAACAGAGTCTGCCCAGAGCCAGGCTCTGGCCCCAGAGTATCCCCTGCCCTGCTGGGTGATAAGGCCAGCCACCACTGCTCCCTGGGCCTCAGGCGCCCATCTGTTCAATAAGGAGCTGAACTTGGTGGTATCCAGTCATCCCAATTGCATCCCTAGACCTCAGGCTGTGTGCCTGTATGTGGTGCTTGTGACTGGCTCTACTCCCCCTTGGAGACACCCCCTCCAGGGGTGGTGTCTCCAAGCAAAGCTCTCCTTAATCTCTGATGAGGTGGGGACCCTGGGAGGTCATGCAGGTGCAGTCCAGGCACAGAGATGCTTATGACACCTTTGCTCTGTGCAAGCATGGCTTTGTGGCGGTGTGTGCCCGAGTATGTGTCACTGTGTGAGGCTATGACCATGTGCATAGGACTGTGGTGTGGCTGTGTCTGACAAAGTAGCCACTGGTGCTTTGAATGGATGGCAAGGCATGTGTGGCTGTGGCTGTGAATGTGTAATAGCGTGTGGCAGTATGACTGTGTGAGCATACAGGCATGCTTATGTGGCGTATGTGCCTGTGGGCAGGTGTGTGACTGCGTGTGCTTGTTGTGAGACTGAGCGATTACATTCGTGAGTCTGTGAGTGTGTAGACACGTGGAAGACATATGGCTCTGTCATCTGGGAGGGGTGGTGCAGAGCAGGGGCCGATGGGGCCACCTGCCTCTCCCAGGCCTGGCTCTGCTCCAGCCAGTGGTGCAGCCACGGCACAGTGGTTCATAGCCCTCCTGTGTCCAGCGGGTGAAGAGATGCAGGATCTGAGGTCTGCTTCCATCCCCAGCCCCCATCTGTGGCCACAAAGCGGATTCCTTTTCCTGTACTGGGCCAAGACTGGTGACCAGGGGATCCCCTACCCCGGGTGCTGGTAGCTGTCCAGGGCAGAAAGAGAAGCCTTGTTTTCCACCCCCTCAGAGCAAAGTAAGGGAGGAAACGAGGCAGCTGGGTCCAGCCGAGTCGGGAACATCTGCCTGGCATGTGACGAGGCAGGAATCGGCCATCACCAGGATGCCCCCAACACTGGTCCCCCAATCTCCTGCTGAAAGGGGCTTAGCTACCCCAGAACGGCCCCAAGTTCCCCCAATACCCCCACCCCCATAGAGGCAGAAAGAAAAGAGAGAGGAGGGCCAGGACAGCCTCCCTCCCTGCCACACACACACCTGCCCCAGCCCAGAGACCTCAGGATACCAGGAGCAGGCCTGGCATTATCCCAAGACTCCACTTCCTGATGCTTCTCCTGGATCCAAGTCCCTCCTGAGAAAAGTATCAGACTGATGGCCTCACCCTGAGGATGGAAGGCCTGGGAGGTGGTCCCCTCTCAAGGAAGGCACACAGAGGACAACACTGTTCCCAGAGCAGGAAGCATGAGCAGGGGACTTTCCAGGCACCATGGGTTAGGAGGAGCATTCCCACCAGCCCTGCCTCGGCCTGGCCCAGCCCCCACTGCTCAGAGCCCCTTCTGCAGATGGCTACATGGATGGCAGAGCTGAGAAGAGGTTAAGGGCGGGAAGTTCCTCGGATGGGTTAGAAAATGGGGCAGGGTGGAGAGAGGGGAAAATTCCTCAGAAAGTCCCAAATCTGACCTAATGTTGACCAAGGGCCAGGGGGACCCATTCCAGAAGTTCCTCTGAGGACGCTATGCCCTGAACAGGGAGTCCTGCCCGCCCCTTCCCCCACCGCACCTGCTGGCCCTTCTCCATCTTCCTGCACAAGCTCCCTGGTCCCTGGTCTAGCCAACCTTCCCTGACGGCCTTGACCCTGGAAGCCCTCCCTCCACCAAGTCCCCATTGCCTCCAAAGGAGAGCCAAGTCTCAACCAGTACCCTCCTCTCATCTGTGGATGAACAGATCCAAGAGCAAGGTCCGCTCATCCTGATCAGGGCACCCCCAACAGCCAGCGTCCTCTTCAGTTTCCAATGTGGGAGCCTCCGCAGGGCTGGGTACCCAGGACGGTTTGGGGAAGAGACACAGCTTCTGAGTCCCCCACTTCCCTCCCCTGGACTAGGGCTTTTCAAGGGCAAGGCCAGGGCATGGCTCCTTGGGGAGAGGAGCCACCATCTATTAATTGTCCTAGGGCACAGCGTCCTGTCCCTTCCTCATACAACCCTCAGCCCCAGATCACAAGGCAGTACAGCCAGTCCCCTGGGCAGCACTCCACCTGTTTTAGAGACAAGAGTGCGTTCTAGGGAGGGATGGATCCACCCAGGGGTCCACAGCCGCCTCTAGCTCCTCCTGCCTGCTGGCACCTTCCACCAGCATAGCCCTCCCCTGAACTTTTGAGGTTCTGTGGAAAATTTGTGCCCACCACGACCTCAGAATCTCATCCAATGGCTCTCAGGAGCAATTAGGGCTCTATCCTTCTCCTGCCCTCCGCCTTTCTGGGATCCAAACAGAAAAAGTCATGCTTGTGTTATCTTAATTGTAAAAGGTTTATCAAGAAAAAAGATTCAAGGAGCAGCATCCAGGAGGAGACCATGACCCCCCCGGGGGCAAGGGGGGCAGTGGTGACACATGTCAGCACCCCACAGCAAGCTGCTGGACCACACCCTGACCTGGGTGGGGAGGAGGCAGAAACCCCTCGGGGATGTAAACATAGGTCAGAGACAGCACAACCTGACGGGGAGCAGGGGCCCACATTCCAGCGAGGCAGACAGAGGGCAGGTGGGCATGGAATCCCTCGCATGGCTGGGCAAGCAGGCCCCTGTCTTTTTCCTCTTAGGTTTCCCATTGTGCAACAGGAAGGATCTTGGGAAGACAGTGCCACAGAGCCCAAGGACCCTGAGATCCTGGGTTTGGACCTGCTTCGAGTGTGGGGAGTTATTGCTGGTGAACTCAAATATACAGTCACTTTTGAGAGTCTTCTCCAGGAAGGTGTCACCAGGGATCTGGGGCCCAGGGCTTATACCTCAGCACCTTGAGTCCGAGGAGGGGAGGATGCTGCAATGGTCCCCTGCCCGAGATAAGCTGAGGGCCCAAAAGTGGAGGGGAGTCAGAGGCCTACAGGAGGGAGATGGCCTGTAGCCCCCTCCTGCAGGGGACAGGGTGATGTACGGACAGCCAGCAACATGGGAGCAAGGGAGATCCCTTCCTACCACACAGGCCAGAATCCCCATGGAAAGCGTACCTAACTTGCTTGGAAAGTAAGGGAGAGAAGAGGGAGATGTTTGCATGCCTCCATAACTTTGCCCATGCTGTTCCTCTCCCCTGAAAGTCCTTCTCCCCCATGTACTGTCTGGCAGGCCCTTGTCATTCTTCAAAACACTGCCCAAATGTTGCCTACTCTATGGAGTCTTCCCTGACCAGTGGAATGCTGTGGTCCCTTCTATGAGCTTCCAGAAATCCCTCACTTAAACATCAGTCATACTGCATTGACTCTGTCTGTGTCTGACCCCGACCTTCACTGAGGACTCCTGAAGAGCAGGCATGTCACAGCCCTGGGTGCCCAGCATCCGACCCAAGGGTGCAGCAGGCCTCGGTGTCTGCTGAATGGATAAGGCAGCAGTGGCCAGGTGAGCAAGCAAAATAGGCTCTAGGGGAGGCTGAGACCCTGGCCTGACCTTCACTGACTGACCGGCAGCCCAGGCCTTGGCCTCGAGGGCTCCTGACTCTATTCTCACCCCTGCTGTGCCCCACTTCTAAGGAGTGGGGAATTTCCCAGGGGCACCCATGACTCCTTGAAAGCTCCTTCTCCCAGGAGGCAGGACAGGCCGCTTATCTCCCCCACCGCTGACCCCTCCCCCAGTCACTGCTGGTATAGGGAGGTCGGGAAAGTGGGGTACACTGCAGTGACCAGGCCCAGGGGAAGGAGGGGGCCCAGGCACACGCGGTCAGAGGTTGTCATACATGCGCAGGGTCTTCTCCAGCTGCTGGCCCACCCGCTGGTAGAAGAGGATCTGCTGGCGCAAGTAGTTCTGCATCATGTGCTTGAAGTCGAGCTCACGGCGCTGGTGGAAGTGGTTCATCTCGGCCTGCAGGGCGAAACCCACCACGCGGCAGCGCCTGCGAATGCCGTCTGCCTCGTCCTGCACCATGCGGCCCTCGTCACTCATGCGTTGGCTCTCCTTCACCTTGGCGAAGGCGCCTGGCATAGGCAGAGCAGAGGACAGCGTGTGAGGGCTCTGATCTCCATGTGCTCCCTGTACCCTTGAGGGCAGACAGCACCCTCATCAGCTCAACTCGGACGTCATTCCTGAGCCCCAGACCCACATTCCAGCCACCTGGGTGTCTCTGCCAGGATGTTACCCAAGCCATCACCCTCAGCACCTCCTAAACCAAGCACATCATCTTCTCTCCAAATGTGCAGTGCCACCAGTAGCCCACATGTGACCAGTCACAGCCCTGCTTGATGGACTATGAATTCAATGAGGATAGAGCCTGTCCTCAACCTCTCTGTGTCTCTGGTACCCAGAACAAGGCCTGGCCCACAGCAGATCCTGATATAGGCCTGCTGAACTGATTCAACCCTGTCCCTCACTGGACTGCTACAACAGCCCCGCCACGTCTCCCTGCCCTCCGCCCCAGCCTCTGACAGGTTCTCTGCAGCATCTAAAGAGGTATCCCAAGCTGGGCACCTTTCCTAGCTCTCCACTACCTACAGATCAAGGTCCACACCAATCTGCCTGGCCTGGGGGGCCCTCACCTCTGGGAGTTGGCCCCTGCACGCATTCCACACTGACCCCCATGTTCGTCAAACTCACCTGGCTCTTTCCTACCTTCCTACCTCTGCCCCCTGGATTCCTATTCATAATTCATGGCCCCGATCAGGTGCCACTTCTACACTGGAGCCTCTCCCAGTTCCCCTGACAGAATGTCTCTCCCATGTCACCTGTGCCCTGGCTCCCCACCCCCACCCCCATCACACTGCTGATTCTAAAACAACTCTTCAAAGGCCACCTGGTGTATCTCCCAGACATGCACGCCCTGTTCCCTCCTCATCCCAGCCCCCAGGGAACTCGAGGAGGTTGTGTAATAACCAGGTGACAGATGGGGGGTGGAGATGAACCTGGGCAGAGGACCCAATTTAGAAGAATCTGAATGAATGAACAAGCAGCTGGTGAATGAATTTCAGTTCTGAATTAAAAGGGACTTGACGAATTCTGCCTTTAAGCCAGTGGGGACAGTTGCTGGGAAGAGAAGGAAGTTTGCCTGTGCCTGGCACTCAGTCGCCGAGGGCTGCAGAGAATCCACCATACAAAGAAGATTAGGAGCAGGGAAGGGTTGGCATAGAGGACAGCACACCCCTGAGCACTGCAAACGCACCCACTACACACAGATAGCATGCTCAATACCCATGCTTTCCCACTTCTCCTTTAAGGAGGGCTCTTGAGGGCTGTCTAGATAATATTCTCTTCACTCCCTGGCTCAAATTGTCCAGTGCATTCTAAATGCATTCATTGAGCACTTACTGTATATCAGGCCCAGGGCTCTACATGCTGGGAATAACTCTGGATGCCTTTAGAAGGGGCAACATCCATGTTAGTTGATAAGTGCATGGCTAATCGGCTAATAGTAGCATTTCAGGCAAACAGACTCAAGTTCAGAGAGTCTCCAGGGCTGCTCACACAGCGCCCAAAAGAAATCTGCATTCCCCAGCTCCCAGCCCACTCAGTCCTTCTGCCACCTTCCCTGGACCACCTCCTGCACCATCTCAACAGCCCAGCCCTGGGCAGCAGAAGGGGGATCACCCCAAGGCCCAGGATAGGACCCAGTAAGAGACTTCAGAGCTAGAAAGGCCCAAAAGATCAGGTGTCCAACCCTCGATTCCACCTCCATCCTACTACTGTACAGAGGAGGCCAAGGCCCTGAGGGGCAGGAACTTGCCCAGGACTCCCAGCCTCTTTCCTGCCTGGTCCTCCACAGCTGGGGGTCGGACACCACTTCTGCTGCAGGGAGCCCATGCCAGGTCCTTCAGGCATATGTGTGGGGCCCCCAGACGTTGGACACAGGGATTCAAGAAGGTCCCAAGGAGTAGGAAGAACCGTAAGAAGAAAGGTAGAAAACAGCAGGGTGAAGAAACTGGAGTTAAACTTCCGCAGAAGGAACCTAGCTAAAGAGGAGATACTGAACTAGCCTGGATTCCACCTGCCGAGAAAGTTGGCACAGTGGAAGTGCATCTATAGACTTTTCCTGTCCATGGCCTTAGAGGAAGGAAAGGCCTCTTTTGCTGATGAGGAGCCCAAAGAGTAAGAATGAACCCATTGCAATGGTTAGGTATCCACAGACAGGCAGGAGGCCAGGGATGGGGAGCAAAGGCTGCAGAGGTCGGGGGGAAACAGAGGCCCCACCCTGTTCTCCGTTACCCCTCCACCCTGTGACTCAGCTCTGGGGCCAGGACCAGCTAATGCTAATGCACCCCACCCCACAGGCTGGGAGTCAGGGCTCAGGCCTGTCCAGCATCCCCCCGACATTCTACTTAAGACTTAACCTGAGAGCTGAGGACCCAGGGGGACCTCCTGCCTCAGCACTCCTCTTACAGGCTGGGTCCCAAAAATGCAGAAAGGAGGGTTGGAGCCCACCAGCTGCAAGTCCCAGGGATATTCCCTAAGCTCCCACCTCAATCCATCTTGCCCCTGCCTCTTGGAGACAGTTAACATCCACCCCAGGTTGGGGGCAGGAGGGAGCAGGAGGTCTGAGTCCTAGTCCTAGCTGTATCCTCTCCAGCAAGCCACTGCTCTTGCCTGGGCTCCAGGTCTCCCCACTGCCCAGTGGGACAGGTTGCACTAGATGTGATGCTGTTGACAACCTCTCACACGGTATAGTGCTTTAAGGAGTTTCCACATCTGTAAAATGGGATAATAATAGTACCTGCCCTATAGTATAGTTGAGGCTTAACTGAACTAATATGTACACAGTTCAAAGGAGCGCACCTGAGATACAATAGAAGCTCCAGATGCTACATGTTATGGCTTGAAAACTGCTTTTCTTTTCTTTTTTTTTTTTTTTTTTAATTTGAGATGGAGTCTTGTTCTGCTGCCCAAGCTGGAGTGCAGTGGCTTGATCTCGGCTCACTGCAACCTCCGCCTGCTGGGTTCAAGCAATTCTTCTGCCTCAGCCTTCCAAGTAGCTGGGATTACAGGCACCTGCCACCATGCCTGGCTATTTTTTTGTATTTTTAGTAGAGACAGGGTTTCACTATGTTAGCCAGGCTGGTGTCGAACTCCTGTGATCCGCCCACTTCGGCCTCCCAAAGTGCTGAGATTACAGGATGAGCGGTAGAGGGAAGGCTAGATGATGGCTCAGAACCCAGAGGCTGAACCCACCCATCCCCCAGGCAAGAACTTGTCCCTACAGTCGCCACTTTGCCTTGGCCACGCTGTCCCTATGGCCCCTCCATGGAAGCTCTGTGGTCCTGGGCCTCTCTCTAGCCCACAGGACCAGTGAAGGAGCACCCAAGCCTTCCTCCCTCCTCTTTCGCCTTCTGGCTCAGCTCTCCATCCCTGGGGATCCCCTCCCCCATCTGGGAGGGCACAGTGGAAACAGCCTGGGCTGCGGAGCCAGACACACTGGACTCCAGCTCCTGCTCTGAGGCTCATCTGCATCGCTGCACCTCGTCTGTAAAACGGAAGTGACCACATCGCCCTCCTGACCTGTCGTGAGCCTTAGGACCAGCCCCGCTCTTGCTGGCTGTCAAGTTGGGGGTCCATACGTCCCAGCTTGCCCTGGACAGTTACTTTCCCCTGTTGTCCCGGGATCACTATTGCTAGGGCCCCCTTTTATGCCCCAAACTGCCCTGGTTAATTATATGGTTACCCTTCTCTTAGGAGACCCCTGGATTGGGCTACAGGGACTAGGCCCGTGGGAGGACCAGGCTCCTCTCAGCTCCAGCCAGGGTTTATGTCCCATTTTATTTCATTTTATTATTTTTCTGAAAAGCATACAAATTTGTTTAATGTAAGTTTCACATGACATGGAGCCCTCCTAAGGAAATGAAGACCCTCGGGTCCCATTTTACTCACCTAGAGACTGAGGGGAGAAATCTCTCCCAAAGTCATGTCAGATGCAAAGTTTGTCCAAATCCTGGTCTCCTGACTCCCACCTAGGCCTCCACTGTCCTTCCTCCCACACACTCACCACCCATTCAGATGTCCAGACAGGCTGGACAGAATCCTGGGGGCCCAGGACCCAACTGTTCTTCTCTTTTCTTTGAGAAGGGCTCCACCCCTAAGGCCAGCATTAGGACCCCCTCCTTATCACTCCCATTGGGCTGTGGTCCCCAAAGCCTGTCCAGTTCTGTCTCAGTACCCCCTCCCTAACTTGCCCCACACCACAGGCCTGGGAGGAGCAGTGCAGAGCCCAGAACTTAGAGTAAGCCAGAGAGGGCTTGGCCCATTGGGAGGGGTCCTCCCGGGGAGGGAAGGCAGTGGGCTGGCCTCTGTTTCAGGTCAAATGCACCAGCACAGAGGACAGTGGCCTCTGACTCTTAGAAACACCTCAAGTAGAAACTCAGAAATGGCCTATCTCAGCTCTGTCTCTCTGCCCAGGGTCAGAAAGGCTGGTCTGGCTTCCCCCCAGCCTGGGAGGCCCTGGTGTCCTTCCTAGGTGTGGGGCTGCCCTAATGTCCTCAGCTCTGCTCTGGGTGGGGGGTCCCCAGCCACTGCATGGGAGCATCTGTTTAATCATTGCATTCCCCCTCCTGCTGCCTGCACAGGAACAAGCCATCTAAGGAGCTGGTTGAACCAGCCTTCCCACTTGTGCTCAGGGAGACACCTGCCCCAGTGGGCCCCCAGCAGGCCTGGCCACCTCCCCTGCCCTACTCCTGCCCCAGTGCTCAGAGCCAGAGCTAAGGTGTCATTCTGTTTCTGAGCCATACCCTCCCCAGGAGTCCCTTCCCACCCACTCCCTTGAAGGCCTGATGGCTCACTGGGACCCCATTCCCTTGTTTTACAGATCAGGAAACTAAGGCCCAGAGGGGCAAAGGCACTCCCCGGGGACGCACAGCAATCTAGGGGCAGAGCCAAGACTAGCACTCAGGTTTGTGTTTCCTGGAGTTCAGAGGAGGAGGAAGAAAGGTAGAGATGAGAGAAAAAAAAAAAAAAACAGAAAGAAAGGAAGAGGAAGAGGATATAGCAAGGGGAGAAAGGAGGCTGGGAGCTGGAGAAGTTATAGAAGTCAACCTCTTGGTAAAGGAAAGCAAGGCCAGCTTACCCCAGGCCCTCCCTGGTGGTGGTGGGTGACATGTTTCCTGTTCCCCAGGCTCAGTGCAGAGGTCTGCCCCCTGGCCCCACCCAGAGTCAAACTCCCCACCAAGCCAGGTCTAACCTCAGGGCCCAAGGGCCAGGGAGCCAGCTCCACGCCCTGCAGACGAGTTACCAAGCAGCCCCAGGGAGGATCACACCTCTCTCCTGACATCTGCCCTCCCAGCTGTGCCCAGGACTCAGGCACCTGCTGGGGCAGCCACTGGCTCTCTCCTCAGGCAAGAAGAGAAGCCAGGCTTGGGAAGCAGGAGTTGGATAGGCCATGTGGACAGTGCCCTGGACCCCTGATTCTGCACCCCTGGCCCAGCCAGAGTGCCCCTGTGTGACCCAGGATGAGTCATTTCCCCGGCAGTTCATGGACAGCCCCAGCAGTAACAGGCAGAGGCCCATCCTGTCCCTCCCCCACAGAGGGGGTCATGAGAACTGAAAACATGGCTAGGCTTGGGAAGTGGCCAACATGGACGTGTCCTTGGGGAGGTGGCAGGAGGAAGGGACAGTCCCAGCCGGGCCACAGGCTGTGCAACCACTCTTCTGTGGACACTAGCTCCTTCATCTGCAAAATGGGGACAGGGATCTTCCTGCACACAGACAAGACGCTCATAAAGAGAATACACAGTGGTGAGAGTAGCTTCCAAAGCTGCAAAGGTGGGGAGGTTAACTTGCAAGGAGCACAAGACAGGCCCCCACTCTGAGCTCTTGTTATCTGGGTTGGGTCTGTGTCTCCCAAGGGCCTACCGGCTCCTCAAGGGCAAGGCCTGGGGCCTGGTCATCTATGTGTTCTCAGAACCCAGCATGACACCATGCATGATGGGTAAACGAGATGCAAACAGAGAAAATGAATGAACTGACAAGAAGGTAAATATCAAGCTCCATGAGGACAGAGACCGGGCCTGTGCACAACAATATCCCTGCACCTAGAAGCACATTTGCCACAGACACAGAGTTGATATTCAACACATTTGTTTGTTTGTTTGTTTGTTTGTTTGTTTTAGAGACAGGGTCTCACTCTGTCACCCAGGCTGGAGTGCAGTGGCACAATCGGGCTCACTGTAGTCTCAACCTCCTGGGCCCAAGTGATCCTCCTACTTCAACCTCCCAAAGTGCTGAGATTACAAGCGTAAGCCACCGTGCCCAGCCCAACACATTTGTTAAATGAATGATTGAGACAGAGAAATAAAGACAAGTTGCTCCATTCTATCCAGGCCATCCCCATCTCCCCAGGGCCCAGCAGAGAGCCAGACTCAGGACGAGTTTCCTGCCTGCACTGGGCCTTACCTTTTTGTAGATGGATGATGTCAGGGAAGTTGGAGAGCAGGCCCTGGTAGAGAGACAGTGTGTCCAGCATCTGGAAGAGGTCATTCTTGGGCTGCTCAGCAAACATCTCCCCGATGGCTTCATAGGTACGGCCCGTGTGAGAAATGGCACTGTTGAGGGCCTCAGAGCAAAAGGGGGGGTCCATCTGGAAGGAATGACTGATGGCCTGGAAGGCACTGCCCAGCTTCTGGAATTCCTTGCGGAAGCCCCCCACATGTTTACGCACCAGCTCTGATGCCACAGTGCTGAGCTGCAGGACGCTGTCGTCCATCTTCTTACTGAAGGCCTTGAAAGTGTCCACGCGATCTTCCACGTCCTGCAAGTCCTGGTGCTCGGTGGGGATCTGGAAGGTGAGCAGGAAGCTGGCACCCACCATCTCATCCTTCTCCGCCCGGCGTTTGCCCATCTTCCACTGCTTGTCATCCAGGCAGCTGAGGAAATGCTGGAAGCCTTCGTACTGGGAGAGCACAGGGTGGCTGGTCATGTGGTCCATCCAGAGGATGAGTCTCCGCTTCCGCTTTTCGATGAAGTCCTCCTCGAAGCGGCCAGTGGCCTGCTTCTCAGGCAGGTGGGGCACCGAGATGACAGTGAACTTGTGTAGCAGGCGGTTATAGAGCCAGTCAAAGTGTTTGTAGCGCCGGTAGACGGGTGAGGCAGCATGGGTGGGTGTGAGCTTGTAGGAGATGTAGCTTTTGATGCCCTTGAATTTGGTCTGTTTTGTGGGGTCCTCCACAGAGCAGGCAAATGGGTGGGGATTGGCCTTCCACTGGGGGCCACGAGGGCCCATTTCAATGGAGTATGTCTCAGCGATCTTGGCCATCATGGGCACATCACCCAGGATGAAGGCCTCCACTCCAGAACGCACAAAGCATGAGAAACGGTTGAGGTTACGGCCCACCACACTGCCTCGCTTGGCAGATGCCAGGCTGTCCTGCCGCTCCAGTGGTGGCTTGGGCCGGAAGGCCATGTGCTGGCTGGGGTAGGCACCAGGGTAGGAGAGGTTGAGGGGAGGGTGCCCGTTGGTGCCCAGCCCACCAGCCCGTGGCTCCTCCACCACTGTGCATCCGTCGTCCCAGTCATCCCAGTCATCATCATCATCCTCCTCAAAGCTACCCTGGTTTGAGAGGAAGCCACTGCCCCCACCACTCCTAGCTGGGCTGGCCACACTGGGGCTGTTGTACAAGCTCACCTGGGCTCCGGGAGAGCCTGCAGGGCTGCTGGAGTAGTCAGCATGGTTGGTGCTGATGCCAGAACGGACGATCTCCACATAAGAGGCAGGAAAGAGCCCTGTCTCCCCACGGCTGTTCTGGCCCTGCAGCCAGCCATCCAGTGAGGTCTCGCTAAAGATGACCAGGTCCTCATCCTGCTGGATGCTGATTTCCTCCTTGTTCTCACTGTGAAAGTCATAGAGGGCTCGGCCTTTCAGTGCCATGGCTGGGCTGGGTGGTATAGAAAGATGGGAAGGAGAGGGTCCTGCCCAGACCGGGGATGCTCACAAGGCAGTCCAAGAATGCACTCGCAGCTGAATGGCGCTTACACAGTTCAATCTCTCAGGTCCTAAGGTGGGGTCTCAGCACCCACAGATGCTGTCCAGTCTCCCCCTCTTCAAAGCAATGTCCATGGCCCAGAAACTGCCCTATCAGGTCTCCGGGCATATGCTTGTGAGCAGGGAGGGCTCATGTCCACAGTCTCCTCCTCCCTTAGCAGCCTCTGGGGGGTTAGAGGGGAATCTCTCCTAACTCCTACTCCCAGAAGAAAAGTCAAGTGACCTGGAGAAATCTGCCCTGCGAGGGGAAAAATTCGACACTTTCCACTGGAACAACGTTCTAAAATAGAAGAGACTCACTCTGAAACCACCATTCCAGAAACCCGGGCAGGGCTCGGCTGTCCCTCTGGCTCCCAGATTCTTTTGGCGGCTCTCGCTTTGGGAGGCTCTCACATTCCTCTGCAGATCTGCCCCTTCCTCCTTCCTCCTCTTGCTCCTGGGCCACTGGGTTTTCAAAAATCCGGAAAATCCAAGAGGGGCAAGGAGAAAAGCAGCAGCCGCCTGAATCGAGTCCAAGGGTGGATGTGTCCGGCTTCACAACGAGCCAGGCCGGGAAAACAAGGACTGAGGCTTACACAACAGGCCGCCAACTCTTCGACCCCGGCTGCGCAGCCGGAGCCCCCGCCGGCTCGGGCGCCCTCTCCCCGCCCCAGAAGTGGCCAGCCCCAACCCCGGAGGAAGGAGGGGGCGCGACGAGGCTGTCGGGCGACTTCTAGCCACTCGCTGAGTGGTCTCTTTTGTTTGCCTAATTCCTCAGCAGTTTCTGAGCCTGACGCTGACCCTGCTCTGAATCCCAGGAACCCCGTCCAAAGGTAACCCCAGCAGAAACCGGTTCCTCACCCGGGACTTACGACCCCCGATCACCACCCTCGCGTGCACGCACACACTCAACAGTTTGGAGTTTGGAGAGTGAGCTCCGGCGAGCAGATGGCGCGGCCAGCCGTCTGTCCGTCCGTCCTCCTCTCCGCCCTGCGGGGCCCGGCCAGTGGGGGGCGGGCTGCGCCCCCAGCCTGCCTTCCCCGGCGCTCGCAGACCCTCCGCTCCGCCAGCGAGAAGGCAGCTCCAAAACAAAAAGGCGATTCCGGGAGGTGGCGTCCTGAGGAAGGAGGGGATCGCCAAAGGGGAGGTGAGGGGTGGGGAGAGGGAGGAGGGAGGGGGAAGCAGGCTGGAGAATCGGGCAAACTCCGCTGCACTTCCGTGCGTCCCGGCGGGGCAGGGACGGCCAGCTCCGCCCTCCCGCGGGCCCGGGGCGCTGCAGCCGAGCCCCCGCCTACTCCTCCGCGCGGCTTCCCAGCTGGCCAGCGCCCTCGCTCGCTGGCGCTCAGTCCGGGAGGCGAGAGGGAGGAAACGACCCGGGAACGAGGGGGCCCGAGAGCCTCCGGGGCTGGTCCCTGGGACCGCCACCTCCCCTCCTCTCCCTCCGCCTGTCCGCCCTCGCCGGGAGACACCTCACGCCCCCGTGGTTGGAGCGCCCGGCGGGGGAGCTTGCCAGCTGCCGCTGCCTCGCTTCCTGGACTCCGTCATCCTCCTGCCTTTTCCGTGACGCAAATGGAGTAAAACTCCGAAAGTTTGCAAAGCGTGGGGCTGCAAGGAGCACCGCGCCAGAGCCAGGATCGGGAGATCGGGGTGGGGGGAGGGGGGTGCGTGGAAAGCCGCCGCGCCAGCTGGGGTTGGGGAGCAGAGTCGCGGACTCGCCTTCCCACCTTCCCATTCCCCACTCCTGCTCCGCAGGGACGGGTCGTGGCGCAGCTCAGAGATTGTTTTCCGGAGGAACAGAAACGGCCTGCGCGTTCCAGGCGTCTGACCTAAGATACCGAGAGCTGCGGGTGCAGCACCCTAGCCAGACAGGGCGACCCTGCCCTGGGCGACTAGCTTGGAAGGAGGGAAAGACACTACTCTACATCTGCAGCGACAGGGAACAAGTCTAGGTGCCACCCGGTTCCGTGTTGCTTAGTACAGCAGCGGGGACTGGATGTTCTGTGCTAGCCAGCGGCAGCAAGGAGAGAAGTGGTCAGGTAGAGAATCTTCGAGAAGAGGCAAGTGGGATCTGACCCTCGGTCAGCATATCGGGAACACTTTGGGCATTGATTCTGCTAGGCACTGTGCTGGGCACTGGGGAGTAGTACACCACAAGGCAGTCGGGGTTTCTATCCTGGGGGGCTTACAGTCCACCCTCTCTTGTCTTTAATCAATCCATTCTGTCTCAGTCATTCATTCAGCCAAGTCATGCACTCAAGAAACATTAACTGAGTACCTACTCTGCACCAGGCCCCTGAGCTACAAAGACAAATAAGACATTATCCTTATTTTCCAAAAGCTCAGATATGTTGTGACAAGTAGACAAATGCTCCCTGCCCAGTGTGACTAGTTAGTGCCATGAAAAGTGCACATGAGGGTACCTACCCCAGCCTGGGTAGAGCAAGGATCAAGGAAAGCTTCCTGAAGGAGGAAGTGCCTAAGATGAGGCAAAGGCTTCAGGAGGACTCCCTTTCCTGGCTATACCCTGGAGTCTTGTCTACCCTGTCTAGCTAGATCTTCCCTTCATTCTCTCCCTAGTCACTTATTGCAGATTAACTGGTACAAGGTAGTTCTGCTAAAGATGGATACCTTTGGCTGTTTTGAGGGACATGGTTCCCAGACCTCTGGCTCCAAAACCCAGTTTCACTGGTTCAGTGAGTGGATCCGACTCCCTTCGCAGGTCTGGCATTTGACCAGAATAAAGGCCTATGTACAAACCCCAGAAGGCTAGGTATCAATTTGCACAGAGAAATAAAACTGTCAAGCAGAACTGAATTTCTGCATCAATAGATCAAGGCAGTTTGGGCTACCCCTTGGGAAGCCCAGTTACCAGAAAGTTAGCTCAGTGAGTCTGGAACCCCCAAGAGGGGAAAGGGTATGAGGAGTCTCTCAGTCAAGTAACCTTAAAACCTTGCTTCCTGTCATGGGGCAGCCTTCATTCTAAAGACAGTTCGTCCTAGCATCTCTAAGACAGAATATACGTTTTCCCCACGTGCTTTTAGGACCCCCCCCTTCCCTGTGATCTATCTTCTGTCCACATAGCCTTTCTCCAAACTGAGTTTAACAATAGCATCAGGGCTGGGTGCAGTGGCTCACACCTGTAATCCCAGCACTTTGGGAGGCCAAGGCAGGTGGATTACTTGAGCTCAGGAGTTCGAGACCAGCTTGGCCAACATGGCGAAACCCCATCTCTACTAAAAATACAAAAAATTAGCTGGGCGTGATGGCGCATGCCTGTAATCCCAGCTACTCAGGAGGCTGAGGTAGAAGAATTGCTTGAACCCAGGAGGCAGAGGTTGCAGTGAGCCGAGATTGTGCCACTGCACTCTAGCCTGGTGATAGAGCAAGACTCCAATCTCAAAAAAAAAAAAAAAAAGATAGCATCAGCCAGGTGAGGTGGCCAGGAGTGAGAGGCTGCAGTGAGCCAAGATGGTGCCATTGTATATGTCATTATACTCCAGCCTGGGGGACAGATCGAGACGCTGTCTCACAAAAAAAAAAAAAAAGCAAAAAAAAGCATCTACTTCCTTAGTGCTTGCTGAGTGATGGACACTACAGTAAACGCTTTACCTTTATTAGTTTACTTAATACAATTGGGATTTCTGTTCACCCAATAGGGTCCCCCTCCAGCCCAACCTCCCCGAGGCGTCCTCAGCCACCACCCTTGACAGACTTTAGTTGGTTCCCAAACACTCAGTCACACATTTACAGACCAGCCATTTTGGATTTACTCCCACATGTGTTCTAGACGGGTTTTTTTGTAACTCTCAGGAGCCACCCTTATTTCCAGGTTCTTGGGAGGAACTCACTCCTCAGCCTCACTGAGATTTCCAGAACCTGTATCTTCCCATTCCCTCCCCTCCAGGGACCTTCTTCAGTCCTAGGGGAAACAGGCCATGTTAGCAGTCTCAGGAAACTGCACTAACCCTTGTGATCTCCCTATACCCTGCCCATTCCTATGGAAACAGTCCCTTTAGTCAAGTCTCACATTATTCTTTTTTTCTTTTCTGTTTTTTTTTTTTTTTTTTTTGAGACAGGGTCTCACTCTGTTGCCCAGGCTGGAATACAGTGGCACAATCACAGCTCACTGCAGCTTCAACCTCCCTGGGCTCAGGTGATCCTCCCCACCTCAGCCTCCCAAGTAGCTGGAACTACAGGCACCCGCCACCACATCCAGCCAACTTTTGTATTTTTGTATAGGGGGCTTTTCACTATGTTGCCCAGGCTGATCTCAAACTCCTGGGCTCAAGCAATCCTTCTGCCTCGGTCTCTCAAAGTGCTGGGATTACAAGCATGAGCCACCACCCCCAGCCTCTCACGTTATTCTCACTGGGGTGTGTTCTGTCTTTCCTGCTGGGACCCTGATTCATACACAGGAAACAGCATCCATCCCTCATCCAGGCATCCAATTTCCATCCTTTAGGAAAGGAAACAGCAAGGGAGAACTGTGCCCAGTGGTTTTCAGGCTGACTCTGCTGGTGGCAGCCTGCAGGACACACTGGACTATTACTGTAGGAATGCAGACAAAAGATGATGAGGGCCTGACATAGGGCAGGGGTAACAGGCTGGAGAGACAAAAATCTGGGAGAGCTTTTGGAGGTAGAATAGACTGGGAAAGCAACCAATAAGCTGCAGCTATTGAGTGAAGTATCAACCCACATGTTAAAAAAGATTTTTTTTGAGGCCGGGCATGGTGGCTACTGCCTGTAATCCCAGCACTTTGGGAGGCTGAGGTGGGCGGATCACGAGGTCAAGAGGTCGAGACCATCCTGGGCAACATGGTGAAACCCCGTCTCTACTAAAAATACAAAAATTAGCTAGGCATGGTGGCGTGTGCCTGTAGTCCCAGCTACTCAGGAGGCTGAGGCAGGAGAATCGCTTGAACCTGGGAGGCAAAGGTTGCAGTGAGCCGAGATTGCACCCGCCACTGCGCTCCAGCCTAGCGACAGAGCAAGACTCCATCTCAAAATTTTTTTTGACTCCACTTTCCCCACCAGCTATTGCCCCATTCCTCTGCTCACCTTTGCAGCAAAATTCCTTGAAATAGCTGTCTATACTAAGTGCGTCCAATTTTTTTTCTCCTGTTCTCTCTTTAAATCCCTCTGGCCAATCTTTTACTCCCACACTCCACTGAACTATTCTTGTCAAGGTCATCAATAGCCTTGGTGTTGCTGGACCCTAATGGTTATTCTCAGTCCTTCTCTTATTTAGCCTTTTGGTAGCATTTGACCTGGTTGATCACTCCTTCCTCCTGGATACATTTTCTTCATTTGCATTGGAGAGAACATACTCTCCTGGTATTTCTTCCACCTCACTGGTTCATCCTCTTCTCTCCAATAATTCTTTTTTTTTTTTCTTTTTTGAGACAGTCTTGCTCTGTCACCCAGGCTGGAGTACAGTGGTGCGATCTCGGCTCACTGCAACCTCCGCCTCCCAGGTTCAAGCAATTCTCCTGCCTCAGCCTCCCAAGTAGCTGGGATTACAGGCGCCCGCCACCACGCCTGGCTAACTTTTTGTATTTTTAGTAGAGATGGGATTTCACCGTGTTAACCAGGCTGGTCTCGATCTCCTGACCTCATGATCCACCTGCCTCAGCCTCCCAAAGTGCTGGGATTACAGGCATGAGCCACAGCGCCCAGCAAGCCTCCAATAATTCTTAACGTTAGAGTAACCACAGTAGAGTTGTCCTCTTGTCTTTTGTATCCATAGGCACTCCTTTGATGATCTCATCCAGCCGAATGACTTCAAATACCACTCATTCTAGTAATGCCCAATTTTTTAAATCTCCAGCCCTTTTTAAAAAAACTCTTAACTCATATATCTATTTCTCCTTGACATCTCCCCTCAGAAGTCTAATGGATGCCTCCAACCAAAAATGTCCAAAATTGAATTTCTGAGCCGGGCATGGTGGCTTATGCTTGTAATCCCAGCACTTTGGGAGCCTGAGGTAGCAGGATCGCTTGAGCCCAGGAGTTCAACACCAGCCATGACAACATAGTGAGACCCCATCTCTACAAAAAATTTAAAAATTAGTAGCCAGGTGCAGTGGCTCACGTCTATAATCCCAGCACTTTGGGAGGCCGAGGGTGGGCGGATCACCTGAGGTCAGAAGTTCGAGACCAGCCTAGCCAACATGGCAAAACCCCGTCTCTACTAAAAATACAAAAATTAGCTGGGTGTGGTGGCAGGCGCCTGTAATCCCAGCTACTTGAGAGGCTGAGGCAGGGATAATTGCTTGAACCTGAGAGGCGGAGGTTGCAGTGAGCTGACATCGTGCCATTGCACTCCAGCCTGGGCAAGACTCTGTCTCAAATAATAATAATAATAAAATAAAAAATAAAAATTAGCTGGGCATGGTGGCATGTGCCTGTAGTCCTAGCTACTCAAGAGGATTGCTTGAGGCTGGAAGGTTGAGGCTGCAGTGAGCCTTGGTCGTACCACTGCACTCCAGCCTGGGCAACAGTGTGAGACCCTATCTCAAAAACAAAAACAAACAAAAAACATAAGTGTCAATCCTTTGCTCAAAACCCCGAAGTATATGCCTCTCAACATAAAAGCCAAAGTCTTTTCAAGGGACTACAAGCTCTTTAACCTCTTCCTCTCCTCCTTGCCCACTCTGCTCCAGCCAAGATAGCTTTCTTACTCTTCTGACATGCCAGGCACATTCCTGCCTTAAGGCATTTCCACTGTTTCCTCTTCCTGAAATGTTCTCCCCCTAGATATCCACACATGGCTTAACCCCTATAAAATATCACCTTCTCAATAAGACCTACTCTGGGGCTGGGTGCAGTGGCTCATGCCTGTAATCCCAGCACTTTGGGAGGCCAAAGTGGGTGGATCACAAGGTCAGGAGATGGAGACCATCCTGGCTAACACGGTGAAACCTCGTCTCTACTAAAAATACAAAAAATTAGCCAGGTGTGGTGGCAGGTGCCTGCAGTCCCAGCTACTCAGGAGGCTGAGGCAGGAGAATAGCTTGAACCCAGGAGGCGGAGGTTGCAGTGAGCCAAGATCACACCACTGCACTCCAGCCTGGGCGAGAGAGCAAGACTCGATCTCCAAAAAAAAAAAAAGAAAAAATCAATTAGATTAAAAAAGCAAACAATCTGTATTAGCTTTCTGTTTGTTTTAGAGACAGGATGTTGTTCTGTTGCCCAAGCTGGAGTGCAGTAGTGTGATCATGGCTCACTGCATCCTTGAACTTCCGGCTTCAAGGGATCCTCCCCCCTCTTACCCCGAAACCCTCACCAGTAGCTGGGACTATAGGTGCTGCCACCATGCCTGGCTAATTTTTTTTTTTTTTTTTTGTCCATAGGGACTGAGTCTTACTATGTTGCCCAGGCTGGTCTTGAACTCCTGGCTTCCAGTGATCCTCCCACCTTGGCCTCCCAGTGTTGGGATTACAGGCATGAGCCACCATGCCTAGCCTGGTGATGTTTTCTTAAACTGGCTAAGTTTATGAGTATTTATTATACTTTATAATTTACATATTATATTATTTTCCAGATATCGAATATTTTATATATATATATATATCTTTTTGAGACAGGGTCTGGCTCTGTTGTGCAAGCTGGGGTGCGGTGGCACCATTGTAGCTCAATGCAGCCTACAAGTCCTGGGCTCAAATGATCCTTCCCCCTCAGCCTCCCAGGTAGTCAGGACTACAGGTGCGCACCACCATGCTTGGCTAATTCTTTAAGATTTTTTACAGAGGTGGGATCTCGCTTCTTTTTTCTTTTTTTTTTTGCCTAGGTTGGTCTTGAACTCCTGGCCTCAAATGATCCTCCCACCTCAGCCTCCCAAAGTGCTGGGATTACAGGCATGTGCCACCGCGCCCAACCCTCAAATATTGTATTGTAAAAGACAATGAAAAGCATACAAAACAAAAATGATCAGTGAGAAGCTAGGTGGCGTCAAATGCCCGGGCAAAAAGGGGTTAGGTCTGCAGCGCTATACTCAGATGTAACTTACAGATGCAACTAGCGGAAACAGCATTAAATTTGTTAACTCAATGCTTGGTGGCCAGAAATTCATGTCAGGATAATTCATTTGAGCACAGACTAAAGGGTTTGGACTTGTAGTTATAGTCCAAGTTTCTCAAACTTGCTGGGTTTTATGAATCATCTGACACTTTAGTTAATAATACAGATTTCCAGGCGACTCCCTTATAGATCCCTTTTCTGTGGGCCTAGGAAGCAGCCAATCAGTATTTCATGGGTTCGGTGCCACCTATCCCAACTTGACAATGAGAGATCGCTCTGCATGCCAGGTGAAGGACCTGACGCTGGCGGGCGGCGGGGACTACCAGGTCAGCCCCAGGAGAGCCGGCTCCGGCAAGCTCCCCCAAGGCATGGCAGGAGCCCAGTGCAAGTTAGCACAGTAAACCCAATCAACAAGCCGCAGTCACCCCTCTTCCCCAGAAATGGCCTCTTCAGCTCTTGCGGGGGAGACTCTGAAAGTCCCCAAAGGACAGAAGTCTAGGAGGAAATGATTGCCGCAGAAAGGGATACAGTCTTGGCTACTAAAAACCGCGCGGAACCGCCTAGGGACCCGCTCCCAACCACCCACCTCCGGTGCTTCTACCCCCTCCCTCGCAAACGCGAAGAAAAGAAGAAACGCGAGATCCCAGTGCAGAGGCGTGGTCCCACCCTGGCCAATGGGAAGTGAGGGCGTGACTTTAAGTCTTTCTTTCATTGGCCCAGGGTCCCAGGCCGTCCAGGTCTTGGGGCGCCGCGGCGGAAATCGCGCGGATGCCAGAACGCGCTCTCAGCTTCGGGTCCTGCGGCTGCGGCTGCCGCCATCATGGTGCGGAAGCTTAAGTTCCACGAGCAGAAGCTGCTGAAGCAGGTGGACTTCCTGAACTGGGAGGTCACCGACCACAACCTGCACGAGCTGCGCGTGCTGCGGCGTTACCGGCTGCAGCGGCGGGAGGACTACACGCGCTACAACCAGCTGAGCCGTGCCGTGCGTGAGCTGGCGCGGCGCCTGCGCGACCTGCCCGAACGCGACCAGTTCCGCGTGCGCGCTTCGGCCGCGCTGCTGGACAAGCTGTATGCTCTCGGCTTGGTGCCCACGCGCGGTTCGCTGGAGCTCTGCGACTTCGTCACGGCCTCGTCCTTCTGCCGCCGCCGCCTCCCCACCGTGCTCCTCAAGCTGCGCATGGCGCAGCACCTTCAGGCTGCCGTGGCCTTTGTGGAGCAAGGGCACGTACGCGTGGGCCCTGACGTGGTTACCGACCCCGCCTTCCTTGTCACGCGCAGCATGGAGGACTTTGTCACTTGGGTGGACTCGTCCAAGATCAAGCGGCACGTGCTAGAGTACAATGAGGAGCGCGATGACTTCGATCTGGAAGCCTAGCGGATCTCCCACTTTGCATGGCTGTCTTTTACAGATGGGAAAACTGAGGCCTGATGCTGGAGATTCTATGAGGGTGCTCTCCTCAAGGGTATCAGACGGTCGTAGGTTCTTAAGAATTTGATTCATCAGTGGCAGGCCATGCATAGAGCCACGGGAGGTGCGTCCTTGTTTTCCAGGGAATGTTCTTAGAACTTGGACTACTGATTATTAATTGACTGTGCCTTGGGAAACAGTGGGAAGTAACTTGGTGCAGCACTGGGGTATTGTTGGCTTCTTGTGTTGGAAACTTTGTAATGTAAAAGGAAAAACTGGAAATCCCCACGCCCTGTTTCCCTTTATCGTCTTGTGGTTGGACTGGTTCAATTCGTTTAACTCGAATTCTTGCTCCTGGCCGTGGTTAAGCTGTGTACAGATGATGGAGAGTTTGGCCTCAAGTTTTTATAAACTGAGCGAGACTAGTGTTCAGGATCTCCTCCCTTGTTTAAATGTCAATAAATGCCCCAACTGCTTTGTAAGTGCAACTTTTTAATCTGTCTGGTTTTCTTTTTTTCTCTAGAGACGGAGTCTTGCTCTGTCACCCAGGCTGGAGTGCAGTGGCGCGATCTCGGCTCACTGCAACCTCCGCCTCCCGGGTTCAAGCAATTTTCCTGCCTCAGCCTCCCGAGTAGCTAGGAGTATAGGCGCCCGCCACCGCGCCCGGCTAATTTTTGTGGTTTTAGTAGAGTCAGGGTTTCACCATGTTGGCCAGGCTGGTCTGGAACTCCTGAACTCGTGATCCGCCCGCCTCGGCCTCCCAAAGTGCTGGGATTACAGGCATGAGCAAACTGCGCCCAGCCTCTGGTTTTCTTACATAGAGTCATATTTATACGTCCCAGGAGCCCAGAGAAGAATAGAGTCAGCAGCGAGTGACCTGCCTGTGGATTAGATGTGCAACAGGGCCACATGTGGAGGATGCAGGATGTTGTACAGGATTGGGCAAATTTGTCACTTTACCAGTCCCTTCCTTGGAATGAGTGTTTTGGCAGAGCTCTTCCTCACATAACTTCCTGTTGATATTCCAGCCCCAGGAAATACCGTATTAGAGGGCTGGGATGTTTGCTTGCCTAAGGAAATAATCACTCTGTAGCTTGGCCATCTAGCGGTTAGAAGTGGCCCAGGAGGTTCCTGGAAATTTAGATGATAGCAGTGATAGAGAATAAGAAGGGAGACTACCAAGTTTTACTCAAGATTTCTTTATTCTTTTTTCTTTTTGTTTTTTTTTTCACACAAGGCCCAAGCTGGAGTGCAGTGGAGCTGTCACAGCTCACTGCAGCCTCGATCTCCTGGGCTCAAGCAGTCCTCCCACCTCAGCCTCCCCAGTAGCTGGGATTATAGGCATGTACCACCACCCCTGGCTAGTTTTTAATTTTTGTAGACACAGGGTTTTGGCATGTTACCTAGGCTGATCTCAAACTCCTAAGTTCAAGCAATCCTGCCTCAGCCTCCCAAAGTGCTGGGATTACAGGTGTGAGCCACCGTGCCTGGCCAAGCCTTCTAAAAGGAGAATAAATAGGATGCCGAGATCAGTGGATTGGCTTTTAGTGGTGCCTTGTTCGCTTCCCCAGGTGTGAGGCAGCATTAGGTGAAGAAATGATTTAGAGAAGGGGACTTATTATATCATGGGATCATATAATACCAAGTACTTCTACTATATGTCAGCTCCATTTTTAAGTGCACCACCTATATTAGCCCATTTCAACCTCCCAGCAATCCTATGAAGTGGAGAATCCAATTCTCTACTTTTCAGATGAGGAAATGGAGGCAGAGATGGGTCAAATTACCAAAGATTACGTAGCCAGTAAGCAATGGACTGGGACTGTGTCAGTGTCAGCACACCCAGCCCTTGATGTGTGTCAGAGTTTAGAAAGAGTCTCTGAACTTGAATTTACAAACCAGCAGGGAAAAGCAGCAGCACTAGGCAATTCGATCGGTCTCCACAGGATGCTGTATAAAGGTGTGAGGAGGGAGCAAACATTGAACTGGGAAGGCATTAAGGAAAAGGTGATATTCAAGTTAGGAAGGGAACTAACTCTCATCTAGGCCCTGCTAGTTCTAGGCTGCCATTTACTCTTACCAACAACTCTGCAAGGTAGGTGGTGGTATCTGTAACTTCAGTTTGGGAAACAATTGGAATAGCAACCTGTCCAAGGCTAGGTTTCGAGTCCAGTCTCATGTGACTCCAGAGGCCATGTTTGTTTCAGTGCTGTCCCTTTATAAGTGGAAGGAGAGAGAATCCTGCTCTCCAGCTCTGGTGGCTGGGCATAGTCTGCCCATTTGGAGGAACATCCTCAGGGCTCCCAAGATTGTGGATCTCATGGAGGAAAAACAAAGTGGCTCTACAGGGCAGGACCCCTGTGGCCCTCCAGCTCCCACCAGACCCCACAAGGCATGGCAGATAGATCAGCCCCTTTGGAGTAATTGGAGCCTGCACCCATGGCCCAAGCAGATAAAAACCTCAAAATTCAGGCCAGGCGCGGTGGCTCATGCCTGTAATCCCAGCACTCTGGGAGGCTGAGGTGGGCAGATCACTTGAGGCCAGGAGTTCAAGACCAGCCTGTCCAACATGGTGAAACCCCATCTCTAGCAAAAATATAAAAATTAGTCGGGCGTGATGGCACATGTTTGTAAACCCAGCTACTTGGGCTAGGTTTGCAAAGCTGAGGCTGAGGCAGAAGAATAGCTTGAACCTGGGAGGCAGAGGTTGCAGTGAGCCGAGATCATGCCACTGCACTCCAGCCTGGGCGACAGAGTAAATAAATAAGTAAATAAATAAATAAACAAGAATAAAAGCTTTAGATTTAAGAAAAAAAATCTGCTAGGCATGGCGGCTCATGCCTGTAATCCCAGCACCTTGGGAGGCTGAGGTGGGCAGATCACCTGAGTTCAGGAGTTGGAGATCAGCCTGGCCCATGTGGCGAAACCCCGTCTGTACTAAAAATACAAAAATTAGGCGGGCATGGTAGTAGCCACCTGTAATCCCAGCTACTCAGGAGGCTGAGGCACAAGAATCTCTTGAACCCAGGAGGCGGAGGTTGCAGTGAGCCAAGATCGCACCACTGCACTCCAGCCTAGGGGACAGAGTGAGACTCTGTCTGAAAAAAAAAAAAGAAAAGAAAAAAAATGTAAGACAGTGATTCAGAAAGCAAGCTCTGGAGCCAAATAGCCTAGTCTGAGTCCTGACCCCTATGCTTAGCTAGCTGTGTAACATTGATTGTTTTACCGAGCCTCTCTGTGCCTCCGTTTTCCTCATCATAAAAATGTGGTAATATTGGAGGGGGGTGTGGAATTACTGTTTAATGGTACAGAGTTTCTGTTTTGGGTGATGATAATGTTTTGAAGGCTGGGCGTGGTGGCTCACTCTTGTAATCCTAGCACTTTGGGAGGCCGATGCAGGTGGATTGCTTGAGCCCAGGAGTTCAAGACCTGGGCAGCGTGGAAAAAAAAAAAAAAAAAAAAACCACAGAAATTAGTTGGGTGTGGTGATGTGTGCGTGTAGTCCCAGCTACTTGGGAGGCTGAGGTGGGAGGGTCACCTGAGCCCAGGGAGGTTGAGGGTGCAGTGAGCCATGATCACGCTCCAGCCTGGGTGACAGAACAGAGTGAGACCCAGTCTCAAAAAGAAAAAAAAAGTTTTGGAAAAACTTTCACAATGTAGAACAACACATTTCACATTCACAATGTAGTACAATGTGGTATAGTACAATAGTGGTGACTGTTGTACTACATTGCGAGTGTAATTAATACCACTGAATTAACACTTAAAAGTGGCTACAATGGTAAATTCTATGTTATGTATATTTTACCACATTTTTTAATGTGAAAAGGTGGGGGTAAAAAATAGTACTGACATTAAAAATTGTAGAGAGGAGGTCGGCGCGGTGGCTCACGCCTGCATTCCCAGCACTTTGGGAGACCAAGGCAGGTGGATCACATGAGGTCAGGAGTTCGAGACTAGCCTGGCCAACATGGTGAAACCTCATCTCTACTAAAAATACGGGCGTGGTGCTGCACGCTTGTAATCCCAGCTGCTCGGGAGGCTGAGGCAGGAAAATTGCTTGAACCCAGGAGGCAGAGGTTGCAGTGAGCCAAGATCGTGCCACTGCACTCCAGCCTGGGCAACAGAGCAAGACTGTCTCAAAAAAATAAAAAATAATCACTCAGCTAGCTAATAATGGCTACCCCAGCAGTGCTTACCACGCCCCAGGCTTTGTGCTGTCTCATGTAGTCCTCACAACAACCTTATGGGCACTATTATTATGGCCATTTTATCACTGACAGAACTAAAGCTCAAAGACAATAGCTTACCTGAGTCACAGAGTTAGCAATGGAGGCAGGTTTGCACCTAGTTCTCTCTGACTCCAGGTTCCACAATTTTAGCCACTCAGATACACCGGGACTGAGCCTACTATGGCTTGGAGCAGTGGTTCTCAAACTTGACCATGCCACATTTGAACCTTGGGGAAGGATTGTGAAAACAGATGCTGTCTCCACTCCATTCATGTTTCTTTTTTTTTTTTTTTTTTTTTTTTTTTTGAGATGGAGTCTTGCTCTGTTGCCCAGGCTGGAGTGCAGTGGCGCGATCTTGGCTCACTACAAGTTCCGCCTCCCGGGTTCACACCATTCTCCTGCCTCAGCCTTCCGAGTAGCTGGGACTACAGGCGCCCGCCACCACGCCCAGCTACTTTTTTGTATTTTTAGTAGAGACGGAGTTTCACCGTGTTAGCCAGGATGGTCTCAATCTCCTGACCCCGTGATGCGCCCACCTCGGCCTCCCAAAGTGTTAGGACTACAGGCGTGAGCCAACGCGCCCAGCCCCCTTCATGTTTCTGATTCAGGAGGTCTGGGGCGGGCCTGAGAATTTGCATTTCTAACAGGTTCCCAGGTGATTTTGGTGCTGCTAGTCAGGGGACCACACTTGGAAAAGCACAGGCCTTGTTCCTAGCCCAGTGCTTGGCACAGAGCAAACATCATGCAGATGCTGCATCCTATTCCAGCAGCAGAGGGGCAGAGAGGCTGCAGGGGCTTCAGGGAAGAGGGGTCTTGTCCGCCTCTGACTTGCTGCGGGACTGGGGGCATAAGCTTCTCCTTCTCTCTCTAGGCCTCCCTCCATCTCCTTTCTATGATAGGAAGAGGCAGGACGAGATGGCTCTAGTTTCTGCTCTGTTTCTGATTTAGAGAAAAGGATATAAAAGAGTGCTGTCAACACTTGCAAAGTAGAGAAGAATTTAGACGTGCTTCACTGCCCCAACAATCCCCAGCCCTGGCTCCAGAAAGCTGTGCAATCTTTAGGACAAACCTTGGTTTTAACATCCAAGAAAGGCCGGGTGCGGTGGCTCATGTCTATATTCCCAGCACTTTGGGAAGCCGAGGCGGGTGGATCACCTGAGGTCAGGAGTTCAAGACCAGCCTGGACAACATGGAGAAACCTTATCTCTACTAAACATACAAAAAATTAGCCTGGTGTCGTGGCAGGCCCCTATAATCCCAGCTACTCAGGAGGCTGAGACAGGAGAATCGCTCAAACCCAGGAGGTGGAGGTTGCAGTGAATCCAGATCAGGCCATTGCACTCCAGCCTGGGCAACAAGAGCGAAACTTCATCTCAAAGAAAAACCAAAAAAAATCCAAGAATGGGTCCCAACTTTGAAGCCCCTGGGCAGTTTGTAAAGGACATTTCCCCCCTACCTGGGGCCAGGCTGGTTCCCTGCATGGAAGGGCAGAATCTCAGCAGAGATGAACCAAATCACTCATTCATTCAGCTCATGAGCTGAAACTCAGGAGTGAAAGTAGACCCCTTAAAATATGAGGCAGGGCCCAGGTGCAGTGGTTTATGCCTGTAATCCCAGCACTTTGGGAAGCTGAGGTGGGAGGATTGAGCCCAGGAGTTTGAGACCAGCCTGGGCAACATAACCAGACCTTGTCTTTACAGGAAAAAAAAAAAAAAAAAAAAAGTAGCTGGGCATGGTGGCATTCACCTATGGTCCCAGCTACTCAGGGAGGCTGAGGTGGGAGGATCACTTGAGCCTAAGAGGTAGAAGCTGCTATGAGCTGTGATCACACCACTACACTCCAGCCTGGGGAACACAGCAAGACCCTGTCTCAAAAAAAAAAAAAAAATACAGGGCAGGCAACATTCCATGGGTCCATGGGATAAAAATCAGGGGTTTTGGCCAGGTTTATGCCTATAATCCCAACACTTTGGGAAGCCAAGGTGGGTGGATTGCTTGAGTCAAGAGTTCAAGACCAGCCTAGTCAACATGGCAAAACCCCATCTCTACTAAAAATATAAAAATCAGGCCTGGCGCGGTGGCTGAAAGTGCTGTAAACGCCCAAAGTGCTGTAATCCTAGCACTTTGGGAGGCTGAGGCTGGTGGATTGCCTGAGCTCAGGAGTTCGAGACCAGCCTGGGCAACACAGTGAAACCCTGTCTCTACAAAAAATTGGCCGGGTGTGACGGTGTGCACCTGTAATCCCAGCTACTTGGGAGCCTGAGGCAGGAGAATTGCTAGAACCCGGGAGGTGGAGGTTGCAGTGAGCCGAGATCGCGCCACTGCACTCCAGCCTGGGCAACAGAGCAAGACTCTGTCTCTAAAAAAAAAAAAAAAATCAACTGGGTGTGGGGGCAAGCACCTGTAGTCTCAGCTACTTGGGAGGCTGAGATCAGGGGATTGCTTGAGCCCGGGAGGTGGAGGTTACAGTGAGCCAAGATCACAGTACCGCACTCCAGCCTGGGTGACAGAGTGAGACCCTGTCTCAAAAAAAAAAAAAAAAAAAAGCCAGGCCCGGTGGCTCACGCCTGTAATCCCAGCACTTTGGGAGGCCGAGGCAGATGGATCACGTGAGGTCAGGAGTTCAAGACCAGCCTGGCCAACATGGTGAAACCCCATTTCTACTAAAAATAAAAAAAATTAGCCAGGCATGGTGGTGCGCGCCTGTAATCACAGCTACTCAGGAGGCTAGGGCAAAAGAATCACTTGAACCCTGGAGGCAGAGGTTGCAGTGAGCTGAGATCATGCTACTGCACTCCAGCCTTGGCAACGAGCAAAACTCTGTCTAAAAAAAAAAAAAAAAAAAGTCAGGAATTTTGGAGTCCGTAAGGGCTGAAAGTCTGGATTAAAATTCTCACCCAGTCACCCTCTGCCTGTACCTAACCTGGGCAAACTATGTCACCTCAAGTCTGGGCAAGCACTTTTGTCTGCAGAGAAGAGATTCTCTTGGGCTCACCTAAGTAGGTGTCAATTTATTTATTGTAGATATAAGTAAATCAGTCATGGAGGGGTTATTTTATAACAAGTTAAAGACTAACAAAACAGCACTTTTAAAGACTTACTCTGTGCCAGGTACTATTCTAATCACCTCACCTAGATTAGCTCAATGAAACTGTATAACAACCTTATGAGCTAGGTGCTGTTGTTAACCACATTTTACAGAGAGGGTAATTGAGCACAGAAGGTGAAATAACAAACCCAGGCCACTGTGCCAACAGGTACCTGAGTCTGGATTTGGATCTAGGCCATCTAGCTCCAGGGCCCAAGACCTTAATCCTTAACCACTTTCATGATTTCTCTCACCCAGGACTGGGGCTCAGGGACCTTGGGATGGGGGTGGGTTGGGGTGGGGTGGGAGTAGGGAAGAGGTTTGGCTCCCTGGAGCTTTAGGGTCCCCTGTGGCTGCAGTTTCTGTACCCTGGCTCCTGTGACCCCCTTTGATGCCTGACTTTGCCACCCTTTCACGTCTGCTTCTCCCTCCTAGCATAACTGGCTTCTTTTTTTTTTTTTTTTTTTTTGAGATGGAGTCTCATTCTGTTGCCCAGGCTGGAGTGCAGGGGCATAATCTTGGCTCACTGCAAACTCTGCCTCCTGGGTTCAAGCGATTCTTCTGCCCCAGCCTCCCCAGTACCTGCGATTACAGGTGCGTGCCACCATGCCTGGCTAATTTTTGTATTTTTAGTAGAGACGGGGTTTCACCATATTGGCCAGGCTGGTCTCAAACTCCTGACCTCGTAATCCACCTGCCTTGGCCTCCCAAAGTGCTGGGATTACAGGTGTGAGCCACTGCGACCAGCCATAACTGACTTTTTTTTTTTTAGACTGAGTCTCGCTCTGTCGCCCAGGCTGGAGTGCAGTGGCACAATCTTGGCTCACTGCAAGCACTGCCTCCCGGATTCACGCCATTCTCCTGCCTCAGCCTCCCGAGTAGCTGGGACTACAGGCGCCTGCCACCATACCCGGCTAAATTTTTATATTTTTTAGTAGAGACGGTGTTTCACCGTGTTAGCCAGGATGGTCTCAATCTCCTGACCTCGTGATTCCCCCGCCTCGGCCTCCCAAAGTGCTGGGATTACAGGCGTGAGCCACTGCACCCGGCCCATAACTGACTTCTTTACTGTCCTACAAGGTGTCTCCAGGTGGCCAATGAGAAGCACTGGTCCTCAAAATGGCTTAGATGGTGCATGGCCTTGGCCTTTAACAACATCGATTTAGGGAGGAAGTTGTTCCCTTTCCTATTTTCTCTCAGATCTAATAAACCTCAGGGGGAAAGTTTTGGCTGGGGACTAGACTAGGACGCATGTATAATTCGTGCTAATTTCCCCTATTTTATGAGTAATAAACTGGCCAGGCATGGTGGCTTACACCTGTAATCCCAGCACTTTGAGAAGCCAAGGCAGGAAGATCTCTTGAGCCCAGTTTTTCAAAACCAGCTTGGGCAATATAGCTAAACCTCGTCTCTAAAAAAATAAATTAGGCCAGGCGTGGTGGCTCAGGCCTGTAATCCCAGCACTTTGGGAGGCAGAGGTAGGCGGATCACCTGAGGTCAGGAGTTCAAGACCAGCCTGACCAATGTGGAGAAATCCCGTCTCTACTGAAAAATACAAAATTAGCCAGGCATGGTGGCTCATGCCTGTAATCCCAGCTACTTGGGAGGCTAAGGCAGGAGAATTGCTTTTTTTTTTTTTTGAGACAGAGTCGTCTCGCTCTGTCGCCCAAGCTGGAGTGCAGTGGTGCGATCTCGGCTCACTGCAAGCTCCGCCTCCCAGGTTCACGCCATTCTCCTGCCTCAGCCTCCCGAGTAGCTGGGACTACAGGCGCGTGCCACCACGCCCAGCTAATTTTTTGTATTTCTAGTAGAGATGGGGTTTCACCGTGTTAGCCGGGATGGTCTCGATCTCCTGACCTTGTGATCCACTCGCCTCGGCCTCCCAAAGTGCTGGGATTACAGGCGTGAGCCACTGCGCCCGGCGGCAGGAGAATTGCTTGAACCCGGGAGGTGGAGGTTGCGGTGAGCCGAGATAGCACCATTGCACTCCAGCCTGGGCAACAAGGGCGAAACTCCATCTCAAATAAATAAATAAATAAGATAAATAAATAAATTAGCTGGGTGTGGTGGCATGCACCTGTAGTTCCAGCTACTTGAGAGGCTGAGGTGGAAGGATCACTTGAGCCCAGGTGATTGAGGCTGCAGTGAGTTGTGATCAAACCATTGCACTCTAGCCTGAGCAACAGAGTAAGACTCCATCTCAATAAAAAGAGTAACAAACTGTCCAGGTTTTATTTTTAGATTATATCTTAATCCTATCACATCCCCCGACATACTTTCATGCAAGGTCTGCTCACTGGCTTCCACGCCTCCACACTTGGTTGCCTACATTCAGTTGTCTACCAAGTAGCCAGCGGGAGCTCACTAAAGCTGGAATCTGCTATCTCATAACTGTTTAAAAACCCTCATCTGCAGACAGGCATGGTGGCTCACACCTGTAATCCCAGCACTTTGGGAGGCCAAGGTGGGCGGATCACCTGAGGTCAGGAATTCGAGACCAGCCTGGCCAACATGGTGAAACCCCGTGTCTACTAAAAATATAAAAATTAGCCAGGCATGGTGGCGCATGCCTGTAATCCCAGCTACTTGGGAGGCTGAGGCAGGATTGCTTGAACCTGGGAGACGGAGGTTGGAGTGAGCAGAGATCGCACCACTGCACTCCGGCCTGGGCGACAGAGCAAGATATGTCTCAAAAACAAAAACAACCCCCACGCACCCCCCAAAAAAATAAACCCTCTTCAGCAGTGGAGGTAAAATCCAAACTCCCCACCGTGGCCTGAGGCCCTTACCTGCCCCTGTGTCCCAGCAGCCTCTGTGATCTTACCTCCCTCCATTTCCCCTCTGGGCTGGACACCTTCCTGCTCTCAACCTTCTCTTTTCTAAGTAAGGATTCTCCTGCCCATGGGCAACCAGAAGATTTTAAGGGGTACACAGATTCCACTTTAATGACATTGAATAATAGAGTGAGAAAGTGGTTCTTCCCTCTTCTGTCCTCTTTGAATTTTTCTGATTACGTCAAAGAAAAATTCTGTTAGTGTGACTCCTTATCACTTCAACACTTGCTAATCTCTGATTTTTACAAAGTCCCCAGACTTACAGCTTTCTGCAGACATCCATATCTATCTAGCAAGATTATATTAGGTTGGTGCCATTAATTTTAATGGCAAAAACTGCAATTACTTTTTTTTTTTTTTTGAGAAGTAGTTTCACTCTTGTTGCCCAGGCTAGAGTGCAATGGCGCCATCTTGGCTCACCACAACCTCTGCCTCCTGGGTTCAAGCGATTCTCCTGCCTCAGCCTCCTGAGTACCTGAGATTACAGGCATGTGCCACCACGCCCGGCTAATTTTATATTTTTAGTAGAGACGGGGTTTCTCCATGTTGGTCAGGCTGGTCTCAAACTCCCGACCTCAGGTGATTTGCCCGCCTCGGCCTCCCAAAGTGCTGGGATTACAGGCGTGAGTCACTGCGCCCGGCCAAAAACTGCAATTACTTTTGCACCAGCCTATAACATTATTTTCACGTATTTATTTATTTACTTATTTTTGAGATGGAGTTTCGCTCTTGTTGCCCAGGCTGGAGTGCAATGGCGCGATCTCGGCTCACTGCAACCACCGCTTCCTGGGTTCAAGCAATTCTCTTGCCTCAGCCTCCCGAGTAGCTGGGATTACAGGCATGCACCACCATGCCCAGCTAATTTTGTATTTTTAGTAGAGACAGGGTTTCTCCATGTTGGTCAGGCTGGTCTCGAACTCCTGACCTCAGGTGATCTGTCTGCCTCAGCCTCCCAAAGTGCTAGGATTATAGGCATGAGCAATGTATTTATTTTATAGATACCTTCTAATAAAGTGGGAAGTGATTGATGTAAGGTAATGCTATGATGTTGCCCTTTTTTTTTTTTTTTTTGAGACAGAGTCTTGCTCTGACACCAGGCTGGAGTGCAGTAGCGCGATCTCGGCTCACTGCAACCTCCGCCTCCCAGGTTCAAGTGATTCTCCTGCCTCAGCCTCCCGAGCAGCTGGGACTACAGGCATGCGCCACCATGCCCAGATAATTTTTGTATTTTTAGTAGAGATGGGGTTTCACCATGTTGGCCAGGATGGTCTGGATCTCTTGACCTTGTGATCTGCCCGCCTTGGCCTCCCAAAGTGCTAGGATTACAGGCATGAGCCACCACACCTGGCCAATGTTGCCCTTTTAAATAAATGTAGTCAGGCTTTTTTCTTAAATTAATTGATTTAAAGACATAAAGCACAGTGTGTGCATGTGGCCAACATTCTGAAGCTGAGATTCCAGAGGTAGCCCCTTCTGAAACACCCACTGGCTCTAAATGAACCCCTGGGCCAGGTGCTCTGGTTTTTGTTTGTTTTGAGACAGAGTCTCCAGGCTGAGTGCAGTGGCAGGATCACAGCTCACTGCAGCCATGACTTCCTGGGCTCAAGTGATCCTCCCACCTCAGCCTTCCAAGTAGTTGGGATCATGACTCATACCACTACACCTAGCTAATTTTTTTTTTGTGGAGATGGGTTTTTGTCATGTTGCCCAGGCTGGTCTCAAACTCATGGGCTACTTCCACCTTGGCCTCTCAAAGTGGTGGGATTACAGGCATGAGCCACAGTGCCTGACCTGGTTTTGTTTTGTTTTTTCAGTGATATGGGAAGTTATTCAGCTAGGTGTGAGTGAGGAACTAGAACATTTCTCCTGGACCTCCAGGCATGAATTTGGGAACTTCTTTCTCAGTCTCAGTCTATTTTCCTAAAATGTTTAAGGTCTTTATTCTTTTCTATGCAGCCCGACCATTAGATGTGACCTCCGTGGTTGTAAGGGATGGTTGTTTGGACACAAAATACCTAATATCCTGGGTGTCAAAATTCCCTAGTGAAGTCAGGCCCTGGACTTCTCTTTTTTGTCAGTCTCATAAATCAGGCAGACATGAGCTTTTATTTGTGGATGCACCAAATAAATACCCTAGTGGACAGCTTTGCTCAGCCTGGCCACTGAAAGAGCCACCTAAATAAAATCTCAGGTCCAGGCCGGGTGCGGTGGCTCACGCCTTTAATCCCAGCACTTTGGGAGGCCGAGGCGGGCAGATCATGAGGTCAGGAGATCGAGACCATCCTGGCTAACACAGTGAAACCCCGTCTCTACTAAAAATACAAAAAAATTAGCCGGGCATGGTGGCAGGCGCCTGTAGTCCCAGCTACTCAGTAGGCTGAGGCAGGAGAATGGCGTGAACCCGGGAGGCGGAGCTTGCAGTGAGCGGAGATTGCGCCACTGCACTCCAGAGCCTGGGCGACAGAGCGAGACTCCATCTCAAAAAAATAAAAAAAAATCTCACGTCCAGAAAAATTGGCCTTCCAGGGCCCCAGAACCCTTTTTACCAGTCTAGTAATAGCCTTTCATCAGCCTAATTTCCTATTCTTTTTAGTCTGAATGTATGGTGTAATGTGCATAAAATACACAAGTCCAAATTTTAGCATTCCGTGGACGCAAAATGTGCCAAAGGTGGATACTTTGCTTCTGTCATACATCGGTAGTCAACTTCCCTATACATCAAACTTTCAGCAAATTCAAACATTTTCCTTGAAAGCTGTGTTACTTTGGCCAAATTACTTAACCTCTCTGAGCTTCAGTGTGTCTACTTCCTCATGTCATGATTAAGAGTTAATATCTACTGGCTTAAAAAAGAAAAAAAAGGAAAAAAATTAAATGAGATGATGGGTGTGAAGCAGGGATTGGCTGAATGTAAGCATTCAATAAATATTCAGTTTTAAAATTGTAATCTCAGCCTTCCCGCCCTGCAGAGGCTACACCCTGGCAGGACTTAATCTCCTAAATCTCTGCCGCTTACCCTAGTCTTTTGCACCAATTTAATCATTCCTTCACGCAGGGTCTACTGAGCGCCATCCCTTGTGCTGGACTCTGGCTACTTAAATAGGAATCAAGCCAGGTCCCTACCATTGCTCAGCCCGCAGCCGAGTGGGAAAGAAGCTCGCAAAAGCAGCAAACAGGCAGTAATCGAGGTATGTATCTGCTTTTGTTAAGGGCAAGTGGGGGAGCGAAGGTCTGTGTCTGAAACTTGGGTGTGAGGGGTTAGTTGGAGTAATCCAGGCAATTGGCACTGCCCGTTTAAGAGCACGGGCCCAAGAGGGGAAGGGGACTCCAGGTGAAGCCCTAAGGCCCGGGAAGATCTGCGGGAGGCGGCAGGGCCCAGGGCGTTGAATGCCCGGCCACAAGATCAGCCTCCTCCCATTGGCGAAAGGAGCCCCGAAGAGCTTGTGTTCAGGAGGGAGGCCTCGGCCTGGTCAAGTCATCTAGCAGGAAGAGTCCCGGACAGTGCAAAGCAAATGCAAGAAGACCCCCTCCCTAGCCGATGGGAAATGCCCCAGCCGTTGAAGGCGGAAATAACGGCCTGTAGGCAACGGAACTCCCAGCGTTCGCAAAGGAGGGAGGAGCCGGAAACTCAGGGCGCGAGGCCTGTGGGCCCAGCGGTGAGGCAGCAGCTGGGGGCGGGGGGAGGGCGGACCTAGCTTCCCAGGGCAGGTGATTCGTCGGCCCCGGTGGCGGCGGCGCGTGCGACGGTCACCTCGGTTTGGGTGAGTCCCTGGGTTCGAGCCCGGGCCCCGCCAGCTGCCGAGTTGCCTCTCGGTGCCGGACTGTGACTCCCTCTGGCCGGCCCTGCACTCTGGCCTCCTGGGACGTCATCTGGAGGGATAGAGCCAGGCCTGGGACTCCTTTTGGGAGAGTTTCCGTTCTTCTATTCCGTGCTGTCCGGCCAGGACCCCTCAGGGACTTCTGTGGGGCAGGGGCGAATCATGCATGGCCTAGATGACCCCATGCCTAGAAAAAGGCAGTGCGGGGCGGTGGCGGCGCGCACGGCCGAGTGAAGCAGATAGCGTCCCCGGGGCTGGAGCCCGGTAGCAGGGGTAGGGAAACGCGGAGGCTGCCAGGATGCGGACCCAGGGGACGCGAGGCGGGGGCGCCGGATGGGGAGACGCGAAGGAGGGGGAAGGGGATGGGGGAGGGGGCTAGACAGGGAGGGAGGGTGGAGCGTGGGCGGGGCCTGGGGCGGGTCGGACTTTAGGGAGTTGGAGCGGGGGTTACTGGTGCTAAGACCACCTGGGGCTAAGGTCCGAACACTTGGAGGCAGCACCATCCAAGGAATGGGTTGAAACAGCAGGAGCCCGGCGGGGCGCAGTGGCTCACGCCTGTAATCCCAGCACTTTGGGAGGCCGAGGTGGGCGGATCACCTGAGGTCAGGAGTTTGAGACCAGCCTGACCAACATGGTGAAACCCCATCTGTACTAAAAATACAAAAAAAATTAGCCGGGCGTTGTGGCGCGTGCCTGTAATCCCAGCTACTCGGGAGGCTGAGGCAGGAGAATCGCTTGAATCCGGGAGATGGAGGTTGCAGTGAGCCGAGATCATGCCACTGCACTCCAGCCTGGGCAACAAGAGCGAAACTCTGTCTCAAAAAAAAAACAACAACAACAAAGAAAAAACAAAACGAAACAGCAGGAACCCGCCAAGAACAGCCTTGAAGGAAGGTAAAGGAACCGCCCCAGTATCCAGGACATCAGTTTTTCTTTTTTTTTTCTTTTTGAGACGAAGTCCAGGCTGGAGTGCAGTGGCACGATCTCGACTCACTGCAAGCTCCGCCTTACGGGTTCAAGCCATTCTCCTGCCTCAGCCTCCCGAGCATCTGGGACTACAGGCGCCCGTCACCATGCCTGGCTAATTTTTTTGTATTTTTTTTTTTTTTTTTAGTAGAGACGGGGTTTCACTGTGTTAGCCAGGATGGTCTCGATCTCCTAACCTCAGGTGATCTGCCCGCTTCAACCTCCCAAAGTGCTGGGATTACAGGCGTGAGCCACCGCGCCAGGCCCAGGACATCAGTTTCAAAGGTTGTGTGGTTCTTGGCAGAGCGGGAGCCCACACCAAGATAGTGCATGATAGGCCTAATAAAGGTGCTTTGGATTTGGTCATTACTTTGGTGATGAACTGAAAACATAATGACTTTTTAAAAATTTTTATCGGCCGGGCGCGGTGGCTCACGCCTGTAATCCCAGCACTTTGGGAGGCCGAGGCGGGCGGATCACGAGGTCAGGAGATCGAGACCATCCCGGCTAAAACGGTGAAACCCCGTCTCTACTGAAAATACAAAAAATTAGCCGGGCGTAGTGGCGGGCGCCTGTAGTCCCAGCTACTTGGGAGGCTGAGGCAGGAGAATGGCGTGAACCCGGGAGGCGGAGCTTGCAGTGAGCCGAGATCCCGCCACTGCACTCCAGCCTGGGCGACAGAGCGAGACTCCGTCTCAAAAAAAAAAAAAAAAAAAATTTTATCATGAAAGCTTTCAAACTTACACAAAAGTACAGAAAAGTAGAGACAATAGCATACATACCATTATGGATGATTTGAATAACATACCATATGGATCCCAAGCACTCATCATGAGGCCTCAGTCACTCAGGAATGGCAACCCTTGGTTGCATTGCAAAGATATTAAGGCACACCTCAAGCCGGGTGCAGTGGCTCATGCTTGTAATTCCAGCACTTTGGGAGGCTGAGGCAGGCAGATCACTTCAGGTCAGGAGTTTCAGACCAGCCACGCCAACATAATGAAACCTCTTCTCTACTAAAAATACAAAAATTAGCCGAGCATGGTGGTGCATGTCTATAATCCCAGCTACTCAGGAGGCTGAGGCAGGAGAGTTACTTGAACCCAGGAGGTGGAGGCTGCAGTGAGCCGAGATCACACCACTGTAGTCCAGCCTGGGAGACAAAGTGAGACCCTGTCTCAAAAAAAAAAAAAAGGCCGGGCGTGGTGGCTCACACCTGTAATCCCAGCACTTTGGGAGGCCAAGGTGGGCAGATCAGGAGGTCGGGAGATCGAGACCATCCTGGCTAACACGGTGAAACCCCGTCTCTACTAAAAAATACAAAAACAAAATTAGCCGGGCGTGGTGGCGGGCGCCTGTAATCCCAGCTACGCGGGAGGCTGAGGCAGGAGAATCACTTGAACCTGGGAGGCGGAGGTTGTGGTGAGCCAAGATCGTGCCATTGTGCTCCAGCCTGGGCAACAAGAGTGAAACTCTGTCTCAAAAAAAAAAAAGTTTCTTTTATGTTTAAAGGTTACAGAGGTTCAGTTATTCAAGATAAAAGGAGTTCTGGAGAGTTCTGCACAGCAGTGTTGAACATACTTAACTTTACAGAACTGTACACCTACAAATGGTTAAGATGATGAATTTCATGATATGTGTATTTAGCCACAATTTTTTTTTCTTTTTACAGACAAGGTCTTGCTATATTGCCCAGGCTGGCTTCGAACTCCTGGGCTCAAGCATACCTCCTGCCTCAGCCTCCAGAGTAGCTGGGACTAAAGGCAAGCACAACTGCACCTGGCAAACCACGATTTTTAAGTTCCTTTTAAATTAAACAAAATCTAATGTTTCAAATCAAGAAAAATATCTGACTTCACTTGTGCAATGGAAAGTAACTCACTGGCCAAGTAGAGGCCTATGGAGTTGTATTTTTCACTGTAGAGGCTCTGGAATGAACCTGTTGATTTTGATGCTCAGAGCACTGGACCTGGCCTGGGATGGAGGTTAAGCACTGGAGGTGCCCTCTGGTTTACACTAGAACCAAAGGGCTGGGCCAGCCCAGCAGTGCAAGTCAGATTTCTCCCAAATGTTCCTGTTTTCTTATAATCTAAGGCTCACAGGCGCTTGAATGAAGTGTGAATTCACCTTTCTCCCCACTCCCATTCTTTAGGGTCCACCTAAAGTGGGAAGTCTGTTTTCAAAATGACATCTACTCCATGCCTGTCTTGTTTCCCTAATGTACTTTATGGAAGTTCTTCACACTACTGGAGCATTGACGTTACTTGTTAAGCAGCCTTCCACATCCTAGCTCTTTTCCAAGTGAGTCCCACATAAGTAGCCCTGAAACCTTCTTTCTGCCCACCCAAAAACAAAACACAACTAGAATATGAGGAAGTAACAATCAGATTTTTTAAAAAATAAATTATAATTTAAAATAATTTTTTACTTTTTTATTTAAAAAGTAGAGACATAGTCTCACTACATTGTCCAGGTTGGTCTTGAACTACTGGCCTCAAGTGATCCTCCTGCCTTGGCCTCCCAAAGTGCTGGGATTACAGGCATGAGCCACCTGTAATCCCAGGTCGCTAGAGTTTGTTTTTTTGTTTGTTTGTTTGTTTGTTTTTTGAGATGAAGTCTTGCTGTGTCGCCCAGGCTGGAGTGCAGTGGCACGATCTCGGCTCACTGCAACCTCCGCCTCCCAGGTTCAAGCGATTCTTCTGCCTCAGCCTCCCGAGTAGCTGGGATTACAGGCGCCTGCCACCACATCCAGCTAGTTTTTGTATTTTTAGTAGAGACGGGGTTTCACCATGTTGGTCAGGCTGGTTTCGAACTCCTGACCTTGTGATCCACCCACCTCGGCCTCCCAAAGTGCTGGGATTACAGGCATGAGCCATCGTGCCTGGCGAGTTTGGGGTTTTTGATTGCTTTTGTCTTCCTCCAGGGACCCTAGAACCAGTGTTTCCTCTGGAATTAAATTTTCATAATATGAGTTGGCACTTAGTTGAGAATTAAATAACCAATTGAATAAACTGCATGGAGAGTTATATTGGTTAATGAGTGATGGCTATTCAGGAAACTGTAGAGGAACTGCTCAGAAAAGGCCGGGCGCAGTGGCTCACACCTATAATGCCAGCACTTTGAGAGGCTGAGGAGGGAAGATTGCTTGAGCCCAAGAGTTCAAGACTAGCCTAGGCAACATAGGGAGATCCCGTCTGTACCAATAAATTTTAAAATTGGCTGGGTGTGGTGGTGTATACCTGTAGTCTCAGTTACTGGGGAAGCTGAGGTGGGAGGATTGCTTGGGTCCAGTAGATTGAGGCAACAGTGAGCTGTGATTGCACCACTACACTCCGACCTGGGTGATAGAGAGAGACCCTGTCTCAAAAAAAAAAAAAAAAGGAAATATCTGTAGGAAAATAATGTTATTGCTAATATATGACTCATTTACCCTTTAACTTCCTTTTGTCTCATGGAAACACTTGTGATTTTGCATTAAGTTAATTTTTTTTCAGGAATGTGGCCATCATATCATAACTGCATAACTGTCTGTATACAGGAGATGATATGAAATGAATGAACCATTTTCTTACGTTTTCCTTTGTAGGGAAGATGGAAGAGTTGAGTCAGGCCCTGGCTAGTAGCTTTTCTGTGTCTCAAGATCTGAACAGCACAGCTGCCCCACACCCCCGCCTATCCCAGTACAAGTCCAAGTACAGTTCCTTGGAGCAGAGTGAGCGCCGCCGGAGGTTACTGGAACTGCAGAAATCGTAAGGAAGCTTTAACTCCTTGTCTTCTTTCTCTGGGCTAGGAGCTATGAACCATTCCGAAGGCTCTAGGCTTGTCTCTACAGACTCTCCCTTCAAAGTAGACTCTTTGTAGGCTGATCTTCTTGCCCACAGGTTGGGAGGGGTAAATCCTGGCAGAGGTAGGTTTCTTTTATACCCAGAGCTTAGGAGAAGATGAGGAATTAGGGAGACACCGAAGTTTGAAACCAAAAGCTCAATTATTTGGTTAAGTTTTTCTTTTTTTCCTGGCAGCTGTACTGAGCTCTGTGGTTTAGGAACTTGCGAAAGCCACGCCCAGACTTTCACTCCCCACATTTCCTGGGATGCTTGTGTTTGGCTTCTGCACTCTGAATGCTGGTATTGGTGTGGTCTTCCCATCTGCCTTCAGCCCAAATGTTTCTGTGGCACTCTTGGGAGTTCAAGACAAATAATTCCTAAGGGAATCTGAGGAAATGTCTTCCATATACTTAATTCTAAGTGCCAAGATGTGCAAACAGGGAAAGAGGGCAGGATAAGAGTGTTTGAGGCTGAGCTACTCTGAAGGCAGGGCCGATCCTTGTATTCTCAATGCAGCATGGGCCTCTTCTGGGTCATAAATTAAGGAATTAGGGATCAGAAGAAACTACTAACAGCTGCATAGTTTCCATACAGTCTGCATTTTGCCCAGTGTTGCATCACTGGTTGTGTTTGGCAGAGATGGTTCCCTGTGGCTCTGGGTGGCTTGCAGAATACATTCCCAGATCATTCCTCTCCCCATTTTTAAAAATGTAGTTATCTTTGAATAGGTAATACATTTGTATGGTTGAAAATTTAAAATATACATAAGAGGCCGGGCATGGTGGCTGACGCCTGTAATCCCAGCACTTTGGGTGGCCGAGGTGGGTGGATCACCTGAGGTCAGGAGTTCGAGACTGGCCTGACCAACATGGCGAAAACTTGTCTCTACTAAAAATACAAAAATTAGCCCGACATGGTGGTGCGTGCCTGTAGTCCCAGCTACTCGGGAGGCTGAGACAGGAGAATCACTTGAACCCGGGAGGTGGAGGTTGCAGTGAGCCGAAATCGCGCCATTGCACTCCAGCCTGGGCAACACAGCTAGACTCTCTCAAATAAATAAATAAATAAATAAAATAAATAGAAGAGTATATGGTGAGGTCTTCCCATTTCTGTCCCCTAGCTATCCAGTTCCTCTCCTATATTATTAGTTTCTGGTGTATCCTTCCAAATATATATATATTTTAGACAGGGTGTCACTGTGTTGTTCGGGCTGGAGTGTGCAGATCCCGGCTCACTGCAGCCTCAACCTCTCAGGCTCAGGTGATCCTCCCACCTCAGCCTCTGAAGTAGGTGGGACTACAGGCACACTCCATAGCACCTGGCTAATTTTTTTATATTTTGTAGGAACAGGGTCTCCCTATATTGCTCAGGCTGATCTTGAACTCCTAGGCTCAACTGATCCTCCCACCTTGACCTCCCAAAGTGCTGGGATTTCAGACGTCAGCCACTACGCCTGGCCCTTCCGAAGATATTCTATACATATATGAGCAAGTGTGTGTGGTAGTATGTGTACAAAAGCTTTTTTTTTTTTTGACTCTATCTCCCAGGCTGAGTACTGTGGCATGATCTTGGCTCACTGCAACCTCAGCCCCTCAAGTAGCTGGGACCACTGGTGCAGGCCACCACACCCAGCTAATTTTTTTATTTTTGGTAGAAACACAATTTCACCATGTTGCCCAAGCTGGTCTTGAACTCCTGAGCTCAAGTGATCTGGCCAATTCACCCTCCCAGAGGGCTGGGATTACAGGCAGGAGCCACTGCACCTGGCTTTTTTTTTTTTTTTTTTTTTTTTTTTTAACACAAGTAGCAGTATACTATATACTGTTCTGCACATTTATTTAGTGGTGTTTTGGGGGAGAAATTCTATATCAGTTCATAAAGTACCACATCATTCCTTTTTCGTGGTGCTAGGTATTCCGTGGAATGGATACTTCATAATGCCATCAAGCCAGTCCCTCCTGATGGGCATCTGGGCAGTTTTCTTCTCTTGTGATTACAAACAATGTTCAGGAAATAACCACAGACAGACTTTCTTTCACACATGTACAAATATACCAGCTCTTTTATTCTCGAGATAAAAGACCATTGTGCTTTCATATGTTCTCTCTGGTGTGTGCCTTTTTATAATGAGCATGAACATGTATGTGTTTAAGAGAAACCAGCTGTGTTGGTTTCACTGCCTCAGTGGTTGAATTCCTGCCTTAGCATTGAAGAAATCAAATGTGGGAGGTTATGTGGTATTTCCAAATCACTTTGAAACAATTAGGTTCCAAAAGATTCTTTTTTTTTCTTTTCAGTTTCCCAAACTTTCTAGCATGTGTTGTTTTAAAACAAGATAACGATAAAGGGAAACAAATAAATAAAATATATTAAATTGTAAACTAAGTGACCTTTTTTGAAAGTTAGACAGGAACTGGAGAAAGGCCTGGCTTCTGAGAAAGCTGTATAAGCTGGGCACAGTGGCATACACCTACGGTCCGTAAAAAAAAAAGTTCTCTTTAAAAACAAAAAAGGTGTATAAGGCAGAAATCTCCAGAAGCTGTCCTTGCTTTAGACTTCTCACTGCATCTCAGTGGCTCTTCTCTTCCACCCCTGGGGTCTTTGGATGAGATGTCTGCTAGGCAGGAAGGTGTCAGCTCTCATCTGGGGTGGGATGGGGTAGGGGTGAAGCTAGCCTTTCCATCTAGTGAACCTTGGAAATTTCTTTAGATATTTTATTTTGCATTCTTAGGAAACTCTGAGGAAGGCTGAGTGTATTCAGAGGGGGTTTCGCTATTTAGGATTTTGAGGGGGCGGTCACTGTTTTAGCCTTGCAAAGGAGATTCCATCATTTCTTACTTCCACCAGAATCCCCAAGTTGCTCCCAAATTTGGAGCTTTTGAATTAAATGTGTCGCATTATAGGGCATCTTCCTAAAAGACATAAAGACCTGCCCTGGCCAGATGCGGTGGTTCATGCCTAATAATCCCAGCACTTTGGGAGGCTGAGGCAGGCAGATCACTTGAGGCCAGGAGTTTGAGACCAGCCTGGGCAACATGGTGAAACCCCATCTCTACAAAAAATACAAAAATTAGCCAGGGGTGGTGGTGTGTGCCTGTAGTCCCACCTACTGTGGAAGCTGAGGTGGGAAGATCACTTGAGCCCAGGAGGTTGAGGCTGCAGTGAGCTGAGATTGCACCATTCCAGCCTGGGCAACAGAGCGAGACCCTGTCTAAAAAAAAAAAAAGAAGAAAAGATATGTCCTTATGCCTTTTTTTTCCTTCCAGCAAGCGGCTGGATTATGTGAACCATGCCAGAAGACTGGCTGAAGATGACTGGACAGGGATGGAGAGTGAGGAAGAAAATAAGAAAGATGATGAAGAAATGGACATTGACACTGTCAAGAAGTTACCAAAACACTATGCTAATCAAGTAAGTGGTCCAGAGAAGATGAGACCCAGCTAATCTCACTCCCTTTACTATGCAGTCAAAGCCCACTGAAATAAATGCTGTCATAAAGAGAGGAGAATGAGGCAGGAAAAAGGAATAGGAACTGCAAAGAACATGCCAGTGTACGTAGATCATATGGGATGATAAGTAGAGATGGCTTACTGTGCTATGGACTGACTAGGAATCACTGATGGAATCTGTGGGTAGTGGGGTTTGGGAACTATTAGCCTGTGCTGTTACCAAAGGCTGCCAGCCCACTGCAGAAAGCCCCTGAGCTATTGATATAGTAACACACTCCATATCCTTGTCATTTTTTTTAGTTGTCACTGCACAGCTGTTCTGGATTGGGCCTGCCCAGCCTACCACTGACTCCTTCCACTTCCCTGGGTGGTAGAGTCTTTCCCAGGCAGTGTACTATGAGGCCAGTCTTGAAATTTCACACTCAGGTGGTGGCAAGTGGGAAGTACAGCTGCCCTTGAATAAAGTGAGCCTGCCCAGCCACCCCAGACCAGCCAGCTGGCCAAGGTGAGGTTCAGGCCATGAAGCAGCAGATCACTATAATAAACCTGACTCAGTGCCCTTTTAGATCCAGAGAGGAAACCAACATGGCTGTGGTACCATAGGGAAAGAGGTATGGAGAGAGACTGTTCTTGTGTTCCAGGCAGCTCAGGTATTTCAGAAAGCAGGGTATGGGTCCAAGTTGGGATGGAGGTCTACCCTGCTATCATATACTTGTGTCTAGAACCCAAGTATCTTGTCATCTCAGAATTCTCCCCTGCCTTTAGAATATGGTTCCTGGGCCTGAGTGTGGTGGCTCATACCTGTAATCCCAGCAATTTGGGAGGCCAAGGTGGGAGGATTACTTGAAGCCAGGAGTTCAAGACCAACCTGGCTAACATAGTGAGACCCCATCTCTTTTTTTTTCTTTTTTGAGACAGAGTTTTGCTCTTGTTGCCCAGGCTGGAGTGCAGTGGTACGATCGTGGCTCACTGCAACCTCTGCCTCCCGGGTTCAAGCAGTTCTCCTGTTTCAGCCTCCCGAGTAGCTGGGATTACAGATGCCTGCCACCACACCCGGCTAAGTTTTTGTATTTTTAGTAGAGACAGGGTTTCACCATGGTGGACAGGTTGGTCTCGAACTCCCGACCTCAGGTGATCCACCCCCCTCGGCCTCCCAAAGTGCTGGGATTACAAGAGTGAGCCACTGCACCCGGAGAGACCCCATCTCTAAAGAAAAAAAAAAACACAATAGAATATGGTTATTGGATGCACTCCCACAGCCCCTTTCTTTACCCCAAATACAGTACAGATAACATCCTCTGTGACAAAGTACAATTCAATTTTGTTCAGTAAGCATTATTGAAAGACCTGCTCTGTGTTAAACTAGGCTATGACATGGGAAGATAGATGTGGAGCAGAAATAGCCCCTGTGCTCCTAGAATAGGTGTAGAAGATGTTTTGTGCTATAAAAAAGTGAGATGCTGGCCAGGTGCAGTGGCTCACGCCTGTAATCCCAGCACTTTGGGAGGCCAAGGCGGGTGGATCACGAGGTCAGGAGATCGAGACCATCCTGGCTAACATGGTGAAACCCCGTCTCTACTAAAAATACAAAAAAAAAATTAGCCAGGCGTGGTGGTGGCAGGCGCCTGTAGTCCCAGCTACTTGGGAGGCTGAGGCAGGAGAATGGTGTGAACCTGGGAGGCGGAGCTTGCAGTGAGCCGAGATCACACCACTGCACTCCAGCCTGGGCGACAGAGCGAGACTCCGTCTCAAAAAAAAAAAAAAAAAAAAAAAAATGAGATTCCTTCCAACCAAGGAGGAAGGAGGGGGTGTGAAATCAGAGAAGGGTTAATGAAGGAAGAGGCAGCCTTGAAGGGTAAGTAGGACATTAATAGATAGAAGTGCAGTGCATTTTAGGGCATTCCAGGCAGTGGGAACAAACAGGCTGAGCACGAGGCCCAGAAGCCAGAAAGGAGTATATGGTGTGCCCGGGAGCAGTTTGCAGGCCAGTTAGGGTAGAGTGGCATAGAGTTGGGAGAAGGAGTATGGCAGAAGAGATGTAAAGGGCCTCAAAAATATGTGCAGAGGCTGGGCACAGTGGCTCATGCCTGTAATCCCAGCACTTTGGGAGGCTAAGGCCAGGAGTTCAAGACCAGCCTGGCCAACATGGTGAAACCCCATCTATTAAAAATACAAAAATTAGCCAGGTGTGATGGGTGTCTGTAATCCCAGCTGGACAGCATAGGAAGATCCCATTTCTATAAAAAATAAAAAATAAATAAAACAAATAAAAAAGAAATGTTGCCAGATAGAATGGAAGAACTTAGCAGTGGACTGGATATGAGAGGCAGTATAAGAAGTGGGAAAGGATGTAAGCTTTGAGGTCACACAGATCTGATCTCAAAGCTAGGCTCTGTGTTGACCTTAAGCAAGGTATTTTAGCCACTCTAAGTCTTTGGTTTCTTATCTGTAAAATGGGGATAGTAATAGTACTTATCTCATAGGATTGGTAGAAGGATTAAATGAAATAATATGCCTTAAATACCTAGCCCAGAGTCTGGAAGTGCCCCACAAGTATTAGCTGCTACTACTATTTTTTAGACAGTTATATTGAGATATAATTCACATACCATACAATTTGCCTATTTTTATTGTATAGTTTAATGGTTTCTTTTTTTTTAGTGTAGTCACAAGACTGTGCAACCATCACGACTATTTAATTCTAGAACATTTTCCTTATCCCCAAAAGAAACCCCATACTAATTAGTGTCACTCTCCATTCTTCCCTGTAGCCCCTAATCATTAATCTACTTTCTGTTCCTATTTTGCACATTTCATAGAAAGGGAATCATATAATATGTGGACTTTTGTGACTGGCTTCTTTTACTTAGCATGAGGTTTCCAACGTTCATCATATTGTACCATGTATCAGTACTTCACTCCTTTTTATTGCCAAATAATATTCCACTGTATGGATAGACTACATTTTGTTTATTTATTCTTCAGTTTATGGCTATTTGAGTTGCTCCTACTTTTTGGCTATTATGAATAATGCCATTTTTATTTGTTTTTTAATTAATTTTATTTATTTACTTTTTTCGAGATGAAGTCTCACTCTCTCACCCAGGCTGGAGTACAGTGGCATGTTCTTGGCTTACTGCAACCTCCATCTCCTGAGTTTAAGTGATCTTCCTGCCTCAGCCTCCCTAGTAGCTGGGACTACAGGTGTGTGCCATCACACCCAGCTAATTTTTATATTTTTAGTAGAGACGGGAGTTTCACCATGTTGGCCAGGCTGGTCTCGAACTTGTGACCTGAGCTGATCCACCTGCCTTGGCCTCCCAATGTGCTGGGATTACAGGTGTGAGCCACTGCACCCAGCCAAATAATGCCATTATTAATATTCTTGTACTACAAGTTTTTGTGTGAGCATATGTTTTCATTTCTCTTGTGTATATACCTAGAAGTGGAATTGCTGGGTCTATATATGATAACTCTGTTTAACCTTTTGAGGAAGTGCTAGACTGTTCTCCAAAGTGACTCCACTACTTTACATTCCCACCAGCAACATATAAGTGTTCCAATTTCTCCACAGCTTTGCCAACACTTGTTATTGTCCATCCTTTTAAATATAGCCATCCTAGTGGGTGTGAAGTGGTTTCTTGTGGTTTTGATTTGTATTTCCCTATTTCCCTAGTGACTAATGATGTTAAACATCTTTTCTTTTCTTTTCTTTTTTTTTTTTTTTGAGTTGGAGTCTCCCTCTCTTGCCCAGGCTGGAGTGCAATAGCACGATCTTAGCTCACTACAACCTCTGCCTCCCAGGTTCAAGCGATTCTCCTGCCTTAGCCTCCCGAGTAGCTGGGACTACAGGCACCCGCCACCACTTCCGGCTAATTTTTGTATTTTTAGTAGAGACGGGGTTTCAGCGTATTGACCAGGCTGGTCTCGAACTCCTGATTTTGTGATCCGCCCACCTCGGCCTCCCAAAGTGCTGGGATTACAGGTGTGAGCCACTGCACCTGGCCTGATGTTAAACATCTTTTCTTGTGCGTATTGGTCATTTGTATATCTTCTTTGGAGAAATGTCTATTCAAATCCTTTGCTCTTTTTTTTTTTTTTTTTTTTTTTTGAGATGGAGTCTTGCTCTGTCGCCCAGGCTGGAGTGCAGTGACGCGATCTTGGCTCACTACAAGCTCCGCCTCCCGGGTTCACGCCATTCTCCTGCCTCAGCCTCCCGAACAGCTGGGACTACAGGTGCCCGCCACCGCGCCCGGCTAATTTTTTTTGTATTTTCAGTAGAGACGAGGTTTCACTGTGTTAGCCAGGATGGTCTCGATCTCCTGACCTCATGATCTGCCCTCCTTGTTTTTTAATTGAGTTATTTATCTTTTTATTATTGAATTATAAGAGTTTTTAATATATTCTAGATACAAGTTTCTTATCAGATACATGATTTGCACATATTTTCTTTCATTCTGTGGGTTGTCTTTTTGTCTTCTTGGTGATATTGTTGGCAGCACAGAATTTTTAAATTTTGATGTAGTCTAATTTGCCTAGATTATGCTTAAACTCTAAGATTCAGTAACGGAGTGGTGATGCCATTAACAAGGTTATGAGACGCAGAAGGGAAGGGTAGGTGTTTCAGGGGTGGGAAGTACTTAGGCAACAGAAGGCAGTTAATTCCACTCTGGATATACTGAGTTTTCGGTGCAGAGGAGACAAACAGAAAGAGATACCAAGCAGACATCTCGCAATATAGATGAGTGTGGAGGAAAGAAGTCTGGAGATGAAGGAGCATTAGGAGGCACAAGTGAAGCTATAGAAATAGATGAGATCCACCCCTAATGGGAACAGCATCTAAGAGAAAAGGGGGACCTAAAACAGCCCCCTGAAGATTACATATTTTGGGGGAGTGTGTGGAGGAATGTTTAGAGGGAAAAACAGAGTAGTGCTATGTCATGGTGCCAAGGGAACGGATGTCAGGAAGGGAGATGTGGCTGGTAGCATTACGTAAGGCGAGGAGTAGAGTGGGGAGGATAAGAAAGAGGTATGGGAGGCCAGGCACAGTGGCTCATACCTGTAATCCCAGCACTTTGGGAGGCCGAGGTGGGTGGATCACCTGAGGTCAGGAGTTCGAGACCAGCCTGGCCAAAATGGTGAAACCCTGTCTCTACTAAAAATACAAAAATGAGCCGGGCGTAGTGGCGTGTGCCTGTAGTCCCGGCTACTAGGGAGGCTAAAATGGGAGGATCGCTTGAACCCGGGAGGTGGAGGTTGCAGTGAACCGAGATTGTGCCACTGCACTTCAGCTTGGGTGACAGAGTAAGACTCCAGTTCAAAAAAAAAAAAAGGAAAAAAAGGAAGAGTTATGAGAAGAGGTCAGAGGGCCTTCAGTAGGACTGTGGGGTAGGAAATCTGGACTGTGGCTGTCAGATTGAGCAAGAAGGCAGCATCAAGAAGTATTAAGTAGTTTTTAAACTAGGAGAAAGTGGAGTAGCTCAACAGAAATGCTGAGTGACAAAAAGTTTTTTTTTGAGACGGGGTCTCGCTCTGTCGCCAGGCTGGAGTGCAGTGGTGCTATCTCGGCTCACTGCAACCTCCATCTCCCAGCTTCAAGTGATTCTCCCGCCTCAACCTCCCGAGTAGCTGGGACTACGGGTGCATGCCACCACGCCTGGCTAATTTTTGTATTTTTAGTAGAGACGGCTTGTCACCATGTTGGCCAGGATGGTCTCGATTTCTTGGCCTCATGATCTGCCCGCCACAGCCTCTCAAAGTGCTGGGATTATAGGCGTGAGCCACCGTTCCTGGCCACAAAAAGTTTTTTTTTAAAGTGAGCCGGGCGTGGTGGCTCATGCCTGTAATCCCAGCACTTTGGGGGGCCGAGGCGGGCGGATCACGAGGTCAGGAGATCGAGACCATCCTGGCTAACACGGTGAAACCCCGTCTCTACTAAAAATACAAAAAATTAGCTGGGCACAGTGGCGGGTGACTGTAGTCCCAGCTACTCGGGAGGCTGAGGCAGGAGAATGGCGTGAACCCGGGAGGCGCAGCTTGCAGTGAGCTGAGATAGCGCCACTGCACTCCAGCCTGGGCGACAGAGCGAGACTCCATCTCAAAAAAAAAAAGATTGGGAGTGAGTGCCTAAAGGGAAGGAGAAATGAAAGATTCAATGAGAGAGATTAATTGATGGGACAAAGTCTTTTTTTTTTTTTCTTTTTGAGACGAAGTCTCACTCTGTCACCAGGCTGGAGTGCAGTGGCGTGATCTTGGCTTATTGCAACCTGCGCCTCCTGGGTTCAAACGATTTTCCTGCCTCAGCCTCCTGAGTAGCTGGGATTATAGGTGCCCGCCAACACGCCCAGCTAATTTTTGTATTTTTGGTAGAGACGGGGTTTCACCATGTTGGCCAGGATGGTCTCAATCTCTTGACCTCGTGATCCGCCCGCCTTGGTCTCCCAAAGTGCTGGGACTACAGGCGTGAGCCACCTCGCCCAGCCCATGGGACAAAGTCTTTACAGATGGAAGAGACTGAGTGGAAGAGTTTGTCTTCCCAAATTAATTTCACCACATCACTGTTTTTGTTGGTTTGGTTTGGCGTTGTTTCGTTTTTTAAGACAGATTTCCTAACATCCTGTAGTATAGTATTTGGGGCATCGGTTTGAGAAATGCTGGTCTAGTCTAAGAGCATCTCAAGGTCAGGGATCTTATTCATCTCTGAGTTGTGGCAAACATAATAGTAATGATGATAGGAGCAGATGGACAAAGTAAGGAAAGGAAGAGGGTTCATCACCCTGACCCGGGAGGTGAGGCAGTAAGCATGGTGTGGTTGCAGGTGGAGATGGAGGAGAGAAGCCAAAGTTCATAGTCAGTGGCCCCCATCATCCTGTCAGCTGTGCAGGAGACACAGCCAACTCCCTAGAGCACATGGGGTGGAGGTGCCACTGTCAGCCTTTTCTGCCCTCATTCTTTTTTTTTTTTTTTTTTGAGACAGAGTTTCGCTCTTGGTGCCCAGGCTGGAGTGCAATGGCACCATCTCGGCTCACTGCAACCTCTGCCTCCCAGGTTCAAGCAATTCTCGTGGCTCAGCCTTCCTAGTAGCTGGGATTACAGGTGCCTGCCACCACACCCAGCTAATTTTTTATATTTTTTAGTAGAGACGAGATTTCACTATGTTGGCCAGGCTGGTCTTGAACTCCTGACCTCAGGTGATCCACCTGCCACAGCCTCCCAAAGTGCTGGGATTACAAGCATGAGCCCCCGTGCCCGGCTCTCTGCCCTCATTCTTTCACTCAGGTTTTTAATATACACACAGGATATTAATGCCTTGTCATTGCAGACTTTCGAGTAGCACACCCCTGCTGATCTTTAACACTATTTTTTGCATTTCCAGTTGATGCTTTCTGAGTGGTTAATTGACGTTCCTTCAGATTTGGGGCAGGAATGGATTGTGGTCGTGTGCCCTGTTGGAAAAAGAGCCCTTATCGTGGCCTCCAGGGTGAGTAGCTGCCTGCCCCCTATGCCAGTAGGCCTGGTCTGTAGTGGGAGGGATTCTTTGTGCTCCATTTTCCTCATACGCCACAACAGCTGTGCCTGGAGTGGAGCTTGAAACACTTTCCTGCAGGAAGGTTTGTTGAGAGCCATCTTTGGTCGAGTAACATTCCTGCAGAATGAGGAGGCAAGAGGGCGAGGAGACCTTGAGGTCTAATAAGAATGGTAACTTTCTCTCCATGCAGGGTTCTACCAGTGCCTACACCAAGAGTGGCTACTGTGTCAACAGGTTTTCTTCACTTCTGCCAGGAGGCAACAGGCGAAACTCAACAGCAAAAGGTACCTACATAGAGTGTCTACTTATTGATCAGTAAAAGACAGTGTAATTTGCTTTAAAGACCCACTTTGGGCCGGGCGCGGTGGCTCACGCCTGTAATCCCAGCACTTTGGGAGGCCGAGGCGGGTGGATCATGAGGTCAGGAGATCGAGACCATCCTGGCTAACAAGGTGAAACCCCGTCTCTACTAAAAATACAAAAAATTAGCCGGGTGCGGTGGTGGGCACCTGTAGTCCCAGCTACTCGGGAGGCTGAGGCAGGAGAATGGCGTGAACCCAGGAAGCGGAGCTTGCAGTGAGCCGAGATTGCACCACTGCAGTCCGCAGTCCGGCCTGGGCGACAGAGCGAGACTCCGTCTCAAAAAAAAAAAAAAAAAAAAAAAAAAGACCCACTTTGATAGCTTATCTTTGTTTTTTTTTTTTGTTTTTTGAGACAGAGTCTCACTTTGTCACCCAAGCTGGAGTGCAGTGGCACCATATTGGCTCACTGCAACTTCCGCCTCCTGGGTTCAAGTGATTCTCCTGCCTCAGCCTCCTGAGTAGCTGGGATTATAGGCTGCACCCGGCTAATTTTTGTACTTTTAGTAGAGACTGGATTTCACCATTTTGGCCAGGCTGGTCTTGAACTCCTGGCCTCAAAGTGATCCACCCACCTTGGCCTCCCAAATTGCTGGGATTACAGGCATAAGCCACTGCACCCGGCCTGAAAGCTTATCTTTGAAACTGCATGTAGACACCATCCTGGCCCCTGGACCAAGGACCTCCCCTTCAAGGTCAAGCGTCCCCAGTTGCAGAATAAATGCAGCCCCATGAGGCCTGATGGTCCGTAAATTCCTGAATTAAGGTCAACATATCTTTGGACTTCTATTACGGGACAACAGATACAGATTTGGGGGGAAACGTCTCTGAGAGAATACTAAGCATAATGGTACAGCCAGCTGATGCTGGGGCTTCCCTGCCAAACTCCCTTTTCTCCTTTCTCATTGTTGTAACCTTAGGTTCTTCCTCCCCACTGGGCCTAGCTGAGTAGACTAAGGTCGTGGGGGAGAAATAACTTACCCACAGTTATTCAGTAAGGAATTGGCAGAGCTGGGCTTGCTTTCTTCTCTACCTGCTCAGGCTCCTTTGGTGGTTCCTCATGTCCTCTGTACTGAGCCCAGACTTCTCTTTTTTATTTTTTGACACGGTCTCACTCTGTGGCCCAGGCTCGGGTTCAAGGGCATGATCACAGCTCACTGCAGCCTTTATTTCTCAGGCTCAAGTGATCCTCCCACCTCAATTTCCTGAGTAACTGAGACTACAGGAGTGTGCCACCATGCCCAGCTAATTTTTTGTATTTTTGGTAGAGATGGGGTTTTGCCATGTTGCCCAGGCTGGTCTGAAACTCCTGGGCTCAAAGCCATCTGCCTGCCTTGGCCTCCCAAAGTGCTGGGAGTATAGGTGTGAGCCACTGCACCTGGCCTTGCTCTGACTTCTCTGTTGGCGTTTAGTACCTTTCACATGCAGGCTTTGTCCCACCCATCCCATGTCTTTCCCCTACTCCTTATACCCACCTTCTGTTCAGCTGACTTATCTCCCCACATGTGCCCAGTTCATTCTGCCTCTGGGGCTTTGCTCATGCCACATCAGTACTTGGGTCTGAAATGCCCTCTCTTCTCCCCTCTGCCCTGTTGTTTAAACCCGGCTGGTCCCAGAAGACTATTTGTATGGCATCTCTCCCTTGAAGCATTTCCTGCTGCTCCAGCCTTCTCTTTCGGGAACTCCTGTTGCTCTTAGTATGAGCTCTGTAATTTAGCTCTTAGTTCTTCTGTGATCATCTTATCCCCTTAACCAAATGGTAACTTCCTTAAAGGCAGGGAATATTTATAGTTAATATTCCCCACATAACACAGTGCCTATGATAGGAACTCAAAAAGCAGTTGTAAACTAAAATGGAAGATGACTTGCTTTTAAACCTCGTTGAGGTGAGTAAATGTGCCAGTTTATCTAAAACTTCAGAATTCTCACTTTGCTTAAGGTTTGCCTTGATGCGTCTTGTGCTGTCTTACCCTGAGTCACCATGAAGCTGTAGCTGGTAGCCAGGCAGGGTTCTCTCCCCAGTGAATCCTTAGTCCTTAGTGCCAGTGACTGCTGCAAGCACTGAGGATTGTTGGACTCAAGCCTCTGGGATGGGGCTCCCTAGGTTGTGGTGGAGGGAACCTGGTTGGAAGAAGAACTCTGTGCTGACTTTCTGCTTTGTGTCCTCAGACTACACCATTCTAGATTGCATTTACAATGAGGTAAACCAGACCTACTACGTTCTGGATGTGATGTGCTGGCGGGGACACCCTTTTTATGATTGCCAGGTAGGGATGGATCCTCCTCTCGTGGCTCTTCCTGTCTTCTCCTCTCCTCCTGGGAAAGCGGCTCAGCATGTGGGTTTGGTATGTGACCAACTTCTTGGTGTGCACAGGATGTGGTATATCAAGAACATTATCTAATGCTCCCTGCATCTTTGAGTGTGTTTAAATTAGCTTAGTTTTAAAAGAGAAATAGGAGGAACTAAGAGAAACATGCAGTTCTTGAGAGGAAGAAAGAAAGAAATGGCAGGGGTGTAGGCTGGGACTTGATAGCAGCTGCACCCACCCCCTTATCTCTCTCCAGAGTATGGGAGGATTTCTGGCAGTGAAGATTGTGGGGCAAGGGGGTGGGGATGCCACCTTGTGCAGCAGCCCCAGGAAGAGAAGGTGGAATTGAATGTAAGTCACCATCTACTAGACTCCTGCAACCTCCACTCCTTCACCAACCACATCCTGACCCTGAAAATGGCAGGGCCTCCTTGGTATGACCCAGAACCTCAAATCTCAAAGGTTAGCTCTAGGAGGAGACTTTTCAAAGGAGGAGAGGCCCCAATATTCTCCCCTTCTGTTTCACCATACCCCCAACATTTTACTATTGGTGATTCTTAACAGGTAACAGCAGCAGTCATCAGGTGAGGCTGAGTGAGCCCCACCGGCCTCCATCCCTGTTAAGAACACTCTCCCCGTCATTGTCCCAGTTGTATAATGGTGGGTTTGGGGGTTTTGGTACTTCCTTTTGCTCCCTGTCAATTAGTTTATCATAGTGGTTCTCGGTGTGTAGTCTCCAGACCAGGCATATCAGAACGTTGTAGAAATGGGCCTGAGGCTGATGTGTGAACAGGCCTCCAGTGATCTTCATGCAGGCTGTCACCATAGGCTGCTTCTTTCTAAGCCATTCCCGCATACTAGGTTTCCAAAACACACTAGGTATTGGTACTCAGAATTCTAAGGTGCATCTCATTCAAACAATAACAATCAAGATGTGCATTGCTAAGCACTTTCTGCATTAGCTCATTAAATCCCTTACAACACGTCCTTATTGTAAGGTAAGTACTATTATCATCCTTTTTTTTCTTTGAGACGGAGTCTCGCTCTGTTGCCCAGGTTGGAGTGCAGTGCTGCGATCTGGGCTCACTGCAACCTCCGCATCCTGGGTTCAAGCACTTCTCCTGCCTCCGCCTTCTGAGTAGCTGGGATTACAGGCGCTTGCCACCACACCCAGCTAATTTTTGTATTTTTAGTAGAGACGGCGTTTCACCATGTTGGCCAGGCTGTCTTGAACTCCTGACCTCAAGTGATCCACCCACTTTGGCCTACCGAAGTGCTGGGCATGAACGACTGCACCTGGCCTGTCCTTGACATATAGATATGGAAGCTGAGATGCTAAGAAGCACAGGTCTTAAGTACCTTGCCCACGTGTAGAACCAAGCCTACAACTCAGAACATAAATTCAATCTAGAACATATTTTCCTTTAATTCTGCTGAAGGATATTTTATTACATGTATTCACAACCTACAAATTTGGTAACTAAAACCAAATATATTTTTATAACGTAAACAAAAGACTGTATGTATCTTTTTAAATTTCCAAAAGCAAAATAATTTAAAAGAATGAAGAGGCCCGGTGGGCGCAGTGGCTCACACCTGTAATCCCAGCACTTTGGGAGGCTCGAGGTGGAGAGATCAAGAGGTCAGGAGATGGAGACCACTCTGGCCAACATGGTGAAACCCTGTCTCTACCAAAAATACAAAAATTAGCCTGGTGTGGCAGTGGGCGCCTGTAGTCCCAGCTACTTGGGAGGCAGGAGAATCGCTTGAACTTGGGAGGCGGAGGTTACAGTGAGCCGAGACTGTACCATTGCACTCCAGCCTGGGTGACAGAGCAACACTCCATCTCAAAAAAAAAAAAAAAAAAATAGCATGGGGTGTTTTTGTTTATATTAGAGTTTGAAATGGAAAGTATTTCATCTTTCTGTTTCCCTTCTCTGTGGCAGACTGATTTCCGATTCTACTGGATGCATTCAAAGTTACCAGAAGAAGAAGGACTGGGAGAGAAAACCAAGCTTAATCCTGTAAGGCCTGGTGTTAGGATCACTGAGTTCCTTATGGGGAGTAGTGTGGATTGGTCTGTTATCTAAATATAATCATTATGTATGAAATGATCTTTTTTGAGGCAGCATGGTATAAAGGGAAGAGTATCAATCATGTAGATCTGAATTCCATTTTTGGCTTTTATTATTACTAATTTAACATCCTATGTTCTCACTCATAATTGGGAGCTAAGCTATGAGGATATAAAGGCATAAGAATGACACAATGGACTTTGGGAACTCTGGGGAAGGGTAAGGGGGATGAGGGATAATTGGGTGCAGTGTACGCTGCTTGGGTGGTGGGTGCACCAAATCTCAGAAATCACCACAAAAGAACTTATTCATGTAACCAAACACTACCTCTTCCCCAAAAACCTATTGAAGTAATAATAACTAAAAAAAGACTAAAAAAAATTTATTACTAAGTTAAGTTAATAATCTCACTTACCCTTAGATTTTCCATCTGAAAAATAGGGTAATAACATCTAATTTACAGGGTTGTTATAAGAACCAAATTATATAAATATGCAAGTCCTCCTAACATAATACTCATGGTAGGCACTCAATAATAATCAGTGATTTAAATATGTGACAGCTATTTTCAGGGCATTTTATTAGCCCTGCAGATTGGCATTTGCTTGGATTGCTCACAAAAAATGTTAAAGCCAAGGGCCAGGCGCCGTGGCTCACGCCTGTAATCCCAGCACTTTGGGAGGCCGAGGCAGGTGGATCATTTGAGGTCAGGAATTCGAGACCAGCCTGACCAACATGGCAAAACCCTGTCTCTACTAAATACAAAAACAATTAGCCAAGTGTAGTGGTGCACGCCTGTAATCCCAGCTACTTGGGAGGCTGAGGCAGGAGAACCACTTGAACCTGGGAGGCGGAGGTTGCAGTGAGCCAAGATTGTGCCACTGTACTCCAGCCTGGGCAACAGAGCGAGACTCTGTCACAAAAAAAAAAAAAAAAAAAAAGTTAAAGGGAATTGGACAACCAGTTATAGGAGAATAAATATGATCAGTACTTTCAGTGATGTTATTATCATGTAGGTCCTGGAGGAACATGCATTGAGGAAGGGGAAGACTGCTCTCTCTAAGACACTGGTTTAAGTGCTCTATGTATATTATCTCACTGAATCCACACAGTAACCCTACGAAGTAGATATGTGCTGTTGTTATCCCATTTTACAGATGGGAAGATGAAAGTATATGGAGGTTAAATGATTGGCAGAATGGGATTCAAACCCAAGCAATCTGACTTTAGAGTTTGTAGTTCTAATCACTTAGTTATGCTGCTTCAGTCTAAAAATCCTTGCAGGTGTGAAAAGGATTTCACTAGCCCTTTATTAGTGGTAGCTGTCATGGGGCCAAGAGAATAACACACAACCACTCAACCTAGTACAATACAGTGGTTCCCACTCCTGACTGTATGTTAAAATCAGCTGGAGAGCTTTTTTTTTTTTTTTTTTTTTGAGACAGAGTCTCGCTCCGTCACCCAGGCTGGAGTGCAGTGGCGTGATCTCGGCTCACTGCAAGCTCCGCCTCCCAGGTTCACAGCATTCTCCTGCCTCAGCCTCCTGAGTAGCTGGGACTATAGGCGCCCACCACCACGACCGGCTAATTTTTTGTATTTTTAGTAGAGACGGGGTTTCACTGTGTTAGCAAGGATGGTGTCGATCTCCTGACCTTGTGATCTGCCTGCCTCAGCCTCCCAAAGTGCTGGGATTACAGGCGTGATCCACTGCACCCGGCCCAGTGAAGAGCTTTAAAAAAAATACCTGGGCCAGGCCGAGTGCGGTAGCTCACGCCTGTAATCCCAGCACTTTGGGAGGCCGAGACAGGCGAATCACGAGGTCAGGAGATCGAGACCATCCTGGCTAACACAGTGAAACCCCGTCTCTACTAAAAATACAAAAAATTAGCCGGTCGTGGTGGTGGGCGCCTATAGTCCCAGCTACTTGAGAGGCTGAGCAGGAGAATGCTGTGAACCCAGGAGGCCGAGCTTGCAGTTAGCCGAGATCGTGCCACTGCACTCCAGCCTGGGTGAGGGAGCGAGACTTTGTCTCAAAAAAAAAAAATACCTGGGCCAGGCACAGTGACTCACATCTGTAATCCCAGCACTTTGGGTGGCCAAGGCAGGTGGACTGCCTGAGCTCAGTAGTTCGGAGCAGCCTGGGCAACATGGCAAAACCCCATCTCTACAAAAGAAATACAAACAAAAAAATTAGCCAGGTATGGTGATGTGTGCCTATAATCCCATCACTTTGGGAGGCTGAGGTAGGTGGATTGTTTGAGCCCAGGAGTTTGAGACCAGCCTGGGCAACACAGCAGAACCCCATCTCTACAAAAAAATACAAAAACAGATTAGGCATGGTGGCGTGCACCTATAGTTCCAGCTACTTGAGAGGCTGAGGTGGGAGGATCACTTGAGCCCAAGAGGTTGAGGCTGCAGTGAGCTGTGATTGTGCCACTGCACTCCAGCCTGGGTGAAAGAGCGCAACTCTGTCTCAAAAAAAACAACAAAAAACCTGGATCCCACCCCAGACCAGTTCAGTCAGAATCTCAGAGTAGGGCCTGTGCATCAGTAATATTTTTTTTTTTTTTTTTGAGACCGAGTCTTGCTCTGTTGCTCAGGCTAGAGTGCAGTGGCACAATCTCAGCTCACTGCAACCTCCGCCTCCCAGGTTCAAGCGATTCTTCTGCCTCAGCCTCCCAAGTAGCTGGGACTACTGGCATGTACCACCATGCCTGGCTAATTTTTGTATTTTTAGTAGAGACGGGGTTTCGCCATATTGGTCAGACTGGTCTCGAACTCCTGACCTCGTGATCCGCCCTTCTCGGCCTCCCAAAGTGCTGGGATTACAGGCGTGAGCCACCACACCTGGCCAGCATCAGTAATTTATTTTTATTTATTTTTTATTTTTAGAGACGGAGTCTCGCTCTGTCACCCAGGTTGGAGTGCAGTGGCACAATCTCGGCCCACTGCAAGCTCCGCCTCCCGGGTTCATGTCATTTTCCTGCTTCAGCCTCCTGAGTATCAGTAATTTTTAAAAGCTCCCTAGATGATTCTTGTGGATAAAAGAAGGTTGGGGCTGGGTACAGTGGCTCATGCCTATAATCCCAGCATACTGGGAAACTGAGGTGGGAGAATCCCTTGAGCCCAGGAATTTGAGGATGCAGTGAGCTGTGATTGTGCCACTGCTCTCTAGCATGGGTGACAGAATGAGATCTCATCTCTTAAAAAAAAGGGGGAGGAAAGATTGGGAACCACGACCTAGTAGTTAAGAGAGTAAGTAGAGGGGAATTAGTAGAGAAGGATGAGACTGAAAACTTTTCTTCTTTGTTTTTTTGTTTTGGCTTGGTTTAGTTTGGTTTGGTTTGGTTTTTGAGACAGGGTCTGGCTCTGTCACTCAGGCTGGGGTGCAGTGGCACAATCTGAGCTTACTGCAGCCTTGACCTCAGGCTCAAGCGATCCTTCTACCTCAGCAGCCTCCCAAGTAGCTGGGACTACAAGTTTTTCTTCTTTGACAGAGATTTTCTTTTCTTTTTGCTTTTTTTGAGAGGGAGTCTTGCTCTGTCACCCAGTCTGGAGTGCAGTGGCATGATCATGGCTCACTGCAACCTCCCCTTCCTGGGTTCAAGCTATTTTCCTCCCTCAACCTCCCAAGTAGCTTGGACTACAGGCACATGCCACTATGCCTGGCTAATTTTTGTATTTTTAGTACAGACGGGGTTTCACCATGTTGGCCAGGCTTGTCTTGATTTCTTGACCTCAGGTGATCCTCCTGACTTTGCCTCCCAAAGTGCTGGGATTACAGGTGTGAGCCACTATGCCTGGCCTGACAGAGATTTTCAATTGCTTGGGCCAGTATCATTTATAACGTACTAATTCCTTGTTCTAATTTCTATTTCAGTTTAAATTTGTGGGGCTAAAGAACTTCCCTTGCACTCCCGAAAGCCTGTGTGATGTGCTATCTATGGATTTCCCTTTTGAGGTAACGAAACCATTGTCTTTATTGCCTTGACATGATGATAGGCTGCAGAGAGACTTAGTTACACAAAGTCTTAAAATATTCCTTGATTGTGCTGTGTCAAAGCATCAGAATGGGACAAAGCTGATTCTGGAGAAAGGATGTACTTGCTGCCCTTCAGAGCCTGAGCTCCACCCATGCTGGATAAGTCAGAATGCTGGCACTGGAAGGGCCCTTAATGGACAGCTCGTCCAACTCCCTCATCTTACAGATGGAGAAACTGAGGTCCGGAGAAACTGAGGCCCAGATAGGAGCAAGACTTGCATGCCTAGATCCTTCTTGTGTGCCTCTTCCTACTGCAAGCTGAGACCCAGGTCCCTGGTTTGGCTGTCGTGGCTGCTTGTAAAGTGAAGGTGCTTCTGTGACTGAATGACTCCAACAAATGTCCAAATCCCTAATCCTTTCCTCACCAAAGAAGATGGCCCTTGGGGACAGCAGCACTTGCTGAGCAGGAGCATGAGTCAGGTGACCACCTCATTCCAGTTTGCTCAGGACTCGCCCTGTTTTAGCACTGAAAGTCTCACAGCGGCTGGGCATGGTGGCTCACGCCTATAATCCCAGCACTTGGGAAGGCCGAGGCCGGTGGATCACTTGAGGTCAGGAGTTCAAGACCAGCCTGGCCAACATGGCAAAACCTCGTTTCTACTAAAAATACAAAAATTAGCTGGGCGTATTGGCAGATGCCTGTAATCCCAGCTACTCGGGAGGCTGAGGCAGGAGAATCACTTGAACTTGGGAGGCAGAGGTTGCAGTGAGCCGAGATTGAGCCACTGCACTCCAGCCTGGGCAACAGCACAAGACTCTGTCTCAAAAAAAAAAAACAAAAAACAAACCTCACAGCCCCAGAGGCTCCCCAGTCCTCAACAGTCTTGTCAGCCTCAGAACCTGCAGCTACCTTCTCTAGGCTCAACAAGCACATTTTCCTTTGCCCATCATTCCCTTAAAAATTCTGCCTTGGCCGGGCACAGTGGCTCACACCTGTAATCCCAGCACTTTGGGAGGTCGAGGCAGTTGGATCACCTGAGGTCAGGAGTTCAAGACCAGCCTCGCCAACATGGTGAAACCCCGGCTCTACTAACAATACAAAAATTAGCCAGGCATGGTGGCACACGCCTGTAGTCCCAGCTACTTGGGAAGTTGAGGCAGGAGAATCTCTTGAACCCGGGAGGCGGAGGTTGCACTGAGCTGAGATCGCACCACCGCACTCCACTGCAGCCTGGGCAACGAGCGAAACTCCATCTCAGAAAGAAAAAAAAAAAAAAAAATCTGCCCAGTCACTGCAAGCATTTGCTTGAACTGGATGTAATTTTATATAAGGATCACAGCTTCCCAAATAAGGAAATGGCAAAGGCTGAGTTGCCAGCATTTCTGGGAGTCAATTAAGAAGGTGGTAAGAATACCATCTTTATTTATAACCCTTATGCCCCAGTGACAATAAATGCTTTTTAGAGATGAGTCACTGAATCATAGAAAATAAAATGTGGGACTGTAGGAGGTCTTCCCGTTGAGAAAAACTGTTTCCCAGAACATGGCTCACAAACAATTTAGGGGGAGGTTTAGGCAACCAACAGTAGCCAGGGAAGCAGGGCATCTGGACAGCCTGTTTCCACTGTGTGCAGCAATCTGCTGCCCCGGAGGGGCCTGTCCAGTTCCTCTGCTTTTCATTCCATGCACAGAGCTCATCCACCACAACACAGACCCCTAAGTGGTGGAAAGTCCGTGGAATCTGGGGACAGAAGACCAGAGTTCAAGTTGAAGTCCTGCTTCCTACTCACTGTGTGTTTTAAGGAGGTCCTCAGAACTCCCTGAGTATGAGCAGCCCCATCTCTCAGACACCGTCATGGGTAAGATAGTAAAATAGTGGGCAGGAAAGCACTCTGTAAACAGGAAAGTGCTATTTATGTTTATCCTTTCCTTTTTTTTTTTCTTTTTTTGAGACAGAGTCTCACTCTGTCGCCAGGCTGGAGTGCAGTGGTGCAGTCTCAGCTCACTGCATCCTCTGCCTACTGGGTTCAAGCGGTTGTCGTGTCTCAGACACCCGAGTAGCTGGGATTACAGGCATGTGCCACACATGCCTGGCTATTTTTTTGAATTTTTAGTAGAAATGGAGTCTTACCATGTTGCCCAGGCTGGTCTCAAACTCCTGAGCTCAAGCAATCTGCCTGCCTCAGCCTCCAAAGTGCTGGAATTATAAGCATGAGCCACCACGCCCAGCCAATGTTTTTATTTTCTCAAATTTAGTTTTCTAGGCCATTTCTTTATTTAGAGAAACGGCATGTGTGAGAAGCTGGGACTCTTTCCTCTGTCAGTGACCCAGAAAAAGGAGTCGGACCACAAGAGCTGCCCTTGTGTGTATAGGCTCTCCTGGAAACATGTGGCCCCAGAAGTCATTTGATCCTCAATTTCCCCTTGTCTTATAGGTAGATGGACTTCTCTTCTACCACAAACAGACCCACTACAGCCCCGGAAGCACTCCCTTGGTGGGCTGGCTGCGCCCCTACATGGTGTCAGATGTCCTTGGTGTAGCTGTGCCGGCTGGCCCGCTGACCACCAAGCCAGACTATGCTGGGCACCAGCTCCAGCAGATTATGGAGCACAAGAAGAGCCAGAAGGAAGGCATGAAGGAGAAACTCACACACAAGGCCTCTGAGAATGGGCACTATGAATTGGAGCACCTGTCTACTCCCAAGTTGAAGGGTTCTTCCCATAGCCCAGACCACCCTGGATGCCTCATGGAGAATTAAAGAGAGAAGCCTCCTTAAGGAGCCACAGGATGGTACCTGGCCCCAAAAGGAATCCTGGAGAGGAGGACAGTGACAACAGGTGACTTCATTCTTTAGAGTGAACTTTCCAAACCCAGTCCAGCTGGAAACAGCTTATCTATAATCTGAAATGCTGGCTCAAACAGTTATGGGGAGGTTCCCAGATTGCGTAGCATTCAGATTGATTTGAGCAGCTCCTACTGTGATAAGTGTATCCCAGATCCACAATGTAAATATATGTGATTTGTAAGAAAGAACTGGTTTGTGGTTCTTAAGCTTTAGATAGCCATGAATCTCCCCTTCCCATCTCAGTCCCCTGGGCTACTTCAACCATGGCTGTTCAAGTCTTGGCCCATTTCACTCTTTTTAGTACTCAAAGATTCTGCTGAGTTTCCAGTTGCTGCTGCCGCCGAAAGGTTTTACCAGGAACTGCAATTCTGGGTATTTGAATATGTTCCCTCTTCTGAGAAGACAAGTGTGATTTTCTTTGGTTTAGACATTGCCAGAGATAAAATGCAAATGTAGTTCATTCACTCCTTCAGCAAACATTTGTGCCTACCAGGAGATAAGCTTGTCCTAGGCCCCTGCCAAGTAGAGGGGTTATGGAGGTGGACAGTACTTAGTCCCTGCCCTTGAGGAGCTCACACTCCTGTGAGAAAAGAAGCCCACCAGGACAGTTTGGGAGAAGAGGCTGGAGAGAGATAGCAGGTTTTAGATTTTGTGTCATGGATGAAAGGAGCTAAGAAAGAACTTTGAGCAGGCAAGGTCTCTTGAGATTTGTGAACTGGAGGTCTTTGGCAGCTGTGAGAATGGAAGATTGTGTTGGAAACTGACTAATTAGTTTCTGCTTTGTATTCAGGAAATGGATCCCACTTCCTGTGGCTTCAGTCAGCTCCCATATTGCTTCCCATCTTTCTAGGACTCTGTCATGGATACAAGTACTTCACCATTCCCTCCAGCAGCACTAGTGTCCTGTGGACAGATTTTCACAGGGATCCAGGTCAGCTCTTGTCTGACATGCAGTGGTCCCTGCATGTTGATTAGTTCTGGGAACAGATTTGGGCAGAGGTAGTAGTTATTTGGAGCCTGATTATACAACTTCAGTACATCCAGTGGAACTAGTCTTAGTGTCGGCTCTTAGAGAGTTGCTCAAGCTGACCTTGTAAAATTGGAAGACTCCCCGCTCCCACCCTCATCCATTGATGATCCTGCTGGCTGCAGATTCAAGCATTTGCCTACATCAATAAGCTCTTTCCTGAATTTAGGTCAATTCTGTAATAGGAACATTGTGTTCCTCTTGCCAAGGAGCATGTTTTAAGTGCCTAAACATTTAGTCTCTGTTTGATAATTTTCTGAGTGCTCTAGTCTGTGCTATCAGCAGCCAACCATATCAGTTCAGAAGCTATGCATGCTAGTGTCAATAGTGACTTGGCCATACTCTGTTCAGAAATAATCAGGTCTGGAAGGACTACTTCCCCAAAGGGCGCACACAGGCACTACAGGCACACACACTCTGGGGACAGCTGCATGAATCAAAGGATATATCAGCCAAAATTATCAACAATCACAACTTGATTTTTTTTTTTTTATTTTGGGATAGAGTCTTGCTGTGTTGCCCAGGCTGGAGTGCAGTGGCACAGTCTCGGCTCACTGCAACCTCCGCCTCCCCAGTTCAGACGATTCTCCTGCCTCACCCTCCTGAGTAGCTGGGATTACAGGGGTGAGCCACTGCGCCCAGAGACTATAACAGCTTTCAATGAGGTCTGTGAGTCCTTGTGGCGAATTATATAACCAGAGGGTAGTCTTAGGGTTCCCCAAACTTGCAACTGGTATCCAAAGTAACGGTAGTCTGTGGACTATTCCCTGAGTTTGGGAAATATATATGTAAATACATAAGTGTGATAAAATATTATAATCACTGTGAGAGCTGGCTGTATGGATGGGGAGGGCACAAAGAATGGCTACTCTACCTGCAGAGGAAAATGTTCAAACAGGTGTCTTTTGAATGGAGTCCTTCAAAGACGAATAGGTATATCCACCAGGTGAATGAAGTCAGAGTGAGCGGGGATGGTGTAGGGGAAAAGTATGAAACAGATGCATTTATACACAGAACTGTAAAACAGCATCACTGAAAAGTAGGCAGCAAAGGAGGCAAGGTAATTTATGAGGCTGGAGAGATATACTAAGGTCAGGTCATGAATGAACTTGCATGGCAGGATGAGAAGCTTCACATGTATCTTGCAGTCAATGGTACATCCTTGAAGTAACATGATCAAACCTATATTTTTAGAAAGGATCACTCTGCTATGGCAGGGATGGATTCAAAGGGGAAAAGACTAGTGGCAGGGAAACTAGGTAGGAGGATCTGGCAGTACCCTATGAGAGAGATGATGAAGGCCTGAATTAAGGTTGTAGAGGAAATGAAGAGAGAGGTGGGAATTAAAGGACATGGTGACTCACTAGCTGTGAAATATAAGAAATGGAATCATCATTGTGATGATTCCTAGATTCCTAATATGGGTGACTGAGTGCCACTAACAAGGACAAGGATCCCAGGAAAAGCACAGTTGAGGGGGATTGAGGAGGAAAGGTATTGAGTTCAGTTTGGGACATGCTGAGTATTAAGGTGACTGGAGATGAATGGCAAGTAGATAGATACAGGTCTGGAGGTATCAGCACATAGATGGCAGCTGAAGTCAGGTAAGAAAAAGCTGGGGAAATGTCCCTCAGATTTGGAAAACAGGAGACCAGTAGTCCTTTGAGAGGACTTGAAGTGGCAGGAACAGAAGTCAGGTTTCAGTAGGTTTAGACATTAATGAGAAATGACCAAGTGGAGAAATAGCAAATGTGGATAAATCACTGCCAAACACAAGTGGATTAGGGTGACACAAACTCTTCCAGTGCAGCCACTGGAACTCAGCATGACTTTTCTCAGACTGTAGGCCGGGCGCGGTGGCTCACGCCTGTAATCCCAGCACTTTGGGAGACCAAGGCGGGAGGAGCACAAGGTCAGGAGATCAAGAGCATCTTGGTTAACATGGTGAAACCCCGTCTCTACTAAAAATACAAAAAATTAGCTGAGTGTGGTGGCACACGCCTGTAGTCCCAGCTACTCAGGAGGCTAAGGCAGGAGAATCGCTTGAACCCAGGAGACAGAGGTTGCAGTGAGCCGAGATCACGCCATTGCACTCCAGCCTGGGCGACAGAGTGAGACTCAGTCTAAAAAAAATAAAAATAAAAAATAAAAAAAAAAAAAGATTGTAAATACATAGGTGTGGTAAAATCACTGTGAGAGCTGGCAGTTTTTGTAACAACAAAAAAAGACAGAGAGAGTGAGAGAAATACGACCAGGGGACACACTGCTATTCAGTGATCAATAGATAATACTGGCTTCTTAGTTAAAAATGTAAGGGGCACTCTGAGATAGGTCCTTCAAGCTACCATTAAAAAATATCAAGTTGTGCTTGTTGATTATTTTGGCTGATATATCCTTTGATTCAATAAGACTGCTTATTCTGGATCTACTGGTTGAAAACCCTGGTCTTTTCTAGGTGCATGGGTTCCAGCAGTACTTGAGATAAAATAGGTGATCTCAAATAGTGGTTCTTTGCTAACTCATGCCAAGCTGGCCCTCCTGCCAAGGCAAGCAAGGTAGGCCATGGCAATAGTATCAGTTAGGGACCGTGTGATGGCTCACGTCTGTAATCCCACACTCTAGGAAGCCAAGATGGGTGGATCACTTGAGCCCAGGAGTTCAAGACCAGCCCGGGCTACATGGCGAAACCCCGTCTCTACAAAAAATACAAAAATAGCCAGGCGTGCTGGCTGTAGTCCCAGCTACTTGGGAGCTGAGGTGGGAGGAGAATGTGATTGGCCCATCTTGAGTTATGAGCCTGACACTTGACTAAGGGAGGGCAATTATCCCAGACTATAGCATCACTCAAATATATTGCATGGGAAGATGACTCTACAATAAAAAGAAACTGGGTGCTGGGCGCAGTGGCTCACGCCTGTAGTCCCAGCACTTTGGGAGCCCAAGGCAGGTGGATCACCTGAGGTCGGGAGTTCGAGACCAGCCTGACCAACATGGAGAGACCAGCCTGACCGTCTGTACTAAAAATACAAAATTAGTGGGGCGTGGTGGTGCATGCCTATAATCCCAGCTACTTGGGAGGCTAAGGCAGGAGAATCACTTGAACCCAGGAGGCAGAGGTTGTGGTGAGCCGAGACTGCGCCATTGCACTCCATGCCTGGGAAATAAGAGTGAAACTCCGTCTCAAAAAAAGAAAAGAAAAGAAAAGAAACAAACAAAAAAAAGAAACTGGGTGCTGTTTAGAGGGCTGGCTAGAAAACAAATATGCAGTCATAGCAACCTATAACACAACCATCTTTTTTTTTTTTTCCTTTTTTGAGACAGGGGCTCACCCTGTTGCTCAGGCTGGAGTACAGTAGTGCAATAATAGCTTACTGCAGCCTTGACCTCCCAGTGATCCTCCTGCTTCAGCCTCTCAAGTAGCTGGGATTACAGGCATGAGCCACCACGCCTGGCTAATTTTCGTATTTTTTTTTTAGAGACAAGGTTTCGCCGTGTTGCCCAGGCTGGTCTCAAACTCCTGAGCTCAAGTGATCTGCCCACCTTAGCCTCTCAAAGTGCTGGGATTACAGGCATGAGCCACCATGCCCAGCCAACACAACCATCTTTAAAACAGGTGGCAAGAGGTAGTTTGATAATCTCTAAAGAAATATGACCAGGTGGAGGCCAGGCGCGGTGGCTTATGCCTGTAATCCCAGCACTCTGGGAGGCCGAGGCGGGCGGATCACGAGGTCAGGAGATCGAGACCATCCTGGCTAACACGGTGAAAACCCATCTCTACTAAAAATACAAAAAATTGGCCAGGCGTGGTAGCGGGCGCCTGTAGTCCCAGCTACTCGGGAGGTTGAGGCAGGAGAATGGCGTGAACCTGGGAGGCAGAGCTTGCGGTGAGCTGAGATCAGGCCACTGCACTCCAGCCTGGGCGACATAGCAAGACTCCGTCTCAAAAAGAAAAAAAAAAAATGTAAGGGGCACTCTGAAATAGGTCCTTCAAGCTAGCATTCAAAAATATCAAGATGTGGGCTGGGCGCAGTGGCTCATGCCTGTAATCCCAGTGCTTTGGGAGGACGAGGCGGGTGGATCATGAGGTCAGGAGTTCGAGACCAGCTGGCCAATATGGTGAAACCCTGTCTCTACTAAAAATTAAAAAAAATTAGCTGGACATGGTGGCGGGTGCCTGTAGTCTCAGCTACTTGGGAGGCTGAGGCAGGAGAATGGTGTGAACCCAGGAGGCAGAGGTTGCAGTGAGCCGAGATCGCGCCACTGCACTCCAGCCTGGGTGACAGAGCGAGACTCCGTCTCAAAAAAAAAAAAAAAAAAAGCTGTTATGGTCACAATCACAGTTTAATCACAGTGAAAGGAAACAGAGTAAAGTCGGCCAAGGGAAGAGATGCACGGAGCAGAAAGCAGGAAAGTTCCAAATGCAGAGCTCCCAGTGGAATCATGGACAGAGTTAATTTTCCCAGTATGTGTAACAATACTCACAGAGTATTGCCAATCAGGCAGTCTCACCTGAGCTTTGATGTCCAAAGTTTTTTTTTGTTTTGTTGTTGTTTTGAGATGGAGTCTCGCTCTGTGGCCCAGGCTGGAGTGCAGTGGCACAATCTTGGCTCACTGCAACCTCCACCTCCTGGGTTCAAGTGATTCTCCTGCCTCAGCCTCCCAAGTAGCTGGAATTACAGGCATCTGCCACCACGTCCAGCTAATTTTTGTATTTTAAGTGGAGACAGGGTTTCCCCCATGTTGGCCAGGCTGGTCTTGAACTCCTGACCTCAGGTGATCTGCCCACCTTGGCCTCCCAAAGTGCTGGGATTACAGGCATGAGCCACCGCGTCTGGCTGGAATGATGTCTAAAATTTTTATTGGGGCTCAGTCATGTGGACCTGATTGTCTGCCCATGTGACTGACCTCAGTCTCCAGCCCCTCCATAAGTCTACCTGATAAAGTGTGATCCAAAGTCTTCCCTCCTCCCTCATCACATTGCTAAACTATCTGGTACGCCCCAAAGACTTCTGCCTAAATCACATTGTTAGACTGTCCAGTGTGGCCTAAGGTCTGCCTCCTGGTAAACAAAGATACTTTTATCAGGCAAGACATTCCAAGGGCTTAGAGGTTACCTCCCAGGAGCGAAGGGCAAAGGCCAGAACACTCTTTGCAAGGTTAAGTTCTTTACTACATACTCCTTCTATTAGCTAGCAAGTTCCATGAGGTCAGGAACCTGGTCTTCCTCATCTTTAGGTCCCCAGTGCCTGGCATTATGCTTGGCACTTGTTACGTCAATAACTTTTAGTTGAGTGAATGAAGAAATACTAAGGTGGAATGAGAATGCACCCTGGAGGAGAGCCCCTCCTCTCTGCTGCTGCACAGAGGAGTGACCTTGCTGAGAAAGCTAAATGGAGGTGTGTGGCAAGCTGCTAACAGGTGCTTGGATATACTGCAGACTTTTAGGAACAAGAACTATATTTAGTTCTGTGTACGTGATTAAAAGGATAGCTTAAAAACTAACTTTGTACATTGGAAAAGGGAAAGGCAATCACCCTAGCTGTCCTTTCTAATAAAGAAATGAGACTGGGCATGGTGGTTCACACCTATAATCCCAGTGCTTTGGGAGGCCAAGGCAGGAGGATTTCTTGAGGCCAGGAGTTCCAGACCAGCCTGGCCAACAGAGCGAGACCTTGTCTCTACAAAAAATTTAAAAATTAGTTGGGCATGGTGATAGGTGCCTGTAGTCCTAGCTGCTTGGAAGGCTGAGGTAGGAGGATCTCCTATGGCCAGGAGTTAGAGCTGCAATTAGCTATAATTATACCATTGCACTCTATACAGATAGATATTTTTTAGAGATGGGATCTCAACTACATTGCCCAGGCTGGTCTTGAACACCTGGGCTCAAGCAATCCTCCCATCTCGGCCTCCTGAGTGTCTGGGGCTACAGACGTGCACCACTGTGCCCACCTTTCTTTCTTTTGGCAGGGTGGGGTGAATCTTTTATAGCCAAATCATCTTTTTTTTTTTTTTGAGATGGAGTCTTGCTCTGTAGCCCAGGCTGGATTGCAATGGTGCAATCTCGGCTCACTACAACCTCCGCCTCCCGGGTTCAAGCAATTCTCCTGCCTCAGTCTCCTGAGTAGCTGGGATTACAGGCACGCGCCACCACGCCCAGCTAATTTTTGTATTTTTAGTAGAGATGGGGTTTCACCACATTGGTCAGGCTGGTCTCGAACTCCTGACCTCGTGATCCACCCGCCTCAGCCTCCCAAAGTGCTGGGATTACAGGCGTGAGCCACCACGCCCAGCCTCATATCATCTTTATAGCACAACACAAGTCTCTTTTATAGGCAGTAGAAATTTTGGAGCAATGTTTGAGAGGAGCTTTGGATTTTAGAAATAAAAATGTTTGGTGGAGAAGGTTATAAAATTCCAACTCCAGCATTGGAAGTATGTCTATTCTTAAACCCAAATAAATACAACAAAAGAGAGGGGAAAATGGTAAGATATGTCTCATAGATAAAGTGGCCATCTTCCTTGATTCAGTCATTCAACACATTTATCAAGGGATTGCCTACTATGTTCTAGGTTCTAGGTGCTGGGAGTTCAGGGGCCAACAGGACAGATGTGGTTCCTGCCATCCTGAAGCTTACAATCTAGTAAGGCACACAAACACTAGGCCAATGAATGTAGAAACAAGTGCATAATTACAAATTGTGATCAGCTCTCTGACGAATAAAAGGGTGCTATGAGTCTCAGAAAGTGCAGTTCAGTTTAGAGAGTAATCAAGGAAGATCTTGCTGGGGAAGTGACTTTTGAGCTGAGACCTTAAGGATGAATCAGATATGTCTGGTGAAGAAGGTGCTGGGAGGGGAGGATAAGCTTTCTAGACAGAGACCTGAAACTTATGCTATTTTTTTTCTTTCTCTTTTTCTTTTTTGTGGGTACATCACATAGTAGATGTATATATTTATGGGTCACATGAGATATTTTCATACAGGCATGCAACGCATAATAATCACATCAAGGTAAATGGGGTATCCATCCCAGGCATTTATCCTTTGTGTTACAAACAATCCAATTATATTCTTAATTATTTTGAAATGTACAATTAAATTATTTTGTACTATAGTCACCCTGTTGTGCTAGCAAATACACCTTACTCATTCTTTTTTTTTTTTCTAATTTGAGACAGGGTCTCACTCTGTCACCCAGGCTGGAGTGCAGTGGCGTGATCTCAGCTCACTGCAACCCCTGCCTCCCAGGCTCAAGTGATCTTTTTTGTATTTTTAGTAGAGACAGAGTCTTGCCATGTTGCCTAGGCTGGTCTCAAATTCCTGAGCTCAAGCCATCCACTTGCCTTGGCCTCCCAAAGTGCAAGGATTATAGGCATGAGCCATTGCACCTGGCTCTTATTCATTCTTTCTATTTTTCTGTACCCATTAACCATCCCCACTTCTCCCTCACCCCCCACTACCCTTCCCATCCTCTGGTTACCATCCTTCTACTCTTTATCTCCATGAGTTCAATTATTTTAATTTTTAGCTCCTACAAAATAAGTGAGAACATGGGAAGTTTGTCTTTCTGTGCCTGGCTTATTTCACTTAACATAATGACCTTCAGTTCCATCCATGTTGTTGCAAATGACAGGATCCCTCTCTCTCTTTTTTTTTTTTTTTTTTTTTGAGACAGAGTCTCACTCTGTCACCCAGTCTGGAGTGCAGTGGCACAATCTTGGCTCACTGCAACCTCTGCCTCCCAGGTTCAAGCGATTCTCATGCCTCAGCCTCCCAAGTAGCTGGGATTACAGGTATGCGCCACCACACCCGGTTAATTTTTGTATTTTTAGTATTTTTTTAAACAGAGACAGGGATTCATCATGTTGGCTAGGCTGGTCTTCAACCCCTGGCCTCAAGTGATCTGCCCCTCGGCCTCCCAAAGTGCTGAAATTACAGGCGTGAGTCACTGTACCCGGCCTCATTCTTTTTTATGACTTAATAGTTCTCCATTGTGTATCTGTGCCACATTTTCTTTATCCATTTATATGTTGATGAACACTTAGGCTGCTTCCAAATTTTAGCTATTGTGAATAGTGCAGCAGTAAACATGGGAGTGCAGATGTCTCTTCAACATACTGATTTCCTTTCTTTGGGGTATATACCTAGGAGGGGGATTGGTAGCTTTATTTTTGGCTTTTTCTTTTCTTTCCTCCCCTCCCTCTCCCCTCCCCTCCCACTCCCCTCTCTTCCCCTCCCCTTCCTTCCCCTCCTCCCTCCCCTTTTCCTCCTCTCCCCCCTCCCCTCCCCTTTCCTTCCCTCCCCTCCCCTTTTCCTCCCTTCCCCTTTTCTTCCCCTCCCCTTCCTTCCCCCCTCCTCCCCTCACCCCTCTTTTCCCCTACACCTTCCCTCCCTTCCCTTCCCCTCCCCTCTCCTCCCTTTTCAACAAGGTCTGACTCTCTTGCCCAGGCTGGAGTGCAGTGGTGTAATCACAGTTCACTGCAGCCTTTATTTCCCAGGCTCAAGTGATCCTCACACCTCAGCCTCCCAAGTACCTGGGACTACAGGTGTGCATCACTACTCCTAGCTGATTTTCTTTATATTTTGTACAGATGAGGTCTCACTGTGTTGCCCAGCCTGGACTCAAACTCCTGGAATCTTGGACTCAAGTGATCTTCCTGCCTTAGCCTCCAGGCATGAGCCACCTCACCTGGCTATATTTTTAGGTTTTCTTTAGGAACCTCCAAATTGTTCTCCATAGTGGTTGTACTAATTTATATTCCCACCAAAAGTGTATGAGGGTTCCCTATTCTCCACATCCTTGCCAGCATTTGTTATTGCCTGTCTTTTGGATAAAAACCATTTTAACTGGGGTGAGATGGTATCTCATTGTAATTTTATTTTATTTTATTTATTTATTTATTTTGAGATAGAGTCTCACTCTGTTGCCCAGGCTGGAGTGCAGTGGCGCAATCCGCCTCCCGGGTTCAAGCGATTCTCCTGTTTCATCCTCCTGAGTAGCTGGGATTACAGGTGTGCACCACTGTGCCCTGCTAATATTTGTATTTTTAGTAGAGACGAGGTTTCACCATGTTGGCCAGGCTGGTCTTGAACTCCTGACCTCAAGTGATCCACCTGCCTCGGCCTCCCAAAGTGCTGAGATTAAAGGCATGAGCCACCATGCCTGGCCTCATTGTAGTTTCGATTTGCATTTCTCTGATGATCAGTGAAGTTAAGCATCTTTTTATATGCCTGTTGAGATTTAAATGTCTTATTTTATAAAATGTCTGTTCTGGGCTGGGTGTGGTGGCTCACGCATGTAATCCCAGCACTTGGAGAGGCTGAAGTGGGTGTATCATCTGAGGTCAGGTGTTCAAGACCAGCCTGGACAATATGGTGAAACCCCATCTCTACTAAAAATACAAAAATTAGCTGGGCATGGTGGTGGGCGCCTGTAATCCCAGCTACTCAGGAGGCTGAGGCATGAGAATTGCTTGAACCCAGGAGGCGGAGGTTGCAGTGAGCTGAGATCGCATCACTGCACTCCAGCCCGGGTGATAGATTGAGACTCTCTCTCAGAAAAACAAAACAAAACGTCTGTTTTGGGCCGGGCGCGGTGGCTCACGCCTGTAATCCCAGCACTTTGGGAGGCCAAGGCGGGCAGATCACCTGAGGTTAGGAGTTCGAGACCAGCCTGGTCAACATGGCGAAAGCCTGTCTCTACTAAAAATACAAAAATTAGCCGGATATATATGTAGAAAGCTGAAACTGCATCCCTTCCTTACACCTTATACAAAAATTAATTCAAGATGGATTAAAGACTTAAATGTTAGACCTAAAACCATAAAAACCCTAGAAGAAAACCTAGGCAATACCATTCAGGACATAGGCGTGGGCAAGGACTTCATGACTAAAACACCAAAAGCAGTGGCAACAAAAGCCCAAAATAGACAAATGGGATTTAATTAAACTAAAGAACTTCTGCACAGCAAAAGAAACTACCATCAGAGTGAACAGGCAACTTACAGAATGGGAGAAAATTTTTGCAATCTACCCATCTGACAAAGGGCTAATATTCGGAATCTACAAAGAACTTAAACAAATTTACAAGAAAAAATCAAACAACCCCATCAAAAAGTGGGTGAAGGATATGAACAGACGCTTCTCAAAAGAAGACATTTATGCAGCCAACAGACACATGAAAAAATGCTCATCACCACTGGCCATCAGAGAAATGCAAATCAAAACCACAATGAGATACCATCTCACACCAGTTAGAATGGCGATCATTAAAAAGTCAGGAAACAACAGATGCTGGAGAGGATGTGGAGAAATAGGAACTCTTTTACACTGTTGGTGGGAGTATAAACTAGTTCAACCATTGTGGAAGACAGTGTGGCAATTCCTCAAGGATCTAGAACTAGAAATATGATTTGACCCAGCGATCCCATTACTGGGTATATACCCAAAGGATTATGAATCATGCTACTATAAAGACACGTGCACACATATGTTTATTGCGGCACTATTCACAATAGCAAAGACTTGGAACCAACCCAAATGTCCATTAGTGATAGACTGGATTAAGAAAATGTGGCACATATACACCATGGAATACTATGCAGCCATAAAAAAGGATGAGTTCATGTCCTTTGTAGGGACATGGATGAAGCTGGAAACCATCATTCTCAGCAAACTATCGCAAGGATAGGAAACCAAACACCGAATGTTCTCACTCATAGGTGGGAATTGAACAATGAGAACACTTGGACACAGGGTGGGGAACATCAAACAGCGGGGCTGGTCATGGGGAGGGATAGCATTAGGAGATATACCTAATGTAAATGACGAGTTAATGGGTGCAGCACACCAATATGACACATGTATACATATGTAACAAACCTGCACATTGTGCACATGTACCCTAGAACTTAAAGTATAATAATAATAAAAAAAATTAGCCAGATGTGGTGGTGCACACCTGTAATCCCAGCTACTCGAGAGGCTGAGGCAGGAGAATTGCTTGAAACGAGGGGGCAGAGGATGCAGTGGGCTGAGATCGTGCCATTGCACTCCAGCTGAGGTGACAGAGTGACACTCTGCCTCAAAAAAAATAAAAAGCAAGGAGGGGCCAGGCGCGGTGGTTCACGCCTGTAATCCCAGCTACTTGAGAGGCTGAGGCACAAGAATCACCTGAGCCAGGGAAGTGGAAGTTGCAGTGAGCCGAGATTGTGCCACTGCACTCCAGCCTGGGTAACAGAGCGAGACTCCATCTCAAACAAAAGAAAAACAGCTGGGTGTGGTGGCTCACGCCTGTAGTCCCAGCACTTTGGGAGGCCGAGGTGGATGGATGACGAGGTCAGGAGTTCACGACCAGTCTGGCCAACATGGTGAAAACCCATCTCTACTAAAAATACAAAAATTAGCTGGGCGTAGTGGCAGGCGCCTGTAATCCCAACTACTCGGGAGTCTGAGGCAGAGAATTGCTTGAACCCAGGAGGCGGAAGTTGCAGTAAGCTGAGACCGCACTACTGTACTCCGGCCTGAGCAACACAGCAAGACTCCATCTCAGCAAAAAAAAAAAAAAGTAAGGAGGCTGTATCAATGGATCTACTATATATGCTTTTTGTAAAATAAGGATCATAGTTTCACCTTTCTTATACTATTATGGTGAGAGTAAATCAATGAAAGTCATTTAGAACAGTGTGTGGGGTAAATGTAAGGACACAATAAATGTCAACCTATTATTTCAGTGTATGTGTGTACTGTAATTTATTTACTGAGTCTTCTATTGATGGGCCATAATGTTTCTTTGTTTGGGATGGAGTCTCACTCTGTTGCCAGGCTGGCGTGCAGTAGGGCGATCTCGGCTCACTGCAACCTCCACCTCCCAGGTTCAAGTGATTCTCTTGCCTCAGCCTCCCGAGTAGCGGGACTATAGGCATGTGCCACCACACTCAGCTAATTTTTGTATTTTTAGTAGAGACGGGGTTTCACCATGTTGGTCTCAATCTCTTGATCTCGTGATCTGCCCACCTTAGCCTCCCAAAGTGCTGGGATTACAGGTGTGAGCCACCGCGCCCAGCCTTTTTTTTTTTTTTTTTTTTTTGAGACAGAGTCTCCCTCTGTCACCAGGCTGGAGTGCAGTGGTGGTGCGATCTCGGCTGACTGCAACCTCTGCCTCCCGGGTTCAAGCGATTCTCCTGCCTCAGCCTCTCGAGTGGTTGGGACAGTGGTGCGCACAACCATGCCCAGCTAATTTTTGTATCTTAGTAGAGACAAGGTTTCACCATGTTGGCCATGATGGTCTTGTTCTCCTTACCTCGTGATCCGCCTGCCTCAGCCTCCCAAAGTGCTGTGATTACAGGCATGAGCCACCGTGCCCGGCCTCATAATGTTTTCAATCTTTTGATACTACAAGCCATTCTGCAGTCTTTTAAGATTTTTGTTTGTTTGTTTTGCAACAGAGTTTTGCTCTCGTTTTATAGGCTAGAGTGCCATGGTGCGATTTCGGCTCATTGCAACCTCTGCCTCCCAGGTTCAAGCAATTCTGCCTCAGCCTCCCGAGTAGCTGGGATTACAGGCATGCAACATCTCGTCTGGCTAATTTCTTGTATTTTTAGCAGAGACGGGGTTTTACCATGTTGATCAGGGTGGTCTCGAACTCCTGACCTCAAGTGATCCACCCACCTGGGCCTCCCAAAGTGCTGGGATTACAGGCGTGAGCCCCGGTGCCCAGCCCAGCCTTTAAGATTTGATTGGGCAGGATGACAGTACCATACTTGAGTTCATTGGTTCAAGCCTGCAGTTACAGGCAAGCCAGGTAGTTGCCTCTCTACTCTGGGTCTCCTGGATTTACCTCTCAAAACAAACTGGCCAGCCAGCCGCCTTGCACTTTGTTTTGTTATTCACGTTTGTGCTCAGAAATTTCCAAACATTGTCCTGTTAAAACAGTGATGGATAACAGTTCCGGAGAACTCTCTTTCCTTACACACCCACACGCCCACACACACAGCTGTGCCTCTGAAAACACTGCTGAGTTCTCTCTCAGCCCACTCAGTTAAATATCTTTATTAATTCTCCTCCTCACCCAGTTCCTAGATCAGGAGTTAGAATGCCTGGGTTCAAGTTTTAGCTCAATACTAATTATTTAGTTGTGTGACTTTGGATAAATCACTGACCCCTGGTGTCCTGAGGATCAGTGGGCAAAACAAATGTGAAGTGTAAATAGTGAGTTGAGAGACTCCATCCTCTCCTGTCTCCAATCAATGGTTTGTACTACTCAGGTCCTGCTGTTTCTTACTCCAGTTTAGTCCTAGAACCATTTGCTTGCCTAGGGAGAAAAAGCATACTTGGCCCGGCACGGTGGCTGACGCCCAACACTTTGGAAGGGGGAGGCAGGCAGATCACTTGAGCCCAGGAGTTCAAGCCTGAGGCTGGGAGTGATAGCTCACAACTATAATCCTAGAGCTTTGGGAGGCCAAGGTGGGTGGATCACTTGAGGTCAGGAATTCGAGACCAGCCTGGCCAACATGGTGAAAACCCGTCTCTACTAAAAAAAACACAAAAATTATATGGGCATGGTAGTGCATGCCTGTAATCCCAGCTACTCTGAAGGCTGAGGCAGGAGAATCACTTGAACCCGGGAGGCAGAGGTGGCAGTGAGCCCAGATCGTGCCATTACACTCCAGCCTGGGTGACACAGCGAGAGACCCTGTCTCAAAAAAAAAAAAAAAAAAAAAACGGGCAAGATAGTGGTTACCCTTCAGCAGAGTAGTAACTGACTGTGGGGTGGGGGATGGGCAAAAGGCGAGGCTTTGGCAAGTTCAGAATATTCTATTTGTTGATCTGTGCATTGGGCACAGACACGAGTGTGTTCAGTTTATGAAAATTCATCTGGCCGGGTGCAGTGGCTTACGCCTGTAATCCTAGCACTTTGGGACGCTGAGGTGGGTGGATTGCTTTGAGCTCAGGAGTTTGAGACCAGCCTGGGCAATGTGGCAAAACCCCATCTCTACAAAAAATATAAAAATGGGCCAGGCCTGGTGGCACGCACCTATAGTCCCAGCTATTTGGGAGGCTGAGGCTGGAGGATCGCTTGAGCCAGGAAGTAGAGGTTGCAGTGAGCCAGGATTGTGCTGTTGCACTCTATCCTGGGCAACAGAGTGAGACCCTGTCTCAAAAAATAAAATAAAAAAATTCATCAAGCAGTACACTTATATTTGTACTTTTTCTGTATATTACACTTCAATAAAAAGAAAGCAGGCTGGATGCAGTAGTTCACGCCTGTAATACCAGCACTTTGGGAGGCTGAGGTGGGCGGATTGCGTGAGGTCAGGAGTTCGAGACCAGCCTGGCTAACATGGTGAAACCCTGTCTCTACTAAAAATACAAAAATTAGCAGGGTGTGCTGGTGGACGCCTGTAATCTCACCTACTCAGGAGGCTGAGGCAGGAGAATTGCTTGAACCCAGGAGGTGGAGGTCACAGTGAGCCGAGATCACGCCATTGCACTCCAGCCTGGGAAACAGAGCAAGACCTCCACTCAAAAAAAAAAAAAAAAAAAAAAAAAAAAAAAAGTATTCCAGACTGGTTACAATACTGAAACTAAAGGAGTGATGAAGTCAACCTCCAGTCAGCTGTATTGATGCAAAGGAGAAAATATCCTAGCTGAGATAAAGATTCAAATACCAAGGATATCGTCTCTGATTCTTACCAAGGGCAGCCTGAAGTTCCTATTGCATTAATGCAGAAATTAGTTGAGGTCAGGGATTGTTTTTAAAATCCTAGAAGGAGCCGGGCATGGTGGCTCATGCCTGTAATGCCAACACTTTGGCAGGCTGAGGCGGGTGGATTGCCTGAGGTCAGGAGTTTGAGACCAGCCTGGCCAACACAGTGAAACCCCATCTCTACTAAAAATACGAAAAATTAGCTAGGCATGGTGGCAGACACCTGTAATCCCAGCTACTAGGGAGGCTGAGGCAGGAGAATTGCTTGAACCTGGGAAGTGGAGGTTGCAGTGAGCTGAGATCGTGCCATTGCACTCCAGCCTGGGCAACAAGAGCGAAACTCCATCTCAAACAAAAACAAAAATCCTAGAAGGCTGGGCACGGTGGCTCACACCTGTAATCCCAGCACTTTGGGAGGCTGAGGCAGGAAGATCGCCTGAGCCCAGTGTAACTGCCCAATGGGATCACCTTGCCTGCTGCTTACACAGCGGATATATCAAGACAGGGGAATTGCAATGGCAAAAGAGTAATTCACACAGAGCCGTCTGTGCAGGAGAGTGGAGTTTTATTATTATTATTATTATTATTATTTTGATTCAGCGTCTCGCTGTTTCGCCAGGCTGGAGTGCAGTGATGCGATCTTGGCTCACTGCAACCTCCACCTCCCGGGTTCAAGCGCTTCTCCTGCCTCAGACTCCCGAGTAGCTGGGACGACAGGTACGCGCCACCATGCCCAGCTAATTTTTGTATTTTTACTAGAGACGGGGTTTCACCATGTTGGCCAGGATGGTCTCGATCTCTTAACCTCATGATCCGCCTGCCTCAGCCTCCCAAAGTGCTGGGATTACAGGCGTGAGTCACCATGCCCGGCCTGGAGCTTTATTATTACTGAAATCAGTCTCCCTGGAGCATTAAGGGATCAGAGTTTTTAAAGATAATTTGGTGGGTAGGGGCTTAGGAAGTGGAGAGTGCTGATTGGTCAGGTTTGAGATTGGATCATAGGGAGTTGAAATGAGTTTTTCTTGCTGTCTTCTGTTCCTGGTTGGGATGGCAGACCTATTTGGGCCAGATTACCAGTCTGGATGGTATCAGCTGATGCACTGGGTGCAGGGTCTGCAAAATATCTCAAGCACTGATCTTAGGTTTTACAATAGTGATGTTATCCCCAGGAGCAGTTTGGGGAGGTTTAGACTCTTGGAGCCCATGGCTGCATGACCCCTAAATTGTAATTTCTAATCTTGTAGCTTAATCTGTTAGTCCTGCAAAGGCAGACTGGACCCCAGGGAAGAAGGGGGTCTTTTCGGGAAAGGGCTATTATCAATTTTGTTTCAGAGTCAAACCATGAACTGAATTCCTTCCCAAAGTTAGTTCGGCCTATGCCCAGGAATGAACAAGGACAGCTTAAGGGTTAGAAACAAGATAGAGTCAGTTAGGTCTGATTTCTTTCACTGTCATAAAATCATCAGTTATAATTTTGCAAAGGCAGTTTACCAGGAGTTTGAGACCAGCCTGGGCAACATAGTAAGACCCCTATCTCTACCAAAAAAAAAAAAAAAAAAATTAGCCAGGTGCAGTGGTGTGCACCTGTAGTCCCACCTACTCAGGAGGCTGAGGCGGGAGGATTGCTTGAGCCCAGGACTTTGAAGCTGCAGTGAGCTGTGATCACGCCACTGCACTCCAGCCTGGGCAACAAAGTGAGACCCTGTGTTAAAACAACAACAACAACAACAACAACTTTGGGAGGCCGAGGTGGGCGGATCACGAGGTCAGGAGATTGAGACCATCCTGGCTAACATGGTGAAAGCCCGTCTCTACTAAAAATACAAAAAAATAAAAAAAATAAAAATAAAAATTAGCCGGGCGCGGTGGCGGGTGCCTGTAGTCCCAGCTACTTGGGAGCCTGAGGCAGGAGAATGGCGTGAACCTGGGAGGGGGAGCTTGCAGTGAGCCGAGATCGCGCCACTGCACTCCAGCCTGGGTGACAGAGTGAGACTCCGTCTCAAAAAAAGAAAAACAAAAAAGCCAGGCGCGCGGTGGCTCACGCCTGCCTGTAATCCCAGCACTTTGGAAGACCGAGGCGGGCGGATCACAAGGTCAGGAGTTCGAGACCAGCCTGACCAACATGGTGAAACCCCGTCTCTACTAAAAATACAAAAATTAGCCGGGCGTGGTGGCTCGCACCTGTAATCCCAGCTACCCAGGAGGCTGAGGCAGGAGAATCGCTTGACCCCGGGAGGTGGAGGTTGCAGTGAGCCGAGATCGCGCCACTGCACTCCAGCCTGGGCGACACAGAGACTCCGTCTCAAAAAAAAAAATAAAAAAAAAATCATAGGAGCATCACAACTCACAGCACCTTCCTGTTGTCTGAAGGCCCCTCCTTTGGGTCCCTCAGGACTGGCTCCAGGGCTTCAGCCTTGGAACTAGTTGTGGACTTTGGGTCCCTTTGGAATATTTATCTTTGGCTTGGAATAATGCAACAACGTACCAGACCCAGCCTTGCCTTCTCTATGCCCCATTCCTCCCCAAATGACTCCAAGACTGTACCCCTAATCCTGAACCCTTTGCTGCACTTGCCCTAGTGAAAATCAAAGGTCTGCAAAGGCCGCGTCATTCCTGAATGATGTTCGGAGTCTGATGTCGTTTCTATGGGGGATTAAAATTAGCGACACTGGAGATGAATTACAGGGTGCAGCCAGTAAGGAGGGAGAGAGAGGGAGGCAGGTGCGATTCCTTCCACCTAAGCATCCTGGCCTGGCAGGCAACCTTTCCAGGGTCTTTCAGGCTGCAAGCGACAAATAGTTGAGGATTGTGGGTTTCTCACGCGTAGGTGGCAGCGGCAAGTTAACCCCAGGAGAGGTGCCAGTCAGCAGATAATTTGCAAACGAACGTATTCTCCTCCTCCTCCGAGGATCTGAGCCTCACGAAATACTCTTTTCTTCCTTTTTCTCCCTCCCGCAGTCGAGTTGCCTTCCGTCCAGCTAGGGTCCCCTCCCCGCCCGGGTCCCCTCCCCCTCCCGGTCCCCTCCCCCGCCCGGGCTCCTCTCTGTCTCCCCCTCCCGGACTGCGTCCTCGCTCCGCCGGGCCCTCCTCGCCGCCAGCTTGTGAATGAGACGCTCAGTTTCTCAATGGAGCCGCGGGGGGCTCGGGCGGCCGCGGGGCGGCCGCAGCGTTGGCCGTGAGTCAGGAGGGGGGCGCGTTTCCCTCGCTCCCTCTCCACTCCCTCCCTTTCGCTGCGGCCGCCCGCGAGGAGCCTGGCTGAGGCAGCCGCGCAGGTCGCAGGGCCAGCGTCCGCGAGGACGGCCCGGCTGGGCGGCCCCGAGCTCTGTGGCGCTGTGGAGGAGCGGGAGCGCGGCCGAGGAAGCGGGGCGCCGAGGGGGTCGGCGGCCTTCGGGAAATTTCCGCCGACCCTTCGCTCCCGGCTCTAAAAGTTCCTGATTTCCTATTTCCTTTTAAATCCCGAGTGGCTGTTAGCTCTTCGCCTGCACTTTTTCTTCCCCAGGAGATAAGGGGGAGTGTGAGGAACGGAGCGAATAATATAAAAAAGGATTTCCTCCCGGAAGAGAGCGGCAGTTCGGAGAGATTTTTCTTAAGGAAGCAGAAGCGGCGTTTGCGGCCGCTGCAGGCGCCGGGCCCTGCCGGCCACACTATGCGCGAGCCGGCCCCGGGCTGCTGAGGCGCGGGGACGCGGAAGCGGAGGCCGAGCGCGCCGGGCTCCCGCGCTCGCGAGCGAGTTTTGTCCGCCCGGCGGCGGTGGCGGGGGGATGGAGCCCGCGACCGCGCCCCGGCCCGACATGGCGCCGGAGCTGACCCCGGAGGAGGAGCAGGTAAGCGGGCCCGAGGCCGCCGCGTTGGGTGTGTCCGGGCCCCCGAGGCCTACGCCGGCCTCTGCCTCCCGAGTGCCGGCTCTTTGCAGCCACGGGGCCGCAGCCCCCCGCTCCCGTGCCCGGCTCGCGGGCCTCCCTCACCGGCGACCGCGCCCCAGGCCGCCACCCCCTCGTCGGGGGACCCACGGGACCCTACTCCCGTTCCCGCCGCTTCTTTCGCCGAGGCTTACCAGCCTCAGACGGTGCCCTCCGCACCCCACCCCCTATTCCAGGGGCAAAGTTCCTTGGATCCAGGGGCCTTCTTCCCGAGATTTGCAGAACCGCTGCTTGCCCCCGGCCCTTCCACTCCCTTGTAAATGTTTTCCGTGAGGGTTTGTGGCTTTTGAAGGGCAGGAAAAGCCCCAGTTTGGGGGGTGCTTCCTGTGGGGATTATCTCCCTTCCCGAGGAGAGGGCTGAGAGTATTGGATGCATAGATGCCCTAGATTTTCAGAGGAGCCTCTTAGGTTTCTCAGGCCCACTTGGGCAGGTTATGGAAGATCCAGCCCTTCTCGTGTTCCTAAAGTCCCTGGCCTTGACCCCCCTATTCAGCTATCCCAGACGGGGCGCATCTCCTCACCCGCGCTTCCCTACCCTCGTCTCATCTGACTGTCTCCATCTTTCTGAAGCTTACATTGAGCTCTATTGTTCCTTAAAAGCCTATGACCTTTAGTTTTCAGAAGGAAGTGGTTTGCTGTCTCATTTTGGGGGCCCTTGTAACTTTCCCTCCCGCACATTCCAGCTGCGGAGACAGGGACCACTCCTGAGGAAGATGGGAAGGTCTGCTAGCTTAGACTGGGAACCCTACGGGCTTTTCGCTGTCTCTTCCTTGGCACTGCCCATACCCCGCCATAGCTATGCTCGATTATAGTCATAGTCTGATTCCATGTTATAAATAAAAAAAATAAAAATAAACATGAAAAAAGAAAAAGGCAAACCATGCTGGCAACCCATTTCAAGCTCTACAGCTCTTGTTTCCAAGGACCACATTTGCTAGCACAGCCTCTAGTGTGAAGACAGTCCAGTTTTACAAACTATTATTGGCTAATGGGCTTGTTGACCTGATTTTTTAAAGTCCTTGTCTTTTCTCCTTATTTGTGGAGATGACATTTTTCTATTTGGCCTCAGGCCACGGTTTTGTCTTTTGACACCTGGTGATGAAATCTGTATGGGAAAAAAATTTAAAAAGAATTCTGCTTTGTACAAGCAGTGGTAATGAATGTCCTGGTAACTGCAGTTGGATGTTAATAAAATGCTAGTCAGACCCTAGTGCAAGCAGGTGGCCAAGGAGCCCATTCTGCCAGAATTGGGAAGTACTTCAGTACTAAGATAGGATGTGTTGGCTGATTTTAAAGGGACAAAATCTCTTTCTTTCATCCTTTTCCTTGGGTCAGTCAGATTTCTGTTTTTAAGACTTAAAGCCATCAGTATTCTATGCAAATAGCATCCGTTGCAAATTTGAAAACTAAAACCAGGAAAAGTAAATATTAAAGTATTGATAGTATTGACATGGTATTGGCTTTACTTTGTACATAGTGCATACACATATATACAGATGTGTTTAACTAGTAAAAACCTTATCTTTTACCCTGAATTGAATGTGATGGGCATTAACAAGGACTAGGATGGAAACGGCAAAATGTTTATTAAAGTCAAGAGATTGTGTGTGTGTGTGTTTTTAAAATCTTATCTCTTTTTTCTACAAAATATTATTTTTTTACAAGCATTTCAAAATATTGAAACAAAAGCAGTATAGTTCTAATTATGGTAATGCCTAATGTTACCATATTTTAGTTTAATATCACATAAGAGTACTCTCTTTTTTTTTGAGATGGAGTTTTGATTTTTTGTTTGTTTGTTTGTTTTTTTGAGACAGAGCCTCGCCCTGTCATCTAGGCTGGAGTGCAGTGGCCTGATCTTGGCTCACTGCAACCTCTGCCTCCAGGGTTCAAACGATTCTCCTGCCTCAGCCTCCCGAGCAGCTGGGATTACAGGCGCCTGCCACCATGCCCAGCTAATTTTTGTATTTTTAGTAGACGCGGGGTTTCACCATGTTGGCCAGGCTGGTCTTGAACTCCTGACCTCATGATCTGCCCGCCTCGTCCTCCAAAAGTGCTGGGATTACAGTCGTGAGTTACTGCGCCTGGCCGGAGTTTGGGTTTTGTTGCCCAGACTGGAGTACAATGGCGTGATCTCGGCTCACTGCAACCTCCATCTGCCGGGTTCAAGCGATTCTCCTGCCTCAGCCTCCTGAGTATCTGGGATTACAGGTACCCACCATGCCCAGCTAATTTTTGTATTTTTAGTAGAGATGGGGTTTCACCGTGTTGGCCAGGCTAGTCTCATCATACTCCTGGCCTCAGGTGATCCACCCGCCTTGGCCTCCCAAAGTGTTGGGATCACAGGTGTGAGCCACTGCACACAGCCAGAAGTACCCTTTTGTTTTTTAACTGAGTCTTGCTCTGTTGCCAGGCTGAAGTGTAGCGTTGTGATCTCGGCTCACTGCAAACTCTGCCTCCCTGATTCAAGCGATTCTCCTGCCTCAGCCTCCCAAGTAGCTGTGACTTCAGGCGTGCGTGCCACCATGCCCAGCTAAGTTTTGTATTTTTACTAGAGACGGGGTTTCACCATGTTGGAGGATGGTCTCGATTTCTTGACCTCGTGATCCACCCGCCTTGGCCTCCCAAAATGCTGGGATTACAGGCCTGGGCCGCTGTGCCCAGCCAAGAGTACTCTTTTTTTTTTTTTTTTTTTTTTTGAGATGGAGTCTTGCTCTGTTGCCCAGGCTGGAGTGCAGTGGCGCAATCTCGGCTCACTGCAAGCTCCACCTCCTGGGTTCATGCCATTCTTCTGTCTCAGCCTCCCGAGTAGCTGGGACTACAGGCGCCCGCCACCACGCCTGGCTAATTTTTCATATTTTTAGTAGAGACGGGGTTTCCCCATGTTAGCCAGGATGGTCTCGATCTCCTGACCTCATGATCCACCCGCCTTGGCCTCCCAAAGTGCTGGGATTACAGGCGTGAACCACCGCGCCCAGCCAAGGGTACTCTTAAGATTTATTTAAAATATTAAAATTAAACAGCAGTACATAAGTGTTAGCCTTATCAAAGTGGTCCTCATGGGAACTGACACATTCACTCCGTAATGCTGCCCTATTGCTCAAACCAATTTAACATTTATTTGGAGTTGATTTAGAAGCTTGTGGCAGAATCTTTGAAATTTCTTCAGTGTAGGAAAATCCTTGTACTTTTGAGAGTCAGTTTGATTTCTGTAAATAGCAAAAAATCTTTTAGAGCCTTATTTAAAGTAGGGGATCAAATTCGGTTTACACATTTTCATGCAAAAGTGTAGTGCAGTTAGGCCCTTTTTGGCCTGTGTGAACAGCCTTAAAGATATTTCTTTTCGGCCGGGCGCGGTGGCTCACGCCTGTAATCCCAGCACTTTGGGAGGCAGAGGCGGGCGGATCATGAGGTCAGGAGATCGAGACCATCCTGGCTAACACAGTGAAACCCCGCCTCTACTAAAAATACAAAAAATTAGCCGGGCGTCGTGGCGGGCGCCTGTAGTCCCAGCTACTCGGGAGGCTGAGGCAGGAGAATGGCGTGAACCCGGGAGGCGGAGCTTGCAGTGAGCCGAGATCCCGCCGACAGAGCGAGACTCCGTCTCCTCTGTCTCAAAAAAAAAAAAAAAAAAAGATATTTCTTTTCTTTCTTTCTTTTTTTTTTTTTTTTTTTGAGACAGAGTTTTGCTCTTGTTGCCCAGGCTGGAATGCAATGGCGTGATCTTGGCTCATTGCAACCTCTGCCTCCCGGGTTCGAGCAATTCTCTTGCTTCAGCCACCCTAGTAGCTGGGATTACAGGCGCCCGCCACCACACCCAGCTAAGTTTTTGTATTTTTAGTAGAGATGGGGTTTCACTACATTAGCTAGGCTGGTCTCGAACTCCTGACCTCAGGCAATTCACCCACCTCAGCCTCCCAAAGTGCTGGGATTACAGGCGTGAGCCACCGCGCCTGGCTCCTTAAAAATATTTCTGAAGCAGAATACCTCCTGAGTGGTATCTCCTTCTGTACAGTCATATGAATCAGAAACCCAGAAGTCTTGGACACTGCTGTCCCTCTGCCCTTGTGTACAATACAGTGTTAGATTTTCCTGAATATCTCTTGAATTCATTGGCTTCCTTCCACCATCACTGCCATCACCCTATTCGAAGCTACTATCCTATCCTGACAGGACTTTTGTTTCCCACCTGGTCCATCCATATTCCAGAATCCAGAAGCCAGAGTCCTGTTGAAAATCTGATTTCATCTTCCCCTCAGCCTGCCTGCCCCGCAAAGAAGCATTCATAAAACTCTTTAGTGGCTTCTGGTTGCCTTTTTTTTTTTTTTTTGTGGAGACAGGATCTCACTTTGTCACCCAGGCTGGAGTCCAGTGGTGTAATCACGGCTCATTACAGCCTCAACCTCCTGGGTTCAAGCCGTCCTCCTGCCTCAGCCTCCCAAAGCCTTAGGATTACAGGCCTTGTCATTGCTCTTGAGATCAAATTGCAACTTTTGAATGTAGGCTATATATCTAGGCCCTTGAGCAGCCTAGGCCCTAGCTAGTTCTCACACTTGTCTCTGCTCCATGCACACTGGCCTTATAGTCCTGCCTTCTTTCCTTGTTTCCTCCTGCTTACAGGGTCTTTGCAGGAGCTGCTTTCCTCCATCTGGAAACACCCCCCTTTGTTAACCTCCTCTTCATCCTTCAGCTCTCAGGTTTCACCTCCTTGGAAGGCCTTCCTTGATTTCAGTTAGATTAGATTCTAACCTAATAGGTTCTCAGAGCACCATTTACCTGTCATTCACATCACTTATCACAAGTTAACACTTATTTGTGTGATTACATGACTGCAAGCAAGCTCTATGAGGGTTGGGATTATTTTCGCTTTTGCTCCCCATCATATGCACATTGCCTAGCATAATGACTGACATAATGACTGGCACTTACGGAAATACTTGCAGAATGAATGAAGAGTAGTTGTACTCTTGATTTGTATACAGGCAGCATCATCTTCTTTCAGAGTGGCTTAAAAATAAGCACATTACATATTTTGATTTTTTTCCCCATCAAATGGCAATATATACTTTGATTTATATGCTGTGTATGCATTGATATAGTTTTTGAAAGTCATGATTACTTAGTCTCATTTTCTGTCTAGGCATGTGTTGAACGGATACAAATCCTCATTTGTAACTTTGGTGTTTCTTGTTTTTCAGCTCCTCAATAATTATAAAGCCTACAATTGGGCTACGAGGACAAATATGATGTTTTTGCTTTTAAGGAGCTTATATGAATAACAATCGTAACAGTATCTTTTCTAAACTCCTGCTTTCAGTCAGGCTCTGTGGTGGGCATTTCACATGCAATTAATCGTCCCTCCCAAGATTGGAATTACTACCCTCACTTTGCAAATAAGAAAACTCAGACTGAGAGAAGGAAATTGCCCAAGGTCACATAGTTAACAAGTGATGTAGCCATGATTTCCACCCAGGTCTAGGTTTTCTGCCTTCACTGCCAGTGTTTCCTCTTTTACACTACATTACTTCCCATGAAGCCATTAGCCAATTTACTTAGGTGCCTAAGTGGGTATAAAATAGCTAATTTTGTGGGTTTTGGTATTGATATATGTGTTTGGTTTTGTTAATGCTTCTTAAAATATAGTTTGAAAAGTACAGATGAAAAGATACAGAAAACCTTTACTCAGCTGTGTATTGCCAGAGGAAACATACTGTATACTCTGTGCAAGAAATTATGATGAAATTACTATAGGAAAAAAATTTGTTCCTTAAAACAGAGTTGTCAACTCTCCATTTCAAGGTGTGGTCACAACTACAATAAAATTTTATTTTCTTTATATCTTCTTGTTCTTTTGCACAAGAAGGCTTGTGAAAGCCTTTCTTTTTCTTTCTTTCTTTTTTTCTTTTTTTTTGAGACAGAGTCTCGCTCTGTCGCCCAGGCTGGAGCGCAGTCTCAGCCCACTGCAACCTCCGCCTTCTGGGTTCAAGCGATTCTCCTGTCTCAGCCTCTCGAGTAGCTGGGACTACAGGCATGCACCATCACACCCGACTAATTTTTGTATTTTCTTTTTAGTAGAGATGGGGTTTCACCATGTTGGCTAGTCTGGTCTCCAACTCCTGATCTCAAGTGATCAGCCTGCCTTGGCCTCCCCAAGTGCTCGGATTACAGGCATGAGCCACCATGCCTGGCCGTAAAAGCCTTTCTTAATGGGCTGGCAGTTTGGCAGTGTGAAGGACAATTTCTACATATAAGTATTAATCTTCATTGTCATTATGTTATTGTGTTTTGAGACGGAGTCTTGCTTTGTTGCCCAGGCTGTGGGCAGTGGCACGATCTCAGCTCACTGCAACCTTTGCCTCCTGGGTTCAAGCGATTCTCATGCCTTGGCCTCCCGAGTAGCTGGGATTACAGGCACCTGCCACCACGCCTGGCTTATTTTTGTATTTTTAGTAGAGATGGGATTTCACCATGTTGCCCATGCTGGTCTTGAACTCTTGACCTTAGGTAATCCACGTGCCTCAGCAGCCCAAAGTGCTGGGATTACAGGTGTGAGCCATCTCACCCTGCCAAGACTCTTAACTAGAACTCTCACTAGATTAAAATTCTGTATAATTATAGCTGTTCAGGGTATTTTGGTTTTGCATGGATATCCCAGTGATGATTGATAGGATAATAGAGTAGTTTTCGAAAGTACTTATGTTTCTGTTAATAGTTTTATTTTTATTTTTTATTTAGTTTTTTGAGACGGAGTCTTGCTCTGTCACCAGGCTGGAGCACAATGGCACAACCTCCACCTCCTGTGTTCAAGCGATTCTCCTACCTCAGCCTCCCAAGCAGCTGGGACTGCTGGCATGCACCACCATGCCTGGCCAATTTTTATATTTTAGTAGAGATGGGGTTTCACCATGTTGGCCATGATGGTCTCTATATCCTGACCTCGTGATCCACCTGCCTCTGCCTCCCAAAGTGCTGGGATTACAAGCGTGAGCCACCACCAATTTATTTTATTTCATTTTTTAAATAATAGAGATAAGGTGTCACTATGTTGCCCAGGCTGGTCTTGAACTCCAGGGCTCAAGCAGTCTACCCACCTTGGCCTCCCAAAATGCTGGGAGTACAGGCGTGAGCCACCACGCCCAGCCTGAAAATTATTATTATTTTTGTTTCTTTTTTTATTTTAATTTTATGTTTTTTCTTTTTTTGAAAATTCTTAAAGTTTATGTTATTTAGACCTTACAATGTTGTGAGGATTAATAAGGAGATGCATGTAGAGCACTTAGCCCAATGCTTATATAATAAGTAGTCAGAAAAGTTAGCCATTATTATGATATTCATCATTGTTTTTTGTTTTTTTCTTTTTGAGACAGTCTTGTTCTGTCACCTAGACTAGAGTGCAGTGGCATGATCTCGGCTCACTGCAACCGCCGCCTCCCGGGTTCAAGCAATTCTCCTGCCTCAGCCTCCCTAGTAGCTGGGATTACAGGTGCCCGCCACCATACCTGGCTAATTTTTGTATTTTTAGTAGAGACGGGGTTTCGCCATGTTGGCCAGGCTGGTCTCAAACTCCTGACCTCAGGTGATCAACCTGCCTTGGTCTCCCAGAGTGCTGGGATTACAGGCATGAGCTACCGTGCCCGTCCTCATCGTTTTTGAATAGCGAAAAATTTTAGAACCATGTTAGCTTAAGCCAATTACAAGGGGAAAAAATATTCATATCCACCCTGGGGACCATCACCTAGTACAGGTTCTTATGAATTCCAGAAAATTATTATCTTGCATTTTTATAGTGTAGTTTTTAAAAGCCTATTCTAATTGTATGGTGTGGTTTTTGCTTTTTTTTTTGGAGACAGGATCTTACTCTGTCACCCAGGCTGGAATGCAGTGGCATGATCATAACTCATTGCAGCCTCGACCTCCCAGCCTCCCAGGATCAAGTGATCCTTCCACCTCGCCTCCCGGGTTCCTGGGACTACAGGCATGCTACCACACATGACTAATTTGTTATATTTTTTGTAGAGGGGGGTTTTACCATGTTGCCCAGGCTGGTCACGAACTCCTAAGCTCAAGCAATCCTCCTGCCTCGGCCTCCCAAAGTGTTGGGATTACAGGCATGAGCCACTGTGCCCAGTCTGGTTTGGATTTTTGTAATGGAATCTTTTAAAGCTAAAAATTTAACTGCTTTAGCGTGGACTTCAGAGATCTTTGGCATTTTTCCCAAAGGCAAGGGTTTTGTCCCATTTCTTGCGGCCAAGAACTTCCCTTTTCCCACAGTCTTACATGTCCTGTGCTAAATGTCATCTGTCTCCCTGGAAGTTACCATACGTCAAGGACCAAATGATTTATGATGTTAAATTGAGGTCTTCTACAGAGACAAAGAAGGAAGGAAAGGTGAAGAACTCTTATTATTTTCATTATTGCTGATAGTTTATGATACTGTAAGTAACAATTAGGTAAAACCTCATTTGGATGTGAGAATTTTGCTGTATTAAAAATTTCTGGTTGGGTGTGGTGTGGCTCATGCCTGTAATCCCAGCACTTTGGGAGGCCGAGGCGGGTGGATCACAAGGTCAAGAGATCAAGACCATCCTGGCCAACATGATGAAATCCCGTCTCTAGTAAAGATACAAAAATTAGCTGGGAGTGGTGGCGCTCACCTGTAGTCCCAGCTACTCGGGAGGCTGAGGCAGGAGAATTGCTTGAACCGGGAGGCAGGGGTTGCTGTGAGCTGAGATCGCGCCACTGCCCTCCAGCCTGGTGACAAAGCGAGAATCCATCTCAAAAAAAAAATTCTGAGCACAAGGGTCTTGGACTTTAGTTTTGTGAATATTAAGTGGCCTGGAGGTTTTCTCTAAGGAACCCAACCTAGTACTTATGAATGAATTGAAAAGACCCTCCTTTAGAAAGGAGCTGAACTGTTTTTTTTTTTTTTTTTTTGAGATGGAGTTTCACTCTTGTCACTATCTCCGCTCACTGCAACCTCCGCCTCCTGGGTTCAAGCGATTTTCCAGCCTCAGCCTCCCAAGTAGCTGGGATTACAGGTGCCCGCCACCACGCCCAGCTAATTTTTGTATTTTTTGTAGAGATGGGGTTTCAGCTTATTGGCCAGGCTGCTCTTGAACTCCTGACCTCAGGTGATCAGCCCGCCTCGGCCTCTCAAAGTGCTGGGATTACAGGCGTGAGCCACCATGCCTGGCCAGGAGCTAAACTGTTTTAAAGAGGTAAAAGTTAAGACTCATTGTGAGTATATTTTAGTTTCATTTTCTGACTTTTATGCCTTTATTGTCTTGGAAAAGACATAGTAATTTTGGAGTACTTAAACTTTATTTTCTAAATATTAAGCCCCATTTTACGGCAGTGTGGCTGGTCCATTGCAGTGCCAAGATTAGAAGTCATAGAACCTAACCCTGATTATTTGTTCAGATACAACCTCTAGTGTAATATCAGCCATTTCACTGCTTCTGTCTACCATCCTGCCTTGGTATATCAGACAATTCTCGTACTTTCTTTTTCCTAATCAATTATTTTAACATTTTCCCCCTAAGCACACCTCCATGCGAGATCTTGGTTGCTCTTCCTGACCACTAAAATAACCACTGTTTTCTATTCCTATTCTTCTAGAATAAGGGAAGATGTTCCTAGAAAAGGTAGTTTAGCCTACACTTCTCAGTGCTGGAGGGCCTGGCATCAGCCCTTTTATATCTGATTTTGAAAAGGCCCCTTAGGAACCTAACCGAGTTAGCTTCTTAAGCGTTTGGTTCACTTTTTAAAATTTTTTTAGTAAGAGACAGGGTCTTGTTCTGTTGCCCAGGCTGAAGTGCAGTGGCTTGATCCTAGCTCGCTGCAGCCTGAAACTCCTGGTCCCAAGTGGTCCTCCTTCCTCAGCCTCTATAGTGGCTGGAACTACAAGCATGTACCACCATGCCTGGCACATTTTTTTTTTTTTCTAAAGAGATGGGGGTATTGCTTTCTTGCCTAGGCTGGTCCCGAACTCTTGTGTTCAAGCAGTCTTCCAGCCTCGGCCTCCCAAAGTGCTAGGATTACAGACATGAGCCACTGTGTCCATCCAGCATTAGGTTGTTTTTTTTTTGTTTTGTTTTTTTTTTTTTTTTTGAGACAAGGTCTCACTCTGTCACCCAGACTGGAGTGCAGTGGCATGATCATGGCTTGCTGAAGCCTTGACCTCCCTGGCCCAAGGAATCCTCCTACCTCAGCCTCCCAAGAAGCTGGGACTAAAAGCGTGCACCACCACACCACCATGCCCAGTTAGATTTTTTATTTTTTATTTGTTGTAGAGACAGGGTCTCGTTCTGTTGCCCAGGCTGGTCTTAAACTCCTAGGCTCAAGTGATCCTCCAGCCTCGGCCTCCCAAAGTGCTGGGATTACAGCCATGAGCCACTGCACCTGGCTGGCATTAGGTTGTTAAACATGGACATGGAGGGTGCGAACAGGAGGCAGAGAAGCTCCAGAACTCATGGGAAACCTTATTTATTAAGGATTGCTGATCTCTTAGGTCCAAACTATAAAATGGTAAGACCGAAACAGTAGATTAGAGATGATTTTTCTCTTTAATTTATGCTTCTGAGATAAGCATTTCAGTTTTTGTTTTCTTTTTTTTTTTTTTTGAGACGGAGTCTCGCTGTGTCGCCCAGGCTGGAGTGCAGTGGCACAATCTCGGCTCACTGCAAGCTCCACCTCCCGGGTTAATGCCATTCTCTTGCCTCAGTCTCCTGAGTAGCTGGGACTACAGGCGCCTGCCACCACGCCCGGCTAATTTTTTGTATTTTTAATAGAGACAGGGTTTCACCGTGTTAGTCAGGACGGTATTGATCTCCTGACCTTGTGATCCACCCACCTCGGCCTCCCAAAGTGCTGGGATTACAGGCGTGAGCCACCGCGCCTGGCAGCATTTCATTTTTCCTTTGGGAAAGGCCGTTTCTGTAGTATGTACCAGTTTCCTCTGAAATACCAAATCCATCCACAACATACCGGCACAGTACTTGTCACTTTTTTCAGTGTAGGTAGCACAGGTAAGTTTATTGAATTATTCTGAAGCCAGAATTTATTTCTACAGTAATTTCTGGGCAGGTTCTAAAAAAGTCATCTGTGACTTTAGGACTGAAGTGTTTGGGGATGTTCATCCATTAGTTACTTGTTCATTGCTTGAACACCTAGCTAATCTTTACCTTTGCATTTGTTTTGATGTGAATCATTATTACAGATACACGTCATTATGATAATATGATGATATTCATTATATACATCATTATTACAACCAATCTTTTAAAAAATGGGCTATTTAAGGCTGGGCGCGGTGACTCACGCCTGTAATCCCAGCACTTTGGGAGGCCAAGGCAGTCGGATCACCTGAGGTCAGGAGTTCAAGACCAGCCTGGCCAACATGGCAAAACCCCGTCTCTACTAAAAATACAAAGAAATTAGCCAGGCATGGTGGTGTACGCCTGTAATTGCAGCTACTCCAGAGGTTGAGGCAGGAGAATCACTTGAACATGAGAGGTGGAGGTTGCAGTGAGCCGAGATCACGCCACTGCACTCCAGCCTGGGCGACAGAGTGAGATTGCATCTGAAAAAAAAAAAAAAAGAAAAAAAATGGGCTATTTAGATGATCTACAATGATCATATGTTTCTGTTGCCGAGGCTGGAATGTGGTGGCACAGTTATGGCTGACTGCAGCCTTGACCTCCCAGGCTCAAGCGATGCTCCCACTTCAGCCTCCTGAGTAGCTGGGACCACAGGCCCGTGTCATCACATCCAGCTAATTTTTTTTTCTCATTAATAGAGATAGGACCTCACTATGTTGCCCAGGCTGGTCTGAAATTCCTGAGCTCAAGCTATCCTTCCGCTTCAGCCTCCCAAAATGCTAAGATTATAGGCATGAACCACTGTGCCCAGCCCATATGTTTCTTTCTTTTTTTTTTTTTGAGACAGAGTGAGACTCTGTCGCCCAGGCTGGAGTGCAGTGGTGCGATCTCAGCTCACTGCAACCTCCGCCTCCTGGCTTCAAGCAATTCTGTCTCAGCCTCCCAAGTAGCTGGGACTACAGGTGCCTGCCACCATGCCCAGCTAATTTTTAAATTTTTAGTAGAGATGGGGTTTTGCCATTTTGGCCAAGCTGGTCTCAAACTCCTGACCTCAGGTCATCTGCCCACCTCGGCCTCCCAAAGTGCTAGGATTACAGGCATGAGCCACTGTGTCCCGCCACTTACGTTTCTTTTATAATGAAAAATAACACTTTCTGAAAAGTACTATGTGTTCTTTACACGTTTAAGATTATGCTATTAAATGCTGAGATCTCAGTTTTTAATATTATTGCAAATCTGGCCTTTTTATAAACTAGAAGATTTATAAGTAAAACCTAGGCCTTTTGGGATGTGATGGTGATGACCCTTTGGTAGATCTCAGGAATCCCTCAGCTTCCTTTGTGGCTCTCGGTGTTTTATTTAACGTTCCTGAATCTGTTTTGTCTTATTTCCTTAAGTTTTTTGGAGATCTGCTTAATTAAGTAAAATCCCTTGTATTTACAAAATGCTCAATAAATAGTGGTAAGTATTCTTGATCTCTGTGATACAGGAAACTTTTCTTTTTCAGATAAGAATAGGAAGAAAAATGAAGAGTCTGACTTTGTAGCATTGAAATAAAAGATTTCAAGATAGCCTAAGAATTCTAACAGTTACCATGCATGAGTAATATACATAGCAGAGTACTGAGGCTACCTTAGCTCATTTTTTACTGTTAAGACTTTTTGCATCATCCATTGGTTCATTGGTTCATTTCTTCTTTCTAGGTTACACATTACCTTTAGGTGCACTGGTGGTGGTGGTCTGCTTCTGCTGCTGCTTTTCAGATAAAATATTAAAAGGTCATCTGATGACCTAAAAATGATTCGCAAATGAGTGCAAAGAATGATAGTTTGTATTATCTTCCATATCTTATTTAAACAGCCTTTATGAAGAAAATTATCATTCCATTGTTTATCTCTGGTTCCCTATCAGTATGATCCTCCCCCCAGAACATTTGTCAATATCTAGAAATTTCTTTAGTTGTCATGACTGTGGGAGGTGGTACTGGCATCTAGTGGATAGAGGTCAGGAATGCTGCTAAACATCCTCTAATGCATAGGACAGCTCCCTACAGCAGAGAATTATCTGGTCAAAATGTCAGTAGTGCCAGAGTTGAGAAACCATGGTTTATCTCTGAAAAATTTTGTAGTTAGGAACAGTTTGAAGTTTTCACTTTAAAGTTAAAGATAGGTCTTTGCTCAACACATTTAGTGTTTATGAAAATATGTGTCACCAAATACTGATTTCAGCAATTGACTTCTCATACTGAAAAGCTCTAGTCTAAAACCAATTGTTTTATAGCATAACCATCATAGGGGTAAAATGAGCCATTTCCACACCCTTTGCAGGGGTTTTCAGAGGTGGAGGGATTTTATTTAGCTTTTAAAAAATTATTATTATTATTATTATTATTATTATTATTATTATTATATATTTTTTGAGACGGAGTCTTTTTCTGTCGCCCAGGCTGGAGTGCAGTGGTAGAATCTCGGCTCACTGCAACCTCTGCCTCCCGGGTTCAAGCAGTTCTCCTGCCTTAGTCTCCTGAGTAGCTGGGATTACAGGCACGTGCCACCACGCCAGCTAATTTTTGTATTTTTAGTAGAGACGGGGTTTCACCATGTTGGTCAGGCTGGTCTCGAACTCCTGACCTCGTGATCTGCCCGCCTCAGGCTCCCAAAGTGCCGGGATTACAGTCGTGAGCCACCGTGCCCAGCCAAAATTTATTTTTATGTATTTATTTTTAATAGAGAGAGGGTCTTGTTGTGTTGCCCAGGCTGTTCTCAAATTCCTTGCCTCAAGGGATCCTCCTACCTTGCCCTCCCAAAGTGTTAGAATACAGGCATGAGCCACTGCACTCCAGATGGAGGGATTTTACATGAGAGAACACTACTGAGCTTTGCCATGGCATGATAATGTGGTGTCATATTTTTTTTTTTTTTTTTGAGACGTAGTCTCACTCTGTCGGCCAGGCTGGAGTCAGTGGCGCGATTCTGGCTCACTGCAAGCTCCGCCTCCCGGGTTCACGCCATTCTCCTGCCTCAGCCTCCCGAGTAGCTGGGACTACAGGCGCCCGCTACCACGCCTGGCTAATTTTTTTTGTATTTTTAGTAGAGACGGGGTTTCACTGTGTTAGCCAGGATGGTCTCAATCTTCTGACCTCCTGATCTACCCGCCTCAGCCTCCAGAAGTGCTGGGATTACAGGCGTGAGCCACCGCACCTGGCCAATGTGGTGTCATTTTTATTTTTCCCCTTCAAGTGTTTCTCTTTTTTAAAATTATTGTTTTTGGCCAGGCATGGTAGCTTAAGCCTGTAATTCCAACACTTTGGGAGGCTGAGGCAGGAGGATCGATTGAGCCCAGGAATTTGAGGTTACAAAGTTTACAAAGCTATGATTTTGCTGCTGCACTCCAGCCTGGGTGACAAAGTGAGACCTTATCTCTATTAAAAAAAAAAAAAGACATAATGTACATAATAATTATACATATTGTGATGTTTCAGTACATGTATACCTCCAAATGTTTCTGAGTGTTGCCCTGAAGTGTCTCTGTTCCCCTGATAATCACCACACAGTGTTATTTTTTATCAATTCTTTATCGTGTTAATGTCAACTGAGGATTTTTTTTAGATCATAAGCAGAAATATAGTTTGTTCATTCAAACTATATTTGAATTATCTGTTGGTATGTGCCAGGTCCTTGTATAGCAAGGTTGGAGCTCTCTATCCTTGAGGAATTGCTTTCTAGTTCTTTGAAGGCAGTTATTAAACTATAGAGTACCTGTCAAGGAGGAGGACTTGTTACGTGCAATGAGGACAGGGACTCGAACTTCTGAATTCTTAGTATATTTTGGAGGGTTCAAAATATGTTTGCTGACACATAGAATCAACCTTAGTGCCCATCAGCAGTTGACTGCATAAAGAAAATGTGGTACATATACACCAACCATGGAATACTACCGAGCCATAAAAAAGATCATATCTTTCTCAGCAAGGATAGAGTTGGAGACCATTATGCTAAGCAAACTAATGCAAGAACAGAAAACCAAATACCAGCCAGGGGTGTGGGCTCACGCCTGTAATCCCAGCACTTTGGGAGGCTGAGGCAGATGGATCCCTTGAGGTCAAGAGTTTGAGACTAACCTGGCTAAGATGCAAAACCCTTTCTCTACTAAAAATACCAAAGTTAGCTGGGCATGGTGGCAGGTGCCTGTAATCCCAGCTACTTGGGAGGCTGAGGCAGGAGAATTGCTTGAACCCGGGAGGCAGAGGTTGCAGTGAGCCGAGATTACACCACTGCACTCTAGACTGGGCAGCAGAGTGAGACTCCATCTCAAAAAGAAAAGAGAAAAAAAATGCCATACATTATCACTTATAAGTGGAATCTAAACATTAAGTACACATGAACACAAAGAAGGGAACAATAGACACCTGGGCCTACTTGAGTGTGGAGAGTGGGAGGAGGGCGAGGATCAAAAAGCTGTCTATTGTGTACTATGCTTATTACCTGGGTAACAAAATAATCTGTACACCAAACCCTGTGACACACAATTTACCTATGTAATAAACCTGCACATGTACCCCCTGAACCTAAAATAAAAGATGGAAAGAAAAACAGAAAACAAACTAAAATATGTTTGCTAAAGAATGAGTGAAACTTTTTTGAAATTGTTTATTCTTCACATAGCCTACGAAGCAGGTATTGTTTTGCTTAGGATGATTGTCTTTTTTTTTTTTTTTTTTTTTTTTTGAAACGAGTCTCGCTCTGTCATCCAGGCTGGAGTGCAGTTCACGCCATTCTCCTGCCTCAGCCTCCCGAGTAGCTGGGACTACGGGCGCCCGCCACCACACCCGGCTAATTTTTTGTATTTTTTAGTAGAGATGGGGTTTCACCGTGTTAGCCAGGATGGTCTCGATCTCCTGACCTCGTGATCCACCCGCCTCGGCCTCCCAAAGCGTTGGGATTACAGGCGTGAGCCACCGCGCCCGGCCTAGGATGATTGTCTTTAAGATATAGGGATGATATTCAGAGGCTTTCAGTAGAAGCGCTGAGACTCACTCTTCTGGTTAACTGCTGTCTCCAGTGCACTTCCTCTGCCTTTAACCATGTATGTTCGTGTATGACACACACACCCCAGAGATAGCTCTCCCTGGACATTTGTGGGTTCAACATTCCTGGTTTCAGCCACTCACAAGTTTCCCTGTAGAGGTGTGGCTACATTGTTCCCAGTTATTTATTGTTCCAAGATGTCACTGTTTAATGTACATTTACGTATGACAGAAATTATATGATTTAATGAGGTTAATGAAGTTGGGGAGTTCATATAAGCCTCTGGCTGTAGCTCTCAGAATAGAAGGTCTGCTCTTTGCCTTTATGAAAATCCATCTTGGCCAGGCGCAGTGGGTCATGCCTGTAATCCCAGTACTGTGGGAAGCCAAGGCGAGAGGATCATCTGAGGCCAGGAGTTTGAGACCAACCTGGGCAACACAGCAAGACCCCATGTCTACACAAGTAATAATAATAATAATAAATTAGCTGGGTGCGGTGGCTCACACCTGTAATGCCAGCACTTTGGGCTGCTGAGGTGGGTGGATTACCTGAGGTTGGGAGTTCGAGACCAGCCTGACCAACATGGAGAAACCCCATCTCACTAAACATACAAAATTAGCCTGGCATGGTGGCACATGCCTGTAATCCCAGCTACTTGGGAGGCTGAGGCAGGAGAATCTCTTGAATCCAGGAGGCAGAGATTGTGGTGAGCCGAGATCGTGTCATTGCACTCCAGCCTGGACAACAAAAGCGAAACTCTTTCTCAAATAAAAGTAATAAAAAATAAAATAAAAAATAAATTAGCCGGGCATGGTGGCACATATCTGTTGTTGGCTGATGTGGGAAGATCACTTGAGCCCAGGAGTTTAAGGTTGCAATGAACCATGGTCATGCCACTGCACTCCAGCTGGAGCCACAGTCTTATATATATACAGTTTAATCTCTCAAGTACCACAGTGAGTATAATGGGAAAGTATATTTCATATACTTGCCTATCAATATCTGGGACAACAGCTTTTGAAATTGTTTTTCCATGATACTTTCGTTTTGCCCATTTTTTTTTTTCCTTTTCTGTTTTTAAGCTAGATTTTTTTTCAACTTGGGTCAAATGTAAGAAAGTTGAGGAAGAAAATTTTCCAAAAAACGGAATTCTTTTTTAAGTAATTTTTTTTTTTTGAGATGGAGTTTTGTTCTTGTTGCCCAGGCTGGAGCACAGTGGTGTGATCTCAGCTTACTGCAACCTCCATCGCCTGGGTTTAAGCGATTCTCCTGCCTCAGCCTCCCAAGTAGCTGGGATTACAGGCATGCGCCACCGTGCCGGGCTAATTTTGTATTTTTAATATAGATAAGGTTTCACCATGTTGGTCAGGCTGGTCTTGAACTCCTGACCTCAAGTGATCCACTTGCCTCGGCCTCCAAAGTGCTGAGATTACAGGCATGGGCCGCCATGCCTGGCTTTTTAAAGTAATTTTTTTTTTTTACTCTCACTCTGTCACCCAGGCTGGAGTGCAGTGGTGTGATCTCAGCTCACTGCAACCTCAGACTCCTGAGTTCAAGCGATTCTCCTGTCTCAGCCTCCTGAGTAGCTGGGATTACAGGCACGAGCCACCATGCCTGGCTACTTTTTGTATTTTTAGTAGAGACGGCGTTTCACCATGTTGGTCAGGCTGGTCTTGAACTCCTGACCTTGTGATCCACCTGCCTTGGCCTCCCAAAGTGCTGGGATTACAGGTGTGAGCCACCGCGCCTGGCTTTAAAGTAATTAACAACAACAGCAACAAAATATAGATGGGTGTCTCACTGTGTTGCCCAGGCTGGTCTCGTGCTCCTGGGCTCAAGCAATCCTCCTCTTTTGGCCTCCCAGAGTGCTAGGATTACAGGTGTGAGCCTCTGCACCCAGCCAGGAAGTTATTTTTACTGCTCTTTTATACTTTCTATATTTTCCTGATTTTTTTCTTGGAATCATGAAGGAAAAGAGTTACTGAGAGAAAGGCCTGAAGACTTAAATGTAATATATGAGGACAATTAAACAGTTTTATTTGGGAATGACCATTTGCCTCACTAAGGAGGCTCTAGCTCTTCCATGCCTTGAAAACCCCAAAAATGAAGAAAAAATGGTATTTCTGGCTAGGTTAGGGACTTAGAAGTGGTGTAGCCAGCAAGATTAAAATATACAAGATTTTCCACATACTTTTGTTTTCAAAAATAACCTTTCTAGATTAATTTCTAAATGCTCTAGAGAAACCATTAGACATTTCCGGAAACTGAATGCCAGTGTGTGCCATTTTGTTTATGGGTAAAACAACGTTATTATGGAATTAAGTTATCAGATAAATTTTTTTTTTTTTTTTTGAGATGGAGTCTTGCTCTGTTGCCCAGGCTGGAGTGCAGTGGCACTATCTCAGCTCACTGCAACCTCCGCCTCCCAGATTCAAGCAATTCTCCTGCCTCAGCCTCCTGAGTAGCTGGGATTACAGGCACATGCCACCATGCCCAGCTAATTTCTGTATTTTTAGTAGAGATGGGGTTTCACCATGTTGGCCAGGCTGGTCTTGAACTCCTGACCTCAAATGATCTGCCCACCTTGGCCTCCCAAAGTGCCGGGATTACAAGCATGAGCCATCGTGCCCAGTGAGAAAGTTTTTAAAAAGAAAAAAATATTCATTTTTTTCTTTTCTTCAGCCACCCCAAATATTTTCTTTCTTCTTTTTTTTTTTTTTTTTGTTGACCATTCTTGGGTGTTTCTCGCAGAGGGGGATTTGGCAGGGTCATAGGACAATAGTGGAGGGAAGGTCAGCAGATAAACAAGTGAACAAAGGTCTCTGGTTTTCCTAGGCAGAGGACCCTGCGGCCTTCCGCAGTGTTTGTGTCCCTGGGTACTTGAGATTAGGGAGTGGTTGATGACTCTTAACAAGCATGCTGCCCTCAAGCATCTGTTCAACAAAGCACATCTTGCACCGCCCTTAATCCATCTAACGCTGAGTGGACACAGCACATGTTTCAGAGAGCATCGGGCTGGGGGCAAGGTCACAGATCAACAGCATCCCAAGGCAGAAGAATTCCTCCCAGCACAGAACAAAATGGAGTCTCCCATGTCTACTTCTTTCTACACAGACACAGCAACAGTCTGATTTCTCTATCTTTTCCCCACATTTCCCCCTTTTCTACTCGACAAAACCGCCATCGTCGTCATGGCCCGTTCTCAATGAGCTGTTGGGTACACCTCCCAGACGGGGTGGTGGCCGGGCAGAGGGGATCCTCACTTCTTAGACGGGGCGGCTGCCGGGCGGAGGGGCTCCTCACTTAGACGGGGCGGCCGGGCAGAGGCGCTCCTCACATCCCAGACGGGGCGGCGGGGCAGAGGCGCTCCCCACATCTCAGACGATGGGCGGCTGGGCAGAGACGCTCCTCACTTCCTAGACGGGATGGCGGCCGGGAAGAGGTGCTCCTCACTTCCCAGACCTGGCAGCCGGGCAGAGGGGATCCTCACATCCCAGACGATGGGTGGCCAGGCAGAGACGCTCCTCACTTCCCAGACGGGGTGGCAGCCGGGCAGAGGCTGCAATCTCGGCACTTTGGGAGGCCAAGGCAGGCGGCTGGGAGGTGGAGGTTGTAGCGAGCCGAGATCACGCCACTGCACTCCAGCCTGGGCAACATTGAGCACTGAGTGAACGAGACTCCGTCTGCAATCCCGGCACCTTGGGAGGCCGAGGCTGGCAGATCACTCGCGGTTAGGAGCTGGAGACCAGCCCGGCCAACACAGCGAAACCCCGTCTCCACCAAAAAAATACAAAAACCAGTCAGGTGTGGCGGCGCGCGCCTGCAGTCGCAGGCACTCGGCAGGCTGAGGCAGGAGAATCAGGCAGGGAGGTTGCAGTGAGCAGAGATGGCAGCAGTACAGTCCAGCTTCGGCTCGGCGTCAGAGGGAGACCGTGGCAAGAGAGGGATCGGGAGACCGTGGGGAGAGGGGGAGGGGGAGAGGGAGAGGGAGAGTCTCACTCTTGTCACCCAGGCTGGAGTGCAGTGGTGCAGTCTTGGCTCACTGCAACCTCCGCCTCCCAGGTTCAAGCAGTTCTCGTGCCTCAGCCTTCCGAGTAGCTGGGATTACAGGCGTGTGCCACCACGCCCAGCTAATTTTTGTATTTCTATTTTTTCTTTTTTTTTTGAGATGGAGTCTCACTCTGTTGCCAGGCTGGAGTGCAGTGGCGCAATCTCGGCTCACTGCAGCCTCCGCCTCCTGGGTTCAAGCAGTTCTCCTGCCTCAGGCTCCTGAGTAGCTGGCACTACAGGTGCAAGCAACCACGCCCAGCTAATTTTTGTATTTTTAGTAGAGACAGTGTTTTACCATGTTGGCCAGGATGGTCTTGATTTCTCGACCTCGTGATCCGCCTGCCTTGGCCTGCCAAAGTGCTGGGATTACAGGTGTGAGCGACTGCGCCTGGTCAATTTTTGTATTTTTAGTACAGATGAGGTTTTGGCATGTTGGCCAGGCTGGTCTTGAACTCCTGACCTCTGGTGATCCACCCACCTTGGCCTCCCAAAGTGCTAGGATTACAGGTGTGTGCCACCGCGCCCAGCCCATTTTCTTTCTTAGTCAACCTGAAGCTAGGTAAATGCTAGCCTTGGAGGTGATTTTTCAAGAAAATTAGAAGCAATCGTGAAAACTTGTCTTTTGAATGGAACTGCTAAACCATTTGAAGCTGGAAAATAGTCAGAACCTCTCATGTTGTCATGCTATCTTTACAGTGCTACAAGTATTGGTAAAAGCCCATATCAAAACTTGTGATAATAATAATAGCTAAGCCCTACCTACCAGGATGGTTAGAAGTAAAACAAAACAAAATGGGAAACAAGTGTTGGCATTGCTGTTAGGAATATAAAATGGTACAGCCACTGTGGAAAACACTTTGGCAGTTTCTCTAAAGATTAAAGGTAGAACTACCATATTACCCAGAAATTTCACTCCTAAGTATATAAAAGAATTGAAACAGAGCCTCAAAGAGATACTTGTGCACCCATGTCATAGCAGCACTATTCTCTTTTTTGTTTTTTTGTGTTTTTTTTTTTGAGACAGAGTCCCATTCTGTCGACCAGGCTGGAGTGCAATGGTGTGATCTCAGCCCTCTACAACCTCCGCCTCCCAGGTTCAAGAGATTCTCTTGCCTCAGACTCCCAAGTAGCTGGGACTAAAGGCATGCGCTACCACACCCAGCTAATTTTTGTATTTTTAGTAGAGACGGGGTTTCACCATGTTGGCCAGGCTGGTCTCGAACTCCTGACCTCAGGTGATCTGCCCACTTCAACCTCCCAAAGTGCTGGGATTACAGGCATTAGCCACTGCGTCTGATCAGCAGCACTATTCTCAATAGCCAAAGGTGGAACAACCCAAGTGTCCATCAACAGAAGAATAAACAAAATGGTGTATATACATATAATGGAATATTACTCGGCCTTAAAAGGAAGGCAGTCTTGATATATGCTATATACCATGATGGACCTTGGAAACATTCGGCTTCATGAAATAAGCCAGACACAGGAGGACAACTGTTGTGATTCCACTTGTTTGAGGTACCTACAATAGGTACATTCATAGGGACAGAAAGTAGAATACCAGAGGCTGTGGAAAGTTGGGAAGGGGGAATTATTGTTTAATGGGTACAGAGTTTTTGCTGGGTATGATAAAACAATTTTGGGTTATAGAAAGGTGCTAGTTACACAGCAATGTGAATTTATTTAATGCAACTGAATTGCATATTTAGGAATAGTAAAAATGATAAATATTGTTAGGTATATTTTACCACAATAAAGAAAATGCGGCCAGGTGTGGTGGCTCACACCTGAATCCCAGCACTTTGGGAGACTGAAGCAGGTGGATCACTTGAGCTCAGGAGTTTGAGACCAGCCTGGGCAATATGGCAAAACTCTGTCTCTACAAAAAAATACAAAAACTAGCCAGGTGTGGTGGCACATGCCTGTAATCCCAGCTACTCAGAAGGCTGAGGCAGAGACTTGCTTGAACCTGGGAGGCGGAGGTTGCAGTGAGCCGAGATTGTGCCACTACGCTCCAGCCTGGGTGACAGAGCGAGACCCTGTCTCAAAATAATAATAATAAAATAATAATTAAAAAAAAGGCCGGTGCAGTGGCTCACACCTGTAATCCCAACACTTTGGGAGGCCGAGGCAGGGGGGATCACGAGGTCAGGAGTTCGAGACCAGCCTGGCCAACATGGTGAAACCCCGTCTCTACTAAAAATACAAAAATTAGCCAAGCGTGGTGGTGGGCGCCTGTAATCCCAGCTACTCGGGAGGCTGAGGCAGAGAATTGCTTGAACGTGGGAGGTGGAGGTTGCACTGAGCCGAGGTTGTGCCACTGCACTCCAGCCTGGGCGACAGAAAAAAAAAATTGTTGATCTAGAGTAGTGCCTCTCTCTCTTTTTTTTTTTTTTTTTTTTTTTGAGACGGGGGTCTCGCTTTGTTTGTCATCGAGGCTGGAATGAAGTGGTGCAGTCATAGCTCACTGCCACCTCCATTTCCTGGGCTCAAGGGATCATCCTGCCTCAGCCTCCCAAAGTGCTAGGATTATAGGTGTAGGCTACTGCACCTGGCTAGAGCAGTGGTTCTTAAAGTGTGTTTCCCTGACCACCACCATCAGCATCCCTTGGGAGCTTGTTAAAAATGCAAAATTTTGGCCGGGCGCAGTGGCTTATAACTGTAATCCCACTACTTTGGGAAGCCGAGGTGGGTGGATTACTTGAGGCCAGTAGTTCGAGACCAGCCTGGCCAATATGGCGAAACCCCATCTCTACAAAAAATACATAAATTATCTGGGCATGGTGGTGCACGCCTGTAATCCCAGCTACTCAGGAGGCTGAAGCCCAAGAATTGCTTGAACCTGGGAAGTGGAGGTTGCAGTGAACTGAGATCACACCACTGCACTCCAGCCTGGGTGACAGAGCGAGGACTGTCTCAAAAATAATAATAATAATAATAATAAAATGAAAAGTAAATAAAAAACAAAAATGCACATTTTCAAGTCCTGCCCTAGGCCTGCTGAATCAGAAACTCCGAGGTGGGATCCAGTAATATGTATTTTAACGTCTCTAAATGCATACTCAAAGTCTGACAACCAGTGATCCAGAGAATATCTAGGGTGCTGTTGTTGATCAAGGAAACATCTAGAAGTGAATTTAGACATTCAGGTACAGTTGAGGAAGGGAAGTCTTGAATTTATAAATTGGCTCTGGAACTAGGTATAGAAGCAGTCTGAACTGGATGAAAGCTCCAGGAATCATTTGGTTCTGGACTAGAACTGAACTGTTCCCTGGAAGAGGAACAGCAAGGCAGACTTCTCAAAGACTAGCATTTATCATGATTTTTCTCATCTGAAGAAAGAGCAGAGTCTCTTGAGATATAGAAATGGAACCAGGATATTTGCATGGTTGCAAAGAGGGCATTGAGATACCTGATGTCCACTGCAGATGGCATTCCCTAGAGAGATGCTTGGCTTCCAAGGGAGTATTGAATGAAACAAGACCCAGGCTGTTCTGATTCAGCCAGGAAAACCTGCCAGTTTTGACAAGACCATTCCATAGGGGGAAGCTCATGTTACTCCAGTGTTAGTTGCCCTGAGAGTCTGGACATGTGAGTTAACAGATTTTACTGTCTGGGTTCTGCTGGGGAGCTGATGCCTCACTGCAGTGAGGACATCCAGATTACAGGCAGCTATTTAAGACTTCATTCTTTGTAGGTTTGCAAATAGTCTCTTAGGTACAATAAGCTGATCAACTTGTACCATTTTGTGAGAATATATACGTTTGTTCCTGAGTTTATCTGAGGGCCTTTTTGGATTTGAAAGTATTGATCTAGGCCGGGCATGGTGGCTCAAACATGTAATTCCAGCACTTTAGGAGGCTGAGGTGGGAAAATCACTTGAGTCCAGGAGTTTGAGACCAGCCTGGGCAACATGGGGAGACCCTGCCTCTACAAAAAAATTTTAAAGGCCAGGCGTGGTGGCTCACGCCTGTAATTCTGGCACTTGGGAAGGCTGAGGCGGGCGGATCACCTGAGGTCGGGAGTTTGAGACCAGCCTGACCAACATGGAGAAACCCTGTCTCTACTAAAAATACAAAATTAGCCGGGCGTGGTGGTGCATGCCTGTAATCCCAGCTACTTGGGAGGCTGAGACAGAAGAATCGCTTGAACCCGGGAGGCAGAAGTTGTGGTGAGCCAAGATTGCACCATTGCACTCCAGCCTGGGCAATAAGAGCGAAATTCTATTTCAAAAAAAAAAATTTTTTTTTCTTTTTTCAGCCGGGCATGGTGGCATACTCCTGTAGTCCCAGCTACTTGGGAGGCTGAGGTGGGAGGATCATTTGAGCCTGTAAGGTTGAGGCTGCAGTGACCCATGATTGTGCCACTGCAATACTCCAGCCTGGGTGACAGAGCAAGATTCTGTCTTAAAAAAAATCAAAAAAAAAAAAAAAAAAGAAAGAAAGTATTGGTCTAGCAGGTTTGAAATGGCTGAGATGACTGACATTGTCTAATTGTATACTTCTGACCAGCTTCATCCCTTTAAGGGAGTAATGGAGCTGTGGGTCAAGGAGACATTCAGGAAGAGTCCTACTTTCTTGAGTATGTGACTCAGACTCAGGATTAATTCAGTTACCCAGGGTACAGGGTTGGGTCTCAGCCTCAGGAAGAATGCAGGGGCCAGTTAGATTTGGTGCAGATTAGCATCAAGTATAATCTGCAGGTCAGGGCCAGATTAGCAGCAAGTCTCACATGCCTCATCCTAGATTTTTGGACTAGAAGTGAACAAGTCACTCTGTCAGATCCATTTGGGGCTTTGGAACTGGGGCAAAATTGAGGGACGTGAATATGTTGTGGGGGGATATATGAGCATGAATGTGTTACTGGGGCATAGAGATAGAAGCAGTTGTCAGGTAGCTTTGGTTGGATGGAGTGGAGGGAATATAGAGCCAGGAAGAAGAGGCAAGTTACTGTGTTTTCAGAGCTACTAACTTTTCTCATCTGTCCTGGATTGATTCTAATTTGCCGGTGACCCTCTTAAAGTTTAGCACTCAGGACTAAAGACAGTATCATGAATGAAGTCTGATAGGACTCCTTGTTTTGGACACTGTGCTTCTGTAATGGTCTCCAAATTCACAATAATTTTTGGCAGTCTTAGCAAGCTGTTGATTCACAGATTCAAGTCTACTAAGATCTTTAATTCTTTTCTTATGTACTCCTGTTAAGTTTCATCTGGTGCTTCTAAAATTGATTTACTTGCACATATCCTTAAATTTCATTTTGTTAGATTTAATGTGCACTACCATTTGTTGAGTCTTATGTCCCAAGAATTTTACAAATATTACCTTTTCTCCCCTCTTGCAATTTTGTGTAGTATTACCCCCGTTTTATAAATGTCGAAATTAAGGTTCAGAGAAGTTAAGTAACTTGCCTGGATTCTAAACAGTGAGTGATAGAATCTGGAATACAAACCCTTGGCTGTCTGACTCTAAAGGCCGTTGCTTTTTAGTACCATTCTAGCCCATTGCACCATCCAGTTTTGATCTTTTGGATTTGTGTTCTATTTTTACCATATATTTGTTCTCTTAGCTAAAGGCCCTCCTTCTGTATGGTCAGCATGACCCAGTGCCCTTATCTAAATCTTTTATGGGACCATATCTAGTTTGCCGGTGACTCTCTTAAAGTTCAGCACTCAGAACTGAAGACAGCCTAGGTGCTTTTTGACTTACTGTGGGGTTATGTCCCAATAGACCCATCGTAAGTTGAAAATATCATAAGTTGAAAATGCATTTAATACACCTAACCTACTGAGCATAGCTTATCCTATGATGTTCAGCTCATATCTGAGCCGCAAACATGCTCAGAGCACTTACATTAGCCTAGAATTAAGCAAGATCATTTAACATAAAGGTGATTTTATAATAAAGCATTGAGTATCTCATGTAATTTATTGAATACTGAAAGTGAAAAACAAAATGGTTGTATGGGTGTTCAAAGTACAGTTTCTACTGAATGCTTATCACTGTTTTTTTGTTTTGTTTTGTTTTGTTTTTTTGAGACGGAGTTTCCCTCTTGTTGCCCAGGCTACAGTACAATGGTGTGATCTTGGCTCACCGCAACCTCCGCCTCCTGGGTTCAAGTGATTCTACTGCCTCAGCCTCCCGAGTAGCTGGGAATACAGGCATGCGCCACCATGCCCCGTTAATTTTCTACTTTTTTTTTTTTTAGTAGAGATGGGGTTTCTCTATGTTGGTCAGGCTGGTCTCGAACTCCCGACCTCAGGTGATCCACCCACCTCGGCCTCCCAAAGTGCTGGAATTACAGACGTGAGCCGCCGTGCCCGGCAGTGCTTATCACTTTTGTACCATTGTTAAGTCAAAACAAATTTTTTTTTCTTTTTTCTTTTTTCTTTTTTTTTTTTGAGATGGAGTCTCACTCTGTCACCCGGGCTGGAGTGCAATGGTGAAATCTCAGCTCACTGTAACCTCCACCTCCCAGGCAGTTTCCAGCAATTCTTCTGCCTCAGCCTCCCAAGTAACTGGGACTACAGGCGTGCACCACCATGCCCAGCTAATTTTTGTATTTTTAGTGGAGACGGGGTTTCACCATGTTGTTCAGGCTGGTCTCAAAACTCCTGACCTCAAGTGATCTGCCCACCTCAGCCTCTCAAAGTGCTGAGATTACAAGTATGAGCCACCATGCCTGGCTAAAGTCAAAAAATTGTAAGTCAGACCATCATAAATTGGGGACTGTCTATATTACAGATGAGGTCTAGTAAGCCTCCTTGTTTGGGATGCTACGCCTCTGTAATGTGCTCATTGCCATCAATGGGACTAGGCCAGAGACAGATACAGAGTAAATTAATGGAAAGAGCATGCATGGGGTGACCAGCCTGTCCAACATAGTGAAACCCCCTCTTTACTAAAAATAGAAAAATTAGCTGGGCTTTGTGGCACATGCCTGTAGTCCCAGCTATTTGGGAGGCAGAGGCAGGAGAATCACTTGAACCCACCTGGGAGGCAGAGGTTTCAGTGAGCTGAGATTGTGGCACTGCACTCCAGTATGGGTGACAGAGCGAGACTCCGTTTCAAAAAGAAAAAGAGCGTGGGTTTTAGAGTCAGACTTGGTTTTGCAATCTTGGTTGTATCATGGGAAGCAATGTGACTTGGTGAAGTCCTAACTTCTCTGGGCCTTCATTTCCTCATATTTAAAATGTCTTAACAGCCCTCGGCAGGGTGGTTGGTGCATGCCTGTAGTCCCAGCTACACTGGAGCCTGAGGCAGGAGGATCCCTTGATCTCAGGAATTCAAGTTCAGCCTGGGCAACAGTGAGATTTCATGTCTGAAAAAAATTTTTTTAAAAGTCTTAATATCTACAAATGGGCCTGTTGGAAAGGTTGAATAAAACATGGATGTAAAGTACTTGCCTCATGGCCCAGCACACTATAAGCACTCAGTAAACATTGGTCTGTTTGTCTCTCTCCTTCCAGGCTTTTCCTTTAAAATCTTTTAATTTTTGGCCAGGCACATTGACTCATGCCTGTAATCCCAACACTTTGGGTGGCCAAAGAAGGAAGATCGCTTGAGCCTAGTTCAAGAGCAGCCTGGCCAACACAGTGAGACCCTGCTCAACAAAAAAGAAAAAAAAACTTTTTATTTTTATTATTTATTTATTTTCCAAGATGGAGTTTCACTCTTTTTGCCCAGGTTGGAGTGCAGTGGTGCGATCTTGGCTCACTGCAACCTTCTCCCGGGTTCAAGCGATTCTCCTGCCTCTGCCTCCCTAATAGTTGGGATTACAGGCATGCGCCACTACACCCAGCTAATTTTGTGTTTTTAGTAAAGATGGGGTTTCACCATGTTGGACAGGCTGGTCTGGAACTCCTGACCTCAAATGATCCGTCCACCTCGGCCTCCCAAAGTGCTGGGATTACAGGCGTGAGCCACTGCACCCAGCCAATCTTTTTATTTTTTATGTCCTTTAAAATTGACCCCACTGGTTGGGCATGGTGGCTCACGCCTGTAATCCCAGCACTTTGGGAGGCCAAGGCAGGTGGATCACCTGAGGTCAGGAGTTCGAGACTAGCCTGGCCAACATGGTGAAACCCCGTCTCTACTGAAAGTACAAAAATCAGCTGGATGTAGTGGCGGGTGCCTGTAATCCCAGCTACTCGGGAGGCTAAGGCAGGAGAATCGCTTGAATCCGGGAGGTGGAGGTTGCAGTGAGCCGAGATAGCGCCATTGCACTCCAGCCTGGGTGAAGAAGCAAGACTCTGTCTCAAAAAAAAAAAAAAAACTACCACAGGGGTTTATCAGGCTGCCTTGGAGTTCTCAGGATTGTCAGATTGTTAGGGTCTCTGCTGTTTTGAAATTCATTTCTCTCTATTTACAGGGCTTATTTTTTCCCACTTCAAACTGAACATTGTACTTGATAGAGAAACGGAAAAAGGAGTTTATCAAGACAGTTTTTTTTTTGGTGGGGGTGGGGGTAGACAAGGGTCTTACTCGGTCACTCAGGCAAGAGTACAGGGATGCAGTCATGGCTCACTGCAGCCTTAACTTCCCATGCTTAAGCAATCCTCCCACCTCAGCCTCCCGAGTAGCTGGGACTATAGGCATGCTTTACCACACCTGGCTAATTTTTTAATTTTAGTAGAGACGAGGGCTTGCCATGTTGCTTAGGCTGGTTTTGAACCCGTGGTCTCAAGCAATCCTTCCGCCCCAGCCTTCCAAGGTCTAGACAGTTCTCACAAAACCCTTCTTGTTATCCTTAGCTTTATTAACAAGCCTTGCCTCATTATGGGCTGTTACTTTTCTTTTAGGTTAGAGCCACCACTCTTTTTTTTAACTATGCCTTCTGTTTTTTGTACGTGTTTGTGAGTGGCCTTTTAACATCTGTACTCAAGAATGCTTTTCGATTGTGCTAGTCTCTTCAGATTGTTCCCTTTTTAAATTTGAAATTAGCCAGATGTGGTGGCTTACACCTGTAATCCCAGCATTTTGGGAGGCTGAGGTAGGCAGATCGCTTGAACTGAGGAGTTAAGAGACCAGCTTGGGCAACATGGTGAAACCTCGTCTCTACAAAAAATACAGAAATTAGCCAAGTGTGGTGGTCCACCCCTGTAGTCCCAACTACTCAGGAGGCTGAGGCAGGAGGATCACTTGCACCTGGGAGGTCAAGACTGCAGTGAGCCATGTCCTCACCACTGTAATCCAGCCTGAGTTACAGAGTGAGACCTTGTCTCAAAGAAAAAAAAATGAAATTGGAATAATTTATAATTAATTGCATAATTCATATTATCTCACTTTTAAGGATTTCTTTAAAAAACACCAGCATCTGGCTGGGTGTGGTGGCTCACACCTGTTAATCCCAGCACTTTGGGAGGCTGAGATGGGAGGATTGCTTGAGCCCAGGAGTTTGAAATTACAGTGGACTATGATTGCCCCACTGCACTCCAGCCTTGGTTACAGAGGGAGACCCTGTTTCTATTTTTCTTTTTTTGAAATTTTTGGCTGGGTGTGGTGGCTCATGCCTATAATCCCAGTACTTTGGGAGGCTGAGGCGGGCGGATCACAAGGTCAGGAGATCGAGACCATTCTGGCTAACACGGTGAAACCCCGTCTCTATTAAAAATACAAAAAATTAGCCGGGCGTGGTGGCGGGCGCCTGTAGTCCCAGCTACTCGGGAGGCTGAGGCAGGAGAATGGCGTGAACCCTGGTGGCAGAGCTTGCAGTGAGCCAAGATCGCGCCCCTGCACTCCAGCCTGGGTGACAGAGCAAGACTCTGTCTCAAAAAAAAAAAAAAAAAAATTTCCCCTTGTCTCTAAAGGAAAAAACAAAAACAAAAATTAAAACAAAAAAGCAATACCACCATCTGTCTTCTCTTTAGAAGTTCATATTATGATATTAGTCTGGGCGTGGTGGTTCATGCCTGTAATCCCAGCACTTTGGGAGGCTGAGGTGAGCAGATCACGAAATCAGGAGTTCAAGACCAACCTGGCCAACATGGCAAAACCCTATCTCTATTAAAAGTGCAAAAATTAGCTGGGCATGGTGGTGGGCGCCTGTAATCCCAGCTACTTGGGAGGCTGAGGCAGGAGAATAGCTTGAACCTGGGAGGTGGAGGTTGCAGTGAGCCGAGATCGTCCCATTGCACTCTAGCCTGGGTGACAAGAGTGAGATTCCATCTCAAAAAAAAAAAAAGAAGAAGTTTATATTATGATATTTTAATTTAGTTAAATCTGCATTTTGAAAGCACTGTAATACAGTGGTTATAATGTGGATTCTCTAGAGTCAGAAAACCTGTGTTCTGATTCAGGCTCTACCACTTTTCTTGTTCTGGGACTTTGGACAAGTTACCTAACAGTTCGAAATCTGTTTTCTCAACTGTAATATAGGGATAATAATAGTATCAATCTTTAAGGGCTATTGAGAGAATTTGATAATCTATCTAAATCTTAGTCTCTGACTTGTGATTAGAACTCTGTACCCAGTAGGGGCCAGGCATGGTGGCTTACACCTGTAATCCCAGCACTTTGGGAGGCTGAGGCAAGTGGATCACTTGAGATCAGGAGTTCGACAATAGCCTGGCTAATATGGTGAAACCCCATCTCTGCTAAAAATACAAAAATTAGCCGGGTGTGGTGGCGCATGCCTGTAATCCCAGCTACTCAGGAGGCTGAGGCAGGAGAATTGCTTGAACCCAGGAGGCCGAGGTTGCAGTGAGCCAAGATTGAGTCACTGCACTCCAGCCTGGGTGACAGAGCGAGGCTTCGTCTCAAAAAAAAAAAAAAAGAACCCTATATCCAGTAAATATTAGCTATTGTTAAGGTCTGGTGTTACTTAATGCAGTGTAGTTAAGTTTTACACAATGCCTTCAAGGATAGCCAGTTATTTGATCATGCGAGACAGCATAGGCAGGTTTCCTTTTTTGGATGAGAAAATGTATGGCACAGAGGTTTTTTTTGTCTTGTTTTGTTTTTTGTTTTGTTTTGTCTGCCACCACGCCTGGCTAATTTATGTATTTTTAGTAGAGACGGGGTTTCACCATGTTGGCCAGGGTGGTCTTGAACTCTTGACCTCATGATCCACCTGCCTTGGCCTCCCAAAGTGCTGGGATTACCGGTGTGAGCCACTGTGCCTGGCCTTTTTTTTTTTTTTTTTTTTTTGAGACAGAGTCTTGCTCTGTCGGCCAAGCTGAAGTGCAGTGGTGCTATCTCAGCTCACTGCAACCTCTGCCTCCCGTGTTCAAGCGATTCTCCTGCCTCAGCCTCCCTAGTAGCTAGGACTACAGGTGCACACCACCACATCTGGTAATGTTTTTGTATTTTTAGTAGAGACAAAGTTTCACCATTTGGCCAGCTGGTTTCAAACTCCTGACCTCAGGTGATCCACCCACCCAGGCCTCCCAAAGTGCTGGGATTACAGGCATGAGCCACCGTGCCTGGCCTGGCACAGGTGGTTTTTGACTTGCCTGAGTGAGAGTTCTGCTGTGGCAGAACTGGGTCTTTAATGTAGGGTGACTAGTGCTCTGTCTAGAACTTGCATTCTTAACTGCCTCCTGTTGACAACACTTAGTTGTTGGCTATCACACTGTTAAGGATTATGTGGTTACTTTCTTCTTGAAACCCTTTCAATTTTTCATCTAGTATTTCTCCTTAGTCTGGATAATGTCCAGTGTAGTCGTTCTCTTATCATTTTAGGATGAAACTGTCCACAAGAATTTATCAGGCTTTCTGTGCCCACCCACCCTTTTTAAGTTAAATGTGATATCCAGCAAATGTCAAGGTTAATGAAGTTCTCTATTTCTTTTTTTTTTTTGAGACAGAGTCTTGCTCTGTCGCCCAGGCTAGAGTGCAGTGGCATGATCTCGGCTCACTGCAACTTCTGCCTCCCAGGTTGAAGCGATTCTCCTGCCTCAGCCTCCTGAGTAGCTGGGAGTACAGGCATGTGCCACCATGCCTGGCTTATTTTTTATGCTTTTAGTAGAGATGGGGTTTCACCATGTTAGCCAGGCTGGTCTTGAACTCCTGACCTCGTGATCTGCCCGCCTCGGCCTCCCAAAGTACTGGGATTACAGGCGTGAGGCACTGCGCCTGGCTGAAGTTCCCTATTTCTATACACCATTATCACCCTGACAATTTTGGGATCTGAGTCAAGAAAACAATCTATATTTTCTGTTATTGAGAAGTTTGAAGGGGTCTCCCAGTAGCTGTATCATGTCCATTACTCTCTTTTATCCTCATTCAGAAATTTTCTACTGTGGTTTGTGGATTTCTCCAGGGAATATCATTTTGGGATGTGCTGTCATTCCACTTCCCCTCTTGAGATCTGAATTACTTACTTTTGTTTGTAAAAGACAAAAATAAATAAGTAAAAATAATAAAGATTTGAATTCCATTTGCCCATTAGTTGGTGTATTGTGTTCACAGTTCTGCCAGACTCAGATTTTTATGGGTAGAGACCATGTCTTACTTATTTTACAAAATCCATAAATTTACTTTAATCTATTTTTTCAGACAGAATCTTGCTCTGTCACCCAGGCTGGAGTGCAGTGATGTGATCTTGGCTCACTGCATCCTCCCATCCCTGGCTCAAGCAATTCTCGTGCCTCAGCTTCCCAAGTAGCTGGGACTACAGGCGTGCGCCACCACACCCAGCTAATTTTTGTATTTTTAGTAGAGACGGGGTTTCGCCATGTTGGCCAGGCTGTTGTCATGATGTCGAACTCCTGATCTCAAGTGATTCCACCTGCCTCCGCCTCCCAAAGTGCTGGGATTACAGGCATGAGCCACCGCGCCTGGCCATAAATTTATTTTAAATTATTTTATTTTGTATATCCTATTATAGATGTCTGACGTTAAGATATTGGCAGGGAATTAAGATATCTAATTTCCAGATAGTTTCTTCTGTGATTTAATAGTCACCTCTTTCATTGCTTTTCTTCTCATGTTATTTTCCTGATGTTCTTTCCCAGTTTTATTTAGGAATTTTTTGCTGTCCTCTTACTTTATTTTATTTTGTTTTGTTTTGTTTTACTTTATTTTAAATCTTTTCTAGAGATGGGGGGGTCTCACTATGTTGCCCAGGCTGGTCTTGAACTCCTGGGGTCAAGCATTCTACTCATCTCAGCCTCCCATAGTGTTGGGATTACAAGTGTGAACCACCATGCTCGGCCCTCTCCTGTATTTTAAATTTTAAGTTCCCATAATCAGATTGGCAAGTGTTCAAATGTGTTCTTCCTACTCTCTGAACCACACTCTTTTAGCAGGCCAAGAGCCCATCACCATTGACACATTTACTTATCAGAATGGTGTCACTATGCTTGGTGTTGAGTATGCAGTTGTGGCACAGAACCCTTGGCCCCTGCATCTTCCCAAGCTTACAGTTTAGTGGGAGCAGATAGACAATAACATGCTTTATAATACTGTTTGGTCAGTGCTTGGCTGGAAAGCAGTAGAAATTTATAGGATGAAGTAGGATTTAGGCTGACCTGAAGGAGAAATAGGAATAAGCCAGGTTTGGGAGTAGAGGAAGGGTAAGAATGTTTTAGCATGATCTGGAAAGCCAACTTCAATTTCCTCACAGCCATTCACATTCCTCCTTTCTTTCCTAAAGTCTAAGCTATCAGTTGGAAGAAGAGAAAAAAAAAATGTTACCAAAGGCCCCTCCCACTCTCTATGTTTACCAAGCTCTTTAAATTTTTTTTTCCCCCAGAAAGACTTTACAGGTTTCTTCTGGTTGTGTGGTTCACTCACTCTTTAGCGGCATGAGTGGCAGTTGGCAAGCTGTCTACAGGTTCTTGTGGAGAGTGTGACCAGCTACCTCTGTTACCTCCCTCTGGGAACCTAGATGATGTTGCTCTTGTTGGTGGATGAGGAGCTTCTTGTTTTTGTGTGTGTGTGTTTTGTTTGTTTGTTGTTGTTTTGCTTTTTGAGACAGGTTCTGCTCTGTCACCCAGGCTGGAACACAGTGGCATCATCACAGCTCACTGTAGACTTGGACTCCCAGGCTCAAGTGATCCTCCCCCTTCAGCCTCCTGCTAGGACCACAGCAGTACACTGCCACACCCGGCTAATTTATTTTCATATGTTGTGGAGATTGGATAACCCTGTGTTGTCCAGGCTGGTTTCAAATTCCTGGGCTCAAACGATCCTCCTGCCTTGGCCTCCAAAGTGTTGGGATTATGGGTGTGAGCCCCCACGCCTGGCCAGGAGCTGCTTGTTTACTCGGCAGGTTTCGTTTTTTTCCGTTTCTCTTCTGTGTTATATTCTGCCTCTCAACCTCCTAACATGAATTTTCTCCTATGACAATTTAGAATTGTTTACTTCCTTGTTTTCCTTGTTTACCTATTTCCTCTGTTGTCTCTGGGAATTCTTCATCCTCTTTGATAACTTTGGCCTGGCAAGTGTTTTTTAAACCTGAGAGGAGAGATGCCAGCTTGTGTTTAGTAAATATGCTATTGGCAAATGCCTCCAGCAGGAAAGTGAGAGTGGCACACTCCTCGTTGAAGCATCCCCATCTAAGGCTAGCAGTTCGTGAAACAGCTGTCATCCTTTACCCCTGTGTAGAGCTCCCTAACTCATTTTTTTGGCCCTGAAATGAAGATTACCAACAAACTTATTATTGTTTGGTGGCATAGTTTCAAAAATATTATGTTCAAAAATTCCTGTTATGTATATTTTAGTTAAAGGCTATATAAAACTAATATGTTTTATTGTTATTTTTTTGAGTGGATAATATAGTCATACGATTTAAACTTAAAAAGATACAGAAAGGAATATGGAAAATATTAATCTTCTCACCATGTCTCCCAGCTACCTAGTTCTCCTCTGAGACAGCTGATGCTACCAGTTTCTTATTTATTCTTCCAGAGTAATTTTGTGCATAGATCAACAAACAAATGACATATATATTACCCAATAAGATGAATGATATGTGTCTTGTATGTCTCATGCCCATTTAGTGAAGTGGAAAGACTATAAGGATTTGAAAAGACTTGGATTCAGTGCTCAAAACCTCAGCTCTGCCATTTATTGGTTGAGTAACCTTGGACAGTTTGCTTCGGCTCTGTGAGCCTTTGATTTCTTTATGCGGTTAATAATACCTAGCTTGTCAGTGTTGAGTATGATGTAGTATGGTTCCTTCTCTGGTATATCTTAAATGCTTCACACATGGTTACTACTACTGTGATTTCTTGCAGGACTTTGCTCTTTGGTCTGTGTGAACTGGGAGGGGCAAAATCTTGCTCTAGAAAAATGAAGGGCAGCCATAAAAAATGATGAGTTCATGTCCTTTGTAGGGACATGGATGAAACTGGAAAACATCATTCTCAGCAAAGTATTGCAAGGACAAAAAACGAAACACTGCATGTTCTCACTCATAGGTGGGAATTGAACAGTGAGAACACATGGACACAGGAAGGGGAACATTACACACCGGGGACTGTCGTGGGGTGGGGGGAGGGGGGAGGGATAGCATTAGGAGATATACCTAATGCTAAATGACGAGTTAATGGGTGCAGCACATCAACATGGCACATGTATACATATGTAACAAACCTGCACATTGTGCACATGTACCCGAAAACTTAAAAGTATAATTAAAAAAAAAAAGCCAAAAAAAAAATGAAGGGATTGAATTGCCTTCTTTAATATGTGACTAATGCTGTCTTATGTGTACAAAGGAACCATGAGCCAAAGGAGACAGAAATAGCATTTGAAAAGGAATAGAACATTTTCTGCTCATCAGGTATTGGAGACAAACTATTCCTGATCTGGGGCTGTCACACTTGGCTGGTGGAGTGCTGATAAACCTTAGCCCTTCACTTCTGCTGGTAGGAAGTCATTAACACTGAGGAGCTTTTCGTGTTTAACAGTTCAGTTAACTCTGGCCCCTCAGTGTTGCCTGAAGCTTTGGACTCAGATGGGAAACTTCACTTGGTCAACCCTGGTTTCCTGTTGATCCGTTCCCAGTGGGATATTAATCCTTTAATAGCAGTTAGCTTTTTTTCTTCTTGGGTTCTTGCATAATGCTTGATGTGGTAGATGGAAGAGTCCCATGGTTTCAGAACCATCCTATTTGGTTTCATTAGGCAGATGGGTGTTAGGCCTTTCTTCATGGTTATTTGGCCTTACCCTTTCTGATGAGATTTGTAGGGCTTTGAGTTTGAAGTGCACATAGTCCCTTAACGGATGAACAAGAAAGACTTTCTATCTTGCAACATGTGGATATCAGAATAAAGAGACCTGATAATATGGGTTATCTTTTAAAGGAAGAAAATGTTTGTAAACTCATTGTGAAAGATTCTGTGCCACATGTAGTTTTAAGCAGTTGGTTCTGAGTTCCCAATATACATTTATCCAGATTGCTGGGAGTAGACCTATTAATGATTTATATTTTATTTTATTTTATTTTATTTTATTTTTGAGATGGCATCTTGCTCTGTCACCAGGCTGGAGTGCAGTGGCACCATCTCGGCTCACTGCAACCTCTGCCTCCTAGGTTCAGGCGATTCTTCTGCCTCAGCCTCTGAGTAGCTGGGACTACAGGTGCACGCCACCACTCCCAGCTAATTTTTGTATTTTTAGCAGAGACGGGGTTTCACCATGTTCCAGGATGGTCTCAATCTCAGGAGGCTGAGGCAGGAGAACTGCTTGAACCTGGGAGGTGGAGGTTGCAGTGAGCTGAGATCGCACTACTGCACTCCAACCTAGGTGACAGAGTAAGACTCCGTCTCAAAAACAAAAAATAATAAAGGCCAGGTGCAGTGGCTCACGCCTGTAATCCCAGCACTTTGAGAGGCTGAGGCAGGCGGATCAGGAGGTCAGGAGATCAAGACCATCCTGGCTAACACGGTGAAATCCCGTCTCTACTAAAAATACAAAAAATTAGCCAGGCATGGTGGCGCGCACCTGTAGTTACAGCTACTGGGGAGGCTGAGGCAGGAGAATGGTGTGAACCTGGGAGGCGGAGCTTGCAGTGAGCCGAGATCATGCCACTGCACTCCAGCCTGGGCGACAGAGCGAGACTCTGTCTCAAAAAATTAATTAATTAATTAATAATAATAATAATAAAATGAGGGCAGGTGTGGTGGATCATGCCTGTAATCCCAGCGCTTCAGTAGGCTAATGGGGGAAGATCACTGGAGGCCAGGAGTGCGACACCAGTCTCGGCTGGTGAGACCCTATCTCTACAAAAATTAAAAAAGTAGCCAGATGTGGTGGCACACACCTGTAGTTCCAGCTACTAGGGAGGCTGGGGCAGGAGAATCATTTGAGCCTAGGACTTCAAGGTTACACTGAGCTATGATCATGCCACTGCACTCAAGCCTGGGCAAGAGCAAGATCCTGTCTCTTTTTTTTTATTTTTTATTTTTTTATTTTTTGAGACAGGGTTTCACTGTTACCCAGGCTGAAGTGCAGTGGTGTGATCACAGCTCACTGCAGCCTGGACCTCCTAGGCTCAAGTGATCCTCCTACCTCAGCCTCCTGAGTACCTGGGACTACAGGTGTGCACCACCACACCTGGCTAATTTTTAATTTTTTTTTTAGAGACGAGGTTTCCCTGTGTTGCCCAGGCTGGTCTCAAACTCCTGGGCTCAAGCGATCCTCCCACCTCAGCTTCCCAAAGTGCTTGGATTACGGGCATGAGTCATCTCGTCCCACCTGGATCATCCTTTTTTTGTTTTAAATAGAGACAGGATCTCACTATGTTATCCATGCTGGTCTCAAGGAATCCTCCCACCTCAGCCTCCCAAAATGCTGGAATTATGTGTCACCTCACCTAGCAGCCGCCTGGATCATTCTTGCAGCAACTGAAAAGTACAAACAGGAAGGCAGCAGAAGTAGTGCTTCCAATCAGACCTGATTCACATTTTTCTTTCTTTCTTTCTTTCTTTCTTTTTTTTTTTTTTTTTTTAGAGACAGAGTCTTGCTCTGTCACCCAGGCTGGTGCGATCTCAGCTCACTGCAACCTCCACCTCCTGGGTTTAAGCGATTCTCCTGCTTCAGCCTCCTGAATGGCTGGGATTACAGGCATGTGCCACCACGTCTGGCTAATTTTTGTATTTTTAGTAGAGACAGAGTTTTGCCATGTTGGCCAGGCTGGTCTCGAACTCTTGAGATCCACCTGCCTTGTCTTCCCAAAGTGCTAGGATTACAGGCGTGAGCCAACATGCCCGGCCACACATTATTTTTAAAAAAGTATTTACAGTGCACTCAAACTTAGTTGACTCTATTCCCTTTTCTTTCATTGTGCCTATTTATTTGCTCTATCTCAATGGACTAAACTTTTGTAAAAGTCAGTTTCACTTTTGTTTTTTATTTCTGATGCTTTCCTTCAAAAAGGCAGAGAAACTGAGGGGTATTTTATGTCTTTAAATTTTTTAATGATACCTTTATAGGTCTTAGCCATAAGGAATTCTATACTTCACACTTCCTAATAAATAAAACGTGACATATAATTTAGAAGTTCACACATTCAGGCCAGACGTGGCGGCTCTTGCCTATAATCGCAGCACTTTGGGAGGTCAGGGGAGTTGCTTGAGGCGGATTACTTGAGGCCAGGAGTTCGAGACCAGCCTGGCCAACATGGTGAAACCCCGTCTCCACTAAAAATACAAAGTTAGCCTGGCGTGGTGGTGCGCGCCTGTAATCCCAGCTACTCAGGAGGCTGAGGCAGAAGAATCACTTGAACCTGGGAGGCCAAGGTTGCAGTGAGCCGAGATCACACCGCTGCACTCCAGCCTGGGTGACAGAGGGAGATTCTATCTCAAAAAACAACAATAAAAAAGTTCACATATTCAAATGGGTGAACATTTCTACCTTCGTGGTCCTCCAATTAAATCTTCTCTACTAGGCTGGGCGCGGTGGCTCATGCCTGTAATCCCAGCACTTTGGGAGGCTGAGGCGGGCGGATCATGAGGTCAGGAGTTCGAGACCAGTCTGGCCAACGTAGTGAAACCCCGTCTCTACTAAAAACACACACAAAAAGTAGGCAGGTACGCCTGTAATCCCAGCTTCTTGGGAGGCTGAGGCAGGAGAATCACTTGAACTTGGGAGGCAGAGGTTGCAGTGAGCCAAGATTGTGCGATTGCACTCCAGCCTGGGTGGCAGTGCGAGACTCCATCTCAAAAAAAAAAAAAAAATCTTCTAAATACCAACTTCCTTCAGAGAGAAGATAGTAAATGTAATTTGTTTACTAAAGATAAATCACTGGCCGGGCACAGTGGCTCACGCCTATAATCCCAGCACTTTGGGAGGCCAAGGCGGGCGGATCATGAGGTCGAGAGATCAAGACCATCCTGGCCAAAATGGTGAAACACCTGAGATTACAGGCGTGAGCCACCACGCCCGGCCAAAAAAAAATTTTTTAAAGGTTGCTTATAGTTATCTTCCAATGCTGTTTCCCAGTTCATTTTCTTTCTTTCTTTCTTTCTTTCTTTTTTATTTTTTTTATAGAGACTGGGTCTTGCTTTGTTGCCTAGGCTGGTCTGGAACTACTGGATTCAAGTGATCCTCCTGCCTCAGCCTCACAAAGTGTTGGGGTTACAGGTGTGAAGCATTACACCCAGCCCCAGTTCATTTTCTCTCCCCAGAGGTGACCATTATTACCAGTTTTTTGTGTATCCTACAAATATTTATGTGCATATCTAAATTCCTATAATACTTTTTGCTTACTAATAGTCATATTACTTGTTTCATATACTGTATACTTAGATATACACTGTGTGGTTTCTGAATTTTATTCTCTTCTTTAACATTCCTTTTTTTTTTTGAGACAGGGTCTGGCTGTGTCACCCAGGCTGGGGGGCCATGCAGTGGTACAGTTTCAGCTCACTGCAGCCTCTGCCTCCCGGGCTTAAGTGATCCTCCCACTTGTGGGACTGTAGGCGTGTGCCATCATGCTGGGCGAATTTTTGTATTTTTTGTAGAGACGGGGTTTTGTCATGTTCCTCAGGCTGGTCACGAACTCCTGAGATCAAGCAGTCTGCCCACTTCGGCCTCCCAGAGTGCTGGGATTATAGATTGGAGCCACCACACCTGGCCTAAAATTCCTGTCTTTTTGCATCAGGTTGTTACGCATCTTTTGGCTTCTGTTAGGTATGACCTTCAGTGCAATGTTACATAGTGGTGGTAATAGCAGGTACCTGCTGGCCTTCTCATCTTTAATAGAAAAAAATTACGGGGCCTATGTGTGATGGATTTTACGCAGTGCATTTTCAGCATCTGTTGAGAAGGTTATATACTTTTTTTTCCTTTCCTGTTAACATAAAAATTGCTTTGATAGATCTCCTGATGTTAAACCAAGTCTTTACATTCCTCGGAGAAGCCTGTAATGTGAGAGCTATCTTTACTGTGAAGCTTTGTGTGTGTGTGTGTTTTGTTTTGTTTTGTTTTGTTTCGAGACAAAGTCTTGCTCTCTCTCCCAGGCTGGAGTACAGTGGCACAATCTTGGCTCACTGCAACCTCTGCCTCCTGGGTTCAAGTGATTCTCCTGCCTCAGCCTCCTGAGTAGCTGGGATTACAGGCAGGCACCACCACACACAGCTAATTTTTGTATTTTTAGAAGAGACAGGGTTTCACTATGTTGGCCAGGCTGGTCTTGAACGCCTGACCTCAGGTGATCCGCCTGCCTTGGCCTCCCAAAGTGCTGGGATTACAGGTGTGAGCCACCACGCCTGGCCTTTTTTTTTTTTTTTTTTTTTTTGAGATGGAGTCTCCCTCTGTTGCCCTGCTGGAGTGCAGTGGCACCATCTCGGCTCACTGCAACCTCCGCCTCCTGAGTTCAAGTGATTCTCCTGCCTCAGCCTCCCGAGTAGCTGGGACTACAGGTGCGCACCACCACGCCCAGCTAAGTTTTTTGCATTTTTAATAGAGGTGGGGGTTTCACCGTGTTGGCCAGGATGGTCTTGATCTCTTAACCTCATGGTCCACCCACCTAAGCCTCCCAAAGTGCTGGGATTACAGGCGTGAGCCACCGAGCCTGGCCTTTTTTTTTTTTTTTTTTTTTTTTTTTTAGGGAAGATATTTGACGATTCCTCTTGTTTTTGTTTAGATCACCATTTATTTGATTTTCAGCAATCACTAGTTTTTTTTTTTTTTTTTTTTTGAGACGGAGTCTCACTGTGTCACCCAGGCTGGAGTGCAATGGCATGATCTCGGCTCACTGCAACCTCAGCCTCCTGGATTCAAGCAATTCTCTTGCCTCAGCCTCCTGAGTAGTTGGGATTACAGGCGCCCACCACCATGCCCAGCTAAGTTTTGTATTTTTAGTAGAGACGGAGTTTTGCCATATTGGTCAGGCTGGTCTCGAATTCCTGACCTCAGGTGATCCGCCTGCCTTGGCCTCCCAAAGTGCTGGGATTACAGGTGTGAGCCACCATGCCTGGCCTGCAATCACTAGTATTTCTAAAAGAAAATTGTAAAAGTTCCTTTGTTCTTCATCTTCTGTCTGCCCTCTAAATGTTAATAATATTGAGACTTCAATAATTAATTCATTCATTCATCATAGATATTTATTAAGTAAGTGCTTTGTGCCAGGCACAGTGCTAGGAACTAGGTGAATAAAATAGATATGATCCCTGTCTTCAGGGAACTTACCTCCCTGTTGCTAGATTTTTTTTCCTTTCAGTCTGACTTCCCCACTGCTTATAGTTATTTTTTTGAGGTGGGAGAGGGGAACCAAACTCATCATCTCATCCCTTTGCTTAAAGATCTCTATTGAATCTTTTATGTTTATAGGATCATGTCTGGAATTTGAAGTACAGCATACAAGGGCCTTCCCAGTCTGGTTCAGCCCCCCTGTTCACACATCTCCCACCATTCTCCCTCATACACATTGGACACACTAGCTATATGATATCCCCAATAAGCCCTGTTCTTTCATGACCCTGATTTGAAACATTTTGTTCTCTGACTAGAATACTTTTCTCTGCCTGACAGATTCCTACTCATCCTTCAAGGCACTCCTAAAAAAATTTTTTTTATATCCATAGAGAGAGTTTGAATCCCATAGCATTCTGTTCATAGAACCTTCCTAGAATTTATTACATTATGTGGTAAAGATGTATTTATACATCTGTCTCCATAGTTAAATGATTGTAAACTGCTTGGAATAGGGTCTTTATGTCTCTATGTTGTGTCTTCTCACTTGATCTTAGCGAAAGGCCAAGAAGCGATCTATGTTGTGTCTTCTCAACAACTACTGTACTGATTAGCACAGAATGGGCCCTCAGCAAATATTTGTTGTGAATGTTTGACTAATCCTTTCTTTTCCCCTTCCCTTAAGTTTTTCTTTAAATGTGTGTGTGCACAGATTATGACTGGCCTTTTACTTTTTGCAAATTTTTGTTATTACATTGTTTTATAATACGATAAAATCAGAAAATATACTTAAAACTTTTCCCAAATGCAGTAAGAGCCTATTTAAGAAAGCATTATCTCTTTTAAAATCACATTTTAAGAAAAGGCAATGTTTTCCTGAGAAGTGGAAAATATTTGAGATAAACCAGTAAATATTAAAGGGACTGGATTTGTTTCCTTTTTTGGTACATTAACAAAGTGCTTATGGAAAAATCGTAGTTTTAGTTTGGAAATTCATCAAACCTCTTGCTGCCTTATAGCAAACCAGTGTGTCTTTGCTCAGAGTCTCACCTAGCAGATTAATATGGGCTGAAGAGATCAATAGATATAAAAAGGCAGTAATCACAATGAAGGAGAGAGGGGGGAAACAGGTCATGAGAGGAAGGTAGTTCATTAATGCATCCATCACTGAAATAATGGAGAAATGGCATATTTGTTGAAATACAGAAGTATCTTCAAATTTGTTAAAAGCCAGACATTGCATCTTATCTTGAATCACTTTCCTTATTTAGGTCTTCATTGCAGGATGACTGACTGCATTTTTTCATGGTGTTTGTTCTGCACAACACCTGTAATCAACACCTGTTTCTTTATTGTATTGAGACCTCTCCATAGTTTGCGCTGTTAAAAGGAGCTTGTGCCTAGGATGGCATTGTTAATCTCTGGAGCTGCCAGAGAAGTCTGAGAGTAGGGACAAAAAGATGGGAACTGAAGTCTAAATACTTCTGGCCTCAGCTTTTTCTTTATAGCCACAGAGCCTTGAATAAGGAATAATTGGTCCTTTAAAAAGTGTTTTCAGTTGAGGCCGGGCGCGGTGGCTCAGGCCTGTAATCCCAGCACTTTGGGAGGCCGAGGCAGGTGGATCACGAGGTCAAGGGATCGAGACCATCCTGGCCAACATAGTGAAACCCCGTCTCTACTAAAAATACAAAAAAATAGCCAGGCATGGTGGCGGCCGCCTGTAGTCCCAGCTACTCAGGAGGCTGAGGCAGGAGAATGGCGTGAACCCAGGAGACGGAGCTTGCAGTGAGCCGAGATCACGCCACTGCACTCCAGCCTGGGCAACAGAGTGAGACTCTGTCTCAAAAAAAAAAAAAATCGTTTTCAGTTGAATGTTTATTTCTTTTGTTTTTCTTTCTTTCTTGTCACCCAGGCTGGAGTACAATGACATGATCTTGGCTTACTGCAGCCTCTGCCTCCTGGGTTCAAGCTATTCTCCCGCATCAGCCTCCTGAGTAGCTGGGATTACAGGCGCAAGCCAGCACACCTGGTTAATTTTTGTTTTCTTAGTAGAGACGAGGTTTCACCCTGTTGGCCAGGCTGGTCTCAAACTTCTGACCTCAGGTGATCCACCTGCCTCGGCCTCCCAAGGTGCTGGGATTATAGGCGTGAACCATTGCACCTGGCCTTTTTTTTTTTTTTTTGAGATAGAGTCTCACTCAGTCACCCAGGCTGGACTGCAGTGGTATGATCTTGGCCCTCTGCAGCCTTGGCATCCTAGGCTCAAGCACTCCTCCCACCTCAGCCCCCCGAGTAGCTGGGACCACAGGCATGTGCCACCATGCATGGCTAATTTTTAAATTTTTTTGTAGAGATGGGGTCTCACCATGTTGCCCAGGCTGGTCTCTAACTCCTGGGCTCAAGCAGTCTTCCCACCTTGGCCTTCCAAAGTGCTGGGATTACAGATGTGAGCCACCACTCCCAGCCTGAACACATATTTCTAGTTTAAATGTATGGTTTTGTATAAAATGGATTAGAGAGATTGCATTGATACAGACTAAAGGGAAGCAACAGAGGTCATATGATTCTAAGAAATTCTATCTTTGTTGAAAGAAGTTTTAGTGTGAAATGACCAGAGTAAAGAAAAAAGAGAATGAACATTCATCCATTCAGAGACTACCAAGTGCTAGGTATGGTAGTGGGTGCTCTTCCATCCGTTTCTCATTCAAGGTGAGGAAATTGTGGCTCAGAGAGGTTAAATGACTTGCCCAAATAACACACAGTAGTGAATAAGAAGATGGATTGGTTCTTTATAATCCCCAAAACCACACTAAACTTTCTCCTTTGTTGCTAGGTAACTGATATTTCAGGAGACAGAAGTTTTTTGTTTATTTCAAGAGCAGGTTTCTTACAGGTCTGGCTCTTCACTCTCCTAGGTTGTCTTGGGATATAGGATTTAAGGTACTACCTGTGGAACTGAGAGTGCCAGCACATTATTCTTGTCCTCTTGAGTGGCTAGTTCCTTGCCCAAAGCTCATCTCAAAATTATAGCTGCTCTTGGGAGTTTGATGTAACATGGAGGCTATGTTGTTGGTTTTATTCTCTCTGATACCATTATTTCAACACTAATGAATTGTGTCCAGGGTGTACCCTGCTTAATTGACAGCTTTCTCAGCTGTTTTATAGCAGGTTCTCTAGTATCTTTATCTTCATGGCCATAGTCAAGAAACTTGTTTTTATTTATTTAAACATGGTTGTGGGAGAAGTAGATAATTATAGTATGCTTTTTGACTATGCAGGAACAAATCTTACCCTTGAGGCCAGGCACGGTGGCTCATGCCTGTAATTCCAGCACTTTGGGAGGCTGAGGCAGGTGGATTTCTTGAGCCCAGGAGTTCGAGATCAGCCTGGGCTACATGGTGAAACCCCATCTCTACTAAAAAATGCAAAAATTAGCCAGGCATGGTGACGTGTGCATGTAGTCTCAGCCACTTGGAAAGGCTGAGGCAGGAGGATCAATTGAGCCCAGGAGGTCGAGGCTGCAGTGAGCCATGATTGCTCCACTCCATCCTCGGTGACAAAGCAACAACCTGTCTCAAAAAAGCAAAACAAAACAAATCTTACCCTTACCTGAAAAACTGGTTAAGGAGGGTTGTAAGTGGTAATGTTAGTTTCTCCATATATCAATTCAGACCTTATCCCAAAGGAAGACCAGAGCTGTTTGAACTCCAGCTCTTCCTTAGCTGCCAGGTGTTAACAACTTGTGTTTCATAAGCATAGATAGATTCAAACCATTGTCCTGGAGTTAAAATATTTTCTAAGCTGTGACTCATCTTTTGGCTCATTCTTTCTTTCACTAGGAAATAAACTGAGTTTTAATTTTGAGAATTTCAATTATCCCTTCTGAAGACTGTGTTGCTGATTAAAGTTGCTGGGACTTGTTTTTCTGGTAACCAGCAGAGCTACAAATTACTTTGTACTCAGTGGTCATGTTAAACCTATGTGTAAGCAGAGGGAGAAATCTGATTAACTGTCTAAAGGAAGGTTGTTGAAGATGAGGCCATTCTTTCTGACTCCTTTTAGAGGTTCATCTCTTCCACCAGAGGGATGGGTGTGCAGGAGGGTGAATCTGAGGCTGAACAGAGCAGGTGCTACGCATGTGTATTTGTATCTGTAAATATCACATCACTGTTTATAGTACACTGGACTCTACATGCAAGGCCTGGTCAGGCCAAACCAGGAGGAATTGTTCCTGTGCTTAAAGCCAAGAATAACATCCTGACCAGCAGGGGGACAGAGGTCAGCTCAAGGCAACAGCTCTTGGGAGCTACAGAACATTAAGGACCTTGGAGGAACTGAGCTTAATAAAAAGGAAGGCAAGATGTACTTTGAAGGAAGTGTGTGAAACCTGCATGCCTTTCTCTTATTAGGACATGGTTTATTTATGAAAAATGAAAAGTTATCTTTTTTTTTTTTTGAGACAGAGTCTCGCACTGTCTCCTGGGCTGGAATGCAGTGGCACGATCTTGGATCACTGCAACCTCTGCCTCCTGGGTTCAAGCGATTCTACTGCCTCAGCCTCCCACGTAGCTGGGATTACAGGCACCTGCCACCACACCCTGTTAATTGTTTGTATTTTCAGTAGAGACAGGGTTTCATTCACTATGTTGGCCAGGCTGGTCTCGAACCCCTGACCTCATGATCTGCCCACCTTGGCTTCCCAAAGTGCTGGGTTTACAGGGGCGAGCCACTGTGCCCAGCCAAAAAATGAAAATTTATCTTAACAGATGGATATGTGATGAGTTCATATCACCTCTTGGTCATTTACATTTTCCACTTCTACTTATACATTGATTTATCCGTTGATTATTTTTTATTAGAAATTGTATACCCAGCTAAGTAGCAGGAAAAATATGTTCTATTATTCTGGTGTTTTATTCTATAAGCAACATCAGAGAGGCCCACTAGAGAACTGTATTTAAAGGATAATAGGTTAATTAAAAAACAGGTACCATGTCTCGGCCGGGGGTGGTGGCTCACGCCTGTAATCCCAGCACTTTGGGAGGCCGAGGCAGGTGGATCACGAGGTGAGGAGATCGAGACCATCCCAGCTAACATGGTGAAACCCTGTCTCTATTAAAAATACAAAAAAATTAGCCGGGTGTGGTGGCGGGAGCCTGAAGCAGGAGAATGGCGTGAACCCGGGAGGTGGAGCTTGCCAGGAGCCAAGATTGCGCCACTGTACTCCAGCCTGGGCGACAGAGCGAGATTCTGTCTCAAAAGAAAAAAAAAAAGCAGAAAAAACAAAAAACAAAAACAGGTACCATGTCTCCTGGGGAATTTACTGACTGGCTAGAGTTTTATTTCTGGGATCTTTCTGTGCTCACTTCTTTTTCCTTCCATCTTTCCTCATTTTGATGCTGGCCACTCACTCCACAGAGGCAATTCAAACTATTTTCTGAAGGAGCATTCTAAGTTTGTCCTGTTGTCTTCTCTGGGACTCATTTCTCTGGCGTGGCTTCAGCTGGTTCCAGGCCAGAATGATCTTCTGAAAGCTTTTCTTCATGGCCTTTATTTCTTGGCTCTTTTCATGCACTTTGCCTGATTGGTTTTGCTGGTTCTTTCCTTCTCCAATGGTGTAAGCTATGTTGCCTTAATCGTAAGGCTCTAAAGCTCAGGTGCAGCCTCAGGCCGTTTAGACTTTCCTGGGGTTTATAAAGTACTTTTGTCCTTTCCTAGAAATTGGGGGATGAATCAGATGCTCTGTTATGAGGTATTGCTGACTCTCCTGGGATTTTAGTTTGCCAGTTGTTTAAATAGTGTGTAGCAATTTGAATTGTATTTGTAAGGTAGGACTTGTTGCCAAGACTCCGAAGTAGGTCATTGCTATTATGCTTTTTCTCTTTATTTTTCTTATATATATTATATATAATATAAAATATACATTATAATAATAAAAATATATATTATAATATATAATATAATATATAATAATATATAATATATCGTAATATATAATATATCATAATATATAATATATTATAATATATATTATATTATATTATGATATATTATAATATATTCTATTATATATTATATTATAATAATTATAATAATATATTATATTATATATATTATATAATAATATATATTATATATATTATATAATAATATATATTATATATATTATAATATAATAATATATATAATAGTATATTATATAATAATATATATTATAGTATATTATAATATAATAATATATATTATAGTATATTATAATATAATAATATATATTATAGTATATTATAATATAATAATATATAATATATTATAATATAATAATATTATATAATAAATTATATTATAATATATTATAATATAATATATTATAATATATATTTTTATTATTATAATATATATTTTATTATAATAATAATATATTATATATTATAATATAATATATAATAATATAATATGTAATATATATAATGTAATATATATATCTATTATAGAGACAGGATCTCACTACGTTGGCCAGGCTGATCTTGAATTGGCCTCAAGTGATCTTCCTGCCTTGGCCTCCCGGAGTGCTAGGATTACAGGCATGAGCCACCGTGCCTAGCCCTCCCTTTCTTTTTCTTTCTTTCTTTCTTTCTTTTCTTTTTTTTTTTTTTTTTTTGAGATGGAGTCTCTCTCTGTCGCTCAGGCTGGAGTGCAGTGGTGCGATCTTGGCTCACTACAACCCCACCTCCTGGTTCAAGCGATTCTTCTGCCTCAGCCTCCTGACTAGCCGGGAGCACAGGCGCATGCCACCATGCCCAGCTAATTTTTGTATTTTTAGTAGAGACGGGGTTTCACCATATTGGCCAGGCTGGTCTCGAGCTCCTGACCTCGTGATCTGCCCTCGGCCTCCCAAAGTGCTGGGATTACAGGCATAAGCCAACACGCCCAGCCATTTTTTTTTTCTTTGAAACAGAGTCTTGCTCTGTCACCCAGGCTGGAGTGCAATGGCACAATCTTGGCTCACTGCAACCTCCACATCCTGGGTTCAAGCAATTTTCCTGCCTTAGCCTCCTGAGTAGCTGGGATTACAGACATGCACCACCATGCCTGGCTGATTTTTGTATTTTTAATAGTGACAGGGTTTCACCATGTTGGCCAGGCTGGTCTCGAACTCCTGACCTCAAATGATCCACCCGCCTTGGCTTCCCAAAGTGCTGGGATTATAGTTGTGGGCCACCGTGCCCGGTCCTCCCTTTATTTTTCAATTGAAAAATTAGCAAAGACAGAATTACCGTGTCCATGGTCACATGGTAGGCTAGTTTTATACCTTTCGAAGCAAACCTCATTTTTTTATTCGTTATACCTTTCAGTGCAAGTATTAGCTTAACAAATAACAGGTGCTTATTAAATATGAATAAATAAGTCATAACTGTGGGTTGATTGGGAATAGAGGTATGGTTAAAATTCAGAATTCTCATCAGGTTCGTCATATTGCAGACAAACAGCTGAGAAAAGTTTCTGGATGGAAGGGACAGAATAGCCATGCATGAAGCTTTTAGTAGTGTAGAATGCCTACAAAAAAATTATTCCTGGCTGGGTGCGGTGGCTCACACCTGTAATCCCAGCACTTTGGGAGGCCGAGGCGGACGGATCATGAGGTCAGGAGTTGGAGACCAGCCTGGCCAATATGGTGAAACCTTGCCTCTACTAAAAATACAAAAATTAGCCAGGCGTGGTGGTGTGCCCCTGTAGTCCCAGCTACTCGGGAGGCTGAGGCAGAAGAATCACTTGAACCCTGGAGGCAGAGGTTGCAGTGAGCCAAGATCGCACCACTGCACTCCAGCCTGGGTGACAGAGTGAGACTATCTAAAAAAAAAATTCCAATTTAGCTCACAGATGCAATCCCAGCTCTTTGGGAATGCGAGATGGAATGATCACTTGAGCACTGGAGTTCAAGACCAGCCTGGCCAACAAAGGGAGTCCTCGTCTCTACAAAAAATCAAAAAAATTATCCAGGCATGGTGGTGTGCACCTGTAGTCACAGCTACTCGGAAGGCGGGGACAGGAGGATCCCTTGAGCCCAGGAGTTTGAGGCTGCAATGAGCAGTAATTGTGCCACTGCACTGCAGTCTGCTGGGTGACAGAGTGAGATATTGTCTCAAAAAAAAAAAAAAAAAAAATGTGCTGAGGGCAGTGGCTCATGCCTGTAATCCCAGCACTTTGAGAGGGATCATGAGAGGATCGCTTGAGCCCCGGAGTTTGAGACCAATCCTGGGCTATGTAGTGAGACCTTGTCTCTACTAAAAATAACAAAGAAAAAAATTACTGGGTGTGATGACATATGCCATGCCTATAGTCCCAGCTACTCGAGAGGCTGAGGCTGGAGGATTGTTTGAGCCCAGGTGGTCGAAGCTGCAGTGAGCCAAGATTGTGCCACTACATTCCAGCCTGGGTCACAGAGTGAGACCCTGTCTCAAAAAAAGAAAAAAAAAAATCCCAATTTAAATCATTCTAAAATGAAGAAACAGAAAAGTAGTTTGTCTAAAAAGGAAATTGGTTATAATGTAAGGAGAAATAGGATGAGAGTGCATAAAAGAACATGAATTAGTTGAGAGATAGAAACAGTTCTGGAAGCAGGCATCTTGCCAGCCTGGGTCAGACAGTAAAAATGAAAATTTTCCTCCCCTTTCCAAAACCACTATCCAGAGGGGCTGTTATTGACTCTGGGTACTAGTATCCAGTTTTGGGGTTGCCATATAAAGCATGAAGAGGTCCAGTGGGGTCAGTTAGCACAAAGAATAGCTGCTCTTTTGATTGGCTAAGTTCTTCTTAATAATTTTACTGGCCTCAAATTCCAAAGCCAAAACCATTTTCTGATTCTTTTGCTGTGTCCATTTGGCTTGTGGGACCAAAGCAGCAGCTGAGACTGCTATACTACACTGCATTAGGCAATAATCCTTCGGAAGGCCTGGCCACTTTTCTTTTTGTTTTCTTTTTTTTTCTTTCTTTCTTTTTTTTTTTGAGACAGTTTCGCTCTTGTTGCCCAGGCTGGAGTGCAATGGCATGATCTCAGCTCACTGCAACCTCTGCCTCTTGGGTTTAAGCAGTTCTCCTACCTCAGCCTCCCAAGTAGCTGACATTACAGGCGTGCGCCACCACATCCGGCTAGTTTTGTATTTTTAGTAGAGATGGATGGAGTTTCACCATGTTGGTCAGGCTAGTCTTGAACTCCTGACCTCAAGTGATCCTCCCACCTCTACCTCCCAAAGTGTGGCCTCCCAAAATTTTTAAATTTTTTTATTTTTTGCTTTGGGACTAGTAATTTGCATCTCATTTAGGATCCCTCTTCTCCCCCCTCATTTTTTCATGCATACCTGCACTAAGTCCTGTTTTCTGAACCTAGATCTGGCTTCTGGCCTCATTGAATTATACAAATTTTAACTATGTCTGGTTTCAGACCTGTTTCTACCTTTTTGTTTGTCTTTCCCTGCTCCCTGTAGCAAACTGGGTTCAGACTTGCTTGGAGAAGGGATGATAGTTTTCACTTGTTTGTTTTTTGACTCCATAAATATGCTCTCTTCTTACTAATTATTCTTTCTTTCTTTGTCAAACAGGCTACCAAGCAGTTTCTCGAAGAGATTAACAAGTGGACAGTTCAGTACAATGTTTCCCCGCTGTCTTGGAATGTGGCTGTCAAGTTCCTCATGGCAAGGAAGTTTGATGTGCTCCGTGCCATAGAATTGTTCCACTCCTACAGAGTATGTGGCTCAGGGGTAGACCAGACCTGTGGCAGTTGGGTTAAGTGTTGCTGTTGTCCCTGTCATGCTCGACACACACATTGGTTCTCTAAGTGTTCCTCCTCACTTTCATAAAAAATGGATCCATATCCAGGAGCCCTTGTGAGAGCTGAAGCTGGGCAAGGCAGCTACTGGAAGGCACTACTTTTGTACCTAAGTTTTGATCGTAGACCAGGATGCCACATCTAATGATTGAGACGGAGGAAGTAGCCTGACAGCATCCTGGTGGCAGGATAGGGGTTCACCCTTCCTAGAGTTTTAATCCTAGCTCTTTTCATTGGCCTCTGGCCACATGAAAATCTTGGTTTTCAGGTTGTCTAAGGCTTTTAGAAACTTGCCATTCAGATGAATGATGAGCTTAGTGGGCAGTTCAGGAAGGGAAGTTTTAACACTGGAAAAGAAGAGCAACTGTGTATTAGCTAGGTCCATTATCTTAAAGTATCTTTATGCAAATGTAGCGGCATCAGGATTTTACTTTGTTTTGATTTTTGTTTTTTGAGGGGGCATAGACTTTGGTTTTGTGCTTGTTTGCTTTCTCAGTTAGTAGTGTCTTTGATAAAACACTATACAGCATGTTACTTTGGGGTCAGAATCCTTCTAAAGAAATACAAAATCTCCCTAAAAAAAAAAATTGGGATAACAAGCACTAGGATTAGCTTAACTGAAGTTTGGTTACATCTGTCTTGTGGACCAGCTCATTCAATATTCATTCATTTACTCAACAGATACTTATTTTATACTTACTGTGTTCCAGGTGCAGAGATTACTATTTAGAAAGAGAGACTAGGGCTGGGTGCGGTGGCTCATGCCTGTAATCTCAGCACTTTGGGAGGCCAAGGCAGGTGGATCACTTGAGGTCAGGAGTTTGAGACCAGCCTGAACAAAATGGCAAAACCGCATCTCTACTAAAACTACAAAAATTAGCTGGGTGTAGTGGCACCTGTATTCCCAGCTACTCGGGAGGCTGAGGAGGGACAATCACTTGAACCAAGGAGGTGGAGGTTGCAGTGAGCCGAGATCACACCATTGCATTCCAGTCTGGGCAACAGAGTGAGACTGTTTAAAAAAAAAAAAAAGAAAGAGAAAATAAACAAAGAGTTGTAGAAATGTTATGATAAGGCAGCACTGGATTCTGTGGAAGCACTTTTTTTTTTGAGACAGAGTCTTGCTGTGTCTCCCAGACTGAAGTGAAGTGGCATGATCTCAGCTCACTGCAGATCTCTGCCTCCTGAGCTCAAGTGATCCTCCCACCTCACCTTAGCCTCCCGAGTAGCTGGGACCACAGGCATGCACCACCATACCTGGCTAATTTTTTGTATTTTTAGTAGAGACGGGGTTTTGCTATGTTGCCCAGGCTGGTCTCGAACTCCTGAGCTCAAGTGATCCACGCACCTCGGCCTCCCAAAGTACTGGGATTACAGGCATGAGCCACCGTGCCCAGCCTAAGAGGTTTAAAACAAGCGGTTGATGAAATAAGACAAACCAAGATAATATTTTTTTGTTATCGGTATATAAAGGTAGAGAATGTCTCCGGAAAAAGGAAGTGTAGGTGGTCAACCTTGTCATTTAAGAGGAGAACTGAAGAGGCTGGGCGCGGTGGCTCATGCCTGTAATCCCAGCACTTTGGGAGGCCGAGGCGGGTGGATCGCTTCAGCCCAGGAGTTGGAGACCAGCCTGGGCAACATGGCAAAACCCCGTCTCTACTAAAAACACAAAAATTAGCCAGGCATGGTGGCACGTGCCTGTAATCCCAGCTACTCAGGAGGCTGAGGCAAGAGAATCTCTTGGACGTGGAGGTTGCAGTGAGCCAAGATCATGCCACTGCACTCCAGCCTCAGCAACAGTGTGAGACTTGGTCTCAATTAAAAAAAAAAAAAGAATCTGGCCATCAGGGTGAGGAAAATGAAGTCATGGTAGCTGCTGTTGGAGACAATATCAGGTGGAGAGAAGGCTCCTATTTAAACATAGGAGAGGCCTAAACCTAGAAAATATGTGAGAACGTAGGCATCCAGACATTTTTGAGGTCCATATTTTAGTGTCCTGGTACCATGTCAGTGCTGCTGCGTGTTTAAGAACCTTGATCCTGCACCTGAATGTAACATACTGGTTACTCTTCAGGGTTAGGGTTCTTACTGAGTCAGAGAAAAATACCCTACCTGAGGGGCTGATAAAGTAGCTTTGGACAGGAATTCCGAAAATGCTTGACTGGCTTGGAGGCAGGTTACAAAGAAATTCATAATTCATTTAGTTGACTTCATTATTCATTTAGCTGAATTCTTTTTTTTTTTTTTTTTTTTTTTTGAGACAGAGTCTCATTTTGTCACCCAGGCTGGAGTGCAGTGGTGCTGTCTTGGCTTACTGCAACCTCCACCTTCTGGGTTCAAGCGATTCTCCTGCCTCAGCCTCCTGAGTAGCTGGGATTATGGGCGCGCACCACCATGCCAGGCTAATTTTTGTATTTTTAGCCGAGACAAGGTTTCACCATGTTGGCCAGGCTGCTCTCGAACTCCTGACCTCAGGTGACCTGCCCGCCTTGGCCTCTCAAAGTGGTGGGATTACAGGCGTGGGCCACTGCGCCCGGCCCATTTAATTGAATTCTAATTCAACTAAATGAAGTAGAATTGGTTATGAAATTAGTTACAAAATTTATTTAGTTATGAAATTTATAATTCATTCATTCATTGATAACCACCTTATCTCTGAGATTTGGTGGTTACATGGTGCTGTCCTGGATATACAGTATTTTCATATTAATACATTTTGCTGTGCTTCCTTTTTAGGAAACTCGAAGGAAGGAAGGCATTGTAAAGCTGAAACCTCATGAGGAACCTCTTCGTTCTGAGATCCTCAGTGGAAAATTCACCATCTTAGTGAGTGTTTAGGGACCTATCTTGTAGGGCCTTATTACTTCCTTTTTTAACTGGTGTCCTGTTTGGACTTTGTTTTTTTTTTTTTTTTTTTAATTTTATTATTATTATACTTTAAGTTTTAGGGTACATGTGCACAACGTGCAGGTTTGTTACATATGTATACATGTGCCTTGTTGGTGTGCTGCACCCATTAACTCGTCATTTAGCATTAGGTATATCTCTTAATGCTATCCCTCCTCCATCCCCCCCTGTTTGGACTTTGTTCCTATATACCTTATCCTGAATCTAGAGAGTCTCCACAGTTAGGAGCAGATGTGAAACAGCCATGCAGTTTGGTATAAAATTATTTTAGTAACAATTGAATTACTAATAGTTTCTAGTAATTAGAGTTACTAATGATAATTGAATAATTGAATTATGGAAAATCAGTTGTACAGTAGACTTAGAAAAGTTTCTTCAGTTGGTCCATTAAGGTTAGTCATGGTCTTTGGGAGAGATATGCAATGTGTCAGACACCCATGCTTCCATATTTAACGCAAGCTCTCCACTTAGTTGAGACCTCAGCCTTTCAAGTAAACATACAATGGCACTTTTAAGGCAGAGGGTGGAAATCATGGTCCTGTTCCCTGGTTCTCTCCTGCTGCTTGTTTCTTTTGCCATTCTGCCAGGGAAGTTAGCTAGGAAGCCAGTGCACAGCCATCCTTTGATCTGTCTGTAGTTGAAGAGCAAAGAGAATGTGTTTTTTTTTTCTTACCACAGAAATATGGTCCAGGGAGTCCTGGGAGAATCAGACAAAGGATGATATTAACACTCTTCCCTTTGGACAGCAATTGGTGAAGTCAGGGAATTATTGTTAGCATCTGTTTTCTACATGTATCAAACCCTTATCCAGTATATAAGTCTTAGTAATTGCTGTGATTTTCTATTTGATTTTTTTAATGTTTCTTGTTTTATTTGCTTTAGAATGTTCGGGACCCAACAGGAGCCTCCATTGCCCTCTTTACTGCCAGGTTGCATCATCCCCACAAGTCAGTCCAACATGTGGTACTTCAGGCTCTGTTTTACTTGCTAGACAGAGCTGTGGATAGGTAAGCATTGAGATTATTTTTTAGGTATTCTACATGCAGGTAGGAAAGTGACAGTTTTTTACTTGATTAAATTCAGCAGTGCCTTCGCCATTCTCCTAGGATGTGCCCTGGGCAATGCTATGAATAGAAAACAATCCATGTCCTTTAGAACTCGGCATGTTTGCAGGCACTATCAAGATGGTGGGCGTTCTCTTTACCACCTTGGCTCTATGTCAGGAAAACAGAAGCTGAGAAAGTCAATTATCGGCAATCTTCAGTGTATGGAAAACTACTTATTGGAAAAGAATGAGGGGGAGATGACCTGTGCTGGTTCTTTTTGCTCATATCAGAACCTCTAAGGCCTCAGTTTCTTTGTCTGCATAACAGGAATAATGCCGTTTAGTTCAGAGGATTTTGAGACTCAACATTCAGGGGAGGGCTGGGTGCAGTGGCTCACACCTGTAATCCCAGCACTTTGGGAGGCTGAAGCAGGTGGATTGCTTGAAGCCAGGAGTTGAGACCAGCCTGGACAACATGGTGAAACCCTGTCTCTGATAAAAAATACAAAAAATTAGCTGGGTGTGGTAGCGTGCACCTTTAGTCCCAGCTTCTTGGGGGAGGTGGGGGAGGTTGCTGAGGTGGGAGGATCACTTGAGCCCAGAATGGTGAAGCTGTAGTGAGCCATGATCACGCCACTGCATTCCAGCCTGGGTGACACAGCAAGACCTGTCTCAAAAAAAACCCCACAAAAAAGCCCACACAAAACAAACAACAACAACAAAAAAACATTCAGGGAGAAGCCCAGAAGTATAAAGTTAAGCAAAAACCATCCTTAATAAAAAGAGGTGCATAAGCATAAAGAACCAGCTCAGGTCATCACTCTCTTCCTGCTAAGGTAATTGGTATTGTTACAATTCAATTGACAATTAAACTCAAGCCCCAAGAAGTTTTTTACAGTCATCATATGTTAGTCCAGCTGGTTCTAAGATCCTGGTTTCTTCACTCTTGGGCAGAGTTATTTCTGTCCTCCCATGCTGTTGTTCTGCTATTCCTTTTTCCCTGGTGCTTGTAATTTACAGTTTCTTACTGCTCTCGACATCTTTGGCTGGTCCTCCGGATTAGAAGTGCTATATTGAGGCCAGGCGCATTGATTCATGCCTGTAATCCTAGCACTTTGGTTGGCTGAGATGGGCAGATTGTCTGAGCCCGGGAGTTTGAGACCAGCCCTGGGCAACATGATGAATCCACTCGCTTCTTGAGGGCAGGAAACTTTCTTTTTAACATCCGAATCTCTGTAGGTTGAGAGAGAATGGTATCGTGAACATCCACATATCCATCATCCGTCTTCTTCAAAGTGATCTGTAACAGTCTTGTTTCATTGGTAGCCCCTCATGGATCTCCTATCCTCAGTTTCTTTCTTTTTTGTTTTTTGAGACTAGGGCTTGGTTTGTCACCCAGGCTGGAGTGCAGTAGCATGATTGTAGCTCACTGCAGTCTTGAACTCCTGGACTTAAGCAATCCTCCCATCTCGGCCTCCCAAAATGCTGGGATTACAAGCATAAGCCATTGCATCTGGCTTCTCCGTTTTTTTAAAACCAATGTCAGGGACTGTATTTTAAACTTCTTGGTGTTTTCTGTAACATGTAGCTCAAGAATTAAAAAAATATTTTTTTTATTTTTTTTTTCCTTTGAGACGGAGTCTCGGTCTGTCCCCCAGGCTGGAGTGCAGTGGCGCTATCTCAGCTCGCTGCAAGCTCCGACTCCCGGGTTCGTGCCATTCTCCTGCCTCAGCCTCCCGAGTAGCTGGGACTACAGGCGCCTGCCACCACGCCCGTTTTTTTTTTTTTTTTTTGTATTTTTAGTAGAGATGGGGTTTCACCTTGTTAGCCAGGATGGTCTCGATCACCTGAGCTCGTGATCCACCCACCTCAGCCTCCCAAAGTGTTGGGATTACAGGCGTGAGCCACCGTGCCCGGCCCATTGTAAATCTTAAACTGGGTGCAGTGGCTCATGCCTGTAATCCCAACACTTTGGGAGGCCAGGTGAGAGGATCGCTTGAGCCCAGAAGTTCGAGACCAGCCTGGGCAACATAGCAAGGCCTCGTCTCTACAAAAAGTTTAAAAATTAGGCAGCCAGGCATGGTGGTATTTGCCTGTAGTCCCAGACACTCACGGAAGGCTGAACTGGGAGGATCACCTGAGCCCTGGGAGGATCACCTGAGCCCTGGGAGGATCATCTGAGCCCTGGGAGGTCGAGGCTACAGTGCGCCATGATTGTGCCACTGCACTACAGCATGGGCAACAGAGTAAAATGCTGTCTTAAAAATATATATATTCTGGTGGCTCACGCGTGTAGTCCCAGCACTTTGGGAGTCCAAGGGGGTGGATCTCCTGAGGTCGGGAGTTTGAGACCAGCCTGGCCAACATGGTGAAACCCCGTCTCTAGTAAAAATACAAAAAATTAGCCAGGCGTGGTGGTGGGTGCCTGTAATCCTAGCTACTCGAGAGGCTGAGGCAGGAGAATCACTTGAACTTGGGCGGAGGTTGCAGTGAGCAGAGATCGCACTATTGCACTTCAGCCTGGGCAACAAAAGCGAACTCTGTCTCAAAAAAAAAAAAGTATATGTATATATATACACACATATATAAACACACACACATCTATCTATCTATCTATCTATCTATCTATCTATCTATCTATCTATTCTATACCCTAAAGTGTGAAAATCTTACTGCATTCATGTTTTATGTGCCTTCACAGGATGAGCACTTTGATCTGGGAATATAGAACCTGGATCATTCATTATGCATCCAAGCTTCTTTTTTTTTAAATTCTCTTTGCCCCCTCACTGACTTGTTTTTGTTTTAGTCCCCTGCCACAACCTGGAGTCATGAGGGGAAAGCCCATAATTTGAATTTGACCCTTGAGGAGCTCATGGAGAAATAGAAAGTATCTAGATCTGGATAGCCTATTCAATAATTGTGCCACACATTTTCTTTGTTTCTTTTTATTTAAGAGACAGGGTCTCACTTTTGCTCGGGCTGAAGTGCAGTTGCATCATCATAACTCACAGCAGCCTCAACTCCTGGGCTCAAATGATCCTCCTGCCTCTGTCTCCCAAGGAGCTGGGACCACAGGCACGTACTAATAAACCCGTCCAATTTTAAAATTTTTTTGTAGAGGCGGAGTTTCACTCTGTTGACCAGGCTGGTCTCGAACTTCTGGCCTCAAGCAGTCTTCACATCTCAGTCTCCCAAAGTGCTGAGATTACAGGTGTGAGTCACTGGACCTGTCCTGTGCCACACATTTTAACAGCATCTTGGACCTTTGTGGATCATAGTCTCTCTGGGGTTGTGAAAAAGGAGTCAAGGGCAGGGCGCAGTGACTCACACCTGTAATCCCAGCACTTTGGGAGGCCGAGGGGGGCAGATCACTTGAGGTCAGGAGTTTGAGACCAGCCTGGGCAACATAATGAAACCCCATCTCTACTAAAAATTAAAAAATAAGTAAAGAAATAAATAAGAAAAAGGAGTAAAGATTTAACACTAATGTAACACATTAGGTGCCAGTTGAAACTAAGTCTGCTGGAGAAACTTTCATGTACCTCAGAATTAGACATTTTTGAAATGTTAGCTCATGGGCGGGTGCTTCTGCCTTGGAATTTGTTAAAGGGATGAAGATATGGAGGTTCCCAGGAGGTGCTGGTGCAAAAATAGTAAGATACAAAATAACTTTGAGGCTGGGCATAGTGGCTCACGCCTGTAATCCCAGCACTTTGGGAGGCCGACGTGGGTGGATCACCTGAGGTCAGGAGTTCGAGACCAGCCTGGCCAACATGGCGAAACCCCGTCTCTACTAAAAATACATTAGCCAAGTGTGGTGGTGGGCACCTGTAGTCCTAGCTACTCGGGAGGCTGAGGCAGAAGAATTGCTTGAACCCGGGCGGCGGAGGTTGCAGTGAGCCGAGATCCCGCCGTTGCACTCCAGCCTGGGTGACAAGAGTGAAACTCTGTCTCAAAACAAAAAACAATAACTTTGAGACTCCTGATTTCAGGAATGAGTTTTGTGCCAAACATTTTCTCAATTCTAAATAGATGTGAAAACTCTTGCTGTCATCTGTGAGTAGTCCAATCAAATAATTTATCCTAATGACCATTTGGGTCTGCAGATCACATATAAGTACGGATCTGGCTTGGTGGAAGAGTACATCTTTGAGAAATCTTTATAAATCTGGGAAATTGGACTGAGGAATACTTTCTGTATCTTCAAATGTTCCTCAGTTTGGTCTGGGAATAGGCTTACTTTTTTTTTTTTTTTTTTCCCCTGAGATGGAGTCTCGCTCTGTTGCCCAGGCTGGAGTGCAGTGGTGCAATCTCGATTCACTGCAACCTCTGCCTCTTGGGCTCAGGCAATTCTCCTGCCTCAGCCTCCCAAGTAGTTGGGATTACAGGCATGTGCCACCATACCCAGCTAATTTTGTATTTTTAGTAGAAATGGGGCTTCACCATATTGGCCAGGCTGGTCTCAAACTGCTGACCTCAGGTGATCCACCTGCTTCAGCCTCCCAAAGTGCTGGGATTATAGGTGTGAGCCACCACACCCAGCCATGGCTTACTATTAATACCTGTTAATCTACTTTTTTTTCTTTCTTTTCCCTCTTTTTTTTTTTTTTTTTAAATAGAGTCAGGGTCTTGCCATGTTGCCCAGACTGGTCTTGAACTCCTGGGTTCAAGCGATCCAGCTGCCTTGGCCTCCCAAAGTGCTAGGATTACAGGCGTGAGCCACTGCGCCCAGTCTTACTTTTTCTTAAGACAAGATCTCACGCTGTCTCCCAGGCTGGAGTGCAGTGGCATGACCTCCCTGTAGCCTCGACCTCCTGGGCTCAAGTGACCCTCCCACCTGAGCCTCCCAAGTAGCTGAGACTATAGGTCACTACATGATGAGGTATTGTCATGTTGCCCAGCCTGGTCTCAAATTCCTGGGCTTAAGCTATCCACCATCCTTAGCCTCCCAAAGTACTGAGACTACAGTCATGAACCACTATGTCAGCCTTAATCTACTTTTTAGGAATGCTTTCCAAAGGCCATTTATGGGTTTGTTCTCTTCCTCCATGGGGTCATAAGAGACAAATTTACTATCAATGAGCTTAGAGGCAGTTTTGTTCTACACAGTTTTTCACAGGTCTGAAATATTTTCTTAGAGATGGGCTTCCAGTCTACTGAATTACAATTCAGTGACCATTTATTTTTAAGGGCTGTGCTAGGGATTGTTGGGCGTAATGAGTGGAACAACAAGTTCTTGTCCTTTAGGAGAGAATCAGATGGCTATACAGAGTTTATTAAGGCCACAAGAAAAATCCACAGAAAGATTTATGGGGCTTTAAGGGAAAAAACAATTGGTAGCATGTTTGATTACAGTTATCAGGGAAACTTTCATGGAAGAGGAAACTTTGGGGTTGAGTACGGAATATGTTATATGATTTGGGTAGGTAGATTCAGAGGGGTGGGAGAAAACAGTTCAGATTTTGATAACTTAGTTGCTGTAGAGCATTCTCAACCTACGAGTTTGGCATTTGGTACATCTGGATAAATCTGCCTTAATAAACATAGCAGATACCAAAGATAAGAGATCTTTTTGTAAGACCAGTGTGCAGTCAGGCAGTTGTTTTGATCCTAGATGTGTCTCATACTCTCAGGTTTTGTTTTGGCATTAGGCTTTCAACCTGCCTCATCCATCTGCTTACTTACAAATGTTTTTGTTCAATGGTTGATTTACAGCTTTGAAACTCAGAGGAATGGACTGGTGTTTATCTATGACATGTGTGGTTCTAATTATGCCAACTTTGAGCTGGATCTTGGCAAGAAAGTCCTAAACCTGCTGAAGGTAAGGCTATGGAGGGCCCTCTCAAGTTTCCTTCAATGCTTGGGATATATATATTTTTTTAATTCTTTGGGAAAAGATTTAGGAAAGATGCAAACTTCAGACATTATGTTCAATGTAAAGGTCATCTGTAAATGATGACTACTCTCTGCTTCCTTAGAACAAGAAATGATCTTAAAAGTGAAATGGGAGGAATTCGGGTAAAAAATGCACAGGAACGGCCAGGCGCCATGGCTCATGCCTGTAATCCCAGCACTTTGGGAGGCCGAGGTGGGTGGATCATGAGGTCAAGAGATCAAGACCATCCTGGCCAACATGGTGAAACCCTGTCTCTACTAAAAACACAAAAATTAGCTGGGTGTGGTGGCGCGTGCCTATAGTCCCAGGTACTCGGGAGGCTGAGGCAGGAGAATCGCTCGAACCTGGGAGGCAGAGGTTGCAGTGAGCCGGGATTGTGCCACTGCACTCCAGCCTGGCGACAGAGCGAGACTGTGTCTCAAAAAAAAAAAAAAAAAAAAAAGCACAGGAACATTCTGAGTCATAAAAGTGGGATGGGCTGGGTGCCATGACTCACGCCTGTAATCCCAGCACTTTGGGAATCTGAGGCATACTTATGTGTATAAGGTGTGTATGAAACATACATAAATTTAGGCCAGGCATGGTGGCTTACACCAGTAATCTCAGCACTTTGGGAGGCTGAGGCGGACGGATCACGAGGTCAGGAGATCAAGACCATCTTGGCTAACATGGTGAAACCCTGTCTCTACTAAAAATACAAAAAAAAAAAAAAATTAGCCGGGCCTGGTGGCAGGCGCCTGTAGTCCCAGCTACTTGGGAGGCTGAGGCAGGAGAATGGTGTGAATCCGGGAGGCGGAGCTTGCAGTGAGCCAAGATCGTGCCACTGCACTCCAGCCTGGGCGACACAGTGAGACTTCGTCTCAAAAAAAAAAAAAAAAAAGAAGAAACATACATAAATTTCCTGCTTAGACTTGGGTCCCATCCCCAAGATATCTAATTATGTATATGCAGATATTCTAAAATCTGAAAAAAATTCAAAATCTGAAACACTTCTAGTCCCAAGCATTTTGGATAAGGAATACCCAACCTGTGTTATGAATGGTGCTGTTATGAACATTCTTAAACATGTTTTCTGGTGCATATGTGTAAGAGGGTCTCTAGGGGAGTGTTTCTCAACCTTTTTTCATTGTTGCCTCACTAAGGAGCCTTTTTAAATATTTTTTCCCCTAATAATTCCTCTTCTAATGAAATTTTAATACCATAAACATACTGCATATCTCTATGTACTCTTTAAAATTTATTTTTTATTTTATTTTGTTTTATTTTATTTTATTTTTATGTTTTTTGAGATGGAGTCTTGCTCTTGTCGCCCAGGCTGGAGTGCGGTGGCGCGATGTCGGCTCACTGCAACCTCCACCTCCCGGTTCAAATGATTCTCCTGCCTCAGCCTCCTGAATAGCTGGGATTATAGGCGCCTGCCACCCCGCCCGGCCAATTTTTGTACTTTTGGTAGAGACGGGGTTTCTCCACGTTGGCCAGGCTGGTCTCAAACTCCTGACCTGGGGTGATCCACCCGCCTCGGCCTCCCAAAGTGCTGGGATTACAGGCGTGAGCCACTGCGCCTGGCCTTATTTTTTAAATAGAGACAGAGTCTCGCTATGTTGCCCAGGCTGGTCTTGAATTCCTGGGCTCAAGCAGTACCGCCTCCTTGGCCTCCCAAAGTGTTGGGATTATAGGTGTTGGCCACTGTGCCTGGCCTCTTTATGTACTCTGTATACATAAAAAGTGTAAGATTTCTTTTTTTTTTTTTTTTTTTTGAGACGGAGTCTCGCACTGTCGCCCAGGCTAGAGTGCAGTGGCACGATCTCGGCTCACTGCAAGCTCCGCCTCCCAGGTTCACGCCGTTCTCCTGCCTCAGCCTCCAGAGTAGTTGGGACTACGGCGCCCACCACCACGCCCGGCTAATTTTTTTGTATTTTAAGTAGAGACGGGGTTTCACCATGTTAGCCAAGATGGTCTCGATCTCCTCACCTTGTGAACTGCCCGCCTCAGCCTCCCAAAGTGCTGGGATTACAGGCGTGAGCCACTGCACCTGGCCCGATTTCTTTTTTTTATTCTGGCTCACCTCACCCTGCTCTCCTACTAATTTTACCCCTTTGGTGAGGTGATATCTCCCCCATTGAGAATGCATGCTCTAGGGTATACACTTAGGAGTAGATTGTTGGGTCCTAAAGTCTGTGAAGATTTAACTTTATAAGACAATGTCAAACTGTGTTTCAAAGCAGTCGTACCCCCTTGCCATGTGTGAAGATTTCCATTGATCTACATCCTCTCCAGCACTTACTAATGTCAGACTTCTTAATTTTTTTCCCAATCAAATGGATATGAGATGGTATCTTGTGGTATAGCTTGCGTTTCTTTTATTAGTGAAATTAACTATATCTTCATATATTCGTTAGCTATATATTTTTTCTTCTTCTGTGAAATGTCTATTTATGATTTGTCCATTTAGAAATTAATAGTTTTTAATATATTATTCTAATCCATGAAGATACATATATACACACACACATATAATGTGTGCGCACAGTAAACTGTCTCTTAATTTATAGCTTGTTTTTTCACTTTTTATGAAGCTCTTTGACTAACAGAAGTTCCTTTTTTTTAAGACCAGGTCTTGCTCTGTTGCCAAGGCTGAGTGCAGTGGCACGATCTTGGCTCACTGCAACCTCCACCTCCTGGGTTCAAGCAGTTCTCATGCCTCAACCTCCCAAGTAGCTAGAATTACAGGCATGTGCCACCACACCCAACTGATTTTTGTATCTTTTGTAGAGATGGAGTTTCACCATGGTGCCTAGGCTGGTCTCAAGCTCCTGAGCTCAAGCAATCCAGCCACCTTGGCCTCCCAAAGTGCTGGGATTACAGGCGTGAACCACTGTGCCCGACCCACAGCGCTTAGTTTCATGCAGTTTTTCAATATTCCGGCCCTTTTCATGGGTGTGGTTACCATGCAACACTGGCGGTCTAACTAGGAAGAAATCATTCCTGAGAAATCCAAAAGAAAAAAAAAAAAAGAGGAATTGTAGCTAGTATCTTCTAGCCTATTCTTTTTGCCACTTTTCTTTCTTTTTTTTTTTTTTTTTGAGACAGAGTGTTTCACTCTTTTGCCCAGGATGCAGTGCAGTGGTGCTATCTCGGCTCACTGCAACCTCCGCCTCCCAGGTTCAAGCGATTCTCCTGCCTTAATTTCCCAAGTAGTTGGGATTACAGGTGCTCGTCACCACACCTAGCTAATTTTTGTATTTTTAGTGGAGATGGGGTTTTGCCATGTTGGCCAGGCTAGACTCTAACTCCTGACCTCAGGTGATCCACTAGCCTTGGCTTCCCAGAGTGCTAGGATTAAAGACGTGAGCCACCGTGCCCAGCCCTTTTTGCCACTTTCAAAAGACTGATTCTTTTTTGTTGTTTGTTTGTTTTGAGATGGAGTCTCTCTCTGTCCCCCAGGCTGAAGCGCAATGGCCTGATCTCAGCTCACTGCAGCCTCCGCCTCCCGGGTTCAAGTGATTCTCCTGCCTCAGCCTCCCAAGCAGCTGGGATTACAGGTGCTCATCACCACACTCGGCTAATTTTTGTATTTTTAGTAGCAATGGGGTTTCACCATGTTGGCCAGGCTGGTCTCGAACTCCTGACCTCAAGTGATCCATCCACCTTGGCCTCTCAAAGTCCTGGGATTACAGGTGTGATCCACCACGCCCAGCCTCAAAAGACTGATTCTCAATCTGACATGTCACTCTGTTCTCTTCAGTTACCCTTTAGTTCTACTGATTTGGAGAAACCCCAGCACTCCTCTATGGAGAATATACAGCATCTAGAACAAACTTCTCCAAAGGCCTCTTCACTGAAGTGTGATAAACTACTTTCATCTTTTCCTTCAAAGATGCAACAATTTATTTCAGGACCTAAATGTCCAAGGTCCTTTTACCAGCAAATCAAAAACCATTCTAGGAAAACACCTGTTATTTCCACAAAATGATAAATAAAAAGTAGAAGCTATTACGTCTCTTTTTTCAGAGCAAAGAACTGCAGACCTGGGCCTAGTCTATTTACATGACTGTCTGGGGGTACCTGCTGCAGTCACCAGGGATGGGTGGCAGCTTGGTCAGCAGCGAATAGCCTGCAGCATTCTCCTGTGGTTATAAAGGATTTACCCCTCAATCCCAAACCTTTCCTCAAGGGATTAACAGAAAAGCCAGTGACAGTGAAACTTAAGTGGCGAATGGATTACAAAGGCTAACTGGTATCTGTAGATGAACCAGATCTACAGATGTATCTATAAGAACATGTAGCTTGCAAATACAGAAGAATACATAGTTGGGGTATTGTCTGGACATCTGGATGAAGTTTTACTAAAGTATAATAATGTCCTTTGTCTCAGAGGTGTGGAAGAGGAAGAGGATGGGGAAATGAGAGAATAGCGTCTTTTCTGGGGGATTTTAAAAATATATATTTCTAGACAATAAAGATTTGTTTGTTTTTCAAATAAATAAATGACTGTATAGCACCCTCATATACTGTCAGTTCAGTAAGTCGTTAACACCTTTTGGAAGGCATCTGGCATTATAAATCCTTAAAAATGCACATACCCTTTGATCAGTTGTATTTCTGAGATTATATGCTAAGGAAACAATCAGGAAAATATAAAAAGAGTATTTACTGCACATTTATTTTAGATAATTAAAAATAATACCTTAAGCTGGCTCCAGTGACTTAAATCTATAATCTCAGCCCTTTGGGAGGCTGAGGTGGGAGAATTGCCTAAGGCCAGGAGTTCAGGACCAGTCTAGGCCACGTAGCAAGACCCTGACTGTACAAAATTTAGCTGCATGTGGTGGTGTGTGCCTATCATCCCAGCTACCCAGGAGGCTGAGGCAGGAGGATCACTTGAGCCCAGGATATGAGGCTGCAGTGAGCTATGATCATATGATTGCATTCCAGCCCAGTTGATAAAACCCTGTCTTAAAAAAAAAAAAAGAATATTCATAATCTTTAGCCAAATAATCCCAGTCTTAGAAACAGCTTCTTAAAATAATTTAAAAGGAGGCCGGGTACAGTGGCTCATGCCTGTAATCCCAGCACTTTGAAAGGCCAAGATGGGCGGATCACTTGAGGCCAGGAGTTCGAGACCAGCCTGGCCAACATGGTGAAAACCCATCTCTGCTAAAAATACAAAAAAGTTAGCCAGGCGTGATGGCACACGCCCGTAATCCCAGCTACTCGGGAGGCTGAAGCAGGAGAATTGGTTGAACCCTTGAGCAGATATCGTGCCACTACACTCCAGCTTGGGTGACCAAGTGAGACTAAAAAAAAAAAAAATATTAAAGTGAGTCTCAAAAAAAAAATTAAAAGGAAAAGATAAAATGAGCATATCAGGATTATTTAGGCCTGAAAACAAACTGAATAATCAGAATGATGGTTACATGGTTAATTAAATTACCTATGTCATATTTATTCCCCAGGATATTGTGACTTTGTTAAAACTGACAAATAGAAAGTCTAAGTTGGGGAAAGACGGGACTTTTTAATATGTAAAGGTGGAAAACAAAACAGCTACCCATATAGAAAAAAATGTCAGATTCCTACATCTCATACCATGTTCAAAAATCAACTTCAGATAGGTTAAAGTCTTAAATAGCAAAAACAGGCCAGGCATGGAGGCTCACACCTGGAATCCCAACACTGGGAGGCCAAGGCAGGCAGATTGCTTGAACCCAGTAGTTTGAAACCAGCCTGGGCAACACGATGAAACCATTTGTATTTTTATTCTACAAAAATACAAAATTAGACAGGCATGGTGGCACATGCTACTTGCGAGGCTGAGGTAGGAGGATCACTTGAGCCTGGGTGGTCAAGGCTACAGTGAGCCATGATGGTGCCATCGTACTCCAGCCTGGGCAACAGAGTGAGAACTTGTCTCAAAAAAAAAGGACAAAAACAAAAGTTTAAATTTTTAAAAGAAAATAGCTCCTCAAATGTGGACAAGTGGAAACAATGTGGAAAATAGCTCCTCAAATCTGGACAAGTGGAAACAACCAATGTGTACAAGTGGAAACAACCCAAATGTCCATCAACGGATTAATAGATAAGAAAAATGTGGTATATTTATGAGGAAATATTATTCAGCCTTAGAAAGCAATGTAATTCTGAGACATGCTACAATATGGATTAACCTTGAAAACATTATGCTAAGTAGGATAAACAAGACAAAAAAGGACAAATATAGTAGGATTCCAATAATACGAGGACCTAAAATAGGCAAATTCATAGAGACAGAAAGTAGAACCAAGGTTACTAGGGACTAGGGGGAGAAGGGAATAGGGAGATGTTATTTAATGGGTACAGGGTTTTTGTTTGTGATGATGAAATAGTTCTGAAAATGAATAGTGGTGATGGCTGCATTGTGAACATACTTAACGCCAATAATTGTACACTTAAAATGGTTTAAAAGGTCAATTTTGTTGTGTATATTTTACAATAAAAAACCAAATTAGAAAAATTAATACACATTGGTGGAATCGGTGGTACAGCAGTAAAAAAAAAAAAAAGTACTTTTTCTGACATTAAAATAGAAAAGGATTTAAGACACACAACACACTAACCAGAAAAGAAAACAGTAATACATTTAACCATTTGAAAATTAAGAACTTCACGCCAGGAGCAGTGGCTCAATGCCTATAATCCCAGCACTCTGGGATGCCAAGGTAGGAGGATCACTTGAGATCAGGAGTTCGAAACCAGCCGGCCAACATGGTGAAACCCTGTCTCTACTAAAAATACAAAAATTAGCCAAGTGTAGTGGCGCAGTCCCAGTTACTTGGGAGCCTGAGGTGGGAGGATCATTTGAGCCTGGGAGGTACAGGACTCAGTGAGTGGCGATTGTGCCACTGCACTCCAGCCTGGGCAACAGCAAGATCCTGTCTCAAAAACAATACAAAACAAAAACAGAGCAGCCAAGCAAACAAAAAAACTAAGCACTGTGGATTAGGAATGAATGATTTTTTCATCTTTATATCTTGTGTGGATGAGGATATCTCCTTTTTTTAGATCTCATTTGCCATAGTGCACATTAGATTATTGATTGGTAAATACATAGATGAATGAATAGATTAAAAAAAGATTATGCATACATCAGACTGAATGAAAAGTTATGAAAGAGAAATTTTTAAAATTTTTAAATTTTTATTTATTATTGTTAAAATTTTGAGATGGAGTTTCGCTCTTGTCGCCCAGGCTGGAGTGCAGTGGTGCGATCTTGGCTTACTGCAACCTCCACTTCCTGGGTTCAAGCGATTCTCCTGCCTTAGCCTCCCGAGTAGCAGGGATTACAGGCACATGCCACCATGCCCGGCTAATCTTTGTATTTTTAGTAGAGATGGGGTTTCACCATGTTGGCCAGGCTGGTCTCAAACTCCTGACATCAAGTGATCTGCCCGCCTCAGCTTCCAGAAGTGCTGGGATTACAGGCGTGAGCCACTGTGCCCAGCCATATTATTTTTTTTGAGACAGAGTTTCACTCTTGTTGCCCAGGGTAAAGTGCAATGGCTTGATCTCAACTCACTGCAGCCTCTGCTTCCTGGGTTCAAGTGATTCTCCTACCTCAGCCTTCTGAGTAGTTGGGATTACAGGTGTCTGCCACCGTGCCTGGCTAATTTTGTATTTTTAGTAGTGATGGGTTTTACCATGTTGGCCAGGCTGGTCTTGAACTCCCAACCTCTGGTGATCCACCCACCTCGGCCTCCCATAATGCTGGGATTATAGGCATGAGCCACCGCACCTGGTCGAGAAATGTTTAATGTTCAGTTTATTCATGATCTCATTTTTCCTTCAAGTTTTAATAACATAACTTTTTTAAGAGGCATATATGTATGCTGATGTGTGGTATGTGTAGGATATCTGTTGAGATGAGAAGTCAGAATAGTTTTTGATCCATAAAGCTTACGGTAGACAAGAACTTAACATTGTTATTTTTAAAGGTAAATCAGCTTCTAATTTCTTCAGTTTGTTTAACCACTTTTCCTCTAGCTGCTGAGATCAAACCTGAATTAGGCTGTAGACTCCCCCTGCTGGGTAAGAATGGGGAGAAGAGCAGAAAACCTAAACTTGGGCTTGAAGAGTCACAGGTTCCATTACACTTAAATCCTCATGTGTTTTCTCCACAGGGAGCATTTCCAGCTCGTTTGAAGAAGGTGCTGATTGTGGGGGCACCCATATGGTTCCGAGTGCCCTATTCCATCATCAGTCTCCTCCTGAAGGACAAAGTCCGGGAGAGGGTAAGGCAAGCTTGCCCTTTTTTATCTGGAGGTGAATAGATACAGTGAATTCCTGCCAATTAATTTTCTACCTTCAAAAAATCCTCCTGGCGTGTCTTCTAGAGCCTGTTCTGCTTCTGTTAGTGCATTCACTTATATTCTCTACCTGATGCATTAGTCAGTTCAATACAGACTGCCTCTCTTACTGTCCTACGAGCTTCTTGAAGTTCAAAACTAAACACAGTTTATCTGGTTCTCACTTTCTATAGCACCTTGCATAAGATAGTACTGAAGGAACGTGTCCTGGAGGTAACTTAGGGATAGCTGCTACTTCCAAAATTTATCCTAGTGCTGCATAGGCCTTTAATATTTAACAGCTTGTAATATAACTGCATTAGTTGAACTGGCATTAGAATTTGTTCAACTGGAAACATCATTCAATCCCTTGACCACCAGGGTTGTGGAGGAAAGTTTTTCGTTATGTCTCTTTCTACATTTATTCCTGGCATTTTTTTTTCTCAGAATACCTTGTTGCTTCCCAATTTCAAAAGCGTTCAAAATTACTTTAATTCTGGGCCAAGTGTAATGGCTCATGCTTATAATACTAACACTTTGGGAGTCCGAGGCCAAGGCGGGAAGATCGCTTGAGGCCAGGAGTTTGAGACCAGCCTAGGCAACACAGTGAGACCCCGCCGCCACAATAAAACCAGAAACTTTAATTCTGTTATAATCTCCTGCGTGTTCCATGATTAAAAGATTTATGGTCTCAGTTACTGATTGCAGCAATTAAAAGACAGGACATGAAAGTGAAAACATTTGGTTCTGTGGAAGCTGCTTAGAGACCTAATGACGCAGAGTAGGAGAGAGCTTTTCTTTTTTTTTTTTTTTTTTTTTTTTTGAGAGTGTCTCACTCTGTTGCCTAGGCTGGAGTGCAGTGGCACGATCTTGGCTCACTGCAGCCCCGCCTCCTGAGTTCAAGCGATTCTTCTGCCTCAGCCTCCTGAGTAGCTGGGAGTACAGGCGCACGCTACCACACCCAGCTAATTTTTGTATTTTTAGTAGAGACGGTGTTTCACCATATTGGCCAGGCTGGTCTCGAACTCCTGACCTCATGATCCGCCCACCTCAGCCTCCCAAAGTGCTGGGATTACAAGCGTGAGCCACCTTTTTTGAGACGGAGTCTCGCTCTGTCTCCCAGGCTGGAGTGCAGTGAAGCGATCTCGGCTCACTGCAAGCTCCGCCTCCCAGGTTCAAACCATTCTCCTGCCTCAGCCTCCCTAGTAGCTGGGACTACAGGCGTGTGCTGTCACGCCCGGCTAATTTTTTGTGTTTTTAGTAGAGACGGAGTTTCACTGTGTTAGCCAGGATGGTCTTGATCTTCTGACCTCGTGATCCACCCACCTCAGCCTCCCAAAAGTGCTGGGATTACAGGCATAAGCCACCGTGCCCAGCCAGGAGAGATCTTTTCTTTCTTTTTTTTTTTTTTTTTTTGCGACAGAGTTTTGCTGTTGTCGCTGAGGCTAGAGTGCAATGGCATGATCTTGGCTCACTGCAACCTCCGTCCCCCGGGTTCAAGTGATTCTCCTGCCTCAGCCTCCCAAGTAGCTGGGATTACAGGCTCCTGCCAACATGCCCAGCTAATTCTTGTATTTTTTTAGTAGAGATGGGGTTTCACCATGTTGGACAGGCTGGTCTCAAACTCCTGACCTCAGGTGATCCACCTGCCTCAGCCTCCCAAAGTGCTGGGATTATAGGCATGAGCCACCGTGCCAGCTGGAGAGATCTTTTCTAAGGTAACTCTTTGAGAGGAATCCATAGGCAAGTTCTTGCACTTGAATTATAGGAATTATACATGCATGTATAAACTCAAAATATATTAAGCACTTTTTGTAGTCGAAGCACTGGTTCCTGATAATTAAAAATTAAGTGAGACAGTCTACCCTCAAGGAGCTCATGGTCTTGATAGGGAACACAGAGATACACATAGGAGGACTTTGGCTCTGCAGGAACGCAGAGGAGCATATGGCCTCAGGCAGTCAGGAAAGACTTCACAGAAGAGGTGAGCTGTGCTGGTCCATGAAGAGGCAGAGGAGGAAAGGAAGGCATTCCAAGAAGAGGCGACAGCAAAAGAGATGAGCTTTTAGGAGGAAGAGAATCCCCATTCCACAGAGATCCTAAGGAGAACCAGTTAAGCTAATTAGTTCCAGCATGGCTATGTCCAAGCAGAGAGCAGAATTAAGTTTTATGGTTACTACAAAAAATTAGCTGGGCGTGGTTGTGTGCATCTGTATTCCCAGCTACTTGAGGGGCTGAGGTGGAAGGATCACTTGAGCCCAGGAGGTTGAGGCTGCAGTGAGCCTTCATCACGCCACTACACTCCAGGCTGGGTGAAAAAGTGAGACCCTGTCTCAAAAAAAAAGTGTTATCTCACATTTTTCCTGGGCTACCCTGCCTCTGGGTGTCTTGCTTTCATAGAATCCTATCTTTGTGAACAGTTATACCAAGCTGAGTAAAATACAAGCTAACAGGCCTTAGAATTGGTTGTCTGAGTATGGGGTTGACAAAAATAACTACTACCTATGCATTCTTAGTGGCCAAAAAAAGAGTACCAGCATGCAGCGATGCTGGGAAGCCTTGTTAATAATATAAAGCTTTTGTTCACTACATCGTCCTTTCAGAAGATGTATAACAGTGTCCCTAATTCCAGGAGTGAATTTTATATACATTCTGGGAGTTCACACTTTTATCTGGCAAATTCATAGGACTTAAATCTCAGGCAGATGAAATGTAGTCTACTACTTTTACAAGTATACCTTGTATTTCAAGAAAATCTTATCCCATCCTCCAAACCTGATATAAATACATTTATTCTTTGTCACTCTATATGCCTTTCCCTCCTCCCACATACTCACATGGTTCTTTCTAACCTTCCAGATTCAAATATTAAAGACATCTGAGGTCACGCAGCATCTGCCCAGGGAGTGTCTTCCAGAAAACCTGGGTGGGTACGTCAAAATTGATCTCGCCACTTGGAATTTCCAGTTCCTACCCCAGGTGAACGGCCACCCAGATCCCTTCGATGAGATCATCCTGTTCTCCCTCCCTCCTGCCTTAGACTGGGACTCAGTACATGTTCCAGGTCCCCATGCTATGACCATCCAAGAGTTGGTGGACTATGTTAATGCCAGGCAAAAGCAAGGAATCTATGAGGAATATGAAGACATTCGTCGTGAGAACCCTGTTGGCACTTTCCACTGTTCCATGTAAGTAGAAAAAGTTTGGGCCAGCAGCTGGTTACCAGGATGCTTCTGGTAGGCTCTGGCAACAGCTCCTTCCACCCCTCACTTGCTTAGCAGAGACCCTTCCTTATGTTAGGGAACATCACTCTCACATAAATGATGGTTTCTCGCATGCAGAAAGAGGTACTTTCTGCTTTGGTGCTTCTTTTTTTTTTTCTTTTTTTTTTAAATTTTTATTTTTTTTATTGATCATTCTTGGGTGTTTCTCGCAGAGGGGGATTTGGCAGGGTCATAGGACAATAGTGGAGGGAAGGTTGGCAGATAAACAAGTGAACAAAGGTCTCTGGTTTTCCTAGGCAGAGGACCCTGCGGCCTTCCGCAGTGTTTGTGTCCCTGGGTACTTGAGATTAGGGAGTGGTGATGATTCTTAACGAGCATGCTGCCTTCAAGCATCTGTTTAACAAAGCACATCTTGCACCGCCCTTAATCCATTTAACCCTGAGTGGACACAGCACATGTTTCAGAGAGCACAGGGTTGGGGGTAAGGTCACCGATCAACAGGATCCCAAGGCAGAAGAATTTATCTTAGTACAGAACAAAATGAAAAGTCTCCCATGTCTACTTTCTACACAGACACGGCAACCATCCGATTTCTCAATCTTTTCCCCACCTTTCCCCCCTTTCTATTCCACAAAACCGCCATTGTCATCCTGGCCCGTTCTCAATGAGCTGTTGGGTACACCTCCCAGACGAGGTGGTGGCTGGGCAGAGGGGCTCCTCACTTCCTAGTAGGGGTGGCTGGGCAGAGGTGCCCCTCACCTCCCGGACGGGGTGGCTGGCCAGACCCCCCCACCTCCCTCCCGGACGGGGCGGCTGGCCAGGCGGGGGGCTGACCCCCCCACCTCCCTCCCGGACGGGGCGGCTGGCCGGGCAGAGGGGCTCCTCACTTCCCAGTAGGGGCGGCCGGGCAGAGGCGCCCCTCACCTCCCGGGCGGGGGGCTGACCCCCCCACCTCCCTCCCGGACAGGGCGGCTGGCCGGGCGGGGGGCTGACCCCCCCACCTCCCTCCCAGACGGGGCGGCTGGCCGGGCAGAGGGGCTCCTCACTTCCCAGTAGGGGCGGCAGGGCAGAGGCGCCCCTCACCTCCTGGACGGGGCGGCTGGCTGGGCGGGGGGCTGACCCCCCCCACCTCCCTCCCGGACGTGGGGCTGACCCCTCCACCTCCCTCCCGGACCGGGCGGCTGGCCGGGCGGGGGGCTGATCCCCCCACCTCCCTCCCGGACGGGTCGGCTGGCCGGGCGGGGGGCTGAGCCCCCCACCTCCCTCCCGGACGGGGTGGCTGGCCCGGCAGAGGGGCTCCTCACTTCCCAGTAGGGGCGGCTGGGCAGAGGCGCCCCTCACCTCCCGGACGGGGCGGCTGGCCGGGCAGGGGGCTGACCTCACCTCCCTCCCGGACGGGGCGGCTGGCCGGGCGGGGGGCTGACCCCCCCGACCTCCCTCCCGGACATGGGGCTGACCCCCCCACCTCCCTCCCGGACGGGGCGGCTGTCCGGGCGGGGGGCTGACCTCCCCACCTCCCTCCCGGACGGGGCGGCTGTCCGGGCGGGGTGCTGATCCCCCCACCTCCCTCCCGGACGGGTCGGCTGGCCGGGCGGGGGGCTGAGCCCCCCACCTCCCTCCCGGACGGGGCGGCTGGCCCGGCAGAGGGGCTCCTCACTTCCCAGTAGGGGCGGCTGGGCAGAGGCGCCCCTCACCTCCCGGACGGGGCGGCTGGCCGGGCGGGGGGCTGACCCCACCTCCCTCCCGGACGGGGCGGCTGGCCGGGCGGAGGGCTGACCCCCCCTCACCTCCCTCCCGGACGGGGCGGCTGGCCGGGCGGGGGGCTGACCCCCCCACCTCCCTCCCGGACGGGGGGCTGACCCCCCCCCCACCTCCCTCCCGGATGGGGCGGCTGGCCGGGTTGGGGGCTGACTCCCCCACCTCCCTCCCGGACGGGGTGGCTGGCCAGGCAGAGGGGCTCCTCACTTCCCAGTAGGGGCGGCTGGGCAGAGGCGCCCCTCACCTCCCGGACGGGGCGGCTGGCCGGGCGGGGGGCTGACCCCCCCACCTCCCTCCCGGACGGAGCGGCTGGCCGGGCGGGGGGCTGACCCCCCCACCTCCCTCCCGGACGGGGCGGCTGCCGGGCGGAGACGCTCCTCACTTCCCAGACGGGGTGGCTGCCGGGCAGAGGGACTCCTCACTTCTCAGACGGGGCGGCTGCCGGGCGGAGGGGCTCCTCACTTCTCAGATGGGGCGGATGCTGGGCGGAGGGTCTCCTCACTTCTCAGACGGGGCGGCTGGGCAGAGACGCTCCTCACCTCCCAGACGGGGTCGCGACCGGGCAGAGGAGCTCCTCACATCCCAGACGGGGCAGCGGGGCAGAGGCGCTCCCCACATCTCAGACGATGGGCGGCCGGGCAGAGATGCTCCTCACTTCCCAGATGGGATGGCTGCCGGGAAGAGGCGCTCCTCACTTCCTAGATGGGATGGCGGCCGGGCAGAGACGCTCCTCACTTTCCAGACTGGGCAGCCAGGCAGAGGGGCTCCTCACGTCCCAGACGATGGGCGGCCAGGCAGAGACGCTCCTCACTTCCCAGACGGGGTGGTGGCCGGGCAGAGGCTGCAATCTCGGCACTTTGGGAGGCCAAGGCAGGCGGCTGGGAGATGGAGGTTGTAGTGAGCTGAGATCACGCCACTGCACTCCAGCCTGGGCACCATTGGGTGCTTCTTGCTAACATCCTATGCTCTGAAATTTCTGAAGGTCTTTGGTACCAACAGGATAACCCTGTTGGACATATTTTTGGATATTTTTCTGAAATGCAAGTTTTTTTTAAAAAAAGTAGGTTCAAAATAGGCTACTCTCTATTCCAGTACTCAGTGTGAGTGCTGGTCTGTTCATTTGGGCAGTTTCTCCCCATAACATTTATGGTATAACATTACTTCTTGAGGAGGGGTATGTGGTACACTTAAAATAATCCACAGTCAGAGAGTACAGTTGCCTCATAGGACTTTAACCCCTTGAGATTTTCATTCTACTCAAATCCTATCACAAAACCATCTCGCTAGTTTATAACTCTGGCTCGTAACTAGTTGATAACTATATATACATACATACATATATATATACACACCCACACACAAATTAGCTGGGTGTGGTGGCGCACACCTGTAATTCCTTCCTTCCTCCCTCCCTCTCTTTTTTTTTTCTTTCTGAGATGGAGTCTCGTTCTGTCACCCAGGCTGGAGTGCAATGGCACGATCTCGGCTCACTGCAACCTCCGCCTCCCAGGTTCAAGCGATTCTTCCTGCCTCACCCTCCCAAGTAGCTGGAATTATAGGCGCGCACCACCATGCCTGGCTAATTTTTGTATTTTTAGTAGAGACAGGGTTTCACGATGTTGTCCAGGTTGATCTTGAACTCCTGACCTCAGGTGATCTGCCTGCCTCAGCCTCCCGAAGTGCTGGGATTACAGGTATGATCTACCGCACCTGGCCTCTTTTTCTTTTTTCTCTTCTCTTCTTTTCTTCTTCTCTTCTCCTTTTCTTTTCTTTTATCCTTTTCTTTTCCTCAAATTCCTAGGTTAAAGCGATCCTCCTACTTCAGCCTCCTGAGTAGCTGGGACTACAGGTATGTGCCACTATGTCCAGCTCATTTTTTATTTTTTGAAGAGATGGGGTTTTGGCATGTTGCCCAGGCTGGTCTCAAACTCCGAGGCTCAAGTGATCCTCCTGCCTCAACCTCCCAAAGTGTTGGGATTACAGGTGTGAGCCACCGCACCTGGTCAGATTATTTCTCTTACCATGTTGCTGTCATTTCTCTTACCATGTTTTAATTGGCTGCCCCAGAAATCTCTTTCTCTCCAGCTAGTGAGCTGTGACTGTTGAAAACTACAGAAACTAGGGCTGGGGGCAGTGGCTCATGCCTATAATCCCAGCACTTTGGGAGTAAAGGTATAGGAGGATCATTTGTGCCCAGGAGTTTGAGACTAACCTGAGCAGCATAGCAAGACCCTACCTCTACAAAAATAAAAAACGAAAAAATTAGCCAGGCATGGTGGCACACTCCTGTTGTCCCAGCTATGCAGGAGGATCACTTGAGCCCGGGAGGTCAAGACCACAGTGAGTTATGATCACGCCACTGAGCTCCAGCCTAAGTGACAGAGTAAGACTTTGTCTAAGGAAAAAAAAAAAAAAAGAAAGAAAGAAAAGAAGAGGAAAAAAAAAAAAGAAAGAAAATGAGGGAAGCCATCCTAGTGGGTCCCAGCCTCATATTCCAACTTAACCAAAAATTCCCTCTGTGAGTGACACAAGTTATTTCCCTTCTCAGCACTTTGGTTTTCCTCTGTATAATATGTGACTACTGGACTCTGATATTCACCTACCTTTGTAGCTTAAATGTTTTAGAAATCTAGGATTCTGTGAGTACCTCTTCTCTCTTGTAACTCCTGTCCAGTGTAGTCAGTGTGTTCTGAATAAGATGCAGGGATAGAGTCTTTTAGCAAAGCAAAGAGGGAAAATAATGAGTTGGGGAAAATAATGAGATAGGGAAAGTAAGAGATAAGAGGCACTTGAGAAAGAAGTCAATCAGATCAAGAATGCAAAGGAAAATAAGAGGAGAAAAAGGGGACACAGACCATATATCAACAAGGGAAATTATTCTTTTCTCTCATACAGCTCTGTTTCTTCCCTACCAGCTCCAGACCCCTATTTTTATTTAATTTTTATTTCATTTTACTTATTGTATTTATTATTTTATTATTATTATTTTTTTTAGAGACAGGGTCTTGCTCTGTCCCCCAGACTGGCGCATAGTGGCATGATCATGGCTCACTGCAGCCTCCATCTCTTGATGCTCAATTGATCCTCCTGCCTCAGCCTCTTGAGTAGCTGAGACCACAGACATGCACCACCATGCCTGGCTAATTTTTTAAATTTTTTGTAGAGTCTCCCTATGTTGCCCAGGCTGGTCTTGAACCCCTGGGCTCAAGTGATCCTCCTGCCTCAGCCTTCCAAAGTGCTGGAATTATGGGTGCTACCTATACCCAACTACCAGACTCCCTGTTTATATCCAATCTCTTTTGCAAACAGAACAGTTATTCCCTTAAAGTCTTTTTTGTTGTTGTTGAGACAGTCTCACTCCATCACCCAGGCTGGAGTGCAATGGTATGATTTCGGCCCACTGCAACCTCCGCCTTGTGGGTTCAAGCCATTCTGTGCCTTAGTCTCCCAAGTAGATGGAATTACAGGTGTGTGCCACCACACCCAACTAATTTGTGTGTGTATATATATGTGTGTGTGTGTGTGTGTGTGTGTGTATGTATGTTTGTTTATTTATTTATTTATTTATTTTGAGACAGAGTCTCACTCTCGGCCAGGCTAGAGTGCAGTGCCACGATCTCAGCCCACTGCAACCTCCATCTCCCGGCTCAAGCAATTCTCCTGCCTCAGCCTCCTGAGTAGCTGGGATTACAGGCGTGTGCCACCACACCCGGTTAATTTTGTATTTTTAGTAGAGATGGGGTTTCACTGTGTTGGCCAGGCTGGTCTCAAACTCCTGACCTCGGGTGATTCGTCCTCCTTGGCTTCCCAAAGTGCTAGGATTACAGGCGTGAGCCACCATGCCTGGCCTAATTTGTGTATTTTTAGTAGAGATGGGGTTTTGCCATGTTGGCCAGGCTGATCTCGAACTCCTGACCTCAAGTGATCTGCCCACCTCAGCCCTGCAAAGTGCTGGGATTACAGGCATGAGCCACTATGCCCAGCCTCCCTTGCAGTCTTGAATCAAGGAAATATGTTGGAGCAGGGAGGCATGCTAGGCTGATCTAAGAGGATGCACACTTATCCTGGGGATTCTTCACCTTGCTCTCGGTGCTTTTGCAACTACCAGCTGCTGTGAGGCCCTTGAGATGTCATTTCTACTATGGAGTCTCCCCTCCTCCATTAAAAAAGTGGGTTTGGCTGGGCGCGGTGGCTCACGCCTGTAATCGCAGCACTTTGGGAGGTTGAGGCTGGCAGATCACGAGGTCAAGAGATTGAGAACATCCTGGCCAACATGGTGAAACCCCGTCTCTTCTAATAATACAAAAATTAGCTGGGTGTGGTGGCACGCACCTGTAGTCCCAGCTACTTGGGAGGCTGAGGCAGGAGAATCACTTGAGCCCAGGAGGCGGAGGTTGCTGTGAGCCAAGATCATGCCACCGCACTCCAGCCTGGGCGATAGAGCAAGACTCTGTCTCAAAAAAAAAAAAAAAAAAAAAAAAGTGGGTTTAGATCGTCTTGTTGCCATCATCCAAACCAGCTACCATTTGACAATCAGAGAACAGATCTCTCATCTAATGAGAGGACTTCCTAGTCTTGCCTATTGAATGACTGATTCCCCACTTTATGATTTAGAACCTAGAATCCTCATCAGCTCCAAGCCTCTGACTTACACCAACTCCCAGTAGAGCTACTTACAAAGAACAAACTGTGTCTCCCTTGGAATTCTGGATTATGAAGTGGCTATCAGTGTATATTCACTCTTGCCCAGGATTCCCCTGGACCAAGAGACTTTCTTTCCCTTTTCTCTTTTTACTTTTTCTTATAATTGTAGATTCACCTGCAGTTGTAAGAAATAATGGAGACAGATTACATGTACCCTTTCTACAGTTATCCCATGATAACATCTTCCAAAACTATAGTGTAATATCACAGCCAGAATGTTAATATAGATACAATCCACCAATCTGATTTAGACTTCCCCAGTTTTACTTCATTTTTGTGTATTTAGTTCTGTGCAGTTTTGTCACACATGTAGGTTTGTGTATCTGTCACCATAATCAAGATACAGAGTTCTGTCACCACAAGGCTCCCCTCGTTGCCCTTCATTATTTTTATTTTACACTTGATCTTAGCCAAAAGACTGAGAAGCGATCAATATTTTTATTTTTATTTACTTATTTTTTTAAGACAGAGTCTTGCTCTGTCACCCAAGCTGGAGTGCTGTGGTGCAATCTCAGCTCCCTGTAACCTCTGCCTCCCAGGTTCAAGCGATTCTCCTGCCTCAGCCTCCCAAGTAGCTGGGATTACAGGCGTGCACCACCATGCCTGACGAATTTTTGTATTTTTACTACAGTCAGGGTTTCACCATGTTGGCCAGGCTGATCTCAAACTCCTGACCTCAGGTGATCCACTCACCTCGGCCTCCCAAAGTGCTGGGATTACAGGTGTGAGCCACCGTGCCCAGCCTCATTGCCCTATAGTAAACATATACCTCCTTCCCACCACCTCCCCATTCCTAACCCCTGCAACCACTAATCTATTCTCCATTTCTCTAATTTTGTCCTTTCCAAATTGTTGTTATATCAAGTAACATTACATAAAATGTAAAAAAATTACATACATACTGTATGTAATCTTTTAGGATTGGTTTTATTCACTAGGCATATTCGTATAGGAAGGGAGAAATATATATATATATTTCTCTGAGATGTGGTCTCGCTCTGTCGCCCAGGCTGGAGTTCAGTGGCGTGATCTCAGCTCGCTGCAACCTCCGCCTCATGGGTTCAAGTGATCTCCCGCCTCAGTCTCCCAAGTAGCTGGGATTACAGGTGCCTGCTACCACGCCCAGCTAATTTTTTTTTTTGTATTTTTAGTAAAGATGGGGTTTCACCATATTGACTAGGCTGGTCTCCAACTCCTGACCTCAGGTGATCCGCCAGCCTCAGCCTCCCAAAGTGCTGGGATTACAGGCATGAGCCACTGCGCTGGGCTGAAATTTTTTAAGATTTTACAGACAACTATGTTCCTACCACAGAATCAACACTGACTCTTGTTAATATTTTGTTATATTTGCTTCATCTTTTTTTTTTTTTTTTTGAGACAGAGTTTTGCTCTTGTTGCCCAGGCTGGAGTGCAATGGTGTGACTTCAGCTCACTGCAACCTCCGCCTCCTGGGTTCAAGCGATTCTCCTGCCTTAGCCTCCCAAGTAGCTGGGATTACAGGTGCCCGCTACCAAGCCCAGCTAATTTTTTGTATTTTTCATAGAGACGGGGTTTCGCCATGTTGGTCAGAGTGGTCTCGAGCTCCTCACGTCAGGTGATCCACCCACCTTGGCCTCCTAAAGTGCTGGAATTACAGGCATGAGCCCCCACACCTGGCCTTTTTCTTTCTTTTTAAGAGAGACATGTGTTCTTGCTCTGTCGCATAGGTTGGAGTGCAGGTGCAGTGGCACTGTCATAGCTTATGGCAGCCTTAACCTCCTGGGCTCAAGTGATTTTCTTGCCTTAGCCTTCCTAGTAGCTGGGACAAGAAGTATGGGGTGCCACACCTTGCTAATTTTTTTGAAGTTTTTGTAGAGATGGAGTCTTGCTCTGTTGCCCAGGCTGGTCTCAAACTCCTGGGCTCAAGTGATTCTCCCACCTCAGCCTCCCAAAGCACTAGGATTTTAGGCATGAGCCACTGTGCCCAGCTGTCTTTTTAATTATTATATGAGAGAAAGAATTTATTATAAAGTTGAAATTCCTTCTAATCCGCATCCTTAGTTCTCCCCACTCATCATAAGCAGCTACTAGTATGAATATGATATTTCTTTCTAGTTGATTTTGTTTATACTGTTATATATGCATAAGCACTCATGAACAATATAGAGTATTATTTTATATGTGTGACCTTTGTAATTTCTTTGCTTTCAGTTAATATATGCAAATAATTTTTTTCAAAACCAAACAGTTCTAAAGAAGACAAGCAATGACAAAATAAATAGCAAATTCCTATTTTACCCTCAGTTCCATTACCTATAATCATGTATTCAACTCTTGTAGCTGTTTCCCCTGGTATTTCATCCCTAATTCTAAATTAAAATGCTTATAATATGCCAGGCACAGTGGCTCATGCCTGTAATCCCAGCACTTTGGGAGGCTGAGGTGGGTAGATCGTTTGAGCCTAGGATTTCAAGACCAGCCTGAGCAACATGTAGAGACAGGTGGAAACCCTGTCTCTACAAAAATTACAAAAATTAGCTTGGTGTGGTGGCGTGTGTTTGTAATCCCAGCTACTTGGGAGGCTGAGGTGGGAAGCTCACTTGAGCCTGGGACGTTGAGGCTGCAGTGAGCCAAAATTGTGCCACTGGACTCCAGCTTGGAATACAGAGCGAGACCCTGTCTCAAAAAAAAAAAAAAAAGTTAATAATACTTTTAGTGACTTTTATTGTAGGTGCTCATTTAGCTCTTATACTATGTCTCCACTTTCATTTTGACTACTCTTCCAATAATTATATGTAACATTCTTAAATTGAATCGTCATTGTACATTATTATGACTATGTAAATTATTTTTACTGGAGAGCTACATGGGCTACTATGAAATGATCAAATATATTAACAATTTTTTTTTTTTTTTTAATTTTTAGAACAGATGGGATTTCACCATGTTGGCCAGGCTGGTCTCAAAATCCTGGCCTCAAGTGATTCACCTGCCTCGGCCTCCCAAAGTGCTGGGATTACAGGTGTGAACCACTACGTCCAGCCTTTTTTTTTTTTTTTGAGACAGGCTCTCACTCTCTCACCCAGGTTGGAGTACAGTGGCTCTATCTCAGCTCACTGCAACCTCTGCTTCCCAAACTCAAGCAATTCTCTCACCTCAGCCTCCAGAGTAGCTGGGACCACAGGCATGCTTCACCACGTCTGGCTAATTTTTTGTATTTTTGGTAGAGATGGGGTTTCGCCATGTTGCCCAGGCTGGTCCCAAACTCCTGAGCTCAGGCAGTCCACCTGCCTCAGCCTCCCAAAATACTGGGATTACAGGAATGAGCCACTACACCTGGCCTAATGATCTTATCAATTCAATTTTTTGTTTCTTCTGGAGTTAATTACCAGATTTTTTCATTTCCTTTAGTTTTCTGTATATGTTCCTCATTCTTTTTCTTTTGTTTTTTATTGTTGTTGTTGTTGTTTTGTTTTGTTGTTGTGGTTGTTGTTTTGATGTTGCCCAGGCTGGAGTGTAGTGGCGCGATCTCGGCTCACTGCAACCTCCACACCCTGGGTTCAAGCGATTCTCATATCTCAGCCTCCTGAGTAGCTGGGATTATAGGCACCTGCCACCTTGCCCAGCTAATGTTTTTTGTTATTTTTAGTAGAGACATGGTTTCACTATGTTGGCTAGGCTGGTTTCGAACTCCTGACCTCAAGTGATCTGCCCACCTTGGCCTCCCAAAGTGCTGGGATTGTAGGTGTGAGCCACCGTGCTTGGCCCTTCATTATTTTTCTATATGCCCAATCAGATTTATTTTACAGTGTTATCATTAGTTTCCAAGTGATTGAATGTATCAGATAATCAATTGCATCTATTTTTTTTTTCCTGAGACCTCACTTTCAGAACTTTTTCTTTCATTCTAGTCTAAACTGTGGTTGGTTATTCTCTAGGCTTGTTCCTCAGTTTTTATCTTGCAGTTTTCCCTCTTTCCTTTGTTGGATCTTGTTTCCTAATTGTAGACCATCTTCTTTCTTTTATTCTATTTTGCTGGAGTATAGAACTCTAGGTTAGAAATAACTTTATCTCAGAATTTTTAAGGCAATGCCTTTCCAATTACTAGTGATGCTGTCTGTGAATTGTCTGATCTTATTCTTTCTCAATCTATTTATTATTTATTTATTTATTTAAGATGGGGTCTCACTCTGCCACCCAGGCTGGAGTGCAGTGGCACAATCTCAGCTCACCGCAACCTCCACCTTCTGGGTTCAAGTGATTCTCCTGCCTCAGCCTCCTGAGTAGCTGGGACTACAGGCGTGTGCCATCATGCCTGGCTAATTTTTGTATTTGTGGTAGAAACGGAGTTTCACCATGTTGGCCAGGCTGGTCTCAAACTCCTGACTTCAGGAGATCTGCCCTCCTTGGCCTCCCAAAGTGCTGGGATTGCAGGAGTGAGCCATTGCACCCAGTCTAAATTTCTTAAACAGAAAAAGAAATTATCTTTAAAATGCCCAGGGAAGGAAAAAGAAAAACAATAGATCATTTAAAAGGATTGAGAGAGGCTGGGCACAGTGGCTCAAGCCTGTAACCCCAGCACTTTGGGAGGCTGAGGAGGGCAGATCACCTGAGGTGAGGAGTTCAAGACCAGCCTGGCCAACATGGCGAAACCCCGTCTCTGCTAAAAATATAAAAATTAGCCAGGTATGGTGGCAGGCTCCTGTAATCCCAGCTACTCGGGAGGCTGAGGCAGAAGAATCCCTTGAACCTGGGAGGCGGAGGTTGCAGTGAGCCAAGATTGTGCCACTGCACTCCAGTCTGGGGGACAGAGCGAGACTCTGTCCACCCCCTGCAAAAAAAAAGATTCACAATGATGTGCCTTAGTGTAGGTCCTCTTTTAAAATTTATTACATTGGTTACTTGATAGATTCTTTTAATCTGAAGGTTTGTTATTTAGTTCTAGGGCTTTTCTTATTACACTGTGTTTTAAATGATTTCTTTCCTTGTATTATGTTAGTTCTCGCTCGCGCTCTCTCTCTATATGTAAATATATAGATTTTATATATATATATATATATATATATGGGATTGATAAACTTTTTCTTAAAGGGTAAGATAGTAAATATTTCGGTATTGTGAGGTTTACAGTCTTTGTTACAAGTACTCAACGCTGTCAAAATATACTTAGTGAGTACAGAAATAAATGAGCTTGACTATGTTCCAATAAAACATTATTTACAAAAACAAGTAGCCAGGGCATAGTTTACTGACTCAACACTGTCAATATATACTTAGTGAGTACAGAAATAAATGGGCTTGACTGTGTTCCAGTAAAACTTCATTTACAAAAACAAGTGGCCAGGGCATAGTTTGCTGACTTGTGTCCCAGAATGATTCTCTTAACTTTCTTCATCTTTCTCATATTTTCTTTTTCTTTCTTTCTTTTTTTTTTAATGAGACGGAGTCTCGCTCTGTTGCCCAGGCTGGAGTACAGTGGCGCAATTTCAGCTCACTGCAACCTCCATTTCCCGTGTTCAAGCAATTCTCATGCCTCAGCCTCCCGAGTAGCTGGGACTACAAAGCGTGTGCCACCATGCCCTGCTGATTTTTGTATTTTTAGTAGAGACGAGTTTCAACATGTTGGCCAGGCTGGTCTTAAACTTCTGACCTCAAGTAATCCGTCCACCCCAGCCTCCCAAAGTGCTGGGATAACAGGCATGAGCTACTGTGCCTGGCCAGTTTTTCTCATATTTTCATCACTTTTTTTGTTTTGTTTTGTATTCTGGAAATTTCCTCAACTTTCTCTTTTATCTCGTCTATTAAAATTCCTATTTTGGATATTATTTTTAATTTCCAAGAGCTTTTCTTCTCTGTTCCTTTTTCATTGCACTCTCTTCTTGTTTTATGTATAATTGTATCATCTATTTTCTCTTTGAGGATATTAATGATAGCCTTTTAGAGGTTACTTTTCTCTTATTGACTATCTTTTTTTTTAAACTTCTGTAGCCCCCATGTGTTTGAATTATGGGTTTTTTTGTTTGTTTATTTTTTGTTTGATTTTGAGACAGGGTCTCACTTTGTCACCCAGGGTGGAGTGCAGGGATGCAATCATAGCTCACTGCAGCTTCTGTCTCCCAAGCTTAGGTGATCCTCCTACCTCAGCTTCCTGAATAGCCGGGACTACAGGTTTGTACCTCCATGCCCAGCTAATTTTTTTAATTTTTAGTAGAGACAAGGTCTTGCTATGTTGCCCAGGCTGGTCTTGAACTCCTGAGCTCAAGTGATCCTCCCACCTTGGCCCTCCCAAAGAGTTAGGATTACAGGCATGAGCCACCGTGACAAGCCTGAATTGTGTTATTTGAATTGTGTATTAAAGTCTTTGTGTAAGGGCTTTCCTTAATTACATTGAGATCCTTGGCTTTTAGTTCACATTTATGGTCCTTAAAAGCTGCATGGTTACAAAAGCAGACAGTGATGAACAAAAACAAAAACAAGCTGCATGGAAGCTCGTTTTGCATGGATGAGCTTCAGATTATAATGATCAGACAACTAGCTTTTTGTTGGGTATTCTCCAAATGACAGAATTCTTTCACCTGATGCTGTTTACTTTATCCAGTGAAGAGTTCTCCTGTCCTTTGGATCCGCTGAGGGGATCCAAACTTGGATATGAGTGTAGGTCAGGACAATGAGAATGGGTCAGGGATTTTCACTACATAACATTCAGATTTTCATTTTATTCCCATTTTTAGCTCTGTTCCTCACCTTGCTTTCCATGGTAAGGGAGTTCTAAGGGTGTGCCATCTTGTCTCTCTATAGGTACCTCCCTTGGTCCTAGCTTCTGTGTCTGGCCACGTCAGCCAAAATCCTCCTATCTGCTTTTTCTCTGTCAAAATGAGTTGAACACTCTTTGTGTGCTGATGTCTCCACTGTCACTTTTTGGGTTTGTAGTGAATACTCCTTTTTCATCATTTTAGTGAAGCTACTGGATGAATGGAGTGCAGTCAATATGTGTTATCAACCTACCATGTTAAACTGGCATTTAAGGTCAGGCTCGGTGACTCACACCTATAATCCCAGCACTTTGGGAGGCTGAGGCGGGAGGATTGCTTGAGCCCAGGAGTTTGAGACCAGCCTGGGCAATGTGGCAAAACCCTTTCTCTACAAAAAATTTAAAAATTAGCTGGGCGTGGTGGTGTGCATCTGGGACTGAGCCCAGGGAGATTAAGGCTGCAAGTGAGCTGTGATTGTGCCACTGGACTCCAGCCTGGGCGACCCTGGAGACCTTTGAGACCCTGTCCCAAAAAGAAAATGAAATTGGAATTGAAGAGATTTGGTTTGAACATCTTTTGACAAATAAGTAGTAGAAATTTTTATCTGCAGCTGGAGTTTTTTGGTGGTATACCCCATTTCTCTCCCCTTCTCTCCCTCTCTCTCTTTTTACTAATGTGCTCCTCATCTCTGTCTGAGACCTCATCAAAATGGATTTTACCACCCATATTTCTACCAGTTTTCTGATCAGTATCACTTAGGTAATCTCTAAGAAGACTGAGGCTTTCTCTATAGCTCTTCTTTTTCTGAGCCCATAGTAGAATTGCCTTTTATGCCTGTTTATGGCAACATAGGCTTTTTCTGCATGTACTTCCAAATTCTATCAGCTCTGTCCATTACCCAGGTCCAAAGCTGCTTCCACATTTTTAGTTATTTGTTACAGAAGCACCCCACTTCTTAGTACCAATTTCTGCCTTGGCCATTTGGGACTCCCATCCCCACTCCTTCTCTCTGTTTTTAAATTTAATTATTTTTTTTTTTTTTTGAGATAAAGTCTTGCTTTGTCACTCAGGCTGGAGTGCAGTGGTGTGATGTTGGCTCACTGCATCCTCCACCTCCCAGGTTCAAGCGATTCTCCTGGCTCAGCCTCCTGAGTAGCTGGGATTACAGGTGTGTGCCATCACACCTGGCTAATTTTTGTATTTTTAGTAAAGGCAGGGTTTTATCATCTTGGCCAGTCTGGTCTTGAACCCCTGACCCCAGGTGATCCACCCGCCTTGGCCTCCCAAAGTGCTGGGATTACAGGCATGAGCCACCACACCCAGCTTCTCTTTTTTTTAAGTCAGGGTTTCTCTCCGTCACCCAGGCTGGTGTGCAGTGGCGCTGTCATAGCGCACTGCAGCCTTGACTTCCTGGGCTGAAGCCGTCCTCCCACCTTAGACTCCTGAGCAGCTAGGAGTACAGGTGTGTGCCATGATGCCCGGCTAATTTTTTGACTTCTCTCTAGAGATAACCTCTCATTAGGCAGGGCGCAGTGGCTCATGCCTGTAATCCCAACACTTTGGGAGGCCGAGGCGGGCAGATCATGAGGTCAGGAGATCGAGACCATCCTGGCTAACATGGTGAAACCCCGTCTCTACTAAAAATACAAAAAAATTAGCTGGGCGTGGTGGCGGGAGCCTGTAGTCCCAGCTACTCAGGAGGCTGAAGCAGGAGAATGGCGTGAACCCAGGAGGTAGAGCTTGCAGTGAGTCGAGATCACGCTACTGCACTCCAGCCTGGGCAACAGAGCGAGACTCCGTCTCAAAAAAAAAAGAGATAAGCTCTCATTACATTTCCCAGACTGCTCACGAACTCCTGGCCTCAAGCAATCCTCCTGCCTCCCAAAGTGCTGGGACTACAGGTGTGAGCCACCATGCCTGGTCTCCCTCTCTCTTTTGAATGGAGATATGTTTACTTTTAGAAGTAGTATGTACTTACCACAAAAAATGTTAAATGATATGGAACTGTATGGGCTAGAAATTGAAAAGCTTCCATGTCTCCACCCCTAAGAGTAATTGACACCCCTTTAGCATGGTCAGATTTTGTACATACATACTGTCCCCACTTTTTCTTTATTCTTGCTTGTTTGTTTCGTTTCCTTCAGGTCTCCAGGAAACCTAGAGAAAAACCGTTATGGGGATGTACCCTGCCTGGACCAAACTAGAGTGAAGCTAACAAAGCGAAGTGGCCATACTCAGGTAGACAGATAAATGTAATCTTTTTAGGTGCACTGGGGGAAATAGAGCTTCTTCCAAAGTGAAGCTTACTAATACTTCGGTAGAATGAAAGTAGACTCCGAGGCCAGAGAGATTAGGTTTGAGTTTATATTTTGCTACATACTAGTCTGTGACCATAGGCAAGTCCTCAAATGCCCATCTCACAGTATTGAGTGGAAATTAAATGAAATTCTTTATGTGAATGCTGATAGTGCAAGGTCTGTTGTATTGTAGGTGCTTCATAGATGTTAAATTATTTATCATTTTACTCCTTAGTTGTAAAGTCATGGTCATATAGTGCAATTCCTTTGGTGAGTATATATGCATCAATACAAAGCAACTTTGATTATAAGTGACCTCTGATTTCTCCATCTGTATCTGAGGAAATTGTGGACAACTTATGTATACATAAATGTCTAGGGATAGAGATGAAATGGTCAAATGACTATATTATTTAATATATTAATTTGATTATATCTACATGTTAAAAGCCTCATATGTAATCTATTAACAGAGATATTTAATGAACATTTTATTCAAACACTTTACATACACCTTTAACTTTAGTGTCTTTGTCACATTTGAGCCACTTTTTTTTTTCTCCCTCAAGACAAGGTCTTGCTTTATTGCCCAGGCTAGGTACAGTGATCACAGCTCACTGCAACCTTGACCTCCTGGGCTCAAGTGATTCTTGTACCTCAGCCTCCCAAGTAGCTGAGACCACAGGTGTGTGCCACATACATGGCTAATTTTTAAATACTTTTGTAGAGACAAGTTCTCACTATGTTGCCTAGTCTGGTCTTGAACTCTTGTGCTCAAACAATCCTCTTGCCTCAGCCTCCCTAAGTGCTGGAATTACAGGCCAATTTTTGAGTCAGTCTAACAAGGTTTTCCAGAGTACAACATCTTTATTTACTTTTAAGTGTGTGGCATTGTGACTGGAAATTTTATCCTAAACCAGGAAAATCTGTTAGGGTAACATTAGGACAAATTTTTTTTTTTTTTTTTTTTTTTTGAGACGGAGTCTTGCTCTGTCCCCCAGGCTGGAGTGCAGTGGCGCAATATTGGCTCACCGCAAGCTCCACCTCCCAGGTTCACGCCATTCTCCTGCCTCAGCCTCCCGAGTAGCTGGGACTACAGGTGCCCACCACCACGCCCGGCTAATATTTTGTGTTTTTAGTAGAGACGGGGTTTCACCATGTTAGCCAGGATGGTCTCGATCTCCTGACCTCGTGATCCGCCCGTCTCGGCCTCCCAAAGTGCTGGGATTACAGGCATGAGCCACTAGGCCCGGCCAGGACAAGTTGGTTTTTTAATTCATCCTGCATCTTATGCATCCCCTATAATATGATTCATTCACTTATTCCTTTGTAAAATCCTTAAAAAACAGAAAATTGAGACAGGGTCTCACTCTGTCACCCAGGCTTGAGTGCAGTGACTTGATCGTAGCTCACTGCACCCTTGAACTCCTGGGCTCAAGCGATCCTCCCACCTCTGCCTCCCAAGTAGCTGAGACTACAGGCACACGCCATTACACATGGCTGATTTTTTTTAATTTTATTTTTGTAGACCTAGGGTCTCGCTGTGTTGCCTAAGTTCTTCCTGGGCTCAAGCAATCCTCTCACCTTGGCCTCCCAAAGTGCTGGGATTACAGGCATGAGCCGGTGTGCCTGGCCATAATTCCTTTTTAATATAACTTGTTTACAGCAACATCCAACCTTAGAATTTTGAGATGAATGACTAAATTATTATTATCTTCCTTTTTTTCCCTTCTGATATACCAATTTTATTAGGTGATATCTCCGAAAAACCCAATTTTGTTAGGTGATCTCATAAAAAAAAAAAACCCAGCATTGACTGAGGTTGTTCAAAGTAAAGTTATTTTATTTTTATTTATTTATTTATTTTGAGACAGAGTTTCGCTCTTGTTGTCCAGGCTGGAGTGCAATGGCGCAATCTCAGCTCACTGCAACCTCCACCTCCTGGGTTCAAGCAATTATCCTTTCTCAGCCTCCCGAGTAGCTGGGATTACAGGTGCATGCCACCATGCCCGGCTAATTTTTGTATTTTTAGTAGATACGGGGTTTCATCATTTTGGTCAGGCTGGTCTTGAACTCCTGACCTGGGGTGATCCGCCTGCCTCAGCCTCCCAAAGTGCTGGGATTACAGGCATGAGCCACTGCGCCGGCAAAGTAAAGTAATTTAAATAGTGCCTCTTTAACATGACACACAGTAAAGTAATTTAAATAGTACCTCTTTAACATGACACACATTATAAGGACTTGTTATATCCCTTCTCTTTCTGGGGAATAATTTTTGGAAAACTTACTGCCTTGTATTTGGGCATATATGACATGTGGGTTGGGACCCCAGGATCATGGTTTCCAACTCTCTTGTCCCTGTTGTTTCAAGCACATAAACTGAATTCACAGTCCTATCCAGGACCCTTGGAGAAGATTTTCCTGCAGGAGCATTTGAGCTAAGAGACTGGCTGGCTGGAGGGTAAATTCATCAGTACTGCTGAGATCATCATCGTATATGCCCTGAAGGAGTGGAGTACAGTGGTTGAGTTGGGGCTCTGGAGTCAGAGATACCTGTATTTATCCATTTTGTTGACTTCCCTGTCTCCAGTACCTAGAACAGTGCCTGCCACATATCAGACACTCAGGACATATTTGTGAATGAGTGAATCTTAGTGTACTGGGAGATTCTTCTAATCATCCTGTGGTTAATATGAAGATCATTGTCTGATTTGTAGTCCCTCTCCTTACTGAAACATTAGCGGAGGCTTTATTTTTATAGTAAATGGAGTATTTAGGCTTTTTTTTTATTTTATTTTGATTTTAGTTTTTAGTTTTTTTGACATTATTTACTTTGCGGGCCGAAAGCAAAAAAAAAAAAATTATTTACTTAGCTTTGGGGACTTAACACTCTCATGGAATTTCCACCTATGGGGCTATTTTTCCATTCTGTTTTCTGACATTTAGTTGTTTTTAAATTTTAATTGATAGAAATTGTATATATTTATGGTATACAATATAATATTTTAAAATATGTATGGATTGCAGAGACACTAAGTCAAGCTAGTTAATATATGCATTACTTTGCCGGGCACGGTGGCTCACACCTGTAATCCCAGCACTTTGGGAGGCCGAGGCGGGCAGATCACAAGGTCAGGAGATCGAGACCATCCTGGCTAACACGGTGAAACCCCGTCTCTACTAAAAAATACAAAAAATTAGCCAGGTGTGGTGGTGGGCGCCTGTAGTCCCAGCTACTCGGGAGGCCGAGGCAGGAGAATGGCATGAACCTGGGAGGCGGAGCTTGCAGTAAGCCGAGATCGCACCAGTGCACTCCAGCCTGGGCAACAGAGCAAAGACTCCGTCTCAAAAAAAAAAAAAAAAAAAACACCACATATGCATTACTTCACATATTTACCTTGTTTTGTGGTGAAAACACTTAAAATATGCTGTCCGCAATTTTCAAGTATACAATACCTTGTTATTTGGAGGATTCAGGTTTTTTAGTGAATTGTTTACTTGATTTGCTTCTGGAATTTTAAAGCTATTAGTCCCAGTTTCTGTTGAACATGGCTGCCTTAATCTGTTTGGGCTGCTGTAACAAAAATACCACATGCAGGATGGCTTATAAACAACAGAAATTTATTTCTCACTATTGTGGAGTCTGGGAAGTCCAAGATCAACGTGCTGGCAGATTTGGGGTCTGGTGAGGGCCCCTTTCTTGGTTCATAGACCACTGTCTACTCATTGCATCCTCACATGGCAGAAGGGGAAGGGGTGAGGGAGCACTTCAGAACTCTTCTGTCTTATAAGGGCACTAATCCCATTTGTGAGAGCTCTGTCCTCATGGTCCTAATCACCTGTCTAAAGGCCCCATCTCCTAATACCATTACATTGAGGGTCTGGGGTTGGGATTACACATTTGAAGTTATGGGGGACACAAATGATCAGTCTATAGCAATGGCTCACAACATAGTGTTCCGGGTTTGTTCTTCCTGCTATTCCAATTTTCCCCCAAGTGTATACTTTATCTCTGGGTCATTTTCAGTTTTGTTTTTTTTTTTTTTTTTGAGTTGGAGTCTCGCTTTGTCGCCCAGGCTGGAGTGCAGTGGTGCGATCTCGGCTCACTGCAACCTCCACCTCCCGGGTTCGTGCCATTCTCCTGCCTCAGCCTCCCAGGTAGCTGGGACTACAGGCGCCCGCCACCACACCCAGCTAATTTTTTGTATTTTTAGTAGAGATGGGGTTTCACCTTGTTAGCCAGGATGGTCTTGATCTCCTGACCTCGTGATCTGCCCGCCTTGGCCTCCCAAAGTGCTGGGATTACAGGCGTGAGCCACTGCGCCCGGCCTTCAGTTTTAATATCCAGTGATTCTTCCGAAGTTGCTGAAATTAAAAATTTAATTCCCTGGGAATTAAAAATCAGCTCAGAGACCAGTGCTAAAGCTGGTAATTCTTAGTTATAAAGAAATAATGTCTTCTTTAAAGAAGTGACAATTCGGCCGGGCGCGGTGGCTCACGCCTGTAATCCCAGCACTTTGGGAGGCCGAGGCGGGTGGATCATGAGGTCAGGAGATCAAGACCATCCTGGCTAACAAGGTGAAACCCCGTCTCTACTAAAAAAATACAAAAAATTAGCCGGGCGCGGTGGCGGGCGCCTGTAGTCCCAGCTACTCGGGAGGCTGAGGCAGGAGAATGGCGTGAACCCGGGAAGCGGAGCTTGCAGTGAGCCGAGATTGCGCCACTGCAGTCCGCAGTCCGGCCTGGGCAACAGAGCGAGACTCCGTCTCAAAAAAAAAAAAAAAAAAAAAAAAAGAAGTGACAATTCTTTTCAAAGCATGAAGTTAGTTCCTCCTTATGTTCTTACTAATGCTGACTGGCATATACTAGGTAAATCTTTTGTGCTTTTCCATACCTTCTCCCCTTGGTCCTCGAGTGGGTATACCATTTGCATGTGCCAGGTTGAGTAGAGGATGGGCTTTGGCTGACTGGGTGCACCCTGGATTGAGAAGCCTGTTTGGAAGTGAGTGAGGCTTTTAGCATGCTGGGTCTGCTGCAGGTGGTCTATTAGCTCAGTGAAGTTGTCTGAGTCAGGGTAGGACAGTAATCGTATGAGGTCAATACTAGCTGCTATGGGAGGGAAAACTCCGAGTTTATCACTCCACTATTTATTTAGTCAAAGAAACAGTTTCTAAGGAGGAAACTCTTGACTAAATAAATAGTAGAGTGATAAATTGGTAGACTGACTGGCTAATGAACACAAATCCAAGTAACATGGGTTTGACCATGAGGTGGAGATATCTTAGGAGGTTAGCTATGGGATACTGACAGTTCAGACTGCCCACCCAGTGATAGGACCCACAGGAGAACGAGTGATAGGTTGAGGAAAGAGTCAGTCTGACCTCTCTGTAATGCAGTGGGTTATGAGTTTTCCCTAGTTTGCTATTGAAACTTTTCTTTTGTCCTTCTGTAACCCTTCACACCTTCCCTTATCCATTCCACTGCTTCTATCCATTCAACTCCCAACTAGTTATACTATAACATAAAACTGCAGCTGATTGATGTTTCTCTTTTATCAGCCTGGATCAAAGGATCTTTTGAGTAGGTATTTATAAAAAATGATGTTGAAGTAATTAAGACTGAGGACATTAGGAGGTGGGAGAATACCCTGGAAGAGAGGTAGTCAGGAGCTGTTCATTGAGATGCCTTTGAATTTGACTGGAAGTTGCTTTGCATTAATTCAGGTAATAATGGAGTCCAGGTGTTTGGCTCGTCTGTTGATGGTCCTAAGTATGAGATGTAGCTTTATTTCTTCTCCATTCATATTTTGCCTTTTGTGTGTGGCAGGATGGACCAGGTGTTCCTACTTGCTTGCCTTGCCTCTCATTTGGTCCTGTGCTACAGTGTTGCAAGTCTTGATGGACCCTTTTCTTGTAAATAACAGTTTCTATTGAGTTATATAGTTCACTCTGGCAGACTGCCACAATTACTGCTTGAGATGTCACTAGGGCAGTTACTATTGTTATTACTTGAGACCGTCATTAGGAGACTGAATGAAGGGGGATAAACATAGCAATGAAAACTTAAGACAAAAATAACTATTCTAAAGGAAGGGTAACATGGGGAAGAAGAGAACTCCCTGCTTCTAGTGAGCAAAGGCAGCCCTGAGCTTCTACAGCCCTTTGTATTTATTGGGTACCAAGAGCAGGGAGGAGGAGGTAACGATTGGTCAGCTGCTTAATTGATCACAGGTACACATTATTGCTAACAGGCTTCAGATGTGCCTAACTACAAGAAACACTTGTGCCTGGGTCGTGACTGCCCTCAGCATTCCTTCTGGGCGGCAGATGCAGTTTGTCAGTTTGCCAACATCCTGCTTTCATGAGAACAGTTTCCTTTTTGCTCATGTAGCCTCCAGTGGTATACTGAGTTGATCATGACCCTCATTCTTTCGGCCTCCAACAGTTCACATACCATACAATTTACCTATTTAAAGTATATAAGTCAATGGCTATTAGTATATTCACAGAGTTGTGCCACCATCACCACAAACAACTTTAGAACATTTTTTTCATTTCCCAAAGAAACCTCACACCCTTGGCAGTCGCTACCTATTTCCCTCTAACCCACTCTGATTTATTTCCTATCTCCATAGATTTGCCTGTTCTAGGGATCTCATACAAAGAGAATCCTAGACTATGTAGCTTTTTGTGTCTGGCTTCTATCATTTAGCATAATGTTTTCTAGGTCCATCCATGTCATAGCATGTATCATCACATCACTGCTTTTTACTGCCAAATAATATTCCATTGTATGGATATACCACTTTTATTCATTTATCAGTTGAAGGACATTTGAGTTGTTTCCATTTTTGGCTATTACGAATAATGCTGCTATGGATATTTATGTATAAGTTTTTGTATGCACCTATGTTATTTTGCTAAGGAGTGGAATTGCTGGGTCATATGGTAACTGTTTAATCTTTTCAGGAACAACCAGACTGTTTTCTAAAGTAACTGCAGCATTTTACATTACCACTAGCCATGTATAAGGAGGGTTTACACATGTATGAGGGTTTCAGTTTTTCCACATCCTTGCCAACAGTATTATCTATCTTTGATATCTGTAGCCATCCTAGTGGGTATAAATTAGTATCTCGTGGTATGGATTTGCATTTCCATGATGGCTGATGATGAATGAATTTTTTTTTTTTTTGAGACAGAGTCTCGCTCTGTCGCTCAGGCTGGAGTGCAGTGGCACGATCTCAGCTCACAGCAAGCTCCATCTCCCGGGTTTATGCCATTCTCCTGCCTCAGCCTCCCGTGTAGCTGGGACTACAGGCGCCTGCCACCACGCCCAGCTATTTTTTTGTATTTTTTTTTAATTTATTTTTTTATTGATAATTCTTGGGTGTTTCTCACAGAGGGGGATTTGGCAGGGTCATGGGACAATAGTGGAGGGAAGGTCAGCAGATAAACAAGTGAACAAAGGTCTCTGGTTTTCCTAGGCAGAGGACCCTGCGGCCTTCCGCAGTGTTTGTGTCCCTGATTACTTGAGATTAGGGATTGGTGATGACTCTTTTTTTTTTTTTTTTTTTTTTTTTTTGAGACGGAGTCTCGCTCTGTCGCCCAGGCTGGAGTGCAGTGGCACGATCTCGGCTCACTGCAAGCTCCGCCTCCCGGGTTCACGCCATTCTCCTGCCTCAGCCTCCCGAGTAGCTGGGACTACAGGCGCCCGCCACCACGCCCGGCTAATCTTTTGTATTTTTAGTAGAGACGGGGTTTCACCGTGTTAGCCAGGATGGTCTCGATCTCCTGACCTCGTCATCCGCCCGCCTCGGCCTCCCAAAGTGCTGGGATTACAGGCGTGAGCCACCGCGCCCGGCCTGGTGATGACTCTTAAGGAGCATGCTGCCTTCAAGCATCTGTTTAACAAAGCACATCTTGCACCGCCCTTAATCCATTTAACCCTGAGTGGACACAGCACATGTTTCAGAGAGCACAGGGTTGGGGGTAAGGTCACAGATCAACAGGATCCCAAGGCAGAGGAATTTTTCTTAGTGCAGAACAAAATGAAAAGTCTCCCATGTCTACTTCTTTCTACACAGACACGGCAACCATCCGATTTCTCAATCTTTTCCCCACCTTTCCCCCCTTTCTATTCCACAAAGCCGCCATTGTCATCCTGGCCCGTTCTCAATGAGCTGTTGGGCACACCTCCCAGACGGGGTGGTGGCCGGGCAGAGGGGCTCCTCACTTCCCAGTAGGGGCGGCCGGGCAGAGGCGCCCCCTCACCTCCCGGAGGGGCGGCTGGCCAGGCAGGGGCGCTGACCCCCCCCCACCTCCCTCCCGGACGGGGCGGCTGGCCGGGCAGAGGGGCTCCTCACTTCCCAGTAGGGGCGGCCGGGCAGAGGCACCCCTCACCTCCCGGACAGGGCGGCTGGCTGGGCGGGGGGGCTGACCCCCCCCACCTCCCTCCCGGACGGGGCGGCTGGCCGGGCGGGGGGCGACCCCCCACCTCCCTCCCGGACGGGCGGCTGGCGGGCGGGGGCTGACCTCCCCACCTCCCTCCGGACGGGGTGGCTGGCCGGGCTGAGGGCTCCTCACTTCCAGTAGGGGCGGCCGGGCAGAGGCGCCCCTCACCTCCGGACGGGGCGGCTGGCCGGGTGGGGGGCTGACCCCCCCACCTCCTCCCGGACGGCACGGCTGGCCAGGCGGGGGGCTGACCCCCCCACCTCCCTCCCGGATGGCACGGCTGGCCGGGCGGGGGGGCTGACCCCCCACCTCCTCCGGATGGGGCGGCTGGCCGGGCCGGGGGCTGACCCCCCCCCACCTCCCTCCCGGACGGGGTGGCTGCCCGGCGGAGACGCTCCTCACTTCCCAGATGGGGTGGCTGCCGGGCGGAGAGGCTCCTCACTTCTCAGACGGGGTGGTTGCCAGGCAGAGGGTCTCCTCACTTCTCAGACGGGGCGGCCGGGCAGAGACGCTCCTCACCTCCCAGAGGGGGTCTCGGCCGGGCAGAGGCGCTCCTCACATCCCAGATGGGGCGGCGGGGCAGAGGCGCTCCCCACATCTCAGACGATGGGCGGCCGGGCAGAGACGCTCCTCACTTCCTAGATGTGATGGCGGCTGGGAAGAGGCGCTCCTCACTTCCTAGATGGGATGGCGGCCGGGCGGAGACGCTCCTCACTTTCCAGACTGGGCAGCCAGGCAGAGGGGCTCCTCACATCCCAGACGATGGGCGGCCAGGCAGAGACACTCCTCACTTCCCAGACGGGGTGGCAGCCGGGCAGAGGCTGCAATCTCGGCACTTTGGGAGGCCAAGGCAGGCGGCTGCTCCTTGCCCTCGGGCCCCGCGGGGCCCGTCCGCTCCTCCAGCCGCTGCCTCGCGGGCGGCGCTCGCCGGCGCGGCGGCAAAGACTGAGACAGCTCCGCTGCCCGCTGAACTCCATCCTCCCGGCTGTGGGGCGGCGGTGGCTGCGGTCGGTCGCGGCAGCGGCTCCGCTTCATATCTGCAGCTGGGGCCCGCGGGCGTCAGCGCCGCGACTGTCCCGGCTCCGCACTGCCCCAGGCCGCAGCGCAGCCGCGCCAACCACCACCCGCGGCCACCATGGCCGGACGGGCTCCCTAAGCCACCGACCCCAGCCCGCGGCGCCTTCGAGCCTTCTGGGGCCTCCGGCGCCGCGACCTCCTCTGCGCTCCTCACGGAAGAGACCTTTTTTGTATTTTTAGTAGAGACAGGGTTTCGCCGTGTTAGCCAGGATGGTCTCGATCTCCTGACCTCGTGATCCACCCTCCTCGGCCTCCCAAAGTGCTGGGATTACAGGCGTGAGCCACCGCGCCTGGCATAAGTTTTTAATTTTAATATAGTCCAATTTATCTCTTTTCTTTTGTCACTTACGCCTTTGGTATCATATCTGTGAAAGCTTTGCCTAACCCAAGGTCACAAAGATTTACTCTTATATTTTATTCTGAGAGTTTTAATAGTTTTAATCCCTTACATTTGGTCTGTGATACATTTTGAGTCAGTTTTACAGTGTGAGGAAGGAGTCAGCTTGATTTTTATGCATGTAGATATCTACTTGTCCCAGCACCATTTATTGAAGTGAGGGTTTGAGCTGGCCATTTCACTCCTCATTTTCTGCTCAACAAGAAGAGAATATTCACACCTTGGGTTTTACTTACTGAGTACATCATTTTATGACCCAAATGGTGTATTCTGTGTAGCTATAGTGATGTCTCCTTTTTATCATTAGACAGATTACATCAATGCCAGTTTCATGGATGGCTACAAGCAGAAGAATGCTTACATTGGCACACAAGGTAAGCTGGTCCGTCCCTCCCATGTTGATTTTGTGCCATCTACTTATGATTCCTTGTGCCAAATGATAGCATAATTTTTAAACGAATGGTAACTTGAGTGGAGGTTTTGGCCACTAGATCCTGGCCTTTTATAAAGATGGGTGGTGGTTGAGAAAAGCAAATAAGTAGTTTGGGGTTTCTGTACCAGGTGTGCCTGGAAACTCACCGCATAGAGATAAACTGGAGATTTAAACACATAACACTACTGCCTGCAAGTTTTGGGGCTATTTCTTAGTATTGGCAAGGGTGTAGGGCATCAGAATGCATCAGCCAGTGAGCTCTTCATGCTCTTCCTGTCTAGTGAGAGGCCAAGAATAGCAGTGGACTTCCCAGAGATTGAGTCCAATCTAGGAATGAGTATTGCTGTCCTAATAGGCCTAGGCTGGTTCCTATACCATCACAGAGCACTCCAGCAAATGTTCTGACATAGATAGTATGTGCTAATAAGTCTGACAGTGGAATACTGAGCTCTAGGAGGATTTCTCATTTTTTTTTCTCCTTTGAAATGGAGGCTTGCTGTGTCGCCCAGGCTATTGTGCAGTGGTACGACCTCCACTCACTGCAACCTCCACCTCCCGGGTTCAAGTGATTCTCCTGCCTCAGCCTCCTGAGTATCTGGGACTACAGGTGTGTGCCACCACGCCCGGCTAATTTTTGTATTTTTAGTAGAGACTGGGTTTCACCATGTTGGACAGGCTGGTCTCGAACTCCTGACCTCGTGATCTGCCCGCTTCGGCCTCCCAAAGTGTTGGGATTACAGGCGTGAGCCACCATGCCCAGCCTCTAGGAGGATTTCAGGTGGAGTTTCTATAAATGTTCCTATGATCCTAGTACTCTTCCTGACCTGGCCTCTCCATCTCAAGAATATCATGTCACTTTCAAAGATGGTAGGAGGAAATCATAATACAGAAAGACAACAGACCATCAGATGGGCGTAAGGCCCTTTGACCACTGCAGAGCAAGATACGGTGGATACCTCCTTAATCAAGTGATCAAACTTAGTATCACCAGTAAAGGACAAAGGGACATTATGTACACCTCCTGATATGATGCATTGAGAAATGAATATCACCTGCATTGTGTATTGCCAGTTTTAAAATCTGAATCTAGTCATGGGAAACAATCCAGATTGTGGGACATACTATAAGAAAACTGGCTCAGACTCTCCAAAGTTAATGCCATAAAAAACAAAAAGGCAGAGAACTGTTCTAGATTAAAGGGAGACTAAAGAGAACCATGGCCAGGCACAGTGGCTCACGCCTGTAACTCCAGTACTTTGGGAGGCTGAGGGGGGAGTATCACTTGAGCCCAGGAAGCAGAGGTTGCTCTGAGCCGAGATCGTGCCACTGCACTCCAGCCTGGCTGACACAGCAAGATCCTGTCTCAAAAATAAATAAATTAAAGGGCCAGTCACAATGGCTCACACCTGTAATCCCAGCACTTTGGGAGGCCGAGGCAGGTGGATAAACTGAGGTTGGAAGTTCGAGACCAGCCTGACCAACATGGAGAAACCACGTTTCTACTAAACATACAAAATTAGCCGGGCGTGGTGGCACATGCCTGTAATCCCAGCTACTTGGGAGGCTGAGGCAGGAGAATCGCTTGAACCCAGGAGGCGGAGGTTGCAGCGAGCAGAGATTGCGCTCAAAAAGAAAAAAAAAAAGAGGATCGGCCAGGCGTGGTGGTTCATGCCTGTAATCCCAGCACTTTGGGAGGCCGAGGCAGGCGGATCACAAGGTCAGGAGTTCCAAACCAGCCTGGCCAATATGGTGAAACACCGTCTCTACTAAAAATACAAAAATTAGCTAGGTGTGGTGGTGGGTGCCTGTAGTCCCAACTATTCGGGAGGCTGAGGCAGGAGAATTGCTTGAACCTGGGAGGCAGAGGTTGCAGTGGACTGCGACTGCGCCATTGCACTCCAGCCTGGGCGACAGAGGAAGGCTCTGTCTCAAAAAAAAAAAAAAAAAAAAAAAAAGAGTATCTGATTAGATCCTCAACTGGGAGAAAAAAATCTATTGAAGACAAACTATTGAGACAATTGGAGATTTTTTTTAGCCAACATTGTATCCATGTTTAATGTATGCTTAAGGTGATAATGGTAATGTTCTATAGGAGGAGGTCCTTGTTTTCCTAGTAAGTGCTCAAGTATTTAGGAATAAAATATCATAATGTCTGCAACTTCTTTATTTTTAATTAATTAATTAATTAAGTTTTGAGATGGAGTTTCGCTCTGTCGCCCAGGCTGGAGTGCAGTGACATGATCTTGGCTCACTGCACCTTCCACTTCCAGGGCTCAAGCGAGTCTCCTGCCTCAGCCTCCCAAGTAGCTGGGATTACAGGCACCTGCCACCATGCCTGGCTAATTTTTGTATTTTTGGTAGAGACAGGGTTTCACCATGTTGCCTAGGCTGGTCTCGAACTCCCGGCCTGAAGTGATCTGCCTACCTCGGCCTCCCAAAGTGCTGGGATTACAAGCATCAGCCACTACGCCTGGCCTATATTTCTATTAATGATGTCATCTATTGAGAAGACCTATTATATATCAGATGCATAAATGCTATCTAATTATTATAGAGACTCTGCAAGGGAGGTTTATTAATTTATAGATGAGCAAACTGAAACCCAAAAGTTTACGTGACCTTGGACCATGCAGCTAGTAAGTGGCAGAACCAGGGTTTGAACCCATGTTTGTTTGGTTCAGAAGTTTTTACAAGCCATGTCTGTGGATTGTTTCACCTATGTCAGTATAAACTGCTGACTTTATTTCTTGAGAGAAGTTTACTGTTAAAGGGTCTAAGCTGGGAAGTACAACTTTCCCTTCTTAGTATCTCTCTTGAGCCTGTGAGAAGTTTGCCCAGCCCCAGTCTGGTAACTGAGTTACCATATGCTCTGACTGCTCAGTACTCCAATTCTGCCAGTGGTCTGAATGTGGAAAATGAAGTATATGAGAGTTGCTGTGGTGCAGGAGAGTAGGATGTGGATGAGGCTGAGGGTCAGAGATGTGGAAAAGGTGTCCTTACTGTCTTCTTGATGTGTATACTAGGGTAATGCATGTCCATTGTAGAACATTTAGAAAACAAAAATAATCCCTCATAACCCTAGGACCCAGAGATAATGTTAACATTTTACAGCATCTCCTCCTAGACCTTTATCTATGCATACATGCAGATATAGGCATACAAAATATTTAACCAGGCCGGGCACGGTGGCTCAAGCCTGTAATCCCAGCACTTTGGGAGGCCAAGGCGGGCAGATCACTTGAGGTCAGGTATTTGAAACCAGCCTGGCCAACATGATGAAACCCCCTCTCTACTAAAACTACAAAAAGTAGCCGAGCGTAGTGGTGCATGCCTGTAATCCCAGCTACTCAGGAGGCTGAGGTAGGAGAATCGCTTGAACGCGGCAGGCAGAGGTTTCAGTGAGCTGAGATCACGCCACTGCACTCCAGCCTGGGCGACAGAGTGATACTCGGTCTCAAAAAAAACAAAACTAAACTTTTAATTTAACCAAATGTGCTCTTTCTATACTATCTCTTGTTTCATTTAATGGTATCTGTGAATACCTTTCCATAGCAAAAAATACAGCTCTTACAACATCAACTTTATAGACTGTATAAATTATGGTATGCTATTATTTATTTATTTATTTTTGAGACAGGGTCTCACTCTGTCACCTAGGCTGGGTGACAGAGTGGTATGATCATGGTTCACGATCATGGCTCAATGCAGCCTTGGCCTCTCCAGGCACACACAGGTGATCCTCTCACCTCAGTCTCCTGAGTAGCTGGGACTACAGGCATGTGCTACTACACCTGGCTAGTTTTTGTATTTTTTGTAGGGACAGGGTTTTGCAATGTTGCCCAGGTTGGTCTCAAACTTCTGGGCTCAAGTGATCTGCCTGCCTCATCCTCCCAAAGTGCTGGGATTACAGGCGTGCGCCACTGCACCCCACCTGATACGTCATAATTTAATTAATCCTCTCTTATTGGATATTTAGTGTATTTCTAAGATCTCACGTTTTTGACATCATCCACTTCTGCAGAGAGGGTATTCCAGTATCATGTTAGTGCTTGCTAAAAGACTTAGCAATAAGGGTAGTAGAACCAGCAGACTTCTAGACCAAAATTAACCATTAGTACTGCCCTGCTTTCCTGAAAGCAGAGAGGAAAGAAACACCCAGAAAGTATAAGGAATTATCTTGAGTTGTTACGTTTTTTTTTTCTTGAGATGGAGTCTTGCTGTCGCCCAGGCCGGAGTTCAATGGTGCGATCTTGGTTTAATGCAATTAATGCAACCTCCGCCTCCTGGGTTCAAACAATTCTCCTAACTCAGGCTCCCGAGTAGCTGGGATTACAGGCACCTGCCATCGTGCCCAGCTAATTTTCATATTTTTAGTAGAGACGGGGTTTTACCATGTTGGCCAGGCTGGTCTCGGACTCCTGACCTCAAGTGATCCACCTGCCTCGGCCTCCCAAAGTGTTGGGATTACAGGTGTGAGCCCTGCGCCCGGCCGGTTACTGTCTTGATCAAAGTGGAGTTGGTAGCCCACAAGTATCTTCAAAGTTATTGCTGAGTGCTCAGCCCTGAGTGCTCAGCCCTGTGCAAAGGAGAATTTGGCCAGGTGCAGTGGCTCACACCTGTAATCCTTTGTCCTTAGGACCATGTTTAGTGAGATATCATTAATTCCCACAAAGTAAAATAATGGATGGAAGAGTATATAAATTAAATGGTCAACCTGTATAGATCCAGCTGTGCCATCAAAAGCAAAAGAGAAGAAGCTTCACAAGGAATGCGGTGGTCAGAGAAAGCTTCAAGGAAGAGGTGGCACTTGAAAATGGGTAGAAAATGAATAGCATTGGAGGTGACGGAGACAGCTTGAGCGAAAGAATAGAGGCCAAAGTGAGCATGGTGTGTCTATGTTCTGATGAAGTAATTTTTAAGAAAGATTAAACTGGTGGGGTTTCCCAGAGTAGATTGGAAGGGAAAAAGGCCTATTCAAAAAAGTAGACTAAGAGGGTGTTACAGTAACTTAGAAGATGACGTGGTCTTTGTGTCAGTGAAATCGAGCAGGAAGAACAGGATGGGGAGAAGATGAGGGCAAAAGAATAAAAACCAAAAACATTTCAAAGGTAAAAAATCTCTAGGATTTGGTGACTGACTGCTTCTGGGAGATGAAGGAAATGGGTAAGTCAGTGTTGACTTCACCTTTTTAAGACTGAATGATTTAAGAATGCTAGTATTGTTAACAGAGATAAGAAAGTTGCAAGATAAAGCTAATTTTTTTTTTTTTTGAGACAGAGTCTCGTTCTGTTGCCCAGGCTGGAGTGCAGTGGTGCGCTCTTGGCTCACTGCAACCTCCACCTCCCGGGGTCAAGCAATTCTTGTGCCTCAGCCTCCCAAGTACCTGAGACTACAGGCATGTGCCACCACACCTGGCTAATTTTTGTATTTTTCATAGAGATGGGGTTTTACCATGTTGCCAGGCTGATCTCAAACTCTTGAGCTCAGGCAACCTGCCTGCCATGGCCTCCCAAAGTGCTGGGATTATAGGCATGAGCCACTGCACCCGGCCAAGATAAAGCTAATTTTGAAGGAGGAGACTTAGTTACAGACATAATGGATCTGAGATTATGGGAAACAGAAGGTTAATGGTTTAGTAAGCAATCTGTGATTATAAAACTGAAGCTTAGGTGAGATGAAAACAGCTAGAGATTCTTACAGTTTGACACTGTCAGCCTGGATGTGATGGCTGAAGTTCTGATGATTAAGACTCTGAGAGGGTATGTAGCAGTGCTTCCCAAACCTACCTACGACTCACCTGGGGATCTCGTTGACATGCAGATTCATGTTTCTTACACTCTCCCATACGATGCTGGTGTGATTGGTCCACGGACTATACTGAATAGCAGGGATGTGGAAAGATGAGCAGGGAGCTAACCATCTATGGTTTGGAGTTACCATTGGGGAGTAAAACAGAAGCGCCTACAAAAGAAAAAAAGTGTTTCCCAGAGTCATGTTTCTTGTCTTCTCCTTTTATTTCAGGTCCTTTGGAGAATACCTATCGTGATTTCTGGCTCATGGTATGGGAGCAAAAAGTCTTGGTGATTGTCATGACCACCCGGTGAGTTAATCCCTTTTTTCCAAAGGTCTCCACCTCCACTCTGTCCCTAGGCATGGGTGATTAAAGAGGGAAGTTTAGCTTTTAGAAATAATGAGGGTCAGCCTGGCACGGTGGCTCACGCCTGTAATCCCAGCACTTAGGGAGGCCAAGGCAGGCGGATCACAAGGTCAGGAGTTCCAGACTAGCCTGGCCAGCCTGGTGAAACCCCGTCTCTATTAAAAATACAAAAAATTAGCCGGGCATGGTGCCTTCTCTATTAAAAATACAAAAAATTAGCCGGGCATTGTGGTGCGTGCCTGTAATCCCAGCTACTTGGGAGGCTGAGGCAGGAGAATCACTTGAACCCAGGAGGCAGAGGTTGCAGTGAGCTGAGATCACGCCATTGCACTCCAGCCTGGGCTACAGAGCGAGACTCTGTCTCAATTAAAAAAAAAAAAATTGAGGATTAGGAAAGCCAGGGCAAAGATTTTGAGATATCTCTTAGCTAATCCACAACCCGGGTATGGTGGAGATGAATAGATCTAACTTGTTAAAGCTTTAATCCCTGGCTCTGGCAACCCTGTGCCAGTTATACCCTATTTTGAGGTCCTGGCCTTATCCACTAAAGGAAGTTCTGGGAAACATGGGACAATTCTCCTTTTATCTGTTCCCTATTTCCAGAGGGGTGCTGCCTTCCTGACTCCTGAATTACCAGATTCCCTTTGCTCTCCATTTGTTGCTACTTTTTTTTTTTTTCTTCTGAGATGGAGTCTCACTCTGCCACCAGGCTGGAGTGCAGTGTGGCACGATCTTGGCTCACTGTAACTTCCGTCTCCCAGGTTCAAGCAATTCTCCTGCCTCAGCCTCCCGAATAGCTAGGATTACGGGCATGTGCCACCACGCCTGGCTAATATCTTTTTTTTTTTTTTTGGAGATGGTGTCTTGCTCTGTCACCCAGGTGGGAGTACAATGGCTCGATCTCAGTTCACCGCAACCCTTGCCTCCTGGGTTCAAGTGATTCTCCTGAGTAGCTGAGATTATAGGAACGTGCCACCATGCCCAGCTAATTTTTGGATTTTTAGTAGAGATGGGGTTTTACCATGTTGGTCAGGCTGGTCTTGAACTCCTGACCTCGTGATCTGTTGCCTCAGCCTCCCAAAGTGCTGGGATTACAAGCGTGGGCCACTGCGCCTGGCCAGGAAGATTTTATTTTATTTTTATTTTATTTTATTTTATTTTATTTTATTTTTGAGACGGAGTCTCACTGTCGCCCAGGCTGGAGTGCAGTGGCGCAATCTCAGCTCACTACAGGCTCTGCCCCCACCGGGGTTCACGCCATTCTCCTGCCTCAGCCTCCCGAGTAGCTGGGACTTCAGGCGCCCGCCACCTCGCCCGGCTAATTTTTTGTATTTTTAGTAGAGAAGGGGTTTCACCGTGTTAGCCAGGATGGGCTCGATCTCCTGACCTCGTGATCCGCCTGCCTCGGCCTCCCAAAGTGCTGGGATTACAGGCGTGAGCCACCGCGCCTGGCCGGAAGATTTTAATGAAAGGAATATTTTTGAAATTTTGGTCTACAAATCTGGCAAATTTAAGGAATAACCTATTTCAGATGAGGAAGGAAAAAAATGAATGTGAATGTTAAATTCCCTTCCTTAGCACTGTTATAACCACCACTTATTTGGAGAGGAGGTAGTGGGAGAAGTTCTACCTTGGAATACTTTGGGGCCACTGGAGGGTGGCAAGGTAGATTTAGGCCTTTTTTTTTTGAGACAAGAGTCTCACTCTATTGTGCAGGCTGGAGTTAAGTGGTGCGATCTCAGCTCACTGCAACCTTAAGTGGTGCGATCTCAGCTCACTGCAACCTCCGCCTCCCAGGTTGAAGCTATTCTGCCTCAGCCTCCCAAGTAGCTGGGATTACAGGTGCCCACCACCATGCCTGGCTAATTTTTGTATTTTTAGTAGAGATGGGGTTTCACCGTGTTGGCCAGGCTAGTCTCGAACTCCTGACCTCAGGTGATCCGCCACCTTGGCCTCCTAAAGTGCTGGAATTACAGGCATGAGTCACTGCGCCTGGCCTAGGCCTTTTTTTTTTTTTTTTTTCTTTTTTGAGACAGAGTCTCACTTTGTCATCCAGGCTGGAGTGCAGTGGTGCCATCTCAGCTCACTGCAGTCTCAACCTCCTGGATTCAAGCAATCCTCCTACCTCAGCCTCCTAAGTAGCTGGGACTACAGGTACCCACCACCATGCCTGACTAATTTTTGTATTTTTAGTAGAGATAGGGTTTCCATGTTGCCTGGGCTGGGACTTCAGGCTTTTACACAAACCTCCTGCTAACATACCAGTAGATGTGTGTTTATCAGTTTATCAGAGAGTTCTCTCTGACCTATCATATTTTCATATTTTCTCTACTCTTTTTTTTTCTTTTTCTTTTTCTTTTTTGAGATGGAGTCTCATGATGTTACCCAGGCTGGTCTCAAACTCCTGGTCTTAGGTGATTCTCCTGCCTAAACCTCCCAAGTAGCTGGGATTACAGGCATGCACCACTATACCCAGCTACTATACTGTTTTTGTCTCTGTTCACCCAGTATTTATCCCACATATGTGAGACGTACTATTGCGTATTAGGAAAAAGACCAAATGCTGTAGTAAGTGCTCAGTAACTGTCTGCTATATGAGTACATGCAGAAACTTTAGCTGTGAGTACATTTGTTTAGAATGAAGAGGTTTCCTTTCCTTTCTGCTGAGAATCAATGGTGTAAGTTAGAAGCAATGCAAGAGATGATATTGCTGCCTGGGGGTATATCAGGTCTTTGGGGAAGCCAGGTTACTGCTGTGGAGAGGAACGATGGAAGGCTTACCTTGCTCTGTGTGTCTTCAGCTTTGAGGAAGGCGGCAGGAGAAAGTGTGGCCAGTACTGGCCTTTAGAAAAAGACTCTCGGATCCGATTTGGCTTCCTCACAGTGACCAATCTAGGCGTGGAGAACATGAATCATTATAAGAAAACAACGCTAGAAATTCACAACACAGAGGTAAATCCAGGTTTCTTTTTTCTCACCTTGTTGAAACAGGGGGAGAATAATTACTGTAATGAAAATCTCCAGAGGGAATAGGTAGGATACCAGGGAAGTTATGAGTTGCTTCTGTTTTTCTAGGGACAGGATGAGGATATTTAACTCACAGCCAATATAGCCATATTACTGCAGCACGATAGGAACATTAAATAGGAGTAAAGCTTATAATTTTAGAAATCTGGGGCTGGGTGCAATGGCTTAGGCCTATAATCCCAGCACTCTGGGAGGCAGAGGTGGAAGGATCACTTGAGCCCAGGAGTTCAAGATAATCTAGGCAACACAGTGAGATCCTGTCTCTACAAAACATAGAACAAATTAGCTGGGCATGGTGGCACAAGCCTGTGAGGTCAAGGCAGCAGTAAGTTTGATCGTGCCACTGCACTCCAACCTGGGCAACAGAGTGAGATCCTGTCTCAAAAAAAATTCTGGATCTTACAGTATAGGAATTCTGCCTTTTCCAATTAACCAACCCTTCCTTTGGGTTTGTAGTAAAGAAGCAATTATGGGAAAAGTTGACAGTGGTGGATAGGAGCCTTGGTGGTAGGGATAACCAGGGTGTTGAGAATCTGGAAAAGCCAGAGGTAGCTAGGGGCAGGCAGAAATAACCTTGTTAACGTTTACTTCTTTTCTTATCTAAGGAACGGCAGAAACGCCAGGTGACCCACTTCCAGTTCTTGAGCTGGCCAGACTATGGTGTCCCTTCCTCAGCAGCTTCCCTCATTGACTTCTTGAGAGTGGTCAGAAACCAGCAGAGTCTGGCTGTGAGCAACATGGGAGCACGCTCCAAAGGGCAGTGCCCTGAGCCACCCATTGTGGTCCATTGCAGTGCAGGCATTGGCAGGACAGGTAACGCACCTAATGCAGCTCTTGGTGTCTGCAGGGGCAGTAGGGGTGGACGAGGAAAAACAAAGCTCTTAGCCCACATCTGTGATTGGAGAAGGAACTCACTTGCTCCCTTGGTGGTGAATTGCTGTGAAAAATCCCTCATCTAATGTCCTTTTGGTGGACCAAGTGATGGCCAGAATATATATTTCACAAGCCAAGTCCTCTAGGGGTTGATGTTTTATACACCCCATCATAACGCTGACTCTGTCACCTGTTAGAACTGTCACTGCAGGTATCCCAGAGAGCTCAGCTGGGCTGCTGCTTCCTTCCCATCCAGCCCTCCCTGGAGGGACTCCCCACCCTGTGCTGTGTTCTCCATTCTGGAGCCAGTTAGCAGCTTTTGCCTTAAGGGCATGTACATGGTAGGAAATGTTGGCCTTTCTATTTCAAAGGTCCCTTTGGGAGAAAGTTGAGAATAGGTTTTTGTTAGGCCTCTGAAAAACTTGTGGACTCTGGAAATTAGGTGTGGGAGTGCTGTCAGTCTGTCTGTCTGGGATTGAAGCAGGAAGTTCCCCTGTGTCACCTTCCCATTTCCACTTCCTGTTACCCCAAGTGTATGTCCTGAGAAATAAGAGGCCTTCTCATTTCTCTGGCCTCCAACACTCCCTGTGACCTCCTTCTTGAGTCCTTTCAGGCCTAAGGCCACCTGGCCTTCTGCCATGAGGCACTTTGCCTGTGAAGTCATTCATTCAGTTCTGCCTGGGTTATTTGGTAGAGGGAGGAAGAGAAGAGAGGTAAACCAGATGTGATCACTTCCTTCCTTCTTCAGGTACCTTCTGCTCACTGGACATCTGCCTGGCACAGCTGGAGGAGCTTGGCACCCTTAATGTGTTCCAGACGGTGTCACGCATGAGGACCCAGAGGGCCTTCAGCATCCAGACCCCTGAGCAGTACTATTTTTGCTACAAGGCCATCCTGGAGTTCGCAGAGAAGGAGGGCATGGTATCCTCTGGCCAAAACCTGCTGGCCGTGGAGAGTCAGTAACTCTCCTACGAACCTCCTACCTGTTGGCCAGCCTTCCTTAAACTACCCTGGACACCGCTGAGCCTATAGGTTGCCATCAGTTACGCTGAAGCCATGGATCAACTTCTTTCTTGTGTCTCCCAGCACACGTGTGCACGCAAGGCAGCCTTTCCCTTTGGCTAGATAAATGTGGTGAAATTGCCACTAGAAAGGGCCAGTAGCAATGTGTTCTTAATTCCTAGCATCTGCTATCAAACTGTGCCTTATTAAAACCAAATTGTGGCTATTGATTTTTGCTAGGGTCCCCGAGGTAAGTGGGGAAGGAACCTCCCTCCTCCTTTCTCCCGCCATTCTTTTTCTGAGGTCTCCTGTCTCCCACTCCTTCCCTTTCCTAGGATTTTATGGGGAGGTTTGATGAGCATTTGCCTTTCTCCCCAGAGAGCTTGACCAAGTTACATATTCTAGAGATCGTCCTGAGTGCCAAGCACGTTTATAAGTAGGGCGTGTATTCCAGTCCTTTCTGTCATTCTGTGTGTGTGTGTGTGTGCACTTATGTGTATGGGTCCATATGTACGTGTGTATATAATATATATTGTATGTGATAATATGATCGTATTCTATAAATACATATACACACGATACTCCTTTCCAGAAGTTCCTGGGGCTCCGTGTTGCAGTTCAGGACTCCTTGCTTCTTGGACCCTACTATTTATCCTGGACTAGCTTGGGTTGGTGATCATGTCTCCTCTTGTCAGGCTACAGAGTGGTGGAAGAGGACACACACACATCTCCTCCATGTTCCTGCCACAGGGCCCCTTCCTTAAGTAATGACTTATCTCCTTCCAGTTGCCACCTGTTGGAGCCAAGAATGTATTAGTTTGTGGTGACACTGGGTTAGCTCAGCATGGATTTCCCTTATCCGATGATTTTTCTACATTTACTTGGCCAATTTGGGGAACAGACCTCCACTGTGATTCCATACTCTCTCTTTGCTTTCACTATCCCAGGGATGGGAGGCGGAGGGTAGAGATGAACTCACTGAGCAGCCAGAGCCAAATGCAATCGGTACGAATCTTAGAAGGAAGGAGGGGGAGCCCAGGTATGAGAAAGAAAAAACCACTAAGAAAATACCTCCCTGGGAGGATGAGCTGGGGCCCTTTTTCTTTTGCTGGATGGTTCCTTTATGCAGCTTGGCCCTGTCTACCGAGATGCCCATCTCTTCCTGCCTGCTAGCCTGCTAGACCCTCAAACTGGGTGGGTTCTGTGTCAATAAAAAGCTTCACCCCCTGGCTGAGTGAGGTGGTCCCCTGCAATCACTGTTTGTCCCCTACCCACCCAACCTGTCCCTGCCTGCTCCCAGCCCACTCATCCTTATGTGCTAGGGATAAATCAAGAGTCCTCAGCACTCCACATTCCCAAAAAATCCCAGGAACTCCTAAACCTTCCCCTGTGACAGAAGATGAGGTTGGCAGCTGATCAGACCTCAATAATTTTATACTGTAATAAGCTCTTTGAATGTGTATATTATTATTTTTTACAATCATTTCATTTTGTATTTAATATCAATGGACTGAGTCTGATTCAGAAAATAATTGTAATGTTCATATTCAATATCTTACAGTGATACAGTTTTGTATTTACATATAAATATACCGACATGATCAAAACCCTTTTAGCTTCATCAATTTAGCAGCCTGGGACATGAGGGAGGGGGTCCAGGAGCTGGTCTGGGAGGGATGAGGGAGGCAGGGAGGGACCCAAGCCTTCAGTATCTGAGACTTTGAGTTCTGACACTATGAGTTCACCTTGTCTGTAGGCCATGGCCCTATCTCTGGACAGAGGGACCAGCACCAGTTCAGTGCTTGAGATGTGCTAAGCACTATGCTAGGTGCTTTTCCCCCACCCTGCCTCATTCAAACCTCACAACAATTCAGTGAGATATTATCTTCTCTCCCTTCTCCTGTGCACCCCTTTCTCATTTCTATATAGATGAGGAAGGTGAGGTCCAGAGGGTTACAGTGATTTGCTCTAAAACGAGCTCAAGTTGGTCTGCTTACAAAGCCTGTGGTCTCTTCACTGCATGGAAGATGGAGATCTTGTGTTTGGAGAACAGAGGTTTGTTTAGCTCTCCTTTCAGAGTAAAAAAAGTTCTTAAATTCCAGGTTGTTGTTCTTGTGCCCATGCTTCATGTAGTAGACGCGAAGGGTGACAGGGTTGGTGACTGACTGTCCTAGCTAGGACCTCCTGATGTAGGGTCCTCATGTCTGCAGCGTACCAAAGGGGTTATCATTCTCCCCAGGAGACTCCATATCTATGGGTACATGGTCTTTGTGAGAAGATCTTGAGTCATTTGCATTTATCTCTTAGAAAGAAAGGAACCAGAAGCTTTGTACATGGAAGACCACTCCCCATATCATACCTGTTGGCTGTTGATGGCCTGCCCAGTTGGGGCAGTTGTGGCTGGGAAATATTGGGGTGTTCTTAATAATAGTCATAGCAGCCAATTTACTGGATGCTCACTCTATTCCAGGCACTGTTCAGAGTAATTTCTAGGTATCATCTCATTCACCCTCAACAACCTTTTGAGGTAGGTATTGACAGAAGAAAAAAATTGAGAGACAGGAATGTTAATTTGCTACAGCCAGGATCCCAGACCATCTGACTCCAAAGTATCTTCTTTCACCTCTTACACTAGACTTCCTCTAAGGATCCATCTTCTGATCTGCCAATAAATTTTTATCGAGTTTCTTACCATAATCAGGAGCTCAAGTGTAGAGCAGAAGATTAATCTAGTTCCTTCTCCAGATGAGCCTCCATTCTCTTGGGAGTGCACAAACATAAGAAGTGAACAGAGATTCTTGGAAATCTGAGAAACCAGAGAGGTCAGGGGTTTGGTGGAACATGTAAGAAATGGGATTAATGATAAACGGCCTGGAGGAGGTAACTTTAAATTGTCATTTATTTGAAGAGGCTGTAACCCGACTGCCCTGTGAATTTAAGGTTATGCATGAGTTCCTCATTGCATATCTGAAGACTGGTGAGGTTATCTATCACTTCAGCTCCATAAAATGCTGATTTCTGGGCCCATCCAGTAGGTTGTTAGTGAGTGACAGGATTATCCAGGTTTGGGAACCATAGATTTAGTTCATGTTTCTGACCCTATAGAGAGTTAACAAATTGATGTCTCCTAAATTTTCAGTAAAACTCAGAGGAACTCCTCCCACTGCCATTGTTTGTAGCTTTTACCAGCGTGAACCTACCTGTGTTAGGTGTTAAAGGAGGAGGTAAAGGAAAGGGAAGGCAGAGACGCAACCCAGAATCTGTTTGGCAAGTCAGGGTTCTCATACAGGAGACTTAGTGAACAAAGCAAGAGAAAATGCTCAGGGTCCAAGTGCAGTGGCTTTATGCCTGTAATCCCAGTACTTTGGAAGGCCGAGGTGGGCAGATCACCTGAGGTCAGGAGTTTGAGACCAGCCTGACCAATATGATGAAACCCCATCTCTACTAAAAATATAAAAATTACCCGGGTGTGGTGGTATGTGCTTGTAATCCCAGCTACTCGGGAGGCTGAAATGGGAGAATCACTTGAATCTGGGAGGCAGAGGTTGCAATGAGCCGAGATCGCGCCATTGCACTCTAGCCTGGGCAACAAGAGTAAAACTCCATCTCAAAAAAAATAAATAAATAAAAAAGAAAGACAGTGTTCAGGAAAGAAGAAAACACTGAGCTAAAGCAGGCTTCTGCTTCTGATTTGATGGCTGTTTGTTTCACCTTTCTCTAACATTCCCATGCTATATAATTTTTCAAACATGAGATAATCCCTGTGTCCTTTTTCCCATTGCTCCCTTCATCTTGCCCATCCTCATTGGCTAGGATGGGACTCCTGAGACGAAGGGTGCCCCAGCATCCTCAGCCTCGGAGGCCCACCCTTATCAGTCTTCATGTGACAGTATGCAGGTAAATGACAGAGTAGGACTTGTTCTTGGGAGAATGGACTATTTAGCATCATAGCCCTAGGGAAATTTGGTTCCTTCCCTGAAAGGAATGCTTCCTGTCTCTTGGGACAGACAGACACACATACAAAAACTTTTATAAATCAGAGACCTAGAGGGAATTGGGCCAAGAGGCATTGGCCAAGTAGAAAAGCTTCTCTAGAGTGACCCAGCTCTTTTGTGGTTTTGAGGTCTTACCACTGAACCAAACCCAAGTCCTAGGTTCCCTCTGTAAAAGAAGGGGCTACACTAGATGATCCTACCATGGGTCCTCTGACTGTCAGGGTCCAGTTCTTTGTTAGACAGTGCAAACACCCATAGAGGAGCTATTAGGCCTTTACTTGGGTTGAGTTGGCTCCCACTAGCACTCCCCACTTTTCATTTTTTTTACTTTCAGAGACAGAGTCTCACTCTGTTGCCTAGGTTAGAGGGGAGTGGCATGATCATGGCTCACTGCAGTCTCAACAACTGGGCTCAAGCAGGAACCCAGCTTTTTTTTTTTTTCTCTCTCTCTCTCTAGAGACAGGATCTCACTATGTTGCCCAGGCTGGTCTCGAACTCCAGCCTCAAGCAATCCTCCTGCCTCGGCCTCCCAAAGTGAGAGGATTACAGGCATGGGCCACCACACCCAGCCTCTCCAGTTTTAGTGTGTTTTCAGAGTCTCTTCTTTCAAGCTGCTGCTACTTCCCTAGCTTCCCTCAGTTCTCTTCCCCCTTGGCCTTCCAATTGGAGGAAAAGCAGGTCAGGTCTCTGTCATCTCCAAGACCAGCCTATAGGCCTTTAAAGTTTCCCTGTTTCTTAATGTGGGGTCTACAGGGTTTCTCAGAGGCAAAGCATGAACAGACCAAGGGTCCTATAGCTCCCAACCTAGTCCTTAGATTTCTCTCTGGCCTTGGTTACTCCCACAAACCACTGTGAGCCTACCAAGGGCAGGAATGGAAATGCCCATCAGCCTGGGAACCATCTTTTTCTCTTAGGAGGTATCCGCCCTATAGTTACCTTTACACAACACTTGTGAATATCAAGTGTTCTAGACTGCACTGTTCATAATTGACTACAGAGAAGACTAGGATCTTCTCCACAAATAGAAATATATCACTTTTACTTGGAGATGTTTTCTTGGGGGAAAAAAAATCTAGCACCTTGAAACCTGTTACAATGTTTAAATCTCCCTTCTTTACCTTGGCTGTCATAAAATCCTCCTGTTTGAGCTAAATGTGGCCTGCTGAAGTCTTAAATGCCCATATTTTTCAGGCTAAGGCCATGGTGGACATAGCTAACTCCACTAGAATCCTAGCTGGGGGTGTTGGAAAAAACGGTACAGTGCCCCTCTCAGACTCCAGGCTCACGTCCGTCTCCCCTCCCCGCACATTATAATCTACTACTTCTCTAATGCTGCTGCGTAGTTTGTCTTAAAGCCTCAAGACTGGCCAGATGTGCACCTGAGTAAAGGTCAGCCATTTCATCTGGGGGCTCTTTCTTGACTTTTAATGAATTTTCTTCTGTGAAAAAATGTATTTTTAATAAAAAATTTTCTGTGGCCAGCATCCAGTGGAAGTCTGGAGTCTGATGTGCAGGGCAGATACTGGTCTGGAGATGTCAGTTTAGGACTTAGTTAGACAGAAGCAATGAGCCTTGAAGTGAGAATGAGGAAGGCAAGAGAGGAGATACGTTTGGATGTCACCAACATTTAGGTAATGGGCGGAGGAAGAAAAGCTGCTGAAGGATACTAATGAACAGGCAGAGGTAACTGAGCACAAAGCCAGGCTGCTTTGTCACAGGCTGCTGAGAGGTAGGTAGTGGCTGGGACGAATGAACAAGATCTGAAATGTGGGTTCATTAGAAGTCTTCGAAGGGACTATGTGGCTGTTAGGGAGGCTGCATGAGAGAGATGTGAAGGAATAGACTGCAGTGCCCAGGCTGTCCTCACTTAAACCAAAACAAGGCCCACCTTGATCTCTTACACATTAGGCTTCTGAATAAGATTTTCTTTGAACAAAGGACCTTGCTGGGTGCAGTGGCTCAGGCCTGTAATCCCAGTGCTTTGGGGGGCTAAGGTGGGAGGATCACTTGAGGCCAGGAGTTTCAGACCAACCTGAGCAACATGGCAAAACCCCGTCTCTAAAAAAATAAATAAAAATAATAAATTCTCAAATGGCAAGCTATTCTATTTTTAAAAAGCAGTAACAAAGGAACTCGTTGCTTTAAAAAAAAAAAAAAAAACGTCAGGCCAGGCGCAGTGGCTCACACCTGTAATCCCAGCACCTTGGGAGGCCAAGGCGGGTGGATCACTTGAGGTCGGGAGTTTGAGACCAGCCTGACCAACACAGAGAAACCCCATCTCTCCTAAAAATACAAAATTAGCCGGGTATGGTGGCGCAAGCCTGTAATCCTAGCTACTGGGGAGGTTGAGGCAGAAGAATCGCTTGAACCCAGGAGACGGAGGTTTCGGTGAGCGGAGATCGCGCCATTGCACTCCAGCCTGGGCAAGAAGAGCGAAACTCTGTCTCAAAAAAAAAAAAAAAAAAGCCACCAAACAACTGGTAAAGAGAAGGAAACACTTTGAAAACATAAAGCCAGGTAAACTGAGGAACATGCTGAGTGACCCAGAAGGGTAAACTAATGCTCAGCCAGGGGAAACATTTCAAGGCAGTGAGTAGCAGTCATAAAAATTCCTTCAAACATTCCGAGCCTCCCAGGAGAATGGCGTGAAACCGGGAAGCTGAGCTTGCAGTGAGCTGAGATCGCGCCACTGCACTCCAGCCTGGATGACAGAGCGAGACTCCGTCTCAAAGAAAAAAAAAAAATTCCGAGCCTCCAAGGCCACCCAGAAATCAGAAATTACGGAATATATACCATCTAAACCTGGTTGCAAGAGAAATGGAGTTTCTTCACATCATGGGATTATTTGGCCCTCTAGGCCTGCTCCAGGGCTCATTGCTCAATCGGACTTTGCATTTGAATGGCCAGGAGAAGAGGGAGGTAGGGATGAGATAAAGGAGGGGAAAAAGATATGAGAACTCTTGACTGAATGCTAGGGATACTTAATTTTTTTTTTTTTTTTTTGAGACAGAGTCTCTGTCGCCCAGGCTGGAGTGCAGTGGCATGATCTCGGATCACTGCAACCTCCGGCTCCCCGGCTCAAGTGATTCTCCTGCCTCAGCCTCCCAAGTAGCTGGGACTACAGGCGCGTGCCACCATGCCCGGCTAATTTTTTTGTATTTTTAGTAGAGACGGGGTTTCACTGTGTTAGCCAGGATAGTCTTGATCTGACTTCGTGATCCAAAGTGTTGGGATTACAGGCGTGAGCCACCACGCCCGGCAGGCATACTTAATTTTAAATCTCACATCTTCCCACCGAAGTAGGTATTCTGATTCTTAGATTACAGATAAAGAAACTGAAAAGATAAATGATTTGCCAAAATCATCTTGCCTTGAACCTAGAAGATGCTTTGGGTTGTGGGTCCCTGGGGAGCCAGCCTCATATCCTCCTTACCTGGATATTACTGAGAGTCTTAGCCCTCAGAGCTTGTGTGGATAGGGTGCTGGCACTGATATCCTTGGCAGAGTCACTGAAGTGCAGGCCCTAAATGTCTCTCAGTCACCACCTACCATAAGTGCCCTAAAGAACTTTGAATGAGTCCTTTTTGTGAAAGAGAGAGGGTGTATGTGAGACACCTGTGAGATTGAGGGTGTCAGGAGGTGTGATAGATTTGAGTTTATGTGTTGCGAGTTTAGGTCTTCTGTGTATGTATGTATGTATGTGCATCAGACAAATGTTGCTTTTCTGGATAATTTTCTGGAAACGGCCAGAAATCATTTAGAATTGTCTGAGGATAAACTGATCTTTAAGTTAGGGAGGTGAGGAGTGTGGAGCAACAGGGGAGTCAGGCTGTTTTTCTCCAGGCCCCAACCTGGGTCACTGGCCGGAGTGCACAAAGACAGCGTGTGGGAGTGGAGGCAAAGCTTAGACTTTGGACCCAGACTTCCCTTAAGCTATTTGACTTGAGCAAGTCACTCTACTGCTGTTAGCCTCAGTTTGCTCATCTATAACTAAGGATAATAATCCCTAACTCACAAACTCTACAAGAATTTGTTGTTGTTGTTGTTTGAGACAGGGTCTTGCTCTGTCTCCCAGGCTCAAGTGCAGCGGTGTGATTACAGCTAACAGCAGTCTCAACCTCCCAGGCTCAGGTGACCTTCCTGCCTCAGCCTCTTGAGTAGCTGGGACCACAGGGACATGCCACCATGCCCAACTAAATTTGTTTTTATTTTTTGTAGAGACAGTCTCACTGTGTTGCCCAGGCTGGTCTATGAGACTTTTCACATAAAACGGGCCTCCAGGAATCAGAACCTGACCTACCAGTGTGATTTCTCCTAGGAGGGCCCTTACCCAAATCCACTTAATTTTATTTTAATTATTATCATTATTATTATTTTTACCTATACCAGTTGGTTCACAAAGTCCACTTAGTTTTGTCTTCACTGATAGGGTAGTCAGGGGAGTAGCATGGATGTAATCCCTCAGTGCAGCTGGCAGCTGGAGGGACAATGTCACCAAATCAAGCGTTCTCTTTCCCAAAGAATGTGGGACTTGCCGTGCTGTCCAGGTGTCAACATACTGAGTGAGAAACCATCACTGGACCCCTTCCAAAGGGCCCCCTGTATCTGACTGCAGTGAGCTCTGGGGACTCAGAGGTGCATCGAAGTGTCTGTCCTCAAGAAACTCAGTCTGCCAAGTGTTCAGGAGGAGGTCTCCACCAGGGTGGCACACATAGGACCATGGGCAGTGTCAGCAAAGCCTGGTTCTCTGAGTGGAGGTAACTGTTGCAGTTGCAAATCCTCCATGAGTAACTGCATCCACAGCACAACACGTGCTGCCTAGTATCACTGTCAAATGCTGGGTCTTTGGCTTCCACAGCAGCTCAGAACCTTACCAGGTGATAAAGCACACTTTATCATCACATTTGATCCTCATAACAGGGCAAGGATTGCTATGTTATCCTCTTATATAGGAGAGGAAGCTGATCCACAGATAAGAAGGGACTAAGTGGGAACCAGGGGACTCAACTTCCAGACTAGTTCTTTCTGCTCCACCAATCTGCCTCATCTCACTTTGACACAGTATCTGTTATGCCTTCAGCTAGAGCCCCTTAAGAAATTAAGAAATAGAGCAGGAATTTGAGATGGGGATCCAGCCATCAGGGGATTGGTTCTTTTTTTTTTTTTTTTTCTTTGAGATGGAGTTTCACTCTTCCCCACCCAGGCTGGAGTGAGATGGCATGATCTCGGCTCATTGCAACTTCTGCCTCCCGGGTTCAAGTGATTCTCCTGCCTCAGCCTCCTGAGTAGCTGGGATTATAGGCGCCCACTACCACGCCCAGCTAATTTTTCTATTTTTAGTAGAGACGGGGTTTTGCCATGTTAGCCAGGCTGGTCTTGGACTCCTGACCTCAGGTGATCCAACCACCTGGGCCTCCCAAAGTACTAGGATTACAGGTGTGAGGCACTGCACCCGACTGGGTTCTTTTTGAGACTCTGTCTCAAAAAAAACTCTCAAAGAGTTTCACTCTTCTGCCCAGGCTGGAGTGAAGTGGCGCGATCTAGGCTCACTGCAACCTCCGCCTCCCAGGTTCAAACAATTCTCCTGCCTCAGCCTCCCAACTAGCTGGGACTGTAGGCATGTTGCCACCATGGACAGCTAATTTTTTTTTTTTTTTGAGACAAAGTTTTGCTCTTGTCACCCAGGCTGGAGTGCAGTGATGTGATCTCGGTTCACTGCAACCTCCACCTCCCAGGATCAAGCGATTCTCCTGCCTCAGCCTCCCGAGTAGCTCGGACTGTAGGCACATGCAACCACACACAGCTAATTTTTTTTTTTTGAGATGGAGTTTCACTCTTATCGCCCAGGCTGGAGTGCAGTGGTGCAATCTCAGCTCACTACAACCTCCACCTCCTGGGTTCAAGTGATTCTCCTGCCTCAGCCTCCCGAGTAGCTGGGATTACAGGTGCCCACCACCATGCCCTGCTAATTTTTTTGTATTTTTAGTAGAGATGGGGTTTCTTCATGTTGGCCAGGCTAGTCTCGAACTCCTGGCCTCAGGTGATCCGCCTTCAGGTGATCCTGACCTCAGGTGATTGGCCTCCCAAAGTCTTGGGATTACAGGCACGAGCCACAGCGCCCAGCCCACGCACAGCTAATTTTTAAATATTTTGTAGAGACAGGGTCTTGCTCTGTTGCCCAGCTGGGATCTCTGTTCTGAAGAAAAACTTGGTCCTCACCCTAGGGAGGATGAACCTCAAACTCCATGGCTCTGCCAGGGTGGGCCTCCTGCTGAACACATAGTCCTTATCTCCTGGCCTTTCCCTCTCCATACTTTTCACCCAGTGATTCAATTGACTGAGCTACTGCCTATTTTCCAGTCTCCAGACTCCAGTTGGGGTGACCCACTGCCCTTCCAAAATCAGTAGTTCTTCCCACCTACCCTGTCTCCTCAGTGGTAAGCTTCCCCCACCTGGATCCTATGTGAGGTCCTTAGAGTCTATCTTTTTTTCTTTTTTCTTTTTCTTTTTTTTTTTTTTGAGACGGAGTCTGTCTCTGACGCCCAGGCTGGAGTGCAGTGGCGTGATCTTGGCTCACTGCAAGCTCCGCCTCCCAAGTTCACGCTATTCTCCTGCCTCAGCCTCCCAAGTAGCTGGGACTACAGGCGCCCACCACCACGCCTGGCTAATTTTTTGTATTTTTTAGTAGAGACAGGGTTTCACTGTGTTAGCCAGGATGGTCTTGATCTCCTAACCTTGTGATCCGCCCACCTTGGCCTCCCAAAGTGCTGGGATTACAGGTGTGAGCCACCACGTCCAGCCGAGTCTATCTTTCTATTCCAATTTCCAACCCCATTTCACAGGGAAACTGAGGCTCAGAGGGAGGAAGAGACTTGCCTAAGACTATAACACCAGTTGCTGACCATGCTAAGTGCAGAACTCAGATTACCTAACTAGTAGCCTCAAGCTCTATCAACTCTTCACACAGCAGGCCACAGGCTACTTCTTTCCCTCTACTACCCACACTGAATCACTCACCTACTCCCCTTGAGTCTTTCTCAAATACAGGCTCTCCTTCAATATTCTTCTCACCGGCTGGGCGCGGTGGCTCACGCCTATAATCTCAGCACTTTGGGAGGCAGAGGCGGGTGGATCACAAGGTCAGGAGTTGGAGACCAACCTGGCCAACATAGTGAAACCCCATCTGTACTAAAAATACAAAAATTAGCCGGGTGTGGTGGCACACGCCTGTAGCCTGTAGTCCCAGCTACTCGGGAGGCTGAGGCGGGAGAATCGCTTGAACCTGGGAGGCGGAGGTTGCAGTCAGCCGAGACCATGCTATTGCACTCCAGCCTGGGTGAGAGAGTGAGACTTTGTCTCAAAAAAAAATAAAATTCTTTTCACCCACTGTCACTGTTCTGGTCAATCCTCCTTTCGTGTCTCCTGAATTATTGGGAAAGACTTCCCAATAATTTCCTAACTGGCAGCAGGCCCTCATTCTGCCCATTGGATGCCAAGGTCCTTCACATTCTGCACACCCCACCTTATCCACATTAACTTCCTTTCCTCAATGCCTCAACAAACAGGTTTTTTTGTTTGTTTCACATTGTGTGCTCTGGCTCTAGGCTCAGCTCTCTGGAATACAGACATGTGGGGTGGCTTCTGTCCCCTAGAAACTCCTTTTGGTTAGAAGTTATGATAAATAAAGCAAATGAGGCAAGGAAGGATCTGAGTCAAAGCTTTGACTTGAGGGCTGCTGAAGGTGGGGAAAGCTTTCGGATTGGGTGGCTTTGATAGAGAAAAGAAGCCTTCTCTTTCCCCAGCTATTCCTTCCACAAGAGGCACTTCTGCAGTCTCCAAACGCAGTATTACAACAGCCTCTGGGCCTCCCCTTGCTGCCTATAGGCACTTCTCTCTCAGTGCATCGTCAGAACCCATCTTTCTGCCAGGGTGCCAAACATCTTACACTATAGTTCTGGGTCTGTGGGCCTTGTGACCGTGCTGCCTGCACATTCTGCTGCGCACGTCCAAGAATTTTACTCAACTAAAAGTCTTAAACTGTTTGTTCCATCTCCCCACCCCTCCTTTTTTATTACTACAGCCACATATGAAGGTCCTTTTTTGCATTCACCCCTTTGTGTCCTTTGATGAAAATGACCTGCCCCTCCAATTTGCTGGATGAAATCTTTAAGACCCAACTTGAATGCCACCTCCTTCATGAAACCTTTCCCAATTCTCCTTCAGCGAAAAGGAATCTCTCTTCTCTGAGCTCCTATTTACATACACATTCCTATTTTCATACACATTCCTGCCTTGCCTTAGTTCCTTACGTAGAATCTCCTCGGCTGAATCTGGAGCCCTTGGAGGGGTAGAGTAAGCATGTCATCCAGTCTGTAATTGCACCCAGCAGCAGGTACGTATGAATGTCTGCCTCACCCACAGTAGGTGCTCAGGCAAGTGCCTGTTGCCCGCGGACGCAGGGCTTCCTGTTTGCATCACTCATTTTTAGTCGCCTAACAGAGCGGACCGAACACGGTTAGGTCACACAGCCACAGGAGTCTGCCCACTCCAGCCAGTGACTAGGGTGCTCCTACCCTTCTCTCCTACCTAGTTCCAAATGGGTTGTGTGTGTGAAGGAAGTTGGGGCCGGGTAGCTCCGCTGGCTCGTCCTCCGCGTCCACCCAGCGGATCTCCGAGTCCCAGGCGGCCTCCCCCCAGTCCGAGGACCTCAAGAAACTCGAGTCGGCGGCGAGGGAGCTATATGGGCCTCTACCACGGATGCGTCTCCCACTCGCGTTTAGTTTAATTAATTAATTTATATTTTTTGGAAGGAGGGGGCGTTCAATGAAGGGGAAGAGGCGGGGCGAAGGGCGGAGGCGGGCCCAGGGTGACTGACGTGAGCGCCGGGGAGCCAATAGCCCGTGGGGGGCGTTCCCCCCCATTCAGGACTCCTCGCCTGGCTCGGAAGGTATGTTAAACAGCTGCTTTTAATTTGGTCCCCCCAATCTCAGGCGTTTGGGGGGCTAGTCCGCCGGCCGCTCGGTCTGGCCGGCCCGACGTGGTGTGGGCCCTGCGGGCCCTGGGACCGAGCTGAGGGGAGGCTCGGAGTTCCGCGGCCGAGGTAGGCGAGGGACAGGCCAGGAAGGAGAGCTCTTGGCGCCGCCCGCTCGCCAGTGTGTGTGTTTCCCAGCCTGGCCGGAGCCGTGGGAGAGGGGTGGGCCTGGCCTGGGGTCGTCCCTGCGCCGGCCGTGTAGCCTAGTTTATCTCACCGAGCAGTCGGTTTCGGTAGGTTTTGGCGGCGGACTGGAGAAGGGGCGGGCAGGAGACCCCCGACTCCTGTTGTGCCGTTTTTTTAAAAAGAAAAATACTGGAAAGAAAAGGGGGATTCCGCACACCGACTAGAACCGGGCCGGAGCTGCGGCGTGCGGGCTCGGCAGGGGGCGGCGGCTCGAGCATGGTCGGCGGGGCCCACTGAGCTCGCGGCGCTCGGAGTTGCTCGAGAGCTGGAGTTAGCGAGCGAGCCGGGGCCCGCGGCTTCCCTGGCTACCCACGCTGGACAAGGGCGGCAGCCGCCCCGAGGGTTTTGTTTTTGCCCGCAAACTTGGAGGGGGCGGTGGGCGCGCTCCGGAGAGGCGCGGGCACTGTGGGCCCGCGGTTGTTATGGACTCTGGGGGCGGGGGCAACACCGGACTTGCGGGAGGGGCGGCCGGGGGCGGGAGAGGCCACCGGAAAGAGCCCCTGCGCCTCGCCGCTAGCCCTGCGAGCTGCCGGGTCTCCAAACTCCCTGGCCGTGGCGGTCGAGTCAGCATTCGGTGCCGGAACCCGTCAGGCCGCGACCCAGCAAGGAGCTCGCATCGGTGGTGCGGAAAACCCCCAGAAACTCGGCGGCTTCGTCCGCGGCCCCGGCTGATCCCCTTGCAAACATGGAGCTGCCTGCTTCCCCGCCCACCCCAAGGCGGCGGCGGCGACTGCTGCTCTCTTCCCCTCCCCCGACCGTGCCGCCGCCGGGCTCCCCCTTCCCGCGAGGTGCTGCTGCGGACCGCTCGGCGCGGATGGGGCGGGGGCGGGGGCGCGGGCGTGTGCGCGCCCACGAGGGGGTGGCCTGAAAGGGGCAGTGAAGGTCGGAAACTGGGAAAACAGTCTCCACGCTCGGAATCGGGAAAAGGAAATGCATCAGCGGGCGGGGAGGGGCGCGGGGGGCGCGCCTGTCAGCCGGGATGGCGGCCGCGGGCGGGTAGGCGGGGCGCCGGCGGGAACCGTCCCGGCCGGGCGGGGCGACGCCGGGAGAGGCGGCGCAGGGGCCCAGTCCACCGAGCGCCGGGCGGCCCTTGCCTGCACTCCTCGGCCCAGACTGTTTACTATCTACTCCGCCGGCGGCTTGTGCAACCCGCCTGCAGGGGAGCTGAGGGGCGGACCCCTTTCCTCTCTCCCACCCACCTCCGGCTCTCCCGGAGGCCCCGCCTTCTCTTGTCTTCCACTGGCTAGGCGAGACTCCCTTTTTTTCTCCTTCTTGGATGTGGATTGGATGACATTCTCCCGAGCTCCGCCTATCGGGAGGCCGGGCTGGAGTTTAAGTTGCTAGGATTTTTTTTTCGCGGAGGGAGGAGGGACGGTTCTTGCGGATGACGTGAGGCGCAAGGTCCCGCCCCCGCCTCTGATTGGTGGGGCGGGTAGCCCGGCCTCCTCCGGCGGAGAGAGCTGGGAGGGGAAGTCCACCCTTGCTCCCCGCCTCCCTCCGCTCTTGAGCGCGCTCCGCACATGTGTGAGGCCCGCCTAGCTCCTTCGAACTGCCCTCCCGCCCGGAAGTCCTAGGCTCGGCGCCCTTGGCGAGGGGGGCGGGGAGAGCCGAGAAGCCACACAAAGGTTCCACCGAGGCTCGAGACCTAGTAGCCTTCGGGGTGAAGCCAGGGGATTACAGTGCGGAGTGGATTTCGGGAGCGAAACTCCGGAGGTTCTGCTGGGTTTGAGATCTGCCTTTCGGGGCCGGGGCCAAGTACTAAAGTTCTAACCCTGTCGCTTGGCTATTTCCGTGCCCCTTGACTTCCCTGAGCTTAAGCTCGAGAACTCTGCAGACGCTGCAAGTGTCTGTTCTTTCCTAGGCATGGCAGCGGCTGTCCTTAGTTGGCTGTATCTGAGACTCTGACAACCTAGTGCCCTGGCCTGGGGCCCTTAGGCGAGATCTTAGCGCAGGTGGTACCCTGTGTTCACGGGAAGTCGTGGGCGGCCTAATGCTGGCTTGGGTTCTGAGTAGTTCTTGATACCATGGTGGGAATGCCCTGTGGTACTCAGTCTAGTGGTGGAAGGCGGCGCAAAGTTAAAAGTAGCCGTGGGTCAGTTCTGCTGGAGTGCCGCTTCCTCCTAACCTCCGAGCAGTTTGGCCCTGGGGTCGCTTCGTTGGTCTGACTTATTTTTAGAGCTCTGTCCTGGGGCAGGGCTTGGCTACTGGCGAGGCTGCTCCCACCTGTCGGCTACCCTTGGAGTTCACAATTCGCTGCTGTGGTTTCGCGGCTCGAAGCCATCGCTGGAGTCAGGCCCACCTGCTGCCAGAGCTCGTTCCTGGCCGTTTCCGCTGGATTGCAGAGGGAGGACAGTGTTGGACCTAGGCGTGGGTTCCCTGGGCGTGTCCCTTGGGGTCTTAGCTCTCTGGGAGGAGGGTTCTACTTATTCGGGAGAGCGGTAACAACGTAATCCCGTCACCTCTCCTGGCGCTGAGAGAGCGCCCCCCAAAGTAAGATCAGCGTCAGGCCCACGCCCTATTTGGTGAATAAATAAAAGCAAACTAGGAATTGAAAGCACTTTGTCTCACTGTGTGTTCGAGGCACTGTTACCTACACAGAGAGGGCACAGGAACTGCTATTAACACTCCCGGCCAAGGAGAAGGTGAACAGCCGTTATCTTATGTCCCCAACTACGGAAATTTTATCCATTCTCTGAGTGTGGCATGTCCCCAATGTTAATTTATGCCGTGGCCTGTTTTGGTGTTTTCCTCTCCTTTCTCAGTTCTGAGGATGCCTCCAGATCCACCCGGGAGATCGTGAGTACCTTGTGCCTCACGCTCCGCCTTCCGGAGGCTTGCCAGGGCGGTGGCTGTTAGAGCCCGCCTCTCTTTTGGTTATCTCCGCCCTCTTAGGACTGCATATTCAGCTCTAGGGAGTTTACTTCTCCGCCTAGGTCTCCAGACCTTAGTTCTGTACTCTACTTGGCTGAAAGGAGTTGCCAGCTGCTCCGGATATTTGTGTTTACAAGGACGCAGTGTGTAGAATGTAAACTGTAAAGATAACTGGACGGAAGGATGAGTTCTCATTCTCTCATTTTTTTTGTGAGGGAGTCCTCCATGGTGGGCTGCCTTTCCTTCAAATCCTAGGATGTGGAGTCTCCGCTGATGAGCTCCGCTCCCCCTCCTATCTCGGGCCCTGGAACTCCGAGCTTCAGTCTCTAGTGTAAACATTCCACAAAAGGACTGCTAAGGTTCAGCCTCCTCGCGCAGGGTGGAATTAGCTCCTTCCTAGACGGGCGCCCTGGCCAATGGAGGGTCCTACCAGCGCCAAGATATCCAATCCGACTCTTGGGGCGGGGCCTGGCCCGGCAGTGCGGTAGGCGGAGCCTGTTTCACTTACAGACATTTTACCCCACATCGGTTACTTACCTTACTGGGGCGGTGGGAGAGCCAGGGGTAGCCTTCCAATGCGATGACCAGCGGAGGCGGGAGCCAACTTGTTAGGCCTGTGGCTGAGACGCTGCAGGGCGGGTTATGTGGTGTCCTCCAATGAGACAGGAAGAGCTTCCCTGCTTCCTCCAATAGTGTTGGGGCTCGGGGGTGGGCTTCAGCAGTCCGTCTCCAATAGGCGGGGTTGAGTTAGGGAAGCTCCCCGCCAATAGGGGCGTGGAGAAGGAGAGCGGCTCCCCCTCCCCTACCAGTCGAGGGGGAAGGGGCGGGAAAATCATAAGACAGGCCTCGGTGGTTGGCTGAGTCTTTGACGGGCGGGTATTGCGTCCTGTATTGGAACGAAGCTGAGTCTTCCCTCTGCGGGGCGGGGTCGGGGGAGTGGGCGGGATTTCCCGGGTAACAGAGAAGCGGCCGCGGCGGTAGAGGCGGCGGAGACGGTTTCTCCATCTTCCCCCCTCCCCTTCCCCCCTCGGAGTTTCCCTCCCTCCCTCCCTCCCTCCTTCCCAGTCTGGGCACCGGAGCCTGTGACCGCTTCGTTAGTGGAGAGGTAGCTGGCAGTCCGCTTCGGCGGGCCTGTGCCCCGCGCCGTTCTCGGGGCCTCCCTGCTGAGCTCGCGGCTCACGCTGAGAGGGACACGCAGTGACGAGCGGCCGAAGCAGCTTTGCGGTGAGAGCACGCTGGGCCGGGGGCCGGGCGGGAGCCTGGTGGCGGGTAACGCCGGACTCGAGGGTGTGTATTTTGGGGGGGGGGGGCTGACCTCCTCGGCTTCCCGTAGAGCAGACGGGCGGGAGGTGTGTGGTTGTGTGAGGGGGGTGGGGGGCGGAGCGGGGTAGCTCTCCGCGCGGGAGGGGGAGGAGAGCGTAGTCCCGGTGCGCGCGGAGGGGGGCGGGCTCTCGCGCCGCCGCTCAGAGGCGGGGCCGGCGCGCGCGTGCGATTGTGGAGAAAGGGGCGGGGCCGGCTTCGCGCTGAGTGCAGTTTGCGGCCGACCACCCCCTCCCCTCCTCCTGGGGTGGGCGGGGCCTCGGGCTGGCGGCCGCGCTCTGGCCTGCTGGGGTCGGGGAGGGGTAGGGGGGGGTCTCCCGCGTGTAGATTCAGGGCGCGGCAGGGAGGGGGCGTGAAGTCTGAGTTCCTCCGCCTTCTTGGGATCCGGTTGGCCGGAGGGGCCGTACTGATCCGTGATGCCACTCCCCTTGGCCGTCCCCCCCTGCACCCCGCCCAGGCCCCGGGTTTCCGCCTCCTTGGCAATGAGGAGGTGCTAGGGAAAGCCCGCTGTCGGGTCTGGCTGGGAGTCTCGGCGCCTAGATCTGCCCCGCCCTATGTCTCCGTGGGGAGGGAGGGGCACCCGCCGACTGGGAGCTGTGGAGGTGTCAGGACTTACTCTTGTGGCTGGGTCATGCCTTCTGCCTGGGGGCACAAGGGCCCTGTGCCGGAGCTGCTTTCTCCGCTTTGCTCCATGCAGCGTGTCTGGCACCGTGCAGCCAGGAGAGTGGGAGCATGGTCACCCCCACTCCCCTCTTGGTTGTAACTATTGGGGCGAAGTGCCCAAGGTCCTCTTGTAGGAGCGTGCGTGGCTGGTGCTGGAACCCTAGATCCGCGGTGGTGATGGTAGGGGAGGGGCAGGGAGTCATCAGAGACTAGAAATGTGGCGGAGGGAAAACCTTCCCTGGGGTTCCCTTGATGTTCAGTTACCGTGGCTGTACGGGGCGGGGCTTCCTTTGAGCCAATGGGTGGTGGGTAGTAGACTTGGCGTCTGTTTCGGTGCGTTAGGACTTTAAACGAAGTTAGCCTTGAAAAGGCAGTGGAAGCTCCTCCTCTTTACAAGGCTGAGATTTATAACAGGAAAGTTTGGATTTACATTTTAATCTCAAAACTGGTCTGTTTATAAAGTAGGGTTTGTTTTTTTTTTTTAAGAACTCAGACTTTGAATAAAATACTCCGATATCTCTGACAGTTGTATTTTTGAATGCTTTCATTGTGCACATGGTTCTGCTATATAAACTTAGTTTCCTGGACGGGCGCGGTGGCTCATGCCTGTAATCCTAGCACTTTGGGAGGCCGAGGCAGGTGGATCACTTGAGGTCAGGAGTTCGAGACCAGCCAGGCTTACATGGCGAAACCCTGTTTCTACTAAAAATACAAAAAAAAGCTGGGCGTGGTGGCAAGCGCCTGTAATCCCAGCTACTGGGGAGGCTGAGGCAGGAGAATCACTTGAACCCGGGAGGCGAGGGTGCAGTGAGCCGAGATGGTGCCATTGCACTGTAGCCTGGGCGACAGGAGCAAAACTCCGCCTCAAAAAACAACCAAAAAAACTTGGTTTCCTAAAGAATTTGCTATTTAGGTAACTATAGGTGAAAAGTCTTTTCTTTTTTATTTTATGTACTTATGTTAGACCATCTAGACCACTTTCTATTTATACTCTACATAGTACAGTGTTGTTGCCCTTTTTATTTCAGAGGAGGGTGGAATTGTGGATCAGGGTAGCCTTCTGTATGTGACTTCTGTAGCGTTGCCCTCCAGCCTGTATTGGAGAGTTGCCTTAGGGCATTTCAGATTTAGATAGCAGAACCACATTAGATGAGGTTTTTGCTTTCACTTGATACATTATCTTTTCCTATTGAGAGAAATTATTTCAATGTTTTTCACATTTTTCATGAGAAAAATAAACATGGAACCAATGTTTATTTATGCAGTAATGTCTAAATGAGCCTCTGGTTAATTATCTGAAGTGAAATTCTAGATTTGTGCTTTGGTTAGTAGGGCCTGAGTGGTACCCTGTGCTATATTTATGTGAAAAGGGTAGGTGGGTCCTACCTTCTCTGCTAAGGAAGTTGCAAAAGCAATAGCATTTTAGTTTAGCAAATGATGGCTGTAATAGAATTGGTGGGGAGACAAAAAATCCAGGTGGTTTTTTCTGATGCCATAAACTGAGAGAGATAGTGGAGAACGATTGACCATTGAGGAAAATTTGGGCTACATATATAGTTCCCATGATTTGCAGTGCTGTATACTGGGGAACACAGAAGAGTCTATAAGGATTCAAGTAAGAACCTGGTTTTGCTGTATTAGGAACATTTTCATAAATGCTTCATAATCTCCAGATAATTATTTTATATACTATAATTTTGTTCAGAGATAAATAGCTTAGAAAGATTGGCACTTCGTAATTAAGAGGGTTTTAATAATTTACATACAGAGAAAGACTTTTTTTCTTTTTTAAGGAAGGAGGTGTGTAGTAATTTGACAAGATTCCTGGTGAAGTATAATTCTTTTTACATCTTCAGTGGGAGCAGACAAGACACTGGAGAGCTGTGCATGGCAGATGTTAGTACCTGGGAATTTTAACTGGAATTAAGAGGTTATATCCCTGGCATTCAGTAGTTTAGCATAGTGCTTTTCATGGCTTTCTCTCTTTTCTGGGCAATCCACCAGCCAAGAGTTTGTTAAGCTTTACTTTCTGTAGGCCTTTAAAAAAATAAATAGTATATGCTTTTTCAAAATACACCTTCCTCGCCCCTTGAAAAATAAAAGCTGATATTTATTGAGCACTTACTGTGTCACAGATACTGTGTTAGGCACTAGACTTTTTTTTTTTTTTGAGATGGAGTCCTGCTCTGTCTCCCAGGCTGGAGTGCAGTGGTGCAATCTCAGCTCACTGCAACTTCCGCCTCCCGGGTTCTAGCGATTGTCCTGCCTCAGCCTCCACGAAGAAGAAGCTGGGGCGCCACCACACGCCTGGCTAAGTTTTGTACTTTTGGTAGAGGCAGGGTTTCACCATGTTGATCAGGTTGGTCGCAGACTCCTGACCTCGTGATCCGCCCGCCTCAGCCTCCCAAAGTACTGGGATTACAGGCATGATCCACTGCACCCGGCCGCATAATGTCTTTTTTTCTCATGTCTTTTTTTTTTTTTTTTTAGACGAAGTCTCGCTCTGTCACCAGGCTGGAGTGCAGTGGCATGATCACAGCTCACTGCAGTGTTGATCTTCTGGACTTAAGCGACCCTCCTACCTTAGCCTCCCATGTAGCTGGGACTACAGGTGTGTGCCACCACGCACCTGGCTAATTTTTTTTATATTTTTATAGAGGTGAAGTCCTGCTGTGTTGCCCAGGCTGGTCTCGAACTCCTGGGCTCAAGAGGTCCTTCTGCCTCAGCCTCTCAAAAGTGCTAGGATTAAGACGTGAGTCACCGTGCCCGGTCATGGGTGGCAATTTCTACCTGATGTATTTCTTATTTGCCCCTTTTGCTTTTGTTTTCCCTACCCACTTTTTGTCTTGTATGCTTGTATGTTACCCATATTTCTCAGCATGACAGTGGACCCTTCATGAGTCTTCTTGGTGTCCTCCAGGGCTAGGCTTGCTGACATATGGGCTATTGGAGGATATGCAGGTCCACATCCTTTATTTGCAGTTCTGAAATGCAAGAGTTTTTGTTTTTTGGTAAGTCTAGTTCCACAACTAGTTTTGGGGTACAGCCTGACCTGGGCTATCCTGCATGATGCAGAAATGTGACTGCTTGATTATGGGGAGCTACTCAGCCCTAGCTGGGAGAGAGAGATGATACAGTATATGTACCATATTACCTTTCTAAAATCCAAACAATGCTGATGACTCTAACGGGGATCTCTCCCTCTACCATAGACTAATATGTTTAGTGGCCCACTCAAGGTCTCCACTCGATGTCTCCTCTTGGATAACTAAGAGACATTGTTGACTCTTCTGTGTCTTTTTCATATGTGGTCCATCAGTAAATTTTACTGCTTTATATTCAAAATACTATCCAGAATTAGACCACTTAGGATCTGCATCTCCACTGCCCTAGTCAGTGCCTGTGCATCTCTAGCTTGGATTCTATTCTCCTTGTTTTGTTACTGCGGCTCTTAAATGTGTTCTCAACATAGCAACCCAAGTGATTCTTTTGAAACCTAAGTCATACCGTGTCACTTCTCTGCTTAAAACCATCCAGTGGCTTTCCATTTCAGTCTGAGTATTAAACCTGAGTCCTTATTTAGATATGTCTGTAATGAGCTGGGCGCGGTGGCCCATGCCTGTAATACCAGCACTTTGGGAGGCTGAGGCAGGCGGATCACGAGGTCAGGAGATTGAGACCATCCTGGCTAACATGGTCTCCACTAAAAAAAATACAAAAGAGTTAGCCGGGCATGGTGGCACACGCACCTGTAGTCCCAGCTACTCGGGAGGTTGAGGCAGGAGAATGGTGTGAACCCGGGAGGTGGAGCTTGCAGTGAGCCAAGATCGTGCCACTGCACTCTAGCCTGGGCGACAGAGCGAGACTGTCTCAAAAGAAAAAAAAAAGGATATGTCTGTAATTTCACCATTTTGGGAGCTCAAGTGGGAGGATCGTTTGAGTCCAGGAGTTTGAGACCAGCTTGGGCATCATAACAAGACCCTGTCTCTATAAAAAAATTAAAAATTAGCCAAGCATGCTGGCGCGTGCCTGTAGTCCCAGTTACTTGAGAGGCTGAGGCAGGAGGATTGCTTGAGCTCAGGAGCTTGAGGCTGCAGTGAGCCATGACTGTGCCACTGCACCCCAGCCTTGACGACAAAATGAGACCCTGTGTCAAAAAATAAAAAAACACCTGTAAGAACAAATCTGATGTACCCTCTGCCTGCCACCCTTATCCTAGTACCTCTCTGACTACATTTCTGACTAGTCCTTCTTTCGTTTTTCTTCAGCTACCCAGCCTTCATGCTGTTTTGGAACATGTCAAGCACATGTGAGCCCTCACAAAGACATGAGGGTCTTTGCGGTTGCTGTCCCCTCTGCCTAGAAGGCTTCCTCCACTAATTTCTGCATGACTAGCTCCCTCACTTCCTTTACTCAGAAGTTACCTTATCAGTAGGTATTATCTGACCATTCTTATCTACAATTTCAAAAACTCTTCCTTGCCTTTTGTTCTTGATACCTGTCACTGCCTACTATTCTAAATATTATACTTTGTCTATTGTGTCATCTTTCACTAAAATATAAGCTTCTTGAGGGAAGAGATTTTTGTTTACCGTTGTATCTCCAGCTCCTAAAACACCTGGTGCATAGTATGTGCTCAGTAGATATTAGAGAATGTATACATGAATGAATGATTTGGTTTCCACCACAGACAAGACAAAGCAGTATGCTGAGCATGGTAGAGGATACATAGATGGTTAAAGATGTTATGTGCCCATGTTTGTGTGGGAGCAGAAGAGCTAATGTGATAAAAGCAGTGTGAGATGTGAGTGACACTTCCACCTGTCCTTTCAAGAACTATCTCAAGTTCTATTCTTTGTAATGCTCTATTTTCTTTTCTTTCTTTCTTTTTTTTTTTTTTTTTTCTTTTTTTTGAGACAAGGTCTCACTGTGTTGCCCAGGCTAGAGTGCAGTGGTACTATCTCGGCTCATTGCACACACACACATACACACACCCAGCTTCAAGTGATTCTCCTGCCTCAGCCTCCCGAGCAGCTGGGATTACAGGCATGCGCCACTACACCCAGCTATTTATTTATTTATTTATTTATTTTGAGACGGAGTTTTGCTCTGTCTCCCAGGCTGGAGTGCAGTGGTGCAATCTCGGCTTGGCACAATCTCAGCTCACTGCAACCTCCACCTCCTGGGTTCAAGTGATTCTTCTGCCTTAGCCTCCCGAGTAGCTGGGATTACAGGCACCCACCACCATGCCTGGCTAATTTTTTTTTTTTTTTTTTTTTTTTTGAGACAGTGTCTCGCTCTGTCGCCCAGGCTGGAGTACAGTAGCGCGATCTCAGCTCACTGCAATCTCCCCTTCCCAGGTTCAAGCAGTTCTCCTGTCTCAGCCTCCTGAGTAGCTGGGATCACAGGCGCCACCACCATGCCTGGCTAATTTTTTGTATTTTTAGTAGAGACAGGGTTTTACCACGTTGACCAGCCTTGTCTTGAACTCCTGGCCTCAGGCAATCCACCTGCCTTGGCCTCCCGAAGTGCTGGGATTACAGGCATGAGCCACTGCACCTGGCCTTATAGATATTTTGAAAGATTATATTTCTTATATTAAATAGAGATAGGGTCTTACCATGTTGCTCAGGCTGGTCTTCCTGGACTCAAGCAATCCACCTGCCTCAGACACCCAAAGTGCTGAGATTACAGGTGTTAGCCACCATGCCTGGCCTAATACTTAATTTTTAAAAAACTTTTTCTTTGGAAATAATTTTAGACTTCAAAGAGAGTTGCAAAAATAATACAAATAATAGCCCTATAATCTTCACCTAGATTCCCCAAGTGCATCTTTTAAAACCACAATACAGTGATCAAATCAGAAAATCAACATTGATAACAATTATTAATACATTTTGAATTTAACTAAATTTCTGTTCATTTTCTACCTACAGTAGTAAGAAATGTCTGGGTAACATCAGTGTCACCGAAGTCTGTATTGCCCAGATTGGTCTCAAACTCCTGGGCTCAAGCAGTCTGCCCACCTCGGCCTCCCAAAGTGCTGGGATTACAGGCCTGAGCCACTGCACCTGGTCTGGACTCAATTTTAGTTTTTGAGTTTTGCTTTTTTTTTTTAAAGCAGTACTAACTACTTGTAAAGATGTATATTTCATGACTTTTATTTATTGGAGGTCTTCAAAACAGCAAAGAGAAAATTTATTTTTATTTTTAATTTTATTTTTGAGATGCGGTCTTGTTCCATCCCCAGGCTGGAGTGCAGTAGCGCGATCTTGGCTCACTGCAACCTCCGCCTCCTGGGTTCAACTGGTTCTCCTGCCTCAACCTCCCGAGTAGCTGGGATTACAGGTGTGTACCACCATACCCAGCTAATTTTTGTATTTTTAGTAGAAATGGGGTTTCACCATATTGGCCAGGCTGGCCTCAAACTTCTTATCTCTCGAAGTGCTGCGATTACAGGCATGAGTCACCATGCCCAGCCTGAAAATTTATTTTTTTTCCAAAGGAATAAACTCATTTTAGCTATTACCACTTGTACATCGAAACAATGTTGTGGAGTTTTACTGATCTTATTTTTCCTGTATATTGAAATGTTTTGGTATTTCATCATCCTAGGAATTATTTCATCATTACTCATCAATTCTCAAATATGCTAAAGAGGACTAAAATAATATGACAAAGGGAGAATTATAGAATTGCTTAAAAGGATATGCAGTAGTGAAATAAATCATTAGTTTTACACTTCAGTTTTTAGAGATGGGGCCTCGCTTTGTTGCCCAGGCCGAAGGGCAGTGGTATGATCATAGCTCTCTGCAGCCTCAAACTTCTGGGCTCAAGTGATCATCCCTCCTAAGCATCCTCGGTAGCTGGGACTATAGGTGTGCACCGCAGCCCTTCAGTTTTCTTATTGCTTTTCCCAAAACTTACAGCAACTTTTTTTTTCTTTTTGGATACAGGGTCTCACTCTGTCACCCAGGCTGGAGTGCAGTGGCGCAATCTCAGTTCACTGCAACCTTCGCCTCCCAGACTCAAGCAATCTCACCTCAGCCCTCCAAGTAGCTGGGACTACAGGCATGTGCCACCACACCTGGCTAATTTTTGTATTTTTTTTGTAGAGAGAACGTTTCGCCATGTTGTCTAGGCTAGTCTCGAACTCCTGGGCTCAAACAATCCACCCACCTTAGCCTCCCAAAGTGCTGGGATTCCAGGCATGAGCCAGCATGCCCAGCCTACAGCATCTTTCAAGAAAGTATAAAAGAAGTTGGGAGATACCATCTTAAACATTATGTAAGATGTTAACATTTGGAGAATCTAGGTGAAGGAGTACATGGTAATTTTTATACTATTTTTCAACTTTTAAGCTTTCATTGGACATATTTAAAAATCCATAGTTTTTCATCTTCCTCCTATAATGGCAAAGAGAAGAAAACTGACTACAGAAGACATTTCAGAGGAACTAGTAGATGAATGCTGTGTGACAGTAGTACTCTAGACTGTTAGGATGACGGTAAAGTTATATAAACCAAGTTGTAAAATAAGAGTCTTCAGCCAGGCATGGTGGCGTGCACCTGTAATCCTAGCATCTCGGGAGGCTGAGATGGGAGGATCACTTGAGCCCAGTACTTCAAAACCAGGCTGGGCAACATAGCAAGATTCTGTCTCCACCCATATACATATGTGACTGTACCCTAGATGAGTTTAGAATGTGATTTTTTTTTTTTTTTTTTTTTTGAGACAGAGTTTTGCTCTTATTGCCCAGGCTAGAGTGCCATGGCACAATCTCGGCTCACCGCAACCTCCGCCTCCTGGGTTCAAGGGATTCTCCTGCCTTAGCCTCCCAAGTAGCTGGGATTACAGGCATGTACCACCATGCCTGGCTAATTTTTTGTATTTTTAGTAAAAGATGGGGTTTCTCCATGTTGGTCAGGCTGGTCTTGAACTCCCAACCTCAGGTGATCCACCTGCCTTGGCCTCCCAAAGTGCTGGGATTACAGTCGTGAGCCACCATGCCCAGCGGTGAATTTTTTTTTTTTTTTTTTTTTTTTTAAAGATGGGATCTATCTCACTATGTTGCCCAGGCTGGATTTAAATTCCTGAGCTCAAGCTGTTCTCCTGCTTCAGTTCCCCCAAGTAACTGGCACTATAGGCATCCAGCTAGAATGTGATTTTCTTTTTATAAGAATCAGAACTGGGCTGGGTGCAGTGGCATATGCCTGCAATCCCACCTTCTTGGGAGGCTGAGGTGGGAGGATCGCTTGAGCCCAGACGTTCGAGACCAGCCTGGGCAACATAGTGAGACCCCATTTCTATTTTTAAGAAATGAAAAAAAAAAACAATCAAAACCACTGCACTTTGCCAAAAAGATGTATGATAGTATTCTTTCATCTTTCAAGATATTTGTACACCAAAACTTAGTTGATGCAGTTTGTAAGTGGACAGGTGCCAAAGTTACGTATATGTATAAAGATGGTTAGAAGGAAAAATTATGTAAAAATGAAAAAAAAAATCAGTTTTTTTTTTTTTTTTTTTTTTTTTTTTTTTTTGAGACAGAGTCTCACTCTTGTTACCCAGGCTGGAGTGCAGTGGCATGGTCTTTGCTCACTGCAACCTCTGCCTCCTGGGTTCAAGCGATTCTCCTGCCTCAGCCTCCCGAGTAGCTGGGACTACGGGTGCGTGCCACTGCACCCAGCTAATTTTTTGTAGTTTTGGTACAGATGGGGTTTCACCGTTTTAGCCAGGATGGTCTCAATCTCCTGACCTCGTGATCCACCCGCCTCGGCCTCTGAGAGTGCTGGGATTAGAGGCAAGAGCCACACGCTCAGCCTGGATTGTTCATTCTGATTGACATTTATTAGTCTAAAAATGAGAATGCTTATGATTATGGAGCAAAGAAGATGACTGTTCTCTCCAACAAAATTATGAAGTGAGTTTTCAAAGTATTTCATTTGATGGGCAGAAAGGGAAAAAAAGACCCAGAGGTGATAAGCTAGAACCTTACTAGAGCTGTACCTGAAACCTGGAATCAAAATTTACAAAATGGAAGCCAAGCGTGGTGGTGTGTACCTGTTTACAGAGTGGAAGCCAAGTGTAGTGGTATACACCAGCTACTCGGGAGGCTGAGGCAGGAGGATCGCTTGTGGCCAGGAGTTCAAGACCGGCCTGTGCAATGTAGGGAGACCCTGTCTCTAAAAAAAATTTTTTTCTTATTAGCCACTCTGTAGTCCCAGCTACTTAGGAAGCTGAGGTGGGAGGATTGTTTGAGCCCAGCAGTCTGTAATGAGCTATGATCATGCCACTGTACTCTAGCCTGGGCAATAGAGCAAGACCCTGTTTTTTTTTTATTTTGTTTTTTGTTTTTTTGAGACGGAGTCTGGCTCTGTTGCCCACGCTGGAGTGTAGTGGCGAGATCTCGGTCAACCTCCACCTCCCAAGTTCAAGCAATTCTACTGACTCAGCTTCCTGAGTAGCTGGGATTATAGGCACACGCCACCATGCCCGGCTAATTTTTTTGTATTTTTAGTAGAGATGGGGTTTCACCATGTTGGCTAGGCTGGTCTTGAGCTCCTCACCTCACGTGATCTACCCGACTTGGCCTCCCAAAGTACTGAGATTACAGGCGTGAGCCACTGCACCTGGCCAACCCTGTTTCTTTTTCTTGTTCTTTTTTTTTTTTTTTTTTTTGAGACAGAGTCTTCGCTCTGTCACCCAGGCTGGAGTGCAGTGGCGCGATCTCAGCTCACTGCAAGCTCTGCCTTCCAGGTTCACGCCATTCTCCTGCCTCAGCCTCCCGAGCAGCTGGGACTACAGGCGCCTGCCACCACGCCTGGCTAATTTTTTGTATTTTTGGTAAAGACGGGGCTTCACCTTGTTAGCCAGGATGGTCTCGATCTCCTGACCTCGTAATCCGCCTGCCTTGGCCTTCCAAAGTGCTGGGATTACAGGCATGAGCCACCGCGCCCGACCCCTTGTTTCTTAAAAGAAACAAAAAATTTATAGAATGGCTGTGTTCCAAGTTCATGCATGACATTTGATGAGTACTTGGTTGCATTTTAAAGGATGTTGCACATTTTGGATATTTATATCTCCCAGTGTCCAGGAAAGTACGGAATAAAAATTTAGATTTGCTACTTAAGGCTGGGCATGGTGGCTCACACCTGTAATCCCAGCACTTTGGGTGGCTGAAGCGGGCAGATCACTTGAGGTCAGGAGTTTGAGAACAGCCTGGCCAACATGGCAAAACCCCTTTTCTACTAAAAATACAAAAATTAGCCAGGTGTAGTGGCACACACCTGTAATTCCAGCTGCTTTGGGAGGCTGAGGCACAGGAATTGCTTGAACCTGGGAGGCAGAGGTTGCAGTGAGTTGAGATTGCACCACTGCACTCCAGCCTGGGTGACAAAGTAAGACTGTGTCTCAAAAAAAAAAACAAATTTGCTACTTACATTCTTGTTAAAATAGTAAGTAATAACGATATGGGGTTTTTTTAAAGTTATTTATTTATTTATTTATTTTTGAGAGGGAGTCTCGCTCTGTTGCCCAGGCTGGAGTGCATTGGCGTGATCTTGGCTCACTGCAACCTCCGCCTCCCAGGTTCAAGCAATTCTCCTGCCTCAGCCTCCAAAGTTGCTGGGATTACAGGCGCCCGCTACCACGCCCAGCTAATTTTTGTGTTTTTAGTAGAGACGGGGTTTCACCATGTTGACCAGGCTGGTCTTGAACTCCTGACCTCAGGTGATCCGCCCGCCTCAGCCTCCCAAAGTGCTGAGATTACAGGCGTGAGCCACCACACTTGGCGTTATTTTTAATTTTTACAGATTTAATGAGCATTATGGTATCAGAAAAGCTCTAAAATTTTGAGTCAGAAGAGTTTTACAGATCAAGCCTAAGAGAGGGACGAAAGGAGACCAGGCGTAAAAAAAGATAAGAGTTCTAAAAAACTTTAGGTCAGAGTGTCTGGCCAATGCGTAATGGTATAATGCGGGTTAAAGGTGTATCATATGCCGTAAAAGAAGCATTGATGGCCGGGTGCGGTGGCTCACGCCTGTAATCCCAGCACTTTGGGAGGCTGAGGTGGGCGGATCACGAGGTCAGGAGATCGAGACCATCCTGGCTAACACAGTGAAACCCCATCTCTACTAAAAAATACAAAAAAAAAATTAGCCAGGCGTGGTGGCAGGCGCCTGTAGTCCCAGTTACTTGGGAGGCTGAGGCCGAAGAATGGCATGAACCTGGGAGGCGGAGCTTGCAGTGAGCCAAGATCACGCCACTGCGCTCCAGCCTGGGTGACAGAGCAAGACTCTGTCTCAAAAAAAAAAAAAAGATATGTGACAGTTGGGGTTATGATTAAACTTAGGTTTCTCAGTCTTCACACACTGTTGACATTTTGGGCCAAATAATTTGTTGTGAGGAGACTGTCGTGTGCATTGTAGGATGTTTGACAACATCCTTTTACTCTATCTGTGAGATATCAGTAGCATTCCATCTTCCCGAGTTGTGACAACCAAAAATGTCTTCCATCATTACTACATGTGCCCTTGGGAGGCAGAATCTCCCCTAGTTGAGGACCACTGCATTAGAAGAATATAAAAACTGAGTTCAAAGGAGGCTTGGATATTAGATCTAATGGTGTCTTTTGAGAAGAGCTGGTTGTTAATTTTTCCAAGCAATAATTCTAATCAATATATGAAATCTAAATAGAGTGCCTTTCATTCTGTAATAGATTCTTTCTTAGCAGATTTAAAACCAGAGGTGGACTTTTGGACAAATTTTGAATTAGACTACTCAAAATTGCACTGGGTTGAAGTTTACATTGACTTAATACTGCGATGGAAGTTTGCTTTTGAAGAGAAACTTTCCATTGTTTCAAGAATATGCATTTAAAAATAAGCAAAAAAGAGTATGCATTTATTTATTTTATTTTTTGTTCTAAGAGTATGCATTTAAACAAACTGACCAGGATAGACTTTTGTTTTTTTGAGACAGGGTCTTATTCCATCACCCATGCTGGAGTGCAGTGGCATAATCACAGCTCACTGTAGCCTCAACCTCCCAGGCTCAAATGATCCTCCCACCTCAGCCTCCTAAGCAGCAAGGACTACAGGTGCTCACTACCATGCCCAGCTAATTTTTAATAAAATTTTTTTGTAGAGACGGTGTCTCACTTTGTTGCCCAGGCTCATCTCAAACTCCTGGCCTCAAGCAATCCTCCCACCACGGCCTCCCAAAGTGCTAGGATTACAAATGTGAGCTGCTACACCCAGCATCCCACCCGTTTTTTTTTTGTTTGTTTTGTTTTTTGAGACGGAGAGCCTTGTTCTGTCAACCAGGCTGGAATGCGGTGGCGCGATCTCAGCTCACTGCACCCTCCGCACCCTGGGTTCAAGCGATTCTTGTGTCTCAGCTTCCTGAGTAGCTGGGATTACAGGCACCCACAACCACACCCGGCTAATTTGTTTTTCGTGCTTTAGTAAAGACAGAGTTTCGCCATGTTGGCCAGGCTGGTTTTGAACTCCTGACCTCAAGTGATCCGCCTGCCTCAGCCTCCCACAGTGCTAGGATTACAGGTGTGAACCACCGCGCCCAGTTTTATTATAACACATGGCCAGGTGACTTTTAGGACCTGTAGGTGTTTTTTTTGTGTGTGTGTATTTGGGATCTTCCTCTGTCGCTCAGGCTGGAGTGCAGTGGTGCAATCTTGCTTAATCTAACCTCCACCTCCTGGCCTCAAATGATCCTTCCTCCTCAGTCACCCAGAGTGCTGGAATTACAGGTGCAAGCCACTGTGCCCACCAGGTGACCTTTAAATGTTCTGCTGCCATTATTTAGTCTTCTCTCCATAGTTTCTATACGTCAAAGTGCTTTTTTTTTCTTTTTATAATGTCTTCCTAGACTAGAGTTCTGATAGTACTATAAACTCCAAATTTGAAACAGATGGAGATCAACCATGTTGGCTGAAGCGGGACTTGACAGTACTTTTGTGGCTGACTTTGTGGTTCCATCGTTTGGCTTTCTTTATATTCTAGAATTACACTGTACCCCTCTGCAAGCGTGGTTTTACAGTCTTGTCCAATGTTTCTACTTTAGATTGTTCATATTCCAAGGAGGAAGAATTTAACCTCTTGCTCTTTTAGTCAGGTATGTGACCTTGAATAAGTCATTTAATTTGAGTATCAGTTTCCCTCAAAAAAAGAGGGGTCTGGCTGGGCGCAGTGGCTCATGCCTATAATCTCAGCACTTTGGGAGGCCAAGACAGGAGGATTGTTTGAGGCCAGGAGTTGGAGACCAGCCTGGGCAGCATATCGAGACCCTGTCTCTACAAAAAATACAAAAGTTAGATATGGTGGCGCTGCCTATGTCCCAGCTACTTGGGAGGCTGAGGTGGGAGGATTACTTGAGCCCAGGAGGTTGGGGATGCGGTGAGCCGTGATAGCCCTGCTGCACTCCAGCCTGGTGGACATAATGGTATGCTATTGCAAAAAAAAAAAAAGGGTTCTGGGACTGCCTATCTGACAGGATTGTTGCGAGGAGGACATCAGCTGATAGCAGTCATACATGGAAGACTTGGCTGTTGTCGGGGAGGAAATCTCTGGCTCAGTGCTGGACTTCTAACCCTCCGCACAGGGCCAGGCATGTCTTAAGCACTTGCTAATTATTTGTGGGATGAATGACTTGGCAAAGATTGTAAATAACTATTGCCTGCAAGTCTAAACTTACTATTTTAATTTCATGCTCTATACCCCTGTGTTCTAATTCATCTCTAATTTTCAAGATGTAGCTGAATATTTACCTTTATAGAGTCTTCCCAAGTGTACCTGTCTGTATCCCTTTCCCAATTTATAGTACTTATTTTTTCCACTCAAGAGCTGGTTTGTATTGTTGGCTTTTCTTCCTGTTTTTTTTTTTCCTAATCCTCAGAACCTGTGGATGTTTTTTTCCAAGACTTTATCAAGAAAATTTCCAAATACACAACAAAGTTGATAGAATTTTAGTAAATATAATGAACACCCATATACACACTACCTAGATTTTACCATTATCATTTTTCTACTACTAGGTTTAACATATGCCTGTCCATCTATCCATCGCTCCATCAATGAATCTGATTTTTTGATGTATTTCAAAATAAATTGCAGACATTAGTATACTTCATCTAAGCACTTGAGCATGTTTATCATTATCTAGAGTTTAATATTGTTTATAGCATTTTTCTTTTTTGTCCAGGCTCGAGTGCAGTAGCGAGATCTCAGCTCACCTCAGCCTCTGTCTCCTGGACTCACATGATCCTCCCACGTCAGCCTCCTAAATAGCTGGGATTACAGGTACATGCCACCATGCATGGCTAATTTTGTATTTTTTGTAGAGATGGAGTCTCGCCATGTTGCCCAGGCTGGTCTTGAACTCCTGTGCTCAAGAGGTCCGCCTGCCTCGGCCTCCCAAAGTGCTGGGATTACAGGCACTTTGTGAGCCATTGTGCGTGGCTAGCATGTTTTTTCTTTGTCTTTTTCTTTTTTGTTTTTTTTGTTTTTTTTTTGAGACAGAGTCTCACTCTGTTGCCCAGGCCGGAGTGCAGTGACGTTATCACTGCTCACTACAACCTTGCAGCCTCAACTTCTGAGGTCAAGAGATCCTTCCACTTCAGTCACTGGAGTAGCTAGTACCATAGTTGTGCGCCACCACTTCCAGCTAATTGTTTCTTTATTTTGTAGAGACAGGGTCATCCCATTGTTGCCCAGGCTGGTCTCCAGCTCCTGGGCTCAAGCCATCCTTGAGCCTCAGCTTCCCAAAGTGTTGGGATTACAGGCATGAATCACTGTGCCCAGGCACATTTTTCTTTCAATGCAAATTTTACATACAATGAAATGTACAAATCTTTAGTACATTTTGTATGTGTATATATACATACATGAGATCATGCTGTATGTATTCTATAGCTTACTGTTTTCTTCTTCTTTTTTTTTTTTTTTTTGAGACGTAGTTTCACTCTTGTTGCCCAGGCTGGAGTGCAGTGGCGCCATCTTGGCTCACCTCAACCTCTACCTCCTGGGTTCGAGTGATTCTCCTGCCTCAGCCTCCTGAGTAACTGGGATTACAGGCATGCGCCACCACGCCCAGCTAATATTTGTGTTTTTAGTAGAGACAGGGTTTCTCCATGTTGGTCAGGTTGGTCTCGAACTCCCAAACTCAGGTGATCCACCCGCCTCGGCCTCCCAAAGTGCTGGGATTATAAGCGTAAGCCACTGCATCCGGCCTAGCCTGCTGTTTTCACTTAATATGTCTTAGAGTTCATTCTTTGTACTTGTGGATAAACCCTGATCTTTCTGATTCCTACATAGTTTTCCATAATATGCATGATCACATTTATTTAGCTGATAGATATTTAGATTTTCATATTTTGCTGCAATAAATATACTCAGCAGATGTGTAGGATACAGGCCTGAAAGTGGAATTGATAGTTTCAGTATTCCAAAATCTAGTATGTTTTAGAGTTCATTTCTTATACTCGTGGATAAACTTTGATCTGATTCTTACATAGTTTTCCATAATATGCATGGGATGGGTATGCACATTTAAAATTTTAATAAATACCTACAAGTTGCCAGCTAAATAGGCTGTACCAATTAAAGCCTCCTCCATCAGTGTTTCCCTGTATCCTTACCCACACTGTCATCTTTTTTTTTTTTAAATTGCTTTGGAGTAAATTACTTTTTTTTTTCTTGAGGCGGAGTTTTGCTCTTGTTGCCCAGGCTGGAGTGCAGTGGCGCGATCTCGGCTCACTGCAGCCTCTGCCTCCCAGGTTCAAGCGATTTTCCTGCCTCAGCCTCTCGAGTAGCTGGGATTACAGGCATGCACCACCATGCCCGGCTAATTTTGTGTTTTTAGTAGAGACAGAGTTTCTCCATGTTGATCAGGCTGGTCTCAAACTCCCGACGTCAGGTGATCCACTCGCCTCGGCGAACCAAAGTGTTAGGATTGCAAGTGTGAGCCACGGCGCCTGACCTTTTATTTTTTTTTTTTTTGAGACAGTTCCACTCTATTGCCCAGGCTGGAGTGCAGTGGCGCGATTTCGGCTCACTGCAACCTCCACCTCCCAGGTTCAAGTGATTCTCGTGCCTCAGCCTCCTGAGTAGCTGGGATTACAGGCGCCCACAACCACACCCGGCTAATTTTTGTATTTTTAGTAGAGGGAGGGTTTCACCATGTTGGCCGGTCTGGTCTTGAACTCCTGACCTCAAGTGATCCGCCTGCCTCGGCCTCCCAAAGCGCTGGGATTACAGGCATGAGCCACCGCGCCCGGCCTACTTTACACGTTTTTTATTACTAGTGAGGCTATATATGGTTTTAGAGGGCAAGGGCTGAAATCATCTACCAACTTCATATCTACTCACTGAACATTTGCTTTTAATGAATGAATGCTACTAAAGCATTTCTGCTTTATTAGGTTTAGGCTGAAGAAGGATGAGTTAGCTAAGTGTGTGAAAGGTTAAAAAAAGCTGAACTTGCTCCCTGCATGTGTGCCTTAAATAAGTAAAGGGATTCTTCCTTCACTTCTTCTCTTCTGTGAGAGGTAAGGTAGTGAAGTAGTTAAGAGCCAGGCTCTGGAGACAGATTTCCTGGATTTATATCACAGCTTTGCCTCTTACTAGCTGTGCAACCTTGGGCAGTTTACTTAATCTTTGTTTTTCAGTTTCCTCATTCATAAATTAGAGAACACCTTGCTTATAAGGTTGTTGTGAAGGATGATCAGGGCCTGAAACCAGGAGGTATGATTAGAGCGGAAGCAATTTATTTGAGAGAGAGTTAGGAATAGAACTTTGAGTGGTAATTGTTTGTTTGTTTGTTTGTTGTTGTTGTTTTTGAGATGGAGTCTTGCTCTGTCGCCCAGGCTGGAGTGCAGTGGCATGATCTCGGCTCACTGCAAGCTCTGCCTCCCGGTCCACGCCATTCTCCTGCCTCAGCCTCCCGAGTAGCTAGGACTACAGGTGCCCGCCACTACGCCTGGCTAATTTTTTGTATTTTTAGTAGAGACGGGGTTTCACCATGTTAGCCAGGATGGTCTCGATCTCCTGATCTCGTGAGCCACCACGCCCGGCCTATGAGTGGTAATTGTTAAAGGAATAAAGTATGGTTCAGAGAAAGTTCAGCCTCTGTAGTGTTGTAGAGGTGGTATGGAAAGCAAACTCTGGAGGTGGATGAAGTTAAGTACCATATGAAATCCCAATCACTTAATAAAAGAAACGATATTTTAACAGCCAAAAGATAGAGTATGATATCAGAATAAACCATAGTACTGTAATACTTAATGTATGAAAAGCTCACTACAATCTTCTTTTTCCTTATAGACTGGTTCATAAACCAGCATTTGGAAATCACTAATGTAGGCTGATCCCCTCCTTTTGCCCCTGTTTGAAAACAGGGCCAAAATTAGAAAGCTTCATGGTAGATAGAGTTTGGAGTAGAATCCAGTTCTTTTTTGTTTGTTTTTATTTTTTGCCCTCAAACATTCTCCCATCCAACAGAATCCAGTTCTTAAAAGGTACTCTAGTGTTTTTTCTATAGTCGTGCCGTGCTCTTCACATCTGATTTTGGCTTATTATTTATAAAGTTTTTTTTTGTTGTTGTTATTTTTTGAGACAGTCGCGCTGTCCCCCAGCCTGGGGTGCAGTGGTGCGAATTTGCTCACTGCAACCTCCGCCTCCCAGGTTCAAGCGATTCTCCCGTCTCAGCGTCCCAAGTAGCTGGGATTACAGATGCGTGCCATCATGCCCAGCTAATTTTGTATTTTTAGTAGAGACTGGGTTTCACCATGTTGGCCTGGCTGGTCTCGAACTCCTGACTTCAGGTGATCCACCCACCTCGGCCTTCCAAAGTGCTGGGATTACGGGTGTGAGCCACTGTGACCAGCCTATGAAGTTTTTGTTTTTTAAACCCAGTGCTGCCCTATCATAACATTTCTATAATTTTTTTTTTTTTTTTTTTTTGAGACAGAGTCTCAGTCTGTTGCCCAGGCTGGAGTGCAGTGGTGGGACCTCCCCTCATGCAACCTCTGCCTCCTGGATTCTAGCGATTCTCATGCCTCAGCCTCCCAAGTAGCAGGTTTTACAGGTGTGCGCCATCACACCTGGCTAATTTTTGTATTTTTACTGGAGACAGGGTTTCACCATGTTGGCCAGGCTGGTCCCAAACTCCCGACCTTAGGTGATCTGCCTGCCTCAGCCTCCCAAAGTGCTGGGATTACAGGTGTGAGCCACTGCATCCGGCCAATAAAGTATTGACTTCATTTTTGGTTACAGAGGTTAATCTCCGATGAGTTAAGCATCAGTTTTAAACCAACAGAACCCAAGACCAAACCACTGAAAGTCATGAACGTATATAAGAAATAGCTAAAAAGACATTTTACTCTACCTGTGATTAGACTCAGTTCCTCATCCCAAAACACGCTGAGGTTTAGTGTTCGTAGTTGATTAGTGGCAAATAACATGCATAAATCTATATACTCAACCTCTTAATATGTCTAAAAGGTTTTTGAATACTAAGCTAAACATGCTATTTCATGCTAGAAAAACATAGGAAAGCATAACTAGCTAAGACATTTTAAATTATTTGTCCTCAGCAGCTGTCAGAAACGTTCTCAACTCCATTTAACTGAGTTCCACATATTATCACACACAAAGCTGAGAGACTTAGTCTGAAGTTATATAGGCCACAGAGAGCATATTTGTGGCTTGAGTTTACAAATAGATAAAAGTAGCCAGCTTGCAAATTAATGGGTTGTGCTGCTGTGTCAGGGTCCCACTTAGGTATGTGAAATGTGAGAAAAACCTGAGACAGGATTTCAGAGCTAAGGATTAGAGTGGCAGGCAGATTGAGGACTATAGTGAGGACAAAGAAAAGGTGAAACAGCCATGGAGAGTCCTTGTAAAGACTACTTTCCCTTCAGGGCTTGTGTGCTCCCAGAGGATAAAGAAAAGATCTTGGGTAGACTTATGAATTAGGTAAAGATTTTTTTTTTTTTTAACTTAACCGTATTTCAGATGAGGGGGTGGCTTGCCAAATCTCCCACTATTACTGTAAATTTTATCTTCTTTCCATAGCAGTGGTATCTTATTTAAGAGATTTTTTTGGGACTGGAAAAGTGGTGGGGCCTTTTTTCTTTGGATGGCTGATTCATTCTTTCTCACTGATGGTGTGTTATGCTTGTGTTAGTGATACTGATATGGAAAAGCTCTGAAGACCCAAGTAGATTACTGGGCCAAGTAGATTACTGTGTCCTGCAGGAATGAAATTGTCTCCCACGGAGGTATTATTAAGCTAAGAGAATCTCTTCTTATAACTGTTAAAACCAGAAGAAAATTTAGGAGTGATCTGTTCCAACTTTTCTTATTTTATAGTTGGAGAAACTGAAATTCACATAGAATGAGGAACTTGTTGAAGTTACGTAGCATCTTAAATTGGCAAGTCTAGAATCTTTGTCTTCCCATTCCTGGCACGGTATTCTTTCCATGATACCATTATAATTGTTGAAACAAATTTTAAATTAGACCACAATTATAGTAGTAGGTTTTGAGAGGATTTAAGAAGAAGCACTTGAGGCCGGGCGCGGTGGCTCACGCCTGTAATCCCAGCACTTTGGGAGGCTGAGGCGGATGGATCACAAGGTCAGGAGATCGAGACCATCCTGGGTAACTCGGTGAAACCCCGTCTCTACTAAGAATGCAAAAAAAGTAGCCGGGTGTGGTGGCGGGTGCCTGTAGTCCCAGCTACTCGGGAGGCTGAGGCAGGAGAATGGCGTGAACCCGGGAGGTGGATCTTGCAGTGAGCCGAGATGGCACCACTGCACTCAGCCTGGGCAACAGAGTGAGACTCCGTCTCAAAAAAAAAAAGAAGAAGCACTTGAATATTTTTGCAGCATGTAGATATGTAATTAATATTAGGAGTGATAGCATTTGAGGAGAAAACTAGAGAATAAAGGGAAACAAGGTTGTGTTTATATTTTTAAATTGGAGCGTATTTTTCAACTTCATAATACCAAATTAATTAAAATTATGTTATTTAAATATTTGTCTTTTTCAGTTATAACTTGTTCACTGTGTTGGGGGGTGGTATGCCCACATGCACTTAAACTTCATCACTAAGATGAAATAGATGATCAGTTCTGGGAGTCAAGCTTTTACTAAACTTGGGTGACTGGTCCTAAGTGGCGTACATCATACTGGAGTGAGAATTGACTTGCATGCTATTGCTTTTGGTTTCTGCAGGTTTTGTAGTGCATCCCTGAGCATGAGCACAGAATGAAGCGGCGTTTGGATGACCAGGAGTCACCGGTGTATGCAGCCCAGCAGCGTCGGATCCCTGGCAGCACAGAGGCTTTTCCTCACCAGCACCGGGTGCTTGCCCCTGCCCCTCCTGTGTATGAAGCAGTGTCTGAGACCATGCAGTCAGCTACGGGAATTCAGTACTCTGTAACACCCAGCTACCAGGTAAGCTGGAGCCAACCAAGGGACTAGAATGAGGGAAGAGAAATAGTGGTTTTAGGCAATTATAAAACTTTTTTTAATACTGTGTTAGATATTAAAAATTGTTGAGTATGTGTAAGGTAAAAAAAAAAATAACTGTGTACTCACCATACAAGTTTTTAAAAAAAGAATGTTGTCATGACCTTTGAAGTTCCCTGCGTATCCCACTCTGCTCCCTTCTTTTCCCTCCCTTCAGAGGTAGCCACTGATCTAAACTTTGTATTTATCATTCCCTTGACTTTATTTACTTAAAAAAACTAACATAATTGTTTAGTTTCGGTATTTTTGAACTTTTATATAAATGGAAACATTTTCTTCTTTGACTCACTTTGTTTTAAAAACCCCATATTTTTATAGATCGCTGTAATTCCACCATTTTCACTGTAGTGTAAATTACATGCATATACTCAATTTATTTGTCAATTCTACTGTTGGACTATTGGGCTGTTTCCAGGTTTTTGCTTTTACAAAGGTGCTGCTGTGAACATTGTGATATTGTCTTAGTGCACTCAGTGGCAATTCATGACAAAATAAGAAGCTTGTGCCAGAATTTAAATCAACGCACTTATTAAGACAGTTTTGCTATTTATTTTTAAAAAAGACAGCTGAATTAAACATCATTGTAGTGAAATATGGCTGACTCTTGGACAGTGTGGGGGTTGAGGCACTGACTTCCCCCCATGCAGTCAAAAATACATGTATAACTTTTTTCCTTTTTCTTTTTTTAGGAGATAGTGTCTTGCTCTGTGGCCCCTGTTGGGGTGTAGTGGTGCGATCATGACTCACTGCAGCCTCAAACTCTTGGGCTCAAGCAGTCCTCCCGTGCCCTAGCCTCCCTAGTAGCTAGGACTACAGGTGCACACCACCATGCCTGGCTAATTTTTATGATTTTTGTAGAGATGAGGTGTTGCTGTGTTGCTCAGGCTGGTCCTAAACTCTTGGCCCAAAGCTATCCTCCCCCAGCCAGCCTCCCAAAGAGCTGGGATTACAAGTCTGAGCCACTGCGTCTGGCCAATGTATAATTTTTGACTCCCCTAAAACTTAAATACAAATAGCCTATTGTCCAGAAGCTTTACCGATAACATAAATGGTTGATTAGCATGTATTTTGTATATTTGTCATATACTATATTCTTAAAATAATCTAGAAGAAACAAAATACTAAGAAAATCATAAGGAAGAGAAAATATATCTACCATTTATTAAGTGGAAGTGGATCATCATAAAGGTCTTCATCCTTGTCTTCACATTGAGGAGGCTGAGGAGGAGGGAGAAAGAAGATGAAGGGTTAGTCTGGCCATCTCAGGGTTGGCAGAGGTGGGAGAAAATCCATGTATAAGTGGACTTGTGTTGTTGCTGAGTGCAGTGGCTCGCACCCATAATCCCAACAGTTGGCGAAGTTGGAAGCATGAGGATTGCCTGAGCCCAGGAGTTTGAGATCAGCCTGGGCAACATAGCAAGCCCCGTCTCTCCTAAAAATAAAGATTAGCAGGGCGTAATGGTGCACACTTGTGTTCCTAGCTACTTGGGAGGCTGAGGTGAGAGGATCATTTGAGCCTGGGAGGTTGAGGCTCCAGTGAATATGCTTCCGCACCCAGCGTGGGTGACAGAGTGTGAACTTGTCTCAAAAAGAAAGAATTAATTAATTAATTTGAAAAAATAAATAAAAAATTAGCCAGGCATAGTGGTGTGCATCTGTAGTCCTAGCTACCCGGGAGACTGAGGTGAGAGGATTGCTCAAGCCCAGGAAGTCAAGGCTGCAGTGAGCTGTGATCAAGCAACTGTACTTCAGACTGGACAACAGTGCAAGACCCTGTCTCCTTAAAAACAAAACAAAAACCCGTGTTATTCAAGGGTCTACCATCGTTGGTTTACATTGTGGTGCAAACTCCTTAACCTGTTGGAAACCAGTCAGCAGGTTTGAGGACATACAAGAGTTTGTCAAGTACCTATGAAAGGGATTGCTGTGTCACAGGGTATATGCATCTTTAGCAAGTTCCCCCAAGCATTGTATATTCCTGTTCTATGTCCTGACCAACACTGATCATTCATCTGTTACTCTGTTTTGTAGAAGTGAAGAAATTTGGTTTTTGCCCTTTTTTATTATGAAAGTAATGTATCACTTTGGTTTTTTTATTTTTTATTTTATTCATTTATTTATTTATTTATTTATTTATTTTGAGATGGAGTTTCGCTCTTATCACCCAGGCTGGAGTGCAGTGGTGCGATCTCGGCCCACTGCAACCTCTGCCTCCCGGGCTCAAGTGATTCTCCTGCCTCAGCCTCCCGAGTAGCTGGGATTACGTGCACCTGCTGCCATGCCTGGCTAATTTTTTGTGTTTTTAGTAGAGATGGGGTTTCGCCATGTGGGCCAGACTGGTCTCGAACTCCTGACCTCAGGTGATCTGCCCCTCTTGGCCTTCCAAAGTACCGGGATTACAGGTGTGAGCCACCACGCCTAGCCTATTTTATTTATTTATTTATTTATTTTTGAGACAGACTCTCTGTCTGTTGCCCAGGCTGGAGTGCAATGGTTCAGTCTTGGCTCAGTGCAGCCTCTGCCTTCTAGGTTGAAGCGATTCTCTTGCCTCAGCCTCCCGAGTAGCTGGGATTACAGGCGTGCACCACCACGCCCAGCTAATTTTTGTATTTTTAGTGGAGATGGGGTTTCGCTGTGCTGGCCAGGCTGGTCTTGACCTCAGGTGATCCGCCTGTCTGCCTTCCAAAGTGCTGGGATTACAGGCGTGAGCCACTGCACCCGGCCTTATTTTATTTTTTTGAGATGGTGTCTCGCTCTGTCGCCCCAGCTGGAGTGCAGTGGCGTGATCTTGGCTCACTGCAACCTCTGGCTTCCAGGTTCAAGTGATTCTCATGCCCCAGCCTCTTGAGTCGCTGGGATTACAGGCGCAAGCCACCATGCCCGGCTAATTTTTGTATTTTTAGTAGAGACAGGGTTTTGCCATGTTGGGCAGGCTGGTCTTAAACTCCTGGTTTTAAGTGATCTGCCTGCCTTGACCTCCCAAAGTGCTGGGATTACAGGTGTGAGCCACTGCACCCTGCCACACTTTGATTTTTTTTTAAAAAAAGGATATAAAATGACTTTTTTTCTGTCACACCTCAGATTTTCTCCCACTGGTGAATTTCTTGGGTATCCAGTTTTATATGCATATACAAGCTCATCTATATCAACCTGTCTAGCTATCTAAATTTACTTTTTTTTTTGAGACAGAGTCACACTCTCGCCCAGGCTGGAAGGCTGTGGCATGATCTCAGCTCACTGCACCCTTCACCTCCTGGGCTCAAGCAATCCTAGCACCTCAGTCTCCCAAGTAGTTGGGACTACAGGTGCATGCCACCACACCTGGCTAATTTTTGTATTTTTTCTATAGAGACAGAGTTTCACCATGTTTCCCAGGCTGGTCTTGAACTCTTGGACTCAAGTGATCTGCCCGACTCGGCCTCCCAAACTGCTAGGATTACAGGCATGAGCCACCTCGTCCGCCCTTTCTGCTTTTCTTTTTGTACAATGTGGATCATACATTACATACTATTGTGCTGTTTGCTCTTTTCATTTAATATATAGTGGATATCTTTCTACTTCAGCATATAACTGGTCTGGGGAGGCCTTCAACCTCATTTGTTAGTGACCTTAAAAATGTACGGCTGGTAATGGGAATATAAACTGACGTAATCTTTTTTGAGAGCAATTTGGCAGTTTGTGTCAGATGGTTTTGTTAGTTTTTGACCTGGCAATTCCATTTCTAGGAATTTAGTATAAAAATATAAAGAAGAGGAAATGCAGCTGAAGTAGGAAATGGTGATTCCTTAGGTGTCACTCTTCCTCAGGAGTCCCCTTGAGGCTGTCTAATCCCTTCCTGTGGGGCTGGGGCAGCAGTCAGAAGACTGCCAACAGATGGCATCTTTTAGGACTTGGAAGAAAAAAAAGTTGCTTGTTTACCTTGGGTGATTACTTTCATTATCTAAACAGGTTAATGACTGTTTTCTACATTTGGGATAGTTAAATTTCTTCCGAATGGAAACTATAATGTGTTTGTATAAGTCAGTCTAGTGAAAGCCTGTAAACCCTGTAAAAAACATGCATGTTGGAATACAGAAGCTCAGAATACTAGCCCATCTTTGAGGTACATTAGAGCTTTTAGAATTGTCTAAATAGTTTCTTTTTACTCTTAATACACCTTGTTTTGTTTCTGTGGATTTATGCATAGTTGCTTGGTTTCTCCCTCTCCCTCATTTCTTCATCTCCCTCCAGGATAATTTTTATAAAAGTGAGGATTTGAAAAAAAGTTTTATTCTCTCTTAAATTGTGGTATAAAACTTAACATTGTTTAGAGAAAGAAAGTTTCATGTTATTTAGTCTCCTTATTTTGGGGATGGGGCATTTGGGCATTTGGACAGATTGTTGTCTTCTGTGGTGATCAACAATTCTGAAAAAGGAAAAAAGTTCTGAAAAAAATTTTGTAGCATTTCTTGAAATAGATATAGAAGGAAAGTAGTTTTGGCTTTTATTTCCTCAAACTTGTAAGAGGACAGGAGAAAGACTGAGATAAAAGAATAGAAAAGACATTTGTTTGAGGCCAAACCATCAAGAATTAGGGGGAAAAAATTTATTTTACATTAGATACAGTGCTCGTAGCAAATCAAGATAAGCAAAATAAGCCAAGTAGGCCAGGCGCGGTGGCTCACACCTGTAATCCCAGCACTTTGGGAGCCCAAGACGGGTGGATCATTTGAGGTCAGGAGTTCGACACCAGTCTAACCAGGGTGAAACCCTGTCTCTACTAAAAATACAAAAATTAGCTGGGCATGGTGGCAGGCACCTGTAATCCCAGCTACTCAGGAGGCTAAGGCAGGAGAATCGCTTGAACCTGGGAGGCACAGGTTGCAGTGAGCCGAAATTGTGCTACTGCACTCCAGCCTGGGCGATAGAGCGAGAGTGTTTCAAAAACAAAAAGAAACAAAGTAAGAGTCATCTTTAATTCTGTAACCACAAGATTAAATGCCAACATTTTGCTATATATTAGTTGTCTAAGGTTTGAAATCTTTTTATCATACTGCTTTGTAATGTGCTTTTATTATTTTTTTGAGACAGGGTCTTTGTCAGCCAGTGTAATGTGCTTTAAAAAACTATTTAAAAGTTTATATACAGTACATGAATATGTTCAACTTGTGGATTATGAACTTTTTTTTCAGATTCAAATATATCCATATATATCATTGTTGAAGTGTGGCTTAAAAATGGCTAATCTGTATCCTTTGTTACTAGTTTGTAATGGCATAAGTATAGAAATTGTTTAGAAACTATTAGAGCAATTGGACATGATCATTTTTTATTTGTAAAATCCAGTAATGAAAGTTACAGGCTGGGCACAGTGGCTTACGTCTATAACCCCAGCACTTTGGGAGGCCAAGGCAGGTGGACTCCATACCCAAGAGTTCAAGACCAGCCTGGGCAACATGTTGAAACCCTGTTTCTACAAAAAGTACGACAATTAACCAGGCATGGTGGTACATGCCTGTAGTCCCAGCTACTCGGGAAGCTGGGGTGGGAGGATCATCTGAGCCTGGGGAGGTCAAGGCTGCAGTGAGCCATGATTGTACCACTGCACTCCAGCCTGGGTGAGAGAGCGGGACCCTGTCTCAATAAAAAGGTAAGAAAAAAAATTACGGGTTTATGTATTTTTGTTGTTTTGTTTTTTGAGATGGAGTTTCACTCTTGTTGCCTAGGCTGGAGTGCAGTGGCGTGATCTCAGCTCCCCGCAACTTCCACCTCCCTGGTTCAAGCAATTCTCCTGCCTCAGCCTCCCGAATAGCTGGGATTACAGGCATGCGCCACCATGCCTGTCTAATTTTGTATTTTCAGTAGAGATGGGGTTTCTCCATGTTGGTCAGGCTGGTCTCGAGAACTCCCAACCTCAGGTGATCCGCCCACCTCGGCCTCCCAAAGTGCTGGGATTACAGGCATGAGCCACCACGCCCGGCGGGTTTATGTATTTTTTATTTCACTTTCATAGTAATTTATTTTTATTGGATTTTTATAAAAGTTGTGGTCCCTGATGGATTGAAATTTTAAGAAAAAAACTCATCCTTTACCACAGACAGTTTGAGATAAACTATATAATTTTTTTTCTTCTTTTTGGAGACAGAGTCTTGCTCTGTTTTCTAGGCTGGAATGCAGTGGCATGATCTCAGCTCACTGCAACCTCCACCTCCCAGGTTCAAGTGATTACCGTGCCTCAGCCTCTCAGTAGCTGGGATTACAGATGCGTGTTACCACGTCCAGCTATTTTTTTTGGTATTTTCAGTAGAGACAGGGTCTTACCATGTTGGCCAGGCTGGTCTCAAGCTCCTGAACTCAAGTGATCTGTCTGCCTGGGCCTCCCAAAGTGCTGGTTACAGGTGTGAGACACTGTTCCCAGCTAAACTATATATATATTTTTTTGTTTGTTTGTTTTTGAGATGGAGTCTTGCTTTGTCGTGCAGGCTGGATTGCAGTGGCACGATCTTGGCTCACTGCAAGCTCCGCCTCCTGGGTTCACGCTATTCTCCTGCCTCAGCCTCCCGAGTAGCTGGGACTGTAGGTGCCCGCCAACACGCCTGGTTAATTTTTTGTATTTTTAGTAGAGACGGGGTTTCACCATGCTAGCCAGGATGGTCTCGATCTCCTGACCTCGTGATCCGCCTGCATTGGCCTCTCAAAGTGCTGGGATTACAGGCATGAGCCACCGTGCCCGGCTATATAATTTTTAATAGCTACAAATAATTTTGTTATAACTTTGGTGGGCTGTAATTTATTTAACCAGTTCCTTTTGTGGAAAATTTGGGTTTCTTTCTTTTTCTTTTCTTTCTTTTTTTTTAGAGACGGTCTCATTCTGTCACCTGGGCTAGAGAGCAGTGGTGTGATCACAGCTCACTGCAGCCTTGAACTCCTGGACTCAAGCAATCCTCCTCCTTTAGCCTCTGGAGTAGGTGGGACCACAGGTGCATGTTGCCATGCCTGGCCAAGTTTTTATTTTTTGTGGAGATGGGTGTCACTATGTTGCCCAGGCTTTCTTTTCTCTTTTTAGAGACGTGGTCTCACTCTGTGGCCCAAGCTGGAATGCAGTGGCATGATCATAGCTCACTGCAGCCTTGAACTCCTGAGTTCAGGCGATCTTCCTATGTAGGTGAGATAGGTGTGAGCCATCACGCCCAGCAGAAATTTGGGTTTCCAATTAATTATCTTTGTGCATTTGTGTTAGTTATTTAGACTCATTTGGGGAAGAATGTACAAGCCTTGAAGTTTCCTGTCTGTATTTTGTTCACCCCAGGTTTCAGCCATGCCACAGAGCTCCGGCAGTCATGGGCCCGCTATAGCAGCAGTTCATAGCAGCCATCATCACCCAACAGCGGTGCAGCCCCACGGAGGCCAGGTGGTCCAGAGTCATGCTCATCCAGCCCCACCAGTTGCACCAGTGCAGGGACAGCAGCAATTTCAGAGGCTGAAGGTGGTATTCAGCTCTTTTTCTTGGGTCAAAAAATTTATCTTTAGCAGGAAATACTGGTTGCAGCTTGTTGGTTGTGGTGGTACAACTTCTAACCTGAGATACTAGCTGTCGAATCACAAGTTTTACCGTTTTTGTTTTGTGAAATTTGCTTATGTTTCCTATCTTGGCATCAGTGCCTGATCCAGAGAAGAATATACTCAAATGTTTGTGGACTGTATGAATGCATGTCGGTCAAATGTTATCAGGATTGTGGGGCCATTTTAATACAAAATAAACCTTAAAATTCATTTTTTGGCTGCTTCCTTTTGAACTCTCTATTGAGCACATATATGATTGGCTACAGGTTAGTACAGTAAATTGGCCCAGTAATATATCTTACAGTTCAATCTTTTTAAATTCTTAAAAATTTTTTTTTTTAGTTTTTAGTTTCAGAGATGGGAGTCTCACTGTGTTCCCCAGGCTGGTCTCAAACTGCTGGCCTCAAGTGATTCTCCCATCTTGGCCTTCGAAAGTGTTGGGATTACAGGTGCGAGCCACTATGCCCAGCTCATGCCTGTAATGTTCTTATTACCTTTATCTTTTTATTCCTGTTTATGAATAGCTGAATTGACTCACATCATCAAGTCCATTCTTAGTAAAACACATGCTCCTTTTTGGGGGGAATCTTTATAAAGTTCAGGGAAAACTGTAACTGTGAATGAATTATCAGTGTTTTCATATTTTCTGCTGAGTATGTGTGGTACGTTTTCAGTGCTTTGAAATTCATGAGGCATCCCTGGAGAAGTGAAGCTTGTGTTCCCAGCTAACCTTGTATCTCTGACCACTTGAATGTTACTTTTCAAAATATGTGATTGTTGCAGCAAGTGTTCAGGTTTCAATTTTTCTAATTTTACGTTTATATAAAATTAAGTTCAGGAAATAATAAATGGAGGAACTCTGAAGAGATGTTAAATCTTCATTTGGTTATTGCAACCTACTTATGTTGCTTGCAGGCACGAATGAGAAATAAACCCTCTAAGGACATATCCATATGCAGCAAATAGTTGTTTCTTCTGTTTTCCCTGATACTTACTTTAGTTCTTCTTGATCCCTGCCCTCGTTGGTGTGGATTCTTGGGAACTTGTTTAATATTGGCCTAAGAGTATTAAATGCTACATAAATATTATAAAGTACAGCAAAGCTATGTGATTTAGAGTAATTTTGTAAAATTTACTCTCTATATTGGCTTACATAGTATTGACTAATGCATAGCCTTTTAAAGAGAGTACAGGTTTTTTAGGCCTGAAGCTTCACTCTGGATTCTGTCTTTGGGAAAATGTGTATAAGGAATATTGATGTTTCCTTTAAAACATTTTCAGTCTGTTGTAGAGTGATGGCTGTGTACCAAAATGTATTATTGCTGCGGGCTTAGCACTTTACTAAGTCCTGAAAATATTTTTTTTAAAACTTGGTTGTGCGTGATTTAATTCTGTATTAACACTGTATATTCAGTAGTTATACTTTAATGTTGCAAAATAGCTTATAAACTTGCTTATTAAACTAACAAAAACATATGTATTTCTATAGCCTTTTTCAATCAACCCTATCAAAGCACAACACCAGTTTTTACCCACCTTCCTCACAGGACTCTTTGGTATAAGTATATGGATTATGTTTTGTTTGCTTTATGGAAACTGGCAAGGAAACAAGGAAAGGTTTTGGATTTGGGGTTATAGAGTGAGTCATAGATAGAGTTAGGATTTCTTGTTGTGTTCTTTTAGTCACAAGCTCTTGACTATATTCCTGCATAAAATAACTTGTTGAATTTCCTTTCTGATGAGGAGAGGTAAAATGCTTCTTGTACCTCCATGTAATTTAACTCAGTATTCCCACATTGCCTGTCATTTTTGGATCAGTCTTAAAATGCATTACAAGCATTTGAATCAACTTCAATAAATCATTTATATTCTATAATAATGTAGGCCGGGCATGGTGGCTTACACCTGTAATCCCAGCACTTTGGGAGGCCGAGGTGGGTGGATCACCTGAGGTCAGGAGTTCAAGACCAGCCTGACAAATGTGATGAAACCATGCCTCTACTAAAAATACAAAATGAGCCAGGCATGGTGGCGCATGCCTGTAATAATCCCAGCTACTCAGGAGGCTGAGGCAGGAGAATCGTTGGAACCCAGGAGGCAGAGATTGCAGTAAGCCAAGATCATACCACTGCACTCGAGTCTGGGCGACAAGAGTGAAACTCCGTCTCAGAAAAAACAAACAAAAAAAAAGAAATGTTCAGTGAGAATGCTTACACATTATTTCAAGCCTCAACATTGTCTTTTTTTTTTGTTTTTTGTCTTTGGTAGATTGGTGGTGACAAGAAGGGATTTGAACGATTTGAGGCATGTTTGGTGTTATTTAGTTATTGAATGTCAGCAGCAGTGATATTTGGTACATATTTAGCAGGTTATCTTTACAGTTGCTTGTGTTTTTCTCTCCCAACAAGATTGTAGACTTCAGGAGATTCGGGGCCTTAATAGTAAATCCCTGTTGAAGTGAGCTAAGAAACTTTATCAGCAGAGTCTAAGGGTCTCCCCAAGTGCTTCCTTAAATCTGTAGCTTCTAAATAACTACATCCAAGTTTTTTTTTTAAGTTGTGCTACCTAGAACTGTATACATGCATTTATAGAGAGTTTATATAAGAGTTGGACTATGCTTTAGGTGATGAGAGAATTTCCTCACTATTTTTACATGTAGGTGTCTTATTTATTATGTGAGTGTCATGCAGAGTTTTTAAAGCATAGGATTATTCTATAACTTTTATTTTACTTTTTTGTTTTTTTGAGACAGAGTCTCACTCTGCTGCCCAGGCTGTAGTGCAGTGGCGCCATCTCAACTCACTGCACCCTCCCCTGCCTGGGTTCAAGTGATTCTTATGCCTCAGTCTCCCAAATAGCTGGGATTACAGGCATGCACCACCAAGCCTAATTTTTGTATTTTTTTTTTTTTTTACTAGGACGGGGTTTTTCCATGTTAGCCAGGCTGCTCTCAAACTCCTGGCCTCAAGGGATCCACCCTCCTTGGCCTCCCAGAGTACTAGGATTACAGGCATGAGCCACCACACCTGGCCTATAACTAATTTTTAAACAGTGGTTTGCTTGGTTTGCTGTGACTTTCAGTACCTTTTTGTTTCAGACATATACATATCACACATAATTGCTTTCTTTTGGGTTTCTGTACTTTTTCCGTCTCTGCAGTAGTTACCTTATACCATACCATGTCTTATTGATAACTGTTCTTTTGTTGTGTAATGATGCATGCTATTCTTAAATATCTTCCAAAGTCTTGGTTCCTTTTGCAAACTTAATATATTTTGTGTTCACTTAAGTTGGTCATTAATGAAACATTTTAGTATGGAAAGTTCAGAATATGAATTAAAATAGTCCATTGAATTTCAACAGAAATTGTCATGATATTTGTATAGAAAAACTAACCATCAAACAAGTGGGTATTGACCAACTATACAATCTGATTTCTAGCAACACCGAAACACTGATTAACCATGGCCGTAATGGAAGTCTGAAGAACTCTTAAACAGCCATTTGTCTCGGGGCCGGGTGCGGTGGCTCACGCCTGTAATCCTAGCACTTTAAGAGGCCGAGGCGGGCAGATCACGAGGTCAGGAGATCGAGACCATCCTGGCTAACACAGTGAAATCCCGTCTCTACTAAAAATAGAAAAAAAAATTAGCCGGCCGTGGTGGCGGGCGCCTGTAGTCCCAGCTACTTGGGAGGCTGAGGCAGGAGAATGGCGTGAACCCGGGAGGCAGAGCTTGCGGTGAGCCGGGAAAGCGCCACTGCACTCCAGCCTGGGCGATAGAGCGAGACTCTGTCTCAAAAAAAACAAAAACAAAAAAGCGGCCATTTGTCTCAATCCATTAGTGCTGCTATAACAAAATACCTGAGACTGTATAATCTAAATAATAGCAGTTTATTTCTCACAGTTCTGGAGAAGTTCTGGGGGCTGGGAAATCTAAAATCAAGGTGCTGGCCGGGTGCGGTGGCTCACGCCTATAATCCCAGCACTTTGGGAGGCTGAGGAGGGCAGATCATTTGAAGTCAGGAGTTCAAGACCAGCCTGGCCAACATGGTAAAACTACCGAAGATACAAAAAAATGAGCCAGGCATGATGGCATGCACCTGTAATCCCAGTTACTCTGGAGGCTGAGGCACGAGAATCGCTTGAACTCAGGAGGTGGAAGTTGCAGTGAGCCGAATTTGTGCCACTGCACTCCAGCCTGGGTGACAGAGTGAGACCATGTCTCAAAATAAATAAATAGGCCAGACGCAGTGGCTTACGCCTGTAATCCCAGCACGTTGGGAGGCCGAGGCGGGCGGATCACGAGGTCAGGAGATTGAGACCAGCCTGGCCAACATGGTGACACCCCATCTCTACTAAAAATACAAAAATTAGCTGGGCGTGGTGGCAGGCGCCTATAATCCCAGTTACTCAAGAGGCTGAGGCAGGAGAATCGCTTGAACCCGGGAGGCGGAGGTTGTATTGAGCTGAGATCGTGCCTTTGCACTCCAGCCTGGGAGACAAGAGCAAGACTTCATCTAAAAAAATAATAATAATAATAAATAAAATAAATAATAAAATAAAATCCAGGTGCCAGTTGGTTTGGTGTCTGGTGAGGGCCTGAACTCTGTTTTTCGAGATGGTCCCTGAATGTGTGTCCTTACACTGGAAGGGAGAAGGGCCGAAGGGACTAACACTGGTTCACTCCAGCCCTTTTATAAGGTCCCTAATCCCATTCATGAGGGCTCCACAATCACTTTCTGAAGGCCTCACTTCTTAATATCATCATATCGGTGATTAAGTTTCGATGTAAGAATTTTGTGGGACACATTTCAGACCACAGCACCAGTTAATGATTGACTTGAATGTAAATGTTCCATTTTGCAACAAATCAAAAGACTATCTATGCCTGGCCAGGTGTGGTGGCTCACATCTGTAATCCCAGCACATTGGGAGGCTGAGGCAGGCGGATCAGTTGAGGTCAGGAGTTCAAGACCAGCCTGGCCAACATGGTGAAATCCCATCTCTACTAAAAATACAAAAAAATTAGTTGGATGTGGTGACATGCGCCTGGAATCCCAGCTACTCAGGAGGCTGAGGCAGGAGATATCACTTGAACCCAGGAGGCAGAAGTTGCAGTGACCCGAGATTGCGCCATTGCACTCTAGCCTGGGAGACAAAATGAGACTCCCATCTCAAAAAAAAAAAAAAGAAAAAGACTGGCTTAAATCACATCAAATGTTTATTTCTGAAATTTCTTAAACCTGATATTTTGTATAATTTTAAATATTTAGGCTTCAGTTAAACTACCAAAATAAAACTTAACGTATCTCAGAGTAAATAGGAAACACCTAGTGGGGATTTCTTTTGGGTGTCTCTGTCCTAAATCAGACTCATAGCTTAGCCTTTCCAACCTGTTCTTCTTTGTGATAGGTCAGTTTTTTTTCTCCCCCAGCCAAACTGTATCCAGCTTTAAAGATACTTTCCAAAAACAGTCATGGTATTTCAGGCAGAACATGGACAATCCTTAACAATGAGCTACCAAAAAAAAAAAAGCCACTATAAAACCCAGTGAAGTCTCATTTGATGCTCTGAACAGGGAAAGTTTAGAGTGAAGGTTGACACTTCACATTTAGCATGTTGTTTAACAACTTTTCACAAGCCAACCCTGACTTTCAGGAAGTGAAATGAAAATGGCAGGACTTATCTGAAGATCCACAGTCTAGAAAAAGCAACCACTGCTCTTTTGAGGGCTGCCATTTCAGTGGCATCACTGGAAAGTTTGACTGCCTGACATATTGGTAACCAGTTATTGGGGGTTAGGTCCCAACAGGTGTCTGGGTAAAAGGGAGTTAGGTCTGTGAAGGTGGGGAGGGAGAACAGGATGTAAAAATGAATTTGTTTTTCCATCCCACAAGGTGTTTGTGCCAAGGTGGCCATGTGTGTTAAAAGTCAGGGAATCTAGGCTGGGTGTGGTGGCTCACGCCTGTAATCCCAGGACTTTGGGAGGCTGAGGCTGGCAGATCACTTGTGGTCAGGAGTTTGAGACCAGCCTGGCCAATGTGGTGAAATCCTGTCTGTACTAAAAATACAAAAATTAGCCAGGCATGCTGGCGGGTGCCTGTAACCCCAGCTACTCAGGAGGCTGAGGCAAGAGAATCGCTTGAACCCCGGAGGCAGAGGTTACAGTGAGCCAAGATCGCACCACTGCACTCCAGCCTGGGCAACAATAGCAAAACTCTGTCTCTAAATAAATAAGTAAATAAAGTCAGGGAATTTCTTCTATAAGCCAAGAGGAAGTCTCTCAAAACTAGAAGGGAAAGGTGTTTTCCCCACGTCAGTCCAGCTTCAAAGACATTCTATTAGTGACCTGTGATCCTTCCCACCAAAACAACAATGAAGTGTTCTGTGTGCGATAACAACACTGCTTTAGAAAAAGCAAAACAAAATTCTGCATTTTTATAAAGCTTGATTTAAACAATGGTATTTCAAAATTTACAAACTTCATAACTTTATAGTTCAAACTTTACAGTCACCAGAAGTACACAGTTACCAAAAATGCACATGTTTCACTTGGCATCTCTAGCACCTTCAGCTTTCTGTGCCTGGTCTGTTTTGGCATCTCCATTTCCTGCAAGGTTATTCCCCTCCCTGCCAGTGTCAGCATTTTCCTTTTTCCCTTTGGGTACCTCCTCTCTCTCCTTTGCAGGGGACTTTTTTTTTTTTTTTTTTTTTCCTGAGACCGAGTTTCACTCTTGTTGCCCAGGCTGGTGTGCAATGGCATGATCTCGACTCACCGCAACCTCCGCCTCCTGGGTTCAAGTGATTCCCCTGCCTCAGCCTCCCGAGTAGCTGGCATTACAGACATGCGCCACCATGCCTGGCTAATTTTTGTATTTTTAGTAGAGATGGGTTTCTCCGTGTTGGTCAGGCTGGTCTCGAACTCCTGACCTCAGATGATCCTCCCACCTCTGCCTCTGAAAGTGCTGGGATTGCAGGTGTCAGCCACTGCGCCCAGCCTGCATCCTTTTTAGGGTTGGGCTCTGGCTTTGGAGGAGCAGGTTTAGCATACAACCTTGCGGATCTTCTCTGGGTTGTTCTTCACCTTGGCTCTATCTCCTTTAGCATCCCCTTCAGGCTTTCTCTTGGGTGTGGTGGTGATGTGGAAGGATGTAAGCGCTGAGTGCGGGATGCAGTGGCATGTGGGCTTTGATCGGTCCGAGAGTCACTCTTGACTGTTCTTCCTCAGTGCTCCGTGGCGGATCACTTTTGAATGCTGGCTCTCCCTTAGCTCCTCTATTCAGTCAGTTCCCCAATCCTGTCACTTCTACTACCCAAAAAGCTTTTTTATCTATGCAGTTCTCTCTGTTGTTCTGGGCCAGTACTATAATTCAAGCCACTGTTTTCACATGAGTTGTCCAGTTATTCCTGTAGCATACCTGGTCTTCCTACCTCCTTTCAATCTTTTCTGCTCTTGTGCCAATTTTTTCTCAACACTGCAGTCAAATTGCGTACACGAAAATGCAGATGATAAAAATCTAAATTGCTTTTTCACAAGATTTACAAATCCTTTCAGAATCTAGATCCTGCTTTTTTTTCTGTCTCATTTTGTTACTTTTCCTTCCTCTTCACTACAGATCCTCCAGCCAAACTAAACTGTTTTCAGATTTCTAAATATCCCATATCGTATCCTGTCTAGGATTTTACCCGTGCTGCCGCTTTTGATTTTCTTCACTGGTCTTCACTTTTGCTAGCTTATAGTCATCTTTAGGTCTCAGTTTATACATTACCTCCTGGGGAAGCCTCACTTTTTTTGGTGGAGAAGACGTGTCCTTCCCATGTCATCTCCAGGCATGGAGTGATTACCGGGTTACCCACTGTGTTATGATTCCTGACTACATACAAACAAATGTCTATAGACGAGGGGCTACAAATTATTTGTCATTGAATCCTTGGTACTCACATTGGGCCTGGTATGTTGCAGTTTAGTAGATACTTGTGAAATGAATTAATAAATGATATATCATTGTAATTATTCTTCACTGATCATTCTGTTCAAAATTTTCCAAGGCAAGGCTACAGATTTTATGAGTTGATTATTATTTTAAGCTTGAGTTTATTATTGGTATCCATACTAACTTTTAAGTATATATTTAATATATTTTTACTTCATTTACTGCATTAAGCATACTTAGGCATAAATAATTTGTTTTTGTTTTTTTTTTGTAATTATGAGCTTACTTTCTTTTTATAACCTTGATATTTATCCCTGCCTCAGGTGGAGGATGCGCTATCTTATCTTGACCAGGTGAAGCTGCAGTTTGGTAGTCAGCCTCAGGTCTACAATGATTTCCTTGACATCATGAAGGAATTTAAATCTCAGAGGTAAAAGATGTGTGATTGTACTCAAGCTTTGTATCTGGCATATTGATTTTGGAAGGAAGAGGATATAGTTTATTTACTGGAAGATAAAGGATGCTCCTTTTTGCAGCTGAATTTTCAAAATCATGCCTTTATTTTATGCATACCTTTATTGATGGAAATTATGGCCACTAGACTTTTTTATCCCTATTGGTAAATTTTCCTTAACTAAATTTTTTCCAGTGTTTTGTCTCAATCAGGGAAGTAGCACTGGTAGTGATTTAGGCTACTTGGTTTCTGAATTGGTTTAGATACCCTTATATTCTGGCATGGTTCACTGTTGTAAGAGTGTAACTCATCTGAACAATGTAGATGTGTGCTGAAATGATGTATACTGGTATATCAAAGAGTGAATCTTGTTTGGGATATGTAGCTTTATATATATCATCTGAGTATCTGCTTGGTAGAATTATTACAATGAACATATATTCTGTTAAAAATTTTGACCATTCCAAAAATTAGCCGGGCATGGTGGCGGGTGCCTGTAATCCCAGCTACTTGGGAGGCTGAGGCAGGAGAATTGCTTGAACCCAGGAGGCGGAGGCTGCAGTGTGCCGAGATTGTGCTACTGCACTCCAGCCTGGGCAACAGAATGAGACTCTGTCTCAAAAAAAAAAAAAACAAATTGTGGCCAAGTATCTTTGAGTCTAAAACTAAATGGCTTTGGAATTTCAGAGTTCGTGTGTTAATTTTAAAATGCGTAGATGATCTGTTTTCCTGTTTAGAGAAAACCTAGTAGAAAGTGAAATTTTGAGTGAGGTGGCTCATGCCTGTAATCCCAGCACTTTGGGAGGCCAAGGTGGGCGGATCACCTGAGGTCAGGAGTTCGAGACCAGCCTGGCCAACATGGTGAAACCCCACCTGTCCTAAAAATACAAAAATTAGCCGGGTATGGTGGCGCATGCCTGTAATCCCAGCTACTTGGGAGGCTGAGGCAGGAGAATCACTTGAACTCGGGAGGTGGAGGTTGCAGTGAGCCAAGACCCCAAGATTGCACCATTGCAGTCCAGCCTGGGCAACAGAGTGAGACTCCGTCTCAAAAGAAAAAAAAACATGAAATTTTTTCTTAACAGGGTGTTTGTTAAGCTTACAGTTTATCACTTTTCTTTTTGTTTTTTATCAGCATCGACACCCCAGGAGTGATTAGTCGTGTGTCCCAGCTATTCAAAGGCCACCCCGATCTGATAATGGGATTCAACACCTTCTTGCCCCCTGGCTACAAAATTGAGGTGCAAACCAATGACATGGTGAATGTGACAACTCCTGGCCAGGTTCATCAGATTCCCACCCATGGCATCCAGCCACAGCCTCAACCACCACCCCAACATCCTTCCCAGCCTTCAGCCCAGTCAGCCCCAGCTCCTGCCCAGCCAGCTCCTCAGCCCCCACCTGCCAAAGTCAGCAAGGTGAGCACTTGGAAAATATTGCATCAATATGAATGCATCCCTAGAGAGCACCTTCCTTTGATGTTTCCCCTTTATATAAGACTTAGATACTGAGAAACAAAGTTACAAAGATTTCGTCATAGAAAAATGCTGTATGAAAACTTCACTATGACATGGTTCACATTTACACATCACTTACTTAGGTATCTATTTAAATCAACACAGCAACAACTTTCAAGGTCTTTCTTTTTACAGTTTCTGCTTATAAAACCATGAACATCCCAACAGGTGGTGACTTTGTGTAGTAGTAGTTGACAGCACAGATAGAAACCATCGTCTTATCCTGGTCAAATTGTGCTGCTGCCCACATGGTTATTTTATGAAAGTTATTTCACTAACTAGATTATATCAAGCTAAGTAGAAGATCTAATGAATAGTGATAGTGATGGTGATGAAGATGGGGTGTTCTTGGTCTAGAACCACACTGTCTGACACAGTAGCCACTAGCCACATAGGACTATTTAAATTAAATTCAGTTTTTCATTTGCACTAGCTTTCAAGTGCTCAGTAACCTCATGTGGCTGGTGGCTATGTATAAGACAGTGCAAATAAAGGACATTTCCATCATCTCAGTTCTACAGGACAGAGTTGGCGTAGAAGACTTTTTTATGTGGAGCTACTGCAACAGTTGTCTTGTTGTTGACATCAAAAGGCTATGTAGAATGAGATTTTTTCTATGTGTACTTGTTGAGCTACTAAGCTAAAACATTGCATATGAAAAATTCTTCCCTGTAATTGGAGATGGCTCCAGTTTTAAGGTTTTATTTAGAAAATGTGAGACTGAAATATTTGTATCAGCATGTTTGAACCGCCTACAACTCCCACTGCTGCCCAGTATGATTTGTGTTGGACTAAAATGACCTGGCCTGAGTGAGTAAATAAAGGATATACGTTGACACCTTGTTTCTCTTTAGTTTGAACTTTCCTTGTATCAACTCATCTATGCATCTGAAGAGAATAAAGATTTCTTTTCTTTCTAGCCCTCCCAACTGCAAGCACATACTCCGGCCAGTCAGCAGACTCCCCCACTTCCACCGTATGCATCCCCACGTTCTCCGCCGGTCCAGCCTCACACACCAGTGACAATCTCGTTGGGAACGGCCCCATCCTTGCAGAACAATCAACCTGTGGAGTTTAATCATGCCATCAACTATGTTAATAAGATCAAGAACAGATTTCAGGGCCAACCAGACATCTACAAAGCATTCCTGGAGATTTTGCACACATATCAGGTAAGGAGTGCCCATTCAGCCTGTCTTAACCAGGTCACCCTCTTAGGGCATCTAGTCCAATAACAAGTAACCATTATTGTGTCCATTAATTCATACTGGAAATTAACCAGTTAGAAACTATCATGCATGTTTTTAAAGCCAGTTTGTTTGTTTGTTTGTTTTTCGAGACGGAGTCTTGCACTGTCACCCAGGCTGGAGTGTAGTGGCACGATCTCAGCTCACTGCAGTCTCCGCCTCCCGGGCTCAAGTGATACTCCTGCCTTAGCCTCCCTAGTAGCTGGGATTACAGGCTCCGCCCACCACGCCCAGCTAATTTTTTGTATTGTTAGTAGAAATGGGATTTCACTATGTTGGCTAGGCTGGTCTCGAACTCCTGACCTTGTGATCTGCCCACCTTGGCCTCCCAAAGTGCTGGGATTGCAGGCGTGAGCCACCGCCCCCATGCTATAAAGCCAGTTTTATTTGCCTGACTTGATTGCCCTGCAACATTCAGTCAGGATTTTTTTTTTTTTTTTTGAGACAGAGTTTTGCTCTTTTTGCCTAGGCTGGAGTGCAATAGTGCAGTGTCGGCTCACTGCAGCCTCTACCTCCCGGGTTCAAGTGATTTCTTGTATTTTTAGTAGAGACGGGGTTTCAACATGTTGGCCAGGCTGGTCTCAGGTGATCCACCCGCCATGGCCTCCCAAAGTGCTGGGATTGCAGGCATGAGCCACCGTGCCCGGCCTCAGTCAGGATTGTTAGTCACTGTCCCATGAAATGAAACTCAGTTTTATCTGGGACAGTTAGATGGTGATTTATATAGTCTAGTTAATGTACAGTAGGAGGAGGAGAAATTTCTAAGGTTTTGTCAGTTGGTAGTGGTCCCCTGGGCATTAATATTTATTGCCCTAGGCCGGGCATGGTGTCTCACGCCTGTAATCCCAGTACTTTGGGAGGCCGAGACAAGTGCACTCCAGCCTGAGCAACAAGAGTGAAACTCCGTCTCAAAAATATTTACTACCCTAGTTTTGAAAGGAATTGTCATCCACCATCTTCAACTTTTTTTTTTTCTCAACTTGAAAGTCTGTGGTCAGAACGGGTGCTAAGAACATAGACTTTCTTCTTACATGCAGCCTAAATAGATAACAGTGATTCCAGAAAGCGTGCAAAGATGAGTGACTCAAAACAGTAGCCCAAATGATCTCTTTTCATTTGCAATTCCTCAGAAAGAGCAGAGAAATGCCAAGGAAGCTGGAGGAAACTACACTCCAGCATTGACAGAGCAGGAGGTGTATGCCCAGGTTGCTCGTCTCTTTAAAAACCAGGAAGATTTGTTGTCAGAGTTTGGACAATTCCTACCAGATGCCAACAGCTCCGTGGTATGTTTTTTTAATAAGAATTACACTATTTACTATTATTATCTTAGATGAGTTGGAAAACTGTGCTCAGAAGGGGACTTTTCCTAGATGATATTTGTTTGCTTTGATAAGAGCATTAATCTCATTCATGTGTCTTAATCAGCTTTTAAGCAAAACAACTGCTGAGAAGGTTGATTCTGTGAGAAATGATCATGGAGGCACTGTCAAGAAGCCCCAACTGAACAACAAGCCGCAGAGGCCCAGCCAGAATGGCTGCCAGATCCGCAGACATCCTACAGGAACCACCCCTCCAGTTAAGGTGAGAATGGGCAGCAGCTGCTCATTTTGACACTCACAAGTATTTCTAATGGAGAGGTACTCTAGAGGTGGTCATGTGTTTTGTTGTTGTTGTTTTTTTTTGTTTTTTTGAGACCGAGTCTCGCTCTGTCGCCCAAGCTGGAGTGCAGTGGCACGATCTCGGCTCACTGCAACCTCTGCCTCCCGGGTTCAAGCGATTCTCCTGTCTCGCCCTCCCGAGTAGCTGGGACTACAGGCGCATGCCACCATACCGGGCTGATTTTTTTTTTTTTTTAGTGGAGACGGGGTTTCACCGTGTTAGCCAGGATGGTCTCGATCTCCTGACCTCATGATCTGCCCGCCTCGGCCTCCCAAAGTGCTGGGATTACCTGTGCCCGGCAGTCATGTGTTCTTAAGTGTGTTAACGGTTGGGTCCTAGATATTTGGAGGAAGTTAGTATTGTGTCACAGAAACTCAGTGCAGAGTTTATCTGGCTTTGCAAAAGAGTATTAGAATAACATTGATTGCTTGGATTACTGTACTTTTCTGAGTTCTTTATTATCTCTCCTTTGCAATGAGCTGTCATTTCTTTAATGTTTTGGTTGCTACTAAGAATTTCCAATACTTGAAATTTTTTTCCCTTCTTTTTTTTTTGAGATGGAGTCTTGCTCTGTCGCCCAGGCTGGAGTGCAGTGGTGTGATCTCAGCTCACTACAACCTCTGCCTCCCGGGTTCAAGCAATTATCCTGCCGCAGCCTCCTGAGTAACTGGGACTACAGGCGTGTGCCACCACGCCCAGCTAATTTTTGCATTTTTAGTAGAGATGGGGTTTCGCCATGTTGGCCAGGCTGGTCTTGAACTCCTGACCTCAGGTGATCCACCCACCTCGGCCTCCCAAAGTGCTGGAATTACAGGCGTGAGCCACCGCGCCTGGCCCCTTCTTCTTTGATGCTTTAAATCTGCCTTGTGTTAAGAAAGAACATTCTTGAGCTTGAGAATTATTTCAGAAATAAGTGGTCTCTGAGGTCCTCTTGTGAGTAGAGTGCATGTGTTTTTTGAGATCTCTGGTCTAGAACCCTGTCCTGCTCAAAGTTCTTTGTTGGGTTACCAGATCTTATGTGTATCATCTTAATCTCCAAGGCAGGACCTTTGGGCTGTAGCAGAGGGAAGTCTTAAACTCCTCTTAGTAATCCATTACATGATGTTTTTTGTTATAGTTAACACTGATGGTCTGCCTGCAGAAAACTTAGCTTGCTCCCTTCTTTGATGTAACACAGCTATGATAGGGAGAGGGCTAGTTGTATGTATTGAATGTTTAATTCTTCAGTGAATTTCAAAGCAGTATGTAATATAGAAGAGACAGATATGTCTGCAGAATTAAATAATGACAAAAGTTTGGGAATTTCTAATAGTAAGAGGTGGCTGATGAATAGTGATTGACTGACTACAAGGTCTGACGTACTAGGTGTTACTGACACTTTTGAAGTATCCTTTTCATTAGTGTTTGTCATGGTTTCTTCTTTTGAAATCTTTTGAAATCAAGTTGAACATAATAATGGTTTCTATTTCTTCATTTCAATAAAGAGAATTAGTTATATGGGTAGCAAGAATCAGCTCAGTAGATACACTCCATGCTTGGATTTACGTCCGCCCACTCTTGATTACCTACAGGTGGCAAGAATATAGTGGGGGCTTAAAATTCTCCGCCTACTTTCTCCATAGGCAGTGTAAGCAGAGGCTGCGGCTCTTAAGAAAGTATACTCTGAGATAGCCAAGGTAAATGTGCTACTTCTCACAAAGTTTGTGCATTTCTTCATAGAGAGTAAGTGGTGGATTTTAAAAGTAACTTCTTGCCTGACAGGATTATATCATGGCCTGTTGGTTCCCTTTAGAAGAACAATATTAAATTAGTCTGAGTGGATATTGCTGGCGTGCCTTTTTTTTTTTTTTTTTTTTTTTTTTTTTGAGATGGAGTCTCACTCTGTTGCCCAGGCTGGAGTGCAGTGGCGTGATCTCGGCTCACTGCAGCCTCCACCTCCTGGGTTCAAGCGATTCTTCTGTCTCAGCCTCCTGAGTAGCTGGGACCATAGGCGCACACTACCACGCCCAGCTAATTTTTTTGTATTTTTAGTAGAGACGGGGTTTCACCATGTTGGCCAGGATGGTCTCAATCTCTTGACCTCATGATCTGCCCACCTTGGCCTCCCAAAGTGCTGGGATTACAGGCATGAGTCACCATGCCCAGCAAATTATGCTTTTTAAGTAAATTTTTAATTGAAATATTATTCAGGGTTAAAGATTGATTTCTGTCAATTTGTGAGCTCTTTTTACAAACAGCCTTTTCTCCCTCAGCTGGTAGGAGAACAAAACAGTGGCATTAGATTCTACATGAAGTTACTTTGGGCCCCTAGAAAAAGTAAGGATATTCTAAAAGTTTGTCACAGTAATGTCATGATCATTTCTGGAGAAAATATTTTGGGGGTAGAATGATCTTTGAACCTCTGTTGTAGAAAGAAACTTAATAGGCAAACTGAAATAGAAAATATGAGTTGAAATCTTAGAGGGTATGGAGTGAGTTGGTTAGAGTTCTCTCATTTGTTTCAAATTATTAATCAGCAGTGGTTTCAGTGATGAAACCATTGAATACAGACAAAAATAAAATTCAGAGAAAACCACTCGTTGAATCTCACATGTTTGTATCTTTCTTTTGCAGAAGAAACCCAAACTGCTCAATCTGAAGGATTCTTCTATGGCAGATGCCAGCAAACATGGTGGTGGAACAGAATCGTTATTTTTTGATAAGGTGAGTAATGGATGAGTTAGATTTGATAGTGCCTGTTAATGCCAAAAGAAAATCATCTTATCCCCCTGGAAGGTTTCGTTTTAAAGGTGTCAGGCTAATTAGGACTTTCTGTTTTTTAACATAGTTTCCCAGTTGTGAGTCCTTTGAGTCTGCTAGTACTATTAGCATAGCTAGAAAAATGGTAGCATTGTTTGCTTTGGTTTTATGAAGCAGTTTGGGGCAGAAGACAGATTTTTAGAAAATGTATTATGTTTCTCTTGAAAGATGTTTGGAGCTCCCATTGTAGATATCCAGGTCTGTGTGGCAGGCAGTACCAGTGCCTGTACCAATTTTTGAGGATTTAAGATGACTTGTAATCTTTTTTTTTTTGAGACGGAGTCTCGCTGTCGCCCAGGCTGGAGTGCAGTGGCGCAATCTCGGCTCACTGCAGGCTCCGCCTCCTGGGGTTCACGCCATTCTCCTGCCTCAGCCTCCCGAGTAGCTAGGACTACAGGCGCCCACCACCTCGCCCGGCTAATTTTTTGTATTTTTAGTAGAGACGGGGTTTCACCGTGTTAGCCAGGATGGTCTCGATCTCCTGACCTCGTGATCCGCCCGCCTCGGCCTCCCAAAGTGCTGGGATTACAGGCGTGAGCCACCGCGCCTGGCCGATGACTTGTAATCTTATTGCTGTGATAGTTATTTGTAGTACACACATACATAGCATTCAGGGGAATTCTAATTTACTTGCATGTTTTCAAAGCTACCCAGCTGATTCTAATGAGCAACGAGAGTTGAGATTATTGGCATAAATGATGTTGTGTGGTGCCTTAGTTTGGCCACATAAACTTAAGTGTGATTTGCTCCTCGGAGTCAACTTGATGATTAGCAGGAAACTTTCATCAGGGTAGCTGGCACCTGTTGGGCTTCTCACTGGTAGGAATCAACCTGGATTGATCTGTGGTGATTGACTCTATTTTCTGCCTCTTGGGTTTTGCAGAAGGGCAGATGATTTAACATCTCCGTGATTAGTATCTCCTGATCCCTTTCTGTCTGCTGTGCCTATGTGAGCTTTTTGCAGGAGAGTCCTGCAAGAGTGTTGAGTCCTTAGCTCTGATGTGAATCATTACCAAAGTCTGCTTGGGCGGTTGGTGCTCTTAGACAAGTGTGGAAGTCTAGATCACAACCAATAAATGTCAAGAAAAGGGTATGGAAGGGAAGCTATTATAAATTAAGAATTAAGAAATATATAAGCCAAATGTGACATGCAGACTTTGGATTCTGAATTTAAAAGCTGATTTATTTTTATTTTTATTTTTATTTTTGAGACAGAGCCTCACTCTGTTGCCCAGCTTGGAGTGCAATGGCGCAATCTTGGCTCACTGCAACCTCCGCCTCCCTGGCTCAAGCGATTCTCCAGCCTTAGCCTCCCAAACAGCTGGGACTACAGGCGCCTACTACCGTGCCCAGCTAATTTTTTCATTTTTAGTAGAGACAGGGTTTCACCATGTTGGCCAGGCTGGTCTTGAACTCCTGGCTTCAGGTGATCCACCTCAGCCTCCCAAAATGCTGGGATTACAGGTGTGAGCCACCACACCTGGCCAATAGCCAATTTTTAAGACATTAATTAGACAATTGAACTTGACACGGACTCAATATTAGATGCTATTAAGGAATCTTTTTTACATTTTTGGGTTTTTTTTTTTTTTTAGACAGAGTCTCGCTCTTGTTGCCCAGGCTGGAGTGAAGTGGTGTGATCTTGGCTCAGTGCAACCTCCATCTCCTGGGTTCAAGCGATTCTCCTGCCTCAGCCTCCTGAGTAGCTAGGATTACAGGCCCCGCCACAACGCCTGGCTAATGTTTATATTTTTAGTAGAGATGAGGTTTCACTGTGTTGGCCAGGCTGGTCTTGAACTCCTGACCTCGGGTGATCAGCCCTCCTTCGCCTCCCAAAGTGCTGGGATTACAGGTGTGAGCCACCACACCTGGCCTTTTTTATTTAAGAGATGGGCTCAAGTGATCCTTCTTACCCTCCTGAGTAGCTGGGACTTGCAGGTACAGACCACCACACTCAGCTAATTTTTAAAATTTTTTTGGAGAGAGGGGGTCTCAATGTTTTGCCCTGGCTGGTCTCAGACTCCTGGGCTCAGGCAATCCTCCTCCTTCGGCCTCAGCATTTGCCTTCCAAAGTGTTGAGATTACAGGTGTGAGCCACCATGCCTTGCCTTAAGGAGTCTTCTGAAAATAAGTTAATTTCTAAGAGTAATGGGTTTTTTGTTTTTGTTTTTGTTTTTTTGTTTTTTTTTTATTTTTTTTCTGGGACAGTCTCACTCCATTGCTGAGGCTGGGGTACAATGGTGTGATCTGGGCTCACTGTAACCTCCACCTCCCGGGTTCACGCAATCCTCCTGCCTCAGCCTCCCGAGTAGCTGGGATTACAGGCGCCCACCACCACACCCAGCTAATTTTTGTATGTTTAGTAGAGACAGGGTTTCACTATGTTGGCCAGGCTGTCTCGAACTCCTGACCTCAGGTGATCCGCCTGCCTTGGCCTCCCAAAGTGTTGGGATTACAAGCGTGAGCCACTGCACCCAGTCCTGTAATGGCATTTTCTTAGTACTTTTTCTTAAACATATATACTATATCTAGATGAAATGTCTGGAATTTGCTTTAAAATGCAGTGGTAGGAGAAGTAAGTATAGATGAAACAAAATTTACTATAGATCATTGAGGTTGGGGTGAGTACATAGGTTCGTTATACTTCTGTCTACTTTTGTGTATGTTTAAAAGCTAATAAAAAGTAAAGGTAAATAGGGTATACAGTATAAAAGGTACAGTGTTCTTTTATCTTTAGCTTTAAAAGTCTAGATTCTATATAGTGTCTACTGATGAATAGTTAAGAAAAGCATACGGAAGTCTGGAGCAGGGGTTGCTGATAAGCCACTTGGTTTGGTGGCAGTCTGTGGTCTTCACCAAAGGATCACAGTGCTAAATACTTATTTTGGAACTGAAACTCCAGATTGGTAATCTAGCTAGACTAGTTTTACTTTGTCTATGCCATTGATCATTTTTGGGTTTTTGGTATTAAGATGCTCAATATTGTAAATAGAGGAAGAAAAAAGACCAGATCAGAGGACAGAACTATCTTAAGAGAGCGTTATTCCAGATTACCAGAGTTTAAAACAGCCTTGGCAAAGATTCTTGCTGTAAACATGTTAAGAGAGGCAACAGGCCGGACGCAGTGGCTCACGCCTGTAATCCCAGCACTTTGAGAGGCCGAGGTGGGTGGATCACCTGAAGTCAGGAGTTCAAGACCAGCCTGGCCAACATGGTGAAACCCCGTCTCTACTAAAAATACAAAAAAAACATTAGCTGGGCGTTGTGGCAGGTGCCTATAATCCCAGCTACTCGGGAGGCCGAGGCAGGAGAATCGCTTGAACCCGGGAGGCAGAGGTTGCAGTGAGCTGAGATCGCGCCATTGCACTCCAGCCAGGACAACAATAGTGAAACTCGGTCTCAAAAAAAAAAAAGAAAAAGAGGCAACAAAAACCTGAGTAACTCTGATATGGTGTGGAGAATCAAGCATATGAGAAGGTATACTCCGAGATCTCAGTTTTTAAATTGTTATTATGGTATTTTTTTTTTGAGACGGAGTTTCGCTCTTATTGCCCAAGCTGGAGTACAGTGGCGTGATCTTGGCTCACTGCAACCTCTGCCTCCTGGGTTCAAGCGATTCTCCTGCCTCAGCCTCCTGAGTCACTGGGACTACAGGTGCCCACCACCACGCCTAGCTAATTTTTTTGTATTTTTTTCTTTAGTAGAATGGGGTTTCACTATGTTGGCCAGGCTGGTCTCAAACTCCCGATCTCAGGTGATCCACCCACCTCGGCCTCCCAAAGTGCTGGGACTACAGGCGTGAGCCACTGCGCCCAGCTGGAAAATTTTGAACATACATAAACAGAATAGTAAAATGATTCCTCACGTACCTACCATCCAGCTTTAGCGGTTCCCAATTCTAGCCAGTTACTTGTTTCATATATATTCCCACCCATCCCAGTTTATTTGGAGACAAATCGCAGATACCTTATTTCATCCATACATATTTTAGTAAGTTTCTTTTAAAAATGACTCCTTTTTGTGGCTGGGTACAGTGGCTCAAACGCCTGTAATCCCAGCACTTTGGGAGGCCAAGGCGGGTGGATCACTTGTGGTCAGGAGTTTGAGACTAGCCTAGCCAATACGGTGAAACCTCGTCTCTACTAAAAATAGAAAAATTATCCGGGTGTAGTAGCACATGCCTGTAATCCCACCTACTTGGGAGGCTGAGGCAGGAGAATTGCTTGAACCCAGGAGGCAGAGGTTGCAGTGAGCTGAGATCGCACCACTGCACTTCAGCCTGGGCAACAGTGCTGGACTGCGTTTAAAAAACAAAACAAAACAAAAAAACTCCTTATTGCAAACATAATCATTATCACATCTAAAAACACTAACGTTGATTCCTTAGTGTCATCAAATATCAGTTTAAATTTCCCCGTTTTTATTTTATTTTTTTACTTATGAGACAGAGTCTTGCTCTGTCACCCAGGCTGGAGTACAGTGGCATTATCCCAGCTCACTGCAACGTCTGCCTCCAGGGTTCAAGTGATAATCTTATGTTTCACTCAGCCACCCAAGTAGCTGGAATTACAGGCGTGTGCCACCATGCCTGGCTAATTTTTGTATTTTTAGTAGAGACGGGGTTTCAGCATGTTGGCCAGTCTGGGCTCGAAGTCCTGGCCTCCAGTGATCCACCCACCTTGGCCTCCCAAAGTGCTGGGATTATAGGCATGAGCCACCACGCCCAGCCACAAATTTCCCCAGTTTTTAAAAACTAATGGCAGGGCAGCTGGGCAATATATGACCTCGTCTCTGCAAAAAATTTAGAAATTAGCCAGGCATGGTGGCTCACACCTGTAGTCCCAGCTACTTGGGAGGCTGAGGATGGGAGGCTGCAGTGAGCTGAGATTACACAACTGCGCCTCCTCCTGGGCGACAGAGCGAGGCCCTTTTCAGTTCCCCACTTTAAGAAAAACAAAAACTGTTTTTCTTCCCGTTGTCTCCATAAGGTCCGAAAGGCTCTTCGGAGTGCAGAAGCCTACGAAAATTTCCTACGCTGTCTTGTTATTTTTAACCAGGAGGTGATCTCTCGTGCTGAGCTTGTGCAACTAGTCTCTCCTTTCCTGGGGTAAGTGAAGTGAGGGGCTTAGCCCTGATGCATGATATGGAGACCAGGTAATGTTTGATTTGTGAGAGTATATGATAGGCAAAGTTAATTTACTTGAGATACATCAGTTGACTCAAATGTTAGTGCCAGAAGAGTCCTGAGAAGTCTTCTAGTCCAGCTCTAGAGATGAGAAAATAGAGAGGGCATTAAGTATTTATCGACTAATGGCCAAGACTAGTGGTCTCCTGATCTTCTAACCAGTGCTGGATGTTTATCAAGAAAAATCTCTCCCAGAGTTCTGGAATTTTTTTAAAAATTATTATTATTATTTTTTTTTTGAGATGAAGTCTCACTCTTGTTCCCCAGGCTGGAGTGTGATGGCATGATCTTGGCTCACTGCAACCTCCGCCTCCTGGGTTCAGGTGATTCTCCTGCCTCGGCCCCCCAAGTAGCTGGGATTACAGGTGCCTGTCACCACACGCCCGGCTAATTTTTGTTATGTTTTTTAGTAGAGACGGTGTTTTACCATGTTGGCCAGGCTGGTCCAGAACTCCTGACCTCAGGTAATCCACCTGCCTCGGCCTCCCAAAGTGCTGGGATTACAGGCATGAGCCACTACACCGAGTCTGGAATCTTTACTATATTTGACAACCTAAGAATTATGTGAACATTAAAGCAATATTCTTGATCAAAAGAATGGCTTGTTATTTTGCCTGGTTTCGGTACAACTCTTTGATCACCACTTTAACTGATCTGAGAGTATTTTATTAGAAAAAGGGGAAACCAAATGCTCAGAAGCAGTTCTTCTTAGGCAGGAAATAATTCATCCCTGGTAGCAGATTTCTGATCCAAAACCAGATGGTAGTAGTCATACCTCAGGATAACTGCATCCTGCCCCTAATTGCTTGTCACTTTTTGGTTTGATTCTTCAGGAAATTCCCTGAGTTGTTTAATTGGTTTAAAAACTTTCTGGGCTATAAGGAGTCTGTACATCTGGAAACTTATCCAAAGGAGCGAGCCACAGAGGGCATTGCTATGGAGATAGATTATGCTTCTTGTAAACGATTGGGCTCCAGCTATCGAGCCTTACCAAAGAGTTACCAGCAGCCCAAGTGTACAGGACGGACTCCTCTCTGTAAAGAGGTAAGGCCTTCCCTAGCAAAGATCAGCCCTGGGTCCTCAGCTTTTTCCAGAAGGGAGTGGTGGTACCAAGGATTGAGAATTTATATGAATGATGAAATTAAGAACCCTTTTAATCCTTTTTAAAAAGAAAATGTTTTCTACTTTTTTGTTTGTTTTTGAGACAGGGTTTCGTTTTGTCACCCAGGCTGTAGTGCAGTGATGTGATCACGGCTCATAGTGCCTCAACCTCCTGGGCTCAAATGATCCTCCCAAGTACCTGGGACTTACACATGCCTTCACACCCAGCTAAAAATATAAAAATAAAAGTTTTTAGTTTTGTAAAGATTGGGTCACTCCTCCTGGGCTCAGGTGATCTTCCTGCTTCGTCCTCCCAAAGCACTGGAATTATATTTCCGCTTATATTCAGCACCCTTTTCTTACTAATAGCTTTTTGTAAACTTGCTAAAGGTGAAATTTGTGAAGTAATATTAGTTGCCTATTTCTCTGCTAGAGTTTTGTCTTTTCATTCAGAATGCTTAATCACCAGAAAGCTTTTTTAGGCTTTTGTTTCAGTCTCTCTTCTTCTACCCAAAGGTTTTAAATGATACCTGGGTTTCCTTCCCTTCGTGGTCTGAGGACTCTACCTTTGTGAGTTCCAAGAAGACTCAATATGAAGAACATATTTATCGTTGTGAAGATGAACGCTTTGAGGTACAAGCTTGTTTGGCATTTGAAGTTGGGGGAAATGGGAGATGCTCAGTGAGACTATCAGTACCTGTCTCTGAGGGTTATTAAGATGGAAGAGCCAAAGGCTCACATTCTTCTATGGTAAGTGCTTGTTGTGGTACTTTCCATGCTTTATGCATTGGTCAAATGTATATATTAGTACATGCTTTATGGCAAATGTGACTTATCTAGGCCACTTTAGCCCTTTTAACTGAAATTGTCCATTGATGACTAAATAATAGTTCTTTTGATTTTGCATGGCATTTTAAGATTATTATGTTTTGCATGGTGAAGAAAATCAGTATCCTAAGGTTTATAGTACTTTCTTGAAGCTGTTTTTAAATTATTTAAGATCTGTGTGTATTGTTACCCTTAGCAAGTATCTTGCCATGGTTAGCAAACCAGCTCTGAGAACTGGCATTTTTCTTTCATGTTTCTGGTATTGATTGCTTTGTTGTTTTTTGTTTGTTTGTTTGTTTGTTTTGTTTTGTTTTTTTGAGACGGAGTCTCGCTCTGTCTCCCAGGCTGGAGTGCAGTGGCGCAATCTCGGCTCACTGCAAGCTCTGCCTCCCAGGTTCATGCCATTCTCCTGCCTCAGCCTCCCGAGTAGCTGGGACTACAGGCGCCCGCCAACACGTCCGGCTAATTTTTTGTATTTTTATTAGAGACGGAGTTTCACCGTGTTAGCCAGGATGGTCTCGATCTCCTGACCTCGTGATCCACCCGTCTCGGCCTCCCAAAGTGCTAGGATTACAGGTGTGAGCCACTGCGCCCAGCTGATTGCTTTGTTTTGTTTTGTTTTTTTGAGACAGGGTCTCATTCTATTGCCCAGGCTGCAGTGCAGTGGCACAATCACAGTTCATTGCAGCCTCAACCTTCCAGACTCAAGTGTGATCCTCCCACCTCAGACCCCCACCCCTACCCGCCACCGAGTGGCTGGGACTACAGGCATGTGCTACCATGCCTGGGTAAATTTTTTTTTTTTTTTTTTAAACTTTAAATTCTGGGATACATGTGCAGAACGTGCAGGTTTGTTACATAGATATACATGTGCTTTGGTGGTTTGCTGCACCTATCAACTCATCATCTAGGTTTTAAGCCCCACATGCATTAGGTATTTGTCCTAATGCTCTCCCTCCCCTTGCCTCCTACCCCCTGTGGCTAATTTTTTGTTTTTTATAGAAACAGTGTTTTACTACATTACCCAGGCTGGTCTCAAACTCTTGGGTCCAAGCGATCATCCCACCCTGGCCTCCCAAAGTGCTGGGATTACACACATGAGCCACCATACCTGGCCTGATTGGCTCCTTTTGAAAGAAGGCTAAATTAGGGACCCCTTTCTTTTTAAAGACAGAGTATTGCTCTGTCAACCAGGCTGGAGTGCAGTGGTGTGATCTCGGCTCACTGCAACCTCTGCCTCACGAGTTTAAGCCATTATCCTGCCTCAGCCTCCCAAGTATCTGGGACTACAGGTGTATGCCGCTACACCCGGCTAATTTTTTTTGTATTTTTAGTGGAGATGGGTTTCACCATGTTGACCAGGCTGGTCTTGAACTCCTGACCTCAAGTGACCCACCCGTCTTGGCCTTCCAAAGTGCTGGGATTACAAGTGTGAGCCACTGCGCCTGTCCCAGGAGCTTTATTTTGAAGTAATTAGGAAGGGAAGAGTGGAGTGAATAAATGAGGTGGTAGAAGGCCCCATACCACCTATATCAGGAGAGGGACTACTGAAAGTGGGCTCAATCCTCAGTGTGTTTATATGTCTGGTTTACATTATCATTTTTAAAAAGGGAAGTCTGGTTTGTCTAAAGATGTAAAATGATACGTATCCTATTTAGTGTATCTGTTACATTAAATTGACTGGCTGTGCTTACTTGTGTGGATAGGTATCTTGCTGGTTTTTGTTTGTTTGTTTGTTTGTTTTGGTACTCTTTTAGCTCTTTGCCAGTTTTCCCGCCTCACACTTGGTTCAGCAGTTTCTGGTGTGTTTTTAATTGAGAACCACATGCTGCCTGGCCACTGGCAGGTGGTTGGCCATCTTTGCCCCAGCATTTATAAGGAGTTGCACCTATTTGCAGAAAGCTAAATCAAGACAGATGTTAACTTCCATAGGGAGTGTTATCAAGCTAAAGAAGGCATTTCTTTGTTACTTACGTTTAGTAAGGTTAACTGATGAGTTTAGCAGAGCTTGGCATTTGTTTTTGACAGAGTGTTCCTATCCTCTCTCAGCTGGTATGCCTCCAAATGAGAGGCAACTTCATTTCCCATTTGTGACTACAAGGGCAAACATGAAAGAAGTGGGGTGTGCATGTGTTTAAGATTTGGTGGGATGAGCTAGTTTGAAGGAATGTGCGTTACCAATCAAGATAGGTTAGTAATGCCTCAGTACAGACAACTCCCACATCTGAGTGACTTGTAAAACCAATGGGTTTAATTTCTAATCATTCTACATGTACATTGATGTTTAGCAGGGGATTTGGCATATCAGAATTACTTGGGGATTCAGGCCAAGGGATTGCTGCCATTATGAATGTTGCTAGTCACTAGGAGGAAAAGAGAGCTTGGAATGATCTCACACCTTTAAATGCTGCAGCCTAGAAGTAATAAACATTACTTCTACTCATCTCATAACAACTCATTGGTCAAAACTAGTTACATGGCCCTATCCAATCATAAGGGAGCCAGGAAGTTTAGTCCATTTTTTGTTCATAATTGGAGAGCAAGAGGGGCCAGAAATATTGACCAAATGACTACCACATTCCCAAAACAAGAAAACTTAGGGAACACTTCTGCAAACAGTTGGTTGTAGACCGTTGAGACTGCTCATTTACTTCATTTTCTGTTTCTCATTTAGAGAACCTTATTTTAAGCTAGGGAAAAAGTAGACTCAAAGGTTGCCAGGAGTCCAATAAGAATTTAAATGGTTACCCGCAGCTACAACAGTGAACTCCTTAAGTTATGATAGTCACTGCTCTTATTATTACTGGATGTGGAACAAGGCTATTGAATATTTAAGTATTTGAATATATTTAAATATTTCAAGTTAAACCAAAAAACTCTCAAGACAAAGCGGTCTTTTGGGATTGTTTTGATTGTTATTGTTTGTTCATAATGGATCTTAGCAATTCAGGAAAGTTCAGGGAAACGTTTCAGTAAAGTCATCTCCTGTTTGGTTCCTCTGGTCTAAAATCAGTAGTCCTAAGCAAAGCACACGGTGGTGGTGGCGGCAGCAGCGACGGTGGTGGTAATAACTACCATTTATCCAACTTCATCCTGTGGTTCTTATGTGCCAGGTATTGTGCTAAATACTTTATGTGGATTGTATCATTTAATCCAGACACAGGGTTGTGAGAGTAATAGGTGCTGTTATCCCTATTTTGCTGATAAAGAAACAGTCTTATGTAGCTAGTAGGGCAGAACCAGGATTCAAATCCAAGGAGTTTGACTCCCTACCTTATTCTTCTAAACACTACTCTATTCTATTTTGATTTGGGTCCTGAGCATACCCTTCTTTGTCTTCCTCTTCAGCTTGATGTAGTTTTAGAGACCAATCTGGCAACAATCCGGGTTCTGGAAGCAATACAGAAGAAGCTTTCCCGCTTGTCTGCTGAAGAACAAGCCAAATTTCGCTTGGACAACACCCTTGGGGGCACATCAGAAGTCATCCATAGAAAAGCACTCCAGAGGATATATGCTGATAAAGCAGCTGACATCATTGATGGTCTGAGAAAGAATCCCTCCATTGCTGTTCCAATTGTCCTTAAAAGGTACATGAGCAAATGTGCCCTTAGTGCTTTAGTGTACTTCACTACCGGTTCAGTGTCTCATTAAATAAGGCTCTCATTTTCAACCTGGTTGTCCCATGAGACCTCTCTTTCTCCCCAACCCTGGTTGTTGGAATTCAGGTGCAGAATGGAACTTCTTTTGGGGGTCCTGTGTAACCAACATTAGAGAACAAATCTTGTAAGTTCATGGTGGAAGGCTCTGTGTGTATGTTTGGGGGAGTATTTTAAAATACAGAAAAGAAAAGAAGATAATTACCACCCATGTTCCTGCCACACTCAGGACTAACTGTTGTTAACATCTTTGTGGTTTGTTTGTTTTTGTTTTGTTTTGTTTTGAGACAAGATCTCACTCTTTCACCCAGGCTGGAGTGCAGTAGTGTGAACACAGCTCACTGCAGCCTCAACTTCCCAGGCTCAGGTGATCCTCCCACCTCAGCCTCCCGAATAGCTGGGACTACAGGAATGTGCCACCACACCCAGCTAATTTTTATTTTATTTTTTTTAATAGAGATGAGGTCTTGCTATATTTCCCAGGCTGGCCTCTAACTCCTGGGCTCAAGCAATCCTCCTGCCTTGGCCTCCCCAAAGTGCTGGCATTACAGGCACAAGCCACACCACACCCAGCCCCATGTCATTATTGACCACACTGTGAATCCTTTGTTAGGAGCTTGGTTCTCTCTCAGTATCATCTGGTAAAAATTAATTCTTATTTGCTGCACAGTTCACAAATACCCAGATTTGATTTGTCCTCCCTCATCTTCCCCTCAAGAGCTGGCACAGATTGATGGTTTCTTCTCCCTCATCTTCCCCTCAAGAGCTGGCACAGATTGATGGTTTCTTCTTCTTGCCTGTAGCATTTAACTTCTGGCTTTTGAGATACAGGTTATTCTTCAGTTTTAGTGCTTTTTTTTGTCTTAGTCTGTTCTCTTCTGGGTTATTAGAATCAGTTCTGATCAGAACTTTCCTGACTGTATCCAGAGGAACATAACTGTGCAAGTTCTCTTGTCTTGGACTTCTGTGTTTCTATTAGCATTGTGAACGTTTTGCAAAGTCCTATAGCAAAGAAACAAGAACTCTTTTTTTCAAGGAATACTTATACCTGAAAGATATTCCCTGGAATGCTGTTTTTAAGTAACCATTCTAGGTAAATTATTTGACTTTGAGATAAATCATTTCCTCAAAGTAAGTCTTGGATGAGTAATTCCCTCATGAAACAGAGTTCAAGACTGGTTTGATAGCATCCCAAGTTGCCAGTAATTTTGAGAGACCTAATATAGCTTTGCACCTTTCTTTAACTAAAGTAAGCCTGGCAAATTTCTTTCTTCTAAACCCTCTGAATTCCCATGTGTTGTTTCCATCCCTTCCCGCTTCACTAGGTTGAAGATGAAAGAGGAAGAATGGCGAGAAGCTCAGAGAGGCTTTAACAAAGTATGGCGAGAACAAAATGAGAAATACTACTTGAAGTCTCTGGACCACCAGGGGATCAACTTTAAACAGAATGACACCAAGGTCCTGAGGTCTAAGAGCTTACTCAATGAGATTGAGAGTATCTATGATGAGGTGAGCGGGGGGTTTCTGCATCTGTGAGAGGACTCTAGTCTATATTTAGCACAGCTTTGATTTCTGGAAATTACCTTTGTTAAATGCAGGTGAGACTCTCTAAGACCTGTTGATTCTTGCTTGATAGCTGTCATAGCCTTTTCTATTCCTCATTCTACCATTTTAAATCTAAACTATACCTTTATACCTAAGCTGTTTGACTAGTTTCCTAGTTTACTGTCCTGGTTTCAACTTATACCTCCTGCCTCCATTTTCCACTTCTCCGACTACCTGTTTCCTTCAAACAATAATACCTTGTATCCATATAGTCCCATCTCTCCTTACTTACAGCTTCAAAATTTGTCATTGACCACCAAACTCTTTGTAATCCTTGCTTATTCAGCATGCCTACCAGGACTATAAATAGTACTAGGAGCTAGGATCAGAGATGAATAAGCAATAAATCCTGGTTTCCGTGGGCTCAGTTTTAGGAGATGGATAGAAACATAAATGCAGTGCAATTGGGAATTCCTGGAGTGGGGTGATCCTGAACTTTAAAAATAGTAAAATGAGCTCTTATGTGAACTTAATCAGGCCGGGCACAGTGGCTCATGCCTGTAATCCCAGCACTTTGGGAGGCTGAGGCGGGCAGATCACCTGAGGTCAGGAGTTAGAGACCAGCCCAGCCAACATGACGAAACCCCGTCTTTACTAAAAATACAAAAATTAGCCAGGCGTGGTGGTGTGCACCTGTAGTCCCAGCTACTCGGCAGAATGAGGTGGGAGAATGGCTTGAACCTGGGAGGTGGAGGATGCAGTGAGCTGAGAACATGCCACTGCACTCCAGTCTGGGTGACAGAGCAAGATTCCGTCTCAAAATCAATAAAATAAATAAACTTAATCCTCCATATTTTGCTGATGTTACTTTGTCACCCTCCATACCCCCACCCCAGAAGTAAAGTAAATCACAGATCTCATATCATATCCTTTATATAGATACTAATCCAGAATTTTGAAAGATAGTCCCACTGGGCACAGTGGCTCACGCCTGTAATCCCATCACTTTGGGAGGCTGAGGTGGACAGATAACTTGAGGCCAGAAGTTCGAAACCAGCCTGGCCGACATGGTGAAACCTCATCTCTACTAAAAATACAAAATTAGCCTGGCATGGTGGTGCACTTCTTAATCCCAGCTACTCAGGAGGCTGAAGCATAAGAATGGCTTGAACCCGGGAGACGGAGGTTACAATGAGCCAAGATTGCTCCACTGCACTCCAGCCTGGGTGACAGAGCAAGACCCTGCCAAAAAAAAGAAAGAAAGATGGTTCCAATTCTGTCCTACTCTCCCTGTAAGTCATCAGTGTGTAGAAGGTACCTGTATTTTGACATCAAACCACGTCTCTGTCATTACCTATTTGTTTCTGGAAGAGGGACAAAAATTATTGTTATAGTCAGGTCCTAAGTTTTGTTTTGAGACAGAGTCTCACTCTGTTGCCCAGGCTGGAGTGCAGTAGTACGATCTCGGCTCACTGCAACCTTTGCCTCACGGGTTCAAGTGATTCTCTTGCCTTAGCATCCCAAGGGCTGGGATTACAGGCACCTACCACCATGTTCAGCTAATTTTGTTATTTTTAGTAGAGGCGGGGTTTCACCATATTGGCCAGGCTGATCTCAAACTCCTGACCTCAAGTGATCACCCTCCTCGGCCTACCAAAGTGCTGGGATTATAGACGTGAGCCACCGCTCCCAGTCCCAGGTCCTAAGTTTTTGATTAGAAAAATATAGACACTGTGGTTGATAATGGGATGTATGGCTGATGTGGTCTTGTAGACATGTTGTCGCTGTAGACATCTCACAGAATACTTTTGTGTCTCTGTCCCATCAGAGGCAAGAGCAGGCTACGGAGGAGAATGCTGGTGTACCTGTTGGCCCACACCTCTCACTTGCGTATGAAGACAAACAAATACTGGAAGATGCTGCTGCTCTGATTATCCACCATGTGAAGAGGCAGACAGGCATTCAGAAGGAGGACAAATATAAGATAAAACAAATCATGCATCATTTTATTCCAGATTTGCTCTTTGCCCAAAGAGGTGATCTCTCAGATGTGGAGGAAGAGGAAGAAGAAGAGATGGATGTAGATGAAGCCACAGGGGCAGTTAAGAAGCACAATGGTGTTGGGGGCAGTCCCCCTAAGTCCAAGTTACTGTTTAGTAACACAGCAGCTCAAAAATTAAGAGGAATGGATGAAGTATACAACCTCTTCTATGTCAACAACAACTGGTATATTTTTATGCGACTGCACCAGATTCTCTGCCTGAGGCTGCTACGGATTTGTTCCCAAGCCGAACGGCAAATTGAAGAAGAAAACCGAGAGAGAGAATGGGAACGGGAAGTGCTGGGCATAAAGCGAGACAAGAGTGACAGCCCTGCCATTCAGCTACGTCTCAAAGAACCTAGTGAGTGCCGAGACCTCTGATTTACAGAGGATGTGTGAGGTTGAGGACCTTAGAGCCACCTAGACTTGGGACTGCTTCTTTTATTAATAGAGCACAGGCATTAGAGTCTGTGTAGTTAAACTCTCTGAACCTGTTTATCTGAAAAATGGAGGCTCTAGTTGCTTGTGGTGTTGCTTTGTGCAAAGTATCCTATGCAGGGCTTAGATCATGGACACTTGGTCAGTGGTTGGTACTGTGGACGCACCTGGGAAGGGGGTATCACAGTTAATTTCTCAAATGGCAGATTTCTGGGTTACTGCCATCTGTTTCAAAGTACAGATAGAGACTAAACTGTCACAGCCAATTTCAATCCATGACAGAACATAAATTCCTAGTGCTTAAAACAGAATTTTCTCATATTTTTGAGCAGGACTTCTGTTTAACCAGTGGGGTTTATGGCTCATTCTTAATATGTAGAAATAGTTTATGGAAAGGAGACTGGAACTCAAAAGGTGATATGAGACATGGAGAACAGGCAGGACAGGGATAAAGATGTAGAACTCAGGAAAAGGAAAGTAAGTGAGGGTTCAGGACGCTGTCATGTGCTTTATGTAATTTTGTGCTGCCTGCTTCCAGTTCACGTCATAAATTAGGTACTTGAGCTGTGAGCCAAAAGCTTTTTCATGAAGCATTTCTTCTGGGCTCTTAAGGAAATAGCCAACCTGAGGAGTGTATCTTCTTCTTCTTTTTTTTTTTTTTTATGTGTTGCTGATGTAGGAAGCCCAGATATGGCCCTAGCTTTCTATCTGTTGAGGAGCTAATGACACTGAAAAATAATTCTGAAAGCTTTTATCTAGACTAGTCCTAGCTCGAAAGAGATAAATTTTAGATCTCATTGTGGTGATTCCATCTACTTGGGTAGAAATTAGAAATTAAATGGCCTATTCCTGGCTTGGCCACTGACTTAACCTGGTTTGAGGCTTACATAATGTTGTCTTGTCTGATAATGCCAACCCTCACACTTACCACAGCTTGTTTGGACAAATCTGTGGTTTGGACTCAAAACTTTATTCTGGCATAAAAGCAGTTTTCATAGCAGTGGTATATTTTGGAGTCTATAGCCTATACCTATTCTATGGAGCTAAAGAATGTGATAGTCTGTGATGAAACTCAAGCCAGTTGCCTCTTTTAAACAGTATTTGTCCTGTTTTGCCTGTTTTTTAATGAATTCGTCAGACTTCAGATAAATGGAGACAACTTGGTTTTGCTCCTAGCCTTTTTTCTCCAGCACAAACACAACTAGCAAGTAACCAATTAGTCAGTGACAAATAGTTCGTTTTGTAACTTTTTTCATTTTAGTCAACTTTTTGTTGAAGTGCAATGTATAGGCCGGGTGCAGTGGCTTACACCTGTAATCCCAGCACTTTGGGAGGCCGATGTGGGAGGATCACTTGAGGCCAGGAGTTTGAGACCAGCCTGGTTAATAAGTGAGACCCCATCTCTACAAAAAAATACATATAAGGTACGGCATGTATATATAGAAAAGTATACAAATCAGAATTGTGCAGCTCAGTGAATTTTTACAGACTAGACGTACCTATGTTCAAGAAACGAAACATAACCAGTACTCTGATAACCAGTCCTTTTTCCACTTTGTTGATTTCTAACACTAGAGATTAGATTTGTCTATTTTTGAACTTTATATAAATGGGTCTTTAGTAAGCTAAAGGCAGCACTCTTTAATACTCCTTGTGCCCTCTGCTAGTTGCCAAATGTCTTTAACAACTGATGAGATTTATTCTAGCTAGTGATTGAAATGATTCATGTGCAGCAACTACAGATGATTTAATGCAATTTGTGAAATACAACGTAGCGAATCCATTTTTAAACAAAAGGACTTTGACAAATGCAGATTACTTCATTATTCATAAAGGATTTAATTTGCACTCCTATTTTTGTGTTCCCAAGAGGTTTCCCAGTGCTGGAGTATGGCTGTGTCTGCCTTTCCTCATCTGTACTTTATGCTTCATTGAAATAGCTTTATGAGCAAGTGACCCATGTGAGGAATGCTCTTGTGCAGGCTGGGAGAGTAGGTTCCTCTCTCAGCAGGGGAGCCAACAGCTCTTTGAAGGACTGGCTTCCCTAGGATATTTTCCTCTCTGAAAGTGGCCCAGCAGTACCATAAAGAAGTATCTTTCTAGCATGGTAGTCAGAATATTAGAAGCCACTGTTAAAGTTGCAGAGTCACTCTGATAGTGCTGGTGATTGTAGTCACCTGTCGGAATTCATCTCTGTTTACATTGGAATGAGTGAGTATATTTTGAATACCTAGTGTTCATACTTTCAAATGCCATTTAGGCCAGCTGTGGGATTTGCCCTGTACTCTATCCCTAGTCTTTTCTTAGCAAGGTAAGGCCTCACCAATCCCATCTCTCCCACAGTGGATGTTGATGTAGAAGATTATTACCCAGCTTTCCTGGACATGGTGCGGAGCCTGCTGGATGGCAACATAGACTCATCACAGTATGAAGATTCACTGAGAGAGATGTTCACCATTCATGCCTACATTGCCTTTACCATGGACAAACTGATCCAGAGCATTGTCAGACAGGTGAGGGCATGGAGGAGGCTAGGGTGAGTAAGGGAAGAAATCCTTACCTAGAGATGGGCCACGCAAGGAAAAGGAAAGGCAACTTTTTCATATAACAGTGTTTATGAACGTAGGGTTCTGAAGAGAGGAGGGGAGGTTAATGTGATGCCTGATTTCTCATGTTAACAAAGTTGCAGTGTATGAGCCTGCCTACCCCATATCCTTTCTTGCTGGCCACCTGTAGAGTGCAGTGGTCCTGACCCCAGCTTCCTGCACAACTTGTCTATCTCTTACCTTGTCTGCCATGGGTAAGCACACAGTGTGGAACATTGCGTCTTCCATAGGTGTTGGTAAGTTTTTTTTTTTTTTCCTTAAATAGAGACAGGGTGTCACTGTTTTGCCCAGGCTGGTCTTGAACTTCTGGTCTCAAGTGATCCTCCTGTCTTGGCCTCTTAAAGCGCTGGGATTATAGACACGAGCCACTGCGCCTGGTCAAGGTGTTGGTAACTCTTATGTACTTGCATTGTTTAATATTTGAAATTCTTTTTATAAGAAAGGGTTCACATAACATCTTTTATAATACTCTGCCCACCTCACTCATCTGCGGTTCCCTCTAAGTTAGGTTTCTGGTTGGTTTTGTGTGTTCTTCCTGTGGCACCCTGGGAACTTGTAAACATGTTGTTCTTTACAACAATGATATAAAAAATAGCTTGTAACAGATAGTCACATTTCTACTTCTTGGACTTGAGTTCTGAACTCCCAGAGAGATTGTTGGTTAACTGCTTTTTTCTTTTTCTGGAGACCCAGCTCTACTGCTGATTGACTGCAAGTCCCCAGCAGGGCTTCATTTTTCCTTTTCAGCATCCTGTTCTGTGGCTCCCTTGGCCCTTTTTGCCCATATGCCAAAGAGCTGAAAATTGATGTGGGCTGTGTGAAGACTGGCAAATACCTTAAAGTTCTTAGTGATGATTCCAGCTTTCTCCTTCTTATAGACGTACTATATGGGCATTATTGGTCCTGTCAGCTGGGTGGCTGATTTGAGTTTTTCAGAACTGTCTCCCTTCTTGGGGGCTAAGAGCTTCCTGGAGAAGAGGTTGAGCTTGGAGTCTTAACTCCTTCAGGTGCTGAACATTGGCCCACAGGGACATGGTGTACTAATGCCACCCTCTTGTGGATGCTGGTCACCCTTAACTCTTCTAAGCTGAAGCCCCTGCCAGCTTGTACTTTGGTGTGGTACCTCACTGTGGGGCAGCTTACCATGGGTCAGATGGGTCCAGATGCAGGGTGCAGGTCAATGTGGTATACTTTTGCTTGCATCTGCAGATCTTCTGGGCTGGCTGGTTGAACCACGTGGCCATGGGCCACTGCGATTCCTTGTGGAAGTAGGGCTTTAGGATCATGCTGTTCCACCTGGGTACCGTGGCTACCTACAGCCCTCTTCCATAGAATAGCTCAGCAGAAAGGCGGTGAAGTACTTAAGTGAAAACTTGTAAAAAGCAATTTCTAATTCTAGAATCCACACTGCCACTGTAGAAGGAAAGAGCTTGTTGCTTAATGTTCTCTTGGGCTAAAATATTGAATTCTTTGCAAAGTACCCATGCTTTTGCCTTGGTTTTGGAAGGGTGCATGCCTCTGTACTCCTCCCACAGTATCTACACAGGATTGAGGAAGAGCCCTTCATATAAATGAACCTTAACATCTGGGGGAAAGTTGTCAGATAGTTGTTTCCAATAAGTTGAAGAAGTTGTTAGGCCTTCCCATAAGAGGTCTGGATGGTAACTGGCAGAAATCATTAGATGGATACATAGTCACCCATAGTCATACTTTTTCAGACTAATCTTCCTTAACTTCCCTGAAATTTATATAAAATACAGACTCCAGTTACCCTGTGCTTATGTTGCTGATTACAGGCTTGCTGCTGCTTCAGCTAGGAACGAAGTCTTTCATACCACCAGCACAGCTTAAAAAAAAAATCCAATAAAACTAACTTTTAATAATTCTGAGGTTGGTTTTCGAAACAATAGTTACAATTATTTACTGTATCTGGTTATGATTTTGAATCAGTAATAAATACTATCTCCACCCACCCCCCGCTTTTTTTTTTTTTTTTTAATGGAAACAGGTTTCATCCAGAAAACCCCAAAACAGTGACTTTTTTTTTTTTTTTTTTTCCAACCCAGGGTCTCACTCTATTGCCCAGGCTGGAGTGCAGTGGTGTGATCAGCTCACTGTAGCCTTGACCTCCTACCTCAGCCTCCCAAGTAGCTGGGACCAAAGGGGCCACCACACCGGCTAATTTATTGTATTTTTTGTAGAGATGGAGTTTTGCCATGTTGTCCAGGCTGGCCTCAAACTTATGGGCTCAAGCAATTCACCTACTTCAGCCTCCCAAAGCGCTGCGATTACGGGCATGAGCCACTGTGCCCAGCCTACAGTGACTTTTTAAAACATTTTCAAGCTTCTCAACTCCTTTAACTGGAGGTATCTCTTCTCTCATTCTCCTCATATTTGGTGTTCCCTCAGATTCCACTGCTGACTGAATGTACAACATATATTTCAAAGTCAAGGCTGGTCATGGTGGCTCATGCCTCTAATACCAGCACTTTGGGAGTCCAAGGCGGGCAGATATATTGAGTCCAGGAGTTGGAGACCAGCCTGGGCAACATGGGGAAACACTATTTGTATTAAAAATACAAAAAATTAGCTGGGCATGGTGGCACATGCCTGTAGTCCCAGCTACTCAGGAGGCTAAGGTGGGAGGATCATCTGAACCCAGGAAGTTGAGGCTGCAGTGAGCCGTGATTGCACCACTGCATTCCAGCCAAGTGAAGCCATTACATTTATCTTACCTATTGTAGGCTGGCTTAAGAGGGATTTGTATTAAGAATACAATAGGCAACCTCACAGACATCCAAGTACAGAACTCAAAATAGGACCACACCATGGAAGGATTGGGCTGGGAGGTGATTTTTCTCTCCTGCATGCCTTCACTCTGGACTTCTGCTCCATGCTTGTGCTTTGCTCTGCAGATGAACATACGGCATGTGCTCCAGGCTCCTCCAGCCTCTGAGGCTTTGGCTTGCCCTCCCAGTACCCCTGGTCCCAGTGTTACTAGACCTTTCCATACAGATGCTCCTCCTCAAAAAATCTATTGAACACCCTCTCTGTCATCTCCAATTAGCAAGATAGAGAATCTGATCTGCTTAGCAGTGGGGGTGGGAGTTCCGTAGCTGTCTCTGGATTTGTAGTGCTGTCTTTTCTGAAGACTCGAGGAGGGGCCAGATATCCAAAAAGAGAGTATGGGTGGGGAATCAGTAATACAGTCTACTTCAACAAGAAAGTATAAAGTAGAGGCGGTGGCTCACGCCTGTAATCCCAGCAGTTTGGGAGGCCAAGGCGGGTGGATCACTTGAGCTCAGAAGTTTGAGATCAGACTGGGCAACATGGCAAAACCCCGTCTCTTCTGAAAATACAAAAAAGTTAGCTGGGCGTGGTGGCACATGCCTGTAGACCCAGCTACTTAAGAGGCTGAGGTATGGGAGGGTTGCTTGAGCCCAGGAAGTTGAGGCTGCACTGAGCCAAGATCACGATGCCACTGCACTCCAGCCTGGGCGACAGAGCGAGACTCTGTCTCAAAAAGAAAGTAGAAAGTGGAAGCATCTGTATGTATGATTGAAGTCATGCTTTCCATCTGTTTTTTTCCACCTTTTCTTTTTTCTCCTAAAACACTGTATCTTAATCTTCCTCATGATATCAGGTACTCATAAGCATTATTTTAATGGTTGTATCAGAATCCTTTATCTGGACTCATTGTGATTTATTTATCCATCTGTAGTTGCTGGAGATACTGCCCTTTCTGCCACACTCAGTCACCGTTCTGACCTTTCACTGTGTCCAGTTATCTACTAATACACATACTGGTCATTTAGGACTTAAGAATAAATAGTTATCATGGTTCCTAACACTTAAAAAGAATGTGTCTTCCTAAAAATAGAATGGCTTGGTGGTTATGATCATCTTAAAGTTTTTTAAACAGACAAATCAATATTGAAATTAACGTTTTGCTTTCTTCTTGTATCTATTTTTCACTTCTGTCATTTTGATGATAAAGTTTCATTTGGAAGGATTTTTATTTCAAAATAGAAATAGCATGACATGAGAATGGGAACTCTGAAACGTTCAACTTTCTAGTCATTAGTTTCCTAAGATTGTCACAAAAGCTACTGATAGTCAATCATGATTGGCCTGTATGGAAAGTGAGTTAACTTTATGTACAACTTAAGCCCTATACTTTCTATCAGATACAGAAAAATAGGTGATGTGTTTGGAAAAGTATTGGGCTAGGAGTCAGGAACCTTGACTTTTAGTCCCAACCCTCCTTCTTCAGCTGAGCACCCCTGGGCAATAATTCAGCAGCTATTTCTTAAATACTTAATGAGTTTCAGGCTTTGTAGTTGGCCTGGGAATATAGACATAGATACTGCATTCATGATTCTCCAAGGCTCCCTTCCTCACCCCAGCTCACGGTGAGCTTTGCAGTGGTGCAGTCTCGGCTCACTGCAACCTCCATCTCCCAGGTTCAAGCGATTCTCCTGCCCCAGCCTCCCAAGTAGCTGGGATTACAGGCTCCTGCCACCACGCCCGGCTATTTGTGTATTTTTAGTAGAGATGGGGTTTCGCCATGTTAGCCAGGCTGGTTTTGAACACCTGACCTCAGGTGATTGGCCCACCTCGGCCTCCCAAAGTGCTGGGATTACAGGCGTGAGCCACCTTTCTGATGCATTGTGTAAATTTGTCTCCTAACTGGCCCCAACTCTCTGTCTAGCTTGCCTTCCCAGGGCAGTTGTGAAGATCAAATGAGAAAGAATATGTATGAGAGCCAATTGTAAATGATTTTAAAATGCAATAAAGATATGACCTATAGAAAATTATTTAAAGATGCTTAGAATTTTAAATAGTACGATTATCCTGAGTTCTCTATGGTTCTTATTTTAAATAGATAGGAAAGTTTTACCATGGACCACTGATATGGTTGAAAATCCTGGCTTGATTATTCTCCAAGAAAATGATACAGTGGTTTGTGTGATTAATTTTCTAAAATTGCCAGCACCCCCCCACCCCCCCAAAAAAAGAAAAACCTTTTTGGAGTTGAATGACTACATCAAAGGAACGTTGACTGTATAATGGAGAAATGTTTTCTGTGTTCACTAAAAGCTTGCCTTTGTTTGCTTCCAGCTGCAGCATATCGTGAGTGATGAGATCTGTGTGCAGGTGACTGACCTTTACCTGGCAGAAAATAATAATGGGGCCACCGGAGGCCAGCTGAACACACAGAACTCAAGGAGCCTCCTGGAGTCAACGTATCAGCGGAAAGCTGAGCAGCTAATGTCAGATGAGAATTGCTTTAAGGTGAGAGTTGGTCAGGTAGTCGAAGACCTTGCTGGTGACAATGTCAGTTGTTAGGATTCTCTGAACCAGAAGTTAAAGCCGGGGTACTTTGACCTGTGATTCTACTCCTGGACCTTTTAATGAGTTCACCAGAGAACTACAAAGTGGAAGTAATTGTCTTCCTGGACAATCTACTTTGTTTCTTTCCTGCCTTTAAAGAAAAAAAAAAAACTAGTTATATATGATTTTTACAATTTTGTATTCTTTTTCTCTGAACATTTTTCATAGTATGCTTTGTAAATATTATTGTTAGAAAAATGTTGGTACATGAAATCCATGGTCATGATCATTATAGAAAAGAAAACATAGGCCCAGCACACATGGCTCACACTTGTAATCTCAGCACACTGGGAGGCCGAGGTGGGCGGATCACTTGAGACCAGCTTGGGCAACATGGCAAAACCCCATCTCTGCAAGAAATACAAGAATACAAAAATTAGCCCGGCATGGTAGCGTGCACCTGTAGTCTCAGCTACTCAGGAGAATGAGGTAGAAGGATTGCCCCCGTCTCTACTAAAAATACAAAAAATTAGCCGGGCGTAGTGGTGGGCGTCTGTAGTCCCAGCTACTCTGGAGGCTGAGTCAGGAGAATGGCGTGAACCCGGGAGGCGGAGCTTGCAGTAAGCTGAGATCGCGCCACTGCACTCCAGCCTGGGAGACAGAGCGAGACTCCGTCTCAAAAAAAAAAAAAAAGGATTGCTTGAGCCTGGGAGGTCGAGGCTGCAGTGAGGCCTGATCGCGTCACTGCACCCCAGCCTGGGTGACAGAGCAAGACTCTGTCCCAAAAAAATGAAAATAAAATGCAGATAACCAAAAAAAGTCACCTTAGAATTCTTTCCTGAAATTATCATTGATGACATCTCTATGATTCTAAACTTCTCTATGCTTGAGTATATATTTTGAAAGAGTTTATACTGGACAAAATGGTCTTTAACTTTTTTTTTTTTTTTTTTAAGACAGGGACACACACTGTTGCCCAGGCTGGAGTGCAGTGGCGCAATCTTGGTTCACTGCAACCTCTGCCTCCTGAGTTCAAGTGATTCTCACACGTCAGCCACCCTAGTAGCTGGGATTACAGTCATGTACCACTATGTCCAGCTAATTTTTTTTTTTTTCCCGAGATGGAGGCTCACTCTTGTTGTCCAGGTTGTCCAGGTTGTCCAGGCTTGGAGTGCAGTGGTGCTATTTCAGCTCACTGCAACCTCCGCCTCCTGGGTTCAAGCAGTTCTCCTGCCTCGGCCTCCTGAGTAGCTGGGATTACAGACACGTGCCACCATGGCCAGCTTGTGTGGGTGTGTGTGTTTAGTAGAGACAGGGTTTCACCATGTTGGTCAGGCTGGTCTTGAACTCCTGAGCTCAGGTGATCTGCCCTCCTTGGCCTCCCAAAGTGCTGGGATTACAGGCATGAGCCACTGCACCCGGTCTAATTTTTGTATTTTTAGTAGAGATGTGGTTTCACCATGTTGGGCAGGCTTGTCTCAAACTCCTGGCCTCAAGTGATCTGCCCGCCTTAGCCTCCCAAAGTGCTGGGATTACAGGTGTGAGCCACTGCATCTGACCGGAAATGGTCTTTAATGTATTTTTGCTCAATTAACAACACTTCTGGGTCTTTATTGTCTTTTTTATGGCTATTTGATATTCACTTTTTAGAGAATTAATGCCTGTATTGGTGGACATTTAGGTTGTTTCCAATTTTTCACCATTATAATGGATAATTATAAAAGCAAATAGTTGGAAACATCCTAGACGTCCAACCCACTATGGGGACTGGTTAATGACATCCTGTTATGAATACTGGAGACAGATTTTGCAATTCTTAAATTATAAATTGTGAAAATGCAGGGTCTGCCCCCACCCCGAAATCTATTTTGGAAATAACTGTATTTGTGTGTGTATATATTATGTTATTGTCAGGTTGTAAGCTTTACTAGCAGAGAGCAATTTTTAAAGCTTTAAAAGAACACTGAGCTAGATCTAGCTTCTGGCTCTGCATGTATATTGATTAGTGGTGTGCCTTGAGAAACCAGAACTCTTCTGAATTTCAGTTTTGTCTCTGTGTAAAATGAAGAAGGTTGAAATAAAAAATTCTCAGGTTTCCTTCCAGGCTCTGACCTTCTCCATGTGATTCTGATAGTTACCTCCTCTATTACGTCCTAGAAGTGGGATTACCAATGGACAGAGCATTGACATTTTGTGGTTCTGGCTACATGTGCCATATTTCTTTCTGACAAAATATTTGTTTTGTAAAACATTCTTACTGACATTGATTATTATTTTAGCGAATTCTAGAAGTTTGAAACATGAAATAGTACCTTTTGCTTTAATATATTTCATTTTACTTGTAGTAAGTGTAGACTTTTGCCTTTATCACTGGCCACCCAAGATCTAGTATCTTCCTCATCTCTTCAGTTGGAGCAAAGTTTACTAAGTTTATTGCCTCTGCACCTCTCATTCCTTGAGAAGATAGATTACAGCTACAGAGACGGTCTTTTGTTTACGCTTAGGTTTCTTATTTGCAGCTTATGTTTATTCAGAGCCAAGGCCAGGTCCAGCTGACTATTGAGCTTCTGGACACAGAAGAGGAGAATTCGGATGACCCTGTGGAAGCAGAGGTATGAGCAAGTACATCACAGACCCCAGGTGCCAAGCAGAGCTGGCGTGCCTTGAGAGTCTGTCCAGTGACCCTGTCTGCCAAAAGGCCAAGGCACCTCAGGCCTGTTTAAGGGTCAGGACCTGGATGCTTAAAGTACAAGTCAATCCAGCCATGTCTTCAGCTGAAGAGACGGGCTGCCTGGTTATAGATGTTAACCTCATCTTGCACTTAGTAAAGCTATCTCCTCTAAGGAAGTCTTATGGTTGGCAGCTTTCCTGTTTTTTCCTAAAGTATAAAAAACAACAAATGAGGTCTTTCTCATGTCATCTTGATTCTTTGTGTCATGTTTACTTTTTATTGGACTGATAAAGTCCAGAGTTTTCAACCCCTGAATAGACAGGTGTGATTATCATAGTTGGTTATGGCAGATAATGTACACAGGAGATGCAGGCCATATGTATGATGTTGGGGGGGGTCGTGTGGGATGACTTGTTTTGGTGGGAATGTTGGCTTGTTGGCAGATCTTTTTTTTTTTTTTTTTTTTTAAGCGATGTCAGAAATCTAGATTGTAATGTGAAGGAAACTTTCACACATTTGCCACTATAAATTTTGTTCTTTAACAAAATGCTCTGTGGGGAAATGAAACTTGTCAGTGAGCCAGCTTCTACCTGTTTATGACTTCTCATAACCTTAGCACCTCAGAAACTTAGCAGTATTGCTGGCTAACAGAATTTTTAATCCGTGTTCCAATACCTACTAACAATCATGTCTTTATAGAAAGGGACTTTTTTGATCTTGAAATTTATGAATTCGGGGCATTGTAATCATAGAATTTACTAGAGTGCCCAATGCATTAGGAGCTGTTTTTGTGATTTCCTTCCACCTGTATTTTGTGTTTGCCATCTTAGCGCTGGTCAGACTACGTGGAGCGATACATGAATTCAGATACTACCTCGCCTGAGCTTCGTGAACATCTAGCACAGAAACCAGTATTTCTCCCCAGGTGAGTGAGCCATGTCATCTGTCAGCAGTCCATACTGTGCATGATTGAGGAATGGAGAGTTAAATGACTTTCACGTTCTTGGCCTTCACATATTTTATTCATTTGTTCTATCTGCTGGGGATGCTAATTCAAGGTTTTATATGGCTGTCACAACATGAGCTTACCTGGAGCATGTGTCAAAGCATCTGGGAGGTGAGAGTTGTAGAGAATCAACAATAACCTCCGTACTTTGGATGGGAATGTGTGTCAGAGTCTCCATGGTTCGATGGAAGAGGACTCACAGGACTCTGCATATAGTCAGACTGATTTAGTACAGCGAGAAGATGCAAAGCAGAATCAGCAAAGCGAAAAGGTGCCTGTGGCAAAGCTGGAGGAAGCCAGGCTCAAGCTTCCTAGAATCCTCTCCCAGTGGAGTCACACAGGACACTCTTAATTCTTCCAACAATGAATGTGACAACACATGCAAAATGCTGTCTACCAGGGCAGCTCATTAGAGACTCTGTGCCAGGATTTTTATTGAGATGTAGTCATCTAGGCACTGTATGCCTAGCATGTACCAAAATCCCAAACTCTCAGAAAGAAAGCACATTTTCAGCATAAGCTATAGAGTTTGTACAAATAGTTTAGGTACAGTGAGACACTTATATGAGTTAAGGAATGGTAGAACATTGCCCAAAATCCAAGATCCCAGCCCCCAGCCAAGGGCCAACTTTTATAAGCAGGCTTTTCAAAGAATAGCAATCTTAGGCCTGCTACATTAACTCTTTTCTGCACAGAATTTTAAAAATGTTCCCTCTGTGTATAGGCAGATTGTGATACTGATCCTCCAAGTATATGAAAACAGTTTAAGAAGTATAAAATGGGTAGAATGGCTTTCTTCCTTCCTAAAAGTTTTGAATTGAAATCTTATGTCTTAGGTTTCCAAGAAAGTATCATCCCAGTGTTATTAGACTTATTGAGTCCTAATGAGAACATGGGAAAAGAGATACCAGCAAAAAGGGCCCTGCCGGGTTCTCCATTCATTGAATCATTTAACACATTTGAGCAGTTGCTCTGTGTCAGGTTCCTCTCAACAAAACAGGCTCCATGCTAATAACATACTACAATAAACCTGTCATCATGTGTCTCTCACCATGATATGAGGAAGGAGGCACATTTATGTACTGTGAGGAAAAGGAAATTGATATAATCGTTCTGGTGGCAGGGTAGTTGAAGTGTATGGAATCTTCCCTCCAGAATTTCAGTTTCTAATGATTTGTCTGACAGCTAAGGGGCTCATCTTATTGGCCTTGAGACCCCTTACACTCTTAGAGCATGAGTACTCCAAAAAGCTTTTGTTTATATGGATTATACTAGTAATATTTACCAAGTTAGAAATAAAAACAAAGAAATGTTTTCAATCTTTAATTCATTTGAAAAATAACAATATTGGGCTGGGCGCAGTGGCTCACGCCTGTAACTCCAGCACTTTGGGAGGCCGAGGCTGTGGATCACGAGATCAGGAGATCGAGACCATCCTGGCTAACACAGTGAAACCCTGTCTCTACTAAAAATACAGAAAATTAGCTGGGCATGGTGGCAGGCGCCTGTAGTCCAAGCTACTCGGGAGGCTGAGGCAGGAGAATTGCTTGAACCGGAAGGCGGAGGTTGCAGTGAGTGGAGATCGCACCACGGCACTCCAGCCTGGGTGACCGAGTGAGACTCTGCCTCAAAAATAAAATATATATATATATATATATATCCCTATTATATTTTCTTAAATAATATTTTTTAATGAAAAGCTAATTCAAAACAAAAATTAGTGAATAGAGTGGCATTGCTTATATTTTATAAATTTGTTTAGTGTCTGGCTTACCAGAAGAACAGCTGGATTCTCATGTCTGCTTCTATATTCAATCTGTTGCATTATGTATGTTGTTTGATTGAAATATGTGAAGAAAATCTGGCCTCACGCAAATGTGTAGCTGGAAAAAGGAATATTTTCAGATCCTTCAGATAACTGGATATTCTTTGATATGACAACAAAACTACCAGTGATAGTTTTTGTTTTTGTTTTTCTTTTTTGAGACGGAATTTCGCTCTTGTTGCCCAGGCTGGAGTGCAATGGTGTGATCTCAGCTCACTGCAACCCCTGCCTCCCAGGTTTAAGTGATTCTCCTGCCTCAGCCTCCCGAGTAGCTGGGATTACAGGCATGTGCCACCACGCCCGGCTGATTCTGTATTTTTAGTAGAGATGGGATTTCTCCATGTTGGTCTGGCTGGTCTTGAACTCCTGACCTCAGGTGATCCTCCCACCTCGGCCTCCCAAAGTGCTGTGATTACGGGTGTGAGCCACTGCACCCGGCCCCAGTGATAGTTTCTTAAAGGTTAGTTGGAATATCAATTTATACATCAGTGGGCTTTTCATGCAGTTGTAAAAATCCATTGATTTATTTTGTATCATGAATGAATCTTTTTTTCCTCTATGATTTTGTAACTTTACGCAATTGGCTATTTGGAAAATAAGTTATACACACCTACTAAATGTTGATATATTTTACAGTGTCTCCAAAAGAAATCACATTGATTTAATATCGCTATCGCTAGGTCATCAAACACATCTTTAAGTATTGGGAAGCTGTCAAGCTCAGGGTGGCTGATACCAGTTCACCAAAATTCATAGTTTTGCTTGAAAATTCCAGTCTTACCATTGGCAACATTGTTTTCCTTGAAGTGATAGGCTCCCTTGTTCATTTTTGAGAAAACATCTGCCAAATACTTGGCTGAGATTGACTATATTTAGTCAGTTGTTCTTTCGGGTAAAAATGATGATCCACTTACAACTCAAGCAATTGCTCAAGTGCTTTTCTATAAGAATACCATTGTACTTTAGCACACAAAGGTGCTTTATGTGTAGTTCCCATTTTATCACACAGCATGTTAAAAAGATGTAAATTGAGGGGTTGGGATTTAATAGAAAATGTTACTGCTTCATCAGAAACTTTTTTTTTCTTTTTTTTTTTTTGAGGCAGAGTCTCACTCTGTTGCCCAAGCTGGAGTGCAGTGGCGCGATCTTGGCTTACTGCAGCCTCCACCAGCCAGGTTCAAGTGATTCTCCTGTCTCACCCTCCCGAATAGCTGGGATTACAGGTGCGCGCCACCACTCCCGGCTAATTTTTGTACTTTTATTAGAGATGAGGTCTCCCCATGTTGGCCAGGCTAGTCTCAAACTCCTGACCTCAAGTGATCTGCCTGCCTCAGCCTCCCAGAGTGCTGGGATTACAAGCATGAGCCACTGTGACTGGCCCATCAGAAACATTCTTAAGTGAAACTGGCTTTTTTCACTTAATGTCATTGTATGGTCAGTGTGAAGTTCAAAGACTTGAATTGCAGTCGCATGAAGGTGCAAAATCATGGAAGTAAAATGGATTCATTGATGGTACAAGATAAACCAACAGAGTTTGACAACTGTATGAAAAGCTCAGTGATGTACAAATTGATATTGGAATTTGGTAACAATTTGTTCGATATTGCAAATACAGTTTGGCGCCACCACCAGCATTTTTGTTCACCATTACTTTAATGGTGCCAGTGCAGATGTCAACACAGCAAAAAAGGGAAATAATGTTTTAGTATTATTATGAGAATAGTTTTGATCTCACAGATCTCCTGAAAGGGTCCTGGGACCCTTTGGACAAAGAACTGCTGTCTACAGAAATACTTGTATACAAAGATTCTCACTGAAGCAATATTTTGGGCTGGTTGGTTTTTTTTTTTTTTTTTTTTTTTTAAGACAGTGTCTGGCTCTGTGTCCCAGGCTATAGTACAGTGGTGGGATCTTGGCTTTCTGCAACCTCCGCCTTCTGGGCTCAAACGATCTTCCCACCTCAGCCTCCCAAGTAGCTGAGACTCTAGGCACACGTCACCACACCTGCCTAATTTTTTTTTTTTTTTTGTAGAGAAGGGGTTTTTGCCATGTTGCCCAGGCTAGTCTCAAACTCCTGAGCTCAAGCAATCCACCTGCCTCCCAAAGTGCTGGGATTATAGGCATGAGCCACAGTGGCCAACCTGAAGCAGTGTTTTTAATAGCAAGTTATGAGAAACAATATAATTGTCTAGCTGATAACTTTTTTCACTGGATGTTGAGATTTAGCAAGCCTACCACCCCTCAGGGCATCCATTCATGTGAATTATCTTCTTTCTTGTGTATGTAGAATGGCACTAGTTTATATCATCTGGGGGAATTTTTAAAAATAGTCATTCAAATAAATTTTTGTTATGTGGTTCAGATGAGGAACCTCAGTTGAAAGAAACTGTTAAGGAATGGTAAATTGGGGTACATTTTTCTGCAGCAGTTAAAGAGAATAAGACAAATCTATCATGAAATGAAAAAATATTCATGACAGTAAGTGAAAAGTTGAGGACAAAATATATAGTATGATCCTATTTTGTCTTAAAAACAAATCCCAAAGCAGAACTGTAGCTGGTAATTACATGTGTAAATTTACAGACAGAGGCCTAGAAGTTTCTCATTAAAACTCTTAACTGGCTACATCTGCTAAGTCAAGTAGGGGATGGGTGAAGATTTCTGCTTTTTATTCTGTGTACCTTTGCAGTTGAAATTTTTTTTGCAGTGAAACAACTGAACATTTGTGTATGTATTTAACAAATTGGGATGAGTACTATGCAAGCATATAATAAAGAAAACTCACTTTGGGGAAGTCACGGGAATCTGCATCTGGACGAGCTCTCATCCTCCGGGGCTTTTCTGCAATAGGAATCTACGGCGGATCCGGAAGTGTCAACGTGGTCGAGAGCAGCAGGAAAAGGAAGGGAAGGAAGGAAACAGCAAGAAGACCATGGAGAATGTGGATAGTCTGGATAAGCTGGAGTGTAGATTCAAGCTGAATTCCTACAAGATGGTGTATGTGATCAAATCAGAGGACTATATGTATCGGAGGACCGCCCTGCTCCGGGCTCATCAGGTGAGAACCAGTAACTGAAATTTCTGTACACATCTCCCACCCTAGCTAGGACCAGGGGAGGCCCAGAGTCTTCTGATTGTTTTTCTTTGTTTATGCAAACCTGTTCTTGGAGCTGAGACTTAACTGAGGAAGTACGTATGTTGGTTGCTAAGGATGCTGTGACAAAGTACCACAGACTGTGGCTTAAATGACAAAAGTTGTGGAGACTAGAAGTCCAAAGTCAAGTGTCAGCAGTGTTGGTTCCTTTTGAGGACTGTGAGGGACAATCTCTTCTAGGCCTCTCCTAGCTTCTGGTTCTTTGCTGGCAATCTTTGGCATTCCTGGGCTTGTAGATCCCTGCCTTCATCTTCATATGGTGTTCCTACCTGTGTGTGTGTGTCTGCCTCCAGATGAGGTCACATTCGGAAGTACTGGGGGCTAGGACTTCAATGTATGATTTTTTGTTTGTTTGTTTGAGACAGAGTCTCACCTGACACAGCCTCTCAAAGTGCTAGCATTACAGGCGTGAGCCACCATGCCCGGCCAACATAAGAATTTTAAGGAGAATACAGTTCAGCCTGTAAGAGCACGTAAATACCCGGTGGCACCTTTTTGGTGAATTTACTCCCAGTATTTACATCTCAAGTAGTATCTGATCTTTTGCTTGTATGAATCCTACCTGTCTTTACATTCTGTCTCAATTGTGAAACCTTCCTGGTGCAGCTGCGTATAGGGTGTTATGCCAGGCCCTGGGACTACAGCCATGAAGTAGAGCAGATGAAGTAATGCGATGATATGCACTACCAGGGAAACAAATCAGGTGAAGTGATCAAGGGTAACTAGCATACAGGCCTTGCTTTCACTGGAGGAGGCTTCTCAAAGGAGGTGATGCTTGAGGCCTGAATAATGACAAGGAATTAGCCTGGTGAAGAGTAGAGGATGGGTGTTTTCTAGACAAAAGAGCTAGTACAAGGCTGGGAGGAAAGGACTTGGCATATTCAAGAAATTACAAACACCATTGTGGCTCAAGGTTGCATGAAGTTAGAAGGGTAGGCAGAGGCCACATCACTTTGTCTAATGATAGGCCATGGTTTGTAATTTGTTTGAGATGCACTGGGACATTTGACAAAGATAGCTTGGAGTTCTGTGAGGACAGTGGAGATGGGTATATATAAAGTTGGAAGAGCAGAGACCACTCAAAAGGGTGCCCTTGTCCAAATGAGATGTGGGGGCCACCCGTACTACTAGGGTGGCAGTGGAATTGCAAGAATTACATTGTAGACTTTATGCATTTATTTTTGAGACAGAGTTTCGCTGTGTCTCAAACCATGCCTGGCTGATTTTTTGTATTTTTAGTAGAGATGGGATTTCACCATGTTGGCCAGGCTGGTCTCGAACCTGACCTCAAGTGATCCACCCTCCTCAGCCTCCCAAAGTACTGGGATTACAGGCGTGAGCCACCACGCCCAGATGTAGATATTATTTAGATATTTAATTGACAAGAGATGGTGTTGGATCAAATGTGGGGGTAAGCAAAAGAAGGACATCAAGGATGGTGCCTGATTAGTTTTGGGGTTTTTTGGTTTGTTTTGTTTTGCTTAAGTGGAGATTTTAGGGGCTCACCTGTTAATAGGAAAGGGTTATGAGGTTTGGGAGACAGATGAAGTGCTGTTTTAAGTTTGAAAGGACTACAAAACTTTCAAATGGGAGATGTTGAGCAGACAGTTTAATGTATAATTAACCCTTTAACGACAAGGGGTTTGGGGCACTGGCCCCTGCACAGTCAAATCTGTGTATAATTTTTGACTCCCCCAAAATGGAACTACTGATAGTCTACTACTGACTGGAAGGCTTACTGATAAACAACATATTTTGTATGTTGTATGTATTATATATACTGCATTCTTTTTTTCTTTCTTTTTTTTTTTTTTAATGAAAATAGACACGGGGTCTCCTTACGTTGCCCAGGGCTGGTCTCAAACTCAAGGGTTCAAACAACCCACCCATTTCAGCCTCCTAAAGTGCTGGGATTACAGGCGTGAGCCACTGTGCCCAGCCTATACTGTATATTCTTACAATAAAGTAAGTTAGAGAAAAGAAAATGTTAAGTCATAAGCAAGAGAAGATACATTTACTCTTCATTAAGTGGTTGTGGCTCATCATAAAGGGTCCTTATTCTCATCTTGTTGAGTAGGCTGAAGAGGGAGGAGGAAGGGAGGGGTTGTTTTTGCTGTCTCAGGGTTGGCAGAGGTGGAAGAAAACTTGCCTATCAGTGGCCCTGCGCTGTTCAAAGCTGTGTTGTTCAAGAGTCTGCTCTACTTCTCTCATGGCACTGAGGGAAGCGCAGTGGCATGATTTCAGCTCACTGCATCCTCCACTTCCCGGGTTCAAGAGATTCTCTTGTCTCAGCCTCTCGAGTAGCTGGGATTACGGGCGTGCACCACCACACCTGGCTCATTTTTTTTGCTATGTGTTGTGTGTCTGCCTGTCTCTGATTCACATTATTTGGGACACTGGGCAACACCAGTTTTGTCTTTGTATCTCTTCTAGTATCCTTGCATGTGGACACCAATAAATTTTTATTGAATGTGTTGGTGGGAACAGAACCCCCTGCAGAACATCTGCCAAGCCTGGACTCTGCTTCCCAGGGTGGGGTAACACAGTGGAGGGAGAGTGGTTTTAAGCCCTTTGCTTTGCACTGTCTGGCTTAGAGGTGGATCTCCATGCTGATAGAAGTGATCAATGGCTCACTGGGTCCTACCCAGGATACATTAGAATCAGCTGGATTGCTGGTTTAAAATGCACATTGGTAAACCAAGGAAATGTGGGTTTTGGGGGTTTTGGGTTTTTTTTTTTTTTTTTTTTGGAGACAGGGTTTGGCTCTGTCATCTAGGCTGGGGTGCGGTGGTGCGATCTTGGCTCACTGCAGCCTCCACCTCCTGGCTCAAGCGATCCTCCCACTTCAGCCTACCAAGTAGCTGGGACTACAGGTGTGTGCCACCACGCCCAGTTATTATTTGTATTTTTGTAGAGATGGGGTTTTGCCATGTTGCCCAGGCTGGTCTCAAACTCCTGAGCTCAAGCGAACTGCCTGCCTCAGCCTCCCAGAGTACTAGGATTACAGGCATGAGTCACTGCACCTGGTCAGAAATGTGTATTTTTTAACACATTCCCTCGGTTATACTAACGCATGCTAAAATTGAGAACAGCGAGCTTTTTCAGCCCAGAGCCTGTGTTCGCATTTCTTTGGAGGCTTTATGGATTTTCATGCCCTCACATGTTCTATGTTCTTACCTCTTTAACTTCTCTTTAAACAGAGAATCCTTTTTTTTTTCTTTTAAGAAAAAAACAGTGGTATCTAAGACTTGAGCCCACATCTTTCCTTTGCTCCTTTAGAAGAAAATTAGGCTTTGTATTTGAAGGGCTCTTTTTTGGTTCTGCTTCATTTAATAAAATTTTTTTTTTCTGTTTTGCAGTCCCATGAGCGTGTAAGCAAGCGTCTACATCAGAGATTCCAGGCCTGGGTAGATAAATGGACCAAGGAGCATGTGCCCCGTGAAATGGCAGCAGAGACCAGCAAGTGGCTCATGGGTGAGGGGCTGGAGGGCCTGGTGCCCTGTACCACCACCTGTGATACAGAGACCCTGCATTTTGTGAGCATTAACAAGTATCGTGTCAAATACGGCACAGTATTCAAAGCCCCTTAACTGCAAAGCCAGAGCAGATAACTTGGGGTGTGTGTGGGGATGTGTGTGTGGGCCTATGCACTCACACACTGAAGAAACAAGGAAGATGCCTTTCAAGCCTCACTGGGCCTCTCTGGGACATGGCCACCTGACCTGTGTGTGGCTGGTGCAGCCTGGCACCAAGTGGGCTACCTGTTAGGAACATGAATACCTTACAAAGCTGAAGCTGGAACTTTTCCCAAAGGGTTTTGGGTATAGCCTGCCCTGGAGGGGAAGGAAGTCCATGCAAGCAAAGACATGCAGTTTGCTTGCACACACCAGCAGAGCTAAGACTGGAGTCTCCTGTGGCCTAACTTTCAATGAGGGAACCGGATGCTGTTCACACTTTGACTGGATGGAGATGCATTTACAAAACAGACTGGAGAAGGACTTAATACTCAGATGGATTGGAACTATCATGGTCACTGCTCCTCTCCCCTCCCCACAAAAGGAAAAAAAAGCTGGATTTGATTTTTTTTTTCTGGTCACTCGAGCACATCTAAGATCACCCATTAGGTTTTATCTGGGACCTGCAGTTTGGCTTTGGGATTGATCATCTTGTGGATTTTATTCCTGACGATTCCCTTGCTGCCTACCCTTTTCTCTCCTCTGGTTCTCAACCTCAACGAGTTCAAATCAGTTGTCCTTTTTAGCTCCCGTGGAACTGTTTTGTATCTGCCTCTTTACTAGTCTACCTTAGTGCCATCCACCAGCTTTACTCTCTGACACACACACGCACACACACACACAATTTTAACTTGTTTTTTTGTACATAATGTACATACTGTCAATTTTTTATTAAAAGAAATATGCTTTGATGTGCTAGCATAACTGCTCTAGCTTCTTGTGTACCATAGTACTGTGGCTTCAGATTTAGTACCTATGAACAGATGTACAAGACATTTATTACACTTTTTACCAAAGGGAGTTACCATTGTAGTACTTTTGTGTAAAACTTGTCTTCCCCTTTGCCCCCAACTTTTTTTTTTTTTTTTTTGTAAATAAATAAAGCTTGGTTCTTACTTAAGGAATAAACTCTCAACCCACGTCCCTTGTCCTCACCAGAAAATACTGTGAAGCAGGGATTTTGACTTCAGTTCCTTATCCAGGGTAGAAACAGGATTTTGCTTAAAATACTTGTTACTTGTCCCAAATCAAAATATTCCAAAATCTTAGAATACTTAAGTCTTTTAGTACGTGTTTTTTTCCCTTGTTCAAATAATCTGAAAATATTTTATATTTGGGTAAGTTGTCAAGCTATGTAGTTTGTATTTCTATATATTTTTTCTTATTCACATTGGTGATGGATGGGGGTGAGCAACTTAAATACCAAACCAGTGTTTGAAAAAAAAGTGTGCATAAGGCATGTGGTATACCTTATAAATGGAGTTGGGAGGGAGAGAATTTGAAATGGGATACCTATTTTTTTAATTACATAAATTTAAACTAGCAGACATTTAAACATGAATGATTAGGATTTTTCTATGTGGTTAACCTGGACTTTCTGAACAAAGACCAACTGAGCCCCTCCCAGTACTCTGGTGGATTTTTCTTCAGCAACCATTACGCAAGTCTTAGTTGTAACCAGCAATGTTCTGTGTGTTTTATGTTTGCTTTTTAGTTAAAAATCACCACCACCACCAAAAAGAAAAACAAAATTTTTTGGCTCCTGGATTTTCAAAACACATGGTAGACCTCTCTGATTTTAGGCTTTTATTGTTTAAAGACAGTGTCTCGCTTTATGACCCACACTGGAGTGCAGTGCCACGATCATAGCTCACTGCAGGCTTGACCTCCCAGGCTCAAGCAGTCCTCCCACCTCGGCCTCCTGAGTAGCTGCATGCCACCACGCCCAGCTAATTTTTTAACTTTTTGTAGAGACAGGGTCTTGCTATGCTGCCCAGGTTGGTCTCAAACTCCTGGCCTCAAGCTGTCCTCCCACCTCGGCCTCGCAAAGTGCTGAGATTACAGGTGTGAGCCACCCTGGCCTGATTTTAGGCTTTTTTTGTACTGGGGAGAAGAGACTGTGAGCCAAAGTGTAGGGTGCCAAAAAGAGCTTTGTGGGATGAGATTTTAGGGCAAAGCTGGGGCAGTGTCTGACTTGGCGGTGGTCATGTGTACTGATTTAGGGGAAAGATCTTGAGGTTTTCTCAAATAATTCACCTATCCCCGTGTTCCCTCAAGAAAGGTCATGTTGACCTGGAACCATAGGGGAAATTGGTGGGGTGTGATCAGGGTCAGCCCCAGCTGTTGCTGCCCCTGCAGTGTTTTGTCCAGAGCACTTGCCTGCAGGTCAGGATAGGATTTCAAGGCCAGTTCAGGAGAAAGTCCCAACCCACCAGTGCAACCAACAAAAGAGTAAGTTTTACCTACAGCCTGGGTTTTCACAAGTAGCATTTTTATTCCTCCTGCTGTCTGACATCTGAGCTCCAAGCTCTAAACCCAACCTGTATTATATGCAGCAGCAGGTTATCTTTGTTTTAAATCACATTTGTTATTCTGTACTTAGTCACCTTTCCGTGTGATCTGCATTTGAAATGTTGTAAACTTGGTCAGTATTTCCATTAAAATATCAGGGCTAATCTTGTGTATTTTTTTTTGTTCCTAATGATTTTATAGACAAAGACTCTTGGCAACCCCAGGAGAAAAAAAATAAAGCTGTCAGTGGAGTACTAGGGATGAGAATGAAACTGGAGGTCTGTTTCTGGTATTATGGCTTCCCGGGACTCTACAGTCCTGTATGGTGAAATACATTTTTCCATTGGGATCGTCAATGCCATGACTGTTCTGCCACCTCAAACTCCAGAGTTTCTGGTGATGTGCAAGAGTTAGCAATATACATTCAGTAAAGCGTGTAATCGAGTAAGTCGTAGTAACTTGGGCGTAAAGCTCTACCACCCTGCTCACTAACACCCTGATCTCCGTCCGGTATGAAAACACCTATTCCGGGTAGTCTGGCTCCACGTTAAGCAAACACCACTTTCCGTGTTCACCGACAGCTAGAGCCAGAGGTCTCCCGGTTGCTGCTTCTGAGGCTGGGTCTGCAGCAGCTGAGGCTCCCGCCTGTCTTGCCGAATGGCCTAAGTCTCTGTCTTGAGACTTTCGAGAGTTCTAATCGTCAAATTTCCCATTTTATTTTGAGATTTTCCCTGCGGCCCACTATTTCGGACAACATAGGAGAGCCTCAAAAACAGTTTCTAGCTTCCAACTCGGCTCAAAGTTCAGACAGCAGCTGGGCTTCCGAGAGCCGCCGGTGTTCCAAGAAAAGCTGCCCGGGACTGGGAGGCGCCCTCTGGACGCCGGAACCTTTGGTTTCCTGCCGTGGAGCGGAACGGTAGCGCCAGGGGCCTTCCGGAAAGAGGAGCGAGAGCCCGGCGATGGCGGCTGCGCCGGCCTTGAAGCACTGGCGCACCACGCTGGAGCGGGTGGAGAAGTTCGTGTCGCCGCTCTACTTTACCGACTGTAACCTCCGCGGCAGGTGTGGCCCCTGGTCCCCCGCAGCCGGCCGACCGCAACCGTGCGCCTCAAGCTTTCCTTCCGGGGAGAAACCTAAGCTGCAGCCACCCGGGCCGCGGGACAAAGTGCCCGCCGCGGGCAGGGCAGGGGCCGGGGAGGAGGGGGTAGGGAATGGACTGTGCCGCGGAGCGGCCAGGCAGCCCTCTTGGCGGAGGATCCAGGGAAAGTGCGGCCCCACCGGCCAGCTGGCCCCCAGGCGGAAACGGGGCGGCCTCCAGCATGTGCCCACCGGCCCGTCCCACGCAGGCTTTTTGGGGCCAGCTGCCCTGTGGCTGTGCTCTCCAGCTTCCTGACGCCGGAGAGACTTCCCTACCAGGAGGCAGTCCAGCGGGACTTCCGCCCCGCGCAGGTCGGCGACAGCTTCGGACCCACGTAGGTAACGCCCAGCGGGTGGGCGGGGCCACAGGCCTAGGGGAAGTCCCAACCCAGCTCCCAGCCACACCTTCGTTGTCTGCCCTCTGCCGTAGACAACTACGTGGGATCGAGCAGCACCCTCTGCTGGGAGCAGCACCCTCTGCTGGGAACAGCTCTCTGGTCCCTGGGTCTTCAGGGGATGGTTTTCATTCCCACGTGGCCGCCTCTGGACATCCCTTAGGAAGGGCACCCTAGGGATCACGAACCTTTGACGCCTCTGCCTGTTTCCCTCATCTTGCTTCTCACCTTGTTGCTCCTTTCTTGTGACTCAAAGCTGAGTACCTTGTGACACTGCAGATGCTTGGAGAGTTTCAAGCCCCTGCCGACACTTTATCCAAGGAAGGATATCAGGATAGGACTTCTACCTCTAGGCCTATCACAACAGCTCTCTTGCAGATGGTGGACCTGCTGGTTCCGGGTGGAGCTGACCATCCCAGAGGCATGGGTGGGCCAGGAAGTTCACCTTTGCTGGGAAAGTGATGGAGAAGGTCTGGTGTGGCGTGATGGAGAACCTGTCCAGGTGAGGAACCCTGTCCTAGGGCCAGGTATGGCCACATTTCAGCCCTGAAATGACTACAGCCCTTCTTCTGTGGACTCTGGAGAAGCCACAGCTGAGTTGCTCTGCCCACAGGGTGGTATCAGGATTTCAGGACTAGGGAAGTTGCCACTTGGGCATCTGTGCAATTGGTCCTTAGTTTTTATTGTGTATAATACAAACTTATAGGAAAACATTTCAAACAGTTCTAGATAAAGTAATGGATCTCTCCTTATCACCCATCCCATTCCCCAGCTATAACCACTGTTAAGTGTCTTATTCATGCTCCACCCTTATCAGGTTTAGTCCTTATACTCCTATCTAGTAGGTCTTTATACCCATTTACAAATTAAGAAACAGATGTGTAGTTGACTCACTCAGGTTCACACAGCTTCTATTTCAAATTGGACTGACTCTCAATCTGGGGTTAAGACTGTTCTTCCTGGCTACAAGAAGGCAGAGACCATCCCTTCCTCCCTTCACTGGCTCAGCAAATATCTCCTGGTGTCCATTCTGGGCCATACCCTTAAGCACTAGGGTGTAGCAGGGAATGAGGCAAACCTGCCCCTGACTTCACGGAGTTTCTTTCCCGGTATTTATTTAGGGGTGCAGAGGCCACCAGAATCCACACTCAGGCTGCCTAACCCCTTCCCAGGGCCCTTCCCATAAGACCATGGGTTTGCCACTGGTAAACAGGGGCTATTTGACGGTCATGGTGCTGGCTGCCATGGGAGTTGGGGCATCTACTGCCAAGGGTCCCTGATTTGCCAATCTTGGCCCTGCTTGGGAGAGAGGACCCAGAGCTGGGAACCAGATGGAGGGGCCTGACTCCCCATGGCTTACACTTTACCTGAACTGTCCAAAAGCCTCAAGCCTTGTCTCTCTCACTCCCCTCCCTACTAGGGTTTAACCAAAGAGGGTGAGAAGACCAGCTATGTCCTGACTGACAGGCTGGGGGAAAGAGACCCCCGAAGGTGAGTCCCTGTGCCCTGGTTGACCAGTGCTGTCAGGGAGGGAGTACCAGTGAGCAAGGAGGAGCTGAGGCCCAGAGTGATCTCATAAGCCCGCCTCTGCTCTAGCACAATCATCCTCACATCTCATTGTTTGCTTTTAAAAGCATGATTTTTTCCTAACCATAAAAATAATGGGCTGGGTGCAGTGACCCACACTACCCTGGGAGGCTGAGTGGGAGGATCACCTGAGCCCAGGAGGATGAGGCTGCAGTGAGCCATGATCACACCGCTGCACTGCAGCCTGGGCAACAGAGTGAGACCTTGTCTCAAAAATAATAGCAATGTTTGCCTGTGGTAAATACAGGAAAGCACAAAGAAGTAAATAACTACCGTTATTCCACTCCCTAGAATAGAGATGAACATTATTAACATCTCAGCATTCATGTTCTTTTTTTTGAGACGAAGTCTCCCTCTGTCGCCGATGCTGGAGTACAGTAGCACGATCGCAGCTCACTGTACCTTCTGCCTCCCAGGTTCAAGCGATTCTCATGCCTCAGCTTCCCGAGTAGCAGGGATTACAGGTGTGTGCCACCACGTCCAGCTATTTTTTTTTTATTTTTGGTAGAGAAAGGGTTTCACCGTGTTGGCCAGGCTACTCTCAAATTCTTGACCTCAGGTTATCCGCCCCTCTCAGCTTCCCAAAATGCTGGAATTACAGGCGTGAGCCACCGCACCTGGCCCAGTATTCATGTTCTTGGTGTATCTTTCCGGCATAGTTTTTTTTGTTTTTTCGGGGGGGTTTTTTTGGATTTTTTTGAGACGGAGTTTCGCTTTTGTTACCCAGGCTGGAGTGCAATGGCACGATCTCGGCTCACTGCGACCGCCGCCTCCCAGGTTCAAGCAATTCTCCTGCCTCAGCCTCCCTACTAGCTGAGATTACAGGTGCCCACCACCATGCCCAGCTAATTTTTTGTATTTTTAGTAGAGACGGGGTTTGACTCTGTTGGCCAGGCTGGTCTCAAACTGCTGACCTCAGGCTATCCACTTGCCTGAGTCTCCCAAAGTGCTGGGATTACAGGAATGAGCCACCGTGCCCGGCTCATCCCGGTATAGTTTTTACTAGTTAAGATTGTATCCTGACTTCTTACATTCCATGTTATAACATGGACATTTTATGACACCATTAAAAACACTTCTTAGACATTATGAATGTATTTTATATAGATTGACACTGTTTCAGATGCTTTCAGACACTGGGAGTATGGTGGTGAATAAAATAGCCCTTGCCAACAAAGGGAGACAGATTCACTCATATAATTACAAAACTGAGGGCTCTGGAAGGAAATCCTGGGTACTCCACTGAGGAATTTGCTCTAGACTTAGCAGCGAAGTGGAGTCAGGAAGGCCTCCCTAAGGAAGTCGTGTTTGCTCTCTGAAGCCTAAGTATGGCATCACCACAGCCCAGCCTGTTCTCCAATGAATGGCCCGCCCATGTTGGCCGTGTTGGTTTTAGATCTTGGGTCTAAAAGTTTGAGCCTGGGAGATCCGAACATGATTTTAATATGCAAAGAGGGTTCCAAGACCAAGGCAGTGCTTTGCAAAGACAACTTTGGAAATATAAGACTAAACAGCAGCGTACTTTACATGGTTCCAAACTTTGCTACTTATTCTCTCTGACAGCAAGACATGGGATCCATCTGGTGTTTGTACCACAACCCTCCCACATGCACTCTTGTCACACTGTGGGATCCTCTGGGTAGTGGATCCTGGAAGCAGACAGGTTGGGCTCAGCTGGATGCCTCCTGGGTGCCCCTTCCCCAAGTCCCCGGAGTACTGTGCCAGTCCCTTAGCCTGAGGCTGTCTCCCCATCTTTGTAGCCTCACTCTCTATGTGGAAGTAGCCTGCAATGGGCTCCTGGGGGCCGGGAAGGGAAGCATGATTGCAGCCCCTGACCCTGAGAAGATGTTCCAGCTGAGCCGGGCTGAGCTAGCTGTGTTCCACCGGGATGTCCACATGCTCCTGGTGGATCTGGAGCTGCTGCTGGGCATAGCCAAGGTACTTGACACCCCCTGTACCCCCTGCTACCCTCTAGAGCCCTGCTCCAAGAAGGTTGTTCTTTGGGTCAGATAAATGGGACTCTGGGAATCCAGAGTAGGACGAGGGTTTCCACCTGCTTGAGGGTTGAGAGAATTTTCCTATGTGAAGGGGAGGAGGGAGACGGTGCTGAGCAGGGGGACCAGCAGGGAAAAAGGGTTGGGGGTCAGGGGAGCTCTGCTGAGAGCCCTGAGATCAGTGGAGCCTAGGTCTGGAAGCTGTGCTTGAAAAAGGGATTAAGGGGCAGAACCCTGCTGCAGGGCCTCGGGAAGGACAACCAGCGCAGCTTCCAGGCCCTGTACACAGCCAATCAGATGGTGAACGTGTGTGACCCTGCCCAGCCCGAGACCTTCCCAGTGGCCCAGGCCCTGGCCTCCAGGTTCTTTGGCCAACATGGGGGTGAAAGCCAACACACCATTCATGCCACAGGGCACTGCCACATTGATACAGGTAGGACAGCAGCTGGTTGGGCTGGCTGGGGAAGCAGGAGTGCCCTTGAAGACCTGGATGTGCCCTAGAAGCACTGTGTGATGCTCAGCAAGTTCTTGCTCCTCTTGGACCTGCGTTTTCCCCGTCTGTAAAACGGGGCCGGGGGGCTGGACTGTGGGCTCTGCTTGCTTTGGATTCACTTTTTTTTTTTTTGAGACGGAGTCTCACTCTTGTCACCCAGGGTGGAGTGCAATGGTGTGATCTCGGCTCACTGCAACCTCTGCCTCCCGGGTTCAGGCGATTCTCTTGCCTCAGCCTCCTTAGTAGCTGGGATTACAGGCACCCACCACAATGCCTGGTTAATTTTTGTATTTTTAGTAGAGACGGGGTTTCACCACGTTGGCCAGGCTGGTCTCAAACTCCTGACCTCAGGTGATCCGCCTGCCTTGGCCTCCCAAAGTGCTGGGATTACAGGCATGACCCACCGTGCCCAGCCTCATTTATTCTTTCAACAAAATCTGATGCCTCATGGGGCCCATGCTAGATATTGAGGGTAGGATTACAGAGACAGATTCAGCAGGCAGAGTTGGTGTCACAATGGTGGGGAGTCTGAGGCACTGGAGAGCACAGGAGAGGTACTTACTCCAGCTGGGTTGGGGGATTCCAGAGAGGCTTCCTGGACAAGTTTGCAGTGTCTGAGTTTTACGGGAAATCCACATTTTTAACAAGCTCCTGAAGGTATTGATTCTGATGCAGCCGAAGTTTTGGGATCACAGAACAAGGGCTTTCTCTGCTGTGCCAAGATGTAGGGTAAGGTGTGAGAGGTTCTGGGCTGGTAAGGGAGGAACTGCAGCCTGGGAGTCAGGAGAGGCTGTAGCACCTCTGGTAGGACAGCTGGCTCCATCCTGGGAGCCATGCCTCTGTTCCCAGGTATACATCAAGTTTGTGCAGGGGCAGGGTAGTCCCTGCTACTTCTCGTAGGATCCTCTAGGGGATGTCTAATTCCCCAAGAGGACTGAGGCTATTCTGGGGCCTGGAGCCTCCATTTCCTGACCTGTATAATTGGCCTCATAGCACTGCCGCCTCCTTTCCCCAGCCCCTCCTCCCACCTCGCTGGAGTGAAGTGAAGTGACCACTTAGGAGGGACACCACAGGGCTTTCCAGGGTGAAGGGCCTGGGATGGGAGGGGGGCTAGGTGACCCTCTGGAGTCCCAGCCCAGGCCTGGTCAGCCTTGCTGCTCCCTCTGTCCTCCACCTCACTCCCCGTATAGCCTGGCTTTGGCCCTTCAAAGAGACTGTGAGGAAATGTGCCCGGAGCTGGGTGACCGCCCTGCAGCTCATGGAGCGGAACCCTGAGTTCATCTTTGCCTGCTCCCAGGTCAGAGGGACAGCTGTGAGGGAGGAGGGAAGCACGTGGCCCTCCCTGGAGCTCCACAGGCCCTGAAGGCTTCCCAGGCCTGGGGTCAGGGCTGCTCCTCACCCTCAGCCACACACTGAGTCCCATATGCTCAGTCCTGGGTGGGGCCCTTGTCACTCTGGTCCCAGCTCCCTTCAACCTGCCCACAGGCGCAGCAGCTGGAATGGGTGAAGAGCCGCTACCCTGGCCTGTACTCCCGCATCCAGGAGTTTGCGTGCCGTGGGCAGTTTGTGCCTGTGGGGGGCACCTGGGTGGAGATGGTAAGTGCACTGGGCACTCCTCAGCCTTGAACTGTATGACAACAGCCTTCCCTCAGGTAGCCCCGCCCTCCCGGCTTTGCTGGTGAGTTTCCACGGGCCACTCATCCCCGCTGTGTGGCAGGGCTGGCTCATTAGTCCCTGGGATCTCAAGGCCTGGGACTTCAAGGGGGAGGAGAGCCTCCAGCGCTGTGACAAGTTGCATGGCCTAGTCCTGGGCACCCCCTCAGGCAGATGGACAGTCAGGCCTGAAGGACAGGGGCCCTTCCTGAGTTCTGGCTGTAACTCCCATGTTTGAGCAGCCCTGGCTTCTCCTGCAGGGATTGGGTTGGCCTGAGCGCCTGCCTGCTCCCCGTCCAGCGCTGACCTGGGCTGCCTCCCACTTCCTTCACTGCCAGGATGGGAACCTGCCCAGTGGAGAGGCCATGGTGAGGCAGTTTTTGCAGGGCCAGAACTTCTTTCTGCAGGAGTTTGGGAAGATGTGCTCTGAGGTAGGCTGAGAGCTGCTACACCAGGCTGTGGGCGAGTGGGGCTGGCGCTCGACTTGGAGTGCTGAGGGGCTGAGGCTGGGGTGAGTCCGCCTGGAGCTCTGGTTCCTGCACTCCAGGATCCTCTTTCTCCACAGTTCTGGCTGCCGGACACCTTTGGCTACTCAGCACAGCTCCCCCAGATCATGCACGGCTGTGGCATCAGGCGCTTTCTCACCCAGAAATTGAGCTGGAATTTGGTGAACTCCTTCCCAGTAAGCAGGCCCCCGGGGGGTCAGGGTCAGAGTGGGCCTCAGTCCCGCCTGGCCCATTTGCCTCTCCCCCTTATTGTGGGGTCCTAGACAGACCACCAAACCCTCACTCTGCCTCTGCCAGGGTCACATAGCAGGCAGGGGCAGGACCAAGTCTGGAAGGCCTGGCTCTGCCTCAGCCCTGACTCTGGCCTCTCTGCCCTGCTTCTGTTTCCCTGCTGGTAGCACCATACATTTTTCTGGGAGGGCCTGGATGGCTCCCGTGTACTGGTCCACTTCCCACCTGGCGACTCCTATGGGATGCAGGGCAGCGTGGAGGAGGTGAGGGGTCACCTAGGGTGGTGGGGTAGGGGCAGGCTGGAGAGGGCTGGCTTGTTCCAGGCTGATCCATGCTGGCCTGCCCTCACCTGTCTAGGTGCTGAAGACCGTGGCCAACAACCGGGACAAGGGGCGGGCCAACCACAGTGCCTTCCTCTTTGGCTTTGGGGATGGGGGTGGTGGCCCCACCCAGACCATGCTGGACCGCCTGAAGCGCCTGAGCAATACGGATGGGCTGCCCAGGTCAGGCCAGGCCTTGGCTCTCCTTTAGCCCCACCCTGGGCCCTTGCCATGAGCCCTGCCTTCCCTCAGACATTGGGCCCAACCCCTCCTCTGGACCTTGTCCTGTCCCAATCCTAGACCACGGGTTCCTCCAAACTTCCACCCTGGGGGTGGGTGGGGGAGAAGCTGAAGCTGGTAAGGGCTCCAGCCCATCAGAGAGAGAGGCTCTCCTAGGGCGTCCAGGGCTGGCCATCTGTGAACGGGGAGCTTTCTGGAGTGGCTCCTCTCTGTAGGAGCTGGATCCTTTGCTTTGGTGTGGAAGAAGGGTGAGCCATGTGGTCTCCAAGGCTGGGAGACCTAGGCTTGTGGTCTCCTCAGGGTGCAGCTATCTTCTCCAAGACAGCTCTTCTCAGCACTGGAGAGTGACTCAGAGCAGCTGTGCACGTGGGTTGGGGAGCTCTTCTTGGAGCTGCACAATGGCACATACACCACCCATGCCCAGGTCAGGGGGAGGTTGCAGGGCTGTGCAGGGAGGGTGTGCCCTTGATCTGCAGAGGGTCAGAGAAGGCAGCAGGGGACAGAGCCCAGGCCAGATCTAGGGGAAGAGAAGTTTGGAGGAGAGAAGTTCAAGACCTGGGTTGGTCAAGAAAGCTTGAAGGAGGCAGAAACCCCTGAAGAAAGAAGGGTTTGGGCTGCGGGGAGAAGAGGGAAGGCATTTAAGGCAGGTCACCCGCCAGAGGCCTTCTCCACGAGGCCCTTGGTGAGTCCTCAGGGATTCTGAGCAAGGGAGGGCTTTGGAAGGTGTCCTGGGACAGCTAAGCAGGCTCCAGACTAATCTTCCCATCCTGGGCTCAGATCAAGAAGGGGAACCGGGAATGTGAGCGGATCCTGCACGACGTGGAGCTGCTCAGTAGCCTGGCCCTGGCCCGCAGTGCCCAGTTCCTATACCCAGCAGCCCAGCTGCAGCACCTCTGGAGGTCAGCCCAGTTCTGTCCCTGCCATCCACCTGACTGCTCACTGCAGTTACCTCTGTGCCTGCCCCTCCCAGCCTTCCCATCCCTGCCCTTGGCCCCTGCAGGCTCCTTCTTCTGAACCAGTTCCATGATGTGGTGACTGGAAGCTGCATCCAGATGGTGGCAGAGGAAGCCATGTGCCATTATGAAGGTTAGGCTCACAATAGTCCTGCCTGCTCTCTCCAACCCCAGGGCTGAGCCCAGAGTGTCCCCTGTGGGATACCCATGGGCACATTCCAGACCTGTTGCCCACCTATGACCAGCCAGTCTTTCCTCAGACATCCGTTCCCATGGCAATACACTGCTCAGCGCTGCAGCCGCAGCCCTGTGTGCTGGGGAGCCAGGTCCTGAGGGCCTCCTCATCGTCAACACACTGCCCTGGAAGCGGATCGAAGTGATGGCCCTGCCCAAACCGGGCGGGGCCCACAGCCTAGGTACGAGCTGAGGGGAAGGGTTGCTACTGCAGCAGGAAGGATGGAGGCCAGACAGATCAGGCCTGGGATACCCCGAGGGATCTGGGTGCCCCTGACTGGAGAGTAGTAGCACATCTTCCACCAACCCATCCCCACCTGCGCAAGCTTCCTGAAAGGTCAGGAAGGCTGCACTGATGCCCAGGCCTCACCCCCAGCCCTGGTGACAGTGCCCAGCATGGGCTATGCTCCTGTTCCTCCCCCCACCTCACTGCAGCCCCTGCTGCCCCAGCAGCCTGTGTTCGTAGTGCAAGAGGTGAGTCCTGCATGCCCTGGGGGGCAGGAACTGTGCTGGGATACTTTCTTACAACTGAGGGTCCTGAGCTCCCCTGTCTGGAGCAAGTGGTGAGGCGGGGCTGGGGTTGGGGTGGGAAGACTTTTGGTGTGGGAAGCCCCTACAGACTCAGCCTCAAGGCCTCCTCCCACAAAGACTGATGGCTCCGTGACTCTGGACAATGGCATCATCCGAGTGAAGCTGGACCCAACTGGTCGCCTGACGTCCTTGGTCCTGGTGGCCTCTGGCAGGTGCCAAATCCTCATTGCCCTTTCCCAGTGCCTGGCAAGTAGACCCCAGGCCATTTCCTCTCTCCCCTTGCCACAACACTGCCCACAGCAGCCCACCAGTGGCTCTGGGCTGGAACCCACACATGGAGCAGGGCAGGCTGGGCAGTAGTCCCCTGTCCACTGGGTCTACTCACTCCACCCTACCCCACCAAGAGCAGCTGGAGACAGCGAGGTCAGTTGGTTGTACAGCACCAATCCCATGTCCTTCCAGGGAGGCCATTGCTGAGGGCGCCGTGGGGAACCAGTTTGTGCTATTTGATGATGTCCCCTTGTACTGGGATGCATGGGACGTCATGGACTACCACCTGGAGACACGGTATAGGCTGGGCAGCATGTGGGGATGGTGGAGGTGGTGGGAACACAGGCTGCTCTGGATCAGTATGTCCACCCCTGTCCCATAGGAAGCCTGTGCTGGGCCAGGCAGGGACCCTGGCAGTGGGCACCGAGGGCGGCCTGCGGGGCAGCGCCTGGTTCTTGCTACAGATCAGCCCCAACAGTCGGCTTAGCCAGGAGGTTGTGCTGGACGTTGGCTGCCCCTATGTCCGCTTCCACACCGAGGTAGTCGGGGGGTAGGGGGTGGCTGTTTTCCCCAAGTGTGCTTGGTAAGGAGGGGCCAGCCCCAGGCCTTGGTGTGTCTCTTCCTTCCCTGACTCCCACCCTCCTTCCCACTCCCAGGTACACTGGCATGAGGCCCACAAGTTCCTGAAGGTGGAGTTCCCTGCTCGCGTGCGGAGTTCCCAGGCCACCTATGAGATCCAGTTTGGGCACCTGCAGCGACCTACCCACTACAATACCTCTTGGGACTGGGCTCGATTTGAGGTCTGACATGGCAGGGTGGGAGTGGCCTTGGACTCCTCCCTGGCTGGGGAGACTGCTTGTGTGGAACAGGCTGGGGAGGAAGAGGATAATCAACATTTGCTGCTTCCTAACGTGTGTGCCAGGCATTGCACTAAATGCTTTACATTGGCAAGGCACAGTGGCTCACGCCTGTAATTCCAGCACTTTGGGAGGCCGAGGTGGGTGGATCACCTGAGGTCAGGAGTTCAAGACCAGCCTGGCCAACATGGTGAAACGCCATCTCTACTAAAAATACAAAAATTGGGCCGGGCGTGGTGACTCACGCCTGTAATCCCAGCAGTTTGGGAGGCTGAGGTGGGTGGATCACGAGGTCAAGAGATCGAGACCATCCTGGCTAACACGATGAAACCCTGTCTCTACTAAAAATACAAAAATTTAGCCGGGTGTGGTGGTGGGCGCCTGTAGTCCCAGCTACTTGGGAGGCTGAGGCAGGAGAATGGCGTGAATCTGGGAGGCAGAGCTTGCAGTGAGCCAAGATCGTGCCACTGCACTCCAGCCTGGGCGACAGAGCGAGACTCTGTCTCAAAAAAAAAAAAAAAAAAAATACAAAAATTGGCCAGGCGCAGTGTTCTCAGGCCTATAATCCCAGCACTTTGGAAGGCCGAGGTGGGCGGATCACGAGGTCAAGAGATCGAGACCATCATAGACAACATGGTGAACCCCCATCTCTACTAAAAATACAGAAAAATTAGCCAGGCGTGGTGGCACATGTCCTGTTATCCCAGCTACTCGGGAGGCTGAGGCAGGAGAATCGCTTGAACCCTTTAGGCGGAGGTTGCAGTGAGCTGAGATTGTGCCACTGCACTCCAGCCTGGCAACAGAGTGAGACTCCATCTCAAAAAAAAAAAAAAAGCCGGGCGTGGTGGCACATGTCCTGTTATCCCAGCTACTTGGGAGGCTGAGGCAGGAGAATCACTTGAATCCTGGAGGGCGGAGGTTGCAGTGAGCCGAGATCAAGCCACTGCACTCCAGCCTGGGTGACAGACTGAGATCCTGTGTGAAAAAAACAAAGTTTTACATTTAATTTGATACTCATGATCATTCGATGGGGTGAGTACTATTATTTATTCCCGTTTCACAGATAAGGAAACTGAGGCTTAGGCAGGTTGGGTGGCATGCCCAGGGCCCCGTACAGTGGGAGCTGGAGTTCAGTTGTGTGGTTCTAGAGCTTGTGCTCGGCCTAGTGACAGGAGCTCTGGAGTCTGGGAGCACAAAGAGGGGCACAGGGCCACCAAGTGGGTCTTGGATCTGCCCTCCAGGTGTGGGCCCATCGCTGGATGGATCTGTCAGAACACGGCTTTGGGCTGGCCCTGCTCAACGACTGCAAGTATGGCGCGTCAGTGCGAGGCAGCATCCTCAGCCTCTCGCTGTAAGTGGGGTACCCACCAGGCCTGGGAGCTGGCATGGAGAAATGGGTCTTCCCGACCACAACTCCAACAGCTTCAGCGTGGCCCCTACGCGCCCTCCTCACCCCAGCTTGCGGGCGCCTAAAGCCCCGGACGCTACTGCTGACACGGGGCGCCACGAGTTCACCTATGCACTGATGCCGCACAAGGGTGAGTGCTGGGGACGGTGGGGCCTTCCTGCAGCCCTAGACACCTCTCTGCCCTTCCCTGAGCCCAAACCCCAGCAACCTGGCTTCCTGCCCCTTCTAGGGACAGGGGAGGGTAGCCCCCATTCTCCACCAGCATTGTTTCCTGGTCGTACCCCAGGCTCTTTCCAGGATGCTGGCGTTATCCAAGCTGCCTACAGCCTAAACTTCCCCCTGTTGGCTCTGCCAGCCCCCAGCCCAGCGCCCGCCACCTCCTGGAGTGCGTTTTCCGTGTCTTCACCCGCGGTCGTATTGGAGACCGTCAAGCAGGCAAGGGGTGGGACGTGCTGGGGACGGGGTTCCGAACTGGGCCTGCCCTCGGCCCCTCCCACCAGACGTGTTCCTCTGCAGGCGGAGAGCAGCCCCCAGCGCCGCTCGCTGGTCCTGAGGCTGTATGAGGCCCACGGCAGCCACGTGGACTGCTGGCTGCACTTGTCGCTGCCGGTTCAGGAGGCCATCCTGTGAGTGGCGGTGTGGGATTGGGGCGGGGGTCGAGTCTCGCCCTCGCAGAGCCTTCATGGCCCCTCCTGTTCTCCAGCTGCGATCTCTTGGAGCGACCAGACCCTGCTGGCCACTTGACCCTTCGGGACAACCGCCTGAAGCTCACCTTTTCTCCCTTCCAAGTGCTGTCCCTGTTGCTCGTGCTTCAGCCTCCGCCACACTGAGTCCCTGGGGCTGGGGTTTTGTTTGTAGAAGGCTCTGGGGACTCCTAATTTCTGCTTCCCCAGCCTAAAGCAGGGATCAGTCTTTTCTTGTGGAATAAATCCTTGGATCGGGAACCCTGCTGCTCAGTCCCCTTAGGGCCCATCCTCACGCTTGGGGTGGGGGTGGGAAGTCTGGGGTGGGATGGCTTCCCAGGTATTTGGTGGGTAGGGGCAAGATCCTAAGGTACCTGTGCGTGCAGGGTCTGGGTTGCAGCCCCCACAGGAGAGACTGGGGACCTCGAGCCACCAAAAGCCAGTGAAGAGACCATGAGTTGAGAAGCCCCTCCCCTGTGCCAGCAGGTAAAGGGCCTGGGCCTGGGGCTGGGGAGGGGCCGAAGGGTGGGTTTTGCCTGGCTCCTGCCAGGATGAGGGGGCAGCCCTGGACCCTGGAGAATCTGGACTGGAGGAGCTCTGGCTCCTGGGCTGCCTGGGGCCAGGGTCTTTGTACCACCTCTGAGGGGCTGTCCTTGCAGAGGCAAACTGTCCTCTGATAGAGTCAGAGCCTTGAGGACTGGGATGGGGGCTCAGTTTGCCTTGTGAGGAGCTGGGCCTTCTGTCACCAGGACCGGACAGCAGGCCCTTCCTACCTGGCCATCTCAGACCAAGAGGTGCCAAGAAGTTCAAATGTATCAGTTTATTAAAAATGCAGCATTTTTCACATGAGCTTTAAAGATGTGGAAGATGGGGTACAATTAAAACCATGAGAGTTGTGCAGGGAACAGCCGTAGGGCCTGTTTGCACCTTCAGATATTGCCTGCTCCCAAAAATTCAGACCCCCAGATGCAGGGCAAGACAATAAGAAAGGGTGAGTGCAAGCAAGGAGAGCCTCCTGCTAAGAGGCTGAGGTCCCCTCTGGTTCCAAGGATGGGATGTCAGCCTTGACCTTCCGGGGTCTGCAGTGGCCTGGGGGAAGAACAGGCAAGATGGTCAGCTAAGACTCCAGGGGCTGCCATGGCAGCCTTTCTCCCACCTTTGTACACGCGCTCCTAGGCCACCATCCCATCCTCTCCTGTAGAGCCAGTTTCTGGGAGTGATGAGGAAAGCCCACCAGAGGCTGCCTGTCGCCCCTTCCTCCTCCCCTTCTTGGGCACTGTGGGAGCTTCTGGGTCCTGCTGGAGGCTGGTCCCCTCAGGCCGCTGGGTTGCAGTCCTCTTAGGAAGGTCTCTCTTTGCCCTTCGTGTCCTGGAAGGGGCCTTGCTTGGAGGCAAAGCGTCCTGGATGGAGGAGACACGGGTCCCTGAGGGGCTCAGAAAGCAGTTCAGAGGTTGGTTAGGGCCCACCACTCCCCCCGCCCTCTTAGGGTAAGGCAGCTGCCTGGGAGGGGCAGCCAGGGCTGCAGAGTGCAGGGGAGGAGGCGGGAGCAGGCAGCCATACCTCCACTCTGTCCTCAGGACTCAGCTGTGTGGCCTTGGATTTCTTTTTGCGGGACTTGCGCCCTGCAGGACACTGGTGTTGGAGTTGGAGGGTCCTATCCTGCCCAGGGGTGACTCCCAGGGTTGCAGGGGGATAGGGTGGAGAAGGGTGCTGTAGCCCTTGCAGGCGTGAAGTCCTTTCTGCTCTCTTAGCCTATTACATTAGGAGTAGCTTACCTTTGGGTGCCAACGGTCCAGGATCCCCCTAAAATGGGATGGGGATAATTCAGGAATCAGCCTGGGTTGGCACAGGGGCGGTATTCCTTGGAGAGGCAGGACTCACACACACCCATCCAGATCAGTGTAGCTTCTCCCTTAGGAAGCCTCTAGGACATCCCCCATGTTAGAGTCCACATCAGCAAAGCTGCTCTGCCCTTGGCTACTTTCACTTGGGCTACCTGCCTTGGGCTACTTCCACTAGCTGCAACCCTGGGACGCATGGGAGGGGAGGGGTGTGACCCTCAGGAACAGTGTGGTCCTTGGAGGGTCTAGACAGACCCTGAGCATCACCACCCCAGTTATTGTGACCCCACGTTTCCACCCATCAGCCTCCTGGGGTCTCTGCCTGTGTGAACAGTAGGGCCCAACCTGGAACCAGATGGTACGGCCATGCCGGTCCTGCAGGGAGCTCATGCCTGGCATGCCATAGCAGCGCAGCCAGGCTCGAAAGGCAGCAAAGTCCTCCTCCCCGCTCTCTGACCCGTAGCCTTTGCCCCCTGTGGGACAGAGGAACAGGCAGAGATCAGAGGGCAGGCTCAGGTTGGGAGGAGTGGGGAGCCTGGTTAGACCTGGCCCAGACCTCAGCTACACAAGCTGATGGACTGAGTCAGGGGCCACACTCTCCCTCCTCTGGTGATGTGACCTCAGCTGGTTTCTTCCCACTCGGCCATGGGTTTCCCATCCTGGAGTGGGATTAAGAATCCTTGTCCTGGCCCTGTGCAGTGGCCACACCTGTAATCCCGACACTTTGGGAAGCTTAGATGGGAGAATCCCTAGGGGCCAGGAGTTCAATACCAGCCTGGGCAACATAGGGAGACCCTGTCTCTACAAAAAAAATTTTTAACAATTAGCCCGGTGTGGTGGTGTGAGCCTGTAGTCCTAGCTACTTAGAGGCAGATGTGGGAGGATCACTTGAGCCCAGTTTGAGGCTAGTCCAGGCAACATGGCAAGATCCTATCTCTACCAAAAATATATATAAACGTGCGTGTGTGTGTGTGTGTGTGTGTGTGTATAAATATATAAAAGAATCCTTGTCCTGCCTGTCTCATGGGCAGCTTGGAGGAAACACTGTTTTTTTGTTTTTTTTTTTTTTGAGATGGAGTTTTGCTCTTGTTGCCCAGGCTGGAGTGCAATGGCACGATCTCAGCTCAACTGCAACCTCCACCTCCTGGGTTTAAGCGATTTTCCTGCCTCATCCTCCCGAGTAGCTGAGATTACAGGTGCCCACCACCACACCTGGCTAATTTTTTGCATTTTTAGTAGAGATGGGGTTTCACCATGTTGGCCAGGATGGTCTCGAACTCCTGACCTCAGGTGAGCCACCCCACTCGGCCTCCCGAAGTGCTGGGATTACAGGCATGAGCCACTGCGCCCAGCCTGGAAACACTATTGACAAGTGAGGAGGCCTAGTCCATTGAGTATCAGCTAGGGCTACAAACTTCCAAATCGGTGAATCAGGTCCAGAGAGGGACAAGTGCCCCAGGGTTACACAATCATTTGCTGAAGCAGAGGTTGCTGCCATCTTTGGCCTCACCCAACTGGACCACTTCCTTGGGCACTGAGTGACATAGCTCCAGCAGGTCTGGATTCTGCAGCTTGGTCCTTATCTTCTGGCTCAGGGTCAGCTCCGGGCTCTGAGGAAGGGGCAGGGGCAGGACCTGTCTGTCAGCAGGGCCATGTAAAGGCAGCTGACCTTCTCTCTGAGCTTGGTCAGACTTTGGGCAGTTCATCCCCTCCCCACCCCTGTTGTTGAGCTAAGCTGGGGACACCTGACCCCACCCATCTCCTTGCCGGCCCATGTGGACACCAGTGTGCCAGCACGTGTGCTCCATCCCTCTCTGGGCTTACCGGCCTGTGCTGCTGCAGGGCCTCCAGGACCGAGCGGGCCTTCTCAAAGGGGGGGATCTTCAGCCTGTAGTGGGGGCAAGGCAAGCCATGCTAGGCAGTGGGGAATGTGGGCACACCTGGCCCACCGCAGTCCCCATGCCCATGCCTGCTTGCTGACCGGTACAGGATCTCTGCCCGCAGATAGTTGCCAATGCCATTGAAGAACCTCTGGTCCAGGAGGGCCTCGCAGATGGGCCGGTCAAAGGCCTTATCCGCTAGGTTTCGTAGCACATTCTCCCTGGAGGAACACGGTCTGGGTGCGTAAGACCCATCCCCACCCTCCATGGGATGGGGAGAGGGGCTCAGAGAACCTGTTTCTGGGTGCAAGGGGAAGGAAACTGGGAGTTACAGTTCCTCTTCTCCCTGCCCCCGTTTTCCTATCTGTTAAATGGGAACATCAAGGGATTTAAATTCATTGTGAAAGGACGGCCAGGTGCAGTGGCTCATGCCTGTAATCTCAGCACTTTGGGAGGCCGAGGCGGGCAGATCACTTGAGGTCAGGAGGTCGAGACCAGCCTGGCCAACATGGTGAAACCCTGTCTCTACTAAAAATTCAAAATTAGCCAGGCATGATGGTGGGTGCCTGTAATCCCAGCTACTTGGGAGGCCTGAAGCAGCAGAATCTCTGGAACCTGGGAGGTGGAGGTTGCAGTGAGCTGAGATCGCAGCATTGCACTCCAGCCTGGGCCACAGAGCGAGACTCCATCTCAAAAAATAAAAACAAAATTAAAAATAAATTCATTGTGAAAGGTGAAAAATACTGATCTAAAGTAACTTGAGGCTGGTGTGGTGGCTCACACCTGTAATCCCAGCATTCTGGGAAGCTGAAGCAGGAGGATCACTTCAGCCCAGGAGACCAGCCTGGGCAACAAGGAAGACCCCATCTCTACCAAAAATTTAAGAAGTAGCCAGGGGCTTAGTGATGCACTCCTGTGGTTCCAGTTAATCAGGAGGTTGAGGTGAGAGAATCACCTGAGCCCTGGAGGTTAAGGCTGCAATGAGCTGTGATGGCGCCACTGTACTCTAGCCTAGGCAACAGAGCGAGACCCTGTCTCAAAAAAAAAAAAAAAAAAAGCAACATGAGGTTGTATATGAGGTTGTGTGTTTATCACCTCAGACTCCTCAGGACATGAGAACAGTGTGGCCACAGGACCTCAAGTGTGTTTGCAGTCTGGAGCTCCCTGTATAGCATTTGTGGTGGGTTAGAGACCATATGTGGGTTTGCCATTGGTAGGGTCCATTCTTCTCAAGATCCTGGACATTGTCTGGCTCTGTGCAGGAGATATGTGGAGTACCAGTGAGGGCCCTAGCAGCCCCCACCCCACCTCCAAGGGTCATGGGTCTCCCCTCCTCACCGTGAAGAGGATGTGCATCTTGTTTCTTTGCGGAAAAGGGTCATGGCAAGACTGACTAATGGGTGTGATGAGTGGGTCAGAAGACAGAGTTCTGGGGTGAAGGTACAAGGGTAGCCTGGGAGGTGCCCTGATCCCTGAGGTAAGCCAATTGCCACACGCCCCAGCTGGGGGACTAAGAAAACAGCCCAAATGCTCGTGGTTTGAGAGAAACTTCAGAGCCAGCTGGCAGAGTTAACTTGTGGCGTGACTCCCCAGGAAGGCTGAGGTGGGAGGAATCCAGGACCAAAGACAGATGTTTCCCTGGGGATGTGCTTGGAGTTCACACAGGGGAAGGCCAGGAGTCAACTTTCTTCTAAGGCACCAGAGACATCTCCAACCCATCCCACAGGTATCCAAGTCTCCTAAGGGTCAACGGACGCACAGCATCCCCCAGAAAGGGAGAACTTGCCAACCCTACTCCAGGCCTCTGCATTTGTGACTCTTGCCAGTTCCAATGCCTTCCTCTGGCTGGCTCCTTCTCATCAGTCAGGCCTCAGCTCAAACCTCCCTAGAGTGGCCATTGCTAATGTACCCCCACCCTCGGCCAAGTCATCCTCTACCTCCTTCACCTGTTGGGTTTTCCTAAGGCATGGGTCCATTTCTCATTCCCCTATCCTATGTGAACATCAGTTCTGTGGGAGCAGGGACCACATTCATCTTGTTCACTGCTGTACCCCGAGCCCCTAGAACAAGGCCTGGCATGAAGCAGAGACTCATACACGTTTCCTCTTCAGAGGAAAGGAAGTGGCCAACACTGTGCCATGTGAGGTGACCTGCATCACATCCCAGGTGGGGCTGTTACACCCTACTGCAGGCAGGGAAGTGGCGCAGAGGAGACCACAGGACACAGAATACTGGGCAGGCCGGATGTGGGAGACCACAAAGCCCAAGGCGGAAGCCATGTCATGAGATAGTCCCCTCCCCATCCCCTTGAAACAATTCCGCTCAGCCTCACTTACCATATTAAAGCCCCTCCACCTTCTTAGCCTCCTGGGAGCCCTGAGAGGTGGTGTGGGATTGTGGGTGGGAGCCCCAGCTTCTCTGACACTAACTGGCCACATGTCCTCAGGGCAGTACCTACCCATCCTCCTCTTGGCTCTCCTCTCTCCTCCCCCATCAGTTATTATTATCATTATTTTTTGAGACAGAGTCGTGCTCTGTTGCCCAGACTGGAGTGGAATGGTGCTGTCTCAGCTCACTGCAACCCCGGCCTCACCGGCTCAAGCGCTTTTCCTGCCTCAGCCTCCCAAGTAGCTGGGGTTACAGGCATGTGCCACCATGCCCGGCTAATTTTTGTATTTTCAGTAGAGACAGGGTTTCACCATACTGGCCAGGCTGGTCTCGAACTCCTGACCTCGTGATCTGCCCGCCTCGGCTTCCCAAAGTGCTGGGATTTACAGACTTGAGCCACCACACCCGGCCCCCAATTAGTTTTGAGTTTCCATGCCCACTGGCTCAGGGAGCTGACCCAGGACAGGTATACTGTCTTGATCTGCAGATGAGAGAACTGAGGCCCAGAAGGGGCAGGGACTCGCCCCTTGTTGGCCAAGAAGGCACTAAGAGAGTCAGGTGTGGAGCCCGCGACTATGTTCATCACACCTGGTGCTGGCCCTACCTGAACTGCTGGTACTCCTGCAAGACACAGGGCCCGCGGCCCGGCTGCCACTTTCCCCCAAGGTCCCAGCGGCCGAACCGGCGGATGTCCACGAAACATAGGGCGAGCCGGGGGCCAGGCGGGGCCGTGTAAAAGCGCAGGTGGGCATGGCGTGGCAGCTCCTCGCGGGGCACCAGCTGAAAAGAGCCGGACATGCCGAAGCGGAAGACCAGGGCCAGTGGCTCCTGTTGGGGCTGGGCCCCAGGCAGAGGGCTCAGTATCAGGCGCAGCTCCTTGCCGCGGGCTGAAGCTGAGATGCGGTAGGCACTGCTCTCAAAGGGCACCTCAGGGTTGCGGCTGACAGAGGACTTCTCCACGCAGCCGCCGAACACCAGCGCCCTGCAGGCCTCATTCACAAACTGGCTGGCCAGGTGCAGCTCGGGGCCCTCAGGCATCCTGAGGGAGGGTGGCAGAGTCCTGTTGGGGAGGAAGGCAGCGGGTTGAGCCCGGTGTGGACTTTGTGAGGTAGCGGCTGTCAGCCCCATTTTTAGAGGAGAACTCGGAGGGTCAGATGGGCATGTGGCCAGCTGCGGCTGGCAGGAAAGTGCGGGCCTGGCCACGGCCCTCAATCCCCTACCCGGACAGGTGCCTGGAAAGCCCAGGGCGCTGGGAGCTGGGGCTGCAGAGGGAGCAGGACTCTGCCTTGCTGCTAACCGCTTCCTTCCATGGGCTTCCACCGCGTTTAGACGAAAGTCCCAATCCTTGCGGGGCCGCGGCTGCAGCCTTACTTCTTCCCGGCTCCCCTCACTCACGGATCTCATCTCCGCCTTGGCCCCTGCTGTCCCTCTGTCCCAGACACTTGAGGGAGACTTCCTGACCCCCCATCTGAGGGAGCACCCCCTCCGCACACGCTGTCTCTTTCTCCAGGCTCTCCCACCATCTGAAAGGGTCTTAGGATCGCGTGGCCGCCCCTCCCTGCGCCCCCCTCCCCCCACACTTAGGACCCGCCTGGATCTGGCCGCTCACCACCGAGGGAAAGAGCGAAGCTCGGCCTGGCGCGGGGGAGCGGCGGGAGCGGCCGAATCGGCCGCTTGGCCGCAGCGAGAACCGGGCCTGCCCCACGGACCGGACATCCCCGCGGCCGCCCCCGGGTCAGGGCAGGGGCCAGGACGAGGCGGGCGGGCTGCCGCCATGCGCTGGAGCCGCTCCCCATGGCTCCGCAGGAGGACGGCGGGCACCAGGAAGGGCTCCCCGAGCTCCTGCCCCGGGCCTGGGGGAGGGAAAGGGCCCGCGGCAGCGCCTGGTCCCTGGGGTGGGGGGTATCGACTCCTCACCTCCGCCCTCCCTGCTTTGCCACTTGCCTCTGTCCCCGGGCGGTTCGGAATCGGAGGCGAAGGTGTGCCTTAAGTGGAAGGGGGCACTTAGCGACGGCAGACGCCCGTACCTTGCCCCCTCCACACCTGGGAGCCGCCCCTGGCCTGGCACCCACAGGGCTCGTTTTGCGGGAGAACGTGAGGCTCCAAATCCTAGTTTTGGGGAGGAGCGGCGCTCTCGGGCCCGTCCTCCCCATGCCCCCGCTGCGACCCTGTCCTCGGTTAATCCTGACTCCCCTCCTCCTCAGGGCCCCCCAAAGCTCATCTTCTCCTTAGCCCTACAGCGCACCCCCCACAACCCGATCCTGCACGCCCCCTCCCCGGGAACCCGCACTCCGTTCCGCTCGTCGCCACTGCAGCCACTAAAGGGTTAACGCCAGAACGGGCGGTGCCCGGGAGCGCGCTGGGAGCCGCTGGGAGGTGTAGTCCCTCAGGGAAGCGGTCGCGATTCTTCGGGGTGGGGTCCCCGAGCTTGGGGGGTTCCAGGCTTTGGGGCAGGCTTCGGGGCAGTTACCTGGCTGGGAGGTGGCGGAAGAACCTGACTTCCCACTGCCTGGCGCCGGCGAGATGCGGGGGCAGGTCTGAGGCCCCGGGTCGCCGCTGTCTCTGCGGTTGGGGGAAGTCACCCAGCTAGCGTGGGACAGGGTCGGCACCCCCAGCAGGAAACAGCAGCGACGAGCCAGAGCGGAGTCGCCTGCAGCTGCGCGCAGGACGTGCACAGGTGCGCGGTACGCACAGGCCCTAGGGACCCGGTGGGGATCTTAAGCACCAACGAACAGTCAGACCTAACTCATAAACAAACATCATCACGGCCTGCCCTGTCAGAAGCGCAGCCAAGCAACAACAACAACAAAAAAAGGCGAGGAGGTAGACCCACTTGAGATGGTTCTGTTGCGGAGAGTCTCTGAAATCAGAAAGCGCCAGTCCGCAAAAACGAGGAAACCCGACGTGTCCGGCGGAAGGAACCGCCAGTACAAAGGCCCTGAGGCGAGAAAGAGATTGGTCACTGAAAGAACTCAAAGAAGTCCTGTGTGGCTGGAGTATAGCTGCGGGTTAGTGCTGGCAGGTGAAGACAGAGAAGCAAACCCAGGTCAGGTCCGGTTGGGCCTCGGGAGGGCCTCCGTGTGGAGTCTGCACTTCATTCTAAGTGTATACCTAACCCATCGCCACGATTTCCCCTCCTTCACACTACCCTGCTACGTCTCCTTATTAGGCGTAATAAAATTATGTGGCTTTGTAAGAAATTGGTTTTTAGAGATGCATGTTAAAGTATTGGGTATGAAATGTCATGATTTGTCTAATTTACTTTAAAATACTTCTGCCATAATAAATGAATAGAATTAACAACTTGATATTAGTTGACAATATCTAATAATATCTAAGTTATTAGAAATTAGTTAACAGTAACTTCTTTTTTTGAGACAGGGTCTCACTGTGTCACCCAGGCTGGAGTGCGGTGGTGAAATCTCGGCTCACTGCAGCCTCCACTTCCCGGGTTCAAGTGATTCTCCTGCCTCAGCCTCCCGAGTAACTGGGATTACAGGCGTGTGCCACATGCCTGGCTAATTTTCATATTTTTAGTAGAGATGAGGTTTCGCCTTGTTGGCCAGGCTGGTCTTGAACTCCTGACCTCAAGTAATCTGCCCGCCTCGGCCTCCCAAAGTGCTGGGATTACAGAAGTGAGCCACCATGCCCAGCCAACAGTAACTTCTTAATATCATCTAATAGCTAGTCCACATCCAGATTTCCCCAATTGTCCCAAATATATATATATATACACATATAGACAGGGTCTCACTCTGTCCCCCAGGCTACAATCATGGGTCATTGCAGCCTCCGACCTCCCGGGCTCAAGTGATCCTCAGCCTCAGCCTCCCAAGTAGCTGGGACTACAGGCACACACCACCACGCCTGGCTAATTCATGTTTTGTAAGGATGTGGTCTCACTATGTTGCCTGGGCCAGCCTCAAACTCCTGGGCTCAAGCCATCCCCCGACCTCGGGGTCCCAAAGTGTTGGGATTACAGGCGTGAGCCACCGCGCCTGGCTGGATTATATCTTTTTAATAATTTTAAATCTAGATGAAACCACCTTCCCTCTCCCACCCACTTCATCCCCTTCTTTTATCTTCATGATACCTTTCTGAAGAGTCTCAGCCAGTTGTTGTTTGAGATAGATGCTGCATCACATTCTCAATTTGTCTGAATGTATCCTCAGGGTGTCACTGATATTGTCACAGAGATTGGTCCTCTATCTGTGGTTCATCCTGCATGCTGGGAATTAGATCTAAAGGCTTGATTATATAAATATTCAGGGATACTTCCTAGGTGCTGCTCTGTACTTCGTTGTTTTTTGTTTTGTTTTGTTTTATTTGAGATGGAGTCTTGCTCTGTCACCCAGACTGGAGTGCAGTGGCACGATCTTGGCTCACTGCAACCTCTGCCTCCCAGGTTCAAGTGATTCTCTTGCCTCAGCCTCCTGAGTAGCTGAGACTACAGGCATATGCCACCACTCCCAGCTGATTTTTGTATTTTTAGTAGAGACGGGGTTTCACCATGTTGGCCAGGCTGGTCTCAAACTCCTGACCTCAGGTGATCTGCCTGCCTCGGCCTCCCAAAGTGCTGGGATTACAGGGATAAGCCACTACGCCTGGCCACTGCTCTGTACTTTGAATTGCATCATATCAGGAGGCACCCAATATCTCATTGTCCCACTTTATTGGGAGCTGAAACTGATCAAGACAGGGGCTGTGGCAGCCAGACCTCTGCATTAGAAAACATATGGTTCATACCTTGTGAACACCAAATAATCTATGGAGTAATTTCTTTGTTGTTCTCTTGTTTAAATAAAGGTATAATTTACATATAGTAAAATTTACCCCTTTCAGACTGCAATATTTGACAAACACATAGTCATGTAACTGCCACCCCAATGAAGAGATAACACACATTGAAGCATTATTCCCAAGATGTGGAAACAACCAACCGATACATGGATTTTTTAAAATGTGATATATAATAGGCTGGGCATGGTGGCTCATGCATGTAATCTCAGCCCTTTGGGAGGCCAAGACAGGAGGACTGCTTGAGCCCACGAGTTCAAGACCAGCCTGGTCAACATAGGGAGATTCCATCTCTATATAAGAAAAGAATTAGCATAGTGGTATGCATCTGTAGTCCCAGCTACTCCAGAGGCTGTGGTTGGAGGACTGCTTGAGCCTGGGAGTCAGAGGCTACAGTGAACTGTGATCATGCTGCTGCACTCTAGCCTGGATGACAGAGTGAAACCTTATCCCCATCCCTGCCCCCCTAAAAAAAATGTGGTATATGATGGAATATTATTCAGCCTTTAAAAAAAGGAAATACTGCCACATGCAACAACATGGGTAACCTCGAAGACATTGCACTAAATAAGTTGGTCACAGAAGGACAAATACTTAGGCTGGACACAGTGGCTCACGCTTATAATCCCGACACTTTGGGAGGCCAAGGCGGGTGGATCACGAGGTCAGGAGATCGAGATCATCCTGGCCAACATGGTGAAACCCCGTCTCTAATAAAAATACAAAAATTATCCAGGTGTGGTGGCGGGCACCTGTAGTCCCAGCTACTTGGGAGGCTGAGGCAGGAGAATTGCTTGCACCCAGGAGGCAGAGGTTGCAGTGAGCTGAGATCGTGCCACTGCACTCCAGCCTGGCAACAGAGCGAGACTCTGTCTCATAAAACAAACAAGCAAAAAAACCCCAGAAAGACAAATACTTCATGGTTCCACTTATATCAGGTACCTAAACAGTTAAACACACAGAAGCAGCAAGTAGAATGGTGGTTGCCAGGAGCTGCCGGGAAGGAGGAAATGGGTAGTTGCTATTCAATGAATATAAAGTTTTGGGTTTTTGGCCAGGCGCAGTGGCTGATGCCTGAAATCCCAACACTATGGGAGGCCGAGGGGGGAGTGAATCACTTGAGGCCAGGAGTTCAAGACCAGCCTGGCCAACATGGTGAAACCCCGTCTTTACTAAAAATACGAAAGTTCGCTTTGAGATCCTGTCTCAAAAGAAAATAAAGTTTTAGGTTTTTATTGTTGTTTTTGAGACAGGTCTCACTCTGTTGCCCAGGCTAGAGAACGATGGTGCAATCTCGGCTCACTGCAGCCTCGACCTCCCAGTAGCTGGGATTACAGGTGGGGGCCACCATGCCTAATTTTTTGTATTTTTAGTAGAGACAGGGTTTTACCACGTTGCCAAGACTAGTCTCAAACTCCTGACCTCAAGCGATCCACCTGCCTTGGCCTCCCAGAGTATTGGGATTACAGGCGTGAGCCACCGTGTCCAGCCTCAAAGTGATTTTCTAATTGTCATTCTTAATATATTTGATAGAATCCATCTGTCAAGTATAGCTTTACCTCATTGACCAGGGCTATTTGGTTATCCTGACTAAAAAGACAGGATAACCTCTTTTTTATTTTTTTTGAGACAGGATCTCACTCTGTCACTCAAGGCTGGAGTGCAGTGGTATGATCATGGTTCACTGCAACCTCGAACTCCTGAGCTCAGGTGATCCTCCAACGTCAGCCTCCTGAGTAGCTGGGACAATGGTGCATACCACCACACCTAATTTTTGTATTTTTTTGTAGAGATGGGGTTTTGCCATGTTGCCAAGGATAGTCTCCTTGTGATTTTTTTATCACTTTGTTTATTCCCAGTTTTCATTTTTGCTTCTTCTTGCCCAACTGTGGCTGGTGGAGCATTTTTTAGAATACCAGTTTGACTTATCTATAGTTTTATTTTTAATTGACAAATAATAATTGTATAAATTTATGGAGTACAGTGTGATGTTTTGTTACATGCATATATTGTGGAATGATCAAATCGGCTGGGCACGGTGGCTCATGCCTGTAATCCCAGCACTGTGGGAGGCCGAGGCAGACGGATCACCTGAGGTCAGAAGTTTAAAACCAGCCTGGCCAACATAGTGAAACCCAGTCTCTACAAAAAATACAAAAAATTAGCCAGGGGTGGTGGTGCATGCCTGTAGTCCCAGCTACTACAGAGGCTGAGGCAGGAGAATCACTTGAACTCGGGAGGCGGAGGTTGCAGTGAGCCAAGATCACGCCACTGCACTCCAGCCTAGGCAACAGAGTGAGACTCTGTCTCAAGAAAACAAAAAACACAAAAAAAGATCAAATCAGGCTAATTAGGATATCCATTACCTCAAATATTTATTTCTTTGTGATGAGAACATTTAAAACCCTCTTTTAGCTATTTTGAAGTATACATCATTATTAACTGGTCACCACGCTGGGCAATAAATCACCAGAATGTACTCCTCCTAACTGGAACTTTGTACCTTTTGACCGGTGTCTCCCCTTTTCCCCACAACCCACCCTCTCTCTCCTCCAGCCTCTGCTAACCACCATTCTACTGTCGACTTCTATGAATTTAACTTTTTTTTTTTGAGACAGGGTCTCACTGTCACCCAGGCTGGAGTGCAGGGGCACTATCATGGTTCACTGCAGCCTTGACCGCCCTGGCTCAAGCAATCCTCCCACCTCAACCTCCCAAGTGCTGGAACCACAGGCATGTGCCACTGCACCCGGCTAATTTTTTTACTTTTTGTAGAGACAGGTTTGCCATGTTGCCCAGCCTGGTCTCGAACTCCTGGGCTTAAGTGATCCTCCCACCTTGGCTTCCCAAAGTGCTGGGATTACAGGCGTGAGCCACTGCCCCAGGCCCTTTTTTCAACTCCAGGCATAAGTGAGGTGACGAGGTATTTGTCTCTCTGTGCCTGGCTTATTTCACTTAGCATCATGTCGTCTAGGTTCATCCAAGTCACAAATGACAGAACCTTCTGCTTTTTAAGGGCTGAAAAATATTCCAATGTGTGTATATATACATTTTTTTTTTTTTTTTTTTTTTTTTTTTGAGACAGGGTCTCAGCTCTGTTATCCAGGCTGGAGTGCAGAGGTATGATCACAGCTCACTGCAGCCTCAAACCCCTGGGCTCAAGCGATTGATCCTCCTGCCTCAGCCTTCTGAGTAGCTGAGACTATAAGCACGCACCACCATGATCGGCTAATTTTTTATTTTTTTGGAGAAACTGAGTCTCCCTGTGTTGCTCAGGCCAGTTGCAAGGTCTAAAGCAATTGTCCCACCTCCCAAAGTGCTGGGATTACAGGCATGGGCCACTGCACCTGGCCTTTAGTGATTATTTTTTTGAATACTTTTTCCATTCCACTCTCTTCCTCCTTACCTTCTGAGACCCTAATCATGAATGTTAGCACTTTTGTATAGTTCTACAGATCTGTGATGATCAGTTTTGTGTAACCTGACTGGGCCATGGGGTCCAGATTCCAGGAATTTCTCTCTGTGGAGCCTCAGGTCCTGAGGATCCCAGCCAGGCTAGGGTGCCTTCTCTCCATCGCTCGGAGTCTTTTTGTTTGTTTTATATGTAACATCCAGGGTTGTTAACTGTACTTAGTGGGAGGAATAGGGAAAACACCTACTTCATTTTTTCAGAAGCAGAAGTCAGGAGTGGAGTCAGTAAGTATCTCTTTTGATGTTCAAATTGTCCCATCTTTGGCCAGTGGAACAAGCCATTATTCTTCGATAGGTTCCTTAAGATACTCCAGGCGAGTCCTCCTTGTACCCTCCATGTGCCAACCCTGGCATCAGCCTTTTCTACAAGGAGCCCTGGCTGGTCTGGGCCAGTCCTGGAAGCCCATCTGCCTTAGTCTTCTCGAGCTGCTATAACAATGCCACAGACTAGTGGCTTACACCATAGAGATTTCTTTCTCACAGTTCTGGAGGCTGGGAAGTTCAAGATCAAGGTGCCAGCAGACGCAGTTCCTGTTGACAGCCCTCTTTCTGGCCTTGTAGACAGCCACCTCGTGTGCGCACATGGCCCTCATCTGGTGTGCATGTGTGGACAGAGGCTTCAGCATATGAATTCTGGAGGAACATGAACATTCAGTCCATAACACCGTTCCTCTTGCCAATGACTGGTTCAGGCATGGTCACTTCTCTCTTCCTAAAGATGATGGCAGTGGCTGGGCGCAGTGGCTTACGCCTGTAATCCCAGCACTTTGGGAGGGCAAGGTGGGTGGATCACCTGAGGTCAGGAGTTCGAGACCAGCCTGACCAACATGGAGAAACCTCATCTCTACTGAAAAAAAAAAAAAAAAACAAAATTAGCCGGGAGTAGTGGGGCATGCCTGTAATCCCACCTACTCGGGCAGCTGAGGCAGAAGAATTGCTTGAACCCAGGAGGCAGAGGTTGTGGTGAGCCAAGATCACGCCACTGTACCATCTCAAAATAAATAAATAACAAGATGGCAGTGAAACCTGGGCAAGAGGAGCGAAACTCCGTCTCTAAATAAATAAATAAATAAATAGAAGATGGCAGTGAAACAAGGGCAATCTCCTTTCTGTACAAGGGGCATTTGGCTTTGGGGCCACCAACGTGCTGCTAGCCTGAGGACATGGCCAGGGGGCAAAGACAGCAGAGCCAAGAGCATCCCAGATCTGGGAGCTAGAACCCTGATTTTCTTCTCACCAGACAAGCAGATGCATTTTGGTCCTCAGTTGGCCTTACCTATGACCTCCCTCAATCAGCAATTGAGAAAAGAAAATGAGTGATGGACCAAGAAGGCCTGTATGTCACTTGTGTTTCTCTCACAAAAACCCTTGATCTGAACCCAAACAGAACCCCCTGCACACATTCCTTTATACTTCTGTTTATTTTTCCTGCTTATGAAAACAGCCAACAATTGCCTTTCAAGGGAAGGGAAGGTAATGCTGGGAAAGGTCCTCAGGAGCCCTGAGCCAAGTTCTCAAGAGAGAAGTGAGGCAGCTGGGGATCTGGGAGGCCAGAGTCCGGGCCAGGGCCTCAGCATCCTAGAACCAGGGCTGCCTCCCGAAGAGCAGTTCAGAGGGCGTGACTCCATACGGGCAGGGCGGCTCCACACAGGCCTGGAACACCCTTCTCCTCAGCCCAGGGAGCTCATCAGGGTCTGGGCCTGCTTCAGTTCTGCAGAGGGAAGAGGTGGGCAGGTGGGAGGCAGTCAGGCGGATCTGGGAGAGCCTCTCACCCGTCGAGGAATAGCTGAGCCTCACCTGCCAGGAGGACCTGGAACTTGTCTGCTGAGAGGGACATGGCAACAGGCTGGGCTGGGGTCCCTGGGGCAGCTGCCACCTCCAGCCGCAGGTGCACCATGGGCTCTTCCACGGATTGCAGCAGGCTGGAGCTCAGGGTGTAGTCCACCCGCCAGCCCACACCTGCCAACCTATTCACTGTGAGATGGGGTGGGTGGCTCTCAGGATCAAAGCAGGCAAGCCAAGTAGACCTCAGCCGACACCCTGGCTCAGCTCTCAACCATTCAAGGCTATGTGGCCTCTAAGAAGCTCCCATCCTGCTGACCCAGGCTCAGAACAGGGCAGGTGCCCGATAATCAGTTCTGATCACCCACAGCAGACCTCAGTGACAAGAAACCTTGTGGGGAGTCAGGAGACCCAGGGCCAGGTCCCAGCTCTACGGCTGCTAGTAACCATGTGACCGTGGTTAAGTCGTCTCCCTGGACTCTCCATGCACTTTGTGTGCTGCGTGCACCTTCTAGAATGAGCCCGGACCCTGGCTGGCCTCATACTTACTGCGTAGGCTGCAGACCCGCAAGTGCTTCTGCAAGGGGCTTTGCTTCTCCTCATAACAGCGGCACAGGCTGGCCGCGTGCTCTGGGGGTAGAATGGAGTAGCTCTGGAGGTAGCATGTCGGGGCCTGGCTTGGGCTCCTGGCCCAGACAGGGCAGGTACACCTCAGGGTCACAGGGCCTGTCCCCTTCTCTAGCAGCCCTTGGCCCACAGGCTGCCCAGCTGCCCACCCACAACCCGTACCTTTGGGCAGCCCCAGCTGCTGCAGTTCACTGGACAAGGATTCGCCATCGACACTGTGCTTGGCCGCACTGGAGAGGATGAAACTCAGCACTGCCACTGTGGCCTTCACATCGCCTGACTCTGAGGGACCCGTGGGTGGGGCAGGGGGTGTCACTGTGGGTCCAGCCACCTCCCTGTTGCCCTATTAACTTTAGCTCAAAGCCCCCAGGCCTCCTGGAGCCACAGGCACTGCTACTGCTCCACCAGGAGCTGGCAGAGGACAGGAAGGTGGGACTGTCGGTCTTTCTTTCCCTCATGCTCCTCCACTAGGGAAGGTAAGTTAAGGATGCTGCTGGGAGGGGTGGGGGGCCCCTCTGTACCAGGCACCAGGCCAAGTTCCCAGGGTTGCCTGGGGCCTATAGACTCAGCGGGATACTCACCAAACTTGGCGTCAGCCGTGAGCTTCAGGATCTTCTCATACTATGGGGAAAGGAGACCTTCAGGGGGTGCCAGGCCCCTGCTCACCAGCCCCTCACCCCCAGCCTGGATCCTGCGATAAGGAACAGACAGGCTGGAAAGAAGGAAGGGAGGTGCCCAGAGAGGTTGAGAGGCTGGCTCACCCGTCTCCCTGGGCCTAGTGCAGAGTTTCAGGGCAGTGGTGGTCATAAGGTCATGGGACAATGGGGTGCTGGATCTTGTACTCACATCAATCCCCTGTCCCAGCAGCTCCTTTAGTACCTGGCTGCAGAGCAGCCGCAACTTCACAGAGGACTGGAAGGGAAGTCCTTACATCAGCCAGGCTGGCAAACCTCACCCCTCCTTCCTGGGGACTGGCTCAGAGCAGGCCAGCCACTGATCAAGGTCACAAAGCATGGTAGCACAGGCTGAGAGCACTGAGGCCCTAGCCCCAGAGAAACCTCACCATCCTCTACACCCACAATCCCCACCCCCAACACCCCTCCTCCACCCAGACTAGACCCTGTGCACTCAACCATCTTGGCCAGCGTGCTGATTTCTGCCAGGACCCAGTCGGGACAGTCCAGATCACCACAGAACCGGAACCTCTGCAAGGGAGGGAGGCAGGTAATCAGGCTGGAGGGAGGCCTGAGGTGTGGCCAGGATCCGTGTGTCTCCCACACTGCTGCCCACCAGGGACCCCTGGTCCCCGACATAGATGGATACCCTCTGGCCTCTTGTTCTCCCCTATCACCAGGCTGTTGAGTAAACTCTCTCCCTGACCCACCCTGCCACCAAACCCTGCTCTGAGGTCTACTCCAGGCATTCATCTGCTCAGCAAACATCAATTAAGCACCTTCTCTGTGCTAGCTCCCACTCTAAGTGCTGGGGGTACAGCATGGGATAAAACAAAGTCCTGGGCCTCACAGAGACGAGTGAACTCTCTCCCCTCTTCCCCATACCCACACAACTCCAGCCACTCCAGCTTCCCTGCTGCTGCTGGGGCACACCAGCCTTGCTCCCGCCTCCATGCCTGCTGCACTCTCTGTGTGGCTTGCTATCCTTTTTTTTTTTTTTTTGAGACAGTTTCACTCTTGTTCCCCAGGCTGGAGTGCAATGGCGCGACCTCGGCTCACTGCAACCTCCGCTTCCCAGGTTCAAGTGATTCTCCTGCCTCAGCCTCCCAAGTAGCTGGGATTACAGGCATGTGCCACCACACTCGGCTAATTTTGTATTTTTAGTAGAGACAGAGTTTCACTATGTTAGCCAGGCTGGTCTTGAACTCCTGACCTCAAGTGATCCGTCCCCCTCAGCCTCCCAAAGTGCTGGGATTACAGGCGTGAGCCACGGCGCCTGGCCAGTGGCTTGCTATCCTTTAAGTGACACATCAGACCAGCCCTTCTTTTTTTAAAAAATAAAAAAATAAGACAGAGTCTCCCTCTGTTGCCCAGGCTGGAGTGCCATGGCCATGCTGGTCTCGAACTCCTGACCTCAGGTGATCCACCCTCTTCACTCTCCCAAAGTGCTAGGATTACAGGCATGAGCCACCGCACCCAGCCAGAACAGCCTTTCTTGATTATACTTCTTAAAATAGCCCCTCACACAAGGAAATTATGGAGGCCAGTGGATACGTTCATTATCTTGATTGTGGTGATCCAAGAGCCAGGAAGATTTGTTCTCTACTTGTCCAGCCTCATCTTTCCCTAACCTGCAGATGATACTCTCCCAGCTATGGGAAATGCATCCATTCCTGGGGAGCCATACTCTCTCTAACCTGAAGTCTCTGCACATGCTGTTCCCTGTCTGAAGACACACGTCTCCCACCCTTGCCTCCCTACCCCTGGTACACAAACTGTACTTCAGCCAGCCAGCTCCTGCCATCCATCCGCCTTTAAGTTTGATGGCATCCTTAGGAAGCCCCCTTAGCACTACACACAAGGCGCAGTTAGGTCTCTGCCCCTGGAGCCTTAGCTATGACTCCAATTCAAGCCTCCGATTTCCCCTTCCCTTGGCAGCTCAAGTCCTCCCAGTGCCTAGCACACTTCATGGTATAGACCAGGCGCTTAGAACGTACGGATGGATGGATTGGATGGATGGATGGATAAGTCTCAACCCCAAAACTACTACTTTCTGGCTCTGGAAAGAGCGGAGGGGCTTCCTAACAGTGTGGAAGAGTGAGCCTGATTCTAAGCACCTTCTTGTACAAGCCCCACGGCAGGGCTGGGGAAGGGGGTATCCTTGGGAGGTCCTCTTGGGGATGGGGAAGACCTGAAAGGACTCCCAGCTCCAGACAAGCCCTAGTTCCTGCCCCGGGAGGCAGGGGCCCTTCCTTCCGCCAGGGAAGCACCGGGACTCTAAGCCGGCCGGCCTGCTCTGTCTTACCCGCCCCGTACCCCCGCCCCCGTCTCGGGAGCGGGAGAGTGGTGGACTTTTCCCTACCAGACTCACAGCCCTCACGCCCGCACACACTGTGTTTGCGGAGAGGCCAGTACAACCTCCCCCAGTTTCCGGAGCCACTTGGCGCCCCCTCATTCCCGCTCCAGCAGCCCAAGCCTCGCTTCGCCCCTAGTGCCTCACCATCGCGCCAAGAAGCCAGGGCCCGGGAATTTCTTTTTCCGGTCCCGCAGGGTCAGCTGAGTCGACGATCACGTGACTTGGACTAACTGCCTCTGGGAGGGCGGGGCCTGCTCGAGTGAGGCCGGGAGCGGACCGCAGCCCGCTGGAGGTGCAGGGGGCGAAATGCTGGCGTCTCCTCCTCCGTCTCCCAGAATCCTTCCCTGGAAAAAACTGGCGCCAACCGCCAGTTTAACTGAGGACCGAATTAAGACATTAGGAAAGACAGTGGAAGTTATTTCATTTGTTTAACTTAAGGGGGTAGGATCCCGGGAGCCAGGGTGTTTCAGGTCATTGACACGTTTTCCACTGTTAAGCGAATAGCATTATTCACAGCTGCGGGCTGTGGCAAAAGACATTTTAAAAACTATTGACGTCTACTACACATACAGAAAATTGTACCTATTATAAAGCTTAATAAGTTTTCATCAACTGTACACCTCACATAACCAGCACCCAGGTAAGGAAATAAACCAGATAACTTCTTCAAGTGCATGGGTATTTTATTTCATTTTGATGAATCATCTAGGTGCCTAGCAAAAAGGGCTGTCATAATTACTTGCTCAGGAAAACTCCCTACAGCTTCAACATCAATAGATGCTTATCTTAATTTTTGCCAGTCTGATGGGGAAGAAAAATCGGTTGCTTAGGTTGCAGTGGTAGTCTGATTACTGGTAGCTCTGAGCTAATGGGTAGTCTAGAACAACTAAGTTTCCGACATTGACTTGAAGAGGCAAAAACAAAAAGACAAAACAACAAGAAAAATACATTTGAGAATAGACTAATAACCAGAGACAAAATTGAATACAGTCGTCCTTTGGTAACCTCAGGATGTTGGTTCCAGGACCCCAGAGATACCAAAATTCACAGATACTCAAGTCCCTGATATAATATGGCATAGTATTTGCAAATAACCTGTGCACATCCTTCCGTATACTTTAAATCATCTCTAGATTACTATAATACCTAATACAACGTAAATGCTTTGTAAATAGCTGTTATAAAGTTTTTTAATTTTTTTTTTTGAGACGGAGTCTTGCTCTGTTGCCCAGGCTGGAGTGCAGTGGCGCGATCTCCACTCGCTGCCAGCTCTGCCACCCGGGTTCACGCCATTCTCCTGCCTCAGCCTCCCGAGTAGCTGGGACTACAGGCGCCCGCCACTGCACCCGACCTGTGTTTTTTTATTGTTTTACTTTTTCCAAATATTTTCGATGCACAGTTGGTTAAATCCAAGGATCCAGAACCTCAGGATACAGAGGGCTGACTGTAGTTTGAGCTCTCTCCTCAATTCCATGCCTATCCCATGCAACAGGTGCAGCTGGTTTTATTGTTGCAGGCTTTCAGGTTTTTAAAAGACAGAGCCCATGACAATTAAACTGCACTATAAAATAGAAATGTAAAGTGTCCCCAATTCATGGTAAAATTGAGCTCATTTCTGAAGAGTTCTTTTACAAATCATAACCACTAGCCTGTTGAAAACAACAGTACGTTAAGTTACTAGACTATCCTAAACCATGTCAAAAAAATTTTTTAAGAATGTTAAGACCTTTAATCATAGCACTTTGGTAGGCCAAGGCCGGTGGATCGCTTGAGCCCAGGAGTTCTAGACCAGCTTGTGCAACATAGGGAGACCCCAGTCTCTACAAAAAATTACCCGCTTGTCCTGGTGCACACGTGTTGTCCCAGCTACCTAAGAGGCTGAGGTCAGAGGATCTCTTGAGCCTGGGAGGTGGAGGCTGCAGTGAACCATGATGGCACCACTGTACTCCATCCATCCTGAGCAACAGAAGGAGACCATCTCAGAAAAATAAAATAAAATAAAAATAAATAAATAAATAAATAAATAAATAAATAAAGGCTGGGCACGGTGGCTCATGCCTGTAATCCTAGCACTTTGGGAGGCCGAGGCAGGCAGATCACCTGAGGTCAGGAGTTCGAGAGCGGTGGCCTGGCTAACATGGCAAAACCTGTCTCTACTGAAAAAAAACAAAAAAAATTAGCAGGGTGTGGTAGTGGGTGCCTGTAATCCCAGCCAGTCAGGAGGCTGAGGCATGAGAATCGCTTGAACGCGGGAGGTGGAGGCTGCAGTGAGCCGAGATTGCACCGCTGCATTTCAGTCAGCTTGGGCAACAGTGTGAGACTCCGTCTCAAAAAAAAAAAAAAAAAAAAGATGATTTGACTATTTAGAGCCGTGGTTCTCACACATTAGAGTGCATCATCATCACCTGCAGGGCTTGTGAAACCGGCTGCTGGGCCTCACACCAGAGTTTCTAACTCAATAGGACTGAGGTGGGGCCTGAGCATTGCGTGTCTATATTCCCAGGTGACATTTGAGACCATGCTTTGAAAACCACTAGTGTAGGGAAATATACTACAGAATATGTTATGAATATTCTTGAGAATATGTATATATGTTAACTTAGGGTTTCTGTCCAGTGGAAAAGATAACACCCAAAGATGGCAGTTTTATTTCCCAATATGATTTTCTTTTTTTTTTTTGAAATGGAGTCTCGCTCTGTCACCCAGGCTGGAGTGCAGTGGCGCCATCTTGGCTCACTGCAACCTCCACCTCCTGGGTTCACGCCATTCTCCTGCCTTAGCCTCCCGAGCAGCTGGGACCACAGGCGCCCGCCACCACGCCGGGCTAATTTTTTTATATTTTTAGTAGAGACGGGGTTTCACCGTGTTGGCCAGGATGGTCTCAATCTCCTGACCTCGTGATCCGCCCGCCTCGGCCTCCCAAAGTGCTGGGATTACAGGCGTGAGCCACTGCGCTCGGCCCCCCTTTTTTTTTTGAGACGGAATTTAATTCTGCCGCCCAGGCTGGAGTGCAGTGGCACAATCTCAGCTCACTACAACCTCCGCCTCCAGGGTTCAAGCGATTCTCTTGCCTCAGCCTCCTGAGTAGCTGGGACTACAGGTGACCACCACTGCACCTGGCTAATTTTGTATTTTTAGTAGAGACAGGGTTTCAACATGTTGGCCAGGCTGGTCTTGAACTCCTGACCTCAGGTCATCCGCCTGCCTTGACCTCCCAAAGTGCTGGGATTACAGGTGTGAGCCACCATGCCTGACCTCCCTATAGGATATTAACAAGTTTTGTCTCTATCTCAGAATACATTTCAGAATGCCCTTCCTGGAGCATTACAGACACTGTCTCTCAAAAAGCTCCTTGAACTTGCTTCACCATGTTGCTAACTCCCTTGTGAATTAAAGAAAATATCTTATACATATTCCTTCATTATTTGTATGAAAGTCATGCTTTTAACATTGTAAAAATTATTCTTCAGGCTGGGTGCGGTGGCTCATGCCTGTAATCTCAGCACTTCGGAAGGCCAAAGTGGCGGGATCACGTGAGGCCAGAAGTTTGACACCAGCCTGGCCAACATGGTGAAACTCCGTCTCTACTAAAAAAAAAAATCAAAATTAGCTAGGGGGTGCACACACCTGTAGTTCCAGCTACTTAGGAAGCTGAGGCACAAGAATTGCTTGAACCTAGGAGATGGAGGTTGCAGTTAGCTGAGGTCGTGCCACTGCACTCCAGCCAGAGCCAGACCGAGACTCTATCTCAAAGAAAAAAAAAGAAAGAAAATTATACTTCGATACAGTATGCTAATATAAAGGATATAATCTGGTTTGGCTGTGTGTCCCCATCCAGATCTCACCTTGAATTGCAATAATCCCCACGTGTCAAGGGTGGGACCAGGTGGAGATAATTGAATCATGGGGGCGGTTTCTCCCATGCTGTTCTCGTGATGGTGAATGAGTTATCACGAGATCTGATGGTTTTATAACAGGCTTTCTCCTTTGATTCGCTCTCCTTCTCTCCTGCTGCCCTGGGAAGAGGTATCTTCTGCCATAATTGTAAGTTTCCTGAGGCCTCCCCAGCCATGCAGAACTGTGAGTCAACTTAAACATCTTTTCTTTATAAACTACTCAGTCTTGGGTATTTCTTCATAGCGGAGTGAGAATGGACTAATACAGTGTACTAATAACAGCCCAGACAGTAGTATACAGGTACTACTATACTTTGATGCTAGAGGTATTCCCATTAAGGTCAGGAGCAGTATGCGCTATCATTACCATGATCTAACATTGTTCCAGAGGGTTTTAGGTCAGCAGTTCTCAACTGGAGGTGATTTTGCCGCCCTGGGGATATTTGACAGTATCTGAAATCACTTTGGCTGTCACACTGAGGAGTGCTGCTGGCATGTGGCAGGCGGAGGCTGGGGATGCTGCTAAACATCCTGCGAGGCGCAAACAGCTCCAGAACAGAGAACTGTCCAGCCCTAAACATCAACAGTGCTGCTGTGGAGAAAGCCTGGTCTAGACAAATAAAACATGGGAAATCCATTAACATACATGTGGGTGGATAATCAACTGGCATTTGCCAATGGCAGTCTAGCTAGGAGGTCCAAAAGGAGCACCTGAAGGACAGTTAGATTTTGCAGGGGCTGCATGGTGGCTCATGCCTGCAACCCCAGTGCATTGTGAGGTCGCATTGGGAATATCTCTTGAGGCCAGGCGTTCAAGACCAGCCTGGGCAACATAGTGAGACCGCATCTCTACTAAAAATTAAAACATCAGCCAGATATGGTGCTGCGCTCTGATAGTCCCAGCTGCTGAAGTGGGAGTATCGCTTGAGCCCAGGAGTTGGAGGCTATGGTGAGCTGTGATCATGGCACTGCACTTGGAAAAGATATTTTTTGAGCCAGGGTCTTTCTCTGTTGTATCCTGGGTCTTGCTATGTTGCCTGGGCTGGTCCTGAACTCCTGGCCTCAAGCAGACTTCCTGCCTCAGCCTCCAAAAGTGTTGAGATTACAGGCATGAGCCACTGCCCCTGGCCTTACAAAATAAAAAAATAAGCTGCAGGATGTTATGTGTCCCGTTGAAAGATGTTGGAAAACAGTTGTGCATGTGACCCCGCTGTAACCAGTTATAAAAGTATCAGGATCATTAAGAAATGTACTGCGTCTGGCTTTCCCAAGTTTAGGTTCCTGCTGAAAGAATGAGATAGACCTTTTCTTCCTCCCCTCCTCACCTCCCTGCAAGAACCTGGACTGTGCATTTTGATGGGCAGGCTCTTACCTCTGACAGGCCACGGGGGCCTGCAGAGCCTTTCTGTGTGTGTTTTCTGGGCACTTGGATAAAGACCCCATGTCCAGGCCTTTGTTTAGGATATTTGGCCCATGGAGGAATGAGGGTGGACTCACCTGGGAGGGATAGAGGCTTCGACTGGAAGGAGGAGTGACCTGAACTCCAGGCTCTGGGCCTACACTTTGTTCCCATGCAGCACCCTGTTAGTGGTGACTGGGGCCTGGAAGTCAGGGGCCTTGGTGGCCAAGCACTGGCTGGACAGGAGGAGCTAAGGGAGGTGAGGGGCATCTCTCCAGCACCGCCCCCCCACCCCGTCCCCAAATCAATGCTGTCTGTCGACTCAGACACAGCCGCGGCCAGCAGCAGTGCGGGTCAGGAAGGGTGAATGCAGTCAGCACGGATCTGCTCCATAGTCTCCACCTCACTTCATCTCGGGTTGTGGGGAAGTGAGTCCCCGCAGCACTGATATGATATCCTGTCAACTGAGAATATTCAGCTTGATTTAGAAAGATAAGGTGGGACATCTCTTGGGCATGGCGTGTGGAGCAGTGCCATCCCTCTGTGGCAGCGAGCCAAGCAATAAACCAGAATGTGCAAAACCTGCGTCCCAGAATCACCGTTCCCGGAGGGAAAGCCTATATTGTCAAGATGCCCACAACTAAATTAACCCAAACATTCCATCCAGCCTTGAAAAACCAGTAGAACTTTGACGTTAATATACTAACCCTCAAGTCTATACAGAAATGTGTAAGAATAGCCACATACTGTAATGTGCGGTCATTGAGAGAGAGGAGGCCGTCAGAACAAATGGAACCAAGTCCAGAAACATGTCTGTCTAGGCGCAAGATTCCAGCATGTGTGTCAGCCAGGGAAGCAGACCAGGAGGAGATATTTATTAAGATTTAAAACCGAGCTGCATACCTCAGGCCTATAATTCCAGCACTTTGTGAGGCTGAGGTGGGAGGATCGCTTGAGCCCAGGAGTCTGAGGCTGCAGTAAGCTATGATCTTGCCACTGCATTCCAGCCTAGATGACAAAGCAAGACCCTGTCTCAGAAAAAAAAAAAAAAAAAAAAGTGCTGAGATGCGCTCTTACATGAAGCCACCTTGGGCACAGTTTCCAAGACTGGTGAAGCCTCACTCAGGACCAGGGGGCCCAGCCCTAGCTAAGTTTCCACTGCCTGAGTAGCACAGTGTCCTGTAGGTGGCCATAGTGTCCTCAGTCCAGTCTCTGTTGGGCCTCAGATCCCCCAATCATGCCCCTTCTGCCCAAGCTCTGCCTCATTATGGCCTCCACTGACCGCAGCCTCTTCCACCTTTCCAAAGGGACCCCTACTCATGCTCTCCAGCCCACAGGAGCACCTGCTTCTCCAGGAAGCCCACCCTGCTGGCTCTGGGCTCTATCTAGGAGAGCTGGGAAGGCTGGATCCCACCACTGAGTTCAGTCTCGGGGGTCTCCACCCATGCTAGGCTTCCACTGATGGGACATAAGTGGCCAGGGGGGTTCTTTACATCCACACAAGAGCCCCATGGTGACCAGGAGTAGGGTTCTGAGAGGTTAAATGACTTGCCCAGGGCCCCAGAGCTGGCTAGAATTCCTGCACTGCCACAACCAAGGCCTCATTTGGGCCTCCCACCTGGGGGCCCGGACACCCCTCTGCATCTACCAGGCTGGGAAACACACGTCTGCTGCAGCTTCCTCCCAGTGACTTACAGCAGCTGCAGATTTCTAGGGGGCCTTCTACTGGGCCTACCGCAGCAGGGAGCCGAGAACGCTTACAGAGCCCTGCGTTCTCTCTCTGCCCCCTTCGGCTCCAAACTCATACTAGCTGGTCTGATGTAAGACAGGCCTTGGTGAAGGAGTTGGGGCTCTGGTCAGTAGCCCAGGCCTTCAGGAATCAGGTGATGTTGATCTGGAGAGAAGGTGCCTACTGGGGGGAGCAAGCATGGCCCAGAGCCCTGGCCCCCTGCAGGGGCAGCCCCCTCTTCCTTCCCAGGATCCCCTGAGAATCCGAAGGCATCCAGGGTAAAGTGCAGTGTTCAGCTGTGTCCTGGGGTCCAGGAAAGTCAAGGAGAACTTGCTCCACCTGCTGTCCACCAGGCACCCCAGCAGAGAACAGCCTCAGCCCACCCCAGCCCAACACCAGATCCCAGGGATGGATCCACCTGTAAGAGGGCAGCATGAGACTGCCCCCATTGTCCCCAGAGAGTCCCCTCAGTCATGGGCTCTGACCAGGGTGCAGGTGGGTCCAGCAGGCTGGCCCAGCGTGGGTATGGCTGCCCATTGGTCCTCTGAAGAGCCCCAGGGGCTTGTAGCAGCTGGTGTATGTCTGGGCTTGGAAGCAGAGGATGTCCCCCAGCCAGAAGGCAGGGGACACTTGTTTTGCATTCGAGTCCTCTGCAAGGACAGGGACCCCAGGCTCTGGGAACCCCAGCTCTGCCCACCCCTACCCACAGCCTAGCACCATTTGGCCCAGGCAAGTGGCCCCGGCTCCCACAGAGGGAGCCACCCTTCCTACCTCCTGATGTTTGCCCGCACCAGTCAAGTTCCATTCTGGAAAAATCCTCCACGTCCTTGGGAAGGCACCTCCTCCTTGACTCCTTTTCAGAGCTATCGTCCCCACTTCCATTTTCTACCTATCATTCAATGCAGAGACCAGCTTCTTCCTTGACTCCTTTTCAGAGCTATCATCCCCACTTCCATTTTCTACCTATCATTCGATGCAGAGACCAGCTTCTTCCCTGGGCCAGAGCTGCTCTGGAGGCAGGGAGGTCATGGCCAGGCTGTAGGGTGTAGCAGAGCACCGGGTATAGACCAGGCTCTGCAGGCACACCTGGGCAGAGATGTCAGAGGCCCACAGGTGGTCCCTCCTTCCGGCCCCACCCACCTCACAGGCAGAAAGAGGGAGGCTTCACAAGGAGGTTGAGGTAAACAGGAGAGCCCGGGTCACCTCTGTCTCATCTCCTGCCCTCCTGGGACAAAGCCAGAGGTTGGAGCTGGGAGGTGTTGAGGGCCCTGGCCCAGCCCTGGTTTCACTGATGAGGCTCAGGGAGGGGCTGGGTCAGCCCAAGTCACTGAGTCCATAAGGGAGGGTTCTGACCATAACCCAGGACCCTAGAGCTAGCTGAGGCCGCATCCCTTTCCCACCTAGACCAAGGTAGGGGCATGAACTGGCTTCTGGCTTCTAAGGCTGAGGCCCAGCACACCTCTTCCTCCCCTTGCCTGCAGCTGTTGTCACACATCAAAAGTGAGTTTTTCCCCAAGGGGCTGGAGGTGCAGCTCCTTGGGCTGGACCAGGTGGCCAATCCAAACAAATCCCTGTGTGTCCCCACCAGCCAGGAATTCTCACACCGCACAGCAGCTGGGGGCACTAGGATACCCTGGGGGATTCCAGGGATGAGCCCTCCCTGAGGCTCCCACAGCAGCACTGCCGCCCCCAGACCCCCCAAAGCACCATGTCCATGCAGCCTTCGAAAACCTGGCCCCTCACACACACCTGCCCCACTCCTCACACCTGGCTTTCCTGTGAAAAGTGGAAATGGTTCCACCTGGGCCAGCTGGAGAAGGGCCTCTGGAAATCACCATTCTGGGGATTCATTCCAATCATTCATTTATTCACCAAATACCCACCGTCCACCTTTCTGTACCAGGCCAGGGGTGATAGTCAAGTGGAACACGTGTCCCAAGGAGCTTTCCTCTCTTTAGAGACAGGCAGACTCTCAGACCATGAGGTGCCCTCTGGTCTAGGGGGTGCCCAGGGCTGGATGCAGGCAAGGGCCTTGCCCACAGGAGGTGCTGGTGGGTACAGATGTGGAGGCCACCATGGGGTGAGGGTATCCAGACAGAGGACCTAGCATGTGCCCAGGCCCAGGGTGTGACCTGGGGCAGGTACGGGGCTGCTCTATCTGGAAGGCTTCCTGAATCTGCCAACAATAGGCCGTGGCTGGATCAGGCTTCATGTTGATTTTTAATATTATATTTAATACATTTTGATTATGTAACTAAACATGATTATTGTGATAAAAATTAAGAAATACAGAAAAGCTAAAAACACAAAAAACCAGCAAACCACTTCTCTCCCTAAATAACTGCTTCAACAGTATTTTCAGACTTTTTTTCCCATGTATCTGCAGCTATAAACATAAGCTGCACAAGATAGTATCCTTCCCCATATTCTGTTTTGGAGCTGGATTTTTCACTCAGCAGTGAATAGAGGCAGGCTTTAAACAGGCCACGCATTGTGAGGGCCCTGGGAAAGGAGACTGACCATGTTGCTGGGTGACCTTGGGCAAGTCTCGCCCTCCTCAGAGCCTGGATTTCCTCAGTCCGGTGAAGGGCAGGAAGGGCTGCAGTAGGACTACATCAGCGCTTCCCAAACTCAGAACCGCCACGTGGAGCTGTGTGAGCTGTCACTGCACAACCCCAGGGGCAGGAGCATTCTTGTCACGGCCTCTGTGAGTGGGGCTCCTGCCCAAAAGTGTGCTGTGCCAACCTGGGGCCCACAAGAGGATTTTAGGCGATATGCGGATGAATTGATTTTTACCATTTCCTTCTATCTGTAGTGAATGAGACCGATTCTCACCGGGAGGGCGTGTTAAACCACAGGTCGCTGAACCCACGCCTCAGAGGTTCTGATTCAGGAGGTCTGGGACGGCGCCTGAGAATCTGCATTTCTAACAAGTTCTCAGGTGATGGTGATGCTGATGTTGCTGGCCCAGGGTCCACACTCTGAGAATCACTAATCACAAATTTCCTTTAATTAATTTATTTATTTAAGGCAGAATTTTGCTCTTTCACCCAGGCTGGAGTATAATGATGCAATCATGGCTCACTGCAGCCTTGACCTCCCAGGCTCAAGCAATCCTCCTGCCTCACTTCTTGAGTAGCTGAAACCATAGGCGCATGCCACCACTCTGGATACTTTTTATTTTTTGTAAAGATGGAGTTTCACCATGTTGCTCAGGCTTGTCTCGAACTCCTGGGCTCAAGCAATTCACCTGCCTGGGCCTCCCAAAGCAAAAGTTTCCTTTTTAAATACATTTATTTAGGTTTTAAAAATGAATTGACTTAAAGCACAGGAATAGATCTTCAACACTAACCACTGGGGAAATGCAAATTAAAACCACAGTAAGATATCACTACAGATCTATTAGAACAGCTCAAATCAAGCATAGTGATAATATCAAATATCGGCGAGGATGCAGACAAAACTAACTCTCTCATACATCGCTGGTGGGAATATAAAATGGTACAGACACTCTAGAAAACAGTTTGGCAGCTTCTTTAATTAAACATATACCTCAATATATGACCTAGCAATTGCTTCTGGGCATTTGTACCAGAAAATAAAACTGATGTCTGCACAAAAACTCATACATGATTGTTCATGGCAGATTTATTTGTAATAGTCCCAAACTGGAAACAACCAAATACTCCCCAATAGGTGAATGGTTAAGCAAACTGCTACATCTATTCTATGAAATGCTATTCAACAATAAAAAGGGGGCCAGGCACAATGGCTCACTCCTGTAAACTCAGCACTTTGGGAGGCCGAGGCAGGTGGATTGCCTAAGGTCAGGAGTTCAAGACCAACCTGGCCAACATGGTGTAACCCTGTCTCTACTAAAAATACAAAAAAAAATTAGCTGGATGTGGTGGCAGGCACCTGTAATCCCAGCTGCTCAGGAGGCTGGGGCAGGAGAATTGCTAGAACTCGGCAGGCAGAGGTTGCAGTGAGCCGAGATCGCACCATTGTACTGGGTAACAGGAGCAAAACTTCATCTCAAAAAAAAAAAAAAAAAAAGCCAGGCATGGTGGTGGGTGCCTATAATCCCAGCTACTCAGGAGGCTCAGGCAGGAGAATTGCTTGAACCCAGGAGGCGGAGGTTGCAGTGAGCTGAGATCACGCCACCACATTCCAACCTGGGTGACAGAGTGAGACTCCATCTCAAACAGAAAAAAACATAAAGGAACATGCACAACTTGGATGGATCTTAAAGGGCATTTGCTGAGTAGAAAAAAAAAAAAGCCAGTCTCAAAAGGCCACATACTGTGTGATTCCATTTATATAATGTTCTTTTTTTCTTTGTTTGGTTTTGTTTTATTTTGTTTTTGAGATGAAGTCTCACTCTGTGGCCCAGACTGGAGTGCAGTGGCACGATCTGGGCTCACTGCAGCCTCCGCCTCCCAGGTTCAAGCGATTCTCATGCCTCAGTCTCCCAAGTAGCTGGAAGTACAGGCTCTCACCATCATGCCTGGCTAATTTTTGTATTTTTAGTAGAGACAGTGTTTTGCCATGTTAGCCAGACTGGTCTCAAACTCCAGGCCTCAATGGTTCCACCTGCCTCGGCCTCCCAAAGCACTGGGATTATAGGTGTGAGCCACCGTGCCAGGCCTTCATTCATTCATTCATTGAGAGAGTCTCGCCCTGTTTCTCAGGCTGGACTTCAGCGGCAGGATCACTGTAGCCTCTACCTCCCAGGTTCAAGCGATTCTCCTGCCTCAGCCTCCCACATAGCTGGAACTACAAGCTGGTGCCACCATGCCTAGCTAATTTTTGCATTTTGTAATATTCTTGAAGTGACAAGATTATAAAGACAGAAAGCAGATTAGTGGTTGCCAGGAGTAGGAATAGTGGAGGGGAAGAGCCAGGAATGAGTGCAGAGGAATAGCAGGAGGGGGATTTTCATGGTGATGGAATGTAGAGAAAAGAGAGATCAGACTGTTATTGTGTCTATGTAGAAAAGGAAGATATAAGAAACTCCATTTTGACCTGTACCCTGAACAATTGCTTTGCCCTGAGATACTGTTAATCTGTAACTTTGCCCCAACCTTGAGCTCACAAAAACATATGTTGTATGGAATCAAGGTTTAAGGGATCTAGGGCTGTGCAGGGTGTGCCTTGTTAACAAAATGTTTATAAGCAGTATGCTTGGTAAAAGTCATCGCCATTCTCTAGTCTTGATAAACCAGGGGCACAATGCACTGCGGAAAGCCTCAGGGACCTCTGCCCCGGAAAGCCGGGTATCGTCCAAGGTTTCTCCCCATGTGATAGCCTGAAATATGGCCTTGTGGGATGGGAAAGAGCTGACTGTCCCCCAGCCTGACACCCGTGAAGGATCGGCGCTGAGGAGGATTAATAAAAGAGGAAGGCCTCTGTCTCCTGCTGCCCCTGGGAATGGAATGTTTTGGTATAAAACCCAATTGTAGATTTGTTCAATTCTGAGATAGGAGAAAAACCGCCCTGTGATGGGAGGCGAGACATGTTGGTAGCAATGCTGCTTTGTTATTCTTTACTCCACTGAGATGTTTGGGTGGAGAGACGCATAAATCTGGCCAACGTGCACATCCAGGCATAGTGTCTTTCCTTGAACTTATTTGTGACACAGATTCCTTTGCTCACATGTTTTCTTGCTGACCTTCTCCCCACTGTCACCCTGCTCCCCTACTGCATTCCTCTTGCTGAGATAGTGAAAAAATAGTAATCAATAAATACTGAGGGAACTCAGAGACCGGTGCCGGTGCAGGTCCTCGGTATGCTGAGCGCGGGTCTCCTGGGCCCACTGTTCTTTCCCTATACTTTGTCTCTGTGTCTTATTTCTTTTCTCAGTCTCTCATCCCATCTGACGAGATATACCCACAGGTGTGAAGGGGCAGGCCACCCCTTCAGTGGAACAGTTCTGTATCTTGATTGTAGCGGTGGTTAAAGGAGTCTACATATGTGATAAAATGGTATAGACCTAGACACATGACATCGTTAGATATTGTTCTACATTTATACAAAATAGAACCTTTGGAGGAAACTGAGTGAAGAGTACATGAAACCTCTCTGTACCATCTTTGAAATTTCCTCTGAATCTATGTTTCCAAATAACAGGTTTAAATTTTTAAAGTTGCTTTAGACAAAAATATTAAATAAAAGGCCGGGCACGGTGGCTCACGCCTGTAATCCCAGCACTTTGGAAGGCCTAAGGTGGGCGGATCACGTGGTCAGGAGATCGAGACCATCCTGGCTAACACTGTGAAACCCCATCTCTACTAAAAGTACAAAAATTAGCCGGGCGTGGTGGTGGGCGCCTGTAGTCCCAGCTACTCGGGAGGCTGAGGCAGGAGAATGGTGTGAACCGGGAGGCGGAGCTTGCAGTGAGCCGAGATTGCGCCCCTGCACTCCAGCCTGGGCGACAGAGCAAGACTCGTCTCAAAAAAAAAAAAAAAAAAAAAAAAAAAAAAAAAAAATTAAATAAAAATAATGTCCTCTACGCTCCTGTGAGTAACTTGGCTCCGGGGGCTCCGCTCGCCTGCCCCCACGCCGCCCGCCACCCAGGACCGCGCCGCCGGCCTCTGCCGCGAACAAACCCTTCTGACGGCCCTCGCTGTGCAGGCCAGGATGCCTCTCCCCCATCCGCCCCCGCTGCGGAAAGTTAAGTTTGAAGAGGGGGGAAGAGGGGAACATGGACATGAAGAGGAGGATCCACCTGGAGCTGAGGAACTGGACCCCGTCAGCTGTTCGAGAACTTGTCTTGGACAATTGCAAATCAAATGATGGAAAAATTGAGGGCTTAACAGCTGAATTTGTGAACTTAGAGTTCCTTAGTTTAATAAATGTAGGCTTGATCTCAGTTTCAAATCTTCCCAAGCTGCCTAAATTGAAAAAGCTTGAACTCAGTGAAAATAGAATCTTTGGAGGTCTGGACATGTTAGCTGAAAAGCTTCCAAATCTCACACGTCTAAACTTAAGTGGAAATAAACTGAAAGATATCAGCACCTTGGAACCTTTGAAAAAGTTAGAATGTCTGAAAAGCCTGGACCTCTTTAACTGTGAGGTTACTAACATGAATGACTACTGAGAGTGTCTTCAAGCTCCTGCCCCAGCTTACCTACATGGATGGCTATGACCAAGAGGACCAGGAGGAACCTGACTCAGATGCTGAGGTGGATGGTGTGGATGAAGAGTAGGAGGGCGAAGAAGAAGACGAAGAAGACGAGGAGGATGAAGATGGTGAAGAAGAGGAGTTTGATGAAGAAGATGAAAATGTAGAAGGAGATGACGAAGATGAAGTCAGTGAGGAGGAAGAAGAATTTGGACTTGAAGAAGATGAAGATGAGGATGAGGATGAAGGAGGAGGAAGAAGGCAGGAAAGGTAAAAAGAGGAAGAGAGAAACGGATGATGAAGGAGAAGATGATTAAGACCCCAGATGACCTGCAGAAACAGAACTGTTTAGTATCGGTTGGACTGCTCATGGATTTGGTAGCTGTTAAAAAAAAAAAAAAAAAGGTAGCTGATACAAACCCCAGGACACCCACCCACCCAAAGAGCCAAAGAATAGTTCCTGTGACATTCCGTCTTCCTCCATGTAGTCCCTCTTGGTAATCTACCAATCTACCATCGAGCTTAGGGACTTCACCCCAACAAAATTGTAAGTGTTGTTAGGTTTTTGTGTGAGACTCTTGCTGTAGCGTAGATAGCTGTGATTGGTGAGTCAACCATCTGTGGCTACCAGTTACACTGGGACTGTAACAGCATTTTTACTTTCTGTACAACAAAAATCTTTGTAAATAAAATCTTAACATTAAAATAACAATAATAATAATAATGTTGATTGTATGCAGGTCTGGCAAACCTTTGACACACTGAATGACTGGCATCTCTAATCCATCCAATTCACAATTGCCCCTGGCCAGGCCCTGTCCTAGGCTAGGTCACCTGCTGGAAGATAAGACTGTGGATTCTCTCCTGCTTGGCTTTGGGGTAGAGATGCCAGATAAGATATAGAACACCCAGTTGAATTTAGATTTCTGATAAAAAATAAACTATTTTTTAGTAAGTATGTACCATGCATATTTAGGACATACTTATACTAAAACTTATTTCTCTAAATTTTTTTTTCACCATCTTCACAGGTGTTGATATTTCTCTAAATTCTTTAATGTATGTATGTAGTTACTTTAAAGCTCTTGCCTGCTAATTCCAATGTGTGAGCCATTTATGGGTCTGCTTTCTCTCTTTTTTTTTGTGTGTGTGTGTGATAGAATTTTGCTCTTGTAGCCCAGGCTGGAGTGCAATGGCACCATCTCGGCTCACTCCAACCTCCACCTCATCTGGCTGGTCTTGAATTCCTGGTGATCTGCCTGCCTCAGCCTCCCAAAGTGCTGGGAGTACAAGTGTGAGCCACCATGCCTGGCCCTTTTTTTGTTGTTGTTTCTTTGAGATAAGTTCTCACTCTGTTGTCCAGGCTGGAGTGCAGCGGCATGATCTCAACTCACTGCAACCTCCACCTCCCAGGCTCAAGCCATCCTTCCACCTCAGCCTTCCAAGTAGCTGGGACCACAGGCACGTGCCACCAGCAGTCCTGGCTGGTTTCGTGGAAGACAATTTTTCCACAGACGGGGTTGGGGGTGGTGGTTATGGTATGAAACTGTTCCACTTCAGATCATCAGGCATTAGATTCTCATAAAGAGTGTGAAACTTAGATCCCTCGCATGTGCAGTTCACATTAGGGTTCACGCTTCTATGAGAATCTAATGCCTGCTGATCTGACGGCGGGTGGAGCTCAGGCAGTAATGCTCGCTGTCCACCACTCACCTCCTGCTGCGCAGCCTGGTTCCTACCAGGTTACCTACGGGTACAGTCCACAGCCTGGGGGTTATGGGCCCCTGCACACCACCATACCCAACTCGTTTCTGAATTTTTAGTAGAGATGGGGTTATGCCATGTTGCCCAGGCTGGTCTCGAAGTCTTGAGCTCAAGTGATCTACTTGCCTTGGCCTCCCAAAGTGCTGGGATTACAGGCGTGAGCCACCATGCACAGTGGGTCTGTTCATATTGACTGGGTTTCTCTTAATTTTAGGATATATTTTCTCACTTTTTTCACACATCTAGTATTTCTTGAGCTGTTGGACGTTGTGAACCTTCATTGTAGAGATGTGGGTTATGTTATCCTACTCTAGTGTTGAGTTTTATTTTGGCAGGGAATTAAATTACTCGTGGGTTAACTTGATCATGTGTGTCAAGGGTACATTTTAGGCTTTGTTAGGGTGACCTGTTTTTCAGTTTTGCCCTTATTCCCAGGGAATCTTCCTTAATCCCAAGGCATGGCCTTCTAGGCCCTCTGTGAATGTCTGGAATATTCATCAAGATCTGAGATTCCAAGAGTGGAGACTCTGGCTGAGCCAGAATTCAGATGTATCTCCAGCAGTCTGTGACTGAAATCGCTGTTTAGCTTTCAGCTCCCCATCGGCTGTTCTGTGCTGGGCCTTGCAGAGCCTCAATCTGCACACTCATTGTTTGGGATTTGGCCAAGGACCTGCAGCAACCTCTGTAAGATTTCTGGGGCTTCTCCTCTGCAACTCCGTCCTTTCTGATACTCTGCCACACACATTTTAGCAGCCCTGAGCACCAGTCTCTGTTTCCTTCACCAAACAAGACTGATCCTCTTGGCTTGGACTCTGCTTCCTCGTGCTGTCATTGAGGGTTTAGAAACTTTCCCCACCAGAAAAATGTAGCAGTCACTTCATGTGATTCCCTTCTCTCAGATTGTACATGGAACTGCCTATTGCCCAATGCCTGAAGACAATTTCTTCATGTACTTTGTCCAGCTTTGTAGTTGTTTATGCTGGGAGACCATCATCAATACAGGTACTCTATCATGGTCACAATTCGAAGTATGATTAATATCATATTCATTCTATTCTAAAAGTAGAGAAGACAAAGACCAAAAATTCTAAGAAAAATGGAAAAAAAAATATGAAAGTTCAAAGAAAAAGAAACCCAAATGCCGCTGACACACAGGAAAAAATGTTTAACTTCACTGATAATAAGAAAGATACAATTTTAGGCCGGGTGCAGTGGCTCACACCTGTAATCCCAGCACCTTGGGAGGCTGGGGTGGGAGGATCGCTTGAGGCCACAAAGTGAAGGTGGCAGTGAGGCAAGAGGGCACCACTTGGGGCGACAGAGTGAGAGCCTGTCTCAAAAAAAAAAAAAAAAGATACAGACGTAAACAACATCCTGCAACCTCTACATGTGGCCACGATTGCTAACAGGGACCAGATTTGCCTCCCACCTTGAACAACTAGAAAAATGGAACAACATATATAAAACGATAGTTTTCAGACATCAGAGAACAGGTCGAGCAGAACTATGATCCCTAAAAGAAGGTGAACCCTACAGTGTCCTCGGTTTACTGCCGGAAGCACTTACAGGCTCCAACACAGGGAGGGGAATCCAAAGTCCAGTGGTCTTGGTGGATTGAGGAGACAGAGATCAGAGCTTGGGAAGGTCTTCAAGGCCGGTAGAATTTGTGAGGTAGAGTACCAGGGAGGAGGTGGGAGAAGAGAGCGCGTGAGCTCTGGAGAGCTATGGAAGATGCCCTCAAGCCTTTGGCAAAGGGCTGATATGGATGTATGTGAGAAGAAAGTACCCAGGGAAAGAACTGCCAGAAAGCAGACAGAAGAATCCCCAGAGCTCACAACAGGCTAGAGAGAATTCATATTCTCACTAGTGCGGATGAAAACACCTCATAATACTTAGGAAATGGAAGAGAAGCTTTAGAAAAGTATTGCCTTAATAGTGGGGCTAAATGAGCACTGGAGTAAAGGCTTCTCTGAAACTGTCCTCACAAAGTTTGAAAGTAAACCTTGATAGATCCAACTTATTTCAAGTAACTTAACTAGTGCTGGAACAGAGTCCCACACTATTTAAAGGAAAACAAAATCCAGCAGTCACAACACAAAAACAATGTCTACCAGTCAATAAAACATTGCCAGGCAATGGCCAGGCACAGTGGCTCATGCCTGTAATCCCAGCACTTTGGGAGGCCGAGGTGGGCAGATTGCATGAGGCCAGGAGTTCAAGGCCAGCCTGGCCAATATGGCTAAATCCTGTCTCTACTAAAAATACAAAAATTAGCCAGGCATGTTGGTACGCAACTGTAGTCCCAGCTACTTGGCAGGCTGAGACATGAGAATTGCTTGAACCATGAGATGGAGATTGCAGTGAGGTGAGATCACACCACTGCACTCCAGCCTGGGTGACAGAGTAAGATGCTGTCTCAAAACAAAAAACAAAAAAACAAAACAAAAAAACAACAGGCATAATATGGCCTATAACCAGAAGAGAAATAAATCAATGGAAATAGGCCCAGAAATGACAGAGATGATGTAATTAGCAGATAAGGACATTAAAAAACATATAAATATGCTCCATATGTTCAAGAAGGCTAGAAAAATCTAAATCTGAACATTATGAGAAGAGAGAAATGGAAGATATATTGGAAAAAAACAAACAAACACAGGCTGGGTGCGGTGGCTCACACCTGTAATCCCAGAACTTTGGGAGGCTGAGACACAAGGATTGCTTGAGCCCAGGAGTTCAAGACCAGCCTGGGCAACATAGGGAGACCTATCTCTATAAATAATTTTAAAATTAGCCAGGCATGGTGGCATGCACCTGTAGTCCCAGCTACTCAGGAGGCTGAGGCAGGAGGATCACCTGAATCCAGGAGGTCGAGGTTGCAGTGAGCTGTTTTCGTGCCACTGCACTCCAGCCTGGGCACATAGTGAGACCTTGTGTCAAAATAAAACAAAAAGAATTACTAGAGATGAAAAATTAACTCTGCAGATATGGGATTAAAATGAGTTTTAAAAAGTCAATGAGGCCAGGTGTGGTGGTGGCTCACGCCTGTAATCATCCCAGCACTTTGAGAGGTTGAGGCAGGAGGATTGCCTGAGGCCAGGAGTTTGAGACCAGCCTGGGCAACATAGTGAGGCCTCATCTCAAAAACAAACAAACAAAAACAAAAAAAAAAAAACAACAAAAAAATTTCAAAAATTTTAATGAAGACAAAATAAAGACTTTTTCACACAAACAAAAGCCAGGATAATCACCAGCAGGCCTGCACTCTGAGAAGTGTTAAAAGCAGTACTTTGGTCAGAAGAAAAATGACACTGGGTAGAAATTTGAGTCTACACAAAGGAATGAAGACCACTGACATAATAAATACATGGATAAATAGAAAAGATCCTATTTTCTCCTTTTGTGATGTCTAGAAATAATTGACCGAGGCAAAAGTAGTAACATATTGTCGTGTTTATAACATGTGGAAGTAAAATGATCATGAGAATGGCACAAGGGACAGGTGGGGAAATGTAAGAATACTATCATTATAAGGCAGCGGTCACAGTTGAGGGAGGTGATAAATCTCTGTGTTTCCACCTGGAATACTGCATTGCTCCTGGAAGTGGGAAGAGGGAATTGCAGAGACTTCCCCCATGTTCTTCCTACTATAGTGGCTCATACCCACAGGTCAGGGAGTAAAGTGAGAGCTCTGTTAGCTTCTAAGCATACTCATATCAATTGCATATTTAGGGACAGAGAAATGACAACCGGATGGGGCTGTGGCCTCTTCATCCAGGGATCCATTTATTACCTAGCCTTCACATGTCCTCAGTCTTGTTGGGGATGGGACATGGTGGCATTGTGGATCTTATGGTGGCATGGTCAGCTCTAATCCTATATGAATGGCCCTCAAACAGTCTGGGTATTCCCTTTTCATCAGCTACAGTTACTTTCATCAATGACCCCAGATCCCTTTGGAGAATAATTAATGAATACCATGTGGTGTTGTTGCAGGATCTTTTTCCAAGAATACCCAGCCTCCCCTACAATCCATGAGCTATAGGTCTCAATTGTCTCAGTCTGAAAACTGGGTAGGAAATTGCAATTTTTTGTTGCAGCCTTCTGCGTGCCAGATCTTGTTTTTTCCTGAATACACAAATCAGGAAATGTCCTAGGGCTCACATGTGTAATCCCAACAATTTGGGAGGTCACAGCAGGAGGATTGCTTGCGCTCAGGAGTTTGAGACCAGTCTAGGCAACATAGCAAGACCTCATCTTCACTAAAAATTAGAAAAAAAAAAATAGCCAGGCATGGTGGTGCATGCCTGTAATCCCAGCTTCCTGGGAGGCTGAGGTGGGAGGATCGCTTGAGCCCAGGAGGTTGAGGCTGCAGAGAGCTATGATTGTGCCACTGCACTCCAGACTGGGCTACAGATTAAGATCCTGTCTCAAAAAACAAAACAAAAGAAAAAACCACCCTAGTCAACTGCCTATGTAACTCTCCCCTGGAATGCCATCAGTTTGTAGCCAATACAACAGCTCCCTGGAGGTCAAGGCATCCTGGCTGTCACTCTAGCCTTCCTACCAATTAAGTTAATTACATCCACCTTGTGGATGATGGTGAAGGGCCACCACCTGGCATCCGCTGTTCTCGCCTTCCACCGTTCCCACTGACACCACGAAGCCTGGTCTCATGGCAGCATCTCCTCTTGTCGATCCTGGCCTACCAAGGATAGTGCCACTGAGTCTCTCAAAGATTCAGGTGCCCTTCTCACTAGTGCCTTCCTTGCTTGCCTAGAGAGGGGAGTTCCTGTGAGCCCTCCAAGGGCACATAGTCAAGTGGTGGATTCCGAATCTCCTGGCATATAATGAACCATTCCAACATTCCTACCTCCCTGTACTTTCTGGCTTCTTTGACGCTTTGCAAATGCAATTCTATAATCTCCACCTAATTCACTGCAGCAACTGTTCTGTCCACATTTCAAGGAGCCACTCCAGCACTGTGTTGGAGCCCCAGGTGTCTTTGCCAAGCATTAAATCCTGAGAGTGCTCCCAGGTCACTGTATTCTCGTGTATACAGCCTTTAGTCTCCTCCTGGTCCAACACCCTTATGTCCACTTCTTCACCTCCTCTCCTAGATTCTGCCAGTACACACTCGGCAGCTCCTGCATTTTTGGCAAAAAAAAATCATTCTCCCAGAGCAGACTGTGCTTGTGACCTTGGGCCATGATGAAGAATGACCATAGCCTGGTGTCAATGTGGGGCAGCAATGACGACACACCTCATCCTGCTGTGAGGCCTTGTTGGAGGCTCTTTGCCCAGTCTCCCGGCAAGGGGCAGCTGCCCTTCTCTTAGCAGGGAAAGGGGGCTACTTCTTTTAGACCAGAGCATTTAGTGGAAACTGGAGGTTCAGAATTCTCAGATGTATCCATTTAAGTTTCCCCACACCAGATATCAGGATCCTATTGCTCCTCTCCCCTCCTCTTCTCTCCCCTCCCTCCCCTCTTTTCTCTCCTCTTTTCTCTTCTCTTGTTTCTTTTCTCTTATTTCTTTTCTCTTCTCTTCTTTTTCTTTTCTTTTCTCTTTCTTTTCTCTTCTCTTATTTCCTCTTCTTTTTCTTTTCTCTTCTCTTTCTCTGTCTTTTTCTCTCTTTCTTTCTCTTTCTTTCTTTTTGAGATGGGATCTCACTCTGTCACCCAGGCTAGACTGCAGTGATGTGATCTCGGCTCACTGCAACCTCTGCCTCCTGGGCCCAAGGGATCCTCCCACCTCAGTCTCCTGGGTAGCTGGGACCACAGATACATGCTACCACATCTGGCTTATTTTCATATTTTTTATAGCGATCGGGTTTCACCATGTTGCCCAGGCTGGTCTTGAACTCCCGGGCTCAAGTGATCCTCCTGCCTCAGCCTCCCAAAGTGCTGAGATTACAGGTATGAGCCACTGCACTCACGTTTCCTTTTCCTTAAGTAATTCTAAATAAAAACAAGACTAAATCATAAAATAAAATTTGTATTTTTTGGGGAAATGACACAAAACTTCCATGACAGCTGACATTAAAATAGTTTATTTCTAGATTTTCTGCTGTGTGTGTGTGCGTGCACACATGTGCACACTTGTCCTTGCTTGGCGCCCTATGTGTGTACTGCTGTAGCTACTGGGTCAATCTGCACAATGTCTGGCTGCACAATTTCCAGCAAATGAAAGCTCTACACAACGTAATTTTCAAGCAGTCGAGACTGAAGCAGCAGTCTCCTTCTGGTTTTAATTTGAATTAAACTGCCAGGCTGTACTTGTGTGGGAAACTGACAATTTTCAGCAAGAAATTTCCAGGTGAGGCCTGTTCCCCTCCAGTGTAACTCTAGGGCCTGCTTGGCAGGGGGACTGGCTTTGGCTGGAGGCTGGGTCAAGAGGGCTCTCCTGGCATGGCGCATTCCCATCCCAGGGAGGGAGCTCTGTTGGGAGCATGAGATGGACCAAGAAGACCCATCCATTGGGAAAGTGGTCCTTAGTCTGTCCAGTTTTAATGGAGGAGGGTGCTTGGTGCAACGTCCACTTCTGATGGGGAAACTAGTCAGAGACATGGGTATTCATGGTCTTTCCCACGTGTGCCCCACCGGGACCCAAACTGGAGGAGTGAAAAGTTCCAGAAGACAGATCAAGAGTGGTGTACATGTCACGACTGCCCAGGCGTGGCCCACCCCACCACCCATCGGTCCTGCCCTCTGGAGCCCTGGGCAGGCTGGTAGAAGCACTTTTTGTGGTCTGGGTTTTTAGTCAGGATGCCTATGGCTTCCTAACACCCACATGGGGCAGCCTAGTGTAGAGATCCTGAAAGCAGGAGAACAGCAATTGATCAAGTGAACCCAAGATGTGACTAAAACTATCTCTGATGGCAAAGCTTTTGATGACATAGAGTCTGGCTCATAGAAAGATGGCCCTGAGCATGGCACCTCTGACCAAATCCCTCACTCTGACCTACTGAGCGTATGAGCCCAGCCTTGCTCACAGTCGGGGCTGGAGGAAGACCTCATGGAGGCCACTCGATACCTGCACTTCCTGTGTGCCTGTCACTGCTGATTCCACCCACACCGTCCTCTGCTCCAGCCAGCCCAGCCCTGCCATGCCCTGCCATTGCAGCCAGGGCTCTTTGGATGTGCGTGACAGAAAATTCACTCGAGTTGGCTTAGGCAAGAAGGGAAGCTCCTTGGTCAGTAAGTTAGCCACGGGCAGGGCAGGGAACAGTTGGGCCTCAGGAATACCTGGACTCAGAATCACCAGTGCTGTTAGGATTTGCAGGCTCCTTTCCTTGTCTCTGTCTCCACCTCAGTCTGCAGATCAGTTTTGTGTTCTCAGAGCAACTTTCCCCACAAGGTTGGAGTCAGGCTGTTGGCACCATGGGGCTTCCGTCTTCCTGGCTTTGCCTCCAAGAAAGGATGGGGCTCCCCTCCATTAGTTCCTAATCAGAAAATTCCAGAAGAAAGTTTCTGCTTGGTCTGGTCTGGGTTGGCTGAGTAGCTGGGACTCCAAAACTGCCAAGCCCTCTAGTGTCATGTGGTTGAAGTAGGGTGGGGAGATGTATTAGTCAGTTCAGGGTGCCATGCCAAAATACCACAGACTGGGTGGCTTAAACCACAGACATTTATTTCTCACAGTTCTGGAGGCTGGGAAATCCAAGACCAAAGTGCCAGCAAGGTAGGTTTCATTCTGAGGCCTCTTCTCTTGGCCCATAGGTGGCTGCCATATTGTGTGCTCACATGACCTCTTCTTTGTATTTGTGCAGAGAGAGAGTGAGTGCACTCTCTGGTGTCTCGTCTTATAAGGACACTAATCCTACTGAATCAGGGCCCCCACCCTTAGGACCTCATTTAACCTTTATGACTTCCTGAGAGGCCTCATCTCCAAATACAGCCATGCAGAGGGTTAGGGCTTCAACATATGAATTTGGAGGAGACAGAGACACTCAGTCCATGATGGGAAGAAAAACTATTCATGATAAAAGGGGTGCAGTGGTCAGAAAAGGGGGCAGACAAAATGTTCTCCCCATTTCCCCCAATACACCACACACACACGGCCCTGCCTTTGCCCCTTCCCCACAAGGCCACTCCCCACCCCATGATTATTTACTTCCCTCCTATCCTGCACTCTGGAGCTGCCCCTTCCCCTAAGTTGTCCTGTGGCTCACTGATCGCTGCATACAGGTAGGTGCATGTCAATGTAGCTGGGGCTGGGGGCCTCCTGGACCATGTGTGTCCTGAGCCCCACCATGCGACTGGGCAGGAAGTGGGTCTCACCCATGTCTCCTGTCCTCAGGCAGAGCCTAGCCCTGGGACATGAGCTCAGTGGGTGCTGCAGCTTTGTTGGATTCACCTCAGGCCCCCTTTCTCCCCATCCACTTATAAGGTTCCCAGGGCCTTGATACCTCCGTCCTTGGAAGAAAAGAATGTGATTACCCAGCTCACATGAACCTGCTGGTGGCTTCCCGCAATAGAAGGACATAATTTTCTAGTTCAAAAGAGTCTATCAGGTGACTAGCACGGTGAATGAAGAAAGACCTACAGCAAGGCACATCATTAGGAAATTCCAGAAAACTAAGGATAGAGAGAAAATCCTAAAATCTTCCAGAGAGAAAAGACAGGTCATAAGTTAAGAGCCGAGACTCTGCATGACACGGACTTCTTCCCAACAACACTGGGAACTAGAAAATAATAGAGCAATGTTTCCCAATGTGAGGAGAAGTTACACTTAAATTAGAGCATTACATCCAGCCAAACTAGTAATCAGGAGTTGGGGTAGAACAATGACATTCTAAAATGTGTGAGGGTCAGAAAGTTTGGCTTCCATTCACTCTTTCTCGGGAAGACACTGGAAGATGTACTGCAACACAATGAGAGAGTAAATCAGGGAACAGGAGGTGCACACAGAAGAGGCAGCAAGAAAATTCACACGATGGTGCAGAGACATGTCAGAATGCCAGCCGTGCCATGGGCTGAGAGTCGAGTCCAGTTTGGAGCAGAAGGATGGAGGGCAAGGGAGAGAGGGAAGCCTCCAGGAAAATAATGGGGCTGATAGAGTATCCAGTGTATCTTAGTTTTTGGATAATTATCACTAGGCATTTGATAGATTGGTTGGAGCATCTGAAAAAATAGGTAGGTAATTGGTTAAAAAAAAAGCAAATGAGGGATAATAATCTGAAGCAATTATTAACTCCAGGGGAAGAAAGGAAAGAGATGAAACAATTTCAGTGCGGGACTTGGGTTAGGGTCAATATTTAGATGGCTACAAGAATGTAAATGCTTTTGATTTCATGCGATTGTGATCCAGTCAAATTAGTGAAATGGAGGCAAGGAAATTAAGACCTCATAGGAAGGTAAGCCCTATACTGAGCTATGCCAGGAACTGACAGATACTGAAGAAAACAAATCAAGAAATAGCAACATAAACATTCTTTAGAAATATGACGATAACATACCAGGGGAAGTCGCAAAATGAGTTTAAAGTGATGACCTATAGGAATTAGGACTCAAAGGCAAGAAAGGAAAGGGCAGAGGAAATGCTTTTTGATATAAGCCTTTCACTACCATTTTGTTCTTTTTTTCTTCTTTTCTTGTTTTACTGAGGATTTCTTGCAACAGATATCATTTTGTTGTTACTTCTGTGTAACTAGTAGTTTGATCAGAATTAAATATAATGTTGTAAGTTCTGGAGATCTGTTGTACAGCATGATGACTATAGTTAATAATGTATACTTGAAAATTACTAAGAGTAGATTTTTTGCTTTTATTATTATTATTATTATTATTATTTGAGACAGAGTCTTGCTCTCTCACCCAGGCTGGAGTGCAGTGGCACAATCTCAGCTCACTGTAACCTCTGCCTCCCAGGCTCAAGTGATTCTCCTGCCTCAGCCTCCCGAGTAGCTGGGACTACAGGCACGCGCCACCACGCCCGGCTAATGTTTTGCATTTTTAGTACAGATGGGGTTTCACCATGTTAGCCAGGATGGTCTCGATTTCCTGCCTTGGCCTCCCAAAGTGATGGGATTAGAGGCGTGAGCCACCATGCCCGGCCTGCTTTTATTATTTTTAAGCAAAACATAATTGTGTATACTTATGGGATACAGTATAATATTTTTATACATATATACAATGTGTAATGATCAAGTCGTAATTAGCATCTCCACCACCTCAAACATTTATCATTTCTTTGTTCTGGGGGCATTCAAAATCCACTCTTCTGGCTATTTAAAAATATATAATAAAGTGTCATGAATTATAGTTACCCTATAGTGCTAAAGACACTAGAACTATTCCTCCCATCTGGCTGTACTCTTTGTTTTTGTTTTGTTTTGTTTTTCTTCCCCAGACAGGGTGTCACTCTGCTCCCTAGGCTGGAATGAAGTGGTGCAATCACAACTCACTGCAGCCTTGACCTCTTGGGCCCAAGTGATCCTCCTACCTCAGTCTCCAGAGTAGCTGGGACCACAGGCATGCACCAACATGCCTGGCTAATTTCTAATTTTTTTGTAGAGATTGGATCTCCTATGTTGTCCAGCCTGGTCTCAAACTCCTGGGCTCAAGTGAGCCTCCCAAAGTGCTAGGATTACAGGCATGAGCCACTGCACTCAGCCATGTACTCTTGTATCTGTTAACCTGTTAGCCAACCTTTGGGTACTTTCTCCCCCTTACCCTTCCTCACCTCTAGTAAACACTATTTCTAAGTAAATACATCTTAAATGTTCTTACCACAAAAAAAAGTATGTGAGGTGATTAAAGTGTTAATTAACTCATTTTAATCATTTCACAATGTATGCATGTATCACATTGAACACTGTCAATATACACAATTTTTATTTGTCAATTATACTTTAATAAAGATAGGGGAGGAATTGAATATACTGTTAAAATAAAAAACAACTGCAAAACTTAAGAAAATTAATGATCTAGTCCAAACCAGCCTTTTACAGATGAGGTCGCTGAAGTGCAGAGAGGTGAACTGACTTGTCTGATGTTACACAGCAAGTCACTGGCAGAGCTTGACCTGAAACCCAAAGCCAAGTGTTTCCTATTACCTCCAGGTCCTTCAGGCCAGCCCACCCGGGGCTCTGCCTTGGGAATTGGTATTGGTGACAAAGGGAATAGAGAGGAACATGCATAGAGCTCTCCATTTAGATGGACATATTCACACTGTGCCAGGGCGTTGGCAAGAAACAGTGCAAGCTCCAAGTGCTTGCCCCGACCCTTTTCCCCCTCCCCATCCTCTCTCATAACCAACTTCAGCTAAAAGGTCTGAGAAGATAAGGGAATCTTAGATGACTCTCACTAGGGTGTAAATGACTCCCACCATGATTTTTGTTTTATTGAGACATAACCCCAAAAGCAGTTTGATGGATAGTGTGCCAGGCAGTAGGATGAAGACAGACGGGGAAACTGCCTGGGGTCATGGAGAAGGTGGAGGCACTGAGGCCCTGAGTGATTTCATAAAGAACACCTTAGCAAATGTCCAGCACCATGGGTTCTTGCCTTCACTCAGGACCCACAAGGCCCCACGTTCTGACAGATTTTATCAGACAAATTGCACTCGGTCATGCTTCATTCATTTTCCTTGGAGAGTTCCCAGGTTACATAGAACTGAGATAATCTCCCCACCTCGCCATCACTCCCACGAAGACACTGCATGTTTCTGTTTGCAATACGGTCTTATGTGGATCAATATTAGATTTTCATGGTGCTCTTTGCATTTTGCAACTATTGCTCAAGCTGGAGACCCAAAAAGAGCACTAGCTTTAGAGTCAAAGACCCCTGGGTTCCAGTTTCAGCTGAGAGACTGTGAGCACGTCGCTAGCCCACTCTGATCCTGTATCCTAGTTGTACAATCACCTATTTCCCATCAATTGCGAGGCTGGAGAGAAAAGTGCCCACTCTGTGCCCAGTACGCAGTAGGAGCTTAGTAAGCTCAAGCTCTTTTGCTTCCTCACTATCCTAAAGTGTTAGCGGAAAGACAAGAGATGTGGGGAACAGCACCTGACAGTCTTTTTGCCAAGTCCAAGGCTGTCCAGGTTCGGGGTGGGGAGAAGCAGTTCCCCCACACAACCTGCAGGTAGCACCAGAGCAGCGCGGGAGCCGAGGGTTCAGCTCCAGCCTTCCTGGAAACCCGGGCAGGGCGGAATAGGGCGAGGCAGAGGTGGTGCACACCGCTCAGCTGGGAAGTGGCACGAGCCTGGCTGTGGATCAGTCCATACTGCCTAAAATGGACACATGGGTCTTCTGGCTAACTTCCTGTCTTTGGTAGGGTGACCATATGCTTTATCATCCAAATCCAGACACTTCAGAGTGAAAGGGGCACTATAATAATTGCACCAGGACAGCAGACATAACCTTAGCTGTACCTTGCAAACCAGAGCATATGGTCACCCTACGCTCCGGTCAATTTTTCTTCCTTGTTTCCATTCTTTTGTTTTTAAACACACAGCATTCTCTTTCTCGAAGCACCACTGTCTTTGAAAATGCCCTTGCCTTCGGGATATTTTCGACCATGTTTAGTCTGAACATTTTCTCATCTTTAGTCTGAACAGTCTCTCTGCACCCACCTCAAAGGCTGGTTTTAGCTTCCAGTCAGAAGACTCTGTTCCTGGCTTGCCATCCCCATGACTCAAGAATTAAAGACGTCAGAGGTGGAACAGTGGGCCTTACCTTAACTTTGGTGCCTCTTTGCTAAATTTATTCCTGTAAAATTTTTTTTTTTTTTTGAGACGGAGTCTTGCTCTGTCACCCAGGCTGCAGTGCAGTGGCGCAATCTCTGCTCACTGCAACCTCCACCTTCTGGGTTCGAGTGATCCTCCTTCCTCAGCCTCCCAAGTAGCTGGTACTATAGGCGCCCATCACCTCGCCTGGCTAATTTTTTTTTCTTTTTTCTTTTTTTTTTTTTTAAGACGGAGTCTTACCTTGGCCGCCCAGGCTAGAGTGCAGTGGTGCAATCTCAGCTCACTGCAACTTCCGCCTCCTGGGTTCAAGCAATTCTCCTGCCTCAGCCTCCCGAGTAGCTGGGACTACAGGTGCCCGCCACCACGCCTGGCTAATTTTTGTATTTTTAGCAGAGACGGGATTTCACCACTTTGGCCAGGCTCGTCAGAAGCTCCTGACCTCTCCAACCGCCTCAGCCTCCCAAAGTGCTGGGATTACAGGCGTGAGCCACTGCACCCAGCCCTGCTTCTGTAATTTTGTTCTGAGTGTTCATGTCCATCGTCTGTTTGAATTTACGTATGTTGGCTTATTGAATTGCAAGTAGACAAGTCCCATTAAGCACGATTTTTATATTTCCAAGATTACTCCATTCAACTCCAAATTACCATGCCATTTATCCCCTTGTTTGTGAACCTCTTCACTTAATAGTCTCATAAACATCCATCCATTGCAAAAAGGACTCGAACTGTTCTCACTTCCATTTTTAGTTGATTCATTGCTATCCAAGTAATGATTTGCTGGGGGAGTCATTAGTAGAGAACTGTTCCCTTAAATTTATTTTTATAGTTGGATCCTGCTAGTTAATCTCTCTCTCTGTCATTCTCACATTGCAACAAACGACTATGGGTTTCTGTCTCAACCTAAAATCTAGGTTAGAAATTTGGTTTTATCTGAATAAGGTATTAATAGATAATGTGAGAAAAAAATTTAATTTACTGAAACTTTTCTCGGCTAATAATGACACTCATGGTCACAAATATGTATGTAAGCAAGCAGAAAATTGAGCTGTAAATATGTAAACTCTTAAAATATTATGTTTAGAGACAAGATTTTCCTTTTTTTCTTTTTAGTAGAGTATATTTGCTATGGTTGGAATGATTGTGTCTCCTTTAAAATTCATATTGGAACTTAAACCCCAATGTGATAGCATTAAGAGGTGAAGTGTTTAGGAGATGACTAAGCTGTAAGGGAGGAGCCCCCTCGTGAATGGGATTAGTGACCTTATGAAAGGGCTTGAGGGAGCTACCTAGCTCGGTTTTCTTCTTTTGTTTTTCTGTCTTTTCCATTATGTTAGGACATAGTGTTCAAGGTGCCATCTTAGAAGCAGAGAGCAGCCCTCGCTAGACTACAAACCTGCTGGCACCTTGATCTTGGACTTCCCAGCTACCAGAACTGTGAGAAATAAATTTTTATTCTTTACCTATTACCCAGTCTCATATATTTTGTTATAGCAGCACAAATGGACTAAGACAGTATCTTACATACAGTGAAGTGCATATACCTTAAGTTACAACTCCATATTTTTTTTGTTTTTGAGATGGAGTCTCTCTCTGTTGCCCAGACTGGAGTGCAGTGACTCGATCTTGGCTCAGTGAAAACTCCGCCTCTTGCATTCAAGCAATTCTCCTGCCTCAGCCTCCTGAGTAGCTGGCATTACAGGCACCTACCACCACGTCTGGGTAATTTTTGTATTGTAGTAGAGATAGCGTTTCACCATGTTGGCCAGGCTATTCTTGAACTCCTGACCTCAAGTAATCTGCCTGCCTCAGCCTCCCCAACTGCTGGGATTACAGGTGTGAGCCACTGCACCTGGCCAACTCCATAGTATTTACATATGTGCACTTTCATGTAACCACCACTCAGCTCAAGATACAGAATGTTCCCATCAACACAGAGGGCTCCCTCTTGCCCTTTCTCAGTTGCTGTCCCCTCAAAGTTAACCAGGATCCTGACCTCTGTCACCATGAATTAGTTTCGCCTGTTCTGGAACTTCATATAAATGGGATCATTCAGTATGTGCACGTTTGTGGCTGGCTTCTTTCATTCAATATAATCCTGTGAGATTTAACCACGTTTTGGGTACTGGTAGCTGTTTATTTTTCTGGTTGTGTAGTTTTCCATATTTCATTTATTACCCTGCTATTTTTGTCTCTAACTCAGTGTCTTGTGGGGTCTATTGTTCCTTTTTAGCTGGATTGATACTAAGCGTCTTCTTATCAGTGGAGCTTAGGACATTTGAGAAGATGAAAGCCTAATAACCCCAAGCCCCCCAATCTTAAGCCAAGTTTCCTCCTCACGCCTGCTTCAGTTGCTCTTCTTCATGTGGTATTTTTTCCCTCACAAAACTGATGGTAATTAAGAAACCCAAAAGTTCTTCATCATGTTATCAGCTTAGGGACGCTTGTCATCTGAATAACAGGGTAGATATTTATCATCTGAAATGTTAAAATAACTAGAGCAAACACTTACATAGCACTAACTGCTGTTCACAGTGCTTTACATATATTATTTTCCTCAAAACAACTCTGTGAAATAGACACTATTATTGTCATCCCCACATTTTAGATGAGGAAATGGAGGCACAGAGAGACCATGTAACCTTGCTAAGGTGGTAGGGCCAGGACTTGAACCCGTGTTTTCTGGTTTTAGAGCCTGCACCCTTCCCCACCACACCATATTGTGTAGCATGATACTTCATGTGGTTAAAGTATTTTCTTCACTTGGGAGCATTTTGTGAATAATCTGAATCTTAGCATAGGCAATAGCCGGGTAGTGTTGACAGTGGGCCTTGAGCTTACTCAAGCTTTAGGTCTGACCCCGTGCAGTCCCAGTGGTGGTAGCCATAGGGATGTTGTATCAGTCCACCCCAGCTCCAAGTGACCCAGCAGAGAGAGAAAGGGAGGGAGGGAGGTAGGAAGAGAGAGAGAGAGAGACAGACAGACAGATAGACAGACTGTTTTTTTGGAGAAAAATTACAGGTACAGAATAAGAGTCTCTAATGCCTGGTAGCCCAGATGATTCTTCTAGATCTTATCCAAGACCATCAGGGCAGTTCCTCTGAGTCTGCAAGAACTTTAGCGTAACTTGGCTTGGAGTGTCCCCTAATAAAGATACAGTTGAGATCACAACACCCACATCCTTTCAAATACCTGGAAAGCCTTCCCAAGGGTGGGTACAAACAAGCCCAGGCTGAGAAGACGGTGGCAGTTTGAAATCAGCCATGGAATATTTGCACCACCGAAAATGGCAAACACTACAGAACAGACTTCTGTTCCCTCCCCGACAGAGAGCCCCTTGTGTAACAACAGCACACCACTGCCCCATCCCTGAGCAGAGCGCTGTGTGTTGCAGCAGAGTGGGGGCAGGTGTCTTCTCCCTTGGGCTACAGAATACACATTTTTTTCCTCAGCACATGGATCATTCTCAAGGACACACCATATCTTAGGTCACACGACACATCTTAAAACATTAGAGAAAAATGAAATAATATCAAACATCTTCTCTGATCACAATGGAATAAAACTAGAAGTTAGTAACAAGAAATGTTGGAAACTATACAAACTCATGGAGATTAAATAATATGCTCTGGGTCAGTGAAGAAATTAAGAAGGAAATTGGAACATTTCTTAAATGATAATGGAAACACAACATGCCAGAACCTATGGGATACGACAAAAGCAGTACTAAGAGGGAAATTTACGGCTATAAACTCCTACTTTTTAAAAGTAGAAAAGCATCAAATAATCAACCTAACAATGCATCTTAAAGAAATAGAAAAGCAAGAGCAAAGCAAACCCAAAATTAGTAGAAGAAAAATAATAAAGATCAGAGCAGAAATAAATGGAATTGAAATGAAGACAACAATCAAAAGCATCAATGAAATGAAAAGTTGGGTTTTGGAAGAGAGAAACAATGTTGACAAACTTTTAGCCAAAGTAAGACTAAGACAAAAAGAAGACACAAGTGAATAAAATCTAAGATGAAAAAGGAAAATTACAACTGATACCACAAAAATTCACAGGCTCACTAGTGGCTGTTATAAGCAATGTATGCAAAGAAATAGGAAAACCTACTAAAAATGGATACATTTCTAGACACATCCAGCCTGCCAAGATTGAACCGTGATGAAATCCAAAACCTGAACAGACCAATAAGAAACCATGACATCAAAGCGGTAATAAAAAGTCTCCCTGCGAAGAAAAGCCTGGGACCTGGTGCTTCACTGCTGAATTCTACCAAACATTTAAAGAAGAACTCATACCAACCTTACCCAAACTATTCCAAAACTAGAGGCCTTACCCAACTATTCCAAACTCATTCTACAAGGCTAGTATTACCCTGATACCAAAACCAAAGATACATCCAAAACAGAGAACTACAGGCCAATATCACTGATGAATATTGATGCAAAAATCCTCCACAAAATATTAGCAGATTGAATTCATCAACACATTAAAGTTGGGGTGCAGTGTCCCAGCTTCACTCAACCCTTCCCCTTTTCCTGTGTGTGTCTACTTTGGCTGTGCTCCCAGGTGGCAGCGGTGGCGGCAATGTTGGTGTGTGGGCCTCCCAGGACAAGGGGAAAGTGAGTATGCCCTTCCCACCTCCTGCCAGGTGTCTGTAGCATGGCACCACCTCTGGCCATGTCTTCAAGTGAGGGACCTGGAGATGTTCTTTTCCAATTTCTGGATTGGGAAATGGAGGCAAATTCTGGGTACTAGAGTCAGAACTAAGACGAGGCTGAATCGGGAGAGTCTGGGGTCCTGAGAGGCAGAGACCTGAAACCCTCTAGATTGTGTGGGGAGCTGGGTGTGTGTTCTGGCCAGTTGTTTCTCCCTGTGCCTCAATGTTCCAGGTACCCTTGGAGGGGGCTGAGATCCTGGGGATGCCTGGAGCCTGGCTGCATGGCCTGGCCGCCCTGATGCCTTCGTGCTCTCCACAGCAGGCCAGCAAGGCCGAGGAGAATGGTTCCAACAGCTTCATGCACTCCATGGTCCCACAGCTGGAGTGGCAGATGGAGACCACCCAGAGCCTGGTGGACTCCTATGTGGCCATTGTCAACAAGACCGTGTGGGACCTCATGGTTGGTCTCACACCCAAGACCATCATGCACCTCATGATCAACAACGTGCGTGCACCGCCTCATGGGGGCAGGGGGCTCCTGTGGCACTGGGGACACAGGTGGCCATGTTGTCCTGCCAGAGATGACAACCAGCCCTATGGGACCAGGTCCAGGGAGAGGGGCACGGTCCAGACCAGAGCTGTCCCATAGAATTATAACGTGGGACTGGGCACAGTGGCCCATGCCTGTAATCCCAGCACTTTGGGAGGCCAAGGCAGAAGGATCGCTTGAGCCCAGGAGTTTGAGACCAGCCTGGGTAACATAGTGAGACCTGGTCTCTACAAAAAAATTTTAAAAATAGCTGGGCCTGGTGGTGGCACTTGCCTGTAGTCCTAGCTACTCAACAGGCTAACCTTGGAGGATCACTTTGAGCCAAGGAGGTTGAGGCTGCAGTGAGCCATGATCTTGCCCACTATACTCCAGCCTGGCAATAGAGAGAGATCCTATCTCCAAAAATTAAAAACTGAGTAGACAGGTGTCCTGGTGGCATGATAGATCCTGGGTCCCCTCCCAGATCTGTGACCTTGGGCAGGTGACTTTTCCTCTGGACCTCAGTGTCCCCATCTGAGTGAGAAAAAGCGGTGGGGAGGTGGGTCTTCGAGTCTAAGCAGTGTAGAAGCCGCATCTGAAAAGCCATACCCGGGGCTCCAAGTCCAGCGTACAGCCCCAGCAGGGCCTGGCAGGGTGGCCAGGGTGGCACAGGCATCAGGTCCCAACCTCCTTCCCTCTTTGCCCACTCTCAGAACAAGGAGTTTATCTTCTCGGAGCTGCTGGCCAACCTGTACTTGCATGGGGACAAGAACATGCTGATGGAGGAGTCGGCAGAGCAGGCACAGCGGTCATGAACACAATCAGCACGCCCACGGGGGCCCATGGACAACTCCTGACTGCAGGTGCAGAGCATCCTACTGGATGCAGGTACCAGGGCTGGCCCCCACGGCCCCAAAGCCCCCCAGCCTCCATGGCTAAGACTGTGGGCTCTTGGAACAGCCTCCATGCCCAAGTTGGCAGATGTGGGTGCTCTCTAGAGTCCTCGGAGAGGGCAGAGAACTCATGGTTTATGGTGTAGGGGCTGGGAATGTGGAGGGCGTTGTGTGTGGGGCTGGACTCTGAGGCGGCCAGAGGCCTAGGAATGTCACCTGGGCACAACATAACTGTCGTGCAGTCTGAGTCATGCTGCCAGGGCAGGGTATCCAGTTCCCAGTCTGGGAGTGCCGAGAGCCAAATCCACTGCAGAGCAGGGTTGATAGTCAGGGTCCCACCTCCTCTATATGTTGGCAATCCAGTGGTGATCTAGGATAAAATCTTGAGAGTCCCATACACATGGTCATCCCACAACACACCTCACAGGCCAGGCAGGAACACACAGCCCCCTTCCCTCCCTCCCAGATACCATCATACCTGCTAGCGTGTGACTGAAGGCAGGGTCCCTGGCCCCTGCTGAAACACTACCGCCAGCCAGCGGGCTCATGCACCTTGGCCTGTTGCTCCTAGGGGTCACCTGTGCTATTCAGCCAAGGGGACCACAGTCCCTGCTGGCCCAGCTGAGCTCCACATAGCCAGCCCACCCACCTCCCCTGCCACAGACTCTCCCTCTTCTGCTTTTCCCAGCAGGAGGGGCCCAGGCTCACCTATGCAACCTGCAGGCCCCCACAACCAGCTGAGGCTCCCCCCTTAGACTTATAAGTCTATGGCCAGTGGCATATGCCCTTCCTGCCTCCCCCAGGGTCCTTTCAGAGGGTCCTGGGCTTTCTGATGACCCAGAGGGGCCTCTGGCGCTCACTCAGTCCAGCCATCCCTTTTAGCTTCACCATCCTGGGTCAAGCAGTGTTCCTTCTCTATCAGGCCTGGTGGCTGTTGGGTGGGGCTCCCCAAGGCGAGAGGTGGCCCTGGGCCAGTGGGTTGGAAGGGGAGGGTGACCAGAGAAGAGGGAAGCCCGAGGGGGCTGAGCATTGGTCTGAACTGTGGGTGCACTGCCTGGGTGCCGTGGGAGAGGCCAGTGTGTGTGGGCTGGGGAGGGCTGCCACAGCCCCCAGGCACTACCTGTGAAGCTCCGGCTCCTCCCTCCATCTTCCTCCCCTTTTCCTTCCAGCCCCTCTTTTCCAGGAACCTTGCCACACCTGCACCTGTGTCCTCCCCTCCCCGGCCCTCCCACAGCTGCTGCAGCACGCCTGTGCTCTGTGCTTGCCTCACCAGCTCTCTGCTCACATTTCTCTCTCCCATTTTCTCTCTGCTTTCTCTCCAACTGCCAGCTGATCAGGTCAGGCAAGTCCATCCCGTCCTGAGAGCCCCAGCCCCACTCTGACCTCTAAACAGATCCTCCTCTTCTCGGAGGCCTCCCTTTCCAAGCCTGCCTGGGCGGGTGTCCTGTGACTGGACAGTGGCTCCCCAGCCCCAAAGCCAGCCCCCTTCATCTGTGACTTAGTCTGTCATAGTGGTGAGCTGATCCAGGTGTGACCGTTGCTGAAAACTTGTGCCCCCTCTGTGGTATGCCCCTGCCCTGTTCTATAAATATCTATAAATACTCTCTCTCTCTCTCTCTCTCTCTATATATATATCTAGTTATATATACGTATATATATATATACACCTACACATGGCTGACCGCCTCGCCTCTAGCACTGGGAATCTGTCACCGTGCTGTCCTTGTGGAGTCTTGTGGCCCAACAAGAGGAAGGTCTCCCCTGACACTGCCCCTCCAAAGTGTGCCACCTCCAGTGAGCCTCCCTGTCATGTCCGGCCTGTGGACAGCCAGCCCCCGCCATCCCTCCCACCCCCCACCAAGAATGGGGGTGCTGTGCAGGCAGCTGTGTGGCCTGACAGTCTCTACCAGTCCTGCTGTCCCTCGGCTGAGAATCAAACCCATTTCTGGATGATGGGGAATGTGTCCTCTACTGGCTGTGTTCTCTGTGGAGCGCAGGGGAGGGAAAAGGCCAAGCCATTTCTAGGGTGCTGTTGGGAGGAGTGAAAAGGCCACACACCCTTTCCAAGGGACACTTTTCCTGGAAAGCCCCTGGAGCTTAGCTGGCTTTTATCCTGCGAAGCCGGCTCTGGCCACTAGGGGGCAGGGCCATGAACTCAGACTGGAGGAGCCTGCGGGGCAGCCAGCACTAACAGGCCACCAGGTACACTGGAGGGACAGACAGAACAGGCCACCGGGTGCAGACAGGCGAGGGAGGCAGGGGGATGGAACGGAAGATGCCTGGGGTGGAAGTCAGTGCCCTTGGGTGCTGGTATTTGTCTTCCCGGCCACTGCTACATCAGGCTTCTGAGGCTGTTGGCTGTCAGGGCGGGACTGTGCCCTATAGGCGCCATGGCAGTCCCTGTGAAATCCACCAGGTGTCACCAGGCAGCATACAGGTAACAGGCCTGGAAGGTCCCCAAGAGCCCAGCTGGACATGCTCAGTCACTCTAGGGCTCCTCGTTCAGTGGCACAAACTCCAGGACCCAGTGAGGGACACGGGAATCCACCAGGCTGAGCAGTATGGCTAAATCCATTTACTCCAAAATGAAAAGCAAAATAAACGGGAGTCACATCACCAGGGAGCCACAACCCCATCCCCGCCTCCTTCCTCTGTCCTATGCTATCAATAAATAAGTTTCCCAGCCACAAATAATGATTAGAACCTCCTCCTCATATGCCAGCTCCAACCTCCTCTAGGTACAATACAGGGGGTGGCCCTACCCCCTGGAATATACAAAATGTCACACAGATACTATATGTACACTGCGGAAGGGGGTCCACCCCAGCAGCCTGTGCCCTCGCCTGCTCTACAGTTAGCCCCACTGTCCCGCCTCAGCTGCCTCTCTGAATAAGAAGATGGGAGCCCCCTGAGGGAAAAGTTGCTTCGGTGAGAGTAGGGAGGCCATGAGGCCTCCTCCAAACAAACCAGCTCTACCAGCCTCTGGCTCTTAAATAGTAATCATCATCATCCAGAAATTTAAGGACTCAGCCCTGGTCAAGGTGGCAAAGGGTCTGTTTTTCTCCCCCCATTAGACAGGGGTCTTGTCTTGCTACCCTAATGGTAAAGGGGTGACTGGGAGGGGGTGGTAGGAGCATGGTAGGGACAGAGACTCCAGCCCCACTTCTCCAGGCTTATGCTGACAGGGGCCTGCTTTTATTTATTTTTATCCCATGACTTATTTTTTAATCCCATAATTTCTTTTTCATAATACTTTAAGCTTTTTTTTTTTTTTGAGATGGAGTCTTGCTCAGTCACCCTGGCTGGAGTGCAGTGGTGCGATCTTGGCTCACTGCAAGCTCCACCTCCCAGGTTCACGCCATTCTCTTGCCTCAGCCTCCCGAGTAGCTGGGACTACAGGCGCCCGCCACCACGCCCAGCTAATTTTTTTTTTTTGTATTTTTAGTAGAGAGGGGGTTTCAGCATGTTAGCCAGGATGGTCTCGATCTCCTGACCTCGTGATCCACCCGCCTCGGCCTCCCAAAGTGCTGGGATTACAGGCATGAGCCAGCGAGCCCGGCCCTTTTTTTAAGCTTTTCATAAAACTTTTACGTTTTTTCCACAACTTTTTTTTGCCACAACTTTTCCATAACATTTTTTATCCTGTAACTTTTTCATCCCACAACCTTTTTTATCCCATAACTTTGGGTTTGTGTTCTTCAAATAAACACACTTCATGGTTACATTACAATTTTATAAAAATAAAAACCGATTATCTCATGCCAAGCGTGCCCAGCATTTGCACAGTCTCAATACCTTTAACACCACAGTTTTCAAGACACACAAAATTTTAAGGCAAAAACAGCACTTTGCAACAATTTAATAATTTATTACATTACAGTAGCATCACAGTAGCAGTGAATAATGCCACTTTAGGCAACAGTGTTTCAGTATTTCCATTATACATTCTGTTTACAAGAATTCATAAATTGGTAAAAGTCATTCTAAGAAAACTTGGCAAATAAAGCTTTGCATTGGAATTGGCATTTCTTTCTCTACTTTTCCTTCCCCCAGTTTCTTTCTTTTAAACTACAGTATTCATATTTCAAAATGTCTTAACTTATTTTAAAACTTAAGATAGCAGTTACATTTTTGAATAGTTATATTCTTTTAAAATGACTCTTTAAGATAAAGTTTTAGAGAAACTATTATGGATAGGGCTGATTTACATTTTCACATTTTCTAAATATCAGCTTTGGTTTTAGAACTGACTTTTTTTCATTTCTGGAAAACCTATCAGATTTAATCAAATACTTTAAAAATGATTATATATTGCAATCTTTAAATCGGTTTTTAATTCTTTACTTCCTACAGAAATTCAGATTTATTCAGTTGAACCCACACTTTAAAATTCTATGTTTCTGATTAAACTCTACCCTTCTAATGTTGCCTTCTAAGCAAATTGAAAGCTGCCTTATACTGAATGAGGAAGAGAACAAATACTTGGCTGAATGAGGTATTGCAAAGGACCACATGCACTTTGAAGAAAGACTTAAGTTGTTGTCATACGATTTACATGCTATTTAATTTTTCTTAAATATATGACAGAATACCTACACAAAGAGTGGTATTTCAGTTAATATAGTACATTCATTTTCCAGACTGACATTCAGCTTAAATATGCCGGTGTGTGATTTAATCCACAGGTACCTGATGAACACATTATTGTCAGATTGGTTGCAGGTGCTAAAGGCTATCTGAAGATCATTCCTAGTCATTTATATTTATCAGGGTAAAAGTGAAGTGATTTGAACTATAAAAATACCTTTGAAATAATTTATCAATGTATTAGGTAAACCCACTGTTAGACCAAATAAGGTGGCTAATTAACAGTGATATGATTTCTAGCCCGAGGGTCTAAATTGGACTCAAACTGTCTTTAAACTGAACTCAAAGAATGCAAAAGTGGCAAGTTCAGAAAATAAAAGGCAAGAACAGGACTTGAAGTCCATTTTAAACCCTCGGGCTAGAAATCGTCCTACTGTTAATTAGCCACATTAGTTGGTCTAACAGTTTTTCTTTATAATTCTGAAACTGGGTTTATCTAATACATTGATAAATTCATACAATTTGGAAGAGTCAGTTGAAGTCACAAGGACTTAATATTTGCACTCTTTCAGTGAATGCAGGCACATCTGTTATTCCATCTGTAAAATCGTATTATTGCTCTCCTATTAATGTCATATGTATAAAAGTATCATGAAGATGCCAAATGCTAAAAATGGAGATGGTCTAGTAACTAGAAATGCCCACCCCAGGGAGCGCACACACATCTCTCCCTGCATCCTAATAATGTGACGTATTTTGGAACACAGACATTAGAACTTCATGAACTTTTAGCTGTTGATTCTTTCCCAAGCATCTTAAAGTTATGATTTAGGCAATGTATGACTGAAATAATTCACTCATCATGTATAGGCACATTAACATAAATATGGCACAAAATATGCCTCTAACTGAAACCGAGAGGTATAAAAACATATTTCACTCTTTGTGAAGAACTTTGTGAGGAAACATAAGTCTGTCATTGTATAGACACTTTTTCTCATAATACTTGGACACTCACAAACAGTAGATTGCACGGCAGCTTGTAAACATTTTAAGTTGCATAAACTTCACCTTGATTTTCATGTGTAGTATAATACTGTCTACTAAAACTCCTTTTTGTTTCAACTAAGTACTCTCACATATATTGGTTTATAATAATGATTGTTATTATTTTTAAAGTGTTTTCCATTCAAAGAAAAGAAGTAAATTCCTATGTCAGAGTAACTAGTGTGGTTGAAGAATAGGTATTAGCCAGAGAGGTCTAGATGATAAAATCAATCTTCTAGCCTCAAAGAAGCTCCATGAACATAGAGGAAGGCCAGGTGTCACACAGCTTTCCTTCACTCGAATTCATTCTTGACTAGAGCCTGTATGCCTCTTCCAGGGACATTTAAACTCTTAAAGGATTTCTTATGATCTTCACTAAATACCTTAAGAAGAATGCCAACCAGTGCCCTTTTGTGTACTGGGACATATACTCATGTGATTAAAACAGGTAACATGAACTCTGACTTTAAAATGTATTGTAGATATAAATGCTCTAAGCTAGAAAAGGTTTTCCACATCCACAGTCAATGATGGGAGCCTTTCATTCCTCAGAAATAATCCCTTTTTAGGTCATCAAGAAAGGGTACAACTGCTGCAGCTCATGATGCAATATCTTCATGAGCCCAGAGCACATACAAATCCTAAGGGAACTACCATAGTGCAGCGCTCATTCTTGGCACCAGAACAAATGAAACACACTCTATCCTGCACACACCTGCCAGAGCAGGCCACTTTCCTCTTCTGTGAGATTTAAAAAGCTCCCCAAAATGTTATTACTCCCATCCCCAATACACAGAAAATAGGGAAAAGGCTGTTTCCAGTTCTTGGCCTTTAAACAACTCTAAATGTCAGTACTCACAGTGGCATATTACAAAGTAATAAACAGTGCTCAATTGAGGGCAAACCACATATTGAGCTAATGAAGAGCTCACTGTGGTTAGGATTCGATCAAACGTAATAGCAGAACATAAGCACATTTTATCTGAATTCTGGAATGAATATACATGCTGCAATAACATTAAAAAAGCATGGCAGCCTGTTCCAAACCAGCCAGAATAGTTTTGTGCAAATTAGTGGGTCTTTGTGTGTTTGAATTCCCACCACCTAAGGGCAAACTCGATATGCATACTAATGACCTACAATTATCAAATTAAAAATAAAAATGCTAAAGGATGCCAGAAAGAACATCAGGGAAAGACCAACTCTCCCTTAACTTTTTACAAATAAATTTAAACGGTAAATTAGAAACACAAATAAAAGTGAGTGGCTCTAGCATTCAAATGGAGTAAATGAATTGTGTAGGAGATGAACCCCGTAACTTTTTGTTGTTGTTGTTGTTTTAAATTTCTTGACCAGCTCTTAGAAGATGATGATGTTTATCTCCCTGTTCTCGGCTGCCTGGTAGAAGAATGGCACGCAGGGTTTGCTGGGCAAGCCTGGGTGCTCCTAGGTGTCCTGCATGACAGGAGACAGCTGCACGATCTGCTGTACAGTGGGGTTGTTATGGGGAGAACCCTCCCTGGCCACTCCTGGTGCAGGCTCCACGTTGTTGTCCAGGCTCACTTCATAAAAAACTTCGGAGAGAGGGAGGCGGGGGTCTGAGCACAGTGCGAGCCTCCCCTGCCCCTGCCTGCCCACCCCGCCTGAGAGCTCTACTCACCATCCTGCTCACCGGCAGCCCCAAGTTCCTGGGGGGCTGGGGCCCCTGGAGTGGGCTCATCAGCAGGGTTCTGGGCAGCGATGAGGAATTTGCCATGCCCCTCATGGTTGCCCACAAGGGGCAACACCAACTCTTGCAGCTCCAGCAGCTTCACCTGAAGGGAGGGGTGCTCAGCTCCCACCCTGGAGCCTGCACCAGTGCCCATGCCCACCCCCAACCCCGCAGAGATGTTGCACGCCCTACCTTCATCTCCTCCTCCTTCTGGGCCAGCCTGATGACATCCTCCATCTCCTGGTGCCGCGTGTTTGGCACTGCCCCCTGGCTTTCATATACGGTGAAGGACTCTCCTGTGAGAGGACACAGCTCAGACACTAGGGTCCCTCCGACGGCCCTGCAGCTCCCCATGCCCGTGCCCTGGCCTCCCGCTCACTCATGCCGTCTGTCACTCCAGAAGGCTGGACGAATCCAAGCTCTCGTCTCTCCACCTGCTCCGTCCCGTCCGCCTTCTCCTTCGGGAGGTCCATAAAGCTGCTCTGGAGCCAAAATAATGGGGTCACACCTCGGGAGTGACCTGTTCTGCCCCGCCCCCACTTTTCTTGGCCCATGCCAGGACTCACTCCCTTTCAGCTTCACCATGGCCTCCTTCAGGGCCCGGTAGCTCTCCCCACACACAAACTCATCTCCAGTCCTCCCTGGGGCTGGGGCCTCTGCCTCTGGCTCCTTCCAGGCCAAGGCCACCAGATGAGCCAGGTGCAGGCAGCACAGCCTTCACACCTTCCGCTGCCCACATAGCCGTGCCTGCTCCTCCTGGGAACTGGCTCCAGCGGAGTTGAAAAATGCCACTTGAAGGCAAGAGGTGAGTATTCTTGTAGGGGCATAGACAGAACAAATGAGGCAGGGAGGTGGAGAACAACCCCTTCCCTTGGGGCCTCAGAGAGTGCACCTGTTGGTCACAGGTGACAAAGTGTCTGACCACTGGCTCCCGGAAGGGGTGAGGGGCCAGAGAAATCAGAAGGTGGGAAAACCAAGAGCATAACGGGCTCTGGGAGGGACCACAGAGGAAGGTGGCAAAGTGGGGCAGGGAAAGTCAGGCTCACCGTGGCCTCCCGGCTCTCCAGGTCCTCTGGGATGTTTGGCGTGGGCCGAGGCGCCTCCTCCTCCTCACTGTCCAGATGTTGTCCTCCATCTCCTGTGGGGAGGTGGCCAGAGGGGTCCTCAGACAACCCAACAAGGAAGGTACTGTGGGCCTACCTCTGTCCCCACCCTGACTGTGTAACCCTGAGCCAGCCTCTCCCCAGAGGGGAGTGAGCTGCTGTTCTTTATTTTTCCTTTTAAGAACCAAGATCTTGCTATATTGCCCAGGCACAGTCCCACTACCGGTCGGTGCGGGAGTCCTGACCTGCTCCCTTTCTGATCTGGTCCAGTTCATTCATCCTTAGGCAACCTGGTGGCCCCCTGCTCCCAGGAGGTCACCATATTGATGCTGAACTTAGTGCGGACACCCGGTTGGCATAACGACCAGCTGTTCTAAAGGTCTCTTCCAACCCCTCAATCCTATGCTGCTAACAGTCCCCCCTTCCTCCTGGGGCTCTCTCCTCTTCCTCTGAGTGGTCTCCTGTACCTTCTCCAGGGAGAGCCACGAGGCTTAGCTGGGTCTCTAGCTGTTGGTTCCGCTGGCTGGCAGCTTCTAGGTGCTCCTAAGGGGACGGGAAACAGAGTGAGAAGGCACGGAGGTTGCCAGGTCATCCCCCTCGGGGCCCCGTCCTCAGCAACTCCCTCCCCTGGGTCTCCTGCAACTTTTGGCCGGCCATCTCAGCCACCGCTTTGCCCCAAGCTTCCTGCTGCTGCAGCTGGTCCACGAACTGGGTCTGCAGCAGTAACTGCCTGTGCAGCGCCTCCTTCTCAGAGGTCAGCTGCTGATAGGTGGCCATGTACTGCTGCAGGTGACCCAGGTACTAGTCTCGCTGCTGCTGCAGACTCTGAGACTCTTGGCTCTTCAGCTCCACCTGCAGGAAGACCCTGGGCATGAGGGCACATGGTGGCTGGCTTCCAGATTCTGGGCCCATTAATAGGGTAGCGAGGGCACCGTGGGGCTCTGTCACCTGCCCAGGACCCTGGTCCCTTGCTCCAGGCCTAAGAGGCTTCCTCCCTTGCCTAGAACCCCATACCTCCTTCCCCAGCCTCAAATCTCATGTCCTTCTTCCCACCATTTAAACTGTAGGCCACAGACTGGTGGAAAAGCAGAGGGAGCCAACCACCATCTGCTAAGTGTGCTACATGCCTAATGCTTTCCAGGTATTCTCTCATTCAATCCTCAGCACCTCTGCAAGGAAAATGCTAACTTCCTTTTGAAGTCACAGAAACAGAGACTTAGAGATGAACAGTAGTTGAATGGTGACCAGTGGAACCCAGGCCAGAATCCAGTTTGAATCTAAGGAGCCTTTTTTGTTTTGTTTTGAGACAGTGTCACTCTGTGGCCCAGGCTGGAGTGCAGTGGTGCAATCTCAGCTCACTGCAGCCTCCACCACGTGGGCTCAAGCGATTCTCGTGCCTCAGCCTCCTGAGTAGCTGGGATTACAGGCATGCGCCACCATGCCTGGCTAATTTTTTGTTGTTGTTGTTGTAATTTTAGTAGGGGTGAGGTTTCGCCACGTTGGCCAGGCTGGTCTCAAACTCCTGACCTCAAGTGATTCTCCTGCCTCAGCCTCCCAAAGTGCTGGGATTACAGGTGCGAGCCACCGTGCCTGGATAAGGAGCCTCTTGTACCACTGTCTCTTCCCCTGTGATTGGGGGCTCCATGTCTCTAGCTGGGATGATGATGTCCAGACCTGGGAGGAGCCCAGGGCTACCCACCTCTAAAAGTCAGAGGGCAGGAAGCAAGAAACAGTCATAGAGCTGCACTGGAGGGTGCTGGGGTCACCTGCCTCCCAGCTGGAGCTGCCTTTGGCCTGGCACCTCCCCTCCCCAGAGGCTGGTGCCCGCCTCCCAGCCCTTCTTGGATGGGGTGGAGGTTACCATCTCCTTCACCTCGTCTAGCTTCTCCTGCAGCTCCTTTACTTGCTGCTCCAACTGCAGTGCGCTCTTTTTCTCGTTGTTCTGGACAGAGAGAAGCAATCAGTGGCCATCCACTGCAGCTGGAGACACCAGACCTTGGTGTCTGCCTCCCATATCACCAGGAAGGGTGGAGGCAGGTTAGAAAAATCATCCCTTCTCCCCCACAGCCATCAGAGCAGAGCCCGATGAGCTGTAGCTCACAGGTGCCTTTAGAAGTAGCATTTCATGTGAGGGCTACACTGGCCCATTTTACAGGTGGGGAAACAAAGGCCTGGAGGGATAGGGATGAGGGCAGGCTCCCCAGGTGGGGCAACCCACCAGATCCTCGAAGCTGCACTGTGGCTCGGCCAGCTGCTTGTCGAGCTTGTGGTTCTGGGAGAGCGCGAGCCTCTCCTCCTGCTTTTGTAGCCTCTCCTCCTTCTTCCACAGCCTCTCCTCCTGGTCCCACAGCCTCTTTTCCTGCTTTTGCAGCCTCTCCTCCTCCTTTCGCAGCCTCTCCTCCTGTTTGCGTAGCCTCTGCTCCTGCTTTCGCAGCCTCTCACCCTGCTCCTGTAGCGTCTTCTGCTGCTCCCGAAGCCTCTCGTTTTGTTCACACAGTCTCTCCTGCTCCCGCACTCTCTGCGCCTCCTGCTCTCGGAGCATCTCCTCCTGCTCCTGGAGTCTCTGCTTTTGTTCCTTGCTAAGGAGACTCAAGGCCTGATTGTTTTCCACCTGGGACTGGAGCTTTCCCTCCAGACCTTCCACCTCCTGCCTCAGGTGTTTGGCCTCATCTTGTAGCTGTTCCACCACAGAGGTCACTGCTGGGGGTGCCAGGGATGGGGGCTCAGCTGAGAAATGAAGCAGACAATAAGGGCCTCTGGATTCCCCAACCCCTCTACCCACATCCCCCTCAAAAAAAAAAAAAAAACCTCCTCTTGATGCACAGCTCCTCTCAGGCTTCCCAAACTTGGCCTCACTGCTAATCATTCCTCGCACCCAATGGTAGCCAATTTCCAAGCCACTTTCACATAGAGAGCACTGTGGGTGGCTGACAACGGGCACTCCTCCCTCTTTGCTGATGGGGACCCTGAGGCTCATGGAGATGACAAAACTTGCCGTCTCCTGGCACAGACCTCTTTCCCTCTGCCTCAAAGCCCTTCCACCCACCCACCTCCCTGGGGCATTCTAAGCCACCCCCACAGACCTCTGATGCCAGTCCTGCTCCGAGGTCACACCAGCCCCATCTTACCCATCTGGTTTTTGAGTTCGGACAAGCTCCTCTCCAGCTCCTGTATCCGATGTATGTCACGCTTCTTCTCTTCCTTCAATGTTCGAGCCTGCCCAAAGCACAGGGGAAAGGGCCCTGGAGAGAGGGGCTGGTGGCTGGACAGGCTACCATCTCATTCTCTGTCCCCATCTCCACAAAGCCCAGACCCATGACCACCTCTGGCTGTACTATTCCCATTTTACAGATGCCCAGAAAGATCCAGTGACCTATCTAAAGTGGGGGCTGAAGGGTCAGACCTCACCTCCACCGACATTTTCCACATCCTCTCCTGCCACCGGGCCCTCTCTCCTTTTATGTGTTTAGCATATTCGTCTCGCTCTAGCTGGACTTGTTTTAGTGACTCTGTCACCTGCAAGAAATGGGCACAGAAGTTAGGAAGGGCTGTCACTGGTCCTCACCTGCTCCTGGCCACCTGGGGTCATCTTCCTTCCACATCCCTCCCTCTGCAAAGCCTCACCTGTGTCACGTGTGCGTTCAGCAGCGCCCGCTCCTTTATGGTCTGCTGTAACCGCCGCTGGAGGACCGCTTCTCTGCAGCTCGAGGACTGGATGGTGAAGAGTGAGAAGTTTTGATCTGGGGAGCTCGGGCAGTGCCCCTTAAAAGGGCTAGGGCTAGGCTCAATATACAACTCGGTCAGTAAAGGTCAAGGCATTTCCAAGCCCGTGGCCTGGTTATTAAAAGAACTCAGTAAAGTTGGAAGGGAGAGGGAAAGAGATAGAATTTACAGCTGGCTAACAGAGGCCCAGAGAGATCAGATAATATTGCTATTGTTATTACTGTTATTACTACCACTGTTTGAACCGTTATGGAGTGCTTCACCAGGTTCCATGCTAGCAATCCCATTTAATCCTCACAACCACCATATGAGACGGTTACTAGGATTACCTCTATTGTGTAGATGAAAAACATCGAGTGTTCAAGGTTAAGTGCTTGCCTAAGATCACTTAGACAGAGCTGGGATTTGAACACCCAGGTCTATCCTATTCTCTAAGCCCATTTTTCTTGCTGGGGGTGGGGACACAGATAGGAAGGGGGAAATTAATCTTTTGTTCACTTTTTGAAAGGATGATACATTCATACAGTCCAAAACTCAGAAGGTACAGAAGGGAGGTGTCTCCAGGCACCCTGTTACTCTCTCCTGAGTTTTTTATGAATGCTTGCAGACATGTTTTTGTATATTATCATAGTACACACACACACACACACACACACACACACACCCCTTTCCTCTCTCTACAGAAATGGTAACATACTAAAGGTGCTCTTCTGTACCTTCACAGAACAACTACCCAATACCCCACCTAGGACTTGGCCAAGGCCACAGCCAGGAAAGGGCAGGGCAGGCACTTGGCCTCTGAGCTCTGCATCCAGTGCTCACTCCCCACAGTGCCCCCCAACTCACCCACAGCAGCTGACTTAGCCCCAGGCTGCCTCTAACAACCATACACAAAAGTAGTGAGAAATGACCATGCTGCCTTCTGGGCAGGACACTCCATCCTGCAGAAGGGACCTTTAGGCTCACTCCTCTATCTGGGAAGCCAGGCTGCCAGGGGATGGGGCAGCTGGTTGGACTCACCCTGTCCTCTTCCTGCTGCTGTGTAGACACAGCACAGAGAGCCCGCTCCAATTCTTGAATATGCTGTAAGGAGTATTGCAGGCGGCCAGCCAGATCCTTGGACTCTTCTGTAATGAGAGAGGTTGAGATGGGGCCCAAAAGACTCCCCCTAAAGACCTGTCAAAGTGCCAGGTTGAAGGATGACGGGATGCCCAGATTCCCACCTTCGAAGTGTCGGGCAGCACGTTTAGTATGGTAAAGGGTGGTCTTCAAGTCTGCCTTTTCCAATGTGAGGATGTTGATTGTCTGGAATTGAACGTTTGGGAGAAAAGCCAAGGAAATGCTGAAAGAGAAGGAAAGAAACATTCTCCAGAGGACAGGAGAAAGCTCCCCACCCTCCACTCACCTCTAACTGCTCCATTTGTGCTTTGTGTATTTCATTGTTTGTTTTCTTTGCCTGTAGGAAGAGGAAGACAGAGCTCTTATCACAGGGAGGCAGAGATGGCACAGCAAGAGACATGCCCCCAGAATGCCACCAATGCCCCAGGACAGGCCCACCCATGGGACCAGGTTATCAGGGACCCTGTGGGGATGGGGTGGAATCTGATGGGTGAGCCTTCTTCCCCAGGCTGGGAGTGGGCAAGATGAGACTGGCGCCTCTGCATCTGAGTGTCCCCCAAACCCAGCAGTCATGTTGTGAGCAAAGAAATCACGTTACTTCTTCCAGCTGATGTTCCACTTGTTTCTTCTGCTGTTTCTGTGGGGAGAGTCAAATTCAGGTGACTGAGAGTGGCCCCCTCAACTCTATTCCCCAGACCTGGAAGCGGTAGGCAGGGTCCAGGAATGGATTTTAAAGGCAACATTCTCAGAACCAATGGCAACACAAACTGGTCAACCCTCCTCAAGCTCCCAAGGACAGAGGACTTGGGTCTTTGTTGGTTTTTGCCCACAGCCACAGAACTCAAAGCCTGAATCTGGATTCTCTTGAAAGGACAGTAACATAAACCTCTAGAGAGGGAGTCTCAGGAAGGCCCACCCTTCTGCCAGCTTGTGATTTAGAAAGGTGCCTTCATTCAACAAACATTTACTGAACACATACGGGCCAGCTACGGTTCTTCACAGCAGATATAGGATGGAAAAGGACAGACAGGAGCCCTTGGCCCTCAGGTTTCCATTCTAGGGGCCTTTAAATCTCAGACTCTCAGAGCTAACAGAGAACTTTGATGCTCTACCTCCTCCAGAAACACAAGCCCAAGGAGGACAGGTGGCTTGTCCAGACTCAAAGCAAATTAGGGACTGAGTCAGGGCAGAAATACAGGGCCCCTGACAACCAGTCAGGCTAGCGCTTCCCTGAGAGGTGACAACCTCAGGGCGTGTGTGGCAAGGACTGGAGCAGGGGTGTCTGGAGAAGAGAGAGTCGGCAAAGAGGGCAGTGACAGAAGAGCCATGCTGCGTGCTCCTTGCTCTGGGGTCCCTCCAGGTGAGGCCTGGGTGCTCCAGCTCCCCATTTGCCCTTGGCACCAGGGGCCCCCAGCCCCTTTCTTCAGGGCCCCAAGGGGAAACTAAAGCCCAGGATTGGCAGCATGGAATCAGGGGACCCCACTGGACTTACCAATGATTCTATGTTTTCATTGAGCTGATTGATTGTCACTGAGCTTGACTCCAGGGCTACTGCTAGTTCTTGGTACTGGCTCTGAGGCACATGCAGAGAGGAGGAGTTGGAAGAGGATTGTGGGGAGAGGTAGAGAGAACAATCATTAGGGCTGGGGTGTGTGTGGGCTGTCTCAGCTGGCAGAGGGTCACCCAGCCCCCACTGTGAGAGGAGGTTGGAGGGCTGGCCTGCAAAGTCACTGCACCTCAGCCCAGGGCCTCTTACTTCCAGATCCTTCAGGGTAACAGATGATGCAGGAGTAATAAAAATGAGAAATTAAAAAAAAACTTACATGGGAAATAGTTATGTATATGGAGAAAGTATAAAAACAGCAAGGAGCCGGGCACAGTGGCTCACACATGTAATCCCAGCAGTTCAGGAGGCTGAGACAAGTGGATCACTTGAGGTCAGGAGATCAAGATCAGCCTGGCCGACATGGTGAAACTGCATCTCTACTAAAAATACAAAGATTAGCCAGGCGTAGTGGCAGGTGCCTGTAATCCCAGCTACTCAGGAGGCTAAGGCAAGAGAATCACTTGAACCCGGGAGGCAGAGGTTGTAGTGAGCCGAGATCGCACCACTCCACTCCAGTCTGAGTGACAGAGTGAGACTCTGTCTCAAAAAAAAAAAAAAAAAAAAAAAAAAAGAGCCCAAATCCCACATGCCTGCTCTGTACGTTATTCCCAGATTACTTTTAAACTTTTAGGCGTCACCATTTCCAAGATAATAAAAGACGCGGGGAAGGAAAAAACCCAATCAATCAAGCAGGTGAAGAAGCAGACAGAAACAGGCTGAAGGTTAATGGCAGCAACATAAAACAAGGCAGAGGCCAAGCATCCCCCAAGCCAGAGAAGCCTCAGGGCCATGCACAGCTGTAGACAGCAAGCCAGAGAGGGGTCTTGGCACTGCCTCACCTTCCACTTGTCCAATGGGGGAGCACTACCCCATTGGAGTGGTTAAGGTTGGACACCCGCACCTTCAGAATGTCCTGAATCTACAGGAGGTGACAAGGGAAAAACAAGGGCAGGGGGTGAAAGACAGAAGTGGCTTAGAGAGAAGCAAGAAAGTCAGGGTAGGAGGAAGATGTGGGTTCAGGAAAAGGAAACGCTGAAGAAGAGCAGAGGAGATTAAAACCATGGCCTGTGCCATTCTTCCAAATGGCCACCTGCTGCCTTGCCAGGGGCAGGAAAAAATAGATGGAAAAGTCCCCCGAGTGACGCAGTCACAGAGTGGAGTCAGCTGACCAATGCAGATCTTAATACGCTCACTGGACCCCTCTCCTCAGGCCCAGGACATGGACGATGAATCTGGTAGAGCTCCAGACCTCCACCTCCATTAAAAAAAAACAGACTCCTGAGTAAGAGTTCACTTGAACTAAGGGGACTTCAGCTAAAAAACAAGTTTGAAAGACACTGATCTTATCCAGTATCATCTTACAGAGGAGGAAACTGAGGCCCAGCAGAAGAAGTGATTTTTCTGTGGTCACCCAGCAAGCTGGTGGCAAGTTAGACCTTCTCTTGCTCCTAGTGCCTTGGGCTCTCCTCACCACACCCTGGGCCCCCTTCAGTGACTCCTAGAGGGACAGCCTGATGGCAAGTGGCTGTACTCATTAGCCCAGCTTCCCCTTGCGAGTGGGGATCAGGAAAATCAAACAGCAATGACCATTTCCTGGGTATCCTGGGTGTTTACAGCAGGCCACGTACTAGGGGTTAACATGAAAACAACAACAATAAGGAATCTCATTTAAACTTCACAAATGGAAGTCAAACAATACTACCCCTATTTTACAGATGTGAAAAGAGAGGCCCAAAGAGCTCAAGCAACTTGCCATAAATCAGATCGCTAGCAGATGAAGAAGCAGGATTCAAACCCAGAATTCTTAACCAGTACCCAGCAATCTCAACAATTACCCTCTACTGCCCCTTGGGCCCCCTGTCCCCAGGAGCCTGGCCAGCCAAGACTCACATCCCCAGGTGAGTGGCCACCACCGGAAGTGGTTGTCTCAGGGCTACTGTCAGTTTTTTTCTTTTTTGTCTTTGCTCCTGCTGGAATACCAGGGCTCTTCCTTTGCTGATATTCTTTTAGCTGTGGGAAAGAAGAGCAGTAATACTCATGAGAACTACCAGCCCTTACAGCCACACCCTCCTTACAGTTTTTGCAAAATACTCTTATACACCATCTGATTTAATGCCACCAACAACTGTACAAGGTGTTGTCACAATCACTTAAGTGACTGAGAGGGATGGATATTATGGCTAAAAAAAAAAGTGTGGGGGGGCAATAATGGAACTTAAACTCAGTCTTCTGACTCCAAGCTCTGGGGTTTTGCCATGAATCAGCAGCTGCCGGGGACCAAAACCAGACGCAGAGGTAGAAAAGTAAACATTACATAGGCATGAACTACACGCTGTGTGGTTTAGAGTCATACATCCTCAAATGCCTGTTAGTGTGAAGAAGTGCACCAGTATCTCTCAAACTTTTATATCAATGTGTCCTCATGGCAGAAGGCAGCTTTTTTGTTAAATCTGGGAATTTATCAGAAAGAGGACAACCCAAGTCTCATTTCAGAGAGAAGTCTGGTATACTCTTAGAAACCTATGTGAGGGTCACCCCTAAGTACATTAATGTTTTTTCTCTCTCAAGAGAATCAAGGGAAACTGATGCTTCAGAAAGATCTCCCACATTTATCCTGTGGCACTCAATGTACCCTAAGTTGAGATGATATGAGGAAGATTCAAGCTGTCAAGTTCAGTTTCCCAAGACCTATTCCACAGAAGATGAGCAAATCTCACTTCAGAGACCACTGACTGAAGGGCAGTCTGGTCCCAGAACCGTGGAGAATTAGAATATGAGGTGGAGAACTCGGAAAAAAATGTTAAAGTCTCTCTGGAGAGTAGAAGCCTGGGAGAAAACCAAACCAAACCCATTCTCCCATTACCACCCAGAGATACTGTCAACGTTTTGAGCTCACAGGGGAAGTGTAGGCTTTTCACACTGTCGATGTCTATGTGAAGGGAGTAAGGCAGCCTGAAACCTCTTGCTCCTAGGTCCCATGGTCCCCATTTCCCTTCTAGCTGGAAATTTGTGCTGTGACCAGAGGAACCAGAAATGGGGTGAGAATGCTTAGGGGACTGGGTTATAAGATCAAAGGCCGGTCTTGCAGCAGTAATGACAGTTCCTAGGAGGACTGTGACATCACTACATTCCACTCCTCCTGGGGGTGGGGGAAACCTCATCAGTGCAATGGCTGAGTTGCCGATCCACGATGGGGGAGGGGGGACGTGGGGCTGGGACCCAGGTCCTTGGAGATGCCAGTCCAGAGAGCCCAGGGAGGTCGGGCTTGGGTCAGCAGGAGGGGAGAGCAGAGTCTGCTCAGGGAACCCCAGGAGTCACCAGCCCAAAGTCACCCCGGGATGACTGGCGATGCTGGGGGGTTGGGGCTGGGGGACCCAGGTCCTTGGAGAGGTGAGCCCAAAGAACCCAGGGAGGTTGGGCTTGGGGTGGCAGGACGTGAGGGCTGAATATGGAGCAGGTATCCCCAGTAGTCATCCGCCCAAAGTCACCGCAGGGTGATTGGCGAGGGCAGAGGCTGGGCTGCTTGCTGAAGGGGCGGGGCTGACTGACAAGACGTTGGTGGGGGGAGTCCAGAGGCGCCGGGGTAGGGGGGCCCAGCCCGGTGTGCCTCAGGAGTGGTATGGACTCTGGGAGTGGTCTTGTCATCAGAGGGGATCTCTGGCTAGGTTGGGGGGCCATGACCTTTTTCTTGGCTTTTTACCTTTTTCTTGGCTGCTGCCAATTTATTCTGTCGAGATTCTTCTAACATCATGGGGTGGGGAGGGAGGTAGGGTTGGGGCCACATCAGCGAACACCTCCAGTCACCTACAAGGCTGCTGTGTGACTGAGCCAGAGGAGGCGTAACCAGGGCCACACTAGAATGCAGAATAGGGGTGTGGCCTTACTGCTCCAATCCCATTGGTCAATGAGAAAGATGAAAGGGAAAGGAGGCGTGGCCAGGCAGCAGTGTGCCCAGAGGAACCTGTGACATCACAAGGAAAGCTGCCCATGCGACTGCTGTCCCTGCCCACTTGGGGAGAGGGGCGGGGCCTGCCTACTCCGGGAGAGGGGAGGGCTGGTTTTTGCTTTAAAATGTTAAAAATAAACTTTAAAAAAATATGTATTTATACTTTATATATATGTGTGTCAGTGTGTGTGTGTCTACATGTTCCTCCAGAGCTGTCTTCATTATCCAGCTTCTATGCATGGTCTATGATTTTGGCCTACATTTTTCATCTTCAGAGGGAGTATAAGAATTACCAGTATTACCCCAGTTAAGACACAAATCCTATAAAAATGGAAAATCCATAGCATGTTTGATGATTAATGAATGAAGTGGACTATATTATCCAACATCCCAATAAGGTAAAATAATCACAATGATTTCTCGGCTTTGGAAAAAACATTTCTCTTATTCTCCTACATTATTAAGATTTTTTAAAAAACAAGAAACATGTCTAATATCTTTAAAAACACAAAGCTTTTGGGCCGGGTGTGGTGGCTCACACCTGTAATCCCAGCACTTTGGGAGGCCTAGGTGGGTGGATCACCTTAGGTCAGGAGTTCAAGACCAGCCTGGCCAACATGGTGAAACCCTGTCTCTACTCGAAATACAAAAACTAGCCAGGTGTGGTGGTGGGTACCCGTAATCCCAGCTACTGGGGAGGCTGAGGCAGGAGAATCACTTGAACCCGGGAGGCGGAAGTTGCAGTGAGCCAAGGTCACGCCACTGCACTCCAGCCTGGGTGACAGACTGAGACTCCATCTCAAAAAAATAAAATAAAATAGTCAAAAATAAATAAAAACACAAAGCTTTCCATTTAATAAGCACTCAAAGCTCTTTACTGGTTTAAAGCAAATACAAGGCCTATTTTTCTAGAATCACCTGGCCTCTCTAAGCCTTGCAAATGAAACTGAATTTCTCACTTGATACTTGGCTATGACTTGCAATCATGAAAACCAAGAATTGTGTTATGTCACTGTGTATTGATTGTTACCTGAATTCCACACTAGGCTGGGATCAAGGGTTGAATCTTTCATGATTTGCTCCATAACCTGTGAGCTTCTTTTCCTACACCAAACTAAGCTTTGTTCTAGAGTTCTACAATTTACAGTTAGTAGACAAGAGTGGTTCTCAAAAATGTAGTCTCTGGACTAGCAGCAGCAGCAGAACCTGAGAACCTTTTATAAGTGCAAATTCTCAGGCCCCACCCTGGACATGGTGAATCAGAAACTCTGGAGTAGGGCTCAGCAATCTGTGCTGCAGTCATCCCTCCAGGTGTTCAAGAACCTCTGGCATACAGCAGGCAGAAAAATGTGTTTCCTTCTGTAGGTCCAAAGCCAGGGATACCATATGTTCTGTCTTGATATGAAACAATGGCATGCAATTAAAAGACATAAATCTCCTTCCTGCTCCTACCCTCCATCCAATGTGTTTTATTTTTATGAGTTAAATAAGAAAACAAACGGCAATCAGAGATTCAGCCTAAAAAGTATGTTTACAAGTGTCAGTTCTCATCCAGCCTGATCTCACACAATACCATTTACACCCTCTTACCTCTCAAGTTTTTTAAAAAGTGTCTTCACAATGTAAGTCTCGGGCACACTAGCAGTTCTATAATAAAACACCAAGTAGATCAGAATGTCCAAACTTACTAGAGAAGAAAAGTGGAATCACTGGCTGTATTTTCAAGTTGCATTCAACAGGAAATGTAAGTTTTTCATTCTTTTCACCTTCACACTTCAATAGCGTTAAATCAGAATACTCCATTCTTCCAAAGCCTCTAGCCAGGCAAAGTTTTACTGTATTACTTCTTGCTTTCAATAGATATAAAGCAGAGTCCTGGTAGGCACATTTTGTATGCCTGCAAAGATGCAGAAGTAAACAGTTCCATCTATTCAATATTAAAACAAAAGTCCTGCAAACCTCGGATGGTGAGTGTAATACTTCAGCACTAGCACCAAAGCCTCAAATATAAACAGATACCAATATCACCACTAGCAAACAAAATGAGCCCTCGGCCAGGAGCAGTAGTTCACACCTGTAATCCCAACACTTTGGCAAGCCAAGGTGGGAGGATCACTTTAAGTCAGGAGTTCAAGACCAGCCTGGGCAGCATAGTGAATTCGCATCTCTACAAAAAATCTTAAAAATTAGCTGGGGGTGGTGGCACACACCTGTAGTCCTAGCTACTTGGAAGGCTGATGTATGAAAACTGCTTCAGCTCAGGAGTACGACGCTGTGGTAGCTATGATCATGCCACTGCACTCCAGCCTGGGTGACAGAGCAAGATCTAGATAATTACAGTCTGTCCTGCTCCTGTTTATGTTAAAATGCTTTCAATCAGCAGGATAAAAATTAAGTGAAATGTGACTTGGGAGCTTGGCCAGAAAATAGGCAATGGAGAAACAGGCACTTCCCACAAGAATAAAAATGGCCAATAAGCACATAAAAATGATTCAAGGCCAGGGCCGTGGCTCACGCCTGTAATCCCAGCACTTTAGGAGGCCGAGGTGGGTGGATCACCTGAGGTCAAGAGTTTGAGACGGGCCTGACCAACATGGTGAAATCCCATCTCTACTAAAAAATACAAAAATTAGCCAGGCATGGCGGTGGGCACCTGTAATCCCAGCTACTCGGGAAGCTGAGGCAGGAGAATCGCTTGAACCCAGGAGGCAGAGGTTGCAGTTATCCGAGATTGCACTGTTGCACACCAGCCTGGGCCATAGAGCAAGACTCCATCTCAAAAAAAAAAAAAAGTTTCAAAAGCACTAGAAACCAAAGAAATACAATGAAAACAATGAGATTTTCTCCTTAAATATCAGCAAAGAGGACAAATGGAAACGGGATACTGGAGCTCTGCCCCTGTTGGGAGTATAAACTGAACCAATTTTTCTGCAGGATAATTTGAAAATTTCTATTAAAAATCTTAAAACTATTTTATGTTATTTTTCTCCAGAAATTCTACTTCTATGACTTCAGCCCCAAAATGCTTGCTTGCGTCCATTAAAATATATATATAAGAAAATTTACTTCTGGGGTGGCAATGATTAACTTAATACACATCGAGCTTTTAAAAAGATGATGCCAAGGATATATTTACTGCCATAGAAATATGCCCAAAACATAGTGACAAAAGACTATATATTACGATTCTACTTTTTAAAATGTTCATATGCATAAAAAAATATAAAAAGCAACAAACCAGAATGCTTTCAGTGGCAAAATTAAAGACTTTTCTTCATATTTTGTCTTCCAAATTATTACAAAAAGAATGCAATTTTCTTTATAATCAGGGAGAAGTATTATTTTCATTTATTTACATATAAATTTCTTTTCTTTTCCTTATTTCTTCTAATGTATGTATCACATGTACCCTAAGAGCTTGAATCCCTACTTCTTGAGGTAAATCAGACCATTTCTGTCTCTATCAACTTGCCTTTTTTGGACATTTCAAATCAACAGAATTATACAATATGTGGTCACATGTCTGGCTTTTTACTTAGCTAAGGTTTTTGAGGTTGGTCCATGACATATAACAGGTTTTGGTAGTTTGTTCCTTTCATTACTGAGTAGAAGTCCATTGATGGATATATACCACATTTTGTCAGCAGAGAACATTTAAACTTTGCTTTCAACTTCCCGTGGTCTAAATGAAACCGCTGGAACACAGGACTTACAGTGAAAGCTGCTGTGCATGTCAAAAGAACTACTTATCAGAACCAGCTTTGTCATCAGGAGCCTGAACTGCTGCAGAAATTTTTATCATTTTGCAACTTCCTTTTTACAAGCAGCTTTTGTGCTACTACACATCAGGACTTTTGAAGCATCTGATACATCCATCTAATAAGTATGAGCATGTGTCTGAGTGGACAAGTACAACCATCTATGCTACACTGCATATTTTTTCCCTCCCCCAGACTGGACCAGGGAATCTCTCAACTTTCTAGAGTATCCTGTCTCCATTGACAAAGCTGAACAGTATTAAAGATCCTGCTGCCTTTGTTAGGCAGATTTGGAAGGGAGGCCCAACAGCAAGGGTGGAGAGGAAAAAGAGAGGGCAGCTTGTGGAACAGGAAGCCCCCTGGGGTCTGCACATGGCTCCCAGCTGTTGAGGATGTTGTGGATGGGGAAGTGCTGATGGTGTCCCGAGGCAAGCCTAGCACCTGCACTGGGCCCAGAAGGTCTTGACTTTGGCCCCTTACCCACGTTCCAGAAGTGTTTACAAGCTGGTTTTGCTTTTCTTCTTTTCCCAAATAATCATTACTTGGTAGTTAGTTATTAACCTTTCTTTGGGAGAGGGACAGAGCTTTAAAACTGAAGAACATAATTTTCATTAAAATATCAAAAATGGAAAAAAGTTACTTTGTAAACAATTTGCTATACAAACCAAATGGCAGCTGTTGAGAATCTCAATAAAGTGTTAAATGCATTTGCTGCTGTTAGAAGAAATACAGTAAAAATATTTAAAATAAAGAAAAAAATTTGCTGGCAGTGGTACCATTTGCCCAAGGTTGGGTTGCTGTGTCGTCATACTGTGGTGGGGGGTATATGTGGTGTATATGTGTGAAACTCTTCATCTCAGGATGGATCATAATGTGAGCTGCAGTTTTCCTTCCAAATAGGGTTACAAAGTAGTAAAACATGGGCTTGGAAGTGACAGACCTGAGTGAATCAGCCAAGCTTAAAGAAAAACCCAATAAAATTAACTTTTAATAATCCTGACGTTGGTTTTTGAAACAATAGATACAATGATTTACTCTAAGCATCAGGTTATGATTTTGAATCAGTAATACACACTGTCTCGACCTTTTTCTTTTTTTATGGAAACAGAGGTTTCACCCAGAAAACCCCAAAACAGTGACATTTTTTTTTTTTTAAGACAGGGTGTCACTCTGTCGCCCAGGCTGCAGTGGAGTGGTGGATCTCAGCTCACTGCAGCCTCGACCTCCCACCTCAGCCTCCCGAGTAGCTGGGACCACAGGCACCACCGTGCCTGGCTAATTATTGTATTTTGTGTACAGACGGGGTTTTGCCATGTTGCCCAGGGTGGTCTCAGACTTCTAGGCTCCAGCCGTTCACCCACTTCAGCCTCCCAAGGTGCTGTGTGTACAGGTGCGAGCCACTGTGCCCAACCTGCATTGACTTTTTAAAACATAAGTTCAAGCATCTCTTCCTAACTCCTTTAATTGGAGGTATCTCTTCTCTCATTCTCCTCATCTTTGGTGTTCCCCCAGAGTTCACTGCTGTCTGGATGTACAACATATATTTCAAAGTCAAGGCTGGGCTGGGTGCAGTGGCTCACGCCTATAATTGCAGCACTTTGGGAGTCCAAGGCAGGCAGATCGCTTGAGTTCAGGCAAGGTAAGGCAGGCTCCCAAGGCAGAGACTGAGGCTGACCCCTGCAGCCCCCTACTGCAGGGAGGAACACCAGGATAGGCAAGGGTCTTAACCTAGAAAGCCCCAGCAGTTCCTGTGACCATTGAGGCTTGGCGGTGGTGGAACCCAGGAATGGTCTTTGAACCCACCACCTGGAAGGGGAGCCAAGGATAGTCCTGGCCCAAAGGCTCCCCTACCTGCAGGCAGTGTGGAGGCCCAGTGAGTGGACCCCAGGAGCCCAGACCATGAGCTTACCTGGCCAAAGACAGCAGCCAGCACCAAGACACGAAAGAGGGCGGGTAGAAAGATCATCACATAGGGGTTGACTGCGGCCGGCACCAGGTTCCTCTGTACTTCTGGAACACACAGGCCCCTCCTTCCTATCCCTGAAGTGCCCCTGCCCCTACCCCAGCACCCTGAAGACCAGCCCAATATATGCATTTGTCCTGGGTCAGCCCCACTGTCCAAGCAACTGCAATTTCTCACTAGAGAGCCAGGGCAGGGCAGGGTATAGGAGGGGTCCCTGGAAGATGCCCCCCAGAATGCCCTGATGCCTAAAACGTTCCCCGTTGGGCCTTCTCAGGGAGGGAGGGTTAAGACAGCCTTGTTCTCTCCAGCTACCTCCATCACCACTGGAGCCCTTACAGGCGTCATGGGAGAGAATTGGCTCACTGGAGCCAGGAACAGCATGGACACAGCCCTGGGGCTGAGGCTAAGTGGGCTCTGGGAGACCGTCACTCTCTCTTCAAGCTTTGGTCTCCTGGCCCTCTACAAGCCAGGCTGTTTCAGGCTTTGCGTTAGGCCTTGCTCAGAGACAGAGTTGAAACACAGCTGGTGGACACAGTGGGCTTTAGGGAGGGGGCACGTACCTGGGGGTGGGGGCTGGGTAACAGGGAACGGAGGCCCTGGGGCTAGCATGGCCTGTCTGGAGGTGGCACAATGGGACCTGCACCACATGAGGACAGAGGGTCCACCTGGAGGAGTGGATCAGCCAGATGGCCACCAAGCTGGATGGCCACCGCCAGAGCCTGCAGGACAGCAGAGGGGGCTAGGAAGGGACAGAGGACAGCTGAGGGGCAGGGAATGTGGGTTCCTCCATACAGACACTTGAGTCTTCCCTAAGTGGGTCTTCCCCATGGGGGTGAGGGGGCATTCAAGACACACCTCCAGCCCACCTCAAACCATCTCAGGAGGCCACCACCAACTCACACAGGCCAGCTGCATTGTCACAGTGACCCCAGAACAGCACAGCCCTGTCCTTCAGATAAATAAATGGAGAGAGTGATGCATATCACAGCCAGGAGCTGGGACTCAGACCCAGGTCCAGCTGCAGTGCTGCCTCAATGGCTCCACCTGCACCTCCTCCGGGACTCAGTTCCTGCTAACAAGTGAACACTTGAGTATGGGTGAAATAGGTGCTATTATCCCTTCTGGCTGCTGGGGAAGCAAGGCACAGATGACTTGCCCAAGGCCAACGTATCATGGCTGGTTCAACCCCATCTGTCTCGGCCAGCACATCCCCAAGGCAGAGGCTTTACTGTGATCCAAACCTGGAAGGTGGCACTCCTTCCAATGTCCCACCCAGGGCACAGAGCATGCAGCCCCATGTTTGGGGAGGTGACAGGGTGGGGAGGTGACAGTGTGGGAAACAATCTGGTTAGGCCAAGGCCTCATGGAGCCCAGGGTTCCCTAGGACCAGGAGAGCTCTGGAGCCCACACTGACACCCACTGGAAACCTGGAATCTGCACCTGCAGGAGATCGGGAGAGGGGTTCGGCCTCCGATGCACCTGCAGCAAGGTGAGACAGGCACAGGTGGGCGCCCTGCTTCCAACCAGTGTCAGGTGGGCAGGAAGCAGATCTCCTCCCTGACCTTCCTCTCCTGCCTCCCCCAAGCAGAGGAGAAGGGGCAGCCGCCCATCAGGCCATTGCCCAGATTGAAGCCACTGAAGCTAGGTCCCAACAGGTGAGTGTGACCCCTGACTATCCCAGGCCCGGCCCAAGGCAGTCATGTCTCTGGTGAGGACCTGGTAGACAGATGTGATGTCCCCAAGTGGCTCTATAAACCTCTTGAGGATAATCAAGGAAATGGGCAAAAACATCATGCTCAGCCAAGAACCTGATAGGCACAAGGGGGACCAGGGCAGGTAAAAGTCAGTTTGGGTTCAGGCCTGGCCCCTGGAAGGATGGTGGATGAAGAGCCAGCCACGGTGAAAGGGAATGGATGGCCACGGGCTGGGTGGTCAGGACTGTCAGCTCCTGCAGCCCCTGCAGAACATCTGCCCAGGCCTGGCTCTGCGCTCAGCCTTCTGCCTGGAGCCACAGGTGCCTGGACACCAGCCTCAAGTAGGGATGGTGGTAGGAAAGGCACTTGTGGCCACATGTGGGCACCTAAGCATGGGACAGAGGGGTATCATGCCCCAAAGAAATCACAGAGGCCAAGAGCTTAAGCATATGTGACACCATCAATAAATCCCCTTGTCCTGGGTCACATCAGTTAAGTCAGAGCCTACCCTGACCCTGAAGCTGCAGCTCAGTCTGGTTGAGACTCACAAAGAGATGTTAGTGCTGGGCAGGGGGCCTGGAAGACTCCTGGGGTGAATGGAAGTCAGTGCCCTTGGGTGCTAGTATCTGTCTTCCCGGCCACCGCTAGATCAGGCTTCTGAGCCTGTTGGCTGTCAGGGCTGGACTGTGCCCCATAGGCACCATGGCAGTCCCAATGAAATCCACCAGGTGTCACTAGGCAGCATAAAGGTAACAGGCCTGGAAGGTCACCAACAGCCCAGCTGGACATGCTCAGACAACTCTGGGGCTCCTCATTCAGTGGCACAAACTCCAGGACCCAGTGAGGGAAAAAGGAACACACCAGGCTGAGCAGTATGGCTAAATCCATTTATTCCAAAATGAAAAGCAAAATAAACGGGAGTCGCATCACCAGGGAGCCACAACCCCATCCCCGCCTCCTTCCTCTGCCCCATGCTATCAATAAATAAGTTTCCCAGCCACAAATAATGATTAGAACCTCCTCCTCATATGCCAGCTCCAACCTCTGCTAGGTACGATACAGGGGGTGGCCCTACCCCCTGGAATATACAAAATGTTACACAGATACTATATGTACACTGGGGCCTTCCCAGCAGCCCGTGCCCTCACCTGCTCTACAGTTAGCCCCATTGTCCCTGCCTCAGCTGCCTCTCTGAATAAGAAGATGGGAGCCCCCTGAGGGAAAAGTTGCTTTGGTGAGGGTAGGGAGGCCATCAGGCCGCCTCCAAACAAACCGACTCCACCAGCCTCTGGCTCTTAAATAACAATCATCATCATCCAGAAATCTAAGGACTCAGCCCTGGTCAAGGTGGCAAAGGGTCTGTTTGTCTCTCCCCATTAGACAGGGGTCTTGTCTTGCTACCCTAATGATAAAGGGGTAGGAAGGGATGGTAGGGACACGATGGCGGCAGACTCCAGCCCCACTTCTCCAGGCTTATGCTGACAGAGGCCTGCTTTTATTTATTTTTATTTATATCCCATGACTTATTTTTTAATCCCGTAACTTCTTTTTCATAATACTTTTTTTAAACTTTTCATAAAACTTTAAATACTTTTTTCACAACTTTTTTTGCCACGACTTTTCCACATTTTTTATCCCATAACTTTTTCATCCTACAACATTTTCTAAATCCCATAACTTCTTTTTAGTTTGTATTCTTTTAATAAACACACTTGCATAGTTAATTACAATTTTGTAAAAATAAAAACTGATTATCTCATGCCAAGCGTGCCCAGCATTTGCACAGTCTCAATACCTGTAATACTATAGTTTTCAAGACACACAAAATTTTAAGGCAAAAACAGCACTTTGCAACAATTTAATAATTTATTACATTACAGTAGCATCACAGTAGCAGTCAACAATGCCACTTTAGGCAACAGTGTTTCAGTATTTCTATTATACATTCTGTTTACAAGAATTCATAAACTGGTAAAAGTCATTCTAAGAAAACTTGGCAAATAAAGCCTTGCATTGGAATTGGCATTTCTTTCTCTACTTTTCCTTCCCCCAGTTTCTTTCTTTCAAACTACAGTATTCATATTTTAAAGTGTTTTAACTTATTTCAAAACATTAAGATAGCAGTTACATTTTTGAATAGTTATATTCTTTTAAAATGACTCTTTAAGATAAAGTTTTAGAGAAACTATATTATGCATAGGGCTGATTTATATTTTCACATTTTCTAAATATCAGCTTTGGTTTTAGAACTGACTTGTTTTCATTTCTGGAAAACCCATCAGGTTAAACAAATACTTTAAAAATGATTATATATTGCAATCTTTAAATAGATTTTTAATTCTTTACTTCCTACAGAAATTCAAATTTATTCAGTTGAACCCACACTTTAAAATTCTATGTTTCTGATTAAACTCTACCCTTCTAATGTTGCCTTCTAAGCAAATTGAAAGCTGCCTTAAACTGAATGAGGAAGAGAACAAATACTTGGCTGAATGAGGTATTGCAAAGGACCACATGCACTTTGAAGAAAGACTTAAGTTATTGTTATATGATTTACATGCTATTTAATTTTTCTTAAATATATGACAGAATACCTACACAAAGAGTGGTATTTCAGTTAATATAGTACATTCATTTTCCAGACTGACATTCAGCTTAAATATGCCGGTGTGTGATTTAATCCACAGGTACCTGATGAACACATTATTGTCAGATTGGTTGCAGGTGCTAAAGGCTAGCTGAAGATCATTCCTAGTCATTTATATTTATCAGGGTAAAAGTGAAGTGATTTGAACTATAAAAATACCTTTGAAATAATTTATCAATGTATTAGGTAAACCCAGTTTCAGAATTATAAAGAAAAACTGTTAGACCAAATAAGGTGGCTAATTAACAGTGGTATGATTTCTAGCCCGAGGGTCTAAATTGGACTCAAACTGTCTTTAAACTGAACTCAAAGAATGCAAAAGTGGCAAGTTCAGAAAATAAAAGGCAAGAACAGGACTTGAAGTCCATTTTAAACCCTCGGGCTAGAAATCGTCCTACTGTTAATTAGCCACATTCGTTGGTCTAACAGTTTTTCTTTATAATTCTGGAACTGAGTTTATCTAATACATTGATAAATTCATACAATTTGGAAGAGTCAGTTGAAGTCACAAGGACTTAATATTTGCACTCTTTCACTGAATGCAGGCACATCTGTTATTCCATCTGTAAAATCGTATTATTGCTCTCCTATTAATGTCATATGTATAAAAGTATCATGAGGATGCCAAATGCTAAAAATGGAGATGGTCTAGTAACTAGAAATGCCCACCCCAGGGAGCGCACACACATCTCTCCCTGCATCCTAATACTGTGACGTATTTTGGAACACAGACATTAGAACTTCATGAACTTTTAGCTGTTGATTCTTTCCCAAGCATCTTAAAGTTATGATTTAGGCAATGTATGACTGAAATAATTCACTCATCACGTATAGGCACATTAACATAAATATGGCACAAAATATGCCTCTAACTGAAACTGAGAGGTATAAAAACATATTTCACTCTTTGTGAAGAACTTTGTGAGGAAACATAAGTCTGTCATTGTATAGACACTTTTTCTCATAATACTTGGACATTCACAAACATTAGATTGCACTGCAGCTTGTAAACATTTTAAGTTGCATAAACTTCGCCTTGATTTTCATGTGTAGTATAATACTGTCTACTAAAACTCCTTTTTGTTTCAACTAAGTACTCTCACATATATTGGTTTATAATAATGGTTGTTATTATTTTTAAAGTGTTTTCCATTCAAAGAAAAGAAGTAAATTCCTATGTCAGAGTAACTAATGTGGCTGAAGAATAGGTATTAGCCAGAGAGGTCTAGATGATAAAATCAATCTTCTAGCCTCAAAGAAGCTCCATGAACATAGAGGAAGGCCAGGTGTCACACAGCTTTCCTTCACTCAAATTCATTCTTGACTAGAGCCTGTATGCCTCTTCCAGGGACATTTAAACTCTTAAAGGATTTCTTATGATCTTCACTAAATACCTTAAGAAGAATGCCAACCAGTGCCCTTTTGTGTACTGGGACATATACTCGTGATTAAAACAGGTAACATGAACTCTGACTTTAAAATGTATTGTAGATATAAATGCTCTAAGCTAGAAAAGGTTTTCCACATCCACAGTCAATGATGGGAGCCTTTCATTCCTCAGAAATAATCCCTTTTTAGGTCATCAAGAAAGGGTACAACTGCTGCAGCTCATGATGCAATATCTTCATGAGCCCAGAGCACATACAAATCCTAAGGGAACTACCATAGTACAGCGCTCATTCTTGGCACCAGAACAAATGAAACACACTCTATCCTGCACACACCTGCCAGAGCAGGCCACTTTCCTCTTCTGTGAGATTTAAAAAGCTCCCCAAAATGTTATTACTCCCATCCCCAATACACAGAAAATAGGGAAAAGGCTGTTTCCAGTTCTTGGCCTTTAAACAACTCTAAATGTCAGTACTCACAGTGGCATATTACAAAGTAATAAACAGTGCTCAATTGAGGGCAAACCACATATTGAGCTAATGAAGAGCTCACTGTGGTTAGGATTCGATCAAACGTAATAGCAGAACATAAGCACATTTTATCTGAATTCTGGAATGAATATACATGCTGCAATAACATTAAAAAAGCATGGCAGCCTGTTCCAAACCAGCCAGAATAGTTTTGTGCAAATTAGTGGGTCTTTGTGTGTTTGAATTCCCACCACCTAAGGGCAAACTCGATATGCATACTAATGACCTACAATTATCAAATTAAAAATAAAAATGCTAAAGGATGCCAGAAAGAACATCAGGGAAAGACCAACTCTCCCTTAACTTTTTACAAATAAATTTAAACGGTAAATTAGAAACACAAATAAATGTGAGTGGCTCTAGCATTCAAATGGAGTAAATGAATTGTGTAGGAGATGAACCCCGTAACTTTTTGTTGTTGTTGTTTTAAATTTCTTGACCAGCTCTTAGAAGATGATGATGTTTATCTCCCTGTTCTCGGCTGCCTGGTAGAAGAATGGCACGCAGGGTTTGCTGGGCAAGCCTGGGTGCTCCTAGGTGTCCTGCATGACAGGAGACAGCTGCACGATCTGCTGTACCGGGGGGTTGTCATGGGGAGAACCCTCCCTGGCCGCTCCTGGTGCAGGCTCCACGTTGTTGTCCAGGCTCACTTCATAAAAATCTTCGGAGAGAGGGAGGCGGGGGTCTGAGCACAGTGCGAGCCTCCCCTGCCCCTGCCTGCCCACCCCGCCTGAGAGCTCTACTCACCATCCTGCTCACCGGCAGCCCCAAGTTCCTGGGGGGCTGGGGCCCCTGGAGTGGGCTCATCAGCAGGGTTCTGGGCAGCGATGAGGAATTTGCCATGCCCCTCATGGTTGCCCACAAGGGGCAACACCAACTCTTGCAGCTCCAGCAGCTTCACCTGAAGGGAGGGGTGCTCAGCTCCCACCCTGGAGCCTGCACCAGTGCCCATGCCCACCCCCAACCCCGCAGAGATGTTGCACGCCCTACCTTCATCTCCTCCTCCTTCTGGGCCAGCCTGATGACATCCTCCATCTCCTGGTGCCGCGTGTTTGGCACTGCCCCCTGGCTTTCATATACGGTGAAGGACTCTCCTGTGAGAGGACACAGCTCAGACACTAGGGTCCCTCCGACGGCCCTGCAGCTCCCCGTGCCCGTGCCCTGGCCTCCCGCTCACTCATGCCGTCTGTCACTCCAGAAGGCTGGACGAATCCAAGCTCTCGTCTCTCCACCTGCTCCGTCCCGTCCGCCTTCTCCTTCGGGAGGTCCATAAAGCTGCTCTGGAGCCAAAATAATGGGGTCACACCTCGGGAGTGACCTGTTCTGCCCCGCCCCCACTTTTCTTGGCCCATGCCAGGACTCACTCCCTTTCAGCTTCACCATGGCCTCCTTCAGGGCCCGGTAGCTCTCCCCACACACAAACTCATCTCCAGTCCTCCCTGGGGCTGGGGCCTCTGCCTCTGGCTCCTTCCAGGCCAAGGCCACCAGATGAGCCAGGTGCAGGCGGCACAGCCTTCGCACCTTCCGCTGCCCACATAGCCGTGCCTGCTCCTCCTGGGAACTGGCTCCAGCGGAGTTGAAAAATGCCACTTGAAGGCAAGAGGTGAGTATTCTTGTAGGGGCATAGACAGAACAAATGAGGCAGGGAGGTGGAGAACAACCCCTTCCCTTGGGGCCTCAGAGAGTGCACCTGTTGGTCACAGGTGACAAAGTGTCTGACCACTGGCTCCCGGAAGGGGTGAGGGGCCAGAGAAATCAGAAGGTGGGAAAACCAAGAGCATAACGGGCTCTGGGAGGGACCACAGAGGAAGGTGGCAAAGCGGGGCAGGGAAAGTCAGGCTCACCGTGGCCTCCCGGCTCTCCAGGTCCTCTGGGATGTTTGGCGTGGGCCGAGGCGCCTCCTCCTCCTCACTGTCCAGATGTTGTCCTCCATCTCCTGTGGGGAGGTGGCCAGAGGGGTCCTCAGACAACCCAACAAGGAAGGTACTGTGGGCCTACCTCTGTCCCCACCCTGACTGTGTAACCCTGAGCCAGCCTCTCCCCAGAGGGGAGTGAGCTGCTGTTCTTTATTTTTCCTTTTAAGAACCAAGATCTTGCTATATTGCCCAGGCACAGTCCCACTACCGGTCGGTGCGGGAGTCCTGACCTGCTCCCTTTCTGATCTGGTCCAGTTCATTCATCCTTAGGCAACCTGGTGGCCCCCTGCTCCCAGGAGGTCACCATATTGATGCTGAACTTAGTGCGGACACCCGGTTGGCATAACGACCAGCTGTTCTAAAGGTCTCTTCCAACCCCTCAATCCTATGCTGCTAACAGTCCCCCCTTCCTCCTGGGGCTCTCTCCTCTTCCTCTGAGTGGTCTCCTGTACCTTCTCCAGGGAGAGCCACGAGGCTTAGCTGGGTCTCTAGCTGTTGGTTCCGCTGGCTGGCAGCTTCTAGGTGCTCCTAAGGGGACGGGAAACAGAGTGAGAAGGCACGGAGGTTGCCAGGTCATCCCCCTCGGGGCCCCGTCCTCAGCAACTCCCTCCCCTGGGTCTCCTGCAACTTTTGGCCGGCCATCTCAGCCACCGCTTTGCCCCAAGCTTCCTGCTGCTGCAGCTGGTCCACGAACTGGGTCTGCAGCAGTAACTGCCTGTGCAGCGCCTCCTTCTCAGAGGTCAGCTGCTGATAGGTGGCCATGTACTGCTGCAGGTGACCCAGGTACTAGTCTCGCTGCTGCTGCAGACTCTGAGACTCTTGGCTCTTCAGCTCCACCTGCAGGAAGACCCTGGGCATGAGGGCACATGGTGGCTGGCTTCCAGATTCTGGGCCCATTAATAGGGTAGCGAGGGCACCGTGGGGCTCTGTCACCTGCCCAGGACCCTGGTCCCTTGCTCCAGGCCTAAGAGGCTTCCTCCCTTGCCTAGAACCCCATACCTCCTTCCCCAGCCTCAAATCTCATGTCCTTCTTCCCACCATTTAAACTGTAGGCCACAGACTGGTGGAAAAGCAGAGGGAGCCAACCACCATCTGCTAAGTGTGCTACATGCCTAATGCTTTCCAGGTATTCTCTCATTCAATCCTCAGCACCTCTGCAAGGAAAATGCTAACTTCCTTTTGAAGTCACAGAAACAGAGACTTAGAGATGAACAGTAGTTGAATGGTGACCAGTGGAACCCAGGCCAGAATCCAGTTTGAATCTAAGGAGCCTTTTTTGTTTTGTTTTGAGACAGTGTCACTCTGTGGCCCAGGCTGGAGTGCAGTGGTGCAATCTCAGCTCACTGCAGCCTCCACCACGTGGGCTCAAGCGATTCTCGTGCCTCAGCCTCCTGAGTAGCTGGGATTACAGGCATGCGCCACCATGCCTGGCTAATTTTTTGTTGTTGTTGTTGTAATTTTAGTAGGGGTGAGGTTTCGCCACGTTGGCCAGGCTGGTCTCAAACTCCTGACCTCAAGTGATTCTCCTGCCTCAGCCTCCCAAAGTGCTGGGATTACAGGTGCGAGCCACCGTGCCTGGATAAGGAGCCTCTTGTACCACTGTCTCTTCCCCTGTGATTGGGGGCTCCATGTCTCTAGCTGGGATGATGATGTCCAGACCTGGGAGGAGCCCAGGGCTACCCACCTCTAAAAGTCAGAGGGCAGGAAGCAAGAAACAGTCATAGAGCTGCACTGGAGGGTGCTGGGGTCACCTGCCTCCCAGCTGGAGCTGCCTTTGGCCTGGCACCTCCCCTCCCCAGAGGCTGGTGCCCGCCTCCCAGCCCTTCTTGGATGGGGTGGAGGTTACCATCTCCTTCACCTCGTCTAGCTTCTCCTGCAGCTCCTTTACTTGCTGCTCCAACTGCAGTGCGCTCTTTTTCTCGTTGTTCTGGACAGAGAGAAGCAATCAGTGGCCATCCACTGCAGCTGGAGACACCAGACCTTGGTGTCTGCCTCCCATATCACCAGGAAGGGTGGAGGCAGGTTAGAAAAATCATCCCTTCTCCCCCACAGCCATCAGAGCAGAGCCCGATGAGCTGTAGCTCACAGGTGCCTTTAGAAGTAGCATTTCATGTGAGGGCTACACTGGCCCATTTTACAGGTGGGGAAACAAAGGCCTGGAGGGATAGGGATGAGGGCAGGCTCCCCAGGTGGGGCAACCCACCAGATCCTCGAAGCTGCACTGTGGCTCGGCCAGCTGCTTGTCGAGCTTGTGGTTCTGGGAGAGCGCGAGCCTCTCCTCCTGCTTTTGTAGCCTCTCCTCCTTCTTCCACAGCCTCTCCTCCTGGTCCCACAGCCTCTTTTCCTGCTTTTGCAGCCTCTCCTCCTCCTTTCGCAGCCTCTCCTCCTGTTTGCGTAGCCTCTGCTCCTGCTTTCGCAGCCTCTCACCCTGCTCCTGTAGCGTCTTCTGCTGCTCCCGAAGCCTCTCGTTTTGTTCACACAGTCTCTCCTGCTCCCGCACTCTCTGCGCCTCCTGCTCTCGGAGCATCTCCTCCTGCTCCTGGAGTCTCTGCTTTTGTTCCTTGCTAAGGAGACTCAAGGCCTGATTGTTTTCCACCTGGGACTGGAGCTTTCCCTCCAGACCTTCCACCTCCTGCCTCAGGTGTTTGGCCTCATCTTGTAGCTGTTCCACCACAGAGGTCACTGCTGGGGGTGCCAGGGATGGGGGCTCAGCTGAGAAATGAAGCAGACAATAAGGGCCTCTGGATTCCCCAACCCCTCTACCCACATCCCCCTCAAAAAAAAAAAAAAACCTCCTCTTGATGCACAGCTCCTCTCAGGCTTCCCAAACTTGGCCTCACTGCTAATCATTCCTCGCACCCAATGGTAGCCAATTTCCAAGCCACTTTCACATAGAGAGCACTGTGGGTGGCTGACAACGGGCACTCCTCCCTCTTTGCTGATGGGGACCCTGAGGCTCATGGAGATGACAAAACTTGCCGTCTCCTGGCACAGACCTCTTTCCCTCTGCCTCAAAGCCCTTCCACCCACCCACCTCCCTGGGGCATTCTAAGCCACCCCCACAGACCTCTGATGCCAGTCCTGCTCCGAGGTCACACCAGCCCCATCTTACCCATCTGGTTTTTGAGTTCGGACAAGCTCCTCTCCAGCTCCTGTATCCGATGTATGTCACGCTTCTTCTCTTCCTTCAATGTTCGAGCCTGCCCAAAGCACAGGGGAAAGGGCCCTGGAGAGAGGGGCTGGTGGCTGGACAGGCTACCATCTCATTCTCTGTCCCCATCTCCACAAAGCCCAGACCCATGACCACCTCTGGCTGTACTATTCCCATTTTACAGATGCCCAGAAAGATCCAGTGACCTATCTAAAGTGGGGGCTGAAGGGTCAGACCTCACCTCCACCGACATTTTCCACATCCTCTCCTGCCACCGGGCCCTCTCTCCTTTTATGTGTTTAGCATATTCGTCCCGCTCTAGCTGGACTTGTTTTAGTGACTCTGTCACCTGCAAGAAATGGGCACAGAAGTTAGGAAGGGCTGTCACTGGTCCTCACCTGCTCCTGGCCACCTGGGGTCATCTTCCTTCCACATCCCTCCCTCTGCAAAGCCTCACCTGTGTCACGTGTGCGTTCAGCAGCGCCCGCTCCTTTATGGTCTGCTGTAACCGCCGCTGGAGGACCGCTTCTCTGCAGCTCGAGGACTGGATGGTGAAGAGTGAGAAGTTTTGATCTGGGGAGCCCGGGCAGTGCCCCTTAAAAGGGCTAGGGCTAGGCTCAATATACAACTCGGTTAGTAAAGGTCAAGGCATTTCCAAGCCCGTGGCCTGGTTATTAAAAGAACTCAGTAAAGTTGGAAGGGAGAGGGAAAGAGATCGAATTTACAGCTGGCTAACAGAGGCCCAGAGAGATCAGATAATATTGCTATTGTTATTACTGTTATTACTACCACTGTTTGAACCGTTATGGAGTGCTTCACCAGGTTCCATGCTAGCAATCCCATTTAATCCTCACAACCACCATATGAGACGGTTACTAGGATTACCTCTATTGTGTAGATGAAAAACATCGAGTGTTCAAGGTTAAGTGCTTGCCTAAGATCACTTAGACAGAGCTGGGATTTGAACACCCAGGTCTATCCTATTCTCTAAGCCCATTTTTCTTGCTGGGGGTGGGGACACAGATAGGAAGGGGGAAATTAATCTTTTGTTCACTTTTTGAAAGGATGATACATTCATATAGTCCAAAACTCAGAAGGTACAGAAGGGAGGTGTCTCCAGGCACCCTGTTACTCTCTCCTGAGTTTTTTATGAATGCTTGCAGACATGTTTTTGTATATTATCATAGTACACACACACACACACACACACACACACACACACACACCCCTTTCCTCTCTCTACAGAAATGGTAACATACTAAATGTGCTCTTCTGTACCTTCACAGAACAACTACCCAATACCCCACCTAGGACTTGGCCAAGGCCACAGCCAGGAAAGGGCAGGGCAGGCACTTGGCCTCTGAGCTCTGCATCCAGTGCTCACTCCCCACAGTGCCCCCCAACTCACCCACAGCAGCTGACTCAGCCCCAGGCTGCCTCTAACAACCATACACAAAAGTAGTGAGAAATGACCATGCTGCCTTCTGGGCAGGACACTCCATCCTGCAGAAGGGACCTTTAGGCTCACTCCTCTATCTGGGAAGCCAGGCTGCCAGGGGATGGGGCAGCTGGTTGGACTCACCCTGTCCTCTTCCTGCTGCTGTGTAGACACAGCAGAGAGAGCCCGCTCCAATTCTTGAATACGCTGTAAGGAGTATTGCAGGCGGCCAGCCAGATCCTTGGACTCTTCTGTAATGAGAGAGGTTGAGATGGGGCCCAAAAGACTCCCCCTAAAGACCTGTCAAAGTGCCAGGTTGAAGGATGACGGGATGCCCAGATTCCCACCTTCGAAGTGTCGGGCAGCACGTTTAGTATGGTAAAGGGTGGTCTTCAAGTCTGCCTTTTCCAATGTGAGGATGTTGATTGTCTGGAATTGAACGTTTGGGAGAAAAGCCAAGGAAATGCTGAAAGAGAAGGAAAGAAACATTCTCCAGAGGACAGGAGAAAGCTCCCCACCCTCCACTCACCTCTAACTGCTCCATTTGTGCTTTGTGTATTTCATTGTTTGTTTTCTTTGCCTGTAGGAAGAGGAAGACAGAGCTCTTATCACAGGGAGGCAGAGATGGCACAGCAAGAGACATGCCCCCAGAATGCCACCAATGCCCCAGGACAGGCCCACCCATGGGACCAGGTTATCAGGGACCCTATGGGGATGGGGTGGAATCTGATGGGTGAGCCTTCTTCCCCAGGCTGGGAGTGGGCAAGATGAGACTGGCGCCTCTGCATCTGAGTGTCCCCCAAACCCAGCAGTCATGTTGTGAGCAAAGAAATCACGTTACTTCTTCCAGCTGATGTTCCACTTGTTTCTTCTGCTGTTTCTGTGGGGAGAGTCAAATTCAGGTGACTGAGAGTGGCCCCCTCAACTCTATTCCCCAGACCTGGAAGCGGTAGGCAGGGTCCAGGAATGGATTTTAAAGGCAACATTCTCAGAACCAATGGCAACACAAACTGGTCAACCCTCCTCAAGCTCCCAAGGACAGAGGACTTGGGTCTTTGTTGGTTTTTGCCCACAGCCACAGAACTCAAAGCCTGAATCTGGATTCTCTTGAAAGGACAGTAACATAAACCTCTAGAGAGGGAGTCTCAGGAAGGCCCACCCTTCTGCCAGCTTGTGATTTAGAAAGGTGCCTTCATTCAACAAACATTTACTGAACACATACGGGCCAGCTACGGTTCTTCACAGCAGATATAGGATGGAAAAGGACAGACAGGAGCCCTTGGCCCTCAGGTTTCCATTCTAGGGGCCTTTAAATCTCAGACTCTCAGAGCTAACAGAGAACTTTGATGCTCTACCTCCTCCAGAAACACAAGCCCAAGGAGGACAGGTGGCTTGTCCAGACTCAAAGCAAATTAGGGACTGAGTCAGGGCAGAAATACAGGGCCCCTGACAACCAGTCAGGCTAGCGCTTCCCTGAGAGGTGACAACCTCAGGGCGTGTGTGGCAAGGACTGGAGCAGGGGTGTCTGGAGAAGAGAGAGTCGGCAAAGAGGGCAGTGACAGAAGAGCCATGCTGCGTGCTCCTTGCTCTGGGGTCCCTCCAGGTGAGGCCTGGGTGCTCCAGCTCCCCATTTGCCCTTGGCACCAGGGGCCCCCAGCCCCTTTCTTCAGGGCCCCAAGGGGAAACTAAAGCCCAGGATTGGCAGCATGGAATCAGGGGACCCCACTGGACTTACCAATGATTCTATGTTTTCATTGAGCTGATTGATTGTCACTGAGCTTGACTCCAGGGCTACTGCTAGTTCTTGGTACTGGCTCTGAGGCACATGCAGAGAGGAGGAGTTGGAAGAGGATTGTGGGGAGAGGTAGAGAGAACAATCATTAGGGCTGGGGTGTGTGTGGGCTGTCTCAGCTGGCAGAGGGTCACCCAGCCCCCACTGTGAGAGGAGGTTGGAGGGCTGGCCTGCAAAGTCACTGCACCTCAGCCCAGGGCCTCTTACTTCCAGATCCTTCAGGGTAACAGATGATGCAGGAGTAATAAAAATGAGAAATTAAAAAAAAACTTACATGGGAAATAGTTATGTATATGGAGAAAGTATAAAAACAGCAAGGAGCCGGGCACAGTGGCTCACACATGTAATCCCAGCAGTTCAGGAGGCTGAGACAAGTGGATCACTTGAGGTCAGGAGATCAAGATCAGCCTGGCCGACATGGTGAAACTGCATCTCTACTAAAAATACAAAGATTAGCCAGGCGTAGTGGCAGGTGCCTGTAATCCCAGCTACTCAGGAGGCTAAGGCAAGAGAATCACTTGAACCCGGGAGGCAGAGGTTGTAGTGAGCCGAGATCGCACCACTCCACTCCAGTCTGAGTGACAGAGTGAGACTCTGTCTCAAAAAAAAAAAAAAAAAAAAAAAGAGCCCAAATCCCACATGCCTGCTCTGTACGTTATTCCCAGATTACTTTTAAACTTTTAGGCATCACCATTTCCAAGATAATAAAAGACGCGGGGAAGGAAAAAACCCAATCAATCAAGCAGGTGAAGAAGCAGACAGAAACAGGCTGAAGGTTAATGGCAGCAACATAAAACAAGGCAGAGGCCAAGCATCCCCCAAGCCAGAGAAGCCTCAGGGCCATGCACAGCTGTAGACAGCAAGCCAGAGAGGGGTCTTGGCACTGCCTCACCTTCCACTTGTCCAATGGGGGAGCACTACCCCATTGGAGTGGTTAAGGTTGGACACCCGCACCTTCAGAATGTCCTGAATCTACAGGAGGTGACAAGGGAAAAACAAGGGCAGGGGGTGAAAGACAGAAGTGGCTTAGAGAGAAGCAAGAAAGTCAGGGTAGGAGGAAGATGTGGGTTCAGGAAAAGGAAACGCTGAAGAAGAGCAGAGGAGATTAAAACCATGGCCTGTGCCATTCTTCCAAATGGCCACCTGCTGCCTTGCCAGGGGCAGGAAAAAATAGATGGAAAAGTCCCCCGAGTGACGCAGTCACAGAGTGGAGTCAGCTGACCAATGCAGATCTTAATACGCTCACTGGACCCCTCTCCTCAGGCCCAGGACATGGGCGATGAATCTGGTAGAGCTCCAGACCTCCACCTCCATTAAAAAAAAACAGACTCCTGAGTAAGAGTTCACTTGAACTAAGGGGACTTCAGCTAAAAAACAAGTTTGAAAGACACTGATCTTATCCAGTATCATCTTACAGAGGAGGAAACTGAGGCCCAGCAGAAGAAGTGATTTTTCTGTGGTCACCCAGCAAGCTGGTGGCAAGTTAGACCTTCTCTTGCTCCTAGTGCCTTGGGCTCTCCTCACCACACCCTGGGCCCCCTTCAGTGACTCCTAGAGGGACAGCCTGATGGCAAGTGGCTGTACTCATTAGCCCAGCTTCCCCTTGCGAGTGGGGATCAGGAAAATCAAACAGCAATGACCATTTCCTGGGTATCCTGGGTGTTTACAGCAGGCCACGTACTAGGGGTTAACATGAAAACAACAACAATAAGGAATCTCATTTAAACTTCACAAATGGAAGTCAAACAATACTACCCCTATTTCACAGATGTGAAAAGAGAGGCTCAAAGAGCTCAAGCAACTTGCCATAAATCAGATCGCTAGCAGATGAAGAAGCAGGATTCAAACCCAGAATTCTTAACCAGTACCCAGCAATCTCAACAATTACCCTCTACTGCCCCTTGGGCCCCCTGTCCCCAGGAGCCTGGCCAGCCAAGACTCACATCCCCAGGTGAGTGGCCACCACCGGAAGTGGTTGTCTCAGGGCTACTGTCAGTTTTTTTCTTTTTTGTCTTTGCTCCTGCTGGAATACCAGGGCTCTTCCTTTGCTGATATTCTTTTAGCTGTGGGAAAGAAGAGCAGTAATACACATGAGAACTACCAGCCCTTACAGCCACACCCTCCTTACAGTTTTTGCAAAATACTCTTATACACCATCTGATTTAATGCCACCAACAACTGTACAAGGTGTTGTCACAATCACTTAAGTGACTGAGAGGGATGGATATTATGGCTAAAAAAAAAAGTGTGGGGGGGCAATAATGGAACTTAAACTCAGTCTTCTGACTCCAAGCTCTGGGGTTTTGCCATGAATCAGCAGCTGCCGGGGACCAAAACCAGACGCAGAGGTAGAAAAGTAAACATTACATAGGCATGAACTACACGCTGTGTGGTTTAGAGTCATACATCCTCAAATGTCTGTTAGTGTGAAGAAGTGCACCAGTATCTCTCAAACTTTTATATCAATGTGTCCTCATGGCAGAAGGCAGCTTTTTTGTTAAATCTGGGAATTTATCAGAAAGAGGACAACCCAAGTCTCATTTCAGAGAGAAGTCTGGTATACTCTTAGAAACCTATGTGAGGGTCACCCCTAAGTACATTAATGTTTTTTCTCTCTCAAGAGAATCAAGGGAAACTGATGCTTCAGAAAGATCTCCCACATTTATCCTGTGGCACTCAATGTACCCTAAGTTGAGATGATATGAGGAAGATTCAAGCTGTCAAGTTCAGTTTCCCAAGACCTATTCCACAGAAGATGAGCAAATCTCACTTCAGAGACCACTGACTGAAGGGCAGTCTGGTCCCAGAACCGTGGAGAATTAGAATATGAGGTGGAGAACTCGGAAAAAAATGTTAAAGTCTCTCTGGAGAGTAGAAGCCTGGGAGAAAACCAAACCAAACCCATTCTCCCATTACCACCCAGAGATACTGTCAACGTTTTGAGCTCACAGGGGAAGTGTAGGCTTTTCACACTGTCGATGTCTATGTGAAGGGAGTAAGGCAGCCTGAAACCTCTTGCTCCTAGGTCCCATGGTCCCCATTTCCCTTCTAGCTGGAAATTTGTGCTGTGACCAGAGGAACCAGAAATGGGGTGAGAATGCTTAGGGGACTGGGTTATAAGATCAAAGGCCGGTCTTGCAGCAGTAATGACAGTTCCTAGGAGGACTGTGACATCACTACATTCCACTCCTCCTGGGGGTGGGGGAAACCTCATCAGTGCAATGGCTGAGTTGCCGATCCACGATGGGGGAGGGGGGACGTGGGGCTGGGACCCAGGTCCTTGGAGGTGCCAGCCCAGAGAGCCCAGGGAGGTCGGGCTTGGGTCAGCAGGAGGGGAGAGCAGAGTCTGCTCAGGGAACCCCAGGAGTCACCAGCCCAAAGTCACCCCGGGATGACTGGCGATGCTGGGGGGTTGGGGCTGGGGGACCCAGGTCCTTGGAGAGGTGAGCCCAAAGAACCCAGGGAGGTTGGGCTTGGGGTGGCAGGACGTGAGGGCTGAATATGGAGCAGGTATCCCCAGTAGTCATCCGCCCAAAGTCACCGCAGGGTGATTGGCGAGGGCAGAGGCTGGGCTGCTTGCTGAAGGGGCGGGGCTGACTGACAAGACTTTGGTGGGGGGAGCCCAGAGGCGCCGGGGTAGGGGGGCCCAGCCCGGTGTGCCTCAGGAGTGGTATGGACTCTGGGAGTGGTCTTGTCATCAGAGGGGATCTCTGGCTAGGTTGGGGGGCCATGACCTTTTTCTTGGCTTTTTACCTTTTTCTTGGCTGCTGCCAATTTATTCTGTCGAGATTCTTCTAACATCATGGGGTGGGGAGGGAGGTAGGGTTGGGGCCACATCAGCGAACACCTCCAGTCACCTACAAGGCTGCTGTGTGACTGAGCCAGAGGAGGCGTAACCAGGGCCACACTAGAATGCAGAATAGGGGTGTGGCCTTAATGCTCCAATCCCATTGGTCAATGAGAAAGATGAAAGGGAAAGGAGGCGTGGCCAGGCAGCAGTGTGCCCAGAGGAACCTGTGACATCACAAGGAAAGCTGCCCATGCGACTGCTGTCCCTGCCCACTTGGGGAGAGGGGCGGGGCCTGCCTACTCTGGGAGAGGGGAGGGCTGGTTTTTGCTTTAAAATGTTAAAAATAAACTTTAAAAAAATATGTATTTATACTTTATATATATGTGTGTCAGTGTGTGTGTGTCTACATGTTCCTCCAGAGCTGTCTTCATTATCCAGCTTCTATGCATGGTCTATGATTTTGGCCTACATTTTTCATCTTCAGAGGGAGTATAAGAATTACCAGTATTACCCCAGTGAAGATACAAATCCTATAAAAATGGAAAATCCATAGCATGTTTGATGATTAATGAATGAAGTGGACTATATTATCCAACATCCCAATAAGGTAAAATAATCACAATGATTTCTCGGCTTTGGAAAAAACATTTCTCTTATTCTCCTACATTATTAAGATTTTTTAAAAAACAAGAAACATGTCTAATATCTTTAAAAACACAAAGCTTTTGGGCCGGGTGTGGTGGCTCACACCTGTAATCCCAGCACTTTGGGAGGCCTAGGTGGGTGGATCACCTTAGGTCAGGAGTTCAAGACCAGCCTGGCCAACATGGTGAAACCCTGTCTCTACTCGAAATACAAAAACTAGCCAGGTGTGGTGGTGGGTACCCGTAATCCCAGCTACTGGGGAGGCTGAGGCAGGAGAATCACTTGAACCCGGGAGGCGGAAGTTGCAGTGAGCCAAGGTCACGCCACTGCACTCCAGCCTGGGTGACAGACTGAGACTCCATCTCAAAAAAATAAAATAAAATAGTCAAAAATAAATAAAAACACAAAGCTTTCCATTTAATAAGCACTCAAAGCTCTTTACTGGTTTAAAGCAAATACAAGGCCTATTTTTCTAGAATCACCTGGCCTCTCTAAGCCTTGCAAATGAAACTGAATTTCTCACTTGATACTTGGCTATGACTTGCAATCATGAAAACCAAGAATTGTGTTATGTCACTGTGTATTGATTGTTACCTGAATTCCACACTAGGCTGGGATCAAGGGTTGAATCTTTCATGATTTGCTCCATAACCTGTGAGCTTCTTTTCCTACACCAAACTAAGCTTTGTTCTAGAGTTCTACAATTTACAGTTAGTAGACAAGAGTGGTTCTCAAAAATGTAGTCTCTGGACTAGCAGCAGCAGCAGAACCTGAGAACCTTTTATAAGTGCAAATTCTCAGGCCCCACCCTGGACATGGTGAATCAGAAACTCTGGAGTAGGGCTCAGCAATCTGTGCTGCAGTCATCCCTCCAGGTGTTCAAGAACCTCTGGCATACAGCAGGCAGAAAAATGTGTTTCCTTCTGTAGGTCCAAAGCCAGGGATACCATATGTTCTGTCTTGATATGAAACAATGGCATGCAATTAAAAGACATAAATCTCCTTCCTGCTCCCACCCTCCATCCAATGTGTTTTATTTTTATGAGTTAAATAAGAAAACAAACGGCAATCAGAGATTCAGCCTAAAAAGTATGTTTACAAGTGTCAGTTCTCATCCAGCCTGATCTCACACAATACCATTTACACCCTCTTACCTCTCAAGTTTTTTAAAAAGTGTCTTCACAATGTAAGTCTCGGGCACACTAGCAGTTCTATAATAAAACACCAAGTAGATCAGAATGTCCAAACTTACTAGAGAAGAAAAGTGGAATCACTGGCTGTATTTTCAAGTTGCATTCAACAGGAAATGTAAGTTTTTCATTCTTTTCACCTTCACACTTCAATAGCATTAAATCAGAATACTCCATTCTTCCAAAGCCTCTAGCCAGGCAAAGTTTTACTGTATTACTTCTTGCTTTCAATAGATATAAAGCAGAGTCCTGGTAGGCACATTTTGTATGCCTGCAAAGATGCAGAAGTAAACAGTTCCATCTATTCAATATTAAAACAAAAGTCCTGCAAACCTCGGATGGTGAGTGTAATACTTCAGCACTAGCACCAAAGCCTCAAATATAAACAGATACCAATATCACCACTAGCAAACAAAATGAGCCCTCGGCCAGGAGCAGTAGTTCACACCTGTAATCCCAACACTTTGGCAAGCCAAGGTGGGAGGATCACTTTAAGTCAGGAGTTCAAGACCAGCCTGGGCAGCATAGTGAATTCGCATCTCTACAAAAAATCTTAAAAATTAGCTGGGGGTGGTGGCACACACCTGTAGTCCTAGCTACTTGGAAGGCTGATGTATGAAAACTGCTTCAGCTCAGGAGTACGACGCTGTGGTAGCTATGATCATGCCACTGCACTCCAGCCTGGGTGACAGAGCAAGATCTAGATAATTACAGTCTGTCCTGCTCCTGTTTATGTTAAAATGCTTTCAATCAGCAGGATAAAAATTAAGTGAAATGTGACTTGGGAGCTTGGCCAGAAAATAGGCAATGGAGAAACAGGCACTTCCCACAAGAATAAAAATGGCCAATAAGCACATAAAAATGATTCAAGGCCAGGGCCGTGGCTCACGCCTGTAATCCCAGCACTTTAGGAGGCCGAGGTGGGTGGATCACCTGAGGTCAAGAGTTTGAGACGGGCCTGACCAACATGGTGAAATCCCATCTCTACTAAAAAATACAAAAATTAGCCAGGCATGGCGGTGGGCACCTGTAATCCCAGCTACTCGGGAAGCTGAGGCAGGAGAATCGCTTGAACCCAGGAGGCAGAGGTTGCAGTTATCCGAGATTGCACTGTTGCACACCAGCCTGGGCCATAGAGCAAGACTCCATCTCAAAAAAAAAAAAAAAGTTTCAAAAGCACTAGAAACCAAAGAAATACAATGAAAACAATGAGATTTTCTCCTTAAATATCAGCAAAGAGGACAAATGGAAACGGGATACTGGAGCTCTGCCCCTGTTGGGAGTATAAACTGAACCAATTTTTCTGCAGGATAATTTGAAAATTTCTATTAAAAATCTTAAAACTATTTTATGTTATTTTTCTCCAGAAATTCTACTTCTATGACTTCAGCCCCAAAATGCTTGCTTGCGTCCATTAAAATATATATATAAGAAAATTTACTTCTGGGGTGGCAATGATTAACTTAATATACATCGAGCTTTTAAAAAGATGATGCCAAGGATATATTTACTGCCATATAAATATGCCCAAAACATAGTGACAAAAGACTATATATTACGATTCTACTTTTTAAAATGTTCATATGCATAAAAAAATATAAAAAGCAACAAACCAGAATGCTTTCAGTGGCAAAATTAAAGACTTTTCTTCATATTTTGTCTTCCAAATTATTACAAAAAGAATGCAATTTTCTTTATAATCAGGGAGAAGTATTATTTTCATTTATTTACATATAAATTTCTTTTCTTTTCCTTATTTCTTCTAATGTATGTATCACATGTACCCTAAGAGCTTGAATCCCTACTTCTTGAGGTAAATCAGACCATTTCTGTCTCTATCAACTTGCCTTTTTTGGACATTTCAAATCAATAGAATTATACAATATGTGGTCACATGTCTGGCTTTTTACTTAGCTAAGGTTTTTGAGGTTGGTCCATGACATATAACAGGTTTTGGTAGTTTGTTCCTTTCATTACTGAGTAGAAGTCCATTGATGGATATATACCACATTTTGTCAGCAGAGAACATTTAAACTTTGCTTTCAACTTCCTATGGTCTAAATGAAACCGCTGGAACACAGGACTTACAGTGAAAGCTGCTGTGCATGTCAAAAGAACTACTTATCAGAACCAGCTTTGTCATCAGGAGCCTGAACTGCTGCAGAAATTTTTATCATTTTGCAACTTCCTTTTTACAAGCAGCTTTTGTGCTATTACACATCAGGACTTTTGAAGCATCTGATACATCCATCTAATAAGTATGAGCATGTGTCTGAGTGGACAAGTACAACCATCTATGCTACACTGCATATTTTTTCCTCCCCCAGACTGGACCAGGGAATCTCTCAACTTTCTAGAGTATCCTGTCTCCATTGACAAAGCTGAACAGTATTAAAGATCCTGCTGCCTTTGTTAGGCAGATTTGGAAGGAAGGCCCAACAGCAAGGGTGGAGAGGAAAAAGAGAGGGGAGCTTGTGGAACAGGAAGCCCCCTGGGGTCTGCGCATGGCTCCCAGCTGTTGAGGATGTTGTGGATGGGGAAGTGCTGATGGTGTCCCGAGGCAAGCCTAGCACCTGCACTGGGCCCAGAAGGTCTTGACTTTGGCCCCTTACCCACGTTCCAGAAGTGTTTACAAGCTGGTTTTGCTTTTCTTCTTTTCCTAAATAATCATTACTTGGTAGTTAGTTATTAACCTTTCTTTGGGAGAGGGATGGGGCTTTAAAACTGAAGAACATAATTTTCATTCAAATATCAACAATGGAAAAAAGTTACTTTGTAAACAATTTGCTAAACAAACCAAATGGCAGCTGTTGAGAATCTCAATAAAATGTTAAATGCATTTGCTGCTGTTAGAAGAAATACAGAAAAAAAATTTTAAATAAAGAAAAAAATGCATTTGCTGGCAGTGGTACCATTTGCCCAAGGTTGGGTTGCTGTGTCATCATACTGTGGTGGGGGGTATATGTGGTGTATATGTGTGAAACTCTTCATCTCAGGATGGATCATAATGTGAGCTGAAGTTTTCCTTCCAAATAGGGTTACAAAGTAGTAAAACATGGGCTTGGATGTGACAGACCTGAGTGAATCAGCCAAGCTTAAAGAAAAACCCAATAAAATTAACTTTTAATAATCCTGAGGTTGGTTTTTGAAATAATAGATACAATGATTTACTCTAAGCATCAGGTTATGATTTTGAATCAGTAATACATACTGTCTTGACCCTTTTTTTTTAAATGGAAACAGAGGTTTCACCCAGAAAACCCCAAAACAGTGACTTTTTTTTTTTTTTAAAGACAGGGTGTCATTCTGTCGCCCAGGCTGCAGTGGAGTGGTGGATCTCAGCTCATGCAGCCTTGACCTCCCACCTCAGCCTCCCGAGTAGCTGGGACCACAGGCACCACCGTGCCTGGCTAATTACTGTATTTTTTGTACAGATGGGGTTTTGCCATGTTGCCCAGGGTGGTCTCAAACTTCTAGGCTCAAGCCGTTCACCCACTTCAGCCTCCCAAAGTGCTGTGTCTACAGGTGTGAGCCACTGTGCCCAACCTGCAGTGATTTTTTGAAATGTAAGTTCAAGCATCTCTTCTTAACTCCTTTAATTGGAGGTATCCCTTCTCTCATTCTCCTCATCTTTGGTGTTCCCCCTGAGTTCACTGCTGTCTGGATGTACAACATACGTTTCAAAGTCAAGCCTGGGTGTGGTGGCTCATGCCTATAATCCTAGCACTTTGGGAGACCAGGGCTGGCAGATCACTTGAGTCCAGGAGTTCTAGACCAGTGTGGGCAACACGGCGAAACCCTGCTTATATTAAAAATACAAAAAATTGGGCATTTCCGGGAGTGCTGCATGGAGTTGGTGTCAGCCGCTTTTGGCATGGCGGCCTTTTCCAGCCTGGCTGGGCCTATCCTGTCACTGAACCCACAGGTAGATGCTGAGTTTCAGGAGGTGGCACAGGTTTGCAAGCGCATAACCCAACGAAAAAAACAATAACAACTGGCCGGTCACGGTGGCTCATGCCTGTAATCCCAACACTTTGGGAGGCTGAGGCAAGCAGATCACCTGAGGTTGAGAGTTCGAGACCAGCCTGACCAACATGGAGAAACCCCGTCTCTCCTAAAAATACAAAAATTAGCCGGGTGTGGTGGCACATGCCTGTAATCTCAGCTACTCAGGAGGCTGAGGCAGGAGAATCGCTTGAACCCAGGAGGCAGACGTTGAGGTGAGTTGAGATCTTGCCATTGCACTCCAGCCTGGGCAACAAGAGTGAAACTCTGTCTCAAAAAAAAAAAAAAAAAAGAAAAAAAAAGAACAACTTTCTCCTGGAGTAGCCTATGTGCGCCACCTACCTAACCTACTGAATGAAACCCAGATCCTTTCCTATTTCTCCCAGTGTGGCACTGTTACAAGGTTCAGACTATCCAGAAAGAAAAGGACTGGAAATAGCAAAGGCTATGCATTTGTGGAGTTTGAGTCTGAGGATGTTGCTAAGATAGTTGCTGAAACAATGAACAACTACATGTTTGGTGAAAGACTCTTGGAGAGTCATTTTATGCCACCTGAAAAAGTACAGAAAGAACTCTTTCAAGACTGGAATATTCCATTTAAGCAGCAATCATATCCATCAGTGAAATGTATAATCAGAACCTGCACTTACACAAGAGCTACGGATGGAGGAGTGATTTAAAAAGAAAGAAGGATTACTCGAGAAGAAATTAGCTTAAAAAGGAATTGATTATGATTTTCCTTCTTTGATTTTACAGAAAATGGAAAGTATTTCAAAAACAAATCGTCAGATGTCTACAAAAGGCCAGGTTTTATGTAAGAAGAAGAAAAAGGTTTTAGGTACTCCTGACACTCCTGAGAAGACTGTGGATACCTAGGGCCCCACACCGGTTTGTACATCAACATTTTTAAAGAGATGAAAATCTGAAGTGGCTGAAATGAATGATGATGATGAAGATAATGAAATAGTTTTCAAACAGCCCGTATCCTGTGTAAAAGAAGAAATACAAGAGACTCAAACACCTACATATTCACAGAAAAGAAGACGAAGAAAAAGCAATCAGTGATTTTCAATGTATTATATGTAAGATTTCTTCTGAACAATATTTTTATGAGAAAAATACAAAAAATTAGCTGGGCATGGTTGTTCATGCCTGTAGTCCCATCTACTCGGGAGGCTGAAGTGGATCACCTGAGCCCAGGAAGTTGAGGCTACAGTGAGCCGTGATCACGCCACTGCACTCCAGCCAAGTCAAGTCATTACATTTATCTTACCTATTGTAGGCTGGCTTAAGTGGGATTTGTATTAAGAATACAATAGGCAACCTCACAGACATCCAAGTACAGAACTCAAAATACGACCACACCATGGAAGGACTGGGCTGGGAGGTGATTTTTCTCTCCTGCATGCCTTCACTCTGGACTTCTGCTCCATGCTTGTGCTTTGCTCTGCAGATGAACATATGGCATGTGCTCCAGGCTCCTCCAGCCTCTGAGGCTTTGGCTTGCCCTGGCAGTATCCCTGGTCCCAGTGTTACTGGACCTTTCCATACAGATGCGTCTCTGCAAAAAATCTATCGAACACTCTATGTGTCATTTCCACTGAGCAGGATAGAGAATCTGATCTGCCTGGCAGTGGGGCTGGGAGTTCCCTAGTTGTCCCTGGATTTGTAGTGCTGCCCTTTCCAGAGACTCGAGGAGGGGCCGGATATCCAAAAAGAGAGTGTGGGTGGGAATCAGCAATACAGTCCACTTCAACAAGAAAGTATAAAGTAGAGGCGGCGGCTCATACCTGCAATCCCAGCACTTTAGGAGGCTGAGGCAGGCAGATCACTTGAGCTCAGGAGTTTGAGACTGGGCAACATGGTAAAACCCCATCTCTACTAATAATACAAAAAATTAGCTGGGCATGGTGGCACATGCCTGTAGTCCCAGGTACTTAGGAGGCTGAAGTGGGCATATTGCTTGAGCCCAGGAAGTAGAGGCTGCAGTGAGCCGAGATCATGATGTCACTGCACCCCAGCCTGGGCAACAGAGTGGGACATTGTCGCAAAAAAAAAAAAAAAAAAAAAAGGATAAAGTGGCAGCATCTCTATGCATGATTGAAGTCATGCTTTCCATCTATTTTTTTCCACCTTTCCTTTTTTCTCTCTCAAACACTATATCTTAAGATTGTCCTCATGTTAGCAAGTACTCATAAGCATTATTTGAATGGTTGTATCATAATCCATTATCTGGACTCATTGTCATTTATCCATCTGCAGTTGCTGGAGATACTGCCCTTTCTGCCACACTCAGTCACGTTCTGACCTTTCACTGTGTCCAGTTATCTACTAATATCCATACTGGTCATTTAGGACTTAAGAACAAATAGTTATCATGGTTCCTAACACTTAAAAAGAAAGTATCTTCCTAAAAATAGGAAGGCTTTGTGGTTATGATAATTTTAAAGCAAAATAGACAAATTGATGTTGAAATTAATGTTTTGTTTTATTCTTGTATCTATTTTTCACTTCTCTGTCATTTTGATGGATAAAGTTTCAATTGGAAGGATTTTTATTTCAAAATAGAAATAGCATACGACATGAGAATGGGAACTCTGAAAGGTTTAACTTTCTAATTTACTAAGATTGTCACAAAAGCTACTGATAGTCAATCATGATTGGCCTGTATTGAAAGTGAGTTAACATTATGTACAACTTAAGCACTATACATTTTATCAGATATAGAAAAATAGGTGGTGGGTTTGGAAAAGTATTCGGCTAGGAGTCAGGGAGCTTGACTGTTAGTCCCAATCCTGCTTCTTCGGCTGAGCACCCTGAGGCAATAATTCAGCAGCTATTTCTTAAATACCTAATGAATTTCAGGCTTTGTAGTTGGGCTGGGAATATAGACATAGATACTGCATTCATGATTCTCCAAGCCTCCCTTCCTCACCCCGGTTCACAGTGAGCTTTCTTATGCATTGTGTAAATTTGTCTCCTAACCGGCCCCAAGTCTGTCTCCAACCTGCTTCCCAGGGCTGTTGTGAGGATCAAATGAGAGAGAATATGTGTGAAATCAAATTCTAAATGATTTGAAAATGTAATAGAAGTATGACCCATGGAAAATTATTTAAAGATCCTCAGAATTTTAGATAAACAGTACATTAACCTGAGTTCTCTATGGTTTGTATTTTAAATAGGTATGAAAGTTTTACAGTGGACCACTGATATGGTTGAAAATCTTGGCTTGATTTTTCTCCAAGAAAATGACACAGTGTGATTAATTTTCTAAAATTGCCAGCCAAAAAAAACCAAAACCTTTTTTGAGTTGATTGACTGGATCAGTCAAAGGAACGTTGACTGTATAATGGAGAAATGTTTTCTGTGTTCACTAAAAGCTTGCGTTTGTTTGATTCCAGCTGCAGCATATCGTGAGTGATGAGATCTGTGTGCAGGTGACTGATCTTTACCTGGCAGAAAATAATAATGGGGCCACCAGAGGCCAGCTGAACACACAGAACTCAAGGAGCCTCCTGGAGTCAACGTATCAGCGGAAAGCTGAGCAGCTAATGTCAGATAAGAATTGCTTTGAGGTGAGAGTTGCTCAGGTAGTCGAAGACCTTGCTGGTGACAATGTCAGTTGTTAGGATTCTCTGAACCAGAAGTTAAAGCCGGGGTACTTTGACCCATGATTCTACTCCTGGACCTTTTAATGAGTTCACCGGAAAAATACAAAGTGGAAGTAACTATCTTCCTGGACAATCTACTTTCTTTCTTGCCTTTAAAAAAAAAAACTCGTTATATATGATTTTTACAATTTTGTATTCTTTTTCTCTGAACATTTTTCATAGTATGCTTTGTAAATATTACTGTTAGAAAAATGTTGGTACATGAAATCCATGGTCATGATCATTATAGAAAAGAAGACAGACCCAGCACACATGGCTCACACTTGTAATCCCAGCACACTGGGAGGCTGAGGTGGGTGGATCACGTGAGACCAGCTTGGGCAACATGGCAAAACCCCATCTCTGCAAGAAATACAAGAATACAGAAATTAGCCCTGCATGGTAGCGTGCACCTGTAGTCCCAGCTACTCAGGAGACTGAGGTGGGAGGATCGCTTAAGCCTGGGAGGTCGAGACTGCAGTTAGCTCTGATCACGTCACTGCACTCCAGCCTGGGTGACAGAGGTGACCCTACGTCAAAAAAATAAAAGAAAAAAAATGCAGATAACCAAAAAAAGTCACCTTAGAATTCTTTCCTGAAATCACCATTGATGACATTTCTAGACTTTTCTATGCTTGAGTATATATTTTGAAAGAGTTTATACTGTACAAACAGTCTTTAACTTTTTCAGTTTTTGAGACAGGGTAATGCTTTGTTGCACAGGCTGGAGTGCAGTGGTGCGATCTTGACTCTGCAACCTCTGCCTCCTGGGTTCAAGCGATCATCGTGCCTCAGCCACCCTAGTAGCTGGAATTACAGGCATGTGCCACCACACCAGCTAATTTTTGTATTTTTGGTAGAGATGTGTGTCAGATCCCGGGGTCCAGGTCCAGCCCATGCTGAAGTCTGAGGAAAGGGGGTGGGTGAGCTGAAAGAACACTCAAGGGGCCGTAGGCAGGTGAAAGATAGTTTCATTCAGCAGCAGCTCTCATTAACAGCTTTCTTACACTAGCCCTCTGATTAGCAGCTTACCGTTCACCCTGTCTTGGCGGCTTGAGCCAGCTGCCCCCACACACAGCTGTGCAGCCGGCTCTCCCTTACCTTCAGGGTCAGCAGCTTAACTCTTTCTCTCTCTGGGCATGAGCAAGCCCAGCTGCATCCTGGCTCCCTCCCATCCATCGGCAAGATGGACAGCTTTGGCGTGCTCTCTCTTTCTCTGGGCACCAGTGCGCCTGCCATGTCAAGCCATGTTGAGCTGAGACCAGCCAAGCCCCCAAGAGCCATGTCTCTTATGCACAACGTCAACAGGTCAGTTATACCTTTTACATACAATAGTGGCATAAAGCCAAGCATGAACTTACACAAACAGGTTATATGACAAGTGGAGGTGTGCATTTGCACGCCAAACTCCTGAGTCACGCAGGCCTGGATATCCGCCTCAGCCTATTCCTTGACCAAAGCACATCCATGTACCTTACAGTGTGGTTTCGCCATGTTGGCCAGGCTGGTCTCAAACTCCTGGCCTCAAGTGATCTGCCCGCCTTAGCCTCCCAAAGTGCTGGGATTACAGGTGTGAGCCACTGCATCTGAACTGAAATGGTCTTTAATGTATTTTTGCTCAATTAGCAACACTTCTGGGTCTTTAATGTCTTTTTTATGGCTATTTGATATTCACTTTTTAGAGAATTAATGCCTGTATTGTTGGACATTTAGGTTGTTTCCAATTTTTCACCATTATAATGGATAATTATAAAAGCAAATAGTTGGAAACAACCTAGACGTCCAACCCACTATGGGGACTGGTTAATGACATCCTGTTACGAATACTGGAGACAGATTTTGCAATTCTTAAATTATAATTTGTGAAAATGCAGGGTCTGCCCCCCCAACCCCGAAATCTATTTTGGAAATAACTGTATTTGTGTGTGTATATATTATGTTATTGTCAGGTTGTAAGCTTTACTAGCAGAGAGCAATTTTTAAAGCTTTAAAAGAACACTGAGCTAGATCTAGCTTCTGGCTCTGTGTGTTTATTGACTAGTGGTGTGCCTTGAGAAACCAGAACTCTTCTGAATTTCAGTTTTGTCTCTGTGTAAAATGAAGAAGGTTGAAATAAAAAATTCTCAGGTTTCCTTCCAGGCTCTGGTCTTCTCCATGTGATTCTGATAGTTACCTTGTCTGCAGAAAGCCTTTAGGGTACTGAGAAGCCCAGGGTTCTGAAAGGGAGATCCACGTGCCATCACCATTGATAGTTGTTTGGTGCAAAACATGGTTTGCTTGCCTCTATTGGTGTGTTGCTTTCAAGTATGGAATTTTTTTTAATCACACAATAATATTAGTGGAGGTCAGAATTTCAGGAACTTCATATACAATTGGTGCCATTATAGCAACACTTTTTTTGTTTTGTTTTGTTTTTGAGACAGCGTCTCACTGTGTTGCCCAGGCTGGAGTGCAGCAGTATGCATGAATGCCATCAGTTTGTAGCTAACACAACAGCTCCCTGGAGGTCAAGGCATCCTGGCTGTCACTCTAGCCTTCCTACCAATTAAGTTAATTACATCCACCTTGTGGATGATGGTGAAGGGCCACCACCTGGCATCCGCTGTTCTCGCCTTCCACCGTTCCCACTGACACCACGAAGCCTGGTCTCATGGCAGCATCTCCTCTTGTCGATCCTGGCCTACCAAGGATAGTGCCACTGAGTCCCTCAAAGATTCAGGTGCCCTTCTCACTAGTGCCTTCCTTGCTTGCCTAGAGAGGGGAGTTCCTGTGAGCCCTCCAAGGGCACATAGTCAAGTGGTGGATTCCGAATCTCCTGGCATATAATGAACCATTCCAACATTCCTACCTCCCTGTACTTTCTGGCTTCTTTGACGCTTTGCAAATGCAATTCTATAATCTCCTCCTAATTCACTGCAGCAACTGTTCCGTCCACATTTCAAGGAGCCACTCCAGCACTGTGTTGGAGCCCCAGGTGTCTTTGCCAAGCCATTAAATCTTGAGAGTGCCCCCAGGTTAGTATATTCTCATGTATACAGCCTTTAGTCTCCCCCTGGTCCAACACCCTTATGTCCACTTCTTCACCTCCTCTCCTAGATTCTGCCAGTAGGCACTTGGCAGCTCCTGCATTTTTGGCAAAAAAAAAAAAAAAAAAATCATTCTCCCAGAGCAGATTGTGCCTGTGACCTTGGGCCATGATGAGAAATGACCATAGCCTGGTGTCAATGTGGGGCAGCAATGACGACACACCTCATCCTGCTGTAAGGCCTTGTTGGAGGCTCTTTGCCTAGTCTCCAGGCAAGGGGCAGCTGCCCTTCTCTTAGCAAGGAAAGGGGGCTACTTCCTTTAGACCAGAGCATTTAGTGGAAACTGGAGGTTCAAAGTTCTCAGATGTATCCACTTAAGTTTCTCCATATCAGATATCAGGATCCCTTTTCTTTTCATTTTGTTTCATTTCGTTTTGTTTCATTTCTTTTCTTTTCTTTATTTTGAGATGGGATCTCACTCTGTCACCCAGGCTGGAGTGCAGTGGCATGTTCTCAACTGACTGCAACCTCCACCTCCCAGGCTCAAGCAATCCTTCCCACCTCAGCCTCTTGAATAGCTGGGACCACAGGTGCGCAACACCATGCCTGGCTAATTTTTTGTATTTTTGGTAAAGATGGGGTTTTGCCATGTTGCCCAGTCTGGTCTCAAACTCCTGAACTCAAGAGGTCCACCCACCCTGGCCTCCTGAAGTGTTGGGTTACAAGTGTGAGCCACTGTGCCCAGCCCTTTCTTTGTCTTCTTTTTTTTTTGTTTGTTTGTTTTTTTTTTTTTTGACATGAGGTCTTGCTCTGTTACCCCGGCTGGAGTGGAGTGGTGTGATCATGGCTTGCTGCAGCCTCAACCTCCTGGGCTCAAGCAATCCTCCCACCTCAGCCTCCTGAGTAGCTGGAACCACAGGCATGTGCCACCACACCTAGCTAATTTTAAATATTTTGTGGACAGGGTCTACCTATGTTGCCCAGGCCGGTCTCCAGCGCCAGGTCTCAAGCATGCAGCCGTGCTGCTGCTGATGATCCAGGAACCAGATTTGGAGAACTTTGTTCTAGCGCTACTGCATCAGCAATGCCTGCCCTTCCACCTGTACCATATCCCAATCCACAGTAGGTGAGTTTCCTAGTGATGGTATTGCTATAGCCCACCAGCACATCACTACCCCACTTACCACCAACAATGGATCCTGTTGCCACCTGATTAGTGAGTTCCAGGATCCTGTCCTAAAAGTCTACTCTCTAGGGCTACTTTTTAAAATTTTTAAAAAATTTTTATTTTATTTTTATTATTATTTTTGAGATGGAGTCTCGCTCTGTCACCCAGGCTGGAGTACAGTGGCATGATCTCAGCTCACTGCAACCTCCACCTCCCAGGTTCAAGTGATTCTCCTGCCTCAGCCTCCCGAGTAGCTGGGACTACAGCCACATGCCACCATGGCTGGCTAATTTTTGTATTTTTAGTAGAGATAGGGTTTCACCATATTGGTCAGGCTGGTCTCAAACTCCTGACATCAGGTGATTCACCCACCTCAGCCTCCCAAAGTGCTGGGATTACAGGCATGAGCCACCACACCTAGCCCAAATATCTTTATTTTGTCTTCTTATCTGACAGATATTTTCACTAAGAATGGAACTTGAGGCTGGCAGTTATTTTCTTTTGGTACAGTGAAGGTGTCATTCCATGGTCTTCTGGTTCCTGAGGTTTCTGTTGACTGACAGCCTAATTGTTGCTCCTTTGAAGGCAATCTGAATTTTTTCTCAGATACTCTTTTTTGGTAGGGGACCAAAAAAAGGGGTCATGCACTACCAAAGTGCTGGATTACAGGGTCTCACTTTGTCACCCAGGCTGAAGTGCAGTGGTGCAATCTCAGCTCACTGCAGCCCAGACCTCCTGGTCTCAAGCAATCCTTCGACCTCAGCACTTCAAGTAGCTGGGACTCCAGGCATACACCACCACACTTGACTAATTTTTTCTATTTTTTGTAGAGACAGGGTTTCACCATGTTGCCTAGGCCAGCCTTTAACTCCTGAGCTCAAGCAAACCACCCACCTCAGCCTCTCAAAGTGCTGGCATTACAGGCATGAGCCAACATGACTGGCTCGGATACTTTTAAGATTAAAGAAAGTTTTTGCCTTTGGCTTTCTGCAATTTTACCATAACGTGTCTAGGTGTACTATTATTTTTATTTGTCCTGCTTGGGGTTCATGAGGCTTCTTAAATCTGTGAACTATTGTTTTTCATAATTTAAAAAGTATTCTCTGTCATTATTTTTTTAAAATATTGCTTCTGCCTCATTATCTCTTTCTATCCCTTTATTTATTTATTTTGAGACAGGGTCTTGCTCTGTTGCCCAGGCTGAAGTGCTCACTGCAGCCTAGAGCTCCCAGGCCCAAGAGATGCTCCCAGATCAGCCTCTCTAGTAGCTGGGACCACGGGCGTGCACCACCACACCTGGCTAATTTTCGTATTTTTTGTAGAGTCGGGGTTACACCATGTTGCCCAGGCTAGTATTGAACTCCTGGGCTCAGGCGATCTGCCTGCTTTGGCCTCCCAAAGTGCTGGGATTCTGTGAGCCACTGCGCCTGGCCCCTCTTTCCTTTTTTTCTGGGATGCTGATTAAAGGTATATTTGGCCTAGTCAAATATGTGGTGGTGTGCACCTGTAGTCCCAGCTACTTGAAGGGCTAAGGTGGAAGCATTGCTTGAGCCCAGGAGATCCAGGCTGCAGTGAGCTGAGATCGCACCACTACACTCCAGCCTGGGTGACAAAGTGAGACCCTGTAATCCAGCACTCTGGGAGTGTATGATCCCTTTTTTGTCCCCCCGCAACCCCAGAAGTATCTGAGAAAAAATTCAGGTTGCCTTCAAAGGAGCAATAATTAGGCTGACAGTCAACTTCTCAACAGAAACCTCAGGAACCAGAAGACCATGGAATGACACCTTCACCGTACCAAAAGAAAATAACTGCCAGCCTCAAGTTCCATTCTTAGCGAAAATATCTGTCAGATAAAAAGGCAAAATAAAGATATTTGGGCCAGGTGTGATGGCTCACGCCTGTTATCTTAGCACTATTTTTTTTTTTAAATGACAAAATATTTTTAAATTATGAAAATATATCTCTAGAGGATCCCTAGTGTATCCTCTGTATCACTTACTTTCTCTTCTGTGTGTTTTATTTTTTTTGTCCCTTCATGTTTCATTCTGAATATTTTCTTCTGAATTACTAGGTTGGTGAAAAAGTAATTGCAGTTTTTGCCATTTTATTTTATTTTATTTTATTTTATTTTTTTGAGATGGAGTTTCACTCTGTCGCCCAGGCTGGAGTGCGGTGGCACAATCTCAGCTCACTGCAACCTCCACCTCCTGGGTTCGAGCAATTCTCCTGCCTCAGCTTCCTGAGTAGCTGTGATTACAGGCTTGTGCCACCACTCCTGGCTAATTTTTGTATTTTTAGTAGAGATGGGGTTTCACCATGTTGGCCAGGCTGGTCTTGAACTCCTGACCTCAGGTGATCTGCCCACCTCTGTCTCCCAAAGTGCTGGGATTACAGGCATGAGCCACCGCGCCTGGCCAGCCATTACTTTCAATATCTTCCAGTTCATTAATTCTCTCTCAACTGTGTCTAATTGGCTCTGGAAACCATGAATGGAATTATTAATTTTAGTTATTGTATTTTGTCTTTCTTTCTTTTTCTAAGAGAGAGCCTTCTTCTACCACCCAGGATGGAGTGTAGTGGTGCGATCATAGCTCAATGTAACCTCAAACTTCTGGGCTTAGGTGATTCTCCCGCCTCACCCTCCTGAGTAGCCAGACCTATAGGCACAGACCACCAGCTGGTCTCAAATTCCTGGGCCTCAAGCAGTAACCCTGCCTCGGCCTCCCAAAGTATTGGGATTATAGGCATGAGCCACTGAGCCCCAAGTTAATGCTATTGTACTTTTCAATTTAGAATTTACTTTTTAAATACCTGTGGTGCTATTTTTTTTGTAGTTTTCTAAACTCTTGCATCTTATATTTTACTTCCTTGAACATATTAAGTATAGTTATTTTGTAGCCTGTGTCTGATTCCAATATCTGGAATCTCCGAGCATGTTTCTATCGTTGCTTCTTTCTGATAGTTCTTGGTTCATGTTGTGTTGTGTCCTACTGAGTCTAGCTACCTTAGTTGTGTGCCAAACATTTTTTAAAAATCAGTTTGTAATGCTTTGAGGCTTACGATAATGTTGTCTTCCTCCAGAGACAATTCTGTTTTCCCATTCCACATACCTGAATACACTAGCAATCCAAAAATTTTAAATTCAATTTTGGGGATTGAGGCCGGGTGCGGTGGCTCACACCTGTAATCTCAGCACTTTGGGAGGCCAAGGCGGGTGGATCACCTGAGGTCAGGAGTTCGAGACCAGCCTGGCCAATATGGTGAAACCCCATCTCTACTAAAAATACAAAAAAATTAGATGGGCATGGTGGCAGGTGACTGTAATCCCAGCTACTTGGGAGGCTGAGGCAGGAGAATCACTTGAACTTGGGAGGTGGAGGTTGCAGTGAGCTGAGATTGTGTCACTACACTCCAGCCTGGGCAATAGAGTGAGACTGTCTCAAAAATAATAATAATAAAATAAACATAAAAAACTGGGGGAATTGCGACTCAAAGCTGGACTGCAGTCTCTGCGAGGTTCAGTTTACTTTCAGAATACCCTAACTCTCAAGGTACAGCCTTTCATTGTCCCCACCTTATGGTCTGTGGGTTTATGAGAGCTACACACAATACCCTGCCCCAGGCTTTGGCAGTCCCTGGACTCAAACTTTTGTCCCCATTGCACCTAGACGCTGTTCAACATGTACTGCCCAGCTTCTCAGCTGCCTTTTTAGAGGTGGGGAACAACCGCATGTGAAAAGTAGCTCCGAGTACTGAGTTACCTCTCTGGATTGCTGTCTCTTCCTGTGTCTTAGTCTAGAAATTCTTCACTATTGTGTTAACTCTTTGATGCCTTCAAACAGATTTTGGGGTTTTTTTTGTAGCCAGTTTTTATTAAAGGTAAAAATTGCACAGCTTTTCCCATTTTTTTCCTTGGTTAAGTCTATTCATACTGCCTGCTCCTTGAGTCAGAAGCAAAAGCATGGAGGTAGGAATGAGCCTGGGAAGAATGAGGGGTACCCTCATCTAGAGTGAAAGGTGTTCACTCCAGACATGCAGAACGGTAAAGAAAATTATGAAAGGCCAAGAAGGCTTGGAAGGGTAGGCTGACTGGAAGGGAATGCCTGTCCACTGACTGCCCTCCGCCTCCACTGAGTGAGTCCTACTTACGTTGGCTGAGTTGAGTGCTGCCAAGGTGGGGCAGGGGTGCGTGTCAGGCAAGACTTCTGCCCTGCGTGGATGTATAACTCAGGCGAGGACAGGGAAGAACAGAAAGCCCCAAATAATAGTGGCTCAAATGAGAGAGAAGTTTATTTCTCTCTCACACCAACACAAGTCTGAAGGTGGCAGTTCACAATTGGTAAGGTGACTTAACAAGGATGTCTAGTGCACTTACAGCCTCATGACACTTTATCCTATTGGCTAGAACTGCGTCACACAGGCACACCGACCTACAAGGGAGGCTGGGGAATATAGTCTTTATTCTGGAGCACCATGTGCCCAGTTAAAAAGCAGGAACACTGTTACTAATTAAGGATGTGTTAAAAGATAAACCTGGCCAGGCACAGTGGCTCATGCCTATAATCCCAGCACTTTGGGAGGCTGAGGCAGGCAGATCGCTTTGAGGTCAGGAGTTGAGACCAGCCTGGCCAACATGGCGAAACCCCGCCTCTACTGAAAATATAAAAATTAGCTGGGCGTGGTGGGACATGCATGTAATCTCAGCTACTTGGGAGGCTGAGACAGGAGAATCCCTTGAACCTGGGAGGTGGAGGTTGCAGTGAGCCAAGATCGTGCCATTGCGTTCCAGCCTGGGGGACAAGAGCGAAATTCCGTCTCAAAAGAAAGAAAGAAAGAGAGAGAGAGAGAGAGAGAGAGAGAGAGAGAGAGAGAGAGGGAGGGGGGGGGAGGGAGGGAGGGAGGGAGAGAGAGAGGGAGGGAGGGAGGGAGGGAGGGGGGGAGAGAGAGAGAGAGAGAGAGAGAGAGAGAGAGAGAGAGGGAGAGAGAGAGACCTAAGCACTTAGAATTTTAGGAGTTGGAGCAGACAGTGATTCAAGAATCAGGCAGTGCCAGACAGCGAGTGGTTTGGAGCTCGAGGGGAAAGCTTGTATAAGGTGCACACAAAAGCAAGGCAAAGAAAACATTTGATTGGTTAAAGTGGAGCAGTGGCCTTAATGTCCTTAGAAGTCAGTTGGTGGTTTCTGATTGGTGAAGTCCCTAGTTAGTGATTAGTGGGTGATTTCTGATTGGTGAAGTCCCTAGTTAGAGGTTAGTTGGTGGTTTCTGATTGGTAAAATCCCTATAGGACAGTTGGTGTTTTCTGATTGGTGAAGTCCCTAGTGAGAGGTTAGTTGGTAGTTTCTGATTGGTGAAGTCCCTAGTTAGAGGTTAGTTGGTGGTTTCTGATTGGTGAAGTCCCTAGATAGAGGTTAGTTGGCAGTTTCTGATTTTGTAAAATTTTGTTTTCTAGGATATGGCTGTTCATGATGAGTGGGGTTTCAGTTTGCTTACAAAAGAACCTAGGGTATGGCCAGGCATGGTGGCTCATACCTGTAATCCTAGCATTTTGGAAAGCTGAGGCAGGAGGATCACTTGAGGCCAGGAGTTCAAGACCAGCCTGGGCAACAGAGCGAGACCCTGTTTCAATTTTTTTTAATAATAAAAAAAAGAACTCAGAGTACTATAGCCACCTCAGTCATGCTCCCAATTAATTATTTTAATAAGAGGATTACTTGGGGACAACTAGTGATCTCTGCTAGTCCCTCTCCTCTCCTCCCTTGTCTTCTCTTCCTCGAGGAAGCCTGCCCTGACATCTCCAATACTTCCTAAGTCCCTCTTCTTCTGCCCCACAGCTCAGAGAGACAGACCACTGTAAGAAAATTTGGAATAAGAAAAAAACATTATTGGATGTCTCCAATGGAAAACTGCATTGTTTCAATTAGAGCCCACCCTTCTGACTAATGATTCTAGCCCTTCATTGCCTTCTAGCTGTTTTACAACTCTGTACCTTGCAGATGACAGATCGCAATGCAAAATCATTCATCTCTATAATCATGCAAGTAAATGGTCCAGTGGAGGTTAAATTGACTCCCTCCCCCAAGTAAAAAAGCCAGCTTTATATATCTGTTTGTAAATTTATTTCAACATTCCTTGACTCCATATAAATATATGCTTCTTTGACTTCTCCTTTGAACTGGTTGTAACATCTCCAGGTTCCCTCGTTAATAATGAGTTAAATACAATCTTTTACATATGTTCAATTTTTATCTATATGAGAATCAAGATTTTCCTTTCTTAAAAAAATGATCTTTCAACACCATGCATAGAGGATCCAGGCAGAGGCTCTAGCAGGACAGATACCAGCCTGGCCTGAGAGCTCAGGAGGAGTGAGTGACATTGGGTGTCAGGGCCCTGACCAGGAAGAAGTGCCTTTGGAGATAAAGGGAAAGTCTTGGTTTTGGGGCCGAGTTTCCTGCCTGGGACACCATTATTCCCAGGGAGAAGGGACAGGCAGCCAGTGGGACTAAGGCTGGGCAGGGAGGCAGGTAGTCTGCCTCGTTCAGCGGGGACATCCACTCATCCCTGCCCCCAACAGTGGCTCACAGACCAATTCCGATCCTGTCAACCTGCTTGGAAGATGTGTGTGACATCCATTCTCGATATCTGGGTGATGAGGCAGTGAGCAGGGCTGTAAACCCAAGACCCTTCCCAGGCCCTCAGAGAGCCTTGACTGGGTCCCTGGGTTAGGGAGGGAACTGGAGGGCTCTGGCATGTGACCAGAGGGATGGGGGAGAGATGGGACTGTGAGCACTTCCTGGTCCACCCAGCCCCAGGACTGAGGTCAGCAAGGCAGGCTGCAGCTGAAGCACCGAGGCCTTGAATGCCACATGGAGAATTCAGAATTTGCAGACGATGTGCAGGGTCCCAGGTTCCCCAACCCTTTCTTCCCTGTTCTTCCTGTGAGCCCCAAGTTCTGTCCTGATCAAGGGGCCTGGGCCCCCAGACCTTCAGAGCACTTCTCTCTGATGAGTAAGGTAACAGATAGGAGATTAAGGTCTGGATCTGGCAGGCACTTGCCAAGGGCCACACAGGAGAGTAAGATGGAATGCCGCCCCGCCTCCACCGGAGCTTGGGCTGGGAGGCAGGAAAGAGCAGGCCAGCCTGGCCCCCCATCCCTGCAGCTAGGGAAGCCTGCCCTGGAAGGTACACAGGCAAAGTGCATCATCTGCTGGCCCCATGGCCCGTTTGTCTAGGCAAATGTCTTCCTGGCTCAGCCCCCGAGTGACCTGCTTCTGTTCTGCTCCTCCCCTTGGGGCCCCACCTTGCCCGCTGCCCCCCACTACTCTCCAGGACCCTTTGGGGTTCCACACAGCCCCTCCTCTGGCCCTGGAGGAGGGATACAGGATGAGCCTCGTGCAGCCCCCTCCTCCTGCCCCAGGGAGCCAAGTGGAATGGAGCAGCTGGGAAGCCACGGCCCTGAACGGTCAGTGGGAGAAGGGTCCCCTCTGTGCTCAGCTGTGCAGGGAGGCGCATGGAGGGGTGTGGAGAGGGGCAGGACTCTACCATGGAACAGCAGGGTGTAACTGCACCTGGACTGCAGGCCTAGCAAGGCTCTGGAGCTCAGAGGAGAAGGGGAATGCTGTCGTGGACTAGAGGGCCAGGGAGGCCCTGGCCCAGGGGGCTGAAGCTGGCTCATGACAGAAGGAATATCACCCAACCCTCGGGGCCCAACCCCCATCCTGTCCTGGACACTGTGGCTGTTTTCAAAGTATTATTGTTGAAACATTTATTGATGTGAGGCCAGAGTTCCCATCCAATTTATTTCAGGTATCAGGATGGGTTATTTCAGGTCTTCAGATGCCCTCTGATGAGAGGGTAGGGCAGGGGAAGAACAGTGTGAGAGAGAGCCTAGGTCTAGCCTGGCAAGCATTCAAATTCCAGACTCGCCTACCCCTGACCCCACACTGAGCCCTGACACTTGTCACAGACTCAGCCCTGATCCTGGCCATTCTCTGAGCCCTGATCTTAGACATAGACTGAACCCTGACCCTGGCCCACAGAGAGCCTGGATCTCCAGTTCTTGGTTGAGTTTTCTCCAAAATTGTCCTTGGTCAGGACAGGGTGTTGGTGGGAAAAGGGAGCGTGTGCCTGGCTTCCTGCATCACCTCCCCACTCCTGGATCCTGAGCCCTCTGCCCGATGGCATGGAATGGCCTTCAGGTGTGTTTCTGTCCCTTATCACTCATCATGTCCCAGGGAGCTGCTGCTTTCCCCACTGTTGCCAAGCAGGCCTCAGCACTGACAGACTCTCGGCAGAGGCCCAGCAATGCCAGAGCCCTGCCCCCCAGCTTTGGCTCCAGCCGGCCTGATCTGGAGGGTACAGGAGATGAGGACCCAGTGTCCTAGGGTGTGGGCAGAGCCATCAGAGAGCAGATCTTCCTGGCCCTGAGTGTGCCAGGGAAAGGGGTGGCCCTTCCAGGCCCAGCAGGGGTTGGGCAGAGGGTGCTGATGCTGCTTTCACCCTGCCTCTGTGGGACACCAGCGCCTCCACAGACAGAGGCTTCTCAGCAGCACCAGGTCCACCAGGTGAGACCTGGGCATCCTGGGGGCACAGGGAAGGGAGGCAGAATGGGGGTGCTAGAGTGGGTTGGCTGGCCTGGAGATGGGGTCACGGGCCCCTAGATGGGTGGCCTGTGGAAGGGCTTGGGGGAGAATGGGGCCAATGAAACCAGGACTCGAGGTAGAAGTTGCCAAAGGCCCAAGCCTCCCTCCCTGTCGTTGGGAAGCCATCCGTCCCCACCCCGACCTGGCCAGGCTGGCCCCTTAACAGCTTCTCCCAGAGGAGCCAGGAAACAGCGGAGGATGCAAGGTTTCCAAACAGATGAGTTGTGGTGAACTGGGAGGAAGAGGGGCTGCTTTGGGAGGTGTGTACAGCCTGGGTTACAGGCCTTGCGGTGGAGGGGTGGGTTGTGGAGGATTGCTTTCCCCAACCCTTGGAAAATAGCTCCAACGGGGAGGGGAGACAGCCCTGCCCCCCAGCTTTGGCTCCAGCCAGCCTGATCTGGAGGGGACAGGAGATGAGGACCCAGGAGATGGGGGAAGGGGTATCCAGGTAGAAGGAGCTGGGTGGGGAGGACAGGAGTCTGGCCAAGGCCCTCTCCAGGTCTGATTTCCTATTGAAGGTTTCCAGCCATTATCTTCCCACCAGAGGAGGCTCTGGTGACCTGGGACAAATCATGGCAGGGTCACACAGACACCAGGAGCCTGGTGGGAGAGGCTTTGGAAACTCCCCAGGACCCCAGCAGGTGGGGTGGGAGGCTAGATCTGAGACCTGAGCCATCCCACGAGGCGCCAGCCTCCCACCCTGCCTGTCCTTTGGCAGCTCTCTAAGCCTCTTAGGGCTGCCATGGCCCTCTCCTGTGTCAGAGGCTGGGGAGGGGGCAGGGGCATGAGAGGAATGCGCAGGGGACCCGAGAAGGATGGTTCTATCCAGGTGCGCCCACCTCCACACTCACCCTGCCCAGTCCAGGGCTCTGATCAGGATTCCACACGGGAAAAGCACTGCAGGAGGAGGACTATTCTCTTCTGATCTTCCCCTCTCCAAACCCCCACGCAGCCCGATGGAATAGGAGCAGGACCAAACTGGGACAGGAGCTGGCCAGGGGATGGGACATGGACCAACCCCTCCCCAGCGAGCTCCATACCACCTGGACATAGAGCTCCCACCACAGCCACAATCAGCACCTCCAGCATCCCTGCAGCCACTGTCCTCACAACTACACTCACCACAGTCATTCCACATCACACCCAAACCCACACTCATACCCCCATCACCGGCATGGTCACCACCTCCATTTGAAGACTGGATAGGACTCTGAACTCCTCCTCAATGTGTTTTCAGGCCCATAACCTCCCAGGCTGTGGGGCAGGCACAGGCTGCCCCCATTCAAGACTCTGCAGCCCCAGAGGTCAAGGGCTTTGCTGAAGGGCACCCGGCGAGTTAGGGCAGCCAGGCTTGCACCCCCAGCCACAGGGGTGGAAATGTGGGAAAGGCTGGGCAACATCAGTCCTTTCTTGAAGGGAAATTCGAGAGTGTCTTCGTGTTTGCCACCTGCTTCTGAAGCCTTAGAAGCCTTGAGAGCCTTCAGCATGGGCGTGCAGTGGCTTCTGGCTGCTGGGATTCTCCTGGCTGGTAAGGGATTAGGGTGGGCTGGGCCTGGACCAGGGGTCCTCTTTCTCAATCAATTTCCACATCTGGCTTGGCCTTCATTGTCCTCATGTGGGTCTGGCCATGAACAGCCTGGGGGATACCAAGACATGGCCAGGGTCCACTCCTCAGTCCCCCAGGCTTGGGGCTCCCAGAGGGCACTCAGGGTGACCAGCTTTGGGGAGCCTGGCACAGGGCAGACCCCGCATGGATCTCAGTGTACACTTGTAGGTAGGTGTGGAATTAGCCCCCAGGGCTTTCAGAGATGGCCCCCGCCCTCCCCACAAAATACTTTAAGGTCCAGCTGTCAGCCTGCTGTGTTCTGAGGATGTGATAAGGCAACAGCCTTGTCTTATGATGAGGATTGGGCAGCACTTCCTGGCACCCTCAGGCTGGCGTGGACCTCACAGGTCATTCAAACAGAACAGTCCAGGGCCCCCAGCCTGGAGACAGCATCGCCCTGGGGAGCTCTTGAGGCCCTTGGGGAGGGACCCTGCGATGGGTGGTGTTGGGGTGGGAGGCACAGGGAGGGGTCCTTGAGGAGTGTCAGTGTCCCCTCCTGCTTCCCTCAGCTCTGGTGGGTTAGGATCAGCATGTTTTCCTGGGGTAGCTCAGTGGTTTGGGGCCGGAGCTGGGCCAGGGTTTGGATCTCCGCAGGCCCCTTCCCAAACGAGGGAGGTGGCAGGGAAGGTGTGGCATCTGACAGGCTGTGGGCAGTCCCACCCCCCAGTCCCCCGGGTGGCAGGCAGAACAGGCATCTCCTGTTTGCAGCTCTCTGGATGGTCTCAGCTTCCGCCCTGAACCTTCCTTCTACTCACAAAGACCCCGGCTGGCCTCCCTCAGCCCCTGGCACGTCCGCTTTGCAAGGCAACAGCAAGAAGACACTCCTGTCACTGAACATCCTGCCAGCCATCGTTGATGGAGTCTCTCTCTCAGCGGAGAGGAAAGGGGAGGCTCCTAGCACAAGGGCAGAAGCCCTCTCTCCCGAGGTATCTGGGGACCAGGAAGCTCCTCTCGCCTTGTCTTTGGATTCCTCCTCGGACCAGGCTGTCCCTTCAGGAACTGCTGGGGTCCCAGGCAGGGCCCCACCTGGACCAGCCCCATCAGCACTGGCCTGGCCCACAGCCCACAGAACCCCTGAATCCCAGCCAGTGTCCTCTGTGGCCGGACTTGTGTCTGGATCTGTGGCTGGACCTGCAGAGGAGATGTTGGTCCCTGGATCTCCAGAGATTGCTGCCCCATTACCACCATCAGCTTCTCTTGGCCCAAGGTATCTCGGGTCTGGGCAAAAGTCCAGTGAGGCCCCTGAGTTGTCTGTGACAATTCATGCTCTTGCCCCTGCAACCCTGAGGACCTCTGGCACCCCCAGACCTACCCAGCAGCCATCTGGAACATCCTCTGCCCCCACCACCTCTGCACCCATATTGGGATCCCCACCGCGGATGCCCTGGCTCCCAAGCAGGCACACCTTCAGTCCCCATGCCTGGATGCTGCCTGCGTCAGGGGCTAGCAGCTTTGGCCCAGAAGCCTCCTCATCGCTGACATTGGCTCCAGGGACCACGGGGAAGGCTGTGTCCTCAGAACCCCCCAGCCCATTTGTGCTTGCGTCGATCGTTAACACGTTGGCTGTCACAGAGCCTCTTACCCCTGTAGGTCCCTCCCCAGTCCTCATAGGGGATTCAGGGTCACCCAGAGAGGCTGTGGCTTCCAGCCGGGGCCCGGGGCCCAGTGTTCCTTTGACGTTGCCATCGCCCTCAGCAGCACCACCTTCACAGCCATCACTGTCCTTCTCCCCATGCCTCTCACCTGTGTTGGCCCCGTCCTCGTCCCCACTACACATTGTTCCATCTTTGTCGCTGTCACTGTCACTTTCCCCACCACAATGGCCATTTCAGTCACCAACTGCATCACTATCCCCAATCCTGGCCCCAGTTTCCCCTGTAAGTACTAGAGCCAGAACCTCTGCAGACCCTTCTGTGTCTATTCCCACACACAAGCACAGATTCTCCCACTGATCCTCCAGCCTCCCACCCACCCTACCACCCTTGATGGTTGCAGAGCCAGCCACACTTCAGGGGACAGTCCAGCCTGGGCCAGGGGTCCCTGCCAGCCCAGCCACCACAGCCACCCTCCCTCTCAGATGTTCCTCCCGCCTTCCCTCTGCCCCACCCAGCCCCAGCTCCCCAAGGGTCCCTGGGGGTGCTGACCCCATCCAGTCTTCCGCCCTGCCTTATCGCAGCCAGACCTTCTCATTCCAGGACTCAGTCTCCTCTACCCCAGGACCCAGTCACATGACGCGCTCCGTGACCTTCACAATCACCAATGAAGCCTTCTCGGCTGCACTCTTGAACCCTGCCTCCTGGAAGCACCAGCTGCTGCGTAAGATCATCCACCACCAGGTGAGGGCCCCTCCTCCAGCGTGCAGGTGGCCAGTAAGGCAAAGCGAGGCAGAGTTCCTGCAGCCAAAACCAAATCCGCCTCCGCCTTGGTTCTGGAACCATGGGTGCCCTAGCCAGCAAGTGCCATTTCTTGACTGGCATCCAGGGGGAACTCTGAGTCTCTGTCCATTAATTTATTAGTTCATCCCTTCATTTAGTCAACTAACTCATTTCTTCCTACCACTAACTGAGCACCTACGGTACCAGGTATGGTGCTAAGTGCTGGGAACACCACAGTAAGCAAAGCAAGCATGGCCCCTGCCCTCAGGGAGCCTGCAGTCTGGAGGAGAGGACAGCCCTACAAGGAGTGATCAAATGAATCCAGATGTCATCGTAGTTGTGATAAGCTATGGAAAGGGGAAGTGCAGACAGGATAGCAGCGAGAGGGGGCTGCTGGGGAGAGGGGGCTGCCCAGACCACACCTTTCTGAGAACTGGGAATTTTAACTGGGACACCGAAGGTGGCCAGATGAAACACAGAGGGGCTTTCTAGGCAGAGAACAGCACCTGTGATGACCCTGAGGTGAAGAGGTGGTTGGAGGCAGCAGAGGCACAGGGACACCGGGGAGAGGGGCTGTAAAGAGAAGCATTTGGAACAGGGGTGGGAGAGGGAGAAGGGGAGGCCTGTTAGGAGCAGGGCAGTCGTCCAGGTGAGAGAGGTCTGGATGGCAGGCCAACATGGCAGCTGTCCAATGCAGAGCTGAGAATGACTGCATTGGAGAGCGATTTTCAAGAAAACGGCAGAGAGGAAAAAACCTAGGAAGGCTGGGTGTTTGCTGCAGCCTCTGCCTCCTGGGCTCAAACCATCCTCCCACCTCAGCTTCCCGAGTAGCTGGGACTACAGGCACACACTACCATGCCGGGCTAATTTTGGTATTTTTGGTAGAGAAGGGATTTCGTCATGCTGCCCAGGCTGGTCTTGAACTCCTGGGCTCAAGCGATCCTCCCGCCTCAGCCTCCCAAAGTGTTGGGATTACAGGCATGAGCCACGACGCCCAGACAGACCTTGAGGCTTTCAGCAGAGGATGACTGGCAGGTTATCTCTGGCCACTGTGTGAGGAACAGCTTGGGCGGGGCCTGGGAATCCCAGGTGGTCCGTGAGGGACCATTGCAGGGACCATGCCAAGATGATGGAGGGTGGACGAGGGTAGGTGGTAGGGTCAGAGAGGGGGTGGGTTAGGGCAGGAGGGAAGGTGGGGGGTGGCACGTGCCGGCCTTCCATGCCTCTGCCCATCCTCAGCTCCAGCCCCTCTACCACGAGGCCTTCCCCGGCTTCCAGGGCATCGGTGTCCTGGTCTTCAGGTGAGTGCACGTGGCTCTCAGGGCCCACCCATCACCCACCAGCTGCTCTGACCCTTCTCAGCCACAAAGGCACTGTCCCAGATGCCTAGCTCTGCCCGTCCCACCCCCTGTTCAGGAGCACCTGGGGACAGAGGCAGGAAGAGCCCTGGACAGGCAGGGAGGAGGCCCACGTCTGATTCTGCCACTGGCTATGCTGTGTGACCTCATATGCCCTTTGGCCTGCCCTGAGCCCTGATTCCAGCTGCAGGATGTGGGCAGGAACATCAGGCATTGTCTGAGTGCAGTGGGGAAGGCAGAGGCAGCAAGGGCAGCAGGCTTGTAAATGACATGCAAAGGGATGCAAATCCCTTGGGCAGGGCCCTCCACTCTAAGCGTCTGGGGGAAGAGGATGTTGAGGGAGACCGAGACCATATTTGCCAGCGGAGAGCAGCCCTGCCATGTCATGAGAAAGGCTGAGAAGGTCCAAATCACTGCAGCCCCACTTGAGTTGTGAGCTCACTGTGGGCTTTGAATCCTGTAAGTAATTTAAAGGCTCAAATGCTCCCAGTGACAGGAAGCTCACTCTCTCTCCAGGCCATGCTCCTGAGCTGCTCAGACAGTTTTCCCTTTTAATAAATGGAAGCCTTCTATGACTTCCCTGCCCTGGGCCTGAAGAGAAGTTTTCTCTCCCCACCCCCAAGATGCACAGCACGCAAGTGCTCAGGGGAAGGACAAAAGTTATTCTGGATTCTTATTTGTTTCCTGGTCTCTCCCCGAAAGCTCCTTCAGTGCCTTACTGAGGCCAGGGTACCTCCTCAGGCCATGGGCAATTGGTCCATCTCCCACTGGCTTTCAGAGATTCTTCAGGCCTGTCATCTCCCTCTCTCCAGAGCCCCTGCTCCTTGTGATGCAGCCAAAGATGTTTTTCTCAGTGTGACCCAGATTATCACCCTGAGAGCTCACAGCCAGCTGCAGCCTGGCTGAGTAACCCTGCCCTGGGAGCTCCCTGGGTGGGATTCATGGTATTCCCATGACAGCCGGCTTGTTGGGGTGTCCAAGGGAACTCAGTTTCACTGAGTGCCTGCTTTGGATGCTGGTGGCTGAGTCATTCAGGCCTCACAGCAATCCTCTGGGAAAGGGATCATTATCTCCCTTTTACTGAGGAGGCAGCCAAGGCCCAGACGGGTGAGGTGACTTGCCTTGAGTTACACAGGGAGGCTCTTCTCTGCGTGACCCATGACTTCCCCTGTGGACTTCCCTCCCTTGGGATGCCAACTCGTGCACCAGCCTGGCCCCCACCGGGTGCACAGGACCCCTCATGCCCCCACTGGCCCTGGCTGAGGACGTGGCTCTGCCCCCACAGGCCTGGCTCTGTAGCGGTGAACGCCTCCCTTGTATTTGGGGGCCGTGCCCCAGGCCCCTCTCCCTGTGAACTCCTCTGGGCTTTGTATCGCAAAGTGAAGACCTCAGGGCACATGCTGGGGAACCTCTCATTGGCTGAGAACAGCCTCACCTCTGATGGTGAGTCCCATCCCCAGCCGCCCCTACCGCAGTGCCTTTTCACCTCCCCAGGGGGAGCACTGGGTGGACTTCCTGGAGGGATCCAACTTCTGCCCTGACCCCGAAGCACCTGGTGGTGCGGTGGGCAAGGAGGGTCTTGGCGCCTCCGGAACTCTCACCCATGGCTCTACAGGGGCCGACTTGATCACCCTGGCCCGGGAGACCATCAGCATCCGCTTCACAGCCATGAGGTCCTTCCTGCCGCAGCTCCTCGTACCGGGTTCTGTTTCCTTTGTCCTGCTGGAAAGGCAGATCCTCCAACAGGTGAGGTGGCATAGTGAGGACACTCACTATACCTCCCTTGAAGCAGGCCTCCCAGCATGGAGGCAGCACCCAGCCATGGCACTATGGCGGAAGGCAGTCATAGAGGGCACCCTGGGGGAGAGGGTTCTCTGAAGGAGGAGGTGACTGTCCGAATGGGAACACAGCCAGGCTCTGTAAGCAGACACTCCTACCCAGGACGCCGTGTTTAAGGGTGCGCTCCCTCCCAGGTCCTGCCTCCCACCTCACCTGGTCCCCATCCCACACTGGGTCTCAGGAGATACAGCTCCCAGGCCCGCCCTGACCTCCAGGGTTTCCCACAGGTCACACCGGTGGTGTCAGGATTCTACAAGGCGAGTCCCCAGGAGAGGCCCCTGCTCCTCTTCAGGTGGGTCGAGTCCCCCTCCCATCCACTCAGCCTGCCCTGCTGCTCTCTTGGGGGCTGCCCTGGGACAGAGGGAGGCAGCTCTGTGACCCAGAACCAGGATGTGGGGGTGTAGGTTTGGGGCTAGCTGGGAAAGGACTTTGCCCCAGGTAGCTGTAGCTTGGCTGTGTAAGCTAGCTCTGCCTAGAAGGTAGGGGGCCCCCACGCCAGAGGGTGTGCATTTTGGGGGACTCTACCTGCTCTAGAAACGTGCTGGCAAAGAGCTTGTGACCTCTGCACTCTCCCCTTGTGCTTCTCTAGCAATGCGGACCAGTGGGTGGGTGTTTATATCGAATACAAGTTCCAGACTCCCATCACTACCCACCTCCAAGGCCTGGCTAATCACTTGGCCCAAAACATAACAGATCCCATCCTCCAGAAATCCAGCATCGTGGCCAATGGTGAGTCGGGGCTGCAATCCCTGTGTGTCTCTGGGCCAGCAGGCTCTTTCCCTCTCTAAACCTTGGTGTTCCCCTTCTAGAGAATGGGCAGAATTTCCTTCAGACAACACTTGCTCATGTGTTGGGGCCACAGAGAGGAATGGGGCATAGAGCTTTAGCAAGGAGCTGGACAGAGGCGAGAAGCAGTCAAGATCAGAAGGATGAGAGGGTCCCGTCACCTCCCTGATTGCCCAGGACCTCACTGAGTCCTCACATGCATGACAAGATCTGTCCCACCAAGTCAGGGGCAAAAGCCCTCAGCTCTGCCCCAGTGCAGGGGCTGCAAGAAGCCCATATCTCCTCTTGGGGCCTCCTGCAGGATGACTTCTGCAAGCTTGTTGCCATTCAAACAGGGAGAGCTGTTCCACACCCAAGTTAGGAGAGCGCTGGGTCAAATCAGTCCCCTCCAGCTACGCACAGCCCAGAGCTGCTCTCCGAGGACCCCTCAGCCACAGAAGGTGCTGGTCCTCCTACAGTGCTGCCCCACCCCCACCACCACAGCCTCCTGGGGGTGCGGTCGGGGGTGCGTTCAGGGGTGCCCTCCTTCGGGCTTTGCCCCTGCACTCACTCCTACACAACTACTCTCCCTGCCGGCAGCCCCAGAGACCAGATTGGTTTGGGCCTCTGCCTCCGCAGGCCCGAACCACCATCTCTTCTGCTCCCCAGAAAGCCAGCTCCCAGCACACAGGCAGCGTTCCCTCTTCATTCCTCAACACAGAGGGCCCCTCACAACCCTCTCAACAGATGGTAGAGCTCCCCATGTGTCCTCTTAAAGAGGCTTCACCATTGATGGCCACAAGCCCCACCATGACCTCCACCCAGGGAGTGAATTTTCTTACGTGTCTCCCACCGGATCAGGGACAAAATAAAACATAAAAGCAGCAGCTGTTAAATTATCAGCAACATTTCCTACTAGGATCAACTCACGGAGTGGGCAGTGTATTCCATTAGATGGATTAGTACAGGGGTTAGCAAGCATTTTCTGTAAAGGGCCCGATGGGAACTCTTTAAGGCTCTGCAGGCCACTGGGTCTCTGTCACCACCTACTCAAACCCTCCTCTTAGCAAGAAAGCAGCCCTAGGCAACATGTCAACAAATGAGCGTGGCCACGTTCCCGGAAACCTTTCTTTATGGACATGGAAGTTTGCATCTCACGTACTTCTCATGTGTCACAAGATACGATTCTACTTTCCATGTTTTCAACCATTTAAACATGTAAAAGCCATTCTTAATTCATGGGCCACACAAAAACAGGCAGCAAGAAATTTGGTTTTTAGACCAGTGGCAGCTGACCCCTGGATGGAGCATAAGAGCTTGGGTGTGTGTCCCACTCCAGGGCTTCCAGGAGAGGGGATGCAGGCTGATGCCACCTCCACCCCCATCACTCTAGGGGAGAAGGCAGAGCTGGTGCTGTATGAAGTTTGGCTGCAGATCCTGGTCCAGCCCTACACCAAGGCTTTGGAGGACAAAACCAGCCCTGAGTTCTGGGCACTTCAAGGGCAGCTGACGAGATGGGTGAAGTGGCGGGATGAAGTGGGGGGTCGAGGAAGAGGCCTCGGGAAGATGGGGGATGACTGGACAAGACTTTGGTAGAGCTGTGACCCTCTTCATCCTCTCCTGACCCCCCAGCTGAACTTCATCCTCAGACCTCTGCAGAACTTTGACCAAGTGGTGGTGGAGGAATTCCCGTGGGTTCAGGGTGGCCCTGGGTGACCCAGGGCTCAGACCTGGGTTCTGGGGTTGAGGGCAGGAGGCTGGAAGAGATGACCTCCCCTAGTCCCCCAAGGCTGCCCAGCCCCCTGAAGTCTGTGATGATCCTCCCACCAGGCCGGAGCCACTGACTGCCAGAATGGGTGCCACCTTCTTCAGGGCGGCGCCAGCCCAGGCTCTCATGTGGGACCGTTTGCGCCAGGGTCTGCACACCCTGGGGAAGGCAGAGGGCCTCTTGGTGGAGATGGTCATCCCAGACCTCGGTCAGTACCTCCTTCCCTCTGCAGGCCCCCTCCCTCTGTCCATCTGCCTCCTCCCTTGGGCTCGCTGCCTCCACATGCCCTGATCTGAAGCCTGCCTCCCCTCCTCATGGAGCCCTCCAAGGTGCTCCTAGCCCCAGCTCCCTGGTCCCGCAGCACCTTCTGAGCCCAGATTCTGCCTTCTCAGAAGTCTGGGAGGCAGGGCCCCGCCTGGCCATGGCCTTCTTGCTCTGCTCCAGGCACCCCCAGCCCTGAAGTCTCCAGTCCGCTGGACGCCTCCATCCCTTGCTATGCCGTGGCTCTCCTCATCCTGGGCCTCCTGCTCGTCACACTGGCCCTTGTCCTGGTGAGTGTCTGGCTGGGCCCGGGCGCCTTCCTGAGGGGCAGCCTAAGCCTTTGACCTCTTGAGCCTTTAAGCCAAGCTGAGGGGTGAGCAGGCCCCTTTACACCCCTGATTCCCCCACCCAAGCCCAGCATCTCCTCATCCTCCAGCTGGGGTTGCACGGTTTGGGGCCAGGGGGCTGGGCCTGATCCCAGTGTCCCCACCCTTCTTGTCAAGGTGCTAAAGTGGAGGGCCTCCCATGGGGTGTTCAGCCTGGGTGTGTAGAAGCACACAGTGTGGTACAGAGGACCCTCTCCAGACAGGTAAGTGGAGGGCGGTTCTCCCTGACCCCACCCCAATTGTTTGTTCTGGGTGGGGTCCACCGCGCCTCCTGCCAAGGCCTTCTGCAAACACTCCCCGGGGGCTGTCATTGGCAGTGCCTGGGGGGTGCAGTTGGTGTGCCAGAAAAGCTCCCCAGTACTGTGGGCAGTGGCCCAGGCAGTCAGGCAGACTCCCCCAAGCAGGCCCCACCTACCCCTCGCCTGTTCCCAGCTCCCTCCCACCAACACTAGAAATGATGTTGGGGGCCGACAGAGACTGAACTTAGGAGCACAGGAGGCCAGGAGACCTGGGACAGAGAACAGGAGGTGTGGGGAGGGAATCTTCCTTCCCCCACTTCCCACTGCATGAGGGCCAGACAGTGGCACCTCCAGGTCCTGGAAGGACATGTGTGGACCCAACTCAGCTTCCCCTTTGTCTTATGGCCTTTCTTCTCCCTCCCCCGGGGCCAAGTGGATGTGGGAGGAGGCGCAGCACCGTCCTGGGTGCACTCAGACTCATTCCCCACTCCTGGCCTTCACTCCCTTTCCTCTACACACAGGTGACCCCTCATGCTGCTGCTCCCTCTGCTGAAACCCAAACTCCAAACCTCTCCTCTCCCTGCCTTCACCTTGCCCCATGGCTTCCACAGACGGTGCCTCAACCCTGAGGAATGAATCCGGAGTTCCAGCACCACTGACTTTCCCCAGAACTCAGAGCCAGAGAGGGCCAAGGACCAGCTCGAGGACACACAGCCAGGGCTTCTTCCCTCCAAAACCCCCAAGGATTGGACTTGCAGGGCTGGGACAGAGGTGGGGTGGGGGAAAGCAATGCCTTGTCAACCCACGCGGGGAGCCCCACTCCCATCCCCAAGGTGCACAAAGTTGAGAAACACCCCTGCTCCCACGTCCATGCTCACTCAGGGCCCTGCTCCAAGTGCTTGGCACTCACACCAGCCTCCCGCCCTCCATGCCACAGGTATCGGTCTCATTTACAGAGGGGGAAATGGTGGCCAAGAGCCTCCCCCAGCACACACAGCTAGACCACACAGAGGACTTAGGCACAGCTCAGGTGTCCGCAGTCTCTGCTGACCCTCTTGCCACTCGTGCTGCCAGGGACCACACTTTGGAGAGGGAGGAACGAGAGTGAGCTGGGTGCTCACACACAGGACATGGGGTTGAGGCGGGGAGATAGGGAAGGGTCAGACCGGAGGAAAGGGCAAGGTGTGATCCTGTACATACACATCACAAAGCCCACTGAGGTGGGGGCACTCAGGCCGGCTCTGGGCGTGGCCCAGCATGGCGGGCCTCAGACAGCAGAACACGGCAGCCTGGCAGCCCTCCCGTGGCGCTTTGCAGGGCACCTTCATCCCCACAGAGCTGGGTTAAGTTTCTCTCCCTGGGGCAGGAACTCAGCTGCAGAGGCAGCAGGAAGGGGACAGAAGCCCGCCCCAAAGAGGGCTGGGGCAGGGGCACCCTTACGCCCGCCTGGTCTGGCCCAGTAGAGCTGGAGGGACTGTCAGTCCTAAGACAAACACTGGCCCTTTGGGGGTATGGAAAAGTCAGGAAGCAATCCAAAGTTGGTATTTAAAAAACTGATTTCTAGATACTTAGACGGTCATATGGTGTGAGGAGCTGGGGGCGCCCCAGGGTAGAGCCCACAAGAGGAGGAAGACTGAAAAGGGGTCGGAGTGGGAATGGGGGCTGCTGAGGGCAAGGCCCACCCCCCTCCCTGACCCCCAAACCCAGCCACAGAGCCAGTCAGCCTCAGGCCAGAGGGTGTGAGCAACGGGGGCCCTGGCTGCTCTACAGTGAATCAGAGCCACTGAGTGTGGGGGGGTCTTCCAGGGCAGGTGTGGGGCCGCCAGGCCAAGGTGAGGCAGGCTCCCAGGGCAGAGACTGAGGCCAACCCCTGCAGCCCCACTGCAGGGGGGAACACTGGGATAGGCAAGGGTCTTAACCCAGAACGCCCCAGCAGCTCCCGTGCCCATCAGGACACCATTGAGGCTTGGCGGTGGTGGAACCCAGGAATGGTCTTTGAACCCATGACCTGGAAAGGGGAGCCAAGGATAGTCCTGGCCTGAAGGCTCCTCTACCTGCAGGCAGTGTGGAGGCCCAGCGAGGGGACCCCAGGAACCCAGACCATGAGCTTATGTGGCCAAAGACAGCAGCCAGCACCAAGACATCAAAGAGGGCGGGTAGAAAGATCATCACATCGGGATTGACTGTGGCCGGCACCAGGTTCCTCTGTACTTCTGGAATACACAGGCCTCTCCTTCCTATCCCTGAAGCGCCCATGCCCCCACCCCAGCACCCCAAAGACCAGCCCAATATATGCATTTGTCCTGGGTCAGCCCCACTGTCCAAGCAACTGCAATTTCTCACTAGAGAGCCAGGGCAGGGCAGGGTGTAGGAGGGGTCCCTGGAAGATGCCCCCAGAATGCCCTGATGCCTAAAACGTTCCCCATTGGGCCTTCTCAGGGAGGGAGGGTTATGGCAGCCTTGTTCTCTCCAGCTACCTCCATCACCACTGGAGCCCTTACAGGCGTCATGGGAGAGAATTGGCTCAATGGAGCCAGGACCAGCATGGACACAGCCCTGGGGCTGAGGCTAAGTGGGCTCTGGGAGACCGTCACTCTCTCTTCAAGCTTTGGTCTCCTGGCCCTCTACAAGCCAGGCTGTTTCAGGCTTTGCATGAGGTCTTGCACACAGACAGTTCAAACACAGCTGGTGGACACAGTGGGCTTTAGGGAGGGGGCACATAGCTGGGGGTGGGGGCTGGGTAACAGGGAAAGGGGGCCCTGGGGCTAGCATGGCCTGTCTGGTGGTGGTGCAATGGGACCTGCACCACATGAGGAGAGAGGGTCCACCTGGAAGAGTGGACCAGCCAGATGACCAACAAGCTGGATGGCCACTGCCAGAAACTGCAGGACAGCAGAGGGGGCTGGGAAAGGACAGAGGACAGCTGGGGGGCAGGGAACGTGGGTTCCTCCATACAGCCACGAGTCTTCCCTAAGTGGGTCTTCCCCATGGAGGCGAGGGGGCATTCAAGACACACCTCCAGCCCACCTCAAACCATCTCAGGAAGCCACCACCAACTCACACAGGCCAGCTGAATTGTCACAGTGACCCCAGAACAGCACAGCCCTGTCCTTCAGATGAATAAACAGAGGGAGAGACGCATCTCACAGCCAGGAACTGCGACTCAGACCCAGGTCCAGCTGCAGTGCTTTCTCGATGGCTCTGCCTGCACCTCCTCTGGGACTCAGTTCCCGCTAACAAGTGAGCACCTGAGTACGGGTGAAATGGGTGCTATTATCCCCGTCTGGCTGCTGGGGAAAGGGAAGCAAGGCACAGGTGACTTGCCCAAGGCCAAAGTGACAGGGCTGGTTCAACCCCATCTGTCTCAGCCAGCACATCCCCATGGCAGAGGCTTTACTGTGATCCAAACCTGGAAGGTGGAACTCCTTCCAATGTCCCACCCAGGGCACAGAGCATGCAGCCCCATGTTTGAGGAGGTGACGGTATGGGGAGGTGACAGTGTGGGAAACAATCTGGCTAGGCCAAGGCCTCATGGAGCCCAGGGTTCCCTAGGGCCAGGAGAGCTCTGGAGCCCACCCCGACACCCACTGGAAATGTGGAATCTGCACCTGCAGGAGATCAGGAGAGCGGTTCAGCCTCCGATGCACCTGCAGCGAGGTGAGACAGGCACAGGTGGGCGCCCTGCTTCCAACCAGCGTCAGGTGGGCCGGAAGCAGATCTCCTGCCTGACCTTCCTCTCCTACCTCCCCCAAGCAGAGGAGAAGGGGCAGCCGCCCATCAGGCCATTGCCCACATTGAAGCCGCTGAAGCCAGGTCCCAACAGGTGAGTCTGACCCCTGACTATCCCAGGCCCGGCCCAAGGCAGTCATGTCTCTGGTGAGGACCTGGTAGATAGATGTGATGTCCCCAAGTGGCTCTATAAACCTCTGATTGAGGATAATCAAGGAAACGGGCAAGACCATCACACTCAGCCAAGAACACGAGGGGGACTGGGGCAGGCAAAAGTCAGTTTGGGCCCAGGCCTGGCCCCTGGAAGGATGGTGGATGAGGGGCCAGCCACGGTGAAGGGGAATGGATGGCCACGGGCTGGGTGGTCAGGGCTGTCAGCTCCTGCAGCCCCTGCGGAATGTCTGCCCAGGCCTGGCTCTGCGCTCAGCCTTCTGCCTGGAGCCACAGGTTCCTGGACACCGGCCTCAAGTAGGGATAGTGGTAGGAAAGGCACTTGTGGCCACATGTGGGCACCTAAGCATGGGACAGAGGGGTATCATGCCCCAAAGAGACCATAGAGGCCAAGAATGTAAGCAGATGTGACACCATCAATAAACCCCCCTGTCCTGGGGGTTTATTGACACCATCAATTAAGTCAGAGCCTACCCTGACCCTGACGCTACAGCTCAGTCTGGTTGAGACTCACAAAGAGATGTTAGTGCTGGGCAGGGGACCTGGCCCAGCCTGCGATGTCCAGCAAAGCTGTGGGCTGGACAAGAATCTCTGAAGATTAGTCCAGGACAAGGACAGCTGTGTCTGGGCAGGGAGTGGGGGCAATGCCCAGGAGACCTGAGGACCTTTAACTAGGTAGGGTGCCAGGTCAGGATGTGCAAAAGAGAAGGTGGCATGGCAGCATCCGCCCGAGGCCAGGCTATAAACCTCGGGGCCGCCCTGTGTAGCCTAAACCATGCTGCCACCCAGATGCCATCCTTCAAATGTGAGGCAGGGCTGGGAGAGCCCCCAGACCCCTCATCCCTCCCGCCCCAAGGTGGTTCCCATCCCTCACCAGAAGGAAAGTGAACTCTTCTATGGGGCACAGCCTGCCAGGTTCTGTGTCACCTGGTGGAAGGGGCTGTGGGGCAAGCCGGGGGAGCTGCAGCTGGGTGAGAAAGAACCCAGGTCCCACTCTGTTCCTACCTGTCAGGTGACCTCGGGCAAGCTGCTTTCTTTGCTTGGGGCCAAGGAGAGTCACAGGGGAGGGGCCAGGTTAAAAGGGCTCCACCCTGGAGCCCAGAGCTACCCATAGAGAAAACCCCTATCCTCCCGATTCCGCTCCCAGCTCACGCTGCTGCGATAACATCCTCCCCATCAGAGAGGCCGTGGGAGGCAGAGGCTGACCCTTCCTCCTTCAGGCACCTCAGCGGGTTTGGTTCCGCCTTCATCATGATCAGGGAGGGGGTCCCTGGGATCTCAAAGGTGAGGGGCAGCTTCTCGGGCTCCAGGTGCTCCAAGGTAGACCCTGCAGGGCACCAGAGCTAGAAGGGCATTGGGGAAGATCTTGAACCAGGCCAGGACCTGACCTCTGCCTGGCCATGGTGACTCTGAGCCAGGTAACCCTACGTTAGTCTCAGTCTGTCACTGTGTCTCACGGGGGATGTCAGCATTGCCTTTGGAGTCAAAGTAGGTAAGCCAGGGTAACCAGAGTTCCCAGTAGGGACCAAGACCAAAGGATGCAGGGGTCGGGCCTGTCCCAGAAGGTCAGGCTGGACAAGGGGCTGTGTCAAGCTGGGGCAGCTGAGGTCCTGCCCTTCAGGTTACAGTCATCTGGGTCCTGGTCTAGACCCTCATATGCCATCCAGAGACCCAACCCTAGGGACAATTCCTCCCAGGCTGGTAGCAGAGAGTCGATCCTTTTACTCACCCTACCAAAAGCTCTGAAATAAGAAGGCCTGCCAGTGGGGAAAAGACTCTTCAGGAAAAGGTTCTCAGGGGCAGGGAAGGTTTGAGCTGGGCCTTAGGGCAGCCAGAGAGGTAGGTGACAGGTCCCCTCACAAAGCCTGCCAGAGAATGCAGGAGGAACACAGGTGTAGTGATGAGAACGTTCTGGAAGACAGCAGGCAGCCTCCCACTCACTGATGGGGCCGAGTGAGGTCATGTCCACACACCAGGAGAAGCTGGAATCCACACACTGGTGCACTTTGTTTCTTGTTTTAGAGACAGGGTCTTGCTCTGTTGCCCAGGCTGGAATGTGGTGGCACAATCATAGCTCACTGCAGCCCTGACCTCCTGGGTTCATGCAATCTTCCCACCTCAGCCTCCTGAGTAGCTGGTGAGGGAAGAGAGAGGCTCTCTCATATTGTTTTATACTCAGTACCTGTTTTAAGAAAAAAACAAGGAAGTGAAATCAAAGACAGGCAGCCCAGCGCCAGGCCCAAAGCCAGGCCTGGGCCTGCCTGGCCTAAACCTAGTAGTTAAAAATCAACTCATGACTTAGAACCCGATGTTACCCATAGATTTCAGGCATTGTATGGAAGAACATTGTGAAACTCCCTGCTCTGTTCTGTTTCACTCTGACCACCGGTGCATACAGCCCCTGTCACGTACCCCTTGCTTGCTCAAATCAATCACGACCCTTTCATGTGAAATCTTTAGTGTTGTGAGGCCTTAAAAGGGACAAAAATTGTGCACTCAGCTCGGATTTTAAGGCAGTAGCTTGCCGATGCTCCCAGCTGAATAAAGCCCTTCTTCTACAACTCGGTGTCTACGAAGTTTTGTCTGCGGCTTGTCCTGCTATACTGGGACTACAGGCACACGCCACCATGCCTAATTTTATTTTTTGTAGAGACAGGGTCTGGCTATGTTGCCTAGGCTGGTCTCAAGTGATCTTTCCACCTCAGCCTCCCAAAAACACTGGGATTACAGGGACAAGCCAGCACTCCTGGTCATGCTGGTGCATTTTGGCTGCCATGGTGCACAGGAGGTATGAGCTGGGGGGCAGAATCTGCTCCTGGACCTCTACCCAGGCCTGCACCCAGACTGACCCCTGGGCTACAGGGAACAGGTGTGGAGAGAATGCAGCAAGCAGAGCGGGCTAGTCAGTGATGGAGACCCAGGCTGGGACTAGGAGAGATAGGGCTCCAACCCTCAGCCTAGTGGCCCGGCCCAACCCCATGGGGCCAAGATGACTTCCTAGGAAGCCAGGCATGGAAGCCAGCATGCACCTGAACCGAGGACAGAAGACTCTGATGACAGGGAGGCCTCTGACATAGTGTGGATACTTGTCCCATCCACATCTCGTGTTGAAATGTGATCCCCAGTGCTGGAGGTGGGGCCTATAGTGTGAGGTGTTTGGGTCATGGTGGGGGATCCCTCATGAATGGCTTAGTGCCCTCCCCATGGTAATGAGTGAGTTTTCTAATTTCTAATTTTTTTTTCTCTTTCTTTCCTTCCTTTTTTTTTGAGACAGAGTCTCACTCACAGCCCAGGCTGGAGTGCAGTAGCGCGATCTTGGCTCACTGCAACCTCCACCTCCTGGGTTCAAGTGATTCAATGAGTGAGTTTTCTATTAGTTCACAGGAGAGCCTGATGCCTCCTCTCTCTTGCTCCCTCTCTCACCATGCGACACGTCTGCTCCCTCTTTGCCTCCCGCCAGGAGTAAAAGCTTCCTGACGCTTCACCAGAAGCCTAGCAGATGCTTGTACAGCCTGCAGAACTATGAGGCAAATAAACTTCTTTTATAAATTACCCAGTCTCAGGGCCAGGAGCGGTGCTCACGCCTGTAATCCCAGCACTTTGAGAGGCCAAGGCGAGTAAATTACTTGAGATCAGGAGTTCAAGACTAGGCTGGCCAACCTGGTAAAACCCTGTCTCTACTAAAAATACAAAATTAGCCAGGCATGGTGGTGCACGCCTATAATCCCAGCTACTTGGGTGGCTGAGGCATGAGAATTGCTTGAACCCTGGAGGCGGAGGTTGCAGTGAGCCGATATTGCACCACTGCACTGTAGCCTGGGCTACAAGAGCGAAACTCTATCTCAAAACCCTGCCTCTACTAAAAATACAAAAAATTAGCCAGGCATGGTGGTCCATGCCTGTAATCCCAGCTACTCAGCAGGCTGAGGCAGGAGAATAGCCTGAACCCAGGAGGCAGAGGTTGCAGCAGCCTGAGATCGTACCACTGCACTCCAGCCTGGGTGACAGAGCTAGACTTCATCTCAAAAATAAATAAATAAATAAATAAATAAATAAATAAATAAATAACCCAGTCTCAGGTATTCCTCTAGAGCAACACAAAACGGGCTAATACAGCCTCCACGTTTGGTGTCCAGTGGACCTGGTGGTCCACTAGACACTCAGTGGTCTTGACTCTGCCATTAACAGCCAGACTATGACAGAGTTGTTCCCCTGCTCTGCCTCAGTTTGTCCTCTCTCAGCTGAGCAGAGCAGGGATAACTGCTTCTCATGTGGGCCACAGGACAAAACAAAGCCCTGAGTCCCACAGGAAGGTAGGTGGGCTATGTCCAAGGGAAGACAGACCTGGGGCAGTATTTTATGTCCCCAGGGTGGCAGAGGGACATGGAGAAGATGCCTCCTTTATGGGCAAGGGAGAAGGGAAGATAAGCAGAGAGGTGCCAGACACCCGCCTCACCCCCACCTCCCCCACCCCACACCAGGCCCATTCCTACTCAGCCCCCAACTCAGGCTGCACCATTCCCCTTTGGTCAGCTTGACTTCCCAGCCAAGCTGATGGAAGCTGACAGCTTGGATTCATCAGGGACAGCACGTAGTATAGGTGATGTGCAGGACGGAAGTGGAGAGGGCACACGGGAGCCGTGGTGTCAGGTCTGGGGCTGCCAACATGGTACCTGCCCTGGCTGGTCCACCCTGCCAGATGTGGCCTCTAATTCTAAGGTCTCCGAGTTCCAGGCCAGGACTGGAGCCAGACTCCCCTTGGGGACAGGGGACACAGTCCACATAGACATCACTTGTGCTTTGGGCAAAGCCAGCTGGACAAATGAATGAAAGGGGCCCTGCTGGAGGGTAAAACTGGGCCTGGACTACTCAGACCTGCCTCTGTGACAGGACGGTCCCATCCTTCCAATCAGACTCCTGAGCTGGAAACCCACCCAGCCAGGGAGTGGGGAAGGGGTGGCCTGCAGTCTCCCTTGAGTCTGTAGCCCCTCCCACCCAAGTCAGCTCCATAAAAAAAGATGCAGAGGCCGGGCACGGCGGCTCACGCCTGTAATCCCAGCACTTTGGGAGGCCGAGGCAGGCAGATCACGAGGTCAGGAGATCGAGACCATCCTGGTTAACACGGTGAAGCACCATCTCTACTAAAAATACAAAAACAAAATTAGCCAGGTGTGGTGGTGGGAGCCTGTAGTCCCAGCTACTCAGGAGGCTGAGGCGGGAGAACTGCGTGAACCTGGGAGGCGGAGCTTGCAGTGAGCTGAGATCGCGCCACTGCACTCCAGCCTGGGCGACGCAGAAACACCAGGTGCTTCTTCCAGCTGCAGGCTACTTCCTGGCGTGGCCTCCAGAACCCTGGATGAGTCAAGACGGGGCTGCCAGCAGCTGGGGGCAGGGGGAAGCTGGGTCCTCAGGGTGGATGCCTAGCAGGAACATGCAGGCGTGGCGAGTGATGGGCCCTCAGGGCTGAGCCCCTTCTGCCCAGGGGGCCTTGGTGACACGCCTGCTGCTGAGCTCAGCCCAAGGAGTCAGGGCCTGGTACCAAGTGGCCTCTCTGCCTGCGAAGACAGTCCTGGGATCGTTACCCCTCTGCCCAGGGCTCGAGTATCCAGGCTGGGGAAGGGCCAGCAGTCAGAAAGAAGGGGGCTGTGGGTGTGGGTCCCCCAGCAGTCAGGGGCCTTGGTGGACAGGGCCCCCTATGAGTGGTGTGAGGGGGAAGGGAGACTGAGCTGTACTCCCCACCCCACCGAGATCTATGGTGCCAGGCTCCAGAAGGGGACCCTGGGGGGAGACCAGCATGACAGGAACCGCTGAAGATACCTTTGGGCACCTACTCTGCAGGGCTGGGCCAGCTGGAGGTTTAGGGCCCACATCAGAGGGGTGGGCTGGATGCCACAAAGAATGAGGCTTCCTGCTGGGGTTGCAAGGAAAGCAAGTCTGGTGTGCAGAGGGGCACCCGCTGAGCTGGCAGAGGCCTCCCCACCAGTCCCAGGAATGCTGGAAAACAGGCTGCCAGGGGATTAGGGCCAGAAGTGCCCAGGAGGCCAGGGGAGAGGTCTAAGCTAACTCCAGATAGGATAGCATCCACAGGTCTAGAAGAAAGCTCCAAGCTGGCAACACCCAGAAGGGGCTGGGCTACCAAGGGCTGGGGGCTGGGCATGCTCACTGGCCTCTGGGGAAGCACTGGGCAGATCTGGTGGGGACCAGTCTTTTAGTAGCTAGGGACTCTTGTGGCCTGCTGGGCTTAGAGATGCCAGGGTGGCAGCAGATGGCAGGGTGGGGCTGGGGAAGACCTGGCCTCTGGAAGCTAGGGTCCTGGTATGTCCGCGGGGCCAGGAAGTGGCAAGCAGAAGGGTGGCAGCAAAGGATGGACAGGGATACCCCAGATCTAGCCCAAGGGAGGTACCAAGCCTTGTGGAAAGGCAGGCGGGCTCCCCAGGTCTGTTGGAGAACCCAGGCCTCCTTGAGTAGCGGCTGTCTCCAGGGTCTCTTGCCTACTTAAGGCAGCTGGGAGCCCAGGCCTCACTGAGGAGTCATCAAGGCCTCAGCAGGAGGCAGAGAAGCACTAGCTTTCTGTGTAGTAGGGCCCAAGCTGAAGCCCCAGCCCCTCTGAGGGTGTAGTGGGATTGGGTCTAAGAGGTTTACAGGGTTTGAGGAGGTGCAGCCAAGCTTGGGACCCCAAGTTCTGAATTATATGGAGAGGAGCTAGGGGATACAGGAGGGGCCTGCCCTGGTCCCATCATCCAAATCTGAGGAGGAAAAGGGTCTGCAGATGCCTTATCAGAGGCTCTTGAAGAAGCAAGGGATCCCCTGACAAACCCAGAAATCATAGAAGAGGCCCCTTGAGGTCCTTCCAAGGGGCTCAGCACCCCTTCCTAGGACCCTGGGTTCCAATTGTCCTAAGAAATCACAGGGACCTGGAAGCTGGGCCCCTCTTGGACAAAGGCAGGGTGTGGGAGGAACAGTGGCCAGGCAGGCTGAGGCTAGGGGCTGTGGCAGGAGGGGTGGAGGGCTCATCGACACAGGCACCTCTGAGTGGGCCATAGCTAGAACATCCAGAGTTGGAGTCCCCATGGAGGCAGCAGCGTCCTCAAGGAGGCCCCCAGCTTCCCGCCACCCTGGAAAAGGGGTCCATGTGCAGCAGGAGAGACAGGAGGGGCTTGGCAGCATTCCCCCATTCCCATCTCCTGGGCAGACAGGGCTCCAGAAGAGCTGCACTGGGTGCTCCCCACTGAGGGGGTGTCTGGAGGTGGGGTCTTGGGGAGCTGCCCATGGAGAGAGCACAGCATATAGCCAGCAGCAAGGCCATGTCCACGGGCTGAAGCGTCCCCATGGCCCGCCTCCCACCACCAGCTGGGGCAGCAGGCTGGGCTCGGGGTTCGGCCCTCCCTTCTCCGGCACAGGAACTGCAGGATGAGAAGAGTCACAGCCAGTCAGGTCAGAGTCGGGTCCTGCTCCGAGGATCCCCAAAGGAGGTTTGAGGGAAGACTCAGCTGGCTCGACTCAACCCCCTTAGTGAGAACAAACTCACGGGAAGAGGAACATCAATGAGGCCAGGAATGACAGAGGGAAAGAGGCGTCTGGAGTCACGAAGGGGCTTTGGGGTCTTCACAACACCCCAGACATGGGCGTTGCCAGCAGCGACAGGGCAGAATGAGGCCTCAGGACAAGCAGGGCTCAGCACCAGGGTCCCTGCCAAGGCCAGGTTGGGGTGGTGTAGTGCTGAGCCTGGCTGGAGGTGCTGTTCCCTATGAGACGACTCTGTCCGGGGAGCCCCTCTCCCCTTCCCAGCTCCTACTCTCCGAGTCCCCCAAGACAGGGCTGTCATCCTTCCCACTCACTACCTTGCTAGCTCCACTCCTGTCAGCAAAGCCGGCCGCCCAGGCCCTTTGCCTTTTGTATTGGGCTAGGGTGCCAGGTGGGGCATGGTGAGGCTGGGTCTCACCTGAGCCCCATTCTTAGGTGGACCTGCTCGGGTCTCCTTGGGGGTGGGGGCGGGGCCAGCACACTCCACTGCCCTCACTCCTTCCTTGCCCTAGGGGTGGCAGCCCTAGGTAGGGCGCTGCTTCCCTCAGACTAGGAGTCCTGGGCAGAGTCTGGTTCCTGCCCCCACCACCTCAGACTGGGGGTCCCTGGGACACTGTCATATCTCCTTCCTTAGACTAGAACTCCCAAGTCCGGGTTAAGTCTCTTCCCTCAGACTGGTGCAGGGGAAGAGAGGGCCTCCCTGCATAGAGCTGTCGTCGCAGAGCAGCACCTCACTCCAGCCAGGCCTGGCTCTCCACCACCCCAGCCAGGCCTGGCTCTCCACCACCCCAGCCTGGCCTCTGCACCATTCTGAGTCCTCTGGGGCCACAGAGGAACCCAGGTGCGAAGCCCTACCTGTTCTGAGCCCTCACTCTGCCTGGTCACCATTGGTAAGATGTGTGTCAGGCATACAGCAGGGGCACAGGTGTGAAGGGAGGGAGGGAGAGGAGAGGACGGCGGGAAGGGAGGACCGAAGGAAAAGGAATAAAGCGCTCACTCCATTAAGGTGCTGACGATGAGATGGATGTGACTGATGGGGCTGACGAGGTGCCCATGGCTGCCCAGGGCCCGGGGGGCCCAGAGTTCAGAAACTCCACCTCCACTGCAATTCTTTCCTCCCTGTAGTAGTGTCAAATGATTCCACGTGGCTCACATCCCCATTCTTCAGGTTGTGGGACTGAGTCCCTGGGTTGCTGGATTTCTAGCCAGGCTTCCAAGCCCTGCTCCTGCCCCTTCTGGTTCTGGGAGCTCCAGCCTCGCCTGGGGATTTTCCTGTTCCAGACTCACCAAGACTCTGCACGTGCGGCTCTCTCTACCCAGACCCCACTTTGCATGTGATTTTGTATTTGTCTTCAAGGTCCAATTCAGGTATCACCTCTTCTGGGACCCAAGGACCCTCCACCCTGGTTGTCACTGCAGCAGCCACAATGTGTTGTGGTTACCTATCCCTTCACAGCCCAGTAGCTCTTCTTGGGCCTATATGAACAATGGAAGGGGACAATGGCAGCTGCCACTCCAAATCCCAGCCTAGTGTTAAGGCCAGGCTGGCACAGGAGGGACAGTGCAGCTGGGCTCAGTGACCACCACCAGGATGCCACACAGGTCCAACAAGCCCCAGTGGACTGGCCCCTGGCCCAGGGGGAGTGGGAAGACAGGCCCAGGAAGCCACCTTAGCTGCCCTGAGAACAAGCCTCTGGGGGAACAGAGCCCAGCAGGGGCAGGGTCTCCAGAGGGTGGGCCCAGCACACTACCCCCCACCCTCCAAGCTAAGGTCAGTGGGATGCATGGTCACCAGCAATGGGGAGGCTGTAACAGTTCTACCCAGACCATGAAAGACATGTCTGGCCCTGGGAGAGAGGCACGTGCTGGGTCTAATGACCAGCATTTCTCACCAGGCAGTAGCCCACAGACCAACAACCACGAGGACCCACGGGGTCTCAGGAGAGAGGGCTTTCCCAGAGCAAGCAAGTATGTGTGTGAGAGGGGTCCACAGAGCCACAGCCATCTGCACGAGGGTGCAGAAGCACCTTCTGGACTGGGAGCAGGGAGAGCAGCCTGCGAGCAAAGGGCTAAGCACACAGTGACGGAACATGAAACCGACCATCCCCAAACACACGGACAGGCCCCACTTCCAAAAACGAGCCAGATGCTTTAATGGGCTGCCTCCAGGGCCCATCGGCTCATCAGAATCCCTTAAATGAGGCCCAGAGCTTGCCAGCCTTTGGTTGAGCTCAGCACTCCACAGGCAGGTGGCTCACAGCAGGCCTGGCTGATGGGCTCTGGCTTGGGGAGCAGCAGGGTCCTCAGTCCAGATCTTCAGAGACCTTCTAGGACTGAGCTGCCACTCAGCCTACCTGCACCAGTCCCTGAGTCCCAGCAGCTGCTTAGCTTCTAGAAAACATAAGTTTCCTGGGATAATGCCAGGGGTGGGGGAGGCAGTTCAGGGAAGCACTGATGTCAATTCAGGACAGGCCTGGGGCCTCCTGGGGTGGCGGCAGCAGCAGGCCCAGAACAAGGACGCCAGCTCCAGGCTGCATCCCTGCACCAGTAGCGGGGATTGGGAGCAGGGAGTGCAGGCTCCCTCAGGGAGCTCCAGGCTGGAGTAGGGCCAACCCAACCCCAAATGCTGGGGGGTGACTCCTGAAAGTGTGAGTCACATCCACTGCCTAAGGTACCACTCTACGATAGCCAAGTCCTAGGACACACGAAGACTTTCTATAGGAAGGTTCTCTGCCTCCAATTCTAGGCCCTGTCCCAGAGAGGAAGCAGAGACCAAATGGTGACAGGGTATGTATCAGGCAGCATCCCCACAACAACCCTGTGAGGTAGGTTGCGTTGTCCCATTTTACACATGGGGAATGAGGGCTCAGCAGAGGTGAAGTTTCTTGCCCAGGTCCTGCAGCAAGAACACGAGCCGGGATTCAAGCCCAGGTCTGTCGGGCTCCAAAGCCCATGTGTGTTCTCTAGGCAAGAAATAGGGAGTAGTCCTATCCAATAAAGACCCTCACGTTAAAAGCTCAGGGGCTCTTCAGCCCACCCTGAATGGGCCACAGGGTCAGAGATGGAACCCCTCCAGGGGAGCAGCCACAGCCCCAGCATCCACTCGTGGCCCCGGGGCAGCTGGGCAGGCAGAAGGGAAGGGTGGAGAGTGACTGCTATACACACAGCACTGGCAACCAGTGCTACAGGTGATGGCTCTGGCTGTCCAGCAGCTGTGGGCAGGGTGAGGGCTGGTCTGGTCTTGAGGACTTGTGGCCCCAGGTGGGCAGAGCCAGGCCATTGAGCCAGGCGGTCTCCAGCAGACTGCGGAAGCGGGCCTTCAGTGTGGGGCCAGGTGGGCTGGCACTGGTAGCAGGGGTAGGGGAGGCACCACAGGACTCTTCCCCAGCAGCTGCCTCTGCTTTCTCCGGGCCAGGGGTTGGTGGCTTCCTGCCTGGCTTCCTGACCTTGGGGGCCGGTGACTTCTGAGCCAGGGCTAGGCTCTCTGGCTCACCTCTGGCCACAGTGGGCTCTGAGGAGGACACAGCTCCAGCCTCAGTGTCAAAGTCACCTGGAAAACGAACACATAGTCAGCCTGCAGACCCCATACCCTCAGGTCCCACCTCCTGGCTTCCAAAGCCATCCAAACAGTGCTTCTGCTCTGCCCCAAGTCAGGCTGGCATCACAACTCTTCCCCACACATGCCCACTGGCCAGACCATCCAAGCAAAAAAGATGTGCTTCTCCCCAGGTGACACCAGAACTCTATCTGATGAGGGCACCACTCAGGAGAGGCTGTTTGGGTACAAGGATGAGAGCAAAGGGGCTCAGCAGGTCAGGAACCATTGGCCTGGTCCAATACCCATTGCTCAGATGGAAAACTGAGGCATGGGAACAGAGGACCCTGCCATATATAAGACAGCCATCATGTTTCTGCCATACCAGCCCCAGAGACCAAGCCCAAGCCCGAGGCCGAGCCCAGGTAGGGACTGTCCTAAGAGCCATGCTGGGGGAGCACAGGAACCCACCCACAACAAAGGAAGGCAGGGATAACTGTCTAGGGGCACACAGAGAAAAACGGCCCCCAAGGTGGGAGGGAGTGAGGACAGGGGCAACAAAATTCAGCCAGAAGCCAGAAGCCTGGTCTCAATCACTTGCTTCCCAGGCCCCCCGATTGTTGCAAGCTCCAGTCAGAGCACCTCGGACTGTGTGGAGTGCCCAGACTCCACTGCTGATCAGGCAGCCCAGGAGAAACAGACCTGACCCTCTCTGGGCCCCAGACAGCCCAACTGTATGGGGAGAGGACTGAGCTGGGCAGCCCAGCCCTGAGTGATGTGGGACCCTCACTCAGTAACAGATCGCCTGAGTCTGGATTTCCTTTGCATCCCATTAAGGCATCTGCTCCAATTTTGTAAGTACTCAGGGATCAGGGATTCTGGTCAGCCAGCCCCTAAGCTCATCTGCACCTCACTGCCACAGGCCCTTCCCCATCCCAACCAGGTAAGGGCCCGGGGCAAGGCTGCCACTACGGGGATGGAACTAGGAACAGTTTCTACAGGGAAGAGGCTGGGCAGTGGAAATGGGAGAGGGTGGAATTGGGGGCAGCAGGGAGAGAAAAACTAGAGGGGGCCTCAGGCTGCAATGCCAGGTGTACTGACGCAGGAGGGGCAATAACAGAATCCACTTGGTCCCATCACCAGATCCCTAGCTGAAGAAGTGTGATCATACACGCCACACAACACTTCGGCAGTTGTGTGGTCCTCCAGGACATTAAAAGAAAACAAGCTGGAGAACAGCAGGCACATCATTTAGTAGAGGAAAAGCAAACCACAAAACAATGCGACTTATGCGCACACTTCTGTGTATGTAAGGGCCGGGGAGGACTGCAAAACTACACGTTCAAAAAGGCAGCTGTGGCCCTCACCAGGTCTAGAGCATGAGGAGCTTTGTGAAAGGGGGTGCCCTTCACTGACATGGAAAAGAACTGGTTGTGGGAAGTGAGCTGAGGGGAAGGCTCGGGAGTGTGATTTGGGATGAGTTCAGTGTGGGAGAGAGACCCAGGGGCTGAGGCCCAGCATGCAGTGGGTTATTTAGGGCTAGAGCTCACAAAGGGGATGCTAGGCTGGAGATCAGGGAAATTATCTCAGCTAGAAAACAGGGCCTAACCAGAGTGCCGGAAACACTGCACCAAAGATGGAGAAGGCACAGGCAGAGGAGGAGGGAATCCAAGAAGGTGCAGCACCAGGGGAGGCCGAGGAGTTTCCATGGGGACAGAGCAGCTGGCATGTTCAGAAGCCTACAAAAGAGGCTATGAAGGTGCTCACTGATTGTCTGGAGGGTCAAGGGGTGGGGGTACCTAGAGCTCATCCTAAAGCCCCCTACCCGGGCAGGAGTCCTTGGAATCACTCAGCCCCAGCTGTGACGCACTCACACAGCACACACACCTGTCACTTGCTCACACAGCTCCGGTGGCCACTGGGGCTGCCCCATGCTCACCCAGCTGGCGGCGTACACAGTCGCGCCACTGCAGGCCGAGAAGGTCGGGGTAAATGTCCGGCAGCTGGCGCAGCGCCAGTAACTTCAGCATGCGTGAGGTGCAGCCTGGCAGGGCGAGCTCCCGCAGTGCCCGCTCCTCCGACAGCGTGGTGGGCCGCAGCTCCACACGATGCTCCTGCAGCACATGGTCCACAGAAGCGGGTGGCAGCCGAGGGAAGAGCCGCTCCTTCACCAGGTGAATGGGCACGAAGATGGCGCCAGCTCGCACCACATGGGGGAAGGGGCACCGGTGGGTGCGATCGAAGCGCTGCAGCTGAGACAGCAGCTTGGCCAGCAGCCCCTGCACACCCTGGCAGTCCTGCCACGCAGCCTGGCCCCAGGGCCCAGCCGTCTCTAGCCACTCGCGAAGCTTCTCTGGAGGAGAGTGGGCGACGGAGCCAGAAATAGCATCACACAGGGACGCATGTAGTCCTGTAAAATGCTGCTCCAGGGAGTCCCCTGGGGCTGAAGTAGATGCTGGAGCAGGGCCTGCAACTGGAGCTGGAGCTGGAGCTGGATCCCGGGCTGAAGCTGGAGCCTGAGCTCGAGCCGGAGCAGGGGATGGAGCTGGAGCAGGGGCAGGGGAGGCCACAGCTACGGCTGGAGGGCTGGGCAGTGCCAGGCTGAAGCAGGTCACAGACAAGGGCTGTTGAGCGAGAATCCGCAGTCCAATGGGCCCAGATGTGGGGGTGGGTGCAGGCTGTGTGGGAGCAGGAGCTGAGGTGGGCGTGGACGGGACCACGGCTGCAGGCAAAGGTGCCGGACGGAGGATCTTGAACTTTCGGAACATGAAGGCCACAGAGCTGTGGAAGTTGGTCCTTGGCATGGCATCTGTGGTCACTGGCACCCCAGGCAAGCCTGGTGCTTCTGTGTCTATCTTTTTCAGGCCTGGCAGATCTGACACCATGTTGCCCACATCTGGCACATCCATGGCTGCAGTAGGCTTGGCATGCTCCACAGAACGGGAAGCCTTGACAGGGGAGGCCTCTGCTGTGGGCTTCCTCACACTCAAATCCAGGGCTACCTCCTCCTTAAGTGAGCCCCTTAGGGGTTTACTCCCTGAGGGGCCCTCCTGGGCAGGCAGGGTCCCCCTGCAGCCTTTGTCCTGACCTTCACTGGTGGCTGGGGCTGAGTCAGGCTCAGCTGTGGCAGAGTCAGGCTCAGTTGTGGCCTCGGGTGCCGGCACATCCAGATAGTCACGGTAGGGGGCCAGGCTGAAGACATTGTCAATGACAGGCATTGGTGGAGAGCTGGGTGGCCTTGCGCCCTCCTTCTGTGGAAGAGACTGGCACTCCCGGGCACAGGGGGGCAGTGCTGGGGGGGTACAGGGAACTGGACTGTCTCGGATGACGATGGGCGGCCCAGAGTGCTCACTGAGCCGGGGCTGGAGCTTCTCTTTCCTGCAGCTGGGCAGCCAGGTCTTCTCTTCGGCTTCCTGTGCAGGCCTCACAGGCTCTGAGCAGGGCTGGCTCGCTGGCAAAGGCTGGCATGCCCTCTGGAAGGCACCAGGCTGTGGCACAGCCCGCACATTGTTCTGGGAAGGTGGTGTCCCTCCAAGCCCAGGGGATGCTCCATAGAGAGAGAGGTCATCCCGGGCATAAGGAAAACTCAGTGTCTGGGGGGCAAAGTCCAATGGGCACCGTGGAGTGAGAGGCGGCTCCAGCTTGAGGCCTGGAGAGGGTGCTGGGAGAGGGGCAGAGGGGTAGGGGTAAGCGTCCAGCCCCAGTGGGGGAATGTAAGGTGCCTGGGCTGCCTGCTGCCTCAGGTAGGGGCTGCCCAGCCCACCAGCCTGGTACCCGGTCCCCTTGTGGCCCCCCAGAGGCTGCAGTGGGAGTGCTGGGCTGTAGCTGCCCTGCTTCTCTGGGTGGCGACAGGCTGGAGGGCAAGGCAGGGCCTGTGGAGGGTGGGGTGGTGGGTGGTGGGGTGGTGGGTAGTGGGTGGGCCCGGTGTCCTGACAGGGTGGCCCCAGGGGCTGGGCCAGCTGGGTCCAAGGACTTGAGGGCCCCTCAGACATTGCTTGCTTGGAGTTCCTAGGGTAAGGACCTGTGTACCTGGAGGCCAGGAAGCCCGTGCTGTGGATGGTCTGATATTTCTCCAGGAAGGGCTGGCATGGGGAGAAGCTCCCTGAGGAGTCTTTACTGGACCCCTCAGCTGGCACCCCCCGCAAGAAGGTGCCATCCAGAGTCTGGCCCTTGCTAGGAGCTGGGGCCAGAGAGCAGGGTGGGTCAGCTGAGGGCAACAGGGGCCCAGTCGCCAGAGTCCAGTCAACATCCAGTGGCCTCTTCACTGCTCCTTCCCCCAGACAAGTTGAGAGCCCATAGCACAGAGGGTTGCGGTAGACAGGTTTGGGTGCTGCCAGTGGTGGGCCTGGGTAGGAGTGAGCCTGGGGACTGAAGGGCAGGAGCTCAACAGGGCTGGAGTCCTGCATCTTCTCAGGGCCTTCTGCTGGCGAGCGGTAGAACAGGCAGTTGGTCAGCAGGTTGTCTGCCTGAAGTGGGGGTCCTGCCATACCGGTAGAGTACAAGGGTGGGTATGGGGTCCAGGACGCCAACTGCTCAGACTCGGCCTTAGGAGTACCTGCCATGGGGCAGGAGAAGTAGGACCCCTTGTAGGTGCAGGGATCCTGGTTACCAACAGAGTGGGGCAGGCTGTGCTCGAGCCCGGAGTCTGTCTCTAAGCGGGGCAGCTTGCCATACATCACAGGCCCCAGGGTTCTCAGGGGTCGCTTCTCTGCCATCGCTGTGAAGGCTTCGAGCCCTCCTAGGCCCCTGCTACTCAACTTCTGACCTGGGATAGAGAGAGAAAGGCAGGGGCTGTCAGGAAAACAGGCTACAGGCAAAGCAACAGAGGGCTGCTGCTCTCATCAGCTCACGGCTACACCTAAGAACCTGGCGCTTAAATGATGCTCAGTTAAGACTGTGAGTGCATGAGCCACGTGACAGAGGTTTCCAACTCGTGTATGTATTTTTTGAGGCAGGGTCTCACTCTGTTGCCCGGGCTGGAGTGCAATGACATGAACTTGGCTCACCGCAGTCTCAACCTCCTGGGCTCAAGTGATTCTCCCAACTCCCAGGTTGCTGGGACCACAGGTGCCTGCTACCACACCCGGCTCATTTTAGTATTTTATGTAGAAACAGGGTCTTACTATGTTACCCAGGCTGGTCTTGAACTCCTGGACTCATGTGATCCTCCCATCTTGGCCTCCCAAAATGCTGAAATCACAGGCATGAACCACCTACTGCTCCTGACCCCAACTCGTATATTTTAAGCTGCAGAACCCTTTGTTTAATGAATTATTCTACACAGAACCCCCACCCATCCCCACTCCAGGAGCCCCTTCTGTTCGATTTTCCTCCATACAACTCCCAAGATCCCCTCCTTCTTGGGATTTCAGAATTTGTAGGGGCACTGGGTCTCAGGGTCACTTGACATACCCTGCCGCCACCCCCTCATATACAGATGAGGAGACCCATTCATCCCAAAGTCACCAATGAAATAGACACAACGAGAAGCAGGCCTCCTGCCTCCCACCACAGGGTCCTATTCCAAGATGCCACAGTGATGCCCACTGCAGCCAAAACATGGAATCTGAGTATTGTCTACAAATTCACAGATTTCTTGTGACACTCCTCTGACCTGCTGATCTTGTCAAAAATGGCAGAGTCGGGCCTCCAGCCCAGGTCCCTAGGCCCAAAGCCAATGCTGAGATACTGGACTTGGCTCTGGAGAGCAGTCCCCTAGGAGAGGTAACTGGGGACATCAGTCTGTACAAGCCACACCCCTCTCGCCCCACTCCTCCCCCTCCGCAGGAGTCAGGGCAGCCCAGCAGATGGTGCTGCAGCACCAGCAGGAAGGTCCCAGAGCATGAGGAGCCTGGATCCACCCCCAGCCCCCAAGCTGCAGATGGCGATTCCTAGGCACATGGCAGGGTGGGGCCAAGACAGCGTCAGGGGCGTGTGTGAAAGTCCAGGGAGGTGGCTAGGTGCTGTGGCTCACACCTGTAATCCCAGCACTTTGGGAAGCCGAGGTGTGCGGATCATTTGAGGTCAGGAGTTCAAGACCAACCTGACCAACATGGTGAAACGCTGTCTCTACTAAAAATACAAAAAAATTAGCCAGGCATGGTTGTGCATGCCTGTAATCCCAGCTACGCTGAAGGCTGAGGCAGGAGAATTGCGTGAACTCAGGAGGCAGAGGTTGCAGTGAGCCAAGATTGTGCTACTGCACTTCCAGCCTGGGCAGCAGAGTGAGACTCCACCTCAAAAAAACACAAAAAACAAAAAACAAAACAAAAAAAAAGAAAAGAAAAGAAAAGAAAAAAGTCCAGGGAGGGAGGCCCCAGGGGCCAGAGTGCTACTTAGCCACTACTCCCATTGTATTGATGGAAAAACTATGTGCTGAAAAAAGACAAAGCTCTAAGACAAGACCAAGGAAGGATGGGGACTGAGGCCCCTCAGGGCAGCAGGCACCCAGTAACCCGTTAGGGGCTCATCTGAAGCCTGTCTTCTGGGGCCACACTGACCTACCTCTACCTCCCCCAGCCAGCACCCTATTCCTGGAAACTCTCAGTAGCTTAGAAAGGACCACCTAGCTCAATCTTGCTATGATTAGGGCAAAGTGTCACAGGTTTCAGTGACTGGCAAGCAAGGACCAGCCCTCTCCTTGCCTCTTCTGGTTGGAGCCAATGACAGCCACAGGCTGAGTTAGACCGGCACATTTTGGGGTTAGAAAACACAAGGCTAGTGTGGGGGCCAATGCCCACTTCCACCAAGGCAGACCCAGAAAGCAAGCTGGTTCATCTCCTGGACAGAACCCCACACCTCAGGCCAGCCTAGAGAAGACACAGAGGGGCCATTAGGACACAGGTGACAGTCCCAACAGCAGTGTCCTATGATAGAAACCTGCTATCGAGGGGTGAAAGCCCCCATCTCACTCCACAGCAATGCTGTGAGAAGGAACTGTAGGGTTTTGAAGTGTGGATCCTCCCCACCTCCACCCTTGGGACACTCTGGGTTAAGTACTGACTTTGGTCTCACCTCCCCCACATGCTTCTTGGGGTCTGCTGGGTCCCCACCCCCACCCCAGGAGTCCCTCTCTCCTGGGTCTCAGCCCATGGAATACCCTTTGCTCTGGAGACTTCTTGAGGCCCCTATCTGGGACCCAGTCAATAGACAGGAAACCACCTGGGACCCTCAGGAGTCTTTGTGGGAGGGGTGGCGGCTTCAGGGAGCCAACAGAGAACTCTTAGGGGTGTGGGAATGACCTGATCTCCTGCCAGTAGGAGGTGGAAAGCCCAGGATACACTCTCTCAAGGGAGACGACTCCTCCACTCAAGACAGTTGCCAAAATGTAGGTGCCTCCTTCCCTGACCCATACTGAGGCAAGCAAGCTCTCGGAAAGGGCAGGTGCCCAGGGAGCAGGCTCAGATCATCCTTGAGAGGCAGCTCTGTTGATCCTCTCTGCCAAGCTCCAACGTCACTCAGCCAGCACCCAGGCCAGGGTCCCGGAGAAGAGCCCACCACCGCAGCACCGCCCCTGCCTTACGCAGTGGGAAAGGAAACAGCTCTCTGTTCCCACTTTCACCTTCTAGGGGCCTCGGGATGGCCGATGGCAAAGACCAGGAAGAAGAGCGCGATTCCTGCCCAATTGTGGCCAGCATCTGGATTCTCCCGGAGGGCTGGATCGGGCCTCGCCGAGTGTTCTCCCATCTCCCACCTTCCCTACCTGAGGCTCTGGGCTCTCCAGACGCTACAACCCAACCTGGGGCAGCCCAAAGTCTCCAGTGGAGGGGAAAGCGAACGGGATCGGTCTCTATCCCCTTTCCCCTACCCGCCCTGAACATAACTCGGGTGCCTAGGGCCCACAGCCGATTTCGCTTAGAGGCTGCCGCCGCACCCGACCTGGCGGGCTTCCGGGTGTCCCCAAGCCCCTCCCGGCGGCGCCGAGACGCACGTGCATCCAGCAGGCTGACACACAGGCCGCCGCCACGCATGCAAACCCGTGCCTGCACGTACGTGCATGGCCCACATCTGCACACACGCCATTCCAGAACTGCGCTCTCCCCTCGCTCGGGCCCCGGGCATACGTGTGCACGCAGGCAGGCCCGCGCACCCAGCCCCACACCGACGCCCGCGGACCGGCGGGAGGTCCCGGAACAGGGGCGGCCCGGCGACAGGGTCCGGGCAGCCTCCGCCTCAGGGCGATCCTGCCAGCCTGGGCTGAGGCCAGAGGGGTGAGTCAAGAGGTGGCGAGAAAACCGCAGGGCCGTCCCATCCCAGCAGGGCGCGTCCAGGGCCCCGCGGTGCCTCAGCGCCCGGCGCCCCCAGGCCCAGCCCTCCAGTGCCCCCTTGTCCCCATACCTCCTCCTCAACGCCATCCCCCAGCAATCCACGTGACAGGGTCCTGCGGGAGGCCGGAGGGCTCGGCCTGAGTTCCTTCTCGCCAGATTAGGCGCCTGTTCTCCGCCGGAGACCCAGAGCGCTACCAGGTCCCGGGAGCCTCGAAGTCCGGGGAAAGTCGGAGCAGCAGCGCCACCCCTGCCCCGCAGCCCGTTCGCGGGGGGCCGGCGGCAGCCAGAAGCCGCAGCCCCTCGGCCCAGGCGCGGCTCCCTCAGTCCCCGGGCCGGCCGGTAGGGGCGCCCTGGGGCAGCGCCACCCGCCCCTTCTCCACGCGCCGCCCGCAAACTCGGCCCAAGTTTCCGCGCCCGCCGAGCGGGCGAGCTCCTACCTGCAGAGCGCCAGGACTCCCGCCGCCGCTACCCCAGGCGGCCTCCGCGTCCGCATCCTCCAGCGTCTCTCAGGCCGCGGGTCCTAGTCCGACCGGGCCCTGCGCGGGAAGTCGCAGTGAGCACCAAGCCCGGAGCAACCCTCCTAGCTGCCGTTCGCGCCGCCGCTGGGCGCCGTCTGCGGTCCCGGGCGGGGCGGGCTGGGGGCGGGGCGGGGGCGGGGCGACTCGCAGGGTTGGGGAAGAGCCCGGCCCCGCCTCTGGGAGCCTGCGCTCCTGTGGGCAGCGGGTGCGGAGGGCCCGCGTGGGGCCAGCTCGCTAGGAGCGGGCTGCGGGCGCTGTGCACCGCCCGTAACCGCCACGCTCCACGAACCAGTGCCCGGCGGGCCCGTCACGCGCCCTCAGTCGCTCCCTTAGATCGTTCATTCACTGCCACTTGCTGCGATGTGACCTTGCGCCTGCCGCTTGACCTCGCTGAGCTTCAGTTTCCTTATTTGCAAAAGTGGAATTCTGTCTTCCTCATAGCGGTGGCGGTGTAAGCTTGGAAAAGGGTGTTTGCAAATATCTGGCACACAGTAGGTGCCGGCATTCCCCTGTCCAGCACTAGTGTATTAGGGGGCTGGAGAAGGGCTCCTTGATCTGTCCCCTCATTTCGTTGTAGTCAATGAGGGCAATTTCCAGACTCCTGCTAGGGCACGGCAACTGTCTGAGGAAGCGGCAATCTCCCCATCCCTGGAAGGGCCGGGAATGAGGGTGCTGGGGGATTTGCAAAGTAGCCTGGGTGAGGCTCCCTCCATGAGGCAGACCGGCGCGCAGCCTGTGAGGCGGGTGGAGTGGAGCACGCCCAGCCAGGAATGGTGTGTTGCAAAGAGAGGCTGGAGGGGGGAAGGGGTGCCTCTCCCTGGACCATCTGACTGTGGATGAGAGCCCCTCAGTGCTGCTACTTTATCTGAAGGAATCTGGTCCGTCAAAGCTCCTGGGCTGCCCGAGGACTGGGAACAGGTGTGTGCAGTGGGGAAGGGGAGGGCAGGTGGACATGCCAAAGGTCAGAGTCAGTTCAGGAAGCAAAACTATCCCCTCAGATCCCAAAGGTAAGTTCTGCCTGAGTCAGAGCAGAGCAGGCCTGAGGCTGCAGGTTCCAAGAATCACCAAGCAGCTGGAGCAGCTGGAGCTGAGGAGGAGGGGCTGGGCGCTGCAGGTAGGAAGAGGAAGTGAGGTCACCTGGGGAGCGGGGGCGGGAGGTGGGGGGAGAGTGTCACTTCATTTAGAGCTGGAAGGACCTTAGAAATAGAGTCGGGAACCATATAGGGAGAGACACTCAGAGAGGGTTGGGGCTTTCCCCAGGTCACTCAGCAGGCTGGGACAAAATCCCAGATCTCCTGGCTCCCAGCCTGGGGCCCTTCCTGCAGCCACACCTTAGCGTCAGGAAAATACATCTGCGCGCGGACAGCTAGGGGTCACACCAAACATCATACCCTTAACCCCAGCCTGCAGCCCCGTGGGTCACAGGCTATTCACTGCTCTTGCCCCTTACCAACTCTGCTCGCCCCTCCTCCTCCAGCACCGCGCCGGCGACCCTGTCCCTGCCCTGCTAGTGGGGTGGAAGGAGGGCTGTGTTCTTAGCCCTTGGGGTCTAGGACGCTCAGGTTGTGTGCTCAGATGTGCCCAGTGGTCTCTCCAATTTCCCTGAGTTGGAATGGGACCCAACCAGGCCAGGATGAGCAGCCATCTGAGACAATAGGGGCTAGTTAAGATTTGCAGCACTGCTGAGCCTTGTGTTAATTCAGGGACACCTCACACAGACAGCAGCCCCACTCAACAGTATGTCTGTTCCTTTTCGGCATCACTTAAACACCCTGGACTGCCAAAGAAAGGAGGCAACACTGGGGGACTTGGGAGCTACTTTGTAACTTTCTGAGCCTCAAATTTCCTCATTGCAAAAAGAGAGCAGTGAGAGACCTGCCTTAGCAACTGTGGTGTCGGCCAACATCAGTGTGGGAAATTGCTTGTAAACTCTAGGAAGCTCATAGAGTGTCCCCAGACTATGAGCTCCTGAAGGCTCTGACCTTGCCATTTTCCTCCCTATACCAATGGTCGTCTGTGGAGCCTATAGAGAATGAAGGCAATCAATACAAGATAACTGCCTTGGGAGCTCCACATGTTTTTATCAGGACTGTGGTCTTGCAGAGATGTGATATTCTAATCAGAAGGAATAGTGTGAATAAAAGCAGAGAAGGGAACAGTCTGTCCTTATATGGCCTTCCCGAGTAGAGTTAACACAGAAAAAGAAAGTAGTGTAAAAAGGAGGTTTCTCCTCACCCCACCCCACCCCTACCACTACCAGGTCTGCCCAGGTTTCACATGCAACACACACACTCCTCTTCCACCCCACCCCAGACACCAGTTACTTCTCCTGGCTCCCTGGGAATGCAAGGTAAAAGGTCAGATCCTGAGCCTTGGCTCATTATTTTATGGTTATTAATAACAATGGTGCTCCCTCTAATGAGGCCACACCTGCTATTTACAAATCTCCTTCCTTGGAGGAGCTCCCTTACCCCAGAGGCGTGTGAGGTGGAGCTGGCAGCTACTCTACAGGCAGAGAAACAGAGAAGTATGGCACCTTTCCCTAAGACACACAGCAATGCCCCCTTCCATCCTTGCAGACCCAGCTATAGACACTGCCTCCTCCTGAGAGGCCCCTCAGACTGCTTTTGCTGCCCTGTCTGCCCTCTATTTCCTCATTGCTCCCTCTCCCCTCCCAGAAGAGGGATATCTCAGTGTCAGTGGTTGGGCATGGAGCTCCTACATCTATCTATGAGATAATTGATATCTCATTTAATTCTTACAACCATGTGAAGCAGGAGTTTGAAAAACAAGCACACTGGGGTTTGATCCACTGACCTGTGTGGTTTAGGCAAGCCCCTTAGCTGTCAGCTCACTCATCGTTACAGGGACATGACTTGCTACAGGGCTCCAGTGACTTCACAGCTTGATTTGTAGTAAGGTTTCAACCAGTGGTGATGTTGCAGGAGAATAAGGTCTGGAGGCAGGGAACCTAAGGCCAACTGGTGCTGGATATTAGAGACTACTCTTCAACCCCTTCTCTTTCAAGGTGGCAGTTGCTGCATGGTAGTTGCAATCCCTCCTTTTGCTGTATGGCAGTTGCTGAGTGGCAGCTGGAAAGTGAAAGTGCCTCTGATTGGTCCCCTCCCACAACCCATCAGACTGGTCGTGGGCCTACTCTTCAACCAATCAGACTGGTTGCGGGCTACTAGGGTGAACCAATGGGAAACCTCTAGAGGGTATATAAACCCCAGAAAATTCTGTAACCAGTGCTCCTGAGCCTCTTGCTGGAGGTTTTGCTGCCTTGCTTGTGCCTTTTGTCCAATTCTTTGTTCAAAACACCAAGAACCTGGGCAACTACCCTCAACCAGTAACAGTAGCTCTAGAGGAGGAGGGGGAGGCCACTTGTCCACATAGCCAAGAAATGGAGAGCTAGGATTGTCCCTGGAGGACTGTGTGACTCCAGTGCCTTCTGAGGGAGGGCTCAGACACAATTGTTGTTCAGGAACCCGCTGCCACTAAAGCAAGCAGAGCCTGAAGCTGGGCTGCGTCGGTGGCCATCAGCATGGACTCAGAGCGTCGTAGGGATCTGGGTTGGATAGGACCTGGGCAGGAGGACAGGGCCATGGGGTCTGATTGGGGTGAGGTGAGCCACTTTCCAAAGGTGTACTGGGAAATCAGGGCATCCTTCTGCAGGGGAGGCTGGGGGTGGGGGCAGCCTGCTGCTTTGCCACAGTGAGCAGGGAGTGGGAGCCTCTCAAACTCCGAAGGAGCCCCCCCCCCACTACCTCCAGAGAAAATCAGACTTGCTCAGAGGGGAGGCCCTAAGACTGAGAAGTGGGGCAGGCTTTCACTGGGCCCCTCTGGAAGACTGCATCTGCTGGCCTGTTGGCTAGGAAAACAACAACAACAACAACAACAAACCATGCACAATAATTTAGGGACCCTGGCCAGGTGCAGTGGCTCACGCCTTTAATCCCAGCACTTGGGGAGGCTGAGGCAGACAGATCACTTAAGGTCAGGAGTTTGAGATCAGCCTGGCCAACATGGGGAAACCCCATGTCTACTAAAAAACAAAAATTAGCCGGCATGGTGCACAAGCCTGTAATCCCAGCTACTCAGGAGGCAGAGGAACTTGAACCCGGGAGGCAGAGGTTGCAGTGAGCTGAGATCGTGCCTCTGCACTCTAGCCTGGGCAACAGAGTAAGACTGTATCTCAAAAAAAAAAAAAAAAAAAAAAAAAGATTTAGGGACTCCTGCAGAGGAGGGGAACATTCTTTAATTAACAGCTAGGGTGGGCTGATTTTCCTTCTCTCCTTCCCATCCTTCCTTCTGTCACATATTGAGGATCTCCAGGTTTTATGCTGGCATTGAGGGTACAGCAGTAGATGGGTCCCAGTGCTGTCTCCCAGGCTTCAAACAGACCATTGCCTCCAGTGAGATGGGTGCTTGTGTGGAGGTGGGTCTGCCACAGTGGGAGAGAGGCCTCAGGAACAGGACTGCTGGGCCTTGGACTCAGGGAGGGGGGGACTGTGATGTCTCACTCTGGCTGTGCCAAAGCCCAGCCATTGGAGGCTTGGTGCTGGAGGCAGCAGGAAATATTCCCTGCCTGCCTCCACAGAGAGCTTTCTAATGCCTGTGTGTAACCGGTCACTCCTAGCTTGGAGTCTCCTGTGGTTCCTCGGTGGCCTCAGGTTCCAGTTCCCCAGTCTGGCTTTGGCATGTCTCCTGATTGTCCCGATTGTCTCCCCAGCCAGCCAAGGTTCCTTTCAGGTCACACCTCCACACTTTGGAATATGCTCTCCATCTGCCTTGGCTGCTTGTCTGGCTTTCCTTGCTAATTCCTGTTGGCCTTTCAGACTCAGCTCAGAGGCTGGGCACGGTAGCTCATGCCTGAAATCCTCCCACACTTTGGAAGGCAGAGGCTGGAGGATCACTTGAGCCCAGGAGTTCAAGACTGGCCTGGGCAACAGAGCAGGACAAATAAAAAAAATTTCCAGGCATGGTGGCACACACCTGTGGTCCCAGCTACTCGGGAGGCTGAGGTGGGAGGATGACTTGAGCCCAGGAGGTTCAGGCTGCACTAAGCTGTGATCAGGTCACTGCACTTCAGGCTGGGCAACAAACCAAGACCTGACACAGCCCCCGTCAAAAAAAAAAATCGGCTTGGGATCCCTCCTCCAGGAAGCCTTCCCTGAGCTCCAGGCTGGGTTTGGTCATCTCTTCTGAGGTCCCAGAGCATTTTGAACTCACCTCCATTTTAGCCTCAGCTTCCTGTGCTGAAATTGCCTGGCTATAAGCCTGGCTTCTCTCTTATACTGGGGAGGGACCTCTTCCAGGGTGGGGCCTGGGTCTGCCCTTGGGCTGTGACTCTAGTGCCCACCACAGGGCTGAGTCAGGCTGTAGTTATGGAGTGAAGGTTTAATGGTGAAGGAGGGCTATGCACATCTGAAAGGGAAGAAAGGCAGAAAAACCTACCCAGGCCCAGAGATGAGAGCCTGAAGGAACCTCTGCTGCCCAGAGCTCCCCTAAAGCCCCTGGACTCCCCGTCTCAGCCTCTTAGGACCCAGGACACCAGCAGTAGCCTGTTTCTAGCCCCTATTTCAACATGGGGCAAATGAGACGCAGAGAGGGCCAGCTACCTGCCTGGGGTCTCAGGCAGGCAGCTCCAGAACCCAGGTCTCCTGAAGGCCTGTCCAGTCCATACACCAGGCCTCCTCCTGGTTCTGCCACTGCCTCTCTATCCCCTCCTCCCCTGTCAGACCTAGGATGGAAAAACACCTGGCCGAGCTCCACCTGCCTGCCTCATGCTGCCTGCAGCCCCCTCCTTGGAGGCCATCAGCCTGGGGTAGGGGTGTGAGGAGAAGAGGAGGGGGACCCCTGCAAAGAGGGGAGGGGCTGATGCATTTCCCCCCGTGCTGCAGGAGCTGCTCCCCTACCCAGAGCCTGGACTCCTGCCAGCCGCCCTCATCACCTCCTCTCCCCATCCAGGGCCTCTCCCTGGAGATCCCTTCCCCCGGCCTCGGCGCCCTGGGCAGAGCCATCACAGCTGTTTCCAGGGTGGTGGTTGGGGCCTGGGCGGGCCCTACCCGCAGCCCTGACTCCAGCCCAGTGCCCGCCCCGCGCTTTGGTCAAGACTTGGCCTTCATCGGGAGTCACCTTCCCCCAGATCCCCAGTTCAAAGGTTTTGGGGGGCCGCCAACCCAGCTCCTCCTCGCCCCACCATGTCCCCTCCCCCAGTGCTGGGGCACCCTCCCCTCCTACCGTGGGCAGGCCAGGTGGACTATCGTGGAAGCCTTTCTAAGGCTGGCTGAGGCGGCTGGGTCTGGCCAGGTGGTTGGCTGCTGCCCCCTCATTAGCGGCCCGCTGGGGTTGCCGTCACTTAGGGCTGGTTACCAGGCAACCGCGTCCAAGGAGGGCTTGGCTCTGGCTCAGGGCTGGCACAGCGGCGCTGCTGCTGAGGCGGGAGGTGAGCAGCCAAGCAGGGTGGGAGACTGGGGTCACGGTCAGGAGGCCTCCTGCTCCCCAGAGTAGGGGTGCAGTGCTTCAGAAACTCCCTGTTATCATCTCACCTTAGACTCACAGCCTGGCCCCAGAAAAGGGGTTTTGGGTCCTCAACACAAACAGCCATACTCAGAGCCCTCAGGTTTCCTGGAGGTTGAGGGGAAGCTGAGTGGGAGCAGAGAAAGGCACCCTTCTCCCTTTTGCATCTGGGGGTGTGGCCCTGTGGCCTTCTTGCCCTGAGTAGGTGTGGGAGGGGCACAAGGAGTCGGATTTTCTGGTGTGCAGGGCTTAGGTTTTGGATCTAAATCCTGCCCTAAACAAAAACAAATAAACAGAAAGAAAACAAAAAATAATAATGATAATAAACAATAAATCCTGCCCTGCCTCTCATGGTTGTGCTTTCTTGGACATGGTTTTTTTTGTTTTGTTTTTTTGTTTTTTTGAGATGGAGTCTGGCTCTGTGGCTCAGGCTGGAGTGCAATGGTGCGATCTCAGCTCACTGCAACCTCCACCTCCTGGGCTCAAGTGATCCTCCCACCTCAGCCTCCCAAGTAGCTGGAACTACAGGTGTGCATCACCACGCCCACCTAATTTTTCTATTTTTTTTGTAGAGATGCGGTTTTGCCATGTTGACCAGGCCAGTCTCAAATTCCTGGCCTCAAGCAAACCTCCTGACTTGGCCCCTCAAAGTGCTAGGATTACAGGCATGAGCCACCTTGCCAGCTGTGGACATGTTGATTGCTTCTGTGAACCTTGACCACCTCCTCTGAAAAATGGGATGGTAACCCATCTCCTAAGATGGCTTGTAGGGCATGAATGCTTAGTGCAGTGCCTGGCACATACCCATCCATTCCCTCCCTCCACACCCCAAGCTTCCCACATTGCAGGGGGCAGGATTACAGATGCTGACCGCCCACACATGGGCCACCCACCATTGCCAAGTGACCCAGGAATGTGCCATCTTTATGTCCAAGAATAGTTCTGGGCCCTGGGTGGTACCTTGTTCCCCTCATCCTTGCTGACTTGTTTTTTTAATTTAACAAACACTCCTAGTCTTTACTATGTACCGGGCGCTGTTTAAATGCTTCACAAATATTAGCTCATTTAATGTATTTAATCTATTTAATGGATGAAGTCGCTTAGTCCATTTATTTTGTAATCCATTTACTGGACTAAATGAGGTGATGCTGAGGTGGATACAGAGAGCTGTGTGGGAGGGAAGCCTGGCCACATCTCTCTGCTCTGCCAGGGCAGCTTCTGCTGCGCAGCTGGGTTGAACGCCAGTCCTGCCTTCTGCCTCCTGCCACAAGGCCAGCCTGGGATGGTAGAGCTATGGGCAGGTCAGAGTTTCAGGGAGAGCAGTGATGGCTAATTAAAACTTCAGCTCAGGGAGGCCCCCTTGGGGCATGGATTGCCTCAGTCAGCTTCCCTGGGGGAGTCCCCTAATTGGACCCCTGGGCCCTAGGAGTGATGCAAACTCACCAGGCAGATGATGGCAGGCAGGGAGGGAGGGGAAAGGGGGAAGGAAGCAGGCTGGCCAAAAAATAACAACAACCCCCTTCCCATTGTGAGAGATGGTGACTTTGGAGTCCCCAAACTGTCACTTAGGAACTGTGTGACTTTGAATCAGTTGCTTGGCCTCTCTGAGCCTCAGTTTCCTCATTGAGAAGTGGGGATAGGAAAACTTCCAGCCCTGGAGGGTTGCTATGAGACCTGTGCAGAAAGTACACAGCACCATGCCTGGCTCAGAAATAGGCACTCATACAATTGGAGCAATTGTCACAGTTACTGCCACGGTCCTCTCTTATCCATCATTTCATTCAGTTCTCAGAGCATTCTGGGAGAGAGGAGGACAAGCCTTCAGAGCAGGCAGGGGGTTAGCCTCCCAGCTTTCATAACCAACAGTCTGGGTCCTGGGCCGTGTGTGGAGTGTGGAGGGGCGGGGGCAGGGGATGCTGCAGAAGATCAGGCAGGAGGTCACTGCTCAGCTGCTATGCAGATGAACCCGGAGCCTGCCTGTGGAGTGGAGAGGACTTGACTAGGCAGAAAGCAGCCCAGGGGGCAGAGCTGGAGGCAGCCAAAGGTCTGAAGACCAGAGAAAGTGCAGAGTGTGCCAGGAGCCCTGGGGAGCCAATGGGGCTAGAGATGGGTGAGTGACAGCCACATGCTACCCTGCTGAGAGTTGGGGTCTGGCCCAATGTGGCCAAAGTCTTCCCTGGGTCCAGGGTGCTGAGAATGACTTGTGCCAGAAGGGTGGGCTGTGAAGAAGGGAGTCTCGGAGAGGGGAGAGGGTGCTAGGCTTTTCCTTTCTGGATGCAGCAAGGTAGACTCCTTAGCTCCCCTGCCCCTTAGGGAGCAGACAGTGTCATCTCCAATTTGTGAGGCCTCTAGAGTCACTGGCCCCTTACCAGCTATTCACAGAGGGGCAGGAGCAGGCCAAGGTCCAAAAGAGCCAGGTGTGGGGTGAGTCCCAGAACCCTCCAAGGTGACCCGGCTCAGTGGTGTCACTCTGTTCTCACAGCCCATCTCCAAGACCACCCAGTGCCACGTCTGCTGGCTGCAGCAGGCCTGGAATCCTCAGGACAGGCCGTGGGCCTCCCTCCGGCTCGAGTCACTCCCCAGAGCAGAACATTCTGCCCCCAAATTCTTGATGAACCCCTCCCAACAAGCAGTGGCTTCAGAACACCAATCTTTTCCCAGAGAGAAACCCAGGACCAGGAGAGATATGGAGGAGACCAGAACGCATTTCAAAGAGCTGATCTTGCTAATAAATCAACAATTCCTGAACAAACACAGCCCACCCTGCACCAGCTCTGGGCTCCCTCAACCTCCCTCCAGACCCTATTCCACAGCCCCCTCTGCTCCAGCAGTCCCCACCTCCTGTCAACCAGGTCATCTATGGCTCAGGTTCCAATTAGTTCAGTAATTAGCACCTCATTGGGCCTGTCTGCCTGCGAACAGCTCCCCTGGGGAGGGTTTCAGGAGGTCTCCATGACCTCAGGGCCCAGAGCTCAGGCAAGTCCAGGCTGGCAAGGCCCCAGGTGGCCTCCCTGCACCCCAGCATAGGGCAGGGGAACAAAAGAATCCCCCAGGGAATTGGGTAAGGGGCAGGGAGAAGAGGGTCCACACCCAGAACGAGCCTTCTCCAGCACTTCCGGGGCCCGTGTGTCAGCTCCACACACACCTTCCTCAGCCATCTCTGTCTAGTCAGTGTGCCCTGGCTGGCTGGGGAAGCCAGGAGGATGCCAAATCCAGCTGAGGTCAGGTCAGTAAGGGAAAGTCTCCATGGGTGGCTTTGGCACAGCCAGGGATTTAGAAAGAAGCTTGGCTTATCCCTTCAGGCCTCCATCCGGGGCCTCCTGGCTCTCTCGGGCGTCACCCCCTGATGACCCCTCAGTCCCTGGCATCCATCTTTCACCTGACAGTCCCTCAGCTCTTGAAGAGAGTAGAATGCCCCCCAGCCCAGCCCATGGTCAGGCTGCAAGTGGCCGAACTATGGGCTCTGGCTAGAAAGGCTGCCAGAGCTGAGAGCGGGGAGTAGGGGACAGCCTGTGTGGTGGGGTCAGAGCGAGCCTCCAGCCAAGAAAGGAAAGGAGAGGTGAGGTGCTGCCAGTGGACGTGTGGGCACCGTGTCACAGTGGAGTGGCTCAGGAGTAAGGGGAGGTCAAGGCTTCCTCTTGCTGAGCTCAGATTCCCCATCTTTAACATTGGAACAAGAATGGTCATAGCCCCCAGCTTCCGGAGATGATGGCAAGAGGTGGGTAGTGTGGTGAGCAACGGAGCAACGTGGTGGGAAGCCAGCAGCAGTGGCACAGGGCAGAAGGTGAGCATTCCAGGGAAGCCCCCTGTTGTCTCCCTCCCTGACATAGAGCAGCACTGGCCAGGGAGAGGGGTCTTGATGGGGGGTGGGAGTCCACACTGTATAACTCGGGCTTGGTGAAGGGAACACAGGTCAGGCCCAGGGAACCAGTGTGAACAGTGCAGGTGAGAGGTGCAGGTTACCCAGACAGGCCAGAAGTCAGCCTTGACCTCAGCCCCCAGACTGAGAGGTGTCCTTGGGCTGACCCTGAGCCGAGGCCAGTCATGAGATTAGAACCCCAGCAGCAGGAGCCAGGCAAATGCCCTGCAGCTGTGGAGGAGGCTTGGCTGCAGCAGCATTTGACCCCAGAATGGGCCTCCAGCTCCTTCCAGAAAAGTCCCACTGCTGGGAAACTGCTGCATCACTCTCCTGGTGCTGACACCCCCTGTTAGTGTCTCCTTGCTTGGATTAGTATTGCCTTCTTAGGGATACTCTGGTGACAAAACCAGCACCAGCCACCTTATCCAGGCCCAGATCCCAACTTGCACTCTTGGCTGTGGGACTTGAAGCAAGCTTCTTAACCTCTCTGAGCTCCAGGGTCTTTGACTGTGGGATGATGAATTGTGCCCCCAGGTTTGTGGTAGGGTCAGGTGCCCAGTGTTCTAATGCCACTGGATCAGTCCCGGCAGGCAGTGAGCCTCAGTGAACCCGTGTTCCTCCTTCCTCAGGCCAATTCCTAGGAAGCAGGCAGGACTCTGAGAAGATGTGGTGCTGAGACCAGCTTGGTCGTGGAGACCCTAACCCAGCAGCGCTAGAGGAATTAAAGACTCACACACAAAAATATAGAGTGCAGAGTGGGAAATCAGGGGACTCACAGCCTTCAGAGCTGAGAGCCATGAACAGAGATTTACCCACATATTTATTGACAGCAAGCGAGTGATAAGCATTGTTTCTATAGATTATAGATTAACTAAAAGTATCCTATATGGGAAACAAAGGGATGGGCCGTAATAAAGGGATGGGTCTAGCTAGTTATCTGCAGCAGGAGCATGTCCTTAAGGCACAGATCGCTCATGCTATTGTTTGTGGTTCAGTAATGCCTTAAGCGGTTTTCCGCTCTGGGTGGGCCAGGTATTCCTTGCCCTCATTCCGGTAAAACAATAACCTTCAACATGGGCATCGTGGCCGTCACGAGCATGTCACAGTGCTGCAGATATTTTGTTTATGGCCAGTTTTGGGGCCTGTTTATGGCCAGATTTGGGGGCCTGTTCCCAACAACGTGGGGCTGAAGTCTGCTTTCCCTTCTCTAGGAAGAAGTTCTGTGAAGGCCAGAGAGCCAAAACCACCTCCTCAGTCTGCCATTTTTCCACAGGCTTGTGAAAGGAACTGGATCATCTGTTTAGGGCTTCTAAAAGTTATTAGGGGCCAGGTGCAGTGGCTCACACCTGTAATCCTAGCACTTTGGGAGACCAAACCTAGAGGATTGCTCAGGCCCAGGAGTTTGAGACCAGCCTGGGTAACATAATGAGACCTTCTCTATACCAAAAAAAGAAAGAAAGAAAAAAAAGCCAGGCGTGATGATGCACACCTGTAGTTCCAGCTACTCAGGAGGCTGAGGTGGGAGGATTGCTTAAGCCCAGCCCAGGAGGTCGGGGTTTCAGTGAGCCGTGATTGCGCCACTGCACCCCAGCCTGGGAGACAGAGCAAGACCCTGTCTCAAAAACAAAAACAAAACAACAAGAACAAAAATAACAGTTACTAGGCTCTGAGGAAGGTTGCCTTTGGAGACTGAGTCACAGAACTTGACCTCTTAATTACTGAACTTTTGTTATAAATTAATTTCCTTCCTTGTTCCTGGCTTAGACCAGATGGCCCTAAGATAGAAGACCCCTTGACTGAGATGAAAGACCCCTTAACTATTACATCCTTATGTGGAATGTCAAATATACTTTTCCCGAAAAAGAAACACTGCCTTTAACCAATCAATTGCTGTAACTATGTATGAAAAATGATGTAATCCTGTTTACATCCTTGCCTATATAAATGATCCTCAAATCTCTCCACTTCAGAGCACCTTGGACCCCATTTTTTTGGAGACTGTGCCTTCCTCAAACTTTGCACTCCAATAAACTCAGTATTTAATCATATTGCCTGAATCTCATCATTCAGGTTGACAGGCTCAATGCAGAGTGGGCAGGGGATAAACAGTCATTCCAGTAAAGCCCTCTGCTTTCAGGCCTCCCACCCCCATCCCAAGCTCTGCCCAGCCCAGACTAGACCATCTTCATCCCAATCCCAGCCCATTCTAATCCCAGCTCCCAGGCCCAGTTCTGTCCCCATTCCTAACCTAAGTCTGGGGCAGTAGCCAGGGACCACAACAGGACACTCCTAATGGGGACAAAAGGCCTGGAAAGGGGTTGTTCAATTTTTTTTTTTTTTTTTGAGAGAAAGTCTCACTCTGTCTCCCAGCTTGGAGTGCAGCGGTGAGATCTCGGCTCACTGCAACCTCTGTCTCCCAGGTTCAAGCAATTCTCCTGTCTCAGCCTCCCAAGTAGCTGCCCGGCTAATTTTTTTGTATTTTTAGTAGAGACAGGGTTTCACCATATTGGTCAGGCTTGCCTCGAACTCCTGATCTCAGGTGATCCACCTGCCTCGGCCTCCCAAAGTACTGGGATTACAGGTGTGAACCACCGTGTCCAGCTGGGGTTGTTTAGTTAAAAGGAAGGGACACAGAAACCTCCACAGCTCCCCATCTGTAACAGGCAATCGGAGGGGTGACTGCAGCCCCTGCAGCCCCTGCACAGACCTCCTTGCCCATGATGTTTCTTCTGAGCAGAACCTTCCAGAGGCCCACAGGGCCTTCCTGTGACCCACACCCCCAGTGCCATGTGCTGACATCTGACTGCAGCCAGTGGGAGGGCAGGAGTGGCAGCCTAGCCCCGCCTGGTATCATGGTCCCTGTTTGTTTCCAGAAGGTGCAGCATGCAACTCCTGAAGGCAAGAGGCCTGCGAAGGCATTCAGGGCAAGTTGAGAGACTGCGCCCACTGCTCGGCCAGGCTGTGGGGCTGAGGGTGGTGGTAGGGAATGCTGACAAACCCAAGAAGTAGATTTGGGTTCAGACAAGAAAGGCCTGCTCAGGATCCCTGGGGCCCAGCCGACCAGAACCACATCTGCGCTCATGAACAGCCTCTTTATTTCTCAGCCAGGGCCTACTGAAGGCTGAGCCACCTCTCATCCACTCCTGCAAGCCCTCTGGCCCCCAGTGCACCAATGGATTTGAGGGGCTCCATGACTGGCTGGCCCTGTGCTGCAGGTTCAGTGGGGTAGAGTGCTATCCCAGCTCCCAGTGCTGTGGCTGGGAGTCAGTCCCTGGGGAGCCAGGACTCTGTCACTATGACCTGATGTGATTCCACCAGGGAGCTGGGCTCTCCACCCCATGACAAATTGATACAGGCCTCACAGAACAGAAGAGGGGCCCAACCTGTACTTGTGAATGTGCTCCTGAGGCTGGGAGGGTAGGGTGGAGTAGAAGGCAGGGGACCCTCACTCTATGCTGAAGGGGCTGGGGGCTGAGATTGGTGCCCTGTCTTCCTGGGTTCAAATCCTGCTTCTGCTACTTCTTAGCTGTGCTGCCATAGGCAAGTCACTTCATCTCTCTGGGGCTCAGTTTACACAGATATAAAAAATGAGGGCCGGGCACGGTGGCTCACCCCTGTAATCCTAGCATTTTGGGAGGCCGAGGCGGGCGGATCAGGCGAGGTCAGGAGATGGAGACCATCCTGGCTAACACAGTGAAATCCCGTCTCTACTAAAAATACAAAAAATTAGCCGGGTGTGTTGGCTCACGCCTGTAGTCCCAGCTACTTGGTAGGCTGAGGCAGGAGAATGGCGTGAACTCAGGAGGCGGAGCTTGCGGAGAGCCAAGATTGCACTACTGCACTCCAGCCTGGGCGACAGAGCGAGACTCCGTCTCAAAAAAAAAAAAAAAAAAAAAAAAGGATAAGGCCAGGCAAGGTGGCTTTCACCTGTAATCCTAGCACTTTGGGAGGCCGAGGTGGGAGGATTGCCTGAGCCTAGGAGTTCAAGGCCAGCCTAGGCAACATAGCAAGACCCCCATCTCCCCCTGGCAAAAAAAAAAAAAAAAAAATTAACTGGGCATGGTAGTGGCATGTGCCTGTGGTCCCAGCTCAGGAGACTGAGATGGGAGGATCATTGAGCCCAGGAAGTCAAGGCTGCAGTGAGCCATGATCACACCACTGTACTCCAGCTAGGGCAACAGAGCAAGACACTGTCTCAAAAAAAAAAAAAAAAAAAAAATGAGGATGGCCGGGCGTGGTGGCTCACACCTGTAATCCTAGCACTTTGGGAGGCCAAGGTGGGTGGATTACCTGAGGTAGGAGTTCGAGACCAGCCTGGCCAACATGGAGTGCCCGTCTCTACTAAAAATATAAAACTTAGCAGGGCATGATGGTGCGTGCCTGTAGTCCCAGCTACTCTGGAGACTAAGGCAAGAGAATCATTTGAAGCCAGGAGGTGGAGGTTGCAGTGAGCTGAGATTGTGCCACTGCACTCCAGCCTGGGTAACAGAGGGAGACTCTGTCTCAAAAAAAAAATTAAAAAAAAAAAAAAAGAAGGCCCTTTCCTGTTAGGGGAGAGCTGTGCGAGGTAAGGGTCTCAGACGCTGTTTCTTGTTTTCATCATATAGACAGAACAGCCGTGCTGCAAAGATGGTCAATGTACCTAAAACCCGAAGAGCCTTCGGTAAGAAGTGTGGCAAGCATCAGCCTCACAAAGTGACACAGTATAAGAAGAGCAAGGATTCCTTGTATGCCCAGGGAAAGAGGTGCTATGATCGGAAGCAGAGTAGCCATGGTGGGCAGACATAGCCAATTTTCTGGAAGAAGGCTAAGACCACAAAGAAGGTTGTGCTAAGGCTGGAATGTGTTGAGCCTAACTGCAGATCCAAGAGGATGCTGGCCATTAAGAGATGCAAGCATTTTGAACTGGAAGGAGATAAGAGAAAGGGCCAAGTGATCCAGTTCTAAACTTTGGGAAATTTTTCTTTTGATTTGAAGAGAAAATGCTGAAGCCATAGAAAAATTACCTGTAGGAAAATAAATACAGTGATATTCTTTAAAAAAAAAAATGAGGATAAGCATTAACCACATCAAGGGATAATCAGGCAGATCAACTGACTGTGAATATGAAGAACCCAGTGCAGAATGGGCACAGCAATGCCCAGTGCTTCTGGAGAAAGTAAGCCTAAGGGGTGGGGAAGGATCCCAGCTGGTCCGTGCAGCCTGGAATACACATGCGTGTTGGGGACTGTCTGGCCTGGAACAACCAAGAAAGCCCCCCAGAGTATAGGCCTGCCTGGGGCATTCACTGCCCCTCCCAGCCACCCCAAGCCTGAAGGCTTCACTGCTCCTACCCCTCCCCATTGCCTGTCCAACCCTCCTGCCCACCCCCAATGCCAGTGGACAAGTCTAGGGCTATTGACTGGGATCCCAATGCCATGCCCCAAATGGAGACTTCCTGGCCCGGCAGGACTCACAGGAGCTTAGAGGACCAAGGAGAAAAAACTGTTGCACTCATGTACACATGCACATGCGAACACATGCATGCACACACACAGAGGGACACAGAACCAGCCAGGCACACACGTGCAACCATGGCCGGCAACCAACCTTCCCTCCCTCCCTCCCTCCCTCCCCACTTCCTTCTTTCCCTCCCTCCCTCTTTCCTTCCTTCCTTACTTCCCTCCCTCCCCCTCCCCCTCTTCCTCCCTTCCCCTCCACCTCTCCCTCCCTCCCTTCCCTCCTTCCCCCGCCCGTTCTCCATCTCCCCCTCAGTCCCTCCTCCCACTTCCTTCCCTACCTTCTCTTCTACCCCCTCCCCCATCCCCACTCCCTTCCCTCAGACCACTCTGCCTGGCTTACTATGCCAGAGTGTGCATAACCTCTGTGGTATCCACAGGATACCTAGAAATGCCCCCAGCCTCTCCTTCTGGGTCCAGAATAAGCAGATGCCTTGGGGGTAGTATTGGGGTGGGGGTATTCAGTCACCCCTGCTCCCCTCATAGCCTCCAGTCCTGTGCCTGGCACCCACTGCTTTGGGGTTTCTATTTATACCTAGCTCTTTCACCAGACTAGCAAAGGCAAGTTTGCATCCTGGCTGCACTCCAGCCTAACTCTGTGACCTCAGGCAGGCCATTGGACATGGCTGGCCAAAGTTTTCTCATCTCTAAAATGGGGCTGTCATGCCTTTTTTTTTTCTTTAGAGACAGGGTCTCATTCTGTCACCCAGGCTGGAGGTGGTGGTGCCACCATGGCTCACTGCAGCCTTGAACTCCTGGGCTCAAGTGATCCTCCCACTTCAGCCTCCCAAGTAACTGAAACTACAGGCATTGGCCAGGCGCGGTGGCTCATGCCTGTAATCCCAGCACTTTGGGAGGCCGAGGTGGGCAGATCACGAGCTCAGGAGATCGAGACCATCCTGGCTAACATGGTGAAACCCCGTCTCTACTAAAAATACAAAAAATTAGCCAGCCGTGGTGGCGGGTGCCTGTGGTCCCAGCTACTTGGGAGGCTGAAGTGGAAGAATGGCGTGAACCCTGGAGGCGGACCTTGCAGTGAGCCAAGATCGCGCCACTGCATTCCAGCCTGGGCGACAGAGCGAGACTCCGTCTCAGAAAAAAAAAAAAAAAAAAAAAAAAAAGAAACTATAGGCATGTGCCACCACACCTGGCTAATTTTTAAAAATTTTTTGTAGAGACAAGGTCTCGCTCTGTTGCCCAGGCTGGTTTCAAACTCCTAGTGTCATGCCTTTCTTACTGGGTGTGGTGGGAAGATCTTGAATGAAACGCAACTAGCACGGTGCTTGTCTGCTTACTCACTCTCATCCTCCAAAGACAGAGCTGGCCTTCCTCTCTGGGGACAAGTGCCCCTGGACAGCCCCTAGGGATGGCTGAATGCACAGATCGCCCAGCTAGTTCCCCTCCCTCCTCTTTAGCCCAGAGGAGGAGGTATTGGGTGGGCTGCCCCCACTCAAAGTAGTTTCATCGCTTACTGCCCGGGACCTCACCTGCAGGGTCATCCCTGTTGGGCACCCACCTCCCTTCCACCCCATCTATCCTCTACCTGCTCAACTCCTGCATCTGCAAGGCCTGGAGGGTCTCTTGCTCCCTGCCCCCATTTTCCCATCTTTGTCCTGAACCCCACCTGCCTTCTCTTTCACAATCCCCTCTCTTGCCAGGGTGTGGCTCCCATGTGGGCCTGTGGTCCACAAGCCTACCCAGTTCCCTTCATCCCCTCTTCTGCTTTCAGGTCCCCAGCCCAGGCTGCCTCCATCCCACCCCACCAAGCTGGAAGACCAGCACAATTCAGACAGGACTTGTGTCCCAGCTACCCCTGGCCCCTCAGTTTCCTCATCTGTAATTTAAGAATAAAAATGCCGGCTGGGCACGGTGGCTCACGCCTGTAATCCCAGCACTTTGGGAGGCTGAGGTGGGTGGATCACGAGGTCAGGAGATCAAGACCATTCTGGCTAACATGGTGAAACCCCGTCTCTACTAGAAAAAAATAGAAAAAAATTAGCCGGGCATGGTTGCGGGCGCCTGTAGTCCCAGCTACTCCGGAGGCTGAGGCAAAAGAATGGTGTGAACCCAGGAGGTAGAGGTTGCAGTGAGCCGAGATCATGCCACTGCACTCCAACCTGGGCGACAGAGCAAGACTCTGTCTCAAAAAAAAAAAAAAAAAAGAAAAGAATAAAAATACCATTCGGGTGCAGTGGTTCATGCCTATAATTCCAGCACTTTGGGAGACAGGAGGACTTCTTGAGCCCAGGAGTTTGAGACCAGCCCGGGCAATATAGTGAGACCCTATCTGTACAAAAATTTTAAAAATTACCTGGGTGCGGTGGCATACACCTATGGTCCCAGCTATTCAGGAGGCTGAGGTTGGAGGATCACTTGAGCCTGGGAGGTCAAGGCTGCAGTGAGCTGTGATCATGCTACTGCACTCCAGTCTAAGCAACACGGCAAGACCCTGTCTCAAAAAAACAAAAACACAACCTATGTTTTGGTGTATTGTAGGACTAAATTAGAAAACCTATGTATCAGTCGGGTGCAGTGGTTCGTACCTATAATCTCAGCACTTTGGGAGGCCAAGGTGAGTGGATCACCTGAGGTCAGGAGATTGAGACCAGCCTGACCAACATGGTGAAACCCCCTCTCTACTAAAAATACAAAAATTAGCTGGGTGTGGTGGCAGGTGCCTGTAATCCCAACTACTCAGGAGGCTGAGGCGGGAGAATCTCTGGAACCCAGGAGGCGGAGGTTGCAGTGAGCCAAGATCATGGCATTGCACTCCAGCCTGAGTGCAATGAAAAAAAGAAAAAGAAAACCTATGTATCTGGCATACAGGTCAATATAAACAACAGGAAAGGATGGATAAATAAATGAACTAGACCTGGAGTCTGCTCCCCCATTACAATGTCCCTATGAAGCCCCACTTTTAGAGGCAGGCTGGCTGGGGGAGGTCAGCCGAGGGTGGCTCAGAAAGAGGGAGGAGGCTGACTCAGGTGCCAGGATGAGGCCTTGGGAGGTCCAGCGGGGCTTTCTCTGACTCAGGAAGTCTAGAGCAGTAGCCCAGGGCCTGCCCTGTGCCTGGGACCCAAGGTCCTTAGCTTTCAGCAGAGGATCCATGCAGGACCACTGCCAGCCCAAAGGCACCACTCTCTGCAGACAGAGCCCCGGGCCAGGACACCTGACTTGGGAGGAGAGCATGTGCTGGATTTCAGGAGCTAGATGCTACTCTGGCTGGACATCCTGTGCCTGGCAGGAATCTGGCGCCCCTAGTGACTCTGAGGATGGCAAAGGGGCTTATGTTTCTCCAGGCCAACTCCCCACTCAGCAACTTGCCCAGTGCCCATGGCCTCCAGGCCCGGTCCTCCCCAGGCTTCATGCCCCCTCACCCCTTAGCACTGACTGTCTCAGCACGGATGGTCATAAAGCAGGGTTGATGTTAGGCTTTGACCAAAGGTCAGGAGATTGAGAAGAATGACATCGCAGCTCAGCACAAGCAACGGGGACGATTAAACAGTAGCCGTCCTTGTTTGAAAACCCATCAGAGCTGTTTCCTGTGCTGCTACACCCCACTCAGGTCACAGCTTGCTGACGCCTTCTTGGGTTTCTACCCACCCCCATTCCTGTTTGAAACGCCTGTTCTTTTATTCTTATTTGTGGCAATTTAGCCCTCCTGCCCTGCCTCTGCAAATCAGATAGGTCTCCATTTCGGAGCCCACTCAGGCAGCTTGCTAAACTAGGGGCAACTATCAATGCAGGCTGCAACTTTCAACTACAGTTTATCTTTGAACAAGCTGCACCCATTCTTACACAGTATTCCCTTGTCCACCCACACAGACACATGGACAAAGGATGGTAGAAAGATTTATTCTTCTGGAATTTTTTTCTTCTTCCTCATGCATTTGGTCACTTTCCCATCTCATGTTTAATTTGTTAAAGCCAATCTCAGACACTTTTTGGATCATGAACACCTGTCACAGGTTTATCATAAGTTGGGAACAAGTTTAGGAAAACAAAAGGGAACAAGTTTAGGAAAACAAAACACAATCGAGTCCTCCAGCATTGCGGGAAAAGCTATGTCATGCAGTGATTTGGAGCACGGATACTGAGCCAGATGGCCTGGGTTGCAATCCTGGTTTTGCCTCTTTGTAGCTGTGTGACCTTGAGCAAGTTTACTTAACCTCTCCGTGCCTCAGCTTCTCACTTGTGAACAGCAGATAATAATAGCACTCACTTCACGGGTTTGTTGTGCCTGAAATCCAATTTAATCCAAATTACATGTATTAATTTTAATTTTAATTTTTGTAGGGGGAGTGTCTTGCTGTGTTACCCAGGCTGGTCTTAAACTCCCAGCTTCAAAAGATCCTCCCACCTCAGCCTCCCAAGTAGCTGGGATTACAGATGCACTCAACCACACCCAGGTAAATGTTTTATGTTTTGTAGAGACAGGGTCTCATTATGTTGCCCAGGCTAGTCTCAAACTCCTGGGCTCAAGCAATTCTTCCGTCCTCAGCCTCCTGAGTAGCTGGGATTACAGACGTGAGCCACCGCACCCAGCCTTAAATGAATTAATACATGTAAGATCCCGGCCAGGCACTGTGGCTCATGCCTGTAATCCCAGCACTTTGGGAGGCCGAGATGGGCAGATCACGAGGTCAGGAGATGGAGACCATCCTGGCTAACACGGTGAAACCCCCTCTCTACTAAAAATACAAAAAATTAGCCAGGCGTGGTGGTGGGCGCCTGTAGTCCCAGCTACTTGGGAGGCTGAGACAGGAGAATGGCGTGAACCTGGGAGGTGGAGCTTGCAGTGAGCCGAGATCGGGCCACTGCACTCCAGCCTGGGGGAGAGAGCGAGACTCCGTCTCAAAAAAAAAAAAAAAAAAAAAAACACACACACACACACAAAAAAGCATGTAAGATCCCCAAAGCAGTGCCTAGCACACAATAAGCATGGTGTGAGTGTTGGCTGTTATGAGCAAGTTTATATAGGAGAAGAAGGAGGAATGTTAGATAAGGTTGTTTAACTATGTACAGGTCTGGTTAGCTTTACAGGGCTGTAAAGCTGTCACATTCATATCAGCTGCAGGGGTTAAACCTGGGTCACACCAACCGGGACCATCCCTCTAAATTGCCAGGTGTGGGCTGTTCATCAGAAATACCAACTACAGTTTGTTATTTTGTTTTATTTTTTCAGGGGCCTTAGGGTAGCTTACTTTCTCAGACCTTAGCCTATATCCCTGAATGATTATCAGGAAAATGTTTTAATCCAGCAAGGCCTAGGGAATGGGAGATGGCAGAGAGGATGGGAGAGCAGGGGAGCCTGTTCCACCACAGCCAGATGGTGCTTGGCAGAGCAGGAAGAGGACTCTGTGGCCACTAAGCCGGGAGGTGCTGGGCAGTGAGGCCCGGGATGCATCTGTGGTCCTGGGCATGGGAACAGCACTCGGTGCAGTCATAGTTCCTGGCTGCTGGCCACACTGTCTTCTGAATCCTTGGCCCACACAGAACTCCCTCCTTGAGTTCTCAGAGCCCTGGCCAGCCCCAGAACCCTCTGCCCAGCTTTCTGCTGGCCTGACTGTCCTGTGGAGGAGGGGAAGCAGGACTGCAGGAGGATGTGGCCAGACCAAGTTGGAAGCCAAGAGGGGCTTGGCAGCTCCCCGAGGGCTGGCACTGCGCCCCCTCCTCTTCCACTCTCCACTGCCCACGCTGCTCAGGACTCGACACAAGAGCATTCAGTTAATAGAGATGTGGTGGTGTTGCTTGGGAAAAGCCAACCCAAAGACACAAGGTCACCTGACATTTAGCAATGCTATTCAATGGAAATAAAATAGGAGCCATATGTTATCTGAAATTTTCTAGCAGACAGTAAGGAGAAACAGATGAAATCAATTTTAGCAATATATTTAAGAGAACCCAATTTATCTAATGGAACCCTGTGTTACCATTTCAATATTTAATCATATACAAAATTATTAAGATATTTCACATTCTTTTGTTTCATGCTAAGTCTCCTAAATCCTGTGTATATGTTACACTTACTGCCCATATCAATGTGTACTAGCCCCTGCAGGAGAGGAAAAAACTTTTCCTCTACACTCTCTTGTTCTGTGATTGCAGCTTTCGAATTAAACTGACAAAAGACAGATTAACAGGAGAAGAAGTTTATTATGTCTGCATACCGTACCAACAAAGGACGTAGCTGGCTGGTTAAATAGAGTTGAAGGCTTATATACCTAACTTAGTAGGGAAAAGGGAGGGGAAAGAAAGGGCTTCTGTGGGAAAAACAAATAGGTTTCTTTAGCAAAGACAAATGGGGTTTTAAGAGAACCGACAGGTGATAAAGTTTGTGAAATATTTGTCTATATAGGTATGAGTGGTCGCTCTGTCTTCTTGGGGCCATGAAACTACCCCTATGACAGAGTTTATGGTAGCCTTACTTCCCAGAAGTTACTGCTTTTTGTCAGATAAAGGAAGCTCCTAGGAGGCTTTTTTCTGCGTCTGTTGAATCTCAAATGTCTTCAGCTTAAAATAATGTTTATGCCAACTCTGGGGCTCCTAGTGGGTTCCCACACATTTCAAGTGCTCAACAGTCATATGCGGCTACCTTATCAGATGGTGCAGGTGCAGAATCATTAAATCATGGAACCCCAGGGCAGGACAGCTCCTGGAGACGCTGGCAAGCATGCCCTCTGCCACCTTCTTCCCCGTGCCTAGCCCGTACTCTGCTTGAGTGTCCCCAAGCTGGGTGCCCACGACCCCTGCCTCCCCCGCAGCTTCCTCCAGACCAGTGGCTCAGGCTCCGTGGTAGATTGAGTTGTTGATGTTGAGCAGAAATCTCCCTCCCGCCTAAGTGGGCAACCCAACATCTTTCCCAAAGCACTGGCACAAACCCGCCGTGAGGGTGGCTGGCAGGAACTATTGTTGAATTTTACCTAGAGGGTCCGTGTCCAGCAGCAAGTGGGGACAGGAGAATGCTAGGATACAAGGTCGTCCTTGCTGTGCCTTGGCCCAGCGAGTGGTCTCCATGTCCCCTCAGAGGGAGGGTGCATTCTGGCACGTGGCTGAGCGGGTACCCACCAAAACCCTAACGTAGAAAGCCCGGCTCCAGTCACAGCCTGCCTGGGACTGGCCCTGGCCCTGGCCCTGGCTGCCGCTCTCCTTCCCCCAGCTGAATCCTAATAGGAGGCACAGAATCCTAATACAGCCTCCAGGTTTCACAGATGGGGAAACCGAGGCGCGGTTCCCGCGCGTCCACGTTCAGCCCATGCCCGGGCTGAACCCAATTGCAACAAAGTCCCAGGGGCCTCCGGAGAAAACGTGGGAGCCTTCCCGCCCTGGCGGGCCCTTGCCAGCTCTCTGCTTCTCGGACACAGGCGGCGGGCGGGCGCGGGCCTCAGGGACCCGGCCGCTGGGGCGGGAGTCTCCAGGGAACCGTGATGTAACCCAGCGCCCCGGCTTGCAGGAGCGGCCCCCAGGCGCCGCCCGTGGCTTGTTTACTCGACTAGGGGCGCGGGGTGGAGTCGCGGCCACCGGCCCCGCCCCACCCCCCACAGTGCCCGCCCCTGCACCTCCCCCCAACCCCTCCACCCCAACGGCTGGACGGAGCCCCAGGGGCTGTTGGAGGCTTGCGGGTGTTGGTCCTGTTTCTGCCTTAGATGTTCCAAGACCTGGCGCAGTGGCCGAGCCACACGGGTGACTCTGAAAGGGCCTGAGTCCCCCACGAGCTCTCTCAGTCACGGCCCCCAAAGTAGCTCAAAAGAACATTCCAACGAAGTAAAATCCCGGAGCTTGCTATGCCTACGCAGCCTCAGGACAAGGGCCCTCCTATCCGGTCCCCCAGTCGCCGCATCTTCCCGGCCTGTCTCCTGCTCCTGTCTCCTGTTCTGTGATAGCCGGCACCGTGGGGAGCCCTTTTTTGGACTCCCCAAAAGTCTGCCTCAGGGGACAAAAACAGCATTTCCCAGGGGCTCTACTACTCCTGGCACAGAGAAAGAGAGTTTGCTCTTGGCTAGGCAAAGTTAACACCCTGAAGGGCTGAAGGGCAGAACTGCTTAGGGGTTGGGGCTCCTCACTTAGGGCAGCGATTCCCAGTCCTGGGCTCTTTCCAGCCCCAAGCCAGGGCCTGGCTCACTGGGGCCAGTGGGGAACAGCAGGGCTCCCTGCACACACAGCACCCTCTCGAACTGGGCTCTCCAGCCAGACACAGGCCTCCCACCCCTAGGGGAGAGCAAGAACAAGGCAGTGTGTGGCCAGATGGTAATGGATGGGAACAGATCTAGAGGGTGCAATGCTGATGCCAGCAAAAACCCCAACAGCTGTGACCTGTGCCCACTGCCAGGGTTTTCTCATCTAGACTCTCCATTCCCTGGTGAGGCAGGCAGGCTGCCTACAGATGAGGGAGCTGAGGCTCAGAGAGAGCAGGGGAGCCTGAGGTCACCCTAGGAAGTTGGCGACAGCTGCAACTAGGACCTAAACCCGTGTGCTAGTCTCTCATGCGCTTTTTTTTTTTTAAATAGACAGTACAATATGAACATACTTCATGCAATCTTGAGAGCCCAAGAGCCCTGTAACTGGGAGCAGTCCAGGAGGGCTTCCTGGATAAGAGGCCAGGCCTCAGCTAGATGAGGGAGGAGGGGCACGATTTGGAGAGAGAGGTGTGAGGTGAGAAGGCTTCTCTGAGGTGGGAAATAGGAAGAAAGGGGATGGGCTGGGTGGGATAGCACTCACCTGTAATCCCAGCACTTTGGGAGGCTGGGGAAGGGGATTGTTTCAGACCAGTTTGGGCAATATAGTGAGACCACCATCTCTACCAAAAATTAAAAATGTGGCACATGCCTGTGGTCCCAGCTACCTGAGAGGCTGACATGGGAGGATTGCTTGGGCCCTGGAGGTCAAGGCTGTAATGAGCCATGATCGTGCCACTGCACTCCTGTCTGGGTGACAGAGTGAGACCTTGTCTCAAAAAAAAGAAGAAAGGGGAGGTTAACCTGGGAAGAGAACAGCCCGGGAGCTGCAGGAAGTAAGGGTGCAAAAGATCTCACCAAAGAAGAGGGTCTGGGGGTCAGTCAGGGAGGAGGCCAGCCAGGGTCAAGAGAAGTTCCTGGGGAGGGGGTGTGGTGGGCAGATGCAGGATTGGAGACTACTGGTATTGGGGGCAGCATTTCCAGTCCAGCCTTCCACTGCAGACTCTAGCATTTCCCAGCCCTCTGGCTTTGGGTATGTTATCTTCCCTCTGTGGGCCTCAGTTTCCTCATTTATAAGATGGAGATCAGCTCCCCACGCTGCCCATGGCTGAGAAGGTGCTTTGTGACTGGCTTTACATACTTGAGGGTGTGAGGGACTCATATACCAATGTGACGGATAGGCTGGAGTCAGGGGAGACCTCTCCATGGGGCTTCTCCCTGCCATGTATTCCCTGCCCTTACAGAGAGAGGCCTCATACACTTGTTCCCTCCAACTCTGCCGGCATGTTGGGGAGGCCCCTAGGCTTAGTAAATATTTGTGTCTCTGCTCTAGTTGGTGGCTGCTGGAACATTCTGTCCTGCTTCTCATTCATCTAGGCTTCTGCCTCAGGCTGTGAAGTTACTGCAAGAGATCAAGAGCCCAGGGTGGGAACTTCTAGGTCCTTCGCCAGCCCCCCTCCTGCCTACTCCTGAGCCCCAGTTTATTCCTGGAGTTCAGAACCCTGTGCGAGGCCCTGTGCACTTTGGGAGGCTAAGGCAGGTGGATCACCTGAGGTCAGGAGTTCGAGACCAGCCTGGCCAACGTGGTGAAACCCCATCTCTACTAAAAATACAAAAATTAGCCAGGCGTGGTGGCATGTGCCTATAGTCATAGTCCCAGCTACTTGGGAGGGCAAGGCAGGAGAATTGCTTGAACCTGGGAGGTGGAGGTTGCCAGTGAGCCGAGATTGTGCCATTGCACTCCAGCCTGGGCAACAGAGTGAGACTCCGTTTCAAAAAAAAAAAAAAAGAAAGAAAGAAAAAAAAAGAAAAAAAAAGAAAGAAAGGAAAGGAAGAGAGAGAGAGAGACATGTGACTCTAAAGAACCTCTCTGGGCATGGTGGCTCATGCCTGTAATCCCAGCACTTTGGGAGCCCAAGATAGGAGGATTGCTTAAGCCCAGGAGTTTGAGAACAACCTGGGCAACATAGTGAGACCCTATCTCTAGTTTTAAAAAGAACACCTCTCCTTTTGCTGTGAGAAGAGCTAGGACATTGGGTCCGAATGTTAGCTCAGTAGCTGGCCTGATGTGTGGTTTTGGTTGAGTCCCACTACTTTTCTGAGCTTATTTCCTCATTCCTGAAAAGGTGGTGAAATGGTTTGGACCAGTGCCTGGCACTTACTAAGCTGTTTTCTTCCTTAGCCTTCCTTCCATGCCTCTGCACTGTCTTCCTAGAAGTTTGGGCCTGCCCTATTTAACCAATTAAATTAACAAGGATAAGAAGTTTCCGACTTTTATTGGGTACTCTATACAGTGCTATGCTGGTAAATGTTAAAAACCAGCTCTACATACATTTTTTTAAAGTTCTAGGCCAGGCGCAGTGGCTCATGCCTATAATCCCAGCATTCTGGGAGGCCGAGGCAGGTGGATCACCTGAGGTCAGGAGTTCAAGACTAGTCTGATCAATATGGTGAAACCCCATCTCTACTAAAAATACAAAAATTAGCTGGGTGTTCAAGGTGGCACGCACCTGTAGTCCTAGCTACTCAAAAGGCTGAGACAGGAGAATCACTTGAATCTGAGAGGCAGAGGTTGCAGTGAGCTGAGATCACACCACCGCACTCCAGCCTGGGCAATAGAGTGAGACTACATCTAAAATAAAATAAAATAAAATAAAAGTTCTGTTTTGCAGTGTTTGCCCTATTTCCGTGCTGTTAATACTCACCATGGCCATTTCTTTTTTTCTTTTTTTCTGAGACAAGTTTCGCTCTTGTTGCCTAGGCCGGAGTGCAATGGCAAGATCTTGGCTTACTCCAACCTCAACCTCCTGGGTTCAAGCTATTCTCCTGCCTCAGCCTGCTGAGTAGCTGGGACTACAAGCGTCCACCACCACACCCAGCTAATTTTCGTATTTTAGTAGAGACGGGTTCGCCACATTGGCCAGGCTGGTCTCGAACTCCTGACATCAGATGATCCACCAGCCTCAGCCTCCCAAAGTGCTGGAATTATAGACGTGAGCTACCGCGCCCGGCCCACCGTGGCCATTTCAAAGCTACCAACATGACATCACAGAAAGTGAACTGTGACCTAGTGAGAGCTGGCAGGCCACAACACAGCACTGCCTGTGGGATTTGCTATATAATTTGCAAGGCCCAATACAAAATGAAATTGCAGGTTCCCTGTTCAAAATGCATGGGGGAATGTCTTCCCTTTTTTCCATGATGCCTCTCACAACCTGTCATGGTGTTGCGTTTTTTGGTAATTTACACTTAATGTTCTTACTCCCTCCAGCTCGGGACACGCACAGGGCAAGAGCGGACCTTCACAGATCGGGGAGGTGGCACATGTGGAACCTAGTAACTACCAGGCTCCCCGTTCCAGCAGCCACCAGACAGACTTATTGGGAAGTAGAGGCAGGCATCTTCCCTTCCTAAAGGCCCACAGTCCCAACTATGTCCCAACCTCGTAGCCAGGAGGCACTAGGGACTGGGATAGGAGTGGAGAGAGGCTCACCCTCCCTAAGCCACCCACTGAACATGGCATATTGCTGCCAGCCTGGGACAGGACGGCCACCACCTGTCCGCTCTGACACTGTGGGGTGCATGTACTTGGCCCTGGCGCACCCACCCCCACCCAGGCCCTCAAGGGAGCAAAGGGTGGCAGTGTTGCAGGGCAGGGGTGACAAGGGGGCTGGGTGGCACTGGGGCACCAGAGGTTGAGGGAGTGGATAGCCAAGAACTCATTCCAGGGAAGCATGGAGGTGGCAGGAGGCATGACCATGCTTCAGGCCAAGATTCCAAGCCCTCAGCACGTGCTACATGACCCCATTGGACTTCACTTACAAAAGACAAATTTGGCTGGGCATGATGGCTTACACTTGTAATCCCAGCACTCTGGGAGGCCGAGACAGGTGGATCACCTGAGGTCAGGAGTTCAAGACCAGCCTGGCCAAGATGGTGAAACCCCGTTTCTACTGAAAATACAAAAATTAGCCGGGCATGGTGGCACGTGCCTGTAATCCCAGCTCCAGCTACTCAGAGGCTGAGGCAGGATAATCATTTGAACCCAGGAGGCAGAGGTTGCAGTGAGCCAAGATTGCGCCACTGCACTCCAGCCTGGGTGACAGAGCAAGACTCTGTCTCAAAAAAAAAAAAAAAAAAAAGACAAATTCAAAGTTAAATTACGAAGAATTTCAAAGTACTGCTTGGTCCTAGTGCATTCAACCAAGCTTGGTTGGGCCCTTCCAAGTGCAGGGCTCTGTCTGTGGGCTGCACTGAAGGGGGCCTTACTATATGTGTTATCCAAGTGAGATAAGAATGGGTGGGCAGGTTGGCTGGGCATGGTGGCACATGCTTGTAATCCCAGCACTTTGGGAGGCCGAGGCGGGTGAATCAGCTGAGGTCAGGAGATCGAGACCAGCCTGATTAACATGGTGAAACCCTGTCTCTACTAAAAATACAAAAATTAGCCAGGCGTGATGGCATGCACCTATAATTCCAGCTACTCAGGAGGCTAAGGCAGGAGAATTGCTTGAACCCGGGAGGCGGAGGTTGCAGTGAGCCGAGATTGCACCACGGCACTCCAGCCTGGGTGACAGAGTGAGACTCCATCTCAAAAAAAAAAAAAAAAAGAGTGGCCCAGCAGGATCATTCCTTAGGAACTTTAGTCTTTTAGTCCCCACATTAGAGAAACCTGGGTGCCTTGAGGGAAGTAAAGGCCAGGTGACTCACCTCCCTCCTCAGAAATCTCCCCTACTTTGGGGAAGCATGCACGCAACTTGGCAAAAACTTGTCAAACAAAAAAATACAGCCTTTGTTACAGAAATTTATCATCCACCATCTGCACCATTGCTTCCATTTTTATATCTGCATGGTGCCGCTTTTCTCTTTTTGAGAAATACTTTCCAAAAATTGACCTTTTGTTTCTAAACAGGTGAAAGATAACATTTTGAAACACTCAATTCACTGCCCATCTGTGCAATGTATAATTGGTTGCATTCGTTGGTCTAGAGAATACCCACAACTGTAAAAGTTTTCTCCATACTGATATTTGTCCTGGGGATTGAAGCCAAATTATTGACCTAGTTTTAGTAAATCTAGAACAACAGCTTTTTGGCTTAAGAAATATTTCCATGTATCAAGAATAATCATTCCCTTGACATGAATGAGTGATGGCCCAGGCATCAACTTCCTGACAAAGGGAATTTGAAAGGGGCGCTTCTCAAACCACGCTGGCCCCAGTCCAGGAAGGTATAGTTTCCATTTCTCAGGAGTGGCCAGATGCTCTGGGCCAGCTGCTGGAAGGGGTGTCTCACCAGGGAAGAGGGCTGCAAATGTGGGCAGAGGACGAGACGCCCCCACAGCCTGTTGATGCAAGCAGCCCCACTCTGCATACCCCCAGCTCTGTCCAGATGGTAATCCCGCTGCTGGGAGCCCAGGCCCAGCCCATGGCTCTCAGGACTGTGTTGCATTGTGAAAGAAGGGCAGGAGCCTCACTGGGGCAGGTCAGCACTCACAGAAACATACAGACATACAGGCAGGAAGCAGCCGGGGAACCTTGTCCTGAAGTGTGTGCAGGTGCAGTGGACACAAACCACCTCCATGGCATGTTGATAAAAGCCACATGGTGAAGGAATAGTGGGCCTTCTCCAGCATGTTCTTCTATAGGTTTCCCCACAGAAATTCAAACCATAGGCTGGGCGCCATGGCGCATGCCTGTAATCCCAGCACTTTGGGAGGCTAAAGCTGGAAAGATTGTTTGAGCCCAGGAGTTGAAGACCAGCCTAAGCAACATAGTGAGAGCCCCCCTCTCTACAAACATTTTTTTTTTTTAATTAGCCGGCCATGGTGGCACATGCCTGTAGTCCTAGCTACTGGGGAGGCTAAGGCTGGGGGATCACTTGAACCTGAGAGGTCAAAGTTGCAGTGAGCCGTGGCCATGCCACTGTACTCCAGCCTGGGCAACAGAGCGAGACCCTGTCTCAAAAAAAAAGAAAAAAATAAGAGAGAAACTCAAACCATAGGCTGTTTGAGTCTAAACCTGGCCCTGTGTACTCCTTAGTGATTTTGGGCAAATCCCAGGGCGTATCTGAGCCTCACTTTCTCCATGTGTAAAATGGGAACATGATGCATATCTTCAGGATTGAGTTGAGTATTAAACAAGTTGCCTGTGTTTATGTTCATGTGTAGATGTTGGACACAGAGCTGGCGCTCAATACCACAGGATGGAAACAGGGTGGCTATTATTATCATTAGCAATCAGATAGTAGAGAGAAGGTCTGACTCACTTCTGTGTGCTTTTTCTGGTACACAGGATGTGGTACTGGGAAATGTGGATGGAACTCTTGGGCCTTGGCGGGCTGTGTTGAGAGAGTGGTTTGTGGCGACATGGTAGGGAAAAGTAGGTGACTGTGCTGGGCCTTTGCTGGCCTTCTTCCCCAGGAAACAGAACTGTGGGGGGCAGGGACGGTGGCGATGTGGAGGAAGCTCATCCTTAGCCAGCCCCCTCATTTCATAGATGGAGAAACTGTGTGTCAACCCATGATGAACTCATTACACCAACCTCTACTGGCCTCAGAGTAATTTGTGGAACTCCAAAATTTTGGAGCCCCAAAAACTGGAGATGCAAACCCTGGGTGCCTGTTCAGATTCCCCCAGCAATCTGCTTCATTTCTCTTGATTGGCATAAGACCAGTGCCAGGTCACTCCTCCGTTTTTAGAACTGGATAACATTCCACATCAAAAAAGGTATGAAACTGGCTACTGAGGAGTTCGGTGATGAAACACAAAAGTATGGATGAGTTAGCTCCCCGCACCTGCCAGGTGAAACCTGACCTATGAGAAACAGGAGATGGGAAGGAACTGGGAAGGTAAGTTCTCCCTCCTTTTTCTCTCCTTGGACTGCTCCAAGGTGCAGTTCCCTGCATCCCTCTGGACAAGTCCCCATGCAGAGCGACATGCCTGCTGAGCGACCTGCTGTGTCTCACCCAGGCTAGCCATGAAGCTGTGGCCAGCACAGTAGCACATCAGCCACTTTGCATTCCATCTGCCCTGGCCTTACTTCCCTCATTCTTCACTCTCACCATCCTGGGCTGGCATCTCCCAGATAAAGTATTGGCACTGTTCCCGGGGAGCAGCCCTATGTAAACCTATCCCTAAAGGCTGAGGAAGCTGAGAGGCCAAAGACAGAGGCTGACAAATGTAGTTTCTCTGAAAGAAACATTTAATAATAACTTAGGCACAGAAGCCATTGTCTCAGTAGCTGCAAGAGGAGATGGTGGAGCCCTGCCATTATCCCCCAGACCAAGGGCTTATATACCATAGGGAAAGAATGTGTAGGACAACTGAAGTTGGCCCTGCAGGGAAAGGCAAAAGTATTATGTGAATCTGCCTAAGGGGAGGATTTACGCTCCCCAAAACAAAAAATAAGATTGTTTTGACCTAGGAGCAGGGTTTATGGTAGCAGTAGATAAATTAGAAGTCTTAGAGGCATTCTTTGAACAGGGGTTAATCAGAAGTCAACATGGCAGGTTGGCATCCAAGATGGAGTTGCTTTAGCCTCCACAGCCACCTTAATCCTTGACCCAAGCTCTGTTTTTTAGATGACCCAGGCTAAGATGGGTGGCATTCCAAAATCATTCATATTATAGGATTATTCAACATAAAGGTACTCAATATATAATAGAATTATTTCATCTATTTAGATAAAAGTTTCTGTCCTGCAGAAGAGACATGGGAGGCACTGCCTGAGGAGCAAACCGAATTAACATTTTCCATCCCAGGAAAATACACATAACAAAACAGACATTAGTCACCTTTTTCAGCACCCAGTATCAACCTGGCAACGCTCAACATTCTTCCTGTTGGTCCTTGTTGTCTTTGATCTACTCCAGGTGGGGAAGGATGACCTCCGAATGATTCACAATGGGGTCTCTGGGCAAGGCAAAGAGCAGATAGTCACCCAAGACAGGCCTGTTGAGCTTTCTTCAGGGCTCATTGAACGTAACCAGACAAATAAGGAGGGTTCTTTGAGGTAGGCCTGCTGGACGTCCATCAGCAATTCCTTCTGAGATCCCCTCCACATATACAAACACACACAAAGACAAGGACAGAAGGCCTTCCGAATCAGATACCTAACCAAGAACTCTAAGAGTATCCCTTCCAAACTATCCTATTCTTTGTCTGAGAAATCACCTCAAAATCTTCCTGAATGTGGAGGTCTCCTGAACCAAGGCTCTTCCTACTAGTTAGGGAGAGCCAACCACCCCCTGCCAGGAGCCAAACCGAGACAGACACCCCATCCTGCAATGGGGCTATAGACACCCTACCATGGAACTACAGAACCAGTCAGGAGAAGGAAGGAGGCATTGGCAGAGCCTAGGATACTCGCCAACCCAGACACCCTGCAACGGGGCTACAGACACCCTGTGACAGGGCTACAGTTGAGGGACATCTCCCCAGGACTGTTTCTCTACTACAATTAAATCCATGCACATTGGGTCAGCAGCACCCTACCAGTAGAGTACCAGAGTCGGCCCCCAGTCCAAAAGAACTAGGCAGCCGCTTGGGCTGGCCTCTGGATCCATTGCTAGAGAGGGGCCACCAAACCCAGGCAGGTAGCCACAAGGGCAATCCCAGATGAGCCCCCAAATTTGTAACCACACAAGGAGTTCACCTTGACCACTGCCTAGACAGAGCCAATTTATCAAGACAAGGGAATCGCAATAGAGAAAGTGTAATTCACACAGAGCCAGCTGTGCAGGAGACCAGAATTTTATTATTACTCAAATCAGTCTCTTCCAGCATTAAGGGAGCAGAGTTTTTAAAGACAACTTGGTGGGTTGGGGGAAGCCAGTGAGCCAGGAATGCTGATTGGTCAGAGATGAAATCACAGGGAGTCGAAGCTGTCTTCTTGCACTGAGTCAGTTCCTGGGTGGGGGCCACAAGATCAGATGAGCCAGTTCATCAATCTGGATGGTACCAGCTGATCCATCAAGAAAAGGGTCTGCAAAATATCTCAGACACTGATCTTAGAAGCAGTTTAGGGAGGGTCAGAATCTTGTAGCCTCCAGCTGCATGGCTCCTAAAACATAATTTCTAATCTTGTGGCTAATGTTAGTCCTACAAAGGCAGTCTAGTCCCCAGACAAGAAGGTGGTCTGTTCTGGGAAAAGGCTGTTACCATCTGTTTTAAACCGTAAACTATAAACTAAGTTTCTCCCAAAGTTAGCTTAGCCTACACACAGGAATGAAAAACAACAGCTTGGAGGTTAGAAGCAAGATGGAGTCAGTTAAGTTAGATCTCTTTTACTGTCTCAATCATAATTTTGGAAAGGCGGTTTCAGTAAGAAAGTTCGGAGTTATTACAGTCTGCAGTGGGGACCTATTATGGTGTGAATGTGTCCCCAAAATTATAATTAGGAGATGATTAAGTCATGAGGGTAAAGCCCTCTTAAATGGGATTCATGTTTTTAGAAAAGAAGCCCAAGGAAGCTTCTTTGCCCCTTCCATTAAGTGAGGATGAACCGCCATTGCAAAATTGTAACTGAGCCAGTGAAAGAGATCTGACCTAACCGATTCCATCTTGCTTCTAACCTTCAAGCTGTCCTTGTTCCTTCCTGGGCGTAGGCTGAACTAACTTATAGTTTGAAACAAAGAGTTAACAGCCCTTTCCCAAAACAAATCCCCTTCTTGTCTGGGGCCTAGACAGACTGCCTTTGCAGGACTAACAAATCAGCCAAAAGATTAGAAATTCCAGTTTAGCATGCAGCCAGAGTCTACAAGATTCTGATCCTCCCCAAATCACTCCTGGGATCTAAGTGCTTAAGATATTTTGATTTTAAGAACCTAAGATCAGTGCTTAAGATATTTTACAGACACTTAATGGATCAGCTTGCACCACCCAGATTGATAAACTGGCTCATCTGATCTTGTGGCCCCACCCAGGAACTGACTCAGTGCAAGAGAACAGCTTCAACTCCCTATGATTTCATCTCCCACCCAACCAATCAGCACTCGCGACTCACTGGCCCCTACCCACCAACTTATCCTTAAAACTCTGATCCCTGAATGCTTTAGGAGACTGATCTGAGTAATAATAAAACTCCGTTCTCCCACACAGCTGGCTCTGCATGAATTACTTTTTCTCTATTGCAATTCCCCTGTCTTGATAAATCAGCTGTCTGGGCAACGGGCAAGGTGAAACTGTTGGGTGGTTACAAGGACACAGAAGCCACTATCTATGAGGAACAGGCCCTCTCCAGACACAATATGCTTCTCAGCCTCCAGAACTGTGAGAAATACTTTCTGTTGTTTATAAATTACCCAGATATTGTATTATATTAGGTGAGTGCAAAAATAATTATGGTTTTTGCATTTTTAGAACTCACTGTTTGATATTAGAATACATTCTTAAATAAATGTGGTTATGTTATACATCATTTTAATGGGCATTTCTCACTTTATGTTTTTTTGCTTATGACTTGTTACTTGCTGTTTATTTTAGACTATGGAAATGATGTTAGACAAAAAGCAAATTCTGGCAGTTTTCTTACTGGAGTTCAAAATGGATCAGAAAGTAACAGAGACAACTCACATCAATGCATTTGGCCCAGGAGCTGCTAATGAACGTACAGTGCAGTGGTGGTTCAAGAAGTTTTGCAAAGGAGATGAGAGCCTTCAAGATGAGGAGAATAGTGGCTGGCCGTCAGAAACTGACAACTACCAACTGAGAACAATCATCGAAGCTGATCCTCTTACAGCTACCTGAAAAGCTGCTGAAGAACTCAACATCTACCATTCTATGCTCATTCACATTTGCAGCAAATTGGAAAGGTGAAAAAGCTCGATAAGTGGGTGGCTCATGAGCTGATGAAAACTTTAAAAATCGTCATTTTGAAGTGTCATCTTCTCTTATTCTACACAACAATGAACCATTTCTCGATCGGATTGTAACATGCAACAAAAGTGTATTTTATACAACCAGCGATGACCAACTCAGTGATTGGACCAAGAAGAAGCTCCAAAGCACTTCCCAAAGCCAAACTTGCACCAAAAATGGGTCATGTTTGACAGAGCAGGAGCATCGCCATCTTGGACAAGCCCCTCATTCTAAAGTTCACCTTAATAAAAAACTGCTTAATCCAAAGGGCATCAGCCTAATGGCTAAGGTCAGCATGACCATAAACCACAAATAACATCTCCAGACAGAAACATTCCAAACTCCTCCCTGACCACAGACATGCTAGCCCCAAGATAACCCCACACCAGGCCGGAAAGATGTCTGCCCCAAAATAACCTCCCCTCCTCCCAGAGAGATTCCAACCCTGCCATAAGCTTCTCCCTACACATAAACATTCCAAGCTTCTGATAAACCCCCTCACCCTAAAACCAATATATCCTCTTAGTCTGTAAGAGAAAGCGCTTTTGACCAAAAAAATCGGCCAGGAGCACCTCTCAGGTTTTATCTAAAGAAAACCAGCCAGGCACGGTGGCTCACGCCTGTAATCCCAGTATTTTGGGAGTCCGAGGTGGGCGGATCACCTGAGGTCTGGAGTTCAAGACCAGGCTGACCAACATGGAGAAACCCTGTCTCTACTAAAAATACAAAATTAGCCAGGCGTGGTGGAGCATGCCTATAATCCCAGCTACTCTGGAGGCTGAGGCAGGAGAATGGCTTGAACCCAGGAGGCAGAGGTTGCTGTGAGCCGAGATCACGCCATTGCACTCCAGCCTGGGCAACAAGAGCGAAACTCTTGTCTCAAAAAAAAAAAAAAAAAAAAGAAAGAAAAGAAAACCTGTCTTTAACTGTCAGCTGTGTTTCGTGTTTCTTTCCTCTTTCTTGAACTTTTACAATGGTCACTGTTTGGTGGTCCGATGCCAGTCTGATCCACTACAGCTTTCTGGATTGGAAAACTGTTACATCTGAGAAGTATGCTCAGCAAATCCATGAGATGCACCAAAAACTGCAATGCCTGCAGCCAGCATTGGTCAACAGAAAGGACCCAATTCTCCACAATAATGCCAACCATATGTTGCACAACCAACGCTTCAAAAGTTGAATGAATTGAGCTATGTATGAAGGTTTGCCTCATCTGCCATATTCACCTGACCTCTCGCCAACAAACTGCTGCTTCTTCAAGCATTTTGACACTTTTTGCATGGAAAATACTTCCACAACCAGTAGGATGCAGAAAATCTTTTCCAAGAGTTTGTCAAATCCCAAAGCACAAAAATGTATTCATTGTAATGGTTCCTATTTTGATTAATAAAGATGTGTTTGAGCCTGGTTATAATAATTTAAAATTGGCCGGGTGCGGTGGCTCACGCCTGTAATCCCAGCACTTTGGGAGGCCGAGGCGGGTGGATCACGAGGTCAGGAGATCGAGACCATCCCGGCTAAAAACGGTGAAACCCCATCTCTACTAAAAAAAAATACAAAAAATTAGCCGGGCGTAGTGGCGGGCGCCTGTAGTCCCAGCTACTTGGGAGGCTGAGGCAGGAGAATGGCGTGAACCCGGGAGGCGGAGCTTGCAATGAGCCGAGATCCCGCCACTGCACTCCAGCCTGGGCGACAGAGCGAGACTCCGTCTCAAAAAAAAAAAAAAAAAAAAAAAAAAAAAAAGATAAATTCTCTGACACCAGGTAGGTGTCCAACAATTAAATTCTGATACTATCTATCCGTAGTAAGCACAAGATCCCACAAGTTAAAGGGCTCAGTCCCACAAGAGTGCTTCAGAGGCCAGCACAAGTGGGCTGCCCAGGCTACCCACACTTCCACTAGGCTGGCTAAAAATTGGGAGTTCCCATGACCACCCCCTAAGTTCTCTAACTTCCTAGAATGACTCACAGAACTCAGGAAAACACTACTTACATTTACAGGTTTATTAAAAAGCATATAAAGGAACAGCCAAATGGGAGAGATACCTAGGTCAAGGTATGTGGGGTGTGGGTTGTGGCAAGTCCATCGAGGACACCCACTCCCCACCTGCAGCACTTAGAAGCATTCATCGACCTGGAAGCTTCCAACCCTTATTGTCTTTATAACCCAATCTTCAGGTCCCCTCCCTGTTTCCACCCTCTAATCACGTTTCCTCTTTCTAGTGAGCAGCACCCTGTAGCTATCTAGGAGCCCCACCCAAAGTCACCCCATTAGCATAAATTCAGGTATAACAAAGGGGCTTGTTATGAATAACAAAACACACTTCTATTACTGAGAAAACACCAAGGGTTTCAGGAGCTCTGTGCCAGGAACCTGAGACAAAGACATACATATATACTATTGATGTATATACATAATATGTTATATATCATATATAAAAAATACTATATAGAAATATTATATCCAAAAAAAATTATATCTATATAATATCTCAGATTATGCCACAGGTTCCCTAGGGCTGTTGCCATTCATTTCTTCACATGATTGGTTATATGCAAAGTAGCTAAACTTGTTGATCTTGATAGGATTAATGCATATGTTGGCTCCACAAACCTCTCAAATCTGGCTGTAGTTCTGATAAATGTGCAAATTAGGCCAGGCGCAGTGGCTCACCTATAATCCCAGCACTTTGGGAGGCCAAGGTGGGCAGATCATTTGAGGCCGGGAGTTCAAGACCAGCCTGGCCAACATGGTGAAACCCTGTCTCTACTAAAAATACAAAAATTAGCTGGGTGTGGTGGCACACACCTATAATCCCAGCACTTTGGGAGGCTGAGGTAGGTGGAACACTTGAACCCAGGAGTTCAAGACCAGCCTTGGCAACATAGCAAGACCCCATCTCAAAAAATAATAAAATTAAAATTAAAATTAAAAATTGAATGTTTAATTCTTCCAGCAAAATTTGTTGAAAAGACTGTTATTTCTTCATTGAATTGACTTGGCACCTTGTTTTGTTAGATTTATGCCAAGTATTTCATGTTTTTTATGGTACTTAAAATGGCACCGTTTTTTAAATTCCCATTTTAATCAGTCATTCCTAATATATAGAAACATAATGATTTTTCTCGGTTAACCTTTTATCCTGTAACCTTGCTAAATTCACTTATTAGTTATAGTTGCTTTTTTGTAGATTCTTTGTGATTTTCTGCATAGACAATTATGTATTCTGCTAACAGAGACAGGTTTGTAGGCCGGGGGCAGTGGCTCACACCTGTAATCCCAGCACTTTGGGAGGCCGAGGCAGGCGGATCACTTGAGGCCAGGAGTTTGAGACCAGCCTGGCCAACATGGTGAAACCCCATCTCTACTAATACAAAAATTAGCTGGGCCTGGTGGTGCATGTCTGTAATCCCAGCTACTTGGGGGGCTGAGGCATAAGAATTGCTTGAACCCTGGAGGTGGAGGTTGCAGTGAGCCAAGATTATGCCACTGCACTCCAGACTGAGAGACAGCGAGACTCTATCTCAAATAAATAAATAAATATGCAAATAATCAACCCTCTTCTGTTGAAACTGATAAGATGCTGTGGTCACTGTAGCACTGGAACTTGAGAGTCACAGTTCATGCAGTAACAGACTATCAGGCAGTAACAGACTCTGTACTGTGAGTTTACTCTATATAGTTTATACCGCTCCTCTGCTCCCATAGACTAAGGACCAAGCAGATGAGAGACAAAGGCACTGAGACTCAGGAGGGGCAGGCAACTGGCCCAAAGCCCCAAAGCAAGGCAGTAGCAGAGCTGGGTAGAATGCTTGAGTCTCAGGCCTTCAGTACAAAGCCCCCAGTCAGCAGCTAATGGAGTCTGGTAGCATGACATTCCCTCTGCTGACCATGTAGACAGATCACGCTCAAGTTAGTGTCCTCCTTGCCAGCCCCAGTGTCTTGTGATTGAGGACTGTCAGAGCCAAGAGGGAACTTACCACCTCACTTTGAAGACAGGGAAACTGAGGCCCAAGGTTACCTAGCCAGTGGTGGCAGAGCCAGAAGCAGGACTCACAACACCTGTAGCCTCGTGCAAATTTAGAGCTTAAGCTCTGGAAATCACTAGGTTCAAATTCCAGTTCCATCACCTATTCTCTGTGCCTTAGGCCAGTGACTTAACCTCTTTGCACCTCAATTTTGCATTTATAAAGTGGATGTAACAATAGCACTCATCTCAAAGGGTTGTTGGGAAGAATACATTCGATAACATATATAAAGGTTTAGAACAGGACCTGGCATATAGCACATGTGCAACGAAGGTTACCTAGGATTATTATTTTTTTTCTTTTTGAGATGGAGTCTCAGTCTGTCGCCCGGGCTGGAGTGCAGTGGAGCGATCAGCCTCCCCAGTAGCTGGGACTGCATGTGCCCACCACCACGCCCAGCAGATTTTTTGCATTTTTTTAGTAGAGACAGGGTTTCACCATGTTAGCCAAGACAGTCTCGATCTCCTGACCTTGTGATCCACCTGCCTCGGCCTCCCAGTGTCCTGGGATTACAGGGGTGAGCCACCGTGGCTGGGGCCAGGATTATTTTTATTCTAATCATGTTGGGAGGCTGGGCACGCTGGCTCACCCCTATAATCCCAGCACTTTCAGAGGCCAAGGTGGGTGGATCACCTGAAGTCAGGAGTTCAAGACCAGCCTGGCCAACATGGGGAAACCCTGTTTATACTAAAAATACAAAAATTAGCTGGGTGGAGTGGCAGGCGCCTGTAATCCCAGCTACTCAGGAGGCTGAGGCAGGAGAATTACATGAACTCAAGAGGCGGGGTTGCAATGAGCCTGAGATTGCGCCACTGCACTCCAGCCTGGGTGACCGAGTGAGACTCTGTCTCAAAAAAAAAAAAAAAAGAAGATAAGTAAGTGAGTAAATAATCATGTTGGGAGGAAAAACTTTTCCTCTACCCACATAGGTTCAGTTCAGTGCTTCAGAGCCTGCAAATTAAACTGATAAACTAGTAATAGGCACAAAGACAACATTATTAGAATAATAATTATTAGAATAATTAGAATAATTAGAATAATTAGAATAATTATTATATAATTATTAGAATAATTAGAATAATTTTTATTCTAATTTTTTTATTCTAATAATTTCTAATCTGAAAGACAAAATTTATTCACATAGAAAAGAAGGAACTCACTGAAAATGTGACTCAAAAAGTGATTTAGAATTTGAGGCTGACGTAACATCTTAATAGGGGAAGGAAAAAAGAGAAAAGACACTTTTGGGAAGACAAGCGCCTTTTAGGAAAGGTAAATGGACCCTTAGGAGAAAAGATGGGAGATATGATAGTTTTGTGACAATGTTGGTTTAGTTGATCTCTTATCTTGGTGTGATTTCTCTTCTAGTCTCATAAAAGGAGCCCATCTTCCCTGACTGGGAAACTCTCAAACTCTGGGGAGGGGATTTATGACATTTGAATTCTTTTGGGAGGCTCAGCTTTTAGGCAGATAAAGGGAGTTCAGGAAAAGAAAAAAAAAGTTTCTTCCTGCATCTGTTGATTCTCAAATGTCACCCACTCAAAATAATCCTTATGCCACAGAGGTATATTTTGTATCCCTTCTATCATGACAGGGGAGAGGGCAGGGTAGGATAGAGGATGGCAGAGTAAGGCTGGAGGGCATCTGCCAGTTTTCTAGCCACTGTCCAGTCTGCCCTGCCTGGCCCAAGTTGGTGCCCTTGGAACTTCTGCTCCTTATCAGCATTTGCTCAGGGCTAACCTAAAGCTATTGCGTCCCTCTGCCCCTCCACCCAGTGCAATAAGGCGGCTGTAGGCTATCCCTGGAGAACCTCATTCATAGATGAATTGAGCTGAGATGGAGAGTTGTTATGGTTGGGCTGGGAAGCCCAGGATTGGAGGTCCGGCCCAGGCCATTCCTCTGACCAGAGAGGCTGACCACTTCCCCAGCCCTCCTCATGGAGTCAAGGTCTCCCCAGGCATGGAACTGGCTGGGTCCCCTTTTGCAGAGCTGTACAAGCCAGCAGCATACACATAGCACATTTGACTCTCACAGTGGAACATTCTTTAACCCTTCCCTCTACATGATTATACAGTAAGTATCATGAAATGAAACAAATATATTTCATAATTGCTATGATCTGAATATTGGTGTCCTCCCAAAATTCATATGTTGAAACCTAACCCCCAGGGTAATGGTGTTAGGAGGTGGGGGCTTTGGGAAGTGATGAGGTTGTGAGGGTCTGCTCTCATGAATGGGATTAGTACCCTTATAAAAGGGCTTGAGGGAGCCTGTTTGTCCCTTTTGGCTTTCCACCATGAGAGGACACAGCATTCGTGTCTTCTGCTGTGTGAGGATGCAATGAGAAGGCACCATCTTGGAAGCAGAGAGCAGGCTTCACCAGACACTGAATCTTCTGGTGCCTTGATCTTGGACTTCCCAGCCTCCAGATCTGTGAGCAATACATTTTTGTTGTTTATAAATTATCTACTCTAGGCCGGGAGCAGTGGCTCATGCCTATAATCCCAGCATTTTGGGAGGCCGAGGCAGGTGGATCACCTGAGGTCAGGAGTTCGAGACCAACCTGGCCAACATGGTGAAACCCCTCTCTACTAAAAATACAAAAAATTAGCCAGGCATGGTGGAGGGTGCCCGTAATCCCAGCTACTTGGGAGACTGAGGCAGGAGAATCATTTGAACCCAGGAGGCAGAGGTTGCAGTGAGCTAAGATTGGGCCATTGCACTCCAGCCTGGGCAACAAGAGCAAAACTCTGTCTCAAAAATAAATAAATAAATAATCTACTCTAAGATAATTTTTCCCCCTCTTTTTAGACAGGATCTCCCTCTGTTGCCCAGGCTGGAGTGCAGTGGTGTGATCATGGCTCGCTGCAGCCTCAACTTCCTGGGTTCAAGGGATTCTCCACCTTGGCCTCCCAAAGTACTGAGATTACAGGCGTGAGGCACCACACCCAGCCAGGTAATTTTCTTATAGCAGAAGGAACAGACTAAGACAATAATGAACTAAAATTTGCATTTATTAAATAAAAACATGGCCAGGGGCGGTGGCTCACGCTTGTAATCCCAGAATTTTGGGAGGCTGAGGCGAGTGGATCACTAGAGGTCAGGAGTTCAAGACCAGCCTGGCCAACATGGTGAAACACCATCTCTACCAAAAATACAAAAATTAACTAGGTGTAGTGGCGCACACCTGTAATCCCAGCTACTTGGGTGGCTGAGGCAGGAGAATCACTTGAACCTGGGAGGCGGAGGTTGCAGTGAGCCGAGATCGCACCACTGCACTCCAGCCTGGGCAACAGAGCGAGACTCTATCTCAAAAACAAAAACAAAAACATGACATCTCCTGGTTTCCGCTATTTGTTTTCAATTCCAAACACAGATAAAACCTCCAAGCTGTCATATAGAGTGGCAGAATTGAAGGAACTCATGTTCTGTGTCTTTGTCTTTACAATCAGTGTTCTACCACTGTTTATTTATAATCAACTGATTAAACATGGGGACATGTACCACAGGGCTTGGAAAATAGCAACTATAGCAAAGAAGGGAGGAAGGAGGAACTGGTTAGGAATTACAAATGAAATACAAATACAGGATTGCAGCTAAGTCTGCAATCTGTATAACAGGGAAATCATTCTCTGATTTGACTTTCACATAGCATACAATGTTTATTTAAAAATAAGCTGCTAATAAAGAATAAAGGTGTTACTTTGAAGCTCATTTTATAAATTATTAACATTCCACAGTAATCATGCAATCGTTTAGAACTTTGACCAATAAAATACTTTTTCAGAAAGAAGTATTGTATCACTGACATTGTTCAGAATTACCAGCACATGGTGAGAATAAAAGGCAGATAGATAGGCTTTATTCTATTCTATTAGGATAGAATCTGTCACCCTTGGGCCAGTGGCTGACGGCCACACGCATGATGTCAGTTCCCAGGGCTGAGACGGCCTCCTTCTTTCTGTGGCCTCCAAGACCTCCCCACCTCCAACCCTACTCCCAGCCCTGGCAGGATAACCTCCCAGACCTCAGTTCACATGAGACAGGCTCATAAAGATGGTTCAAATGGGGAAACTGAGGCTGAGAGAAGGAAGGCACATCTCCTGGGGGGGAGTTTAAGGCAGGTGTCTCCTTGGGGACTGTCCAGACCTGGCTTCCCTGGGCCATCAGGCAGGAGGGAGAGGGAGAAGGGACGCCCGAGGACTGGCTGGGGCACTGCAGGGGGGACTTGCATATTGCTGCCCCACACCCAGAGTGGGCAGACCTGTAGGGTCCTAGGGCTCAGAGATCCACTTCTGGCCCCAAACACCTCCCCTGGGCAGTGTCGCCAAACCCCACTTCCCTGTGAGCGCACCCCCACTGCCTGTGAAGCAGCCTGGCCCTGCCTGAGCCTGGCTGGGAAGCCACTCTCCCTGGGAGGGTCAGGCGAGAGGGGAAGGTCTATTGTCAGACATCAGCCACTTTACCCCAGCAGCAAGCCGCGGCCCTCAGAAGGGCCGCCTCACCCACCTGGGTCCAAAAGGCACTAGAGGTAGGCAGCGTCCAGCCCTGAAGAGTCTGAGGGAGACAGGGGTGTCCTAATCCAATGCTAGGCACAGTTGGCATCTGACCCCAGTCCTGCCTTCACCTGGCTGTGAGAAGGGGTTGAGTCAGGGGACCAGCCGAGATGGAAATGTGGCTGGAGGAAGAAGCTAAGGGCAAACTACTGATGCCCAGAGGCGGGTATTCCTGAAAGTGGGACGCGCAGGTGACCCCCAGGCTCCACTTCCCCATCCCCCACCCCCCAGCCATCTCAGACAGGCCAGCTGGGATTTGGGGACAGGATACATTTCCTGGTCATCCTTCCAGAGTAGGTAGGGTCCTATCCCTTTAGCTGGGGACCTTCCGGAAGCCCTGGCAGTCCTGATGATGGGCTACTCTCTACTTGCACTCCTCCAGTGACAAAGAACTCATTAGCTCCCCCAAAACACCTTATCACTGGCCCCTGGCTCTGCTGAGAGGAAGTCTGTAGTCCTTCTTCTTTTCATTTTTTATTTTTTGAGACAGGATCTTGCTCTGTCACTCAGGCTGCAGTGCAGTGGTGTAATCTCAGCTTACTGCAACCTCCACCTCCTGGGTTCAAGCACTTCTCGTACCTCAGCCTCCCAAGCAGCTGGGACTACAGGTGTGCGCCACCATACCCAGCTAATTTTTGTATTTTTTGTAGAGATGGGTTTTCACCATGTTGTCCAGGCTGGTCTCAAACTCCTGGGCTCAAGTGATCCAGCCGCCTTGGCCTCCCAAAGTGCTGGGATTACAGGGGTGAGCCACCATGGCTGGCCCTTCTTGTTTTTGTTTTTTTGTTTTTTGTTTTTTGAGACGGAGTCTCGCTCTGTTGCCCAGGCTGGAGTGCAGTGGCGCCATCTCGGCTCACTGCAAGCTCTGCCTCCTGGGTTCACGCCATTCTCCTGCCTCAGACTCCTGAGTAGCTGGGACTACAGGCGCCCACCACTATGCCCAGCTAATTTTTTTTGTATTTTTTTTTTTTTAGTAGAGACGGGGTTTCACCATGTTAGCCAGGATGGTCTTGATCTCCTGACCTCGTGATTCTCCCGCCTTGGCCTCCCAAAGTGCTGGGATTACAGGTGTGAGCCACCGCACCCGGCCTGGCCCTTCTTATTGAGCTGGAATCTGCCTCCCTGGAACCTTACCCCATTAGCTGACATAGCCCCAGACACTGTTCCAGGTGTGGGGTCAGTGGTGTGGTGTCTGCCCTAGCAATTCTGGCTCATGATCCAGTCCTTCCAGCTTCCCCAGGCCACTGCCTCTCAGTTCCACCTCCAAAATCTGTTTTTGTTTTTGTTTTTGTTTTAATGACCTAATACTCTCTGGGGGGCAGTGAGCTACCCATCACTGGAGGGATGCAAGCCAAGGCTGGAGGCCTGACCATTAGAGGTCTTCTAGGGGTTGGGTGGAAGCTGAGTCTCGATCCTCCTGGGGGTTTCCCGGCCCTGGGAAAGGTGGCAGGGGAGATGTGGGAGGCAAGGAGTTTGGGCTCACTCCACACCCTGGGAGGTGAGACTCAGAATCGCCAGCCAGCTATGTCGTCTTTGTTTTTTCCTTTCCCAAACAAAGGTGACCTCTTGAAAGCAATGCCCCGCCCACCAGGTGCCAGGGTGGGGTCTGTCCCATGAGCTCAGGCCTTCCAGACATGCAGAGAATGGAATGCAGAAGGCGCAGCCTAGACTAATTGGGGAGCACCCCCCATCCACACATTGTAGCTCTAGCTCAGTACCTCCCAAGACATAGGGGGATGCTCGCCCTACACTTGGTTTGCCCCCATCCTGCCCTCATGGGGCTACAGACCACCCCAACCCCACCCGAGTACCAGAAGAGGCCAATGAGCAGGGCCCCCCCTCCTGAGGACCATAAACAGTGACCCAGGCACAGAGGGAGTGTAGTGAATTCCTGTACTTTAATGTTGCCCTGGCATCCGTTTTGAATATAATCTGGACTTTCTTACATTAGAAGCAGGGCTCAGTCAACCTTGACACTGTTTCCAGCTCCCTGCTTCCTCCCAGTTCCTCTATGTGCTCAATCCAGATATCTACCTTAGACAGTCATCTCCCGGTGACTGCCTCCCTGTGGGACAGCTACATACAGCCCACTTGACTGGTCCCGCTGACCCCACAGCCCGCATGGACTGTTGCAGATAGGCCAGTGACCCTCTCTCAGCCATAGCGTGACCCTGCTTGCTCTAAACTCACCAATTATTTTATTTTATTTTATTTTATTTTATTTTATTTTATTTATTTATTTTTGAGATGGAGTCTCGCTCTGTCACCCAGGCTGGAGTGCAGTGGCGCAATCCTGGCTCACTGCAAGCTCCGCCTCCCGGGTTCAAGCCATTCTCCTGCCTCAGCCTCCTGAGTAGCTGGGACTACAGGTGCGCACCACCACGCCCAGCTAATTTTTGTATTTTTAGTAGAGACGGGGTTTCACAATGTTTTCCAGGATGGTCTCAATCTCTTGACCTCGTGATCCACCCGCCTCGGCCTCCCAAAGTACAGGCGTGAGCCACCGGCACCTGGCCTAAACCCAATTATTACTCCCCTCAGGAAACCTGCCTGGGTGACGCCCTGGACCCCATAAAGGCCTTGGTCCCACAGGTCCCCTCTCTCTCTCACTCTCTACCTGCTACTTGAACACCCTGCTGTCTCCGGGATTCCTGTTGGCCCTCATCGGCGCTGGCTTCTCTCATGGATCTGTGAGTAATGAAAGGCTCCTGTTATTCCATGTGTCTCACCTGACACACGCCCAACCCTAACTCCCCTCGCCCCTTAGAGAGCGGCTATCTCGGCTTATGGTACCTCTCCAAGGGACACCCCAAGACCCAATTAGACAAAGATCTCAACAGGGAGGCTCCTGGCTCAAGGTAAGTTTTGAAAGGATGCCCAAGGGCTCTGGCATGACCATGCTACCTGCAGAGAGGACCCAGGGCACAGGCCCCAGCCCCAGTGGCCGAGATAGGGGGAGGGTTGCCCCAGGGACCCCCCCAAGTACTGAGGCCTGGGCATGGAGATGTGGGAGACCCCTCTCAGATCCCTGCTCCTGACACACACAGGCAGGGTCCCTTACTGCCTTATCTTTCCTGGTGCTCACACCTGTCCCCTTCCACAGCTAATTTCCATCAGAGACCTGGGACCTAAGTCCCCTGTTTCAGCCTGGCATCTCCCAGAGCCATTCAGATCTCTCTTGGAGGTGCCCGGTGATCCCCAGGGCAGAGCTCGGTGGAGTCAAGGTCAGCTCAGAGTCCTGGGTTTCACATCTGTCTTTGGTCCCAATCAAAGGCCTGGTTTGCTTGGTTTCCCCTGCGGGCAGACCATTCTGTTCCTTCCACATGGTTTTCAGTTCCTTGAGGGTGGAGGTCCCCCATCCTTATACCGATCTCGCAGTCCCAGCCGCCCCAGGCTTCAGCACTTCTGGCTTCCTCTCCCAAAAGGGCTAAGGGCAGGAGATGGGGAGGACAGGCACCTGGCTGCCCAGGCCAGCCCAAGGACTCCGGACTACCAGCTTTTAGGGCATATTTTATAAGATTTCAGACTCTCGAGGCCAGAACACCCAGCAGGGTCAGGGCTGGCTGGGGGCATGGTGGGTAAAGCAAGGAGGCACCTAAGGGCCCACAATTTAAGGGGGCACTGGCCCTCAGGGCCATTCAGGTGCACCTGGGAGGGCAAGCCTCCTTAAAATTTTGCCCTAGGCACCTTGCTTGCCTCACTCTAGTCCCAGCCTGACCTCAGGAGAAGGATTGAGGAACCTAGTCCTCCCGCAGGCAGGAGGGGTAGAGCACCTTGGAACCAAACTCAGGAGTTTCTGGCTGGCTCCAAACAGAAGAGCCACAGGTAAGTGCAGGCAAATGCTACGCCAAGTCAGCCTCTTTGAGGTTTGCATGGGGATGACGGTGGGGGTGGAGAGGCCAAGGACAGAGCACCCCAGCCAGACTGCTGGGCATGGGAGGGGGCATGGGTGGGTACTGTACCCACTGCACAGAGAAGACTGGGTTCTGCCGGGGAGGGGAGGGGTGGAGACGGTGTTTGGGAAGGGGTGGGACGGGGCAGAGCCGGCAAAGGATCCGGAACCTTCACAGCAACCTCATTCTGTTTATTGCTCCAGCCACTCTCAGTGGCCCATCCCACCCTTCTTCCAGGCCAACCCGGGTCCCCTCTTCCAAAGCCCACAGGAGCTCTCTTCTGAAAGGATCTCCAGCCTTGGGTTTACCTCATCAGAGGCTTGGCCTGTGGGACACTGCGGGAGAGGATTGGGAGAAGAAAGAGGGGTGAGCCCTGTTGTCCTCTTCCATGCCCTGACCCAGCAGCATGGCTGGGGGAGGCGCTCTGGCCCTAAGCTTCACTTCCACCACGAAGCCTTCTCTGACTTACTCTCTGCATCCTCGTCCCCAACCCACCTCAGTACTTAGTACATGCCCCAGAAGATAGACCTGACCCTCTGCGGCCTTGGATCACCAGAGTTGTTTTCCTGGGCACACTTAGGCATCCTGCCTCTCCCATCAGACTACGTTACCCAGTCAGACGTGATGCCCTGGAATGTGCCCCCCATCCATCAGTGTCCCTCTCAGACTGCCACTTGGAGAGCAGGCTGTGTCTTCCCCTCAGTGTACCCCCCTTAGACTGAGCCCCTCCCCCTTGCCTGTGGGCCCCATGGAAGGCTTTGTGGAGAAACCCCCTCCACCCAGTCTCTTTAACCACAGCCTCCCTCCCTACTTCTCAGGAAACCACAGGAGAAAGAACAGGATGGGATTTTAGAGAAGTGGCCAGGAGGCCCTGAAACTGCTAGTGAAGTGGCTGTGGCCAGGGGGCCCAGGGACCTGCCCAGCCTTGGGATGGGGGTGTGTGGGGGGAGGGGGCAGTACCACAGACCCCCGTATGGGCCACTGGGACATGTAAGAGTTCAAGTCCTCCTTCTCCAGGATATATTTCAGAGACAATGAGGCTGAATTCAGTACTTGCAGTACCGAAAAAAAAAAATCTAACTTTACTTACAAAAACCCCAGATCCAAAGCAACCCTAGAGCTGATATTATATAGGGTATGGAAAGCATGGCATTCAGCAATTCGCTGATTTTCAAAAGTTGGACTGTGTGCAGATTGGCTGACTTTCAGTCTTGGCAGTTAGGGATTGGCTGACTTTCAGAAGCAAATCACTGGAGTAAGACCCTTGCTGATTGGCTGGCTCTCAGAAGCATGGTCCCTGGAATGAAGCTGTTGCTGATTGGTTGGCTCTCAGGGGACTGAAGTAACGTGATCAATGACTGATTGGACCAGGTTGAAAATAAGTCTGTGTGACTTGTTCCTGGCTTCAGACTAGTTCTCAAAACAGTCCCCCACCCCCCGCCTTTTTACTTGCTTTTAAAAGACAGAGTCTGGCTCTGTCACCCAGGCTGGAGTGCAGTGGCACGATCATGGCTCACTGCAGCCTCAAACTCCTGGGCTCAAGCAGTCCTCCCAACTCGGCCTCCTGAGTATAGTAGCTGGGACTGCAGGCATGTGCCACCACACCCTGCTAATTTATGTATTTTTGGTAGAGACAGGGTCTTGCTATGTTGCCCAGGCTGGTCTTGAACTCCTGTCCTCAAGCAATCCTCCAACCTTGGCCACCTCCCAAAAGGCTGGGACTACAGACTTGAGCCACTGAGCCTGGCCGCTCCCTTCCCTGCCCTTTTGTGAATTTAGAGAATAGAAACATTTTGTTTTCACCTCCCCCACATTCCTGGCTTTCCCTTTTCTGACCAGCCAAGCACTGATCATCTGTACCCACACTCCAGAATTGTCCAGAAGTCAGTTTGCCCAGGCCTGGTCATTCCATCCTTCAAAAACTCTTTCATGGAGACTGCAGCTCTAGAAAGCAGACCTGTGCCCTTCCTTTCTGGTGCTTGGCACACCCTCCTCATCCCCTGTTTGAATGGATGAATGAGTGAGTGAATGAATGAATGAATGGCTGTAAGGAGGTTACATGGTAGATTTGGCAGAACTAGTATAAGCCATATCCTCCCTTCCTTTTCTGACCCCTGTAAAATCCAGCCTCAGCATTCCCCACTGAACCCCCCAACCTCTGCCCCCCCACACACATAAGAATGTGGACTGCCCACAGCTCACCAGTTCCTCTGGAACCAGTTTGAACCCCCTGTGACCCAGCAGGGCCCCCACTCCCCCTTGAGTGTTAAGATTTTTGGATTAGTTGGCTTGAACTGTTCTAGAAAACAACAGAGTACCTTTGAGAAAAACAAAATGCATTAATTTGGGCCCTAGGTCAGAAAAACAAATTTATATTTGGCTTTGATCTGGGTTGATTTTAGCCTTTGGCTATCGATCAGGAGAGTGAGAGGGTAGCAAGGGTTGTCTTTGCCCTAAAGTAAGAGACATGGGTTTAAACCCTGCTCTGGCCAGAATCATGTAGGGAACTGGACCAGGCCTTCCTATTTCTGTTCATTTCAGCACACATTTAATGAGTACTTACTGTGTGTTAAGTATGGTGTTGTACAGATAGACTGCCCCAGCCCTCAAGGAGCTCAGTCTAGAGGGTAGAGAGATAAGTGAGTAAAGGCTTACAGTTTAGAGGGATCAGGGCTGTTAGGGAGGGGAGTGAGCAGGGGGGCTGTGTGAGCCCAGGAGAGGCACCAGATTCAACTTAGATTGAGAGGTGACATCAGAAAGATATTATGGGCCAACTCTGGGCACACTGCCTATGAATTCACCCTGCTTTGCAAGGAATAGTATGGTTAATAAAATTCTTTAAAAAAGAAAAAGATGTTATGGAAGTATGTTACATTATTTGTATGGCCCAGTGTAAAACGAAAGTGCAAGGCTTCTTATTCAGATTTCAAGATGTCAGCAGCAGAGGATTAAACTAAGCACAGGGCCCTACTGAGCACAGGGCTCTGTGTGACCTCACAGCTCTCATCCCATGAAGCCAGCCCTGCTGGAAGGAGGAGATGCCTGACCTGAGTGTGAATGATGAGTGTGAGTGTGAGTGTGCCACGGGAAGCACGGTGAGCAAACAGCCTGATGCGTGTGAGGACCAGGCAGCCCTGTGAGATTCCAAGAACCTCCTTTCCTCAGATCTGGGTCTTAATATCTGCCCAGTGGCCAGTGTAGCCCAGGCTTTGGGAATCATGCGAGGTTGCCAGCTGTCCTTTTTTGGGAGAGGGTGGGGCTGGGAGTAGAGAACACAATCTTTTTTTTTTTTTTTTTTTGAGACAGAGCCTCCCTCTGTCACCCAGGCTGGAGTGCAATGACACAATCTCAGCTCACTTCAACCTCCACCTCCTGGGTTCAAGTGATTCTCCTGCCTCAGCCTCCAGGGTAGCTGGGACTATTGATGTGTACCACTACACCCAGCTGATTTTTGTACTTTTAGTAGAGATGGGGTTTCACCATGTTGGCCAGGCTGGTCTTGAACTCCTGACCTCAAGTGATCCACCTGCCTCAGCCTCCCAAAGTGCTGGGATTACAGAAGTGAGCCACTGCACCCATCTTTAAACCATAATTTCTAATCTTGTAGCTAATTGTTAGTCCTGCAAAGGCAGACTGGTCCCCAGGCAAGAAGGGGGTCTTTTCGGGAAAGGGCTGTTACCAATTTTGTTTCAGAGTCAAGCCATGAACTGAATTCCTTCCCAAAGTTAGTTCAGCCTATACTCAGGAATGAACCAGGACAGCTTAAAGGTTAGAAGCAAGATAGAGTCAGTTAGGTCTGATCTCTTTTGCTGTCATAATTTCCTCAGTTATAATTTTTGCAAAGGCAGTTTCAATCCCCCCCTTTTGGTTTCATAGTATCTTATTCTTAAGGTGTGGGCTATGAAGATGGGAAAAGGTTGTCAATCGCTCTGGATTCTTCCTGCTGACAGGGGGCATGGAACGGGTAGGTGTTGACCCCAAGGTGAGAGGAATGGAACTGCTTTGCAGCTGTCTGAGCTGTCTGAGCATACTCCCACATACTCAGCATACTGAGCTGGGGTTCTGGGGCTTTCATGACAAAGGTGTTACTATTCTCATTGTAACCTCTCAATGGGTTCACCTTGCCCACTGCCTAGACAGAGCTGATTTGTCAAAACAGGGGAATTGCAATAGAGAAAGAGTAATTCACACAGAGTGAGCTGTGTAGGAGACTGAAGTTTTATTACTTAAATCAGTCTCCCAGAGCATTCCAGGATCAGAGTTTTTAAGGACAACTTGGTGGGTGGGGAGAAGCCAATGAGCCAGCACTGGGGTGCTGATTGGTCAGGTCAGAGACAGTTGTTGCACTGAGTCAGTTCCTGGGTGGGGACCACAAGATCAGATGAGCCAGTTTATGGATGTGGGTGGTGCCAGCTGATCATCAAGTCCTAGGTCTGTAAAATATCTCAAGCACCGATCTTAGGAGCAGTTTAGGGAGGGTCAGAATCTTATAGCCTCCAGCAGCATGACTCCTAAACCATAATTTCTAATCTTGTGGCTAATTTGTTAGTCCTACAAAGGCAGTCTGGTCCCCAGGCAAGAAAGGGATTTCCCTTTGGAAAAGTCTGTCATCATCTTTGTTTTAAACTATAAACTATAAACCAAATTCTTCCCAAAGTCAGTTCAGCCTACGCCCATGAATGAATAAGGACAGCTTGGAGGTTAGAAGCAAGATGGACTTGGTTAGCTCAGATCTCTTTCACTGTCTCAGTTATAATTTTGCCATGGTGGCTTCATCATCTATAGTTTCAGTACAGCATTTAAATTGACAGTGTACTATAAGGCAAATAATGAGTTCTAGGATAAGGAGTGCAATTCCCCGTTTTAGAAGTAAAGATTTGAAAGCATTAGTTTGGGGACTTGTAGTCCAAAAAACATTCAGGATTTAGTCTAAATTGAAGAAAAATACAAATAAAAACTCAAAAACAACTAACAATAAGTATACTGTAGTTTTTGGAACATAATTTTTCTCTCTGCAGTCCTTATTTTTATTAAAAACAAATTATAATAGGACTGATTTGTTTGGAAAATAAACTTTAGTTGTATTATACTTGGTCTGATTATTTGCATAAGGCACAGCAAGAATAATTATTTTTCACATCAGGCTTTTTTTTTTTTTTTTTTTGAGACAGAGTCTCACACTGTCTCCCAGGCTGGAGTGCAATGGTGCGGTCTCGGCTCACTGCAACCTCTGCCTCCCAGGTTCAAGTGATTCTCCTTGCCTAGGCCTCCCAAGTAGCTGGGATTACAGGTGCCCACCACCATGCCCAGCTAATTTTTTTGTATTTTTAATAGAGACGGGGTTTCACCATGTTGGCCAGGCTGGTCTCAAACTCCTGACCTCGTGATCCACCCACCTCGGCCTCCCAAAGTGCTGGGATTAGGATTACAGGCATGAGCCACTGTGCCTGGCCTCACATAGGCTTTTAAAATTGGCTTTGCAGGCGTGGTGGCAGGAACCTGGAATCCCAGCTACTCAGGAGGCTAAAGCAGGAGAATCGTTTGAACCTGGGAGGTAGAGGTTGCAGTGACCTGAGATTGTGCCATTGCACTCCAGCCTGGGTGACAAGCGCAAAACTCCACCTCAAAATAATTAATAAATAAAAATAAATTTTAAAAAATTGGCTTTGAAGGAACTGTGTTCCAAAAGAATCTCAGATAAGACTTTTTTAAAGCTGAGACCAGCCATGGGTTTGTACCCTCAAATGCCTATGAGTTGGGTAAATTCCTCTCCTCTTGAGGTCCCAAGATAACTCGGGGCTCCTGGGACTCTCAGAAAGTGACATTCTTTACTTATCACAAATCAGGAACCCTGTACAGGGACTGTGTAGACAAGGTATGAGGCCAGTTTTCCCAAGGGGATTTTATTGGCTCTATAAGTCAAGTTTAATTCCTTAAAGGAAAGCACGTCATTCCAGTCAAAGTTTTGGTAAAATAACCAGTTTCTCCAACTGTGTCCTGTTGCAAAAGAAAACATTCTTATTGTACTTATGCAAATAACTATATTGCCATTAAGTTAAGAATACTCACAAATAGTTTCCAAAATCTGGAGAAATCGGGTAAAGAGAAACAAATATGCTTCAAATTTTGTTCACAGGAATATACTTTACTCAATTGTTAAAAGCTGAAAATAGCTCAAAAGAAAAGTTTTCTTAACTCTGAGAAACAAAAAGGATCAGCAATCTTTTAAGCAAAAAAAAAAAAAATTGCTTTAATTTTCTATTGGTTGAGTCTATTCAGTTAACTCCTGTTCTGCTTGATATTCATGAACATTTCAGCTCTCCATGAGAGTCCTGAAAGTTTTTTTCTTTATTGTAATGTAATAATCTCTATAGTGACTGGGCACAGTGGGTAATGCCTGTAATCCCTGCACTTTAGGAGGCCAAGGCGGATGGATCACCTGAGGTCAGGAGTTCGAGACCAGCCTGGCCAACATGTTGAAACCCCATTTCTACTAAAAATACAAAAAATTAGCCAGACATGGTGGTGGGCGCCTGTAATCTCAAGCTACTCAGGAGGTTAAGGCAGGAGAATCCCTTGAACTCAGGAGGCGGAGGTTGCAGTGAGCCAAAATCGCGCCACTGCACTCCAGCCAGGGCAAAAAGAGCAAAACTCCGTCTCAAATAATAATAATAATAATAATAATAATCTCCATAGTTATCAGAAACTTTCATTCAAGAGCACCTGTCAACATTTAATAGCTGATTATAAAACCACTTTCTAAAGAGGACCAAGGAAAGACAGCAATTGACTGTGGATGACAAAAGCATTTAGGGAAGCCACAGTCAAAGACACAGTTGACAAGGAAATTTGTTACCTCTGTGGCACACAATAATTCAACACAACAATTATAATTATTAATAACATATACTGTAGCATATCAGAATTACAGGAACCCTATACAATTTTGCAACACATACTAAAAACAAATTTATATAAATATAACCCAAAGAAAGTTAAACACCATTTTATATTTGACAATGTTTCCTGCATGGTATTAATACATTAAATAAGCTGAATATGTCTTTTTGGACTTCAGGGCACCTAATTTTTTTCTCTTTTTAACTTAGAGCTTGATTTTGAAAGGTTTGTTAAATATCAAAGGCTTAAAACATTGGATATTACAAAATAGAATCCTAGGTTACCATAAGTCATTCATTTAACCAAAATAATAACTCAAAAATTTTTTAGCCTGGGTACTGTGGCTCACCCTGTAATCCCAGCACTTTGGAAGGCCAAGGTGGGTAGATCTCTTGAGATCAGGAATTCAAGACCAGCCTGGCCAACATGCCAAAACCCTGTCTCTACTAATACAAAAATTAGCTGGGCATGGTGGCATGGGCCTGTAATCCCAGATACTAGGGAGGCTAAGGCAGGGGAATCTCTTGAACCCAGGAGGCAGAGGTTGTAGTGAGCCAAGATTGTGCCACTGCACTCCAGCCTGGGTGACAGAGCAAGACTTCATCTCAAAAAAAGTTTCTTTTTTGTTTTTTTGGTTTTTTTAAGGAAAAATCTTTATTCTGATAGAGAGGAGATTCAGCTTTATAAACAATACCCAATGAAGACATGAGGCCAACTGACTCTGTCTCTTCTCTCTCCCCTCCCACCAGTGCTTTTTGTAGTTCACTTAAAAGACAAACAAAAATCTTTCATTGTCTCTTAATGTTACATAAAAATCTTTTTCAAACAAAAAAAAAAACTAAATTTCATGTATGCATTAGTGCATCTTTAATGCTAAAGCTAGTTTTTAATAAAATTCTATAAGTGTATCCAGTTTTAATTAGCTTGACCATAAGGTAAGATTCTTTTTTTTTTTTTTTTTTTTTTGAGACAGAGTCTCACTCTGTCACCCAGGCTGGAGTGCAGTGGCGTGATCTTGGCTCACTGCAAGCTCTGCCTCCCAGGTTCACACCATTCTCCTGCCTCAGCCTCCCGAGTAGCTGGGACTACAGGCACCCGTTACCATGCCTGGCTAATTTATTTTGTATTTTTTAGTAGAGACGGGGTTTCACCATGTTCGCCAGGATGGACTCGATTTCCTGACCTCGTGATCCACCCACCTCGGCCTCCCAAAGTGATGGGATTGCAGGCGTGAGCCACCGTGCCCAGCCAAGGTAAGATTCTTATAAACCTTTTATAACCCTTTACAATTTTTTTTAGAACAGAACAATGTTCTTAAAAAATTCTGCTGTGCTTTTTTTTTTTTTTTTTTTTTTGAGATGGAGTCTGGCTCTGTTGCCTGGCCTGGAGTGTAGTGGCACGATCTCAGCTCACTGCAACCTCCGCCTCCAGGGTTCAAGCGATTCTCCTGCCTCAGCCTCCCGAATAGCTGGAATTACAGGCTCCTGCCACTACACCCAGCTAATTTTTTGTATTTTTAGTAGAGATGGGGTTTCACCATGTTGGCCATGCTGGTCTTGAACTGCTGACCTCATGATTTGCCTGCCTCAGCCTCCCAAAGTGCTGGGATTACAGGCATGAGCCACGGTGCCTGGCCTCTGCTTTTGATGGCAGCAGGGGGCCGTCTAAAGTGGCTGCTGCCATCACACTGGCTGCAGTAGGGAGGCATGGGCGGTGGTGGCAGGAGCAGCTGTGGGAGCAGCAGTGGCAGTAGTGGGACTCCTGTGCCCCATGTCCCCTGTGCCCTGCATCCCTGAGGCAGTCAGCTGCACCACCCCCATCCTCTCATGGCTGGGCAGAACCTGCTCCCAGACCCAGAGTCTCCACCGTGGTCACAATCTTGCACGCCTGGCCAAGGGCACAGTTGGGGACTCTTGGGGCCAGCCCCAAGAGCATTTGGTTTGTTTGTGTGGGGTTGACTGGGGCTACAGCACCACCTGCACCTTGCCCATGACTGCTGCAGGGAAAATGCAGACAGGAGGCAGGCAGGCACTCCCTGGAGCCTGTCCCTGGGAGCCCCCTAGAGTCCACTGCCCTGGGAGCCACTGTGATGAGGCTGGGCTGAGTCACCCACTGACGGGGGAGCAGTGTAATTGAGCATGGAGGGGTGGGCAGAAAGGGGCCCTGATATGGAGCTGGGCCCAGGCCAGTGCCACACTCCAAGGAGCCAGTGAGAGCCAGGAGCAGACAGGGGCCTGGCATTCCTGGGCGTGGCTGTGGCCACCCAAGTCACAGCTGTGGACCCAGGCCTCCCTGTGCTTTTGGGGGCTGGGAGCAGGTAGAAGCCCCACCCTCCCAAGGAGCAGCTGCAGCCACTCAGCTGCAGCTGTGGACCCAGGCCTCTCTGCACTTTTGGAGCCCTAGGAAGGCCACCCCCTTCCCCCTGCAGGCTCTGAGGTGTCTTATCTCACTGCCTGATCTCTGTCAACTCCTGGCAACTGCTCCGATCTCAGAGCAAGGTTGGGGCCAAGCCTGGGCACTGTCGCAACCCAGCCATGTGTGTGTACACTCAGGGCAGTGTTAACACGCCAGCCCCCTGCCACCTTAGCCCCCTCCTGACTTTGGGCACCAGCAAGCACCAGAGGGAGGCCAAGGGGGTGCTGAGGGCAGCTTGGCACTGGCCTCCAGGTGCCCTTTGGTATGAACAGCCTGGACATCATGAACAGAGGCAGGAGACAGGCTCCTGGGCAGAAAGGAAAAGTTCCCCAGTGAAGCCTCACCTTGAAGCTGGCGAGGGCCTGTAGCTGGGGACTACACTGCTGGTCCCACAAACCAGAGTGGGAACTTGTGATGCTTTTTCTGGGGCTGCACATGGTTTCCCATGGACCAACTGACATGCGCTTCCTCCCCTCTGAGGCCCATAAAAGCCCTGGACTCAGCCAGACTTGAGAAGATGATGGGACAACCAGCTGCAGAGAGGAGCTACCCTCTCTGCTGAGAGCTGAAGAGACAACATGATGACCAGCTGCAGAGAGGAGCTACCGTCTCTCCTGAGAGCTGAACACTCATTGGGACACCCTGGCTACAGAAAGGAGCTACCTATTTCAGGTCTCCTCTAAGCTGTTCTGTCACTCAATAAAGCTTCTCTTCATCTTGCTCACCCTTCGCTTGTCTGCATACCTCATTCTTCCTGGATGCAGGACAAGAACTTGGGACCTGCCAAATGACAGGGCTAAAAGAGCTACAACACAAACAGGGCTGAAACATGCCCCTTGCTCACCATGTTGTACATGACAAGAAGGAGAGAAGAGAGAAGGAGAGAAGAGCTACAGCCCTTCAGGGAGCCTAGACCTAGGAGCTCCCCAAACCAGGGCCGTGACACCCTTTAGGGCTCTGTGGTTCCTGGCATCTCCAAGCTTCTGGGCACCATAACATTCCCCAGCATCAACTGTGGTAGCTACTTATGGTATGCCTGGTCCAGCTGCAGCCTTGCAGGAAGCCATTGCCCATGCCAGCACCTGGAGCTGCTCACCCTGCTGCAGCCAGAGTGCCTGGCTGTGCACAGTGGTTGGAGCCCATGCTCGCTCACATACCCCTCACTACACTACGCCTGGCTCACCCCTGGCAGGTGTGGGATCCAGGCCGGTAGCGTGAGCCAAGAGCAGCCTGCCAGTGTGAGTGGGCAGAATGAGCCCAGCAGGCCAGAGAAAAACTCGGGCAAAGGTGCCACTGGCCACAGAGGTTTCCAGCTGGCAAAGTGACACCCCAAGGATCCTGTAACATTTTGGGGGCTCATCCAGGATCTGTGGAAGGGTGAATAAAAGTGGATCTTTTCTTTCTTACTTTTTTCTTTTTTTTTTTGAGATGGAGTCTCACTCTGTCACCCAAGCTGGAGTGCAGTGGTGTGATCTTGGCTCACTGCAGCCTCCATCTTCCAGGTTCAAGTGATTGTCCTGCCTCAGCCTCCCAAGTAGCTGGAATTACAGGCATGTGCCATAACACCTAGAATAATTTTTGTATTTTTAGTAGAGGTGGGGTTTCACCATGTTGGCCAGGCTGGTCTCGAACTTCAGACCTCAAGTGATTTGCCTGCCTTGACCTCCCAAAGTGCTGGGATTACAGGCATGAGCTGCTGTGCCTGGCTGGATCTGCTCATTCTGTCCTTTTTTCAGACTCCACAGTAGCCAAAATGAAAGAAAAAATACCAGGCCTCTGTCAGCCAATTAAAAGCAACTAGCACAGCTGCCAGACTTAAGAAATGGAGGACAGGCTTGCTGGGGAGGACAATGTCAATCCCCCATCACCTTCGGGTGTTGGGAATGTTGGCTTTGTTCCAATCTAGTTTCCCTTCATGGAGGTCTAGCCATCGCATGGGACCAGAAGGAGGTCCTGGGGCAACTGAGGGTATCTCACCAAGGCCACATCTTGGTGTTATCCAAAGGCTCCTTGACTAACTCCAGGCCCCAACTGCCCATAAGGGTGTCGGCCCTAGGACCTCCAGTCTTTCCTATTGTTCTTTTCTTTCTTTCTTTCATGGCTCTCATGGTTCCTATCTCTTCTTTATATACAGTGTTAAATGTTAAGGATGTTGTTGCAAACCACAGATATTACTGGGTAGAATGAGCATTTGGCTTAATCATCAAAAGTATAAACTGGAAGGTTAAGAGTAGCACAGATGAGGTAAAGTGTGCCTTGGTATCTGCAAGTAAATTCATGGCAAAAATGTCCCTGTCATTTCCTTGGTTGCCAATGTAGTGCCAAGCACCATGAGACACAGAAAAGACATCTCATATTCCTTTGCACAAAGCTGTGGCCAAATTATGTTCTGCAGGGCGGAGAAGCTTGACCTCAGGAAGGAGGCACAGCGCAGGTGAGCATGACTAATTCCTGCCAACTAGGCCCTCCTGCTTCATGGATGGAAGTCATGCTCACATCCATGGCATAGAGAAGGTATAGGGAACCCAAAGGTTACCAACAGCAGGAGGATAGGGTGGCACATAGGTAAGTGCGAATATCCCTACCCATTAGGCCTCCCTGCTACATGGGTGAAGGTCACACTTGCACCCATGGGTGGCACCTGCAAAGTTTCTGCAACTTGGGGATATAAGATCAGAAGAAAGAAAGGGATGCCTTTTTTTATCTTCCTTATGTACCCTGGGTATTCACTGGAAAGAGAAAGGAACAAAGGGACATGTTTTTCCCCTTTCCAGATGGGTAACCAATCATTTTCCGCCTGCACTCCTCACGAGTGCATCCTAAATCACTGGAATTCCTTTGAGCCTCAGACTCTGGAGAAAGAAAAAAAGAGCTGTTTCCTTTTTTCCTCCTTTGTCTTCTTTTCACTGACGGGTAATTGCATCACTATGCCCCAGGATACTCCCCTCAGATGCATCCCCCAAACTGGGAAGAGTTTAATTTCCCCCAAACCTTAAACTACTTGGCAATCTCCTGAGGAGGGCCAACTTTTCTAAGCCTGTTTCCCTTCACAGGACTTCAGGGTCAAAGGGCTTCTTCCTATTCACTGGGAGTTAAAACATCCTCTTTCTTTTTAAGCAATATAAGTTGCTTTTTTTTTTTTTTTTTTTTTTGAGACGGAGTCTCGCTCTGTCGCCCAGGCCGGACTGCGGACTGCAGTGGCGCAATCTCGGCTCACTGCAAGCTCCGCTTCCCGGGTTCACGCCATTCTCCTGCCTCAGCCTCCCCAGTAGCTGGGACTACAGGCGCCCGCCACCGCGCCCGGCTAATTTTTTGTATTTTTAGTAGAGACGGGGTTTCACCTTGTTAGCCAGGATGGTCTCGATCTCCTGACCTTATGATCCACCCGCCTCAGCCTCCCAAAGTGCTGGGATTACAGGCGTGAGCCACCGTGCCCGGCCATAAGTTGCTTTTTGTATTGTAGTTGGCAAACAAACATATAAAGGTAAAGTGACAAGTCTATGTTGGTTTCCCCAAGTTTATTTTATTTATTTATTTTTCAAGACAGAGTTTCGCTCTTGTTGCCCAGGCTGGAGTGCAATGGCGTGACCTCAGCTCACTGCAACCTCCACCTCTCGGGTTCAAGTGATTCTCCTGCCTCAGCCTCTGGAGTGGCTGGGATTACAAGCACTGCCACCATGCCCAGATAATTTTTTTGCATTTTTAGTAGCGACGGGGTTTCACCATGTTGGCCAGGCTGGTCTCAAACTCCTGCCCTCAGGTAATCCACCTGCCTCGGCCTCCCAAGATGCTGGGATTACAGGCATGAGCCACCACTCTCAGCCCCTCAATTTTAAAGAAAGTGGCTGCTCTGTGAACATGTAACTGCCCAATGGGTTCACCTTGCCCACTGCCTAGATAGAGCCGATTTATCAAGACAGGGGAACTGCAATGGAGAAAGAGTAATTCACACAGAGCCAGCTGTGGGTGAAACCAGAGTTTTATTATTATTCAGATCAGTCTTCCCAAGCATATGGGGATCAGAGTCTTAAAAGATAATTTGGTGGGTAAGAGCTTGGGAGGCGGGGAGTGCTGATTGGTTAGGTTGGAGATGGATTGAATAGGGGATTTAAGTGATGTTTTCTTGCTGTCTTCTGTTCCTGGGTAGGATGGCAGAACTGGTTGAGCCAGATTACCAGTCTGGGTGGTATCAGTTGATCCATCCAGTGCAGGGTCTGCAAAATATCTCAAGCGCTGATCTAGGTTTTACAATAGTGATATTATCCACAGGAGCAATTTGGGGAGGTTCAGACTCTTGGAGCCAGAGGCTGCATGACCCCTAAACCACAGCTTCTCATCTTGTAGCTAATTTGTTAGTTGTGCAAAGGCGGGTCCTAGGCAAGAAGGGGGTCTTTTCAGGAAAGGTCTATTATCAATTTTGTTTCCGAGTCAAACCATAAACTGAATTCCTTCCCAAAGTTAGTTCTGTCTATGTCCAGGAATGAACCAGGACAACTTAAAGGTTAGAAGCAAGATGGAGTCAGTTAGGTCTGATCTCTTTCACTGTCATAATTTCCTTAGTTATAATTTTTGTAAAGGGTGTTTCAAACCCCCCTCCTTTCCCCTGATCTTGGCCCTATGAGGCCCACTCTCTTGATGTTATATGCCCCTGGAGAAGCCACAAGTGACACCTAGCCAGCCTTGATGAGAGCTGGCAAGTTCCAGGCACTGGGGGTGGGCGCCCAGGAGACAACAGCTGGAAGGGAAGGCTCTGGTAGAGTTGTGGCCCCTTCCACCTCCGGCTCTCTGTCCCTGCAGGGGAAGACACAGCTCAGGCTGACAGCAGCTCAGAGGGCAGCTTTGAAACCCAGCAGGGAGATAACAGAAGACAAAGAAACCAAAGTCTCCCTGATAACTCGCCAGGAAGCCAACACAAAACAAAACATAGATAACAAGCGGACTGCCTCTCTCAAGGCCAAACTGTTTTAAAAGAGAGTCCTGCTGTGGACGTTGGGCTTAAAGACTGTGCAGCTGATAAAGTGATCCCTTTGATGGGGAGCTAAAGAGATAGATGAGGCTCCACCAGCATGGTTTGGGGACCTCCAAAGAAACTGTGCTCCTAGCTGGACAGCAGCTAGGCAGCTGGATACCTCCAGCCCTCTGAGTTTTGGCTTCATTCCCTAGGGTCAAGGCGAGGTCTTCCTATTTCAGTTTTCCCAGTTAGCCTAAAGTTGTTTTAGTTTTGAAGTTTATTTTATTATTATTATTATTATTATTATTATTTGGAGAGAGTCTCGCTCTGTTACCCAGGCTGAAGTGCAGTGATGTGATCTCAGCTCACTGCAACCTCTGCCTCCCAGATTCAAGCAATTCTCCTGAATCAGCCTCCCAAGAAGCTAGGACTACAGGCATGCACCACCACACCTGGCTAATATTTTTCTATTTTTAGTAGAGATGGGGTTTTGCTGTGTTGTCCAGGCTGGTCTTGAACTACTGAGCTCAGGCAATCCGCCTGCCTCGGCCTCCCAAAGTGCTAGGATTACAGGCGTGAGCCACTGTGCACAGATATATTTTTTGTGTGTGTGTGGTGGGGGGCTGTGGGTGGTGATGTTGATTTTAAACAAAGCCAAGGAGATGATGTTTCTACAAAATGCTCCATCAAGTGTCTTTGAACCAAGGAGGGCCTTTGAGGCCATATGGTATAATGGAGAGCTCCTGGCCTTGGCTTCAGACATATGTCCCAGGACCCTGGGCAAGCGACTGGCTTTTCTATGAGCCTTGGTGCTCTCACTGGGGCAATGAAGACGATAAGCCCAATGGAACAGGACTGGGTGAGGATCAAGCGATGACGGATAGTGCTGGGTGCAGTAGCTTATGTCTGTAGTCCCAGCTACTTGGGAGGCTGAGGTGGGAGGATCACCTGAGGTCAGGAGTTTGGGTCTGCCGTGAGCTGTGATTGCGCCTGTGAATAGTCACTGCACTCCAGCATGGGCAACAGAAGGAGATCCTCTTTCTCAAGCAAACAAACAAGAGATGAAAGATATGAAGTGCTCAGCTAGTACTGCCCTTAGCTGTGGCATGGGGCCCTTGTCTAAGCCATATGCTTTAGAGAACCTCACTGTGGTCCTCTTCTGCTCCTCGGCCCATTGGGACTAAGGCTTGAACCCATGTGGAGCCCACGACCTTCTTCTAGACCCCAAGCCCACTTTCCAGAGCTCAGCTGGCCTCCAACCCACGTTGCTTCCCAGGACATGAACAGGCAGCAGGATATGAACTTCTAGGCCCAAAGGATGGCCAATGGGGGCTGTTTGTGCAAAGGGACATGGGGAGGGTATAGAAGTTTGTACAGGCATTCTGCAGCTCCCACACACGCGAACCCGAGGCTGCTCCTGGTGCAGGATGGAGCCTGTGATCAAATACATTCCAGTTACAGTTATGTAACAAAACACCCCAAGGCTTAGTGGCATGAAACAGCAACAATCATTATATTATTATGCCTCAGGGACTGAGGCACGCCAGGGATGCCTTGCCTAAGCCTCCTTCCCTGTGTCCCCCTTCCAGGAGGGGAAACCGGGGGTGGGAGAGAGGGCAGATTGGAGCCATGTGGCCAGATGGTTCTGCAGGAGGCATTTTCGGTTTCCGTGGGGATGCTAGGAACGCCAGTCCGGAAGGAGGGAAAGGTGCCTTCAGCATAACAAGACCCTCCACAGGGAAGGGGGCAAGGTCATGAGAATGGAGGAAAGCGAGGGCCTCAAGCTAAAGGACACACCCCCCTCTGGGACCTTTGGAAGAAAGAAGTCCTCCCAGAGGGAAGGAGAGTTTGCCCTCAGGTCCTTAAAAGGAGAAAAGGCAAAGCAGTCTGGCTGGTAGAGAAGCCACTGGCTGGGAGGAAGAACGCATCATTGTCTCCAACCTCAGGCCAGACGCATCCCACCAGGGGAATCCCAGACACCCAGGAGGCCTCCCAGGGGCTGGACTGGGCTTTAGTTTCTGAAGGGATTGATAGCCAGTCCTGGCAGGGGGAGTTGCAGAGACAGCAACTCAGGAAGGTTAGAGAGAGGGCTGGGCATCAGCGGGGAGTGGGGAGAAGAAGTGGGTCAAGGAAGGAGGGCGTCTCCGCATAGGCACCCCAGAAGGTCCTGGCTGTGAGAGAGAGCCCCCTTCTCCGAGAGGAGTTAGTTCTCCAAAGGCATAGCCTAATCCGCCATATCCATCCAAGCGCGCAGTTTGCTTCTGTTCTCAGGCTCTGGGCAGCTTTGGGACGGAAAGGGTTCCTTTCAGTGGGCTGTGCTGCCTGGAGGCAGCCAGGACCAGGTCTGGGCAGGTCTGGTAGGTGGCAAGGTAAGTGAAGAGGGGCCACTTTGCTCAGCGAGCTGAATAGCAAAGGCCTACACGGGATTGCCAGATTTACCAAACAACAATACAGGACTCCATTACATTTGAATTTCAGATAAACATTGAATTTTTTTTTAGGATGAGGAGGTTCTATGCAGTATTTGGGATATACTTATACTAAAAGAGTATTTGTTATCTTAAATCTAATTTTAACTAAGCTTTCTATATTTTATCTGGCAGCCCTAGGCCTGCCCCACTAGGGTCCCCAGTTGCCCCTCACAAGGACCATCCCCAGACACCCTTGCCCTAAAGCATAGAGACCCAGGACCTTGGCAACAGAAGGAAGTGGCCTTTTTTGGTGCATTCTAGAATTCCTGGCAGGCCTCCCCTCTCCCCAGCACCTGCCTCCATTCCTTCCGCACACATTTTTAGGTCTGGCACCAGAGATCCTATGGCAGAGTAAGCCCTGGGAGGATGCTAGGTGAGTTGCAGTGCATCCCACCTTACTTGTGTATCTGCAGCCCTTCACTAATCATGGCTGCAATGGCCTTTTCTTGGAGGAGTCAGAGAGATTGACTGTGGTACTTGGGCTTAAAGAATGCTTGGGAGAAAATGGAGATGGACGCAGGGACAGAAACGCATGCAAATACGTTCTGGGAATCCCAGTAACTTCTGTGGCTTGACCTGTGTTTGGATAAAGAGCGAGGACATGCCAGTGGCAAAGAGGCAAAGGCCAGTCACTTAAGGCTTTGGATCTTAGGCCAAGGCATCTGTACTTTACACTCAGCAGTAGAGAGCCATGGAAGAGGTGCTTTAAAATTGTTTATTTGGGTGTGGTGGCTCACACCTGTAATCTGAACACTTTGGGAGGCCAGGTGGGAGGATTACTTGAGCCCAGGAATTTCTGATCAGCCTGGGCAACATGGTGAAACCCCAACTCTACAAAAAATACAAAAATTAGCTGGGCATGGTGGCATGCACCAGTAGCCCCAGCTACTCAGGAGGCTGAGGCAGGAGGATCAATGGAGCCCGGGAGGTCAAGGCTGCAGTGAGTTATGATTATGCCAGTGCACACCAGTCTGGGTAACAGAGCAAGATCCTGTCTGAAAAAATTATTTATTTGTTGGTTAAAGTAAGTAAACAAGTAATACAATACGGAACAGCAGTGTTGTCAAAGTATGGCCTATGGACCCTGGAGGTCCCCAAGATACTTAGAGATCTGCAAGGTCAAAACTATGTTTATAGTAATACTCAGACATTCTATGCCCTTTTCATTCAAATGATGTGTTATCATTTGACTGACTGCTTGAGAGCAATGGCGAGTGAACGTGTCATTGCTTCAACACAAGTTAAGGCAGTAGTGCCTGAGAGGATCAAAATATGCCACTCCAAAATAAGCCACTTTGGCAGAAGAACTATTTTGAGTGGAATGCAACTGGGAATCAACAGTTGCAGGATGAGTTCTCTGCTTTCCTCTTAGCTGCAAAAAACAGGGCATAAATTTCCCTTTGTGAATACCAAGATGATTTTGCATAAACAGACCTTACTAAAATAACCTCTATCGTCCATTCGTTCCCCCATATATTTCCTAGCCACTTCCCCACAATTTGTCACCCTTGATGCCCAAACCCTCTTTCCTTTGTTAAAATGTTGTGTAAGTCCCCATGTCTAATGACTTCTTTGAGTTTCAGTTCTTTTCTGTGAACTCTCATGCAGGTAAATATTCATAAAAGTTGTGTGCCTTTTCTCCTGTTATTCTGTCCTTTGTCAGTTTAATTCACAGACCTCTAATCAATGAACCTGAGTGCAGACAAAACGTTTTTCCTCCCTGACACTGCAGCCTTGACATCCTGGGCTCAAGCGATCCTCCCACTTCAGCCTCCAATTAGCTGGAACTACAGGCACGTACCACCACATCGGCTATTTTTTTATTTTTTGTAGAGACGGTGTCTCAGTATGTTGCCCAGGCTAGCATTGTATTCTTCATTGCCATGTATTTGCAATTTAAAAACATTTCATTTATGAATGACCTTGATGGAACAGTAAAAAATACTTTTATTAACTCTCAATCTGTGAGCAGTATATATCTTTCTATGCTTGATATTTTGTGTGATGAAAGGAGGAGTATGTAGAAAGCACTTCTGCTGCTTACCAAAGGATGATGGGCTTCTCTAAGGAAAAGCGCTTGTGTGATTGTCTGAGTTGTCAGCCAAACTAGCTGCTTTTTTCATAGAACACCATTTTTACTTGAAAGACTGACAAACTATGGTTATTCCGACTGGTATTTAGCAGACATTTCTTAACAATAAATAAAGTGAAACTGTCACTCCATAAAAGCAACTGACAGCATTTGTTGCCAATGATAAAATTTGAGCTTTCAAGCAAAAGTTAGAATTTTGGAAAATGTGTATCCACCATTGTGAGCTTAACAAGCTTCTAAGTACTTAAACACTTTTTTTTTCCTTTCTTTTCTTTTTTTTTTTTTTGTGTGAGATGGAGTCTTGCTCTGTCACCCAGGCTGGAGTGCAATGACATAATCTCAGCTCACTGTAACCTCTGCCTCCTGGGTTCAAGCAATTCTCCTGCCTCAGCCTCCTGAGTAACTGGAATTACAGGCACACGCCACCACACCTGGCTAATTTTTGTATTTTTAGTAAAGATGGGGTTTCACCATGTTGGCCAGGCTGGTCTTGAACTCCTGACCTCAGGTGATGTACCCACCTCGGCCTCCCAAAGTGCTGGGATTACAGGCATGAGTCACCGTGCCCAGCCTTACTTAAACAATTTTCTTATGAGATTAGTAGTGATATTAACACACATGATTTTTCAATATTGTCTAACAAAATGTGTCAAAAATTGGATGATCTGCATAACTCTATCAGTACTTTCCAAATGACAAATGCATAATGTTACAGAACTACACTCACATAAAAGATTCACTTAAGGTACAAGACAGGGCTGAGTATAGTGGCTCATGCCTGTAATCCCAACACTTTGGCAGGTAGAGGTGGGAGGATCACTAGAGGCGAAGAGCTGGAGACCGGCCTGGGCAACATAGCAAGACCCCATCTTTATTTTAAAAAATAAAAAATTAGCCAGGTGTGGTGGCACACACCTATAGTTCCAGCTACTAAGGAGGCTGAGACAGGAGGATTGCTTGAGCTCAGGAGTCTGAGGTTGCAATGAGCTATGATCAAGCCACTGTACCCTAGCCTGGGTGACAGAGTGAAACCCTGTCTTAAAAAAAAAAGTGGGGGGACAAGAGAGAGCAATGGCTTTTGTTTTGTTTTGTTGTTTGAGACAGAGTCTTGCTCTGTCACCCAGGCTGACGTTCAGTGGCAAAATCTCGGTTCACTGCAACCTCTGCCTCCCGGGTTCAAGCAATTCTTGTGCCTCAGCTTCCCAAGTAGCTAGAATTAGAGATGTGCATCACCAAACCCAGCTAATTTTTGTATTTTTAGTAGAGGCGGGGTTTTGTCATGTTGGCCTGTCTAGTCTCAAACTCCTGGCCTCATGTAATACGTCTGGCCTCAGCCTCCCAAGGTGCTGGGATTACAGGCATGAGCCACGGCGCCCAGCCGGAACAATGAGTTTTAATGTAACAGTATGAATATGTCATTGCTATGGTTTCAGATTCTACATTGCTTTGAGAAACTGCTGCTTGTCCAGTCGATGTGCTATCAAAGAATACCCACAAAAGGCTATTTAAAGTCTCTTTTTTCTAACTACATATCTTACTGACATGAATTTTCTTCACATACTCCAACCAAAACAATGTATTCTGATAGATCGAATGCAGAAACAGATATGAGAATGAAGATTTTTCAATTAAGTCAGATATTAAAGAGATTTGCAAAAATGCAAAACAAAGTCATTTTTCTCACTAAATGTTTTTGTTTTGGAAAGGATAGTTACTTTTTACAAAACTGTCATTTATATTAACATATAATTGCTTTATTGTTGTTATTTCCTTTCTTTTTTTTTTTTTTGTTTTTGAGACAGGGTCTTACTCTGTTGCCCAGGCCGGGGTGCAGTGGCACAATCTCGGCTCACTGCAACCTCCGCATCCTGGGCTTAAGTGATTTTCCAGTCTCAGCCTCCTGTGTAGCTGGGACTACTGGCACACACCACCACCACACCTGACTAATTTTTTTGTGTGTATATATATATATAATTTTTTTTTTGAGATGGAGTCTTGCTCTGTTGCCCAGGCTGGAGTGCAGTGGCACCATCTCGGCTCACTGCAAGCTCCGCCTCCCGGGTTCACACCATTCTCCTGCCTCAGCCTCCCAAGTAGCTGGGACTACAAGCGTGTGCCACCACACCCAGCTAATTTTGTGTATTTTTAGTAGAGACGGGGTTTCACCGTGTTAGCCAGGATGGTCTCGATCTCATGACCTCATGATCCACCAGCCTTGGCCTCCCAAAGTGCTGGGTTTACAGGCATGAGCCACCACGCCCAGCCTAATTTTTGTATATTTTGTAGAGATGGCATTTCACTATGTTGGCCAGGCTGGTCTCGAACTTCCGAGTTCAAGTGATCAGCCTGCCTTGGCCTCCCAAATTGTTGGGATTACAGGCACGAGCCACCTCGCCTGGCCTATTGTTATTTCTAAATGAATTAATATGTAAATATTTTTTAAATTTCTTAGCTTTAATTTCTGATAACCCTCATTAATGAAAATGTTTTTGGGGACACTGAGTAATTTTTAGAGTGTAGAGGGGTCCTGAACTTTGAGGGGTTCTTCAAACGCAGAACTTTGAGAACCACTACAAAACAGAGTGAATTAACTTTCCATCCCACTACACAATCTCAGCCTGCTGAGACAACTACTGTGGTCAGTGTACTATGTACCCTTTCCTATATTGTATGCCTTTATACCCAAAAGGTATCCACAATTTATTTATTTTTATTTATTTATTTGTTTGAGACAGGGTTTCGCACTTGTTGCCCAGGCTGGAGTGCAATGGCATGATCTCGGCTCACTGCAACCTCTGCCTCCCGGGTTCAAGTGATTCTCCTGCCTCAGCCTCCCAAGTAGCTGGGATTACAGGCATGTGCCACCACACTCCACTAATTTTTTGTATTTAGTAGAGATGGGGTTTCACCATGTTAGTCAGGCTGGTCTCAAACTCCTGACCTCAGGTGATCCACTCGCCTCAGCCTCCCAAAATGCTGGGATTACGGCGTGCACCACCGTGCCCGGCCAGGTATTCACAATCCTGTACCTGGCTTTTTTCCGTAGGAAAAGAATAGACCATGGAACCCAGCCCATATCAGCGTACATACGACTGCTCCAAGTTTTCCTGGCTGGATTGTGTGCCTATTATATGGACGCAATGTAATCTATTCAACCATCCTGCTGCTGCTGGACATTTAGGTTGGTTCTCATTTTTTAACAAGTTCAGGCCCAGCGCGGTGGTTCACGCCTGTAATCCCAGCACTTTCGGAGGGTGAGGCGGGCGGATCACAAGGTCAGGAGATCGAGACCATCCTGGCTAACACGGTGAAACCCCGTCTCTACTAAAAATACAAAAATTAGCCGGGCATGGTGGTGGGCGCCAGTAGTCCCAGCTACTTGGGAGGCTGAGGCAGGAGAATGGCATGAACCCAGAGGTGGAGCTTGCAGTGAGCCGAGATCACACCACTGCACTCCAGCCTGGTCAATAGAGCGAGACTCCGTCTCAAAAATAAACCAGTTCAAACAATTATGTAATGAACATCCTTGGAAAAGTTTTAAGCAGGTAAGTGATAGGATCAGATTTGCTTGTTTAAAATGTCACTCTGAATATGTAAGCTGCTGAAATCTGAACAAGATCTATGGATTGTATCAATATCAATTTCCTGGCTGTGGATATTGTACTATTGTGCAAGATGTTGCCACTGAGGAAATGAGAAGGAAACCAGGTGAAGAGTACATGGAATCTGTCTATATTATTTCTTATAATGCATGTGAATCTATAATTATCTCAAAATAAAAAATTTAATTAAAAAATTGAGGCCCGGCATTGTGGCTCACGCCTGTAATCCCAGCACTTTGGGAGGCTGAGGCAGGTGGATCACCTGAGGTCAGGAGTTCGAGACCAGCCTGGCCAACATGGTAAAACCCCTGTCTCTACTAAAAATACAAAAAATTAGCCAGTTGTGGTGGCAGGCACCTGTAATTCCAGCTACTTAGGAGGCTGAGACAGGAGAATCACTTGAACCCAGGAGGCAGAGGTTGCAGTAAGCTGAGATTGCGTCACTGCACTTCAGCCTGGGAGACAAGAGCAAAACTCTTGTCTCCAAAATAAAAAAGAAAAAAAACACACGTATTAGGATAATTAGTATCAAAATAACAGAAAATAACAAGTGTTGGCAATAATGTGTGAAAACTGGAATGCTTCTGCACTGCTGGTGGGAATGTAAAATGGGGCAGCTACTATGGGAAACAATATGGAAGTTCCTAAAACACTAAAAATAGAACTATCCTATGACCCAACCATCTCACTTCTGGTTTTACAGCCAAAATAATTGAAAACAGGATCTCAAGGAGATATTTCCACACTATGCTTACAGCAGCACTAGTTGTAATAGCCAAGAGGTCAAAAGCAACCCAAGTGTCCACTGACAAATGGATAAAGAAAATGAGGTATATACATACAACGGAATATTATTGAGCCTTAAAAAGGAAGGAAATTCTGACACATGCTACAACATGGTTGAACCTTGAGAACATCTTATTAAGTGAAATAAGCCAGTCCCCAAAACACAGATACTATGTGATTCTACTTACATGAGTTGTCTATAGTAGTCAAATTCATAGAAACAGAAAGTAGAATAGTGGTTGTCAGGGGCTGGGGAGAGGGAAATACAGAGGTGTTAGTTTCATGGGTATAGTTTCACTTTTGCAAGCTAAAAAAATTCCGGAGAGCTCTTCCATAACAATGCGAATTTAACTAACGGTACTTAACTCTATACTTAGAAATGGTTAAGATGGTAAATTTTGGCCAGGCACAGTGGCTCACGTCTGTAATCCCAGCACTTTGGGAGACCAAGCCAGGTGGATCACTTGATGTCAGGAGTTCGAGACTAGCCTGGCCAACATGGTGAAACCCTGTCTCTACTAAAAATACGAAAATTAGCCAGGTGTGGTGGTACACGGCTGTAGTCCCAGCTGCTCAGGTGGCTGACGCAGGAGAATTGCTTGAACCCAGGAGGCAGAGGTTGCAGTGAGCCGAGTTCACACCACTGTACTCCAGTCTGGACAACAGGGTGAGACTCTATGCAAAAAAAACAAAAAAAAAAAACAACAAAAAAAAGGAAAGGGGAGCCAGGCATGGGTGTGGTGGCTCACGCCTATAATCCCAGCACTTTGGGAGCTGAGGCTGGTGAATCACCTGAGGTCAGAAGTTTGAGACCAGCCTGGCTAACATGGTGAAACCCTGTCTCAACTAAAAATACAAAAATTAGCTGGGCGTGGTGGCGCATGCCTGTAATCCCAGCTACTCGGGAGGCTGAGGCAGGAAAATAGCTTGAACCTGGGAGGCGTAGGTTGCAGTGAGCCAAGAATGCACCATTGCACTCCACCCTGTGCAACAAGACAAAACTCTGTCTCAAAAAAAAAAGATGGTAAATTTTATCTTATGCATTTTTTTACCATACACACAAACAGACAAAACTAGAGGAGAGCTAGTTAAAAAAAAAAAAAAAATCACTCTAGCTGCCACTAGGTTTGAAGGGGCTCTGCTAGTGGCAGGAAAGTCTCCTAGCAGGATGTTCTTTTGTCTTGATGAGAAGTGCTGGGGCATGAACAAAGGCAGTGCCCTGGATCCCCAAAGACTGTGAAAGATTGAATTATTTGTCCCTTGTAATATAATTATCCACCCACATCCTTGCCATGGTGGACAGAGAATACTTTCCCACCTTTTGATTTTGTGTTTGGCCATGTGACTTGCTTTGGCCAGTAGGAAACTTGTGAACCTGACATGAGAAGTTTTGAAATGTGCTTGCTCAGTTGGACATGCCTTCTCATGCTGCAGTAATCTGCCATGACAAGAACGTGCCCCATATAGCTGCTGCTCCTTCCTTCTGGGTCCAGGAATGAGTCTCCAGGAACAGGCCATAATCCCTGGGTAGCCGCTGGTCCCAGGAGAACGAGGGACATGCCGAGCAGATCTGAACTCAGCCTGCAGCTTGGAGTCTAGCCTCGATCAACCAAGGTACGATTCAATTTCAGCTGAATTGTACAGCTGACCCACAGGTCATGAGCGTGACAATAAAGGATTATTGTTTGAAGCTTCTGAGTTGTTGTGGTTGTTGTTTCATACAGCACAACGACCCATTTTAGAATGGCACTTAGTAGGCTTTTACAACCTCAACCATTGTTCTGCTGATAGCAAAGCTTTCCATCCAGCAATACTCAACATCCAAACACAGAAGACATGGCAAAAGCAGGGGGGAGTGCTGAGGTGGTTAAGTTCATATACAGAGTGCTGGTGAAAGCACAGGGTGAAGAATCCCTGGGGGTCACTTCCTAGATGGGAGCACAGTAGCCTAATACCTTAGCTGTAGCTTCATCAGTATGTTGGTATGGATCGCTGTAGGAACACGTGATCAACAGCTCTTAGCATCATCTTTTTGGAGTGACTTGAGTCTTGTGATTGAAATGATTCTATTTCTTACTGGTTGGGATTATTTAGTGAAGACACTGTTTGGAACAGATATTATCATTATCCTGTTCCTGGGCCTGTAACCCCAGCACTTTGGGAGGCTGAGGCAGGCAGACCACAAGGTCAGGAGATCGAGACCATCCTGGCTAACACAGTGAAACCCCCTCTCTACTAAAAATACAAAAAATTAGCCGGGCGTGGTGGCGGGCGCCTGTAATCCCAGCTACTTGGGAGGCTGAGGCAGGAGAATGGCGTGAACCTGGGAGGCAGAGCTTGCAGTGAGCTGAGATCGAGCCACTGCACTACAGCCTGGGTGACAGAGCAAGAATCTGTCTCAAAAAAAAAAAAAAAAAGAAAGAAAGAAAGGAAAGGCAAGGAAGAAAAGAAAGAAAGAAAGAAGTCACTACTTTATCATATAAAAATCAATAATAAGTCATTAATGGAAATTATAATCCAGTTGGTGTTTTCTATTTCTTCAATTATAATTTTTTCTTTTTCTTTTTTTTTTTTTCTTGAGACAGGATGTTGTTTTGTCACCCAGGCTGGAGTTCAGTGGTTCAACTATAGCTCACTGCAACCTCAAACTCCTGGGCTCAAGTAATCCTTCTGCCTCAGTCTCCTGAGTAGCTGGAACTACAGGCGTGCACTACCATGCCTGGTAATTTTTTAAAATTTTTGTAGAAACAAGGTTTCACTTTGTTGCCCACTTTGTTAATCTGGAACTCCTAGCCTCAAGTGATCCACCCGCATCAGCCTCCCAAAGCACTGGGATTACAAGTGTGAGCCTCCATTCCTGGCCTCATTTTCTTTTTTAACAGGTGTTTGAATTAATATACAAATAAAGTCTATAAATAGGGCTTGGTTGATAAATCTTAAAACCTGCAAGTTTCCCCTCCGTCTCTTTTTGTTTTGTAATACTGTTTTGTTAAGGAAATTGGGGGATTTTTTTAATTTTGTTTTTGTTTTTTGGTTTTTTTTGGAGACCGAGTCTTGCTATCACCCAGCCTGGAGTGCAGTGGCGTGATATCGGCTCCCTGCAACCTCAGCTTCCAGGGTTCAAGTGATTCTCCAGCTTCAGCCTCCCGAGTAGCTGGGATTACAGGCGTGTGCCACCACACCCAGCTAAATTTTGTATTTTTAGTAGAGACAGGGTTTCACCAGGTTGGCCAGGCTGGTCTCGAACTCCTGACCTCAAGTCATCCACCAGCCTCAGCCTCCCAAAGTGTTGGAATTACAGGCGTGAGCTACCGCACCAAGCTGGAAACTAGGTTGTTTATCCTTGCAGTTTCCCACAGTCTGAATTTGGTTGATTGCAACCCTGTGGTACCATTTAACATGTCTTCTGTCTTCTGTATTTAGTTAGGGAGGCTTGAACAAATTCACGTCCAACTATTTTTTTCAAGACCACCTCCTAGATGGTGATATGTGCTTCCATCAGGAAGCACCTAACTTCTGGTTGTGTCTCATTTTGCAACATCTGCAGCCATGGATGATCATTACTTAAATTCATGAGGAATTGCAAAATAGTGACATTATAACTGTATTATTTCTTATTTTATTAACCTGCATATTTCTACAAAGTGAAACTTGCCCTCATTGATTATTTAGTTATCCTGAGAGATAGATCATATGCAAAAGACATGACAAATATTTAATGCTTTCCCTTTATTTACCAGCTGCCTAGCATCCCCCTAAGGTGAAAAACTAGTTATTTTTAAATATGTGTGAATCAGTGGATTTAAACATGTCTGATTGGTGTCAATCCATTGCAGTTATTAATCTTACTGGTGCTCAAAAAATCTCGCCTTTGGCTGGTGGAAGTGTATTCAGGTTGGCTCCTGTCTCCTTTTGACATGACCCGGGGAGTGTTTCATAGCATCCTATTTTATATGACAGGATATTTATGACTCATTCCTTATATCTCCTGTCCCCAAAATGCCCAGAGGCATTTTTCATCTGGATTGCTTGAAGGTCAGTGATGGCAGGAGGTAGGCTGACTCCCAGTTTGAAGACTTACAGAGCTACATGGACAGTGATGTCACTTGCAGATGTGGGGTCGACATTGAGGTTGGGGGACCAGAGTGGTCAAAGAAGACTGAGAGGGTAGCGGAGTGAGGGCAGACATCTCTGGCCATCCTGCAGGGCCGTGGGGACTTTAGCAGTGCAACTCCCGTCCACAGTAAGGGTGATGGCAGTTGCTGCAGGTGGCCACGGGAGGCTAAAGGCAATGGTACTACGAAGGCCCCAGGCATCTTCAGGCTTCCACATGGTCCATGGCACAAGTCACCACAGACCGCCCAAACCTGGGTTCACTTTCCTCTCTTGGCGCTTGTGCATGAGAAAGCTCCTGTCTTCTCCAAACATGGGTTGGCCCAAAAGAGAGATGTGTGTCCCCTTGTTACAGTCTGCTCAGCCTGCTAGTATAACACCCCAGCCCCCCCATACACACGCCTTTGTGCCTTCACCCCTGCACCATAAAGCACATGTACTCCATGCGTAAACACGTTTACGTATACGATGGTGTGCAGCTGCCCACTCACACGCACACATGCAGTGGTGTAGAGAAGGAGCCTTGGCGGTGCACTGTGGTCAGGAAGGCCTGCACTTGAACCTCCTTCGCTAGGCCATGGGTCTCTGGACCTCAGTTTACTGATCTATAAAACAAGATGTTGGCCTTAATGTCCCTCTGTCCCCAAGGTCCCTGTCTGTCCATGCTGACAATAAGGTTCTAAGTGTTTCAAAGTATATATTCACTCATAGAAACTCTGGGGACAGCCCCTTCCAAGCCTCCCCTAGTCCCCGTACCCACACATTTTAACCAGAAGAAGCCCTATACCTGGAATGCCCAGCCTTCAGGTTGCAACTTGCTTTTCACCTTGACTACAGCACCCGAGGAGACAGAAATGCTCACTGGGTGGCCCCCCCAGGCTGGGGTACTAGGGGGCAGGTGGCTCTGGCTTGGTACCCTCCTTAGGCCTGGATTTCTACCCACTTCCACAGGGCTCCAGCGGGGACAGTAACCAGTCTGCAACGGCAGTGGGCTCTCCCAGTTTGCCTCCCAGTTAGGATTTGCCAACACTGGCCATCTAAGGCCTACTGGGGTCCTTGCAGGTTTCCTGGGGGGATAGGAAAGCTCTGTGTGCTGACTGCCGCCCTGCTGGCCTGCAACCCTGAGCTCAGCTTACCCACTGCAATCGGCTGCCAAGGGGCACTGGATCTCAAGTGCTACTCTATATGAGTGTGTGTTTTGGGAGAAGTACTAGGGAAGAAGGGAAGGCTTTTTTCCATAGAAAGGCATGCGATGTAGTAAAAGTGGGGAAGCTTTGGACACAATCCTGGCTCAACAACTTATTAGGGGTGTCTAATCTTTTGGCTTCCCTGGGCCACACTGGAAGAAGAAGAATTGTCTTGGGCCACAGATAAAATACACTAACACTAATGATAGCTGATGAGCTTAAAAAATTTTGCCAAAAAAATTTTTATTTTATTTTATTTTATATTTTAGTTTTTGAGATGGAGTCTCACTCTATTGCCCAGGCTGGAGTGCAGTGGCACGGTCTCAGTTCACTGCAACCTCTGCCTCCCAGGTTCAAGCAATTCTCCTGCCTCAGCCTCCCAAGTAGCTGGGACTACAGGCATGCACCACCACGCCTGGCTAATTTTTTGTAAAAAAAAAAAAAAAAATTATAATATTTTAAGAAAGTTTATGAATTTGTGTTGGGCTGCATTCAAAGCCATCCTGGGCCGCATGTGGCCCGTGAGTTGTGGGTTGGACAAGCTTGACGTAAATACTATGTGGCCTTGGCCCCTTTCCAGGCCATGGTTTCCTCTTCTGTGAAAAGGGAACCAGTGGCTGGGAAAAGGGAACCAGAAGCCGAAGTGGGAGGATCACTTGAGCATAGGAATTTGAAATCAGCCTGGGCAACACAGCAAAACCTTGTCTCAATTTTAAAAATAAAAAATATATGAAAAAAGGGAACCAGAGTGACTATTTTAGGGTAGTTTTGAGAATTCACTGACATAATGCCTATAAAGCCACAGCAGGTGTCAGCCACACAGTAGGTGTTGAAAAGCTGGGAGCTGCTGCGTTGCTGCTGTCATTATTGACTGGCCTGTTTTTCAAAACAGGGCACAAAGTGAGTTATGGGAGCTCCAGAAAGGAATGCTTGGTTTCAATACTTAGCAAATAATAACAAAAAGAATATTGAAGTATATATAAACATTTTGAGGCCGGGCGCAGTAGCTCACGCCTGTAATTCCGGCACTTTAGGAAGCCGAAGTGGGAGGATCACTTGAGGTCAGGAGTTTGAGACCAGCCTGGCCAACATAGCAAAACCTTATCTCTACTAAAAATACAAAAATTAGCCGGGCGTGGTAGCACGCGCCTGTAGTCCCAGCTACTCAGGAGGCTGAGGCAGGAGAATCACTTGAACCCAGTAGCAGGAGGTTGCAGTGAGCCAAGATCGTGCCACTGCACTCCAGCCTGGGCGACAGAGCAAGGCTCCATCTCAAATAATAAAAATTTAAAAATAAAGTATATGTAAACATTTGAAAACAATGACCATTTATTTCTCTATCTGGAAATATGCAGACTAGCTGAATAGAGAAATCCCTTCCTAAAAATGCTGAATGAAATACCAAAAATGTGTGTGTGAAAGCACAGATAAAAGGGTGTTAAACAGGGAATCAGTCAGAAGCCAGAATAACAAGAGCATGACCCCATCAGGGTGAGCCTGCACCGGGGCCTGTGCTTTCTGAGACCCTGGGATGTAAATGGCCAGTGTGCCAGGCACCTCCTGGGCACCACTTCAGTCTGCTTGGCCCCAGTTCTGATTCTGGCCACTGCTGAGGTGATGAGTGTTCTGTGGGCCTCATGCAGGTGCTGCCTCACCTTGGGCACATGGGGCCCACCCCTCCCTTCCTGTCTGAGTCTCACTGACCCCACAGGGCAGATGCTCTCGGGAATCCCCTGAACCATTATGCATGCGCAGACCCCAAGTTCAGGGGAGTTCATGTCTGTGAGGCCACTCTTGACCAATGATTGACACAAGCAAATACTCATTGTGTCTTTTTTGTATCTCCCATTTCATAAGACTCCTTGGAAGATCCTATGGAATCAAGCACCTATCAGAGGTCCCCTTAAATAATGCGACCTTGTCCCGGGCTTCCCTCTTTCTTTCTCTCTCCAGCCCTCACTCCTACTCCCTGGGATTACTTCCAAAGTTAATTACACAAAAACCTTTGTCTGAGGCTTTGCTTTTAGGGGAAACAAAATGAGGAAAGAGAAGAAAAGACCTGAGGTCTGGTCCTGGGAAGTAGGTTATCAAAGATTTCCTTTCTCCCCCAAATTTGGGACTTCTCAAAAGCCAGTGCCCTAAGGGAGAAATGGGGAGAAAACAACTCAGCCACAGAAGACTTTGCCGTACCCACTTAGCTGTGCTGGAGAGGTAACACAGGCTAAAAAGAAATCCAGTAAAATGCATAACAAGCTGATATTCACACAGAGAAAAGCCCAACATCATATTCCCTATGTGATTGGAAAAACACTAAGCCAAAAACAATTTTTAAGTGGATCTGAGTTGGAAGTACCCCTAGGCGCCTGGCAAAAGCAAACAAAAATCCTTTCTGGAAGAATATATTTTAAACACAGATTCAAAGACTTCCCACAAAGAATTTCAAGGAACATAAGTTCATAATTAAACATCAATAAACTCAAAAAGAAACAAACCACAAGGGCATGAGTCAGCAGAAACAACGAATAACAAGATGAGACCCACAAATACTACATAAAATAGAATGATGAGATGCAGGATAGAAAATAAGTGTTTCAGGCCGGGCGCTCGGCTGTAATCCCAGCACTCTGGGAGGCCTGGGCTAGAGGATTGTTTGAGCCAGGAGTTCAAGACCAGGCTGGGCAATAGAGTGAGACCCCATCTCTCTCTCTCTAAAAAAAAAAAAAAATACATATATATACACATATATATACACACACACACGGAAAAATATATATTATATATTATAAATATATATTATATATTATATATTTTTATATATTTATAGATTATATAATTATAATATATAACTATATATGACATATAATATATATTATTATATATATATTTATTATATATATAGAGAGAGAGATGGAGTTTTGCTCTTATTGCCCAGGCTGGAGTGCAATGATGCAATCTCGGCTCACTGCAACCTCCACCTCCCGGGTTCAAGCAATTCTCCTGCCTCAGCCTCCGAAGTAGCTGGGATTACAGGCATGAGCCACCACACCTAATTTTGTATTTTTAGTAGAGATGGGGTTTCTCCGTGTTGGTTAGGCTGGTCTCGAACTCCTGACCTCAGGTGATCTGCCCACCTCAGCCTCCCAAAGTGCTGGGATTGCAGGCATGAACCACCATGCCCAGCTGAAAAAAAATTTTTAATATGTTTAAAGAAGTGTAAAACGGGCCAGGTGCGGTGACTCACAGCTGTAATCCCAGCACTTTGGAAAGCCAAATGGGTGGGTCACTTGAGGTCAAGAGTTAGAGACCAGCCTGGCCAACATGGCAAAACCCTGTCTCTACTAAAAATACAAAACTTAGCCGAGTATGGTGGTGCGTGCCTGTGATTCCAGCTACTCAGGAGGCTGAGGCAGGAGAATTGCTTGAACTCGGGAGGTGGAGGCTGCAATGAGCCGAGATGGTGCCACTGCACCCCAGCCTGGGCAACAGAGCAAGACCTTGTCTGAAAAAAAAAAAAAAAAAGAATTGTAAAGCGATACTGAAAATATGGCAAATAAACTAATTAAATTAATTAGGCATATTTGAAGATGAACCAAATAAAACTCTCAGGAATGAAACTATAATTATTAAGATTTAAAACCTCAAAAGAGGTTGGGTGTGGTGGCTCACACTTGTAATCCCAGCTCTTTGGGAGGCTGAGACAGGTAGATCACTTGAGGTCAGAAGTTTGAGACCAGCCCGGCCAACATGGCAAAACCCTGTCTCTACCAAAAATACAAAAATTAGCCGGGCATAGTAGCCGGCACCTGTAATCCCAGCTATTCGGGAGGCTGAGGCTTGAGAATCACTTGAACTTGGGAGGCGGAGGTTGCAGTGAGCCAATGTCACGCCACCACACTCCAGTCTGGACAACAGAGTGAGACTGTCTCAAAAATAAAATAAAATAAACAGTTTAAGAAATTACTAAAAATTCAGCAAAGAATGAAAAAATGGTGAAATATGAAAGAGAAGTTAAAAGACATGGAAGAAATCCAACATTTATTCCTGATGAAAACCTCTCAGCAAACTAAGAACTAATGGGAATTCCTCAACTCAATGATGGACATTCACAAAAACCCTACATCTACTGTCATATTTTATGGTAAGAAACTGAATTCTTTCACTCTAAGTTCAGGAAGAAGCAAGGATACCTCCTCTTAACACACCCATTCAATATTTTACTAGAGGCCCTAACCAGTGCAAGAAGTCAAGAAAAACAAATAAAAGGCCTACAGACTGGCAAAGAAGAAACAAACCTGTTTCTGTTAGCAAAATACATAATTGCCTTTATAGAAAATCACAAAGAATCTACAAAAAGCTCCTACAATGAATGACTTAAGCAAAGTTATGGGATATGAGGTCAGCATAGAAAAACCAATTGTGCCAGTGGGGCTATGGGTGGCCCCTTTTCTCCTCAGTCAGGGCTGGAGGCCAAGATCAGCCTTTGAGGATTATCAGGGCTGCCACAAGCTGGGCAGCCTTGTTTTCCTACCTCAGACATTTGTAGAAGGAAAAAAAAAATCAATTGTATTCCTATAGATTAGCAATAAATAAATTGGAAATTTTGAAAAGTACCATTTAGAACTGCATAAGAAACAGATTCCTACTTTGTAAAAATCTAACGAAACATGTGCAAGAGCAGTATGCAGAAAACAAAACAAAACCGATGAGAGAAACTAAAAAATATCTACATAAATGTTTATAAAGTAGAAAAATCAACATGGTTAAGTGACAAACTCTTCCCAATGCAACCAACAGAGTTAATGCAATACCAGTCAAAATCCCATCAGGGTGCCAGGTGTGGTGGCTCACACCTGTAATCCCAGCACTTTGGGAGACCAAGGTGGGCAGATCACTTGAGGCCAGGAGTTCAAGACCAGCCAAGTGATCTGCTCTGTTGTCCAGGCTGGAGTGCAGTGGCGTGATCTCAGCTCACTGCAACCTCTGCTTCCAGGGTTCAAGCGATTCTCCTGCCTCATCCTCGAGTAGCTGGGATTACAGGTGCACACCATCATTCCTGGGTAATTTTTGTATTTTTAGCAGCGGCAGGGTTTCACCATGTTGACCACGCTAATCTTGAACTCCTGACCTCAAGTGATTTGCCTGCCTCAGCCTCCCAAAGTGCTGGGATTACAGATGTGAGCGACTGTGCCCAGCCTTATAAGTAAATTTATAATTTACATAATTTAAATGCTTATGCTGCAATGGGAGACGAATCAAATATCAATAATCTAAGCTTCCACCTCAAGTAGTTCAAAAAAGAAAAGGAAATCAAACCCAAAGTAAGAAGAAGAAAATAATAAAGATAAGAGCAGAAATCAATGAAATAGAAAAAAACAATAGGCCGGGCGCGGTGGCTCAAGCCTGTAATCCCAGCACTTTGGGAGGCCGAGGCGGGCGGATCACAAGGTCAGGAGATCGAGACCATCCTGGCTAACACGGTGAAACCCCGTCTCTACTAAAAATACAAAAATTAGCCGGGCATAGTGGCAGGCGCCTGTAGTCCCAGCTACTCGGGAGGCTGAGGCAGGAGAATGGCGTGAACCCGGGAGGCGGAGCTTGCAGTGAGCCGAGATTGCATCACTGCACTCCAGCCTGGGCGACAGAGTCAGACTCTGTCTCAAAAAAAAAAAAAAAAAAAAAAGAGAGTTGGTGTTTTTTTGTGTTGTCTTTTGAGACGGAGTCTCGCTCTGTCGCCCAGGCTGGAGTGCAGTGGCGCCATCTCGGCTCACTGCAAGCTCCACCTCCCGGGTTCACGCCATTCTACTGCCTCAGCCTCCGGAGTAGCTGGGACTACAGGCGCCCGCCACCACGCCCAGATAATTTTTTCTGTATTTTTAGTAGAGACGGGGTTTCACCATGTTAGCCAGGATGGTCTCGATCTCCTGACCTCGTGATCCACCCGCCTCAGCCTCCTAAAGTGCTAGGATTACAGGCGTGAGCCACCGCGCCCGGCCTTTTTTTTTGTTTGCTTTTTGTTTTGTTTGTTTTTGAGATGAAGTCTCACTCTGTCGCCAGGCTGGAGTGCAGTGGCGCAATCTCGGCTCACTGAAACCTCCCTCTCCCAGGTTCAAGTGATTCTCCTGCCTCAGCTTCCCGAGTAGCTGGGACTACAGGCATGTGCCACCATGCCCAGCTAATTTTTGTATTTTTAGTAGAGACGGGGTTTCACCATGTTGGCCAGAATGGTCTCAATCTCTTGACCTTGTGATCCGCCTGTCTCAGCTTTCCTAAGTGCTGGGATTACATGTGTGAGCCACCGCCCCCAGCCCAAAAGTCGTTTTTCTTTTTTTAATGATCAACAAAATTGACAAGCTTTAATAGAGACCAAGAAAAAAAGAGAGAATACACAAATTGCCAAAATCAGCAATAAAAAAGGGGACTTCACAATAGACTATTTACCAAAAAACTACTGCTAACTTAATACTTAATGGTGCAGACTGAATGTTTTTCTCCTAAGATAAGGAAAAAGGCAAGGACATTCTCTCTCCCCACTCTTACTCAACATTACCCTGGAATTTCAAGCCGGTGAAATCAGGGAAGGAAAAGAAAACAAAGGCATGTAGGTAGGAAAATAATGAGTAAAAATGTCTTTAGTTGCAGAAGACATGTATGTAGATAATTCTTTGGAGGGTATTTTATTTTTCTAGTGATGGGGGGTCTCACTCTGTCGCCAGGCTGGAGTGCAGTGGCGCAGTCTCGGCTCACTGAAACCTCCCTCTCCCAGGTTCAAGTGATTCTCCTGCCTCAGCCTCCCGAGTAGCTGGGATGGACTATAGACATGTGCCATCATGCCCAGCTAATTTTTGTATTTTTAGTAGAGACGGGGTTTCACCATGTTGGCCAGAATGGTCTCAATCTCTTGACCTTGTGATCCGCCTGTCTCAGCTTTCCTAAGTGCTGGGATTACATGTGTGAGCCACCGCCCCCAGCCCAAAAGTCGTTTTTCTTTTTTTAATGATCAACAAAATTGACAAGCTTTAATAGAGACCAAGAAAAAAAGAGAGAATACACAAATTGCCAAAATCAGCAATAAAAAAGGGGACTTCACAATAGACTATTTACCAAAAAACTACTGCTAACTTAATACTTAATGGTGCAGACTGAATGTTTTTCTCCTAAGATAAGGAAAAAGGCAAGGACATTCTCTCTCCCCACTCTTACTCAACATTACCCTGGAATTTCAAGCTGGTGAAATCAGGGAAGGAAAAGAAAACAAAGGCATGTAGGTAGGAAAATAATAAGTAAAAATGTCTTTAATTGCAGAAGACATGTATGTAGATAATTCTTTGGAGGGTATTTTATTTTTCTAATGATGGGGGGGGTCTCACTATGTTGCCCAGGCTGGTCTTGAACTCCTGAGCTCAAGTGATCCTCCCACCTCAGCCTCCCAAAATGCTGGGATTACAGGTGTGAGCCACCACACCTGGCCCTGTGGAATGCACTTTAAGTACTAATAGAACTAATAAGCAAATGTAGCAGGGTCACAGTATGCAAGATCAATATATATGATCAAAAAACTTCTCACAAAGAAAAAGTAGGGATGATTTCACTAGTGAATTTTAAAACAGTTGAAGGATGAACTCCAATTCTCCATAAAGTCTTCCAAAAATCAGAAGAGGAAAGAATACTTCCTAACCTATTCTATGAGGCCAGTTATTATTCTGATACCAAAACCAGAGAGACATCACAACAAAAACAGAAACAAAAATTCTACAGACCAATATCCCTTGTCAATATAGATATAGAAATCTTTAATAAAATACTATCTAACTGAATCCAGCAACATGTAAGATTGACCAAGTGGGATTTTTCCCAAGAATGCAAGGTTGGCTGGACTTACGAAAATGAATCAATCCAATGCACCATATTAGTAGAATAAGGAAGAAAACCACAAGATCATCTCAATGATGCAGAAAAAGAATTTGACAAAATCCAACACTCTTTTATGATAAAGACACTCAGCAAACTAGGAATAGAAGGGAACTTCCTCAACCTGTTAAGGTTCACCTATGAAAAACCCAACACCAACTTCATACTTAATGGTGAAAAACTGAAACCTCCCCCTAAGATCAGGAGCCAGAGAAGGATGTCCACTCTCACAACTTCTACTCAACATTGTCCTGGAGATCCAACCAGGGCAGTTAGCCAGGGCAATTAAAATTTAATTTCAAATACCACTGAAATTGGGATGGAGGAAGTAAAGCCATCTCTATTTGCGGAGCATATGATCTTGAATAGAGAAAATCCTAAGGAATCCACTAAAAACAACTACTAGAACTAATGAATTCAATCAGTTTGAGGAGTATAATATCAATATATAAAAGTCAACCATATTTCTTTATGCTAGCAATGAATAATATAAAAATGAAATTAAGAAAGCAATTCTATACAATAGCATCAAAAAGAATAAAATACTTACTGTTGGGAGAAAAGCTGAGTGTTGGGAGAGAAGCTGAGCAGGGCTTGGTACATGTCGGCGGTCCAGGGTCTAAAACCCCTCGTGGCCTTTGGAATGTGCCTAGATTTGCTGGCTCCTTGCTTCTAGCACTCCCATTATCTCAAGTAGCCATATGTTTCAAAGAAAATGCTAAACCATCACAGCTGTAGCTCATTCGCTTGATACACTGCTTCCTTACAATCCTCAACACCTGTTTCTTTGTTTGATCACCAATAAATAGCCTGGGCTCCCAGAGCTCAGGGCCTTCCCAGCCTCCCTATAGTTGGGCCCCTGGTCCGACTTTCTCTCTTGTCTTTTCTCATGGGTTTGATTCCGCGGGACTTCATATCCCCCACGGCCTGGTGTTGGGTCTGATCACCCCAACAACTTAGGAATAAAATTATTTGGCTGTTTATTGTGTTGTATTCTTTGAGAGTCTTTGGCCATAATTAGTCAAAAATCTATTAAAAATGAGGTACCTGCGGAGAAATGAAAGTAGAAAGAGAAAAGGTTCGGATGCAACTAAAGCTCTTAAAAGGCCCCCACATTGAAGGTTCCCAGCATCTCAAAAGAGTTTTAGGACTCAAGGATAAAGCAAATCATGAAATAGCACACCTAATAAATAACACAGAGGCTAATAATAAAATTCTTTCTTTAAAAAAAAAAAATCATTTTGGAGGCCCGACATGGCGGCTCACACCTGTAATCCCAGCACTTTGGGAGGCTGAGGGGGGTGGATCAGTTGAGGCCAGGAGTTAAGAGACCAGCCCTAGCCAACATGGTAAAATCCTGTCTCTACTAAAAATACAAAAATTAGCCGGGTGTGGTGGCGGGCACCTGTAATCCCAGCTACTTGGGAGGCTGAGGCAAGAGAATTGCTTGAACCCGGGAGGCGGAGGTTGCAGTGAGCTGAGTTAGGCCATGGCACTCCAGCCTAAGCGACAGAGCAAGATTGTCTCAAAAAAAACATCATTTTGGAGAAAGAAAATTGGGATAAAGTCATGAAGTTTAACAATCCAGGACGCCAAGCTCCTGAGGACTAGAAGTTTCACAGCTAAGAGGGATGTCCCCTCAGTGTGTCTTACCAGTGAGAGGTGACAGCGTGCTGGCAGTCCTCACAGCCCTGGCTCGCTCTCCGCGCCTCCTCTGCCTGGGCTCCCACTATGGCGGCACTTGAGGAGCCCTTCAGCCCGCCGCTGCACTGTAGGAGCCCCTTTCTGGGCTGGCCAAGCCCGGAGCCGGCTCCCTCAGCTTGCCGGGAGGTGTGGAGGGAGAGGCGCGGCGGGAACCCGGGCTGCGCGCGGTGCTTGCGGGCCAGCGCGAGTTCCGGGTGGGCGTGGGCTCAGCGGACCTCGGAGCGGCCGGCCGGCCCCACCGCCCCGGGCAGTGAGGGGCTTAGCACCTGGGCCAGCAGCTTCTGTGCTCAATTTCTCGCCGGGCCTTAGCTGCCTTCCCACGGGGCAGGGCTCGGGACCTGCAGCCCGCCATGCCTGAGCCTCCACCCCACTCCGTGGGCTCCTGTGCTGCCGGAGCCTCCCCCAGGAGCGCCACCCCTTGCTCCAAGGCGCCCAGTCCCATGGACCACCCAAGAGCTGAGGAGTGCGGGCACACGGCGCGGGACTGGCAGGCAGCTCCACCTGCAGCCCCGGTGCAGGATCCACTGGGTGAACCCAGCTGGGCTCCTGAGATTGGTGGGGACTTGGAGAACCTTTATGTCTAGCTAAGGGATTGTAAATACACCAATTGGCACTCTGTATCTAGCTCAAGGTTTGTAAACATACCAATCAGCACGCTGTGTCTCGCTCAGGGTTTGTGAATGCACCAGTGGACACTCTGTATCTGGCTACTCTGGTAGATACAGAGTGGACTTGGAGAACCTTTGTGGCCACACTCTGTATCTAGCTAATCTGGTGGGGACGTGGAGAACCTTTGTGTCTAGCTCAGGGATTGTAAACGCACCAATCAGCGCCCTGTCAAAACAGACCACTGGACTCTACCACTCAGCAGGATGTGGGTGGGGCCAGATAAGAGAATAAAAGCAGGCTGCCCGAGCTGGCAGTGGCAACCCGGGTCCCCTTCCACACTGTGGAAGCTTTGTTCTTTCGCTCTTTGCAACAAATCTTGCTGCTGCTCACTCTTTGGGTCCACCTTGCTTTTATGAGCTGTAACACTCACAGCAAAGGTCTGCAGCTTCACTCCTGAAGCCAACGAGACCACGAACCCACCGGGAGGAACGAACAACTCCAGACGCACCGCCTTAAGAGCTGTAACACTCACGGCAAAGGTCCGCAGCTTCACTCCTGAGCCAGTGAGACCAGGAACCCACCAGAAGGAAGAAACTCCAAACACATCCGAACATCAGAAGGAACAAACTCCGGACACACCGCCTTTAAGAACTGTAACACTCACCGCAAGGGTCCGTGGCTTCATTCTTGAAGTCAGTGAGACCAAGAACCCACCAATTCCGGACACACCAGTATGAATAAAAAGCATCCACCCTGTCACCAGCAAGTCCTCTACTCAGAAAGTACTGACCCAAGTCTGGGAGAGCAGCCAATTCAAATGTGCAGGGCTGGAGCTTGTGAACACAGCCACTGTTTTCCATTGCACATCTTCATCTCAGTAGTAACATGGCCACTCCTGGGGAACTTGTGGCAGGGATCCCAAGGTGAAGCAGCACAGATGTCTACAAACTGTGTAGTGACAGTGGCTCAGAGCCTCCAGACTCCTACCTCTGCATGGTGGCCTCCTGCCTTCAACAACTCACTGGGCCTCATGAAGATGCCTTCCATGGCTTTCCAGTCGTTGCTCGGCTTGGCTAGGCCAGACCATGCGTCTCTTTTTGCCCACTGATGGGTCCACCATATCGTTCTCCTGTGACAGACAGCGGTTCCTCAATGGAAGAATGTTTGAACCACCCCTCACCATCTCTCACCCAGTAGGGCCCGTTACAGAGTATGGTCCAGTCATCCAGGTGACTACCTTCACCTTCCTCACCAAAAGCACCCACTTCCTGGTTTTCAGAAAGTTGTGGAGGTTTCAGCCAGTGTTGACATGTGTCAGCCGGATGGGCTGGCAGCACTTGATGGGGGTTCCCCTCTCACCAGCTGTGGTGATCTTACCCATATTCTCCAGTAACTGTTGCTGTCATCCATGGAGGTTACACTTGTCACTGACTGCTGCCCAGTACCTGACCCATAGAGCACATCGTGTGACTGCAGATGGACACTGTAGTGCATTTCGAGCAGCTTCACCATAGAGCCGCGAGTAACAGCCAGATTGGACGCTCCCACGGTGTTCCACAAACCCCCAGACAGCAGTAGCGGAACCACAGCCATCCTAGCTGGATTCGGAGCCCCAGATCTTCCAGAAATAAATTTTTTTTAAAGAAAGGCAAAACATATACTCTGAAAACTGAAACATTTGTTTAAAGAACTTAAAGATTGGCTGGGCCCCGTGGCTCATGCCTGTTATCCCAGCATTTGGGGAGGCGAAGGTGGGAGGATTGTTGAGCCCAGGAGTTCAAGAACAGCCTGGGCAACATGGTGAGGCCCAGCTCTACAAAAAACTAAAAAAATTAGACAAGGGTGGTGGCATACACCTGTAGTCCCACCTACTCGGGAGGCTGAAGTGGGAGGATTGCTTGATCCTGGGAAGTCAAGGCTGCAGTGGGCTGTGATTGTGCCACTGCAGTCCAGCCTGGGCGACAGAGTGAGACCCTGTCTCAAAAAAAAAAAAAAAAATGGGTAGCATAGTGGCTCATACCTGTAATCCCAGCTACTCGAGAGGCTGAGGCAGGAGAATTGCTTGAACCCGGGAGGTGGAGGTTGCAGTGAGCCGAGATCACACCACTGCACTCCAGCCTGGGTGACAGAGCAAGACTCCATCTCAGGGGAAGAATATTACAAAAATTATCTGGGTGTGGTGGTGCTAGTCCCAGCTCCCTGGGAGGCTGAGGCACAAAAGTCCCTTGAACCTGGGAGGTGGAGGTAAGCCGAGATCGTGCCACTGCACTCCAGCCTGGGCAAGAGAGCAAGACTCTTATCTCAAAAAAAAAAAAAAAAAGGAAAAAAGAGAGAGAGAGAGAATCTGAGCCAGATCAGTATTAGACCTCTCAACAGCAATATTAGAAACTAGAAGTTTATGAAACAATGCCTTAAAGTTGCTGAGGGAAAATCATTATATACCCAGCCAAAGTATCAACCCAGTGTGAGGGTAGAAAATAAGACATTTTCAGACAAAAAAAAAAATTGTCTTCCGTGAAAACTTCCTCAGGAAGGAACTGGAGGATGTGCTCCACCCTAAAAGGGCATAAACCAAGAAAGAAGAAATGGAACCCAGAAAAATCAGAGATCCATAGAGGAAAGAGAAGAAATGACGTTGCAGAATGTTGGCAAAGGGAAGCCTCTGGATGACGACTGTGCTGCTGATCTGGAAAGCTTCTGGCTCAGATGGAGGCAGGAGAACTGAGGGCTCCAGAAAGGGTGTCTCAAGGGAAAAAAAAATTAAGGAACTGGAACTGATAGTGAAAATCAGTATTGAGAATTATCTTACTGGGCTTTTGCAGAAGATCTAATCATGGGTCAAAGAAAATAAGCAAGTGAAAAAAATGAGACAATGATTAACTCTGTGGGGGAAAGGAGATTGAAAAAGATAGTATATTAGTTGTTTCAGCCATAAACACTTTTTAGTGATTGTGAATGTAACCAAGAGTTGTGGTGGTATGATATTGAAAGGAGAGGAGAAAGAGTGTAAGTGAACCTCCTCTGTCACAATAGGGAGCCCTAGAGACAGCATCTAAATTGGACCTCTTGGGAGATAACCAGAATTGAAATCAATGCTTTATTTAGGGAGTAAAAACCAGAAGAAACAACTGAATAAGTTGAAATGGCTGCTTTTGGCGAGCAGGCTGACGTGGGGTAAAGAGCGTGTTATTTTTGTTGTAATCCTTTAGCATTCTCTGACTGTAAATACTCTGTACACATTATTTTGGGGAATAAAAACTGACCAGAAGAACTGTGAGGAGAAGCCATGACAACAGTAAGGCTGTTTCCTTTTGAGATTTTCCTGTCTGAAGCAATTCTCCTTTGGAAATTGAGCAAACAACCCCTCCCCATTTTTTCTGCTGTCTCATGAAGTGCATTCTCACTCCTGTGAATAATCTTGGGAGGCAGGTATTGATAAGGGTTCTTGGTGCTTTGTGAAATAGTAACTTGCATGTTGGTGACTCAGAGCAAGACTCTATCTCAAAGGCAGAACAGAAGTCAAAATTCCCACTTTTAAAAATTTTATTATTATTATTTTTCAGAGACAAGGTCGCACTCTGTCACCCAGGATGGAGCCCAGTAGCCCAATTGTAGCTCATTGCAACCTTGAATTACTGGGCGCAAGCGATCCTCTTGCTTCAGCCGCCCAAGTAGCTGGGACTACAGGCGGGCCCCACCATGCCCAGCTACCTTTTAAATTTTTTATAGAGACAGGGTCTTACTGTGTTGCCCAGGCTGGTCTCAAATCTCCTAGGCTCAATCTGTCCTCCCGCCTTGGCCTCCCAAAGTGCTGGATTAACGTTGTAAGCCACTGCACCTAACTAATATTCCCCCCCTTTTTTTTTTTTTGAGACGGAGTCTTGATCTGTTGCCAGGCTGGAGTGCAGTGGCGTGATCTTGGCTCACTGCAACCTCTGCTTCCCGGGTTCAAGTGATTCTCCTGCCTCAGCCTCCCAAGTAGCTGGGACTACAGGTGCTTGCCACCACGCCTAGCTCATTTTTTGTCTTTTTTGAGACAGTCTCACTCTGTTGCCCAGGTTGGAGTACAGTGGTGCAGTCTTGGCTCACTGCAAGCTCTGCCTCCTGGGTTCACACCATTCTCCTGTCTCAGCCTCCCCAGCAGCTGGGACTACAGGCGCCCACCACCATGCCAGGCTAATTTTTTGTATTTTTAATAGAGATGGGGTTTCACCGTGTTAACCAGGATGGTCTTGATCTCCTGACCTCGTGATCCTCCCACCTCGGCCTCCCGAAGTGCTGGGATTACAGGCGTGAGCCACCTCGCCTGGGCTTTAATTTTTATATTTTTAGTAGAGACGGGGTTTCACCATGTTGGCCAGGATGGTCTCAATCTCTTGACTTCGTGATCTGCCTGCCTCGGCCTCCCAAAGTGCTGGGATTACAGGTGTGAGTCACTGTGCCCGGCCTAATATTCCCATTTTACGCACAAGACAACATAGACCTCAAAAAGGGAAGTAACTCTCCAAAATCACACAGCCAGTGAGTGGCAGAGCTGGAGTCCTGACTCTCTTTTCTGTTTTCACACAGCTGGCCTCAGGCCCAGGGACCTCTTGGCCTTCATGCTTCCACTTCTCCCCTCTCTCCCAGCTGACCCCACCTTGCCTTCAGACACTTTCCACAATGTCCCTGGCTCTGAGCCCCACCCGGAGGGGATCCTTAATGTGAGCTATAGGCTTGAGCCCATGATCTCGTCACAGACTGAGCTCTCATCCTGATCACTCACTAAGCCCTGATCCTACCACAGAATGAGTCTTGGTCCTGGTCCTAGATAAAGCACTGAACCTGGTCATAGACTGAGCCCTGATGCTGGTCACAGACTGAGCCCCAGCCCCTTGCCACCAGTTCCATTAATAATGTATACAATTAAACACAAGTCGGGCCTGGCACAGAAGTCATGGATGGCTGGGTACCATCCCTCTCCAGTGTTGCAGAAATCCTGTCTCAGGGACAGAGCTTGTGAGGCTATGGCCTGGCTAGATGCTCTGGCATCGTTTCCCTCCATCCTCCACCAGAATTTATGCCACAGCTTGTGCCCATTCATTTCTGTCCCCTCCCGCTGCCCTCCCTGTGTGGGTGGGGGTTTGGGCAGCCCATGGTAATAAGCATGGAGCAGGGGTTGTCTGTGATGTCATTCTTGCTCAGAACGAAGCATTCCAGCATGGACAGCACTTGTCCTGGCTCCCCTGCTATATAGAACTCACTGTTCCCCACCCTAGACCCTTACCCTCACCCCTTGCCAGGCCAGCATTCTGCAATATGATTTCCAGGAGCTTCCAGAATGCTGGCTTGTTACAGCTGCTGCCCTGCTCTTAGTGACCAGCATCTCCTTCGAGCAGTCCTCTGTGTCAGGTGGGAAGCCGGGCCGACTTCTGACCACCCTCAGCTCTTGTCAGCCCAGGGGAGGTGGAAGGTCAAGGGAGGGGCAGGGAAGGTGATGGAGCTGGGCAACTTGGAGGAGAGAAGGCAAGGAGGCAGAACGGGACAGGCGTCAGTGTATCACTGAGTCATAAAATGTCAGGGCAGGTGGGAAGTGGAAGGACTGGCTCTCCTCTGCTCTCCCTTGCTAAACAGATGGAGAACTGAGGCCCAAGATCCTACAGTGACTTAGGAGAAAAATGGGGCCTCACATGTGGATTACTGGTACCAAAGAACAGCAGATCCCATAGCTCCAGAGGCCAGAGGAGGACCTTAAGGGAAGGAAGACCTTCCTAATTATCTAAGTTGCCCAGCCCAGGGACCTCTGGTTGGAGGGGCACGGGGCTGTGAGTTCCCCATCGCCATGGGACTGTAGCCAGCACAGTCACAGTATGGCGGTGCAGCCCAACCCTGCCGGGGGTGGAGATTGGTTGCTTTCTTGGCCACGTTTCCTTTTGTGGGTTTGGAACCCAGATGTGCTCCCTGCACGGGATCTTGGGGTCCCAGAAGGGCCTGTTCTCCCTTCTCCCCCTACTAGATCCAGCACAGTTCCTCTGGGCAGCTCTGCTGCTGCTGCTGGCTGGCCACAAGGCACTCAGGATGTAGGAGGCATCTAGACCCACAGTCAGAGTATGTATTTGGGAAGGGAAATTGGGAGACGGTCCAGCCGAGCGGGGGCTGCTTATTGGAGCAGACTGGGTCTGAGAAAATCATGGTAGACAGGTGGGGACCTCGCCCTTCTCCAAGCCAAGGGGGTGGGCTGTGGTTTTCAGGCGCTTGGGCCCCTGCCTTGCTGCCACGCCCCAATCCTGAACTCTGCGGCCCACACCCCCCACAAAACCAAAGCCAGCTTTCTGGGCCCCGGTGGCTGTGTCTCCCTGGGCCTATTCTCTCCCCACCCGGGTGGTTTACATGCCTCTGTGCCATGAGGCTGGCCACTCTTTGAAAGCCGAGGGTTGCAGGGTGGGTTCCTCAGGAAGTGGATTTGGGCTCGGAGTTACTGTGAGGGATGTCTGTTAGGGAGAGCTCTTGCAGACAGCACCTGGAGAAGGGAAGGCAAAGAGGCCAAACTGGGCAGAGGGAGAAGAAGTCCAGCTGCAAGACAGGCCCAACCCTGGCCTCAGCTGCCTCACTGGGAGCTCCGAATGACCTGTCACCGCCCCACACAGGGCTTAAATAGCCGGGCCTGAATTAGTACCCAGCTGGATTAGTCCTTGGATATGAGGCTGCCCAGAGAAAGGCATGGGAGGCCGAGGCAGAGGAGGCAAATCTCTGCAGCTGGGGGCAATCCCTGGAGAGCTGAGCACTCACGACCCTCCCGCCGCCAGGGCCAGTCCTTCCTGAGGTACATCTGGACATCGTGTCTCTGGGTCTACTGTCCTGGGTTTTAGTGGGCTTTTGAGAGACGCTTGTAGAATAAATGAATGCATAAATGAAATAAGCCCCTCACACATGTTGGCCTCACTCTCCTCATCAATTGAATAGGGATAATACTTTCCACACTCATGCTGTGAGGGCTAAGCTCGTTGTAAACACCAAGTGCCATGGGCCTATGAGGCCTCCCCATCTCTCCTTCAGCTGAGGCCCCGAGGTTGGGGCTAGGACACGGAGGGGTGGGGTGGGCTTGGCAGTTCGTGGTTGCTGCTTCAGGGGAAACCACAGCTGCCTCTTGCTGGGGCAGTCAGTGAGGCCCAGGGGAGGGGAAGATCACATGCAAGGCGGGCTGTGGGCACTGAGTCACCACCCAGAGGGAAACCACGGCCTCAAGAACCCAACGCCAAAGGACAGGTGGCAGGTGAGGTGGGCGAAGAGCTAGCAGTCAGGAGCAGGTATCCAGACAGCCTCTTCACCTCAAGGTCCAGCCCTGTCCCATCCTGCGGGGCAGCATCTACTGTATGCTACAGGAGGGGCTGGCTCAGTCACAGATCTCTGAGCAACAGGACAGAGCAAGAGCTGAGTGACCCTGGGCAAAGAGCCATCCCTCTCTAGTTCTCCCCTACCCCTGGGAAAATAGGGACAATTCTTGGGTTTGAGAAAATTCATGCATGATGTCATCATCTGAAGATTTTGCTCATACGATGCTTTTACCTCATCATTACAGTCTAGAGTGCTGCTGTTTGTCGCGTTGCATTCATCTACTGATTGCTCTAATAGCTGTGAAATGTCTTCCTCTGTCAGTTTCCTTCTCTTTCCTCTTTGTAGGAAAATGAACAATTCTGAATTCTTAACTGTGTGCAATGAAAGCTAAAAAAAAATACAAAGATGATATCTCTGGACTTTTTACACTTTCTTGAAAGACGGTCCTAATGCTTTGGACAAGGCAATAAGAAAACTGAAAATTGGTGAAATAGCAATGACTCATGTCACTATTGAGTCATTCAGGCAATTCCATCATTCTTCTGTTTTCTTACTATTTTAGTCTTTTTTTCAAAGCATGGGTTGGGAATAATTGATGAGTAATGATGAAATAGTTCCTGAGGGAATACAATAGCAAAATGTTTTATGATATAGGAAAAATAAGATCATGAAGATCTCATAATATATTTTAGATTTACAAATGATCCAGTAGATCCATATGATAATTACAAGATAAAATAAGCTTCTTCTTTTTTTTTTTTTTTTTTTTTTTGAGGCAGGGTCTCCTCTGTCATCCAGGCTGGAGTGCAGCGGCTCACTGCAACTTCTGCATCCTGGGCTTAGTAATCCTCCCACCTCAGCCTCCCAAGTAGCTGGGAGTACAGGGGTGTGCCACTGAGCCCAAATAATTTTTGTATTTTTTCATAGAGGCAGGGTTTCACCCTGTTGCCCAGGCTGGTCTCGAACTCCTGAGTTTAAGCAATCTGCCCTCCTTGGCCTCTGGAAATGCAGAAATTACAGGCATGAGCCACTACACCCAGCCCTTCATTCTTTTTTATTAAAAAAAAAAAAAAGAAAGTGGACAGGTGCAGTCGCTCACGCCTGTAATCCCAGCACTTTGAGAGGCCAAGGCAGGAGGATTACCTGAGGTCAGGAGTTTGAGACCAGTCTGCCAACATGGTGAAACACTGTCTCTACTAACAACAACAAAAAAAAAATTAGCTGGGCATGGTGTCAGGCACCTGTAATCCCAGTTACTTGGGAGGCTGAGATAGAAGCATCACTTGAATCCGGGAGGTGAAGGTTGCAGTGAGCTGAGATTGTGCCATTGCACTCCAGCCTGGGCAACAAGAGCGAAACCCCATCTCAAAAAAATAAATGAATAAATAAATAAATAAAAGTTCTCTTTGGTTTTGGGAGACCTCCGTGAAAAAATAAAAGTAATAAAATAATCCTCATAAATCGTTTGAACTGCTCAAAAAAGAAACTTCAACCAGGCATGATGGCTCATGCCTGTAATCCCAGCACTTTGGGAGGTCGAGGGAGGCAGATCACTGAGCTCAAGAGTTCAAGACCAGCCTGAGCAACATGGCAAAACCCCCTCTCTACTAAAAATAAGAATACCAAAAAATACAAAAATTAGCCAGGCGTTGTGGCACGCACCTGTTGTCCCAGCTACTCGGGAGGCTGAGGCAGGAGGATGGCTTGAACCTGTGAGGCAGAGGTTGCAGTGAGCTGAGATTGTGCCACTGCACTCTAGCCTGGGAGACAGAGTGAGACCCTGTCAAAAAAAAGAAAGAAAGAAAGAAAGAAAGAACGAAGGAAAGGAAAGAAGAAAGAAAGGTTGGTTAAAAATTAAAATTAAAATTGGGTCTAATGGAGTCTGAAGGTATATTGAGAGTTAAAATGAAATTCCCCGAGGAGGACTTAGCTGAAGGTCCACCTCTCCCTGTGCCCAAATAGGGAGGAAAAAGTAGAGACTGTGATATGAAATGAGACCCCACCAAATGACAAATTATAAGCAAAAAATGCAAATAAATGCAAGTGAAGACGATATTGAGGACCCTGGTACTCCTGGTAAACATGGAATATGGGCTCCTTTGGGTGATTGGTATTCTAAGACAGCTGCCCCATCCTCCTTCCGGGGTCTCCCCTACAGCCCCTGTGGCTGGGAGACCCACGCCTGAAGGCTGTTCTTGCTTCCTTACTCCCTTCCCCAGCACTGACAGAATTCTCCTATTGCCCACTGGTGCCCCGAAGCTTGGCACACCAGCCATTCTGCTCTTGCTGCTGCAGGCAAGGGGCCCTCTGGCCACCCACGAGCCCTCTGGCCACCCACGACGTCCCTGTGAATCATCCTAGAGCAAGGTCAGTGACAGGCCCGGCACTGCTGGGCACCGGGAGCCCCAAGGGCTGTTTCCCACATAGGTTTTTGTGTTTTGTTTTTTTTGAGACAGAGTCTCGCTCTGTTGCCCAGGCTGGAATGCTGTGGCGTAATCTCAGCTCACTGCAACCTCTGTCTCCCGGGTTCAAGCAATTCTCAAGCCTCAGCCTCCCGAGTAGCTGGGACCACACGTGTGCGCCATCATGCTTGGCTAATTTTTGTATTTTTAGTAGAGACGGGGTTTCACCATGTTGGCCAGGCTGGTCTCCAACTCCTGACCTCAAGTGATCCACCAGCCTCGGCCTCCCAAAGTATTGGGATTACAGGCATGAGCCACCATGCCCAGCCTCCCACATGGGTTTATCATCAATTTACAATAGCCTCACAAGTGTTGGGGAAAACTGAGGCTCAGAGAAGGACGGTGACTTGCCTGGGGTTCCCGAGCAAATCATTAACAGAGCAAGGTTCATAACCAGACCTTTTGCTACCTGTTCAGAGCCTTGTCTTCCATGTATAGGCCCAAGGAAGCTCATGCCTTCCAAGGGTGCAGGGGGCACAGGCTACTTGAGCTCATGGGCCGCCTTGGGGGCTTGAGTCCAGAAGGTTTTCTTTCATGAGAAGAGACTGGATTGTGCTTGTTCATGGGAGGTAGGAGAACCCATTTGTTAAGAGCTCAGGCTCATGAGTTTACAGTATGTGGGTATTTATCCTGGCTGTACAACTTATTCCTGTGTGGCCCTCAGAAGGGAACCTAACCTCTCTGTGCCTTGGTTTCTTTACCTGTTGGGGTGGTGGGAGGTTGAGTCCTTTTGGTTGCCAGATCAGCAGGTCCCTTGGATTCCCTTGAGTCTGGGGGATTATTATCAGTAAGGGAGACAGGCCCTCACAGGACTCCAAGAGTAGGACCTGGACCTTGTCCAGGCATGGACCCTGGGGCTGGAGAGTGGTACTGCGTGTGGGCACTAGGGATTCAAGACAACAGGGTGTGGTGAGTGGTCCTATGGCACTTCCTGAGCTCTCTCAGCATCCGCTCCCTTCCCTCACAAACACCCCACAACCACCCTGCATTTGTTCAGCTTTTTCTTGTCCTCCCAGCTTCCGCAAACTCATTTTTTCCATTTCCTCATCTCTCAGCTTCCTGGGCATGACCTCAGAGTCCAGACAGCTTTGTGGCTGCTCTGAAACACACCCTTTCAACTTAGCCTCAACCACTCAAACCCCTGAGGGAGAAACCTGATTCCAGCCAAGGCAGACTCATTGATCTCAGATTTACCCTACCATGGTAAACAACCATAAATACTGGGCAAAATAGAATATCCAACAACAGTTTGTAGGCACTGGACAGCAGCCAATGCAGGGTTATGGTCGTTGGAGAAGGAATGCACATGAGGTGAGCCTCACTTTTTTTTTTTTTGAGACAGGGTCTCACTCTGTCCCCCAGGCTGGAGTGCAGTAGCATGATCTTGGCTCACTGCAACCTCTGCCTCCTGGATATAAGTGATTCTCCTGACTCAGCCTCCCAAGTAGCTGGGACTACAGGCGTGTGCCACCACGCCCAGCTAATTTTTGTATTTTTAGTAGAGATGGGGTTTTGCCATGTTGGCCAGGCTGGTCTCAAACTCCTGACCTCAGGTGATCCACCTGCCTCGGCCTCCCAAAGTGCTGGGATTACAGGCATGAGCCACCTCGCCTGGACAAGCCTCACATTTAAATTGCTTTCTCCATGAAGCCATTTCCCAAACTCAGGTGCAAGGAAGTGGACCAAGCAGGAAGTCACAGTCTCAATGGGCCAAGAAAATAAGTATCTGGCCGGGTGTGGTGCTCATGCCTGTAATCCCAGCACTTTGGGAGGCCAAGGTGGGTGGAACACAAGGTCGGAGTTTGAGACCAGCCTGCCCAACATGGTGAAACCCCATCTCTACTAAAAATGCAAAAATTGGCCGGGCGATGTGGCTCACGCCTATAATCCCAGCACTTTGGGGGGCCGAGGCGGGCGGATCATGAGGTCAGGAGTTCGAGACCAGCCTGGCCAATATGGTGAAACCCCGTCTCTACTAAAAATACAAAAATTAGCTGGGCGTGGTGGCATGCACCTGTACTCCCAGCTACTTAGGAGGCTGAGGCAGAAGAATCGCTTGAACCCAGGAGGCGAGCTTGCAGTGAGCCAAGATCGTGCCACTGCACTCCAGCCTGGGCAACACAGTGAGACTCTGTCTCAAAAAAAAAAAAAAAAAAAAAAAAAGCAAAAATTAGCCAGGCGTGGTGGCGGGTGCCTGTAATCCCAGCTACTCAGGAGGCTGAGGCAGGAGAATCACTTGAAACCAGAAGGAGGAGGTTGCAGTGAGCTGAGATTGTGCCACTGCACTCCAGCCTGGGCGACACAGCGAGACTCCGTCAAAGAAAAGGAAAGGAAAAGAAAGGGAAGGGGAAGGGAAAAGGGAACACCCAGATATTTTTTGTATTTTTTGTAGAGATAGGGTTTTGCCATGTTGCCCAGGCTGGTCTCAAACTCCCGAGCTTAAGTGATCCACCTGCCTCAGCCTCCCAAAATGCTGAGATTACAGGCATGAGTCACTGCACCCAGCCAAAAAACTGACATTTTGGACTGCAAAATATATTTGAAATTAAGAACTCACTGGATAGGTTTAGCAAAAGACTATATACAGCAGAAGGCAAGACTCGTGAACTTAAAGACCAGTCAATAGAAATTATTCAAATTGAAGCACAAAGCAAAAAGAATAATAGAAGGAAAAACAGAACTGAGTATAAGAGATGCACGGGATGTGCTCAAAAGGTCTAACATACGTGTTTGGAATTCCTTAAGGAGAGAAGAGAGGGAATAGGAGAGAAGCAGTATTTGAAGAAATAATGGGCTGGGCATGGTAGCTCACGACTGTATTCCAAGCACTTTGGGAGGCTGAAGTGGGAGGATCACTTGAGCCCAGGAGTTCAAGACCAGCCTAGCCAACATGGCAAAACCCTGTCTCTACAAAAAATACAAAAATTAGCCAGGCATAGTGGTGTACAACTGTAGTTCCAGCTACTTTAGTGGGAGGATCAGGATCACATCAGCCAGGGAGGGTGAGGCTGCAGTGAGCCATGACTGCACCACTGCACTCCAGCAGCCTGGGCAACAGAATGAGACCTTGTCTCAAAAAAAAAAAAAAAAAGAAAGAAAGAAAAGAAAAGAAAAGACAAAGAAGGCTGGGCGTGGTGGTTCATCCCTGTAATTCCAACATTTTGGGAGGCCAAGGAGGGCGGATCACCTGAGGTCAGGAGTTCGAGACCACCCTGACCAAAATGGTGAAACTCTGTCTGTACTAAAAATACAAAAATTAGCCAGGCATGGTGGCTCGTGCCTGTAATCCCAGCTACTTGGGAGGCTGAGGCAGGAGAATCACTTGAACCCAGGAGGCAGAGGTTGCAGTGAGCCAAGATTGTGCCACTGCACTTCAGCCTGGGTGACAGAGTGAGACTCTGTCTCAACAAAAAAAAAAAAAAAAAAAAAGAAAAAGAAATAATGGCTGAGAATTCCACAAATATGATGAAAGGCATCAAGCCATAGATTCAAGAATATCAATGAGCTCCAAGCAGAGTAAGCATAAAGTAAACTACACTTAGCCTCATCACAGTTAAATTACTGAAAATCAAAGACAAAGTAGAAAGTCTTAAAAGAAACCACATTTTAAAAGAGAGAGAGAGACAGAGATACCAGCAATACAACTGATGGCAGACTATGGAAGCCAGACAATAATGAAATGACATCTTTAAAATGCTAAAAAGAGTTGGGGACAGTGGTTCACACCTGTGATCCCAACACTTTGGGAGGCCGAGGCAGGCAGATCACTTGAGGTTAGGAGTTCAAGACCAGCCTGGCCAACATGGCAAAACCCCATCTCTACTAAAACTACAAAAATTAGCTGGGCATACTGGTGCATGCCTGTAATCTCAGCTACTCAGGAGGCCGAGGCATAAGAATCGCTTGAATCCAGGAGGCGAGGCTGCAGTGAGCCGAGATTGTGCCACTGCACTCAAACCTGGGCAACAGAGCCAGACTCTCTTCCAAAAATAAAATAAAATAAAATGCTAAAAAAAAAACCTGCCAAGCTACAATTATATGCCCACTTCAAAAAATAAAGTAAAAGAAACATGTTGTCAGACAGACAAAAGCGGAAAGAATGTGCTTTGTTACTAGTGCACATCTGCACTATAAGAAATACTTGAGGAGGTTTGCACGGTGGCTCATGGGTCCTGTCTCAGCACTTTGGGAGGATTGTTTGACGCCAGAAATTCAAGACCATATGAGCAACATGGTAAGACCACATCTCTACAAAAAATAAAAAATTGGCCAGGAGTGGTGGTGCACACTTATAGTCCCAGCTACCCTGCAGTTCGAGGCTACAGTGAGCTGTGATTGTGCCACTGCACTCCAACCTGGGTGACAGAGCAAGACCCAGTCTCAAAAAAAAAAAAAAAAAGAAAAGAAAAGAAAAGAAAAGAAAAACTAGAGAAGGTTTATTTTTGTTTTTGTCTTTTATTTTTTGAGACCAGGTCTCGCTCTCGCTCTGTCACCCAGGCTAGAGTGCAGTAGCGCTGTCACAGCTCACTGCATCCCTGGCCTCTCGGGCTCAGGCTATCCCCCTGCCTCAACCTCCTGAGTAGCTGAGACCACAGCCGTGCACCGCCATATCCAACTAATTTTTTTTAAGTATTTGTAGAGATGAGGTCTCCCTATGTTGCCCAGGCTGAGGGAATTTTTCAGGCTGATGGAAAATGAGCCCTGATGGTACTGCAAGAAGGAATGAAGAGCACAAGGAAAGAGTAAAAATGTGTCCAATGAGAATCAAATATTGGCTATTTAAAACAACATCTCATAAGATTTTTCACATAAAAGCAAGTATATGAGACCCAGTGTGGTGGCTCACACCTGTAATCTCAGCACTTTGGGATGCCCATGTGGAAGGATTACTCGATGCCAGGATTTTCAGACCAGCCTGGACAACATAACAAGACCCTATCTCTATAAAAAATTTTAAAAAAAATTAGCCAGGCACAGCAATGCATGCCTGTGGTCTCAGCTACTGTTCTCAGCTACTGGAGAGGCTAAGGCAGGAGGATCGTTTGAGCCCAGGAGGTTGAGGTTCCAGTGAGCCAAGATCATGCCACTGCCCTCCAGCTTAGGCAACACAGGAAGACCCTGTCTCAAAAAAAATCAAAAAAGTAAATATATGACAACAATAAAACCAAAGAGGGTGGGTACTAAATGGGAGTTAACTGTTATAAGGTTATTGCATCATTTAAGTATAAATTGTAAATGTTCTAACTTAATGTAGATTGAAATAAATCAAGGATGCATTTTATAATCTCTAAGATGACCACTAAAATAGTAGTAAAAGAAAATGCAATTAAAAAGCTAACAGTAGGCCAGGCACAGTGGCTCGTGCTTGTAATCCCAGCACTTTGAGAGGCTGAGGCAGGCAGATCAAGAGGTGAGGAGATTGAGACCATCCTGCCCAACATGGTGAAACCCTGTCTCTACTAAAAATACAAAAATTAGGCCAGGTGCAGTGGCTCGCGCCTGTAATCCCAGCACTTTGGGAGGCTGAGGCGGGTGGATCACGAGGTCAGGAGTTCAAGACCAGCCTGGCCAAAATGGTGAAACCCCGTCTCTACTAAATATCAAAAATTAGCTGGGCATGGTGGCACATGCCTGTAATCTCAGCTACTCGGGAGGCTGAGGCAGAAAAATTGCTTGAACTGGGACCCAGGAGGCAGAGGTAGCAGTGAGCAAGATTGTGCCACTGCATTCCAGCCTGGGCTACAGAGCGAGACTCTGTCAAAAAAAAAAAAAAAAAAAATTAGCTGGGTGTGGTGGTGGGCGCCTGTAATCCCAGCTACTCCAGAGGCTGAGGCAGGAGAATGGCTTGAACCTGTTGAACCCGGGAGGCGGAGCTTGCAGTTAGCCAAGATCGCACCACTGCACTCCAGCCTGGCAACAGAGCAAGACTCCATCAAAAAAAAAAAAAAAAAAAGCTAACAGCAGAACAAAATGAAATTATTTAAAAAAATATTGATTAAGTCTGGGCGCAGTGGCTCACGTCTGTAATCCCAGCATTTTGGGAGGCTGAGGCGGGCAGATCACGAGGTCAGGAGATTGAGATCATCCTGGCTAACACGGTGAAACCCCATCTCTACTAAAAAGAAAACAAAAAAAATTAGCTGGGCATGGTGGCGGGCGCCTGTAGTGCCAGCTACTCGGGAGGCTGAGGCAGGAGAATGGCGTGAACGCTGTCTCAAACATAAATAAATAAATAAATATAATAAATATAAGGACATAAAAAGGTGAAAGCAAAAGGTTAGAAAGCAACATTTCATGTCAACACTAATCCCAAGAAAGCTAATATGGAAATATTATACAAACAAACAAAAACCAAACAAACAAAATATATTTATATATATATATATATATACACACACATACACATATAGACGTAGGCTGGGCACGATGGCTCACGCCTGTAATCTCAGCACTTTGGGAGGCCAAGGCTGACGGATCACTTGAGGTCAGGCATTTGAGAACAGCCTGCCAACATGGTGAAACCCCATCTCTACTAAAAATACAAAAAATTAGCCAGGCGTGGTGGCGGGCGCCTGTAGTCCCAGCTACTCAGGAGGCTGAGGCAGGAGAATGGTGTGAACCCAGGAGGTGGAGCTTGCAGTGAGCCGAGATGGCGCCACTGCACTCCAGCCTGGGTGACAGAGTGAGACTCGGTCTCAAAAAAAAAAAAAAAATTAATCGGGCGTGGTGGCATACACCTGTAGTCTCAGCTACTCAGGAGGCTGAGGCATGAGAATTGCTTGGACATGGGGAGGCGGAAGTTGCAGTAAGCCAAGATTAAGCCACTGCACTCCAGCCTGGGAGACCTAGTGAGACACTGTCTCAAAAATAAATAAATAAATAAATATAATAAATATAAATATAAGGACATAAAAAGGTGAAAGTCAAAGGTTAGAAAGCAATATTTCATGTCAACACTAATCCCAAGAAAGCTAATATGGAAATATTATACAAACTTTAAGTCAAGAAGTATTATGAGAGAAAAAGTAGAATATTTCATAATAATCAGACTCCAAAGGAACAATCTATTTGGCCCAACTTGTCCAGCTAGTCCAGGTTACAGGAGGCTACCAGCTGTGAACCGGCGCCTAGGATGTACTGGGGCTAGGAGAACTGCCCTTGCAGCAGCTCTGAGGGGAAGGTGTGGGTCCCTTGCCATCCTGGTCACTTTTCCTCATTTCACCCCGCCCTTCCTTGTTTGATGTCTAAACCCAGAGATGCCCAACTACACTTCCTGTATCCTAGGCAGGCTCTCAGCTGCTAGGGACTCAGCCTGAATCTGGGCTACACAAATACTCCAACCTTGACTGTGAGCTGTAGTCCAACCAGGATTCCCATCCCAGGGCTGTGGCCTTACAGTGGGAATTGACAATTGTCGCTGGACAATCTGATTTTGTTGGCCTGAACCACCATTCCCATGGACAGTGACCACGTGAGCTCCTAACTGGTAGCTCTGCCTCTTGCCCTGTCCTAGTGGGTGGACAGGTCTTTGCCACCCACCAGTTGGGCAGGCTGGGTAGGGCAGGGCCTGCAGCTCCTGAGAGGGCTATAGTTCGTGGCTGATTCACCTTAGCCATTATCACTCAATTTCTGTAACCTCTTTCCCCTGTGTCACAGAGAAAGCGGTGGGACAGGGCAGACCATGCTCTCTGTGGCCCTGGGTTCTGGCTCCTGCCTGGATTGCTAACTCTGATGTCTGGTATTCTGCTCTTGCAGACACTATTCTCTCCCTCCAGTTCCAGCCGCTCTTGCCCCGCGAGTTGGATCCCTCCCTCTGAAACAGGAGGCGAGACATCTTTCATGGTTCCCCATCTCTGGCGTCCCTCCCTTGCTATTCTGCCTGCCTTCACAGCCCTGCCACACGGCTGGACAGGCCTCAGCCACAGCTCCTGCCTCACTGGCTAATTCCAAGCTCTGCTCACCTGGGTGGGTCCTGACCCTGGGCTTGTTTGGGTGCAGCTGCCACTTGTATTCACTTTGCCCACAAGGTCCTCCCAAGACATATTACCCATCCTGTGGGAGTCTAATGCTTTCTGTCGGATTTTATCAGCTGTGGGTAGGACATGGCATGCCATGATTACAATGAATGATATTAATTGGTTTCATCCTTGTTCGGATGCTGTGGGTTGAAGAATACAGTCTCTGCAGACAGGCCTGGGCTCCCGTCCCACCTCAGCCACATATTACTCTGTGATTCTGGGCAAGCGACTTAACCTCTTTGAGCCTGAGCTTCCTTGTATGTAAAGTGGGTTAGTATCTGTCCCCTAGGAGTGTGGTGAGGGATAAATAAGATGATGTGTGTGAAGTGCTTGGCACAGCACCTGGCACATGGATAGTGCTTAATACTACAGACGATGGATATTGCTATGTCTGAGGAGCTCAGCTAACTGTGTTACAAATATTCTAAACACAGCATATTTCTACTCTGTTGTGGTTAGGTTTTTCTGTTTTTAAAACATTCCGTAATATATAATAATAATAAAATTAATACCTGTATACCGGCTGGGCACAGTGGCTCATGCCTGTAATCCCAGCACTTTGGGAGGCAGAGGCAGGTGAATCACCTGAGGTCAGAAATTTGAGACAAGCCTGGCCAACATGGTGCAATCCCGTCTCTACTAAATATACAAAAAAATTAGCTGGGCGTGGTGGTGCACGCCTGTAATCCCAGCTACTTAGGAAGCTCAGGGAGGAGGATCGCTTCAACCTGGGAGGCAGAGGTTGCAGTGAGCCGAGATTGTGCCACTGCACTCCAGCTTGGGCAACAAAGCGAGGCTCTGTCTCAAAGAAAGAAAGAAAGAAAGAAAGAAAGAAAGAAAGAAAGAAAGAAAGAAAGAAACATCTGTATACCTACTGCTCAACTACAAAATAAAACATTCACAGTTCTTTTGAAGCCTCCTGCGTCTCCTGCCCAATCACATCCCCTCTCTCCACTCCAAGGTCACTGCCATCCTGAGAATATGGTGAAAGTGGAGGCCATGAAAGAGCAGTAAGGTGACACCCCCACCCCGCACAGCCAGTGCTGGTCTAGTAGAATCTAGGACTCCCACACCCTCCAAAGTAAGGCACAGTGCCCCCTTCTCTAGAGTCCATGGGTGCTGAGTGGGGAACCTGGACTTCCGCCTCCACCTCACAGCAACGCGGCAGCACCTCCCCTCCTGTGCTGGAGTAGCAGCGTGGGAAGCAAGGTTTCAGTAAGACCCAGAGTCTCGTAATACCTAACATGTCTGGGTTTCAGTAGAAAATCACCAGTCAAGGACGGGAGCGGTGGCTCATGCCTGTAATCACAGCAATTTTTTTTTTTTTTTTTTGAGACGGAGTCTTGCTCTGTCGCCCAGGCTGGAGTGCAGTGGCGCCATCTCGGCTCACTGCCAGCTCCGCCTCCCGGGTTCACCCCATTCTCCTGCCTCAGCCTCCCGAGTAGCTGGGACCACAGGCGCCCGCCACCACGCCCGGCTAATTTTTTGTATTTTTAGTAGAGACGGGGTTTCACTGTGTTAGCCAGGATGGTCCCCATCTCCTGACCTCGTGAGCCACCTGCCTCGGCCTCCCAAAGTGCTGGAATTGGCCGGGCGCGGTGGCTCACGCCTGTAATCCCAGCACTTTGGGAGGCCGAGGCGGGCGAATCACGAGGTCGGGAGATCGAGAACATCCTGGCTAACACAGTGAAACCCCGTCTCTACTAAAAATACAAAAAATTAGCCGGGCGTGGTGGCGGACACCTGTAGTCCCAGCTACTTGGGAGGCTGAGGCAGGAGAATGGCATGAAGCCGGGAGGCAGAGCTTGCAGTGAGCCTAGATCGTGCCACTGCACTCCAGCCTGGGCGATAGAGTGAGACTCCGTCTCAACAAAAACAATAAAAAAGTATTCTTACAGGCATTGGCACAGAGGGACAGAGGGAGGAAGAGAGAGAGAGAGAGAACCAAATAGAAATTTTATTATTTTTGTTGACCAAAAAAAAATTATATATACTTATGGTATACAAATGATGTTTTGATATATGTAGACATTGTGAAATGGCTAAATCAAGCTAGTTAACATATGCAGCACCAAATGGAAATGCTCAAACTGAAAAAGACAATGACTAAAATTTTAAAGCTCAGTGGATGTGCTCAACAGAAGAACGGGAGGACAGAAGAAAGAATCCGTGAACTGAAACACAGAATAGAAATGACCTGATTGGAACCACAGGGAAAATAGACTGAAACTGAACCAGAGAGAAAATAGACTGCAGGAGGGGAAAAAAAACAGTTTCAGGGACCTGTGGGACTACAAGAAAGATGTAATATGTCACTGGCATCTCAAAAGGTGAGAAGAGCACATGAGACGGGCTGTATGGTGGTGGCCGTCTGGAAAATATCATCAGCTACATCCATGTTAATGTATGGAGCTATAGTTTTCTGTTCCACTATAATATAGTATTCTATTGTGTGACTGAACCACAATTCATTTATTCACTCTACTGTAATGGGTACTTGGGCTATTTTGTTTTTGATCTAATAAACAGTGCTCTGTGACTATTCCATCCATATCTCCAGGAGTAGAACTGCTGGGTCTCAGGGTGTGTGAATGTTCACTTTTACCAAATAATGTAAAACTTTTCTTCAAAGTGAGTGTACTCACCTCTAGTCCCACTGCAGTTTAATAGTTACATTTCACCAGCATTTTGTCAGTCTTCTAATTTTTTTCCAAACTAGTGGGCATGAAATGAAAATTTGTGGTTTTATTTACATTTCCCCTTTTTACTAATGAAGGTGAGTATATTTTCATATATTTAATGGGCCATTTGTGTTTTCTGTGAAATACCTGTTTATGGTTTGTTTTGTTTTGGTTTGGTTTGGTTTTTTGAGACAGTGTCTCACTCCGTCGCCCAGGCTGGAGTGCAGTGGTGTGATCTCAGCTCATTGCAACCTCCACCTCCTGGGTTCAAGTGATTCTCCTACCTCAGCCTCCTGAGTAGCTATGATTACAGAGGACTGCCACCACGCCCGGCTAACTTTTGTATTTTTAGTAGAGATGGGGTTTCACCATGTTGGCCAGGCTGGTCTTGAACTCTTGACCTCAAGTGATCTGCCCACCTCAGCCTCCCAAAGTGCTGGAATTAACAGGCATGAGCCGCCACACCCAGCACCTGTTCATATTTTTAAACATTTTTCTATTGAATTTTTTGTCCTCCTAATTGATTTATAGGATCTAGGCACTAATTTTTTTTTTTTTTTTTTTTTTTGGTGAAATGTGTGCAAAGTTTTGTTATGATTTGATGGAAACAGTATTAAATCAATCTGGGGAGAAATAACAGTTTTACAGCATTGAGTCTTTCCACAAACATGTTGTTGCTCACCAATTGGTTTTCTTATTGCCTTTCAGTAAGGTGCTATAATTTTCTACATAAAGATTTTACAGGCTGGGTGTGGTGGCTCACACCTGTAATCCCAGCACTTTGGGAGTCCAAGGCGGGCAGATCATGAGGTCAGGAGATCGATACCATGCTGGTTAACACGGTGAAACCCCATCTCTACTAAAAATACAAAAAATTAGCCGGGCGTGGTGGCGGGTGCCTGTAGTACCAGCTACTTGGGAGGCTGAGGCAGGAGAATGGCTGAACCTGGGAGGCGGAGCTTGCAGTGAGCCGAGATCACGGCACTGCCCTCCAGCCTCGGCAACAGAGCGAGACTCCGTCCCAAAAAAAAAAAAAAGATTTTACAGGGCTGGGTACAGTGGCTTATAAGATTTTACAGGACTGGGTACAATGGCTTATGCCTGTAATCCCAGCACTTTAGGAGGCAAAGGTGGGTGGATTGCTTGAGCCCAGGAGTTCAAGACCAGCCCAGGCAATATAGCAAGACCCCACTTCTTTTAAAAAAAGGTTTTTACACATCTTTTGTTAGATTTATTTTCTTTTTTTTCCTTTTTTTTTTTGAAACGGAGTCTCGCTGTCGCCCAGGCTGGAGTGCAGTGGCGCGATCTCAGCTCACTGCAGGCTCCGCCCCCCGAGGTTTACGCCATTCTCCTGCCTCAGTCTCCCGAGTAGCTGGGACTACAGGCGCCTGCCACCTCGCCCGGCTAATTTTTTGTATTTTTAGTAGAGACGGGGTTTCACTGTGTTAGCCAGGATGGTCTCGATCTCCTGACCTCGTGATCCGCCCGCCTCAGCCTTCCAAAGTGCTGGGATTACAGGCGTGAGCCACTTCGCCCGGCCTGTTAGATTTATTTTCAATATCTTATATTTTTCATTGCTATTGTAAATTTTTAATTTGCATTTTCTAACTTGATGATGTATATACATTCATTAAACTTTAATTTATTAGATATTGAATTTATATCTGGCAACTCTGCTAAACTATTTTTTTTTGAGACGGAGTCTTGCTCTGTCGCCCAGGCTGGAGTGTAGTGAGTGGCGTGATCTCAGCTCACTGCATGCTCTGCCTCCCAGGCCATTCTCCTGCCTCAGCCTCCCGAGTAGCTGGGACTACGGGCGCCTGCCACCCTGCCCGACTAATTTCCTGTATTTTTAGTAGTGATGGGGTTTCACCGTGTTAGCCAGGATGGTCTCGATCTTCTGACCTCGTGATCTGCCTGCCTCGGCCTCCCAAAGTGCTGGGATTACAGGCATGAACCACCGCACCCGGCCCTCTGCTAAACTCTTTTTAAAAATTGAATAGACCAGCTTCTCTGGTGAATGGTATTTCTTAAAAAATGCAAATACAGTCATGCACTGCACAACAACGTCATGGTCAATGGTGGACCACATATACAGCAGTGGTCCTATAAGATTATAATGGAGCTTAAAAATTACCATGGCACAAATAACCATTGTGTTACTACTTCCTTACACTATTCAGTACAGTAACATGCAGTACAGGTTTTTAGCCTAGGAGCAATAAGCTGTACACATAGCCTAGGTGTGTAGTAGGCTATCCCATCTAGTTTTGTGTAAGTACACTCCAGAATGTTTGCACAATGGCAAAATCACCTAAGGATACATTTCTCAGAATGTATCCTTATCATTAAGCAATGCATGAATGTAGTACTCTATGGAGGTATAATTTACACACAGAAAAATACACAAATTTTGAATGTATAGCTTGATACATTTTATCGTTTGCATGCCCATGTAACTGACACTCAGCTCAAGATATAGAACATGTGCATCACATCAGAAAGTTCCCTTCTGCCCTTGTACAGCTGATATTCACATAACCCAGAGCTAAGCACTGTTTTTTTTGTTTTGTTTTGTTTTTTGAGAAAGAGTCTTGCCCTGTCACCCACACTGGAGTGCAGTGTCGTGATCTTGGCTCACTGCAACCTCCACCTCCCAGGTTCAAGCAATTCTCCTGCCTCAGCCTCCCAAGTAGCTGGGGTTACAGGCGCGCACCACCACACCTGACTAATTTTTGTATTTTTAGTAGAGACGGGGTTTCACCATGTTGGCCAGGCTGGTTTCGATTTCCTGACCTCAAGTGATCCGCCCACCTCAACCTCCCAAAGTGCTGGGATTACAGGCGAGAGCCACCGTGCCCGGCCCACTGTTCTAACTTTTATCACCATCAATTAGTTTTGCCTGTTCTTGAACTTCATAAAAATGATATTATCCTAGCACAAATTCTCCATCTGGCTTCTTCTACTTGACATAATGTGTTTGAGATGCATCCATGTTATCGCATGTATCCATAGCAGTTTGTTTTGTTACTTGCTAAGTCCTATATCATTATATGAATATATCATATTTTGTTTATTCTCCTAGATGATAGGCATTTTGATTGTTTCTTGGTTTTGGCCATATGAATAAAGTTGCTATGAATATTCTTGTATAAGTCTTGCAGACATTATGCCCTCATTGCTCTTAAATATATACCTCAGAGCAGAATTGCTGGGTCATAAGGTAAGTGAGTGCTTAATGTTATTCAAAGCTGCTAAACAGGTCTCCTGAGTGGTTGTGCAGTTTTACACTCACATCAGCAGTGTATGAGAGTTCCAGTTGCTCCACAGCCTTGTCAAATGTGTAATTGTTATTACTTTTTTTCACTTTAGTCATTCTGGTAGGTGCATGGTGGTAGCTTTGTGGCTTTAATTTGCATTTTCCTCATGACTAATGATGTTGAGCATCCCCTCATGTGCTTATTGGCCATTTAAGTAGCTTCTTGTGTAAGAGTCCTGTTGAAGACTTTTGCCAATTTCTAAAAATCAAGTAATTGGTCTTATTATTGATTTGTAGGCATTCTTTATATTTTCCAGATGGATTTCTTTTGGAGGGAGGGGGTCAAATATATGTTTTGCACATGTTTTCTCCCAGCCTGCAGCTTGCTTTTTCTGTTTTTTTCATGGTCCCTTTTAATGAGCAATTTTGTTGAAGTCTAGCACCTTGTATCTTGCACCTTTTGTTTTTTATTTTTTATTTTTTATTTTTTTTTGAGACGGAGTCTTGCTCTGTCGCCCAGGCTGGAGTGCAGTGGCACGATCTCGGCTCACTGCAAGCTCTGCCTCCCGGGTTCACACCATTCTCCTGCCTCAGCCTCCAGAGTAGCTGGGACTACAGGTGCCTGCCACCACGCCCAGCTAATTTTTTTGTATTTTTAGTAGAGACAGGGTTTCACCGTGTTAGCCAAGATGGTCTGGATCTCCTGACCTCGTGATCCGCCCGCCTCGGCCTCCCAAAGTGCTGGGATTACAGGCGTGAGCTACCGTGACCAGCTTTTTTTTTTTTTGAGACAGAGTCTTGCTCTGTTGCCCAGGCTGGAGTGCAGTGGCGCTGTCTTGGCTCACTGCAAGCTTTGCCTCCCGGGTTCATGCCATTCTCCTGCCTCAGCCTCCTGAGTAGCTGGGACTACAGGCGCCAGCTACCACGCCCGGCTAATTTTTTGTATTTTTAGTAGAGATGGGGTTTTGCCGTGTTAGCCAGGATGGTCTTGATCTCCTGACCTCGTGATCTGCCCTCCCCGGCCTCCCAAAGTGCTGGGGTTACAAGCGTGAGCCACTGTGCCCAGCCTATGTTAGTTCATCTTTAATGGATTCAACAATAAGGCCAGGCACGATGGCTCACGCCTGTAATCCCAGCACTTTGGGAGGCTGAGGCGGGCGGATCACCTGAGGTCAGGAGTTTGAGACCAGCCTGACCAACATGGCGAAACCCCATCTCTCCTAAAAACACAAAAATTAGCCAGGTGTGGTGGCAGGCGCCTGTAGTCCCAGCTACTCAGGAGGCTGTGGCAGGAGAATCACTTGAACCTGGGAGGCGGAGGCAGCAGTCAGTCGAGATCACACCACTGCACTCCAGCCTGGGCAACAAGAGTGAAACTCCGTCTCAAAAAAAAAAAAAAAAAAAAAAAAGTTTATGAATTCATACGGCAAGAATCAAGAAGGTGAGCCTGGGCAACAAGAGTGAAACTCCATCTGAAAAACAAAACAAAACAAAAAAACAATAAGGAAAGTTTATTAATTCATACAGCAGGAAGCGGGGAGGTGATGGCAGCTCCAGAATGGGCTAATCTGTGACTCAGCAGCAGCGTCAGGCTCAGGTTCTTCCTGTCTTTCCTCTCCCATGCGTACTGGCTTGGTCTGTCCTAGGAAGGGCTCTGCGTATTGTCTCAGGAGAGCTGCCACAGCTCTAGGCGTCATATCCAGAAACAACAATATCCGCTATGAGAGGAAGGATGCCTAGCCCTTGGAGCCCTTTTTAAGAGCAAGGAAACATTTCCCAGAAGACTCTGCTATGGTGCGAGTGTTTGTGCCTCCTCCAAAATTCATGTTGAAACTGAATCCCCAGTGCAGCAGTATTAAGAGGTGGAGCCTTTAGGAGATGATTAGGCCACCAGGGCTCTGTCCTCATGGATGGGATTCGTGTCTTACAAAAGGGCAGGAGGGAACTAGCTGGCCTGTCTTCCTTTTGCCTTTCCACCTTTTGCGCCCTGAAGAAACAGCATTCATCTCTTTTTGCCTTTTCATCTTTTGTGTTATGGGAGGGCACAACATTTGTCCCCTCCAGAGGACACAGCAACAAGGTCCCATCTTGGAAGCAGAGACTAAGCTCTCATCAGACACTGAATCTGCTGGTGCCCTGATTTTGGACTTCCAGCTTCTGTAGCTGTGAGCAATACAGTTATGCTATCTCTCAATTCTCCAGTCTAAGGTATTTTGTTACAGTGGCAGGAAAGGACTAATACGGTCTCCCTCCCCATCCTTTTCTCAAATCTCATTGATTCACATGCCAACTCCTAAACCAATCTCTGCAAAGAAGACTAGCCTACACCAATCAGGATTTACCCCTTGAGCTGGGTAGAATAGAATGATTTTCCTGAGCCCCTGGGAGGAGTGTGACACACATACAAATGGTGTCTCTGCCAGCAAGAAAGAAAGAGGTGTACAGACAGAAACTTGATCTAGACAACAGCGACTGCCTCAGAGCCAGCGGCCCCAGAGGGTTAAGACAAAGAGTCCCTGTGCAGAAGGCAAAGATTTACTGTTAAGTACAATGGCTCCAAGGACATTTCCAAGGAAGTCAGAAGGATTGAGAGCTTCTCTCTGCCCACTTCCCATCCCCATCTCCAAGACAACTGGGCTGGACAGGTTGGAGACCTGCAGGCTAGCGCATAGCCACCCCTGGTTGGCCATGAGGTGGAAGCTAGCTCCAGAGCTGTTTATGGAGCCCATTTGAGGGCCTCCCATCCCTCCTCACATTTTAAAAATAAATTAGGACATTTTATTACATTTTCATAACTAATAAAATTAGCAGGCCGGGTACGGTGGCTCACGCCTGTAATCCCAGCACTTTGGGAGGCCAAGGCGGGCAGATCACCTGAGGTCAGGAATTCGAGACCAGCCTGGCCAACGTGGTGAAACCCCGTCTCTACTAAAGATACAAAAAAATTAGCAGGGTGTGGTGGTGCGCACCTGTAATCCCAGCTACTCAGGAGGCTGAGGCAGGAGAATTGCTTGAACCCAAGAGGCGGAGGTTGTAGTGAGCTGAGATCGTGTCACTGCACTCCAGCCTGGGCGACAGGGTGAGACTCCGTCTCAAAAAAAAAAAATTAGCAATAATTTATCTTTTTTTTTTTTTAACATGAGGTTTTGCTCTGTGGCCCTGGCTGGAATGCAGTGGCGTGATCAGTCACTGTAGCCTTAACCTCCCAGGCTCAAGCAATCTTCCCACCTCAGCCTCCTGAGTAGCTGCGACTATGGGCATGTGCCACCATGCCCAGCTAATTTTTTGATATTTTTGTAAAGATGGGGTCTCATTACATTGCTCAGGCTCGTCTCAAACTCCTGGGCTCAAGTAATCCTCTCATCTTGGCCTCCCAAAGTGCGGGATTACAGGCATGAACCGCTACACCTGGCTGCAATAATTTCTTAACATCATGTGATACCTTGTCTCATGTCACATTTCTCCAAAATTTGAGTTAGAGCGGCTTTGTTAAGACCATGATCTAATCAAAGATACGTATTTTAAAAATAGCTCTACTGAGGTATAATTGAAGTACAAGAAACTGAATTATTTGAAGTGTACACAAGTGTTCATAAGTGTTGACACAGGTGTGCAAATCATTACAATCAAGATGATGACCACGTGCAGGCCAAGCGTGATAGGTCACGCCTGTAAATCCTGCACTTTGGGAGGCCAAGGCAGGTGGATCACCTAAGGTCAGGAGTTCGAGAACAGCCTCGCCAACATGGTGAAACCCTGTCTCTACTAAAAATACAAAAATTAGCCAGGCATGGTGGCAGGTGCCAGTAATCCTAGCTACTTGGAAGGCTGGGGCAGGAGAATCTCTTGAGTCCAGGAGGTGGAGGTTGCAGTGAGCCGAGATTGCACCATTGCATTCCAGCCTGGGCAACAAGAGTAAAACTCCATATCAAAAAAAAAAAAAAAAAAAAGATGACCACATCTATCAGCCCCAAAGGTGCCCTTGTACTTCTTTGTTAATTTGATTCTTCACCCACCCTGCTCCCAGGCAACCACTAGTCAACTTTCTATCACCACAGGTTAATCTGCATTTTCTAGAATGTCATCTTATATTTTTATTTATTTATTATTTTTATTTTATTTATTTATTTATTTTTTGAGATGGAATCTTGCTCTGTCGCCCAGGCTGGAGTGCAATGGCATGATCTCGGCTCACTGCAATGTCCGCCTTCCAGGTTCAAGAGATTCTCCTGCCTCAGCCTCCTGAGTAGCTGGGATTACAGGTGCATGTCACCATGCCCAGCTAATTTTTTATATTTTTAGTAGAGATGGGGTTTCACCATCTTGGCCAAGCTGGTCTTGAACTCCTGACCTTGTGATCCACCTGCCTCGGCTTCCCAAAGTGCTGGGACTACAGGCGTGAGCCACTGTTCCCAACCTATTTATTTATGTTTAGACATGAGGCCTTGCTCTGTTGTCCAGGCTGGAGTGCAGTGGTATAATCACAGCTCACTGCAGCCTCAAACTCCTAGGCTCAAGTGATCCTCCTGCCTCAGCCTCCTAAGTAGCTGGGACTGTGGGCACACAAACCACACCTGGCTAACTTTTTCCTATTTTTTTTAGAGACAGGGTTTTGCTATGTTGCTCAGGCTGGTCTCAAACTCCTGGCCTTAAGCGATCCTCCCACTTCTAGGATTTTATATAAATGGAATTATACAGGATAAGCTCTTTTTTGTCTGGCTTCATTTACTTAACATAATTGTTGAGATTCATTCACTTAGGGATCCACACCATACACACTAGTTCGTCTTTTTTATTGCTGAGTAGTATTCCATTGTGTGGATGTTCCACCATTTGTTTACCACCCACTTGTTGATGGACATTTGGATTATTTTCAGTTTGGGGCCATTGCAAATAAAGCTGCTATGAACATTGATGTATAGTCTTTGTATGGACATATGCTTTCATTTCTTTTGAGTAAATACCTAGGAGTGGAATGGTTGGGTCACATGATAGGTGAATAATTAATCTTTTTTTTTTTTTTTGAGACAGGGTCTGATATTGTTTGGCTGTGTGTCCAAATCTCATCTTTAAAAGATGAGAGTCAGTGGTTCCAAGATGGCCGAATAGGAACAGCTCCACTCTACAGCTCCCAGCATAAGCAACACAGAAGACGGGTGATTTCTGCATTCCCAACTGAGGAACACAGCTCCTCGCAAGCAACGGAACAAAGCTGGATGGAGAATTACTTTGATGAGTTGAGAGAAGAAGGCTTCAGACGATCAGTAATAACAAACTTCTCCGAGCTAAAGAAGGATGTTCGAACCCATTGCAAAGAAGCTAAAAACCTTGAAAAAAGATTAGACGAATGGCTAACTAGAATAAACAGCGTAGAGAAGACCTTAAATTACCTGATGGAGCTGAAAACCATGGCACGAGAACACCATGATGCATGCACAAGCATCAGTAGCTGATTCGATCAAGTGGAAGAAAGAGTATCAGTGATTGAAGATCAAATGAATGAAATGAAGCAAGAAGAGAAGTTTAGAGAAAAAAGAGTAAAAAGAAATAAACAAAGCCTCTAAGAAATATGTGACTGTGTGAAAAGACCAAATCTACACCTGATTGGTGTACCTGAAAGTGACGGGGAGAATGCAACCAAGTTGGAAAACACTCTTCAGGATATTATCCAGGAGAATTTCCCCAATCTAGCAAGGCAGGCCAACTTTCAAATTCAGGAAATACAGAGAATGCCACAAAGATACTCCTCGAGAAGAACAACTCCAAGACACATAATTGTCAGATTCACCAAAGTTGAAATGAAGGAAAAAATGTTAAGGGCAGCCAGAGAGTAAGGTTGGGTTACCCACAAAGGGAAGCCCATCAGACTAACAGCTGATATCTCAGCAGAAACTCTACAAGCCAGAAGAGAGTGGGGGCCAATATTCAACATTCTTAAAGAAAAGAATTTTCAACCCAGAATTTCATATCCAGCCAAACTAAGCTTCATAAGTGAAGGAGAAATAAAATCCTTTACAGAGAAGCAAATGCTGAGAGATTTTGTCACCACCAGGCCTGCCTTACAAGAGTTCCTGAAGAAAGCACTAAATGTGGAGAGGAACAACCAGTACCAGCCACTGCAAAACCTTGCCAAATTGTAAAGACCACTGATGCTAGGAAGAAACTGCATCAACTAACGAGCAAAATAACCGGCTAACATCACAATGACAGGATCAAATTTACACATAACAATATTAACCTTAAATGTAAATGGGCTAAATTCTCCAATTAAAAGACACAGACTGGCAAACTGGATAGAGTCAAGACCCATCAGTGTGCTGTATTCAGGAGACCCATCTCACATGCAGAGACACACGTAGGCTCAAAATAAAGGGATGGAGGAAGATCTGCCAAGCAAATAGAAAACAAAAAAAAAAGCAGGGGTTGCAATCCTAGTCTCTGATAAAACAGACTTTAAACCAACAAAGATCAAAAGAGACAAAGAAGGCCATTACATAATGGTAAAGGGATCAATTCAACAAGAGCTAACTATCCTCAATATATGTGCACCCAATACAGGAGCACCCAGATTCATAAAGCAAGTCCTTAGAGACCTACAAAGAGACTTAGACTCCCACACAATAATAATGGGAGACTTCAACACCCCACTGTCAACATTAGACAGATCAATGAGACATAAAGTTAACAAGGATATCCAAGATTTGAACTCAGCTCTGCATCAAGCCAACCTAATAGACATCTATAGAACATTCCACCCCAAATCAACAGAATATACATTCTTCCCAGCACCACATCGCACTTATTTGAAAATTGACCACATAGTTGGAAGTAAAGCTCTCCTCAGCAAATGTAAAAGAACAGAAATTATAACAAACTCTCTCTCAGACCACAGTGCAATCAAACTAGAACTCAGGATTAAGAAACTCATTCAAAACTGCTCAACTACATGGAAACTGAACAACCTGCTCCTGAATGACTACTGTGTACATAACGAAATGAAGGCAGAAATAAAGATGTTCTTTGAAACCAATGAGAACAAAGACACAACATACCAGAATCTCTGGGACACATTTAAAGCAGTGTGTAGAGGGAATTTATAGCACTAAATGCCCACAAGAGAAAGAAGGAAAGATCTAAAATTGACACTCTAACATCACAATTAAAAGAACTAGAGACGCAGAAGCAAACATATTCAAAAGCTAGCAGAAGGCAAGAAATAACTAAGATCAGAGCAGAACTGAAGGAGATAGAGACACAAAAAACCCTTCAAAAAAATCAATGAATCCAGGAGCTGGTTTTTTTAAAAGATCAACAAAATTGATAGACCACTAGCAAGACTAATAAAGAAGAAAAGAGAGAAGAATCAAATAGACGCAATAAAAAATAATAAAGGGGATATCACCACCGATCCCACAGAAATACAAACTACCATCAGAGAATACTATAAACACTTCTATGCAAATAAACTAGAAAATCTAGAAGAAATGGATGAATTCCTGGACACATACACCCTCCCAAGACTAAACGAGGAAGAAGTTGAATCCCTGAATAGACCAATAACAGGCTCTGAAATTGAGGCAATAATTAATAGCCTACCAACCAAAAAAAGTCCAGGACCAGATGGATTCACAGCCGAATTCTACCAGAGGTACAAAGAGGAGCTGGTACCATTCCTTCTGAAACTATTCCAATCAATAGAAAAAGAGGGAATCCTCCCTAACTCATTTTATGAGGCCAGCATCATCCTGATACCAAAGCCTGGCAGAGACACAACAAAAAAAATAATTTTAGACCAATATCTCTGATGAACATCGATGCAAAAATCCTCAATAAAATACTGGCAAACCGAATCCAGCAGCACATCAAAAAGCTTATCCACCACGATCAAGTTGGCTTCATCCCTGGGATGCAAGGCTGGTTCAACATACACAAATCAATAAACGTAATCCATCATATAAACAGAACCAAAGACAAAAACCACATGATTATCTCAATAGATGCAGAAAAGGTCTTCAACAAAATCAAACAGCCCTTCATGCTAAAAACTCTCAATAAACTAGGTATTGATGGGATGTATCTCAAAATAATAAGAGCTATTTATGACAAACCCACAGCCAATATCATACTGAATAGGCAAAAACTGGAAGCATTCCTTTTGAAAACTGGCACAAGACAGGGATGCCCTCTCTCACCACTCCTATTCAACATAGTGTTGGAAGTTCTGGCCAGGGCAATCAGGCAGGAGAAAGAAATAAAGGGTATTCAATTAGGAAAAGAGGAAGTCAAATTGTCCCTGTTTGCAGATGACATGATTGTATATTTAGAAAACCCCATCGTTGGCCGGGTGCGGTGGCTCACGCCTGTAATCCCAGCACTTTGGGAGGCCGAGGTGGGTGGATCACAAGGTCTAGGAGTTCGAGACCAGCCTGGCCAATATAGTGACACCCCGTCTACTAAAAATACAAAAATTAGCCAGGCGTGGCTGCTTGCGCCTGTAGTCCCAGCTACTCGGGAGGCTGAGGCAGGAGAATTGCTGGAACCCAGGAGGTGGAGGTTGCAGTGAGCCAAGATGGTGCCACTGCACCCCAGCCCAGGTGACAGAGTGAAACTCCATCTCAAAAAAAAAAAATGTACAATTATGTATTTTTTACTATAGTCACAAAGATGTGTAACCATCCCCACTATCTGATTCCAGAATATTTTTATTACACCAAAAGAAACCTGTATCTATTAGTAGTCAGTCTTCACTGTCTCCTATCTTTATACCCTGGCAGCCACTAATCTACTTTCAGTCTCTAGAGATTTGCCTATTCTTGGCATTTCATATAAGTGGAATTATAAAATATGTGGCGTTTTGTAGCTGGCATCTTTCACTTAGCATGATGTTTTCAAGGTTTATACAAGTTGTAGCATTATCAGTATTTCATTCATTTTAATGGGCAAATAATATTCCATTGTATGGATATATCACATTTTATTTAGCCATTCATCAACTGATGAACATTGGCTTGTTTCTGCTTTTTTGCTATTATGAATAACACCACTATGAATATTTGTGTACAAATTGTTGTGTAAATATGTTTCCATTTTGGGGGGTATATACCTAAGAATGAAATTGCTAGGTCATACGGTAACACTATATTTAGCTTTTTGAGGAGTTGCCAGGCTTGTCCAAAGCAGCTGCACCATTTCACATTCCCATAGCAATGTATGAGAGTTCCAATTTCTCCACATCCTTGTCAACACTTGTTATTGTCCATCTGTTTTATTATAGCCATCCTAGTATGTGTGATGTGGCATCTCCTTGTGGGTTTGACTTGCATTTCCCTGATGGATAATAATATTTACAATCTTTTCATGTGGTGTTGTCCATTGGTATATCTTCTTTGGAAAAATATCTGTTTAAATCCTTTGCCCAATTTTTGAGGTATATGTCTTTTTAAGCTGTAGTTGCTATTTTATATTCTGGATACTAGTCCCTGATCATATACATAATTTGCAAATAATTTACCTCATTCTCTGTGTTGTCTTTTTACTTTCTTGATAGTGTCCTTTGAAGCCAAAAGATTTCCATTTTGATGAAGTACAATTTATCTATTTCATCTTTTGTTGCTTGTGCTTTTTCTGTTGCATGTAAGAAGGCTTTGCCTAACCTAAGATCATGAAAGTTTATGATTACGTTTTCCTCTAAGAGTTTTAGAGTTACAGCTATCATATTTAGGTATCTGAGCCATTTGCAGATCGGACTTAATTTTTGTATATGGTCTAAGGAAGGGATCAACTTCATTCTTTTGCATGTAGATATCCAGTTGTCCCAACATCAGTGATTTGATGACAAGATATTTTTCTCCGTTAAATTATCTTGGCACCCTTGTTAAAAAATCAATGGAATATAAACGTATGTGTTTACTTCTGGACTCTCAATTCTATTTCATTAATTTATATGTCTGTCCTTATGTCAGTACTACACAATGCTGATTGCTGCAGCATTGCAGGAAGTTCTGAAATCAAGAAGTGTAAGTCCTTCAATATTGTTCTTTTTTTCAAGATTGTTTTAGCAATTCTGGGTCTGCTGCATTTTTATACAAATTTCAGAATCAGTTTTTCAATTTCTGCAAAAAGAAGCTGGGATTTTGAAAGTGTACTACTACATTGTAAGTGTAGACAAATTTAGGGGGTATTGCCATCTTAACAATATTGTCTTCCAATCCATGAATATGGAATATCGTTCTATTTACTTAAGCCTTCTTTAATTTCTTTCAATGTTTTGTAGTTTGCAGCATATGAATCTTGTGTGGTTTTTTTTTGTTTGTTTGTTTTTTTTTTGAGACGGACTCTAACTCTGTCTCCAGGCTGGAGTGCAGTGGCACAATCTCGGCTCACTGCAACCTCCACCTCCCGGATTCAAGTGATTCTCCTGCCTCAGCCTCCCGAGTAGCTGGGACTACAGGCATGCACCACCATGCCCAGCTAATTTTTGTATTTTTAGCAGAGGTGGGGTTTCACCATGTTGGCCAGGATGGCCTCCATCTCTTTTTTTTTTTTTTTTTTTTTTTTTTTTTTTGAGATGGAGTCTCGCTCTTTTGTCAGGCTGGAGTGTGGTGGCACGATCTCGGCCCACTGCAACCTCCGACTCCCTGGTTCAAGCGATTCTCCTGTGTCAGCCTCCCAAGTAGCTGGGATTACAGGCATGAGCCACTGTGCCCGGCCAATTTATCCTTTTTTATGCTATTGTAAATTGAATTATTTTCTTAATTTCTGCAAGCTTGCTAAATTTATTATCTCTAATAGGTTTTTGTGGCTTCCATAAGATTTAATAATTATTTCCATAGAACAATCGTATTATCTGAGAATAGAAGTAATTTTACGTCTTTTTCAACAGTGATGCCATTTATTTCTTTCATTTTGGGGCAGGAAGGGAGGATCTAATTTGGTGGCTATTATTTCCAGTACAATGTTGAACAGGTGTAGTAAGAGGAAAAATCCTTTCCTGCTGATCTTAGGGGTCAGACAGTTTCAGTCTTTCACCATTAGGTACTATATTAGTGCAGGACTCTTCGTAGATGATCTTTATCAGTTCAAAGAACTTCCTTTCTATTTCTAGCTTTCTGAGAATTTTTATCATATAAGGTATTGGATTTTTTTCAGATGCTTTTTCTGCATCACTGACCCGATTTAAAGCTTCAATCTTTTATTCTATTAATATGGTATGTAACATTGATTGATTTTCATATCTTCAGCCAACCTTACCTTCTTGGGAAAAGTCCCAATTGGCCATGTTGTACATTCTTTTTCATATGTTGCTGTATTGTTTGATTCTATTTGTTTTGAAGATTTTTACATCTATACTGACAAAAGATATTGGTCTGTAGTTTTCTTCATTTTTGTCTGTCTGTTTTTTCTTGTGATGTCTTTGTTTTGGGTATCGGGGAATTATTGGCTTCGTAGAATGATTTGGAAAGTGTTCTCTCGTTTTCTAAGTTTTGAAACAGTTTATAAGGAATTGTTATTAATTATTCTTCAACTGGGTCATAAAATTCACCAGTGAAGTCATCTGTGCTTGGGCTTTTCTTTGTGGAAAGTTTTTTGATTATGTATATTGATCTTGCATACTGTGATCCTGCTAAACTTGCTTGTTAGTATTCCTGGTTTTAAAGTACATTCTTACAATCTAGCAGTGTGAGTCTTCCTAATTTGTTCTTTTTCTCAAAATTTTTTGTGGATATTCAAGTTTCTTTGTATTACCATAAATATTTTAGAATCAACATATTGATTTTTATGAAAATCCTGCTGGGCTGTTGATTGGGATTACATTAAATCTACTGATCAAGTTGGGGAGAATTTGGACTTTAAAATATGGATTTTTCTGTCTCCAGGTGGATAGTGTAAAAAAGCAAAAAAGAAAAAATATATATATATTTTCCAACCCATTGCCTCTATTTAGGTCTTCTTTAGTGTCTCTTATCAATGTTTTGTTGTTTTCAGCATGTCAGTCTTGCATGTTTTGTTAGATTTATGCCAAGTATTCCTTGTTTTTATGCTATTTAAAATGGCACCGTTTTTAAAATTCTCATTTTAATTGGGCATTCCTAATATATAGAAACATAGTGATTCTTCTCTGTTGATCTTGTATCTTGTAACCTTGATAAATTTACTTATTAGTTGTAGTTGCTTTTTTGTAGATTCTTTGTGATTTTCTAAATAAACAATTATGTATTCTACTAACAGAGACAGGTTTATTTCTTCCTTTCCAATCTGTAAGCCTTTTATTTATTTTATTATATTTTTCTTGACTTCTAGCCCTGGTTAGGACCTCCAGTTGAAAGCGGAATGGCAGTGGTAAGGGTGAACATCCTTGCTTGTTCCTGAACTTAGAGTAAAAGACTTCGGTGTTATTTTTTGTTGTTATTGTTGTTGTTTTTTGAGACAGAGTTTCACTCTTGTCACCCAGGCTGGAGTGCAATGGTGCGGCCTCTGCTTACTGCAACCTCCGCTTCAGCCTCCCGAGTAGCTGGGATTATAGGCATGCGCCACCACACCCGGCTAATTTTGTATTTTTAATAGAGACAGGGTTTCACCACATTGGCCAGGCTGGTCTCAAACTCCTGACCTCAGGTGATCCACCCGCCTCAGCCTCCCAAAGTGCTGGGATTACAGGCGTGAGCCACCGCGCCCAGCCGACTTCAGTCTTTCACTATAAAATATGACAGTAGGTATAGGTTTTTTGTGGATGTCTTTCACTGAGTTGAGGAAGTGCCTTTTAATTCTTAGTTTGCTGAGAGGTTTTATCATGAATAAATGTTGAATTTCTCCCATGTCTCTTCTTTTTCATATTTCACCTTATTACCTTTCTTTGTTGAATTCTTGGTAATTTCTTAAGCTCTACTTTTCAATTTACTATTCTGTCTTCACCTTTGTCTATTCAGCTTTTTCACTTGTCTTTTGAGTCTTTTTATTTTAATTATTGCAGTTTCATTTGTAGAAGTTTTATCTGGTTCATCTTTAAATATGCCTAATTAGGCTGGGCGTGGTGACTCACACCTGTAATCCCAGCACTTTGGGAGGCCGAGGCAGGTGGATCACTAGGTCAGGTGATCGAGACCATCCTGGCTAACACAGTGAAACCCCGTCTCTACTAAAAATACAAAAAATTAGCCAGGCATGGTGGCACGCGCCTGTAGTCCCAGCTACTCGGGAGGCTGAGGCAGAATGGCCTGAACTCAGGAGGTGGAGCTTGCAGTGAGCTGAGATTACGCCACTGCACTCCAGCCTGGGTGACAGAGCAAGACTGCATCTCAAAAAAATAAATAAATAAAAATAAATAAATAAATATGCCTAATATTATTCGTTTCTTTCTCATATTTTCAGTATCTTTTTTCACTTCATTAAATACATTAAAATACTTATCTTCTATTCTGTGTCTCATCATTCTATCTTATGCAGTATTTGTGGGTCTCACCCCGCTATTTATTTATTGTTTCTGCTGACGCATACTCCTTGTGGTTTGTTTCCATATGAACTTATTAATTGTTAATTATGAGGTCATGTTTCTTGTAATTCTTTGTGGGAATTCTTTGAATCTGTGTTTAAAATATATTATTCCAGAAAGGCTTTTTGTTTGCTTTTGCCAGGCACCTAAAAGTACTTCCAACTCAGAACCACTTTAAACATTTTTTTGGCTTAGTGTTTTTCTGGTCATACAGGGAATATAATTTTGGGCTTTTCTCTGCATGAATGTTGGCTTTCGGACTTCCTTTTTACCCTGTATTGCTTCTCCAGCCACAACTAAGTGGATACAGCAAAGTCTTCTGTAGGTGAGTTTTTTTCCCTCTCTCTCCCCTAGGGTATTAACTTCTGAGAAGTCCCAAATTTGGAGGAGAGGAAGGGTCCTACCTCCCAGGACCAGACTTCAGGCCTTTTCTCCTCTTTCCTGATTAGTTTTGGGTCCCCTAAAAGCAGAGCCTCAGACAAAGGTTTTTGTGTAATTAATTTGGGACGTAATCCCAGGGAGTAGGAGTGAGGGCTGGAGAGAGAAACAAATAAAGAGGGAAGCCCGGGACAAGGTCGCATTTTCAAGGGGACCTCTGATAGGTGCTTGATTCCATAGGATCTTCCAAAGAGTCTTATGAAATGGGAGATACAAAAAAGACACATTGAGTATTTGCTTGTGTCACTCATTGGTCAAGAGTGGCCTCACAGACATGAACTCCCCTGAACTTGGGGTGTGCATATGCATACTGGTCCAGGGGATTCCCGAGAGCATCCTCCCTGTGTGACTCAGACAGGAAGGGAGGGGTGGGCCCCATGTGCCCAAGGTGAGGCAGCACCTGCATGAGGCCCACAGAACACTCATCACCTCAGCAGTGGCCAGAATCAGAACTGGGGCCAAGCGGACTGAAGTGGTGCCCAGGAGGTGCCTGGCACGCTGGCCATTTACAATCCAGGGCCTCAGGAAGCACAGGCCCTGGTGCAGGCTCACCCTGATGGGGTCATGCTCTTGTTATTCTGGCTTCTGACTGGTTCCCTATTTAACATCCGTTCATCTGTGCTTTCACACAGACATATTTGATGTTTTATTCAGCATTTTTAGGAAGGGATTTCTCTACTCAATTAGTCTGCATGTTTCTGGATACAGAAGTAAATAGTCAATATTTTCAAAATGCTTCTATATGCATTTTAACATTCCTTTAAAATTTTTCTGAGTATTGAAATCAAGCATCCCTTTCTGGAGTTCCTATAATCCACTTTTGTGCCCCTAAACAGGCCAGTCAATAATAACAACAACAACACGGCAGGTCCCAGCTTTTGAACACCTACTATGTGCTGCTGTTATTGACTATATCACATTTCTATATGCTATAAACCCAATGATAATTGACATTGTTTTATACAATTGCTTTTTACAATTAGTTAACAGAAAGAAGAAGAAATATGTATTTATACTGTCTTTTATACTTAATTACCAGCACTCTGTTTTTTCATATGGTTTTTGAGTACTGTTGGGGGTCACTTACTTAAATTCTGAAGACCTTCCTTTATTATATCTTGTAAGGTAGGTCTGGTAGCAACCAATTATGTTTATTTTTGCTTATCTGGAAATGTCTATATTTCATTTTTCTTTTTGGAATCTAGTAATGGCAACAGTGACCCATCTAGAGTGGCCATTGCCAAGACACCAGCTGCAGCAGGGAGGCATCGTCCTCACCTCTGGCTCCACAGAGCAGGCAGGAGCCCTGCCTTCCTGGGCACGGCTGCAGCCATCCAAACCAGACTGAAGACTCAGGCATCCCTGCATTCTTGAGGGACTAGAAAGGCACCCCTTGCTTTTCAGGGTCAGAAGTGCCTGCTCCCACTGCCTGGCTTCTCCCTGCTGTTGGCACCCACTCCAATCTTGGAGCAATGTTGGGACCAAGCCCCGACACCATGAACAGCAGCAGGAAGTGGACCAATTCCTGGGCAGAAGAAAACAGGTCCCCGGTGAGGCCCCACCTTCAGGTCAGGGAAGGCCTGAAGGCTGGGGACCAGGCTGCCAATCCCACAGCTGGAGTAAGAACTGGTGCCTTTTCCAGGCCACCATGGCTGCCCATGGACCAATCATTGCACACTTCCTCCCCTCTGAGGCCCATAAAAGCCCCAGGCTCAGCCAGAGCTGAATAGACAATGGGATGACCAGCTGCAGAGACAAGCTACCTTCTCCAGGGCCTCCTCTCTGCTGAGAGAAGCAGACATCAGAGTGACCTGCCTGCAGAGGGGAACCACCCTCTCCAGGGCCTCCTCTCTGCTGAGAGTTGAACACTCAACAGGACGACCTGCCTACAGAGAGGAGCTACCCACTGTGGGTCTCCTTTGAGCTGTTCTGACACTTAATAAAGCTCCTCTTTGACTTGTTCACCCTTCACTTGTCTGCATTCCTCATTCTTCCTGGACACAGGACGAGAACTTGAGCAAAGGTGCCACCAGCCACAGGTTTCTGGCCATAAAATCGAAACCCCAAATATCCCATAACACTAGTTTTGCTGGAAAAGACTGTTGGTTGACAGGTTATTTTCAGCAGTTTGAATGTGTAATCCCACTGCCTTCTTCCCTCCATTTTTTCTGATGAGAAGGTGGCTGTTATTGTTATTGGGATTCCCTTGGACATGACAAATCATTTTTCTCTTGTTTTCAGTGTATTCTCTTTGTCCTTAGCTTTCCAGAGTTTTAATAGAGTGTATCTGAGTGTGGCTCTCTACTACTTGGAGTTCCTTAAGATTCTTAGATGTGTAACTGAGTGGTTTTCATCATTTTTGAGAAATTTTCAGCCATTGCATCTTCAAATATATGTTGTCTTCTTTTCTTTTTCTCCTCTTTCTGATACTCCTATTATATCTATTTTGGTGTACTTCATGATAGCCCACATTTCTCTAAGGCTTTGTTCATTTTTCTTCATTCCTTTTTCTCCTCATTCTTCAGGTTGCATATTCTCTATCAATCTATCTTTAAGTTCACTGATTCTTGCTTTTGCCAGTTCAAATTGATTACTGAACTCCTCTACTGGATTTTTCATTTCAGTTATTGTAATTTCCAACTTTGGAGTTTCCATTTTACTTTTTCTTATACAATTTCTATTTCTTTGTTGATATGCTCAATATATTTGATGAGACACTGTCATTATACTTTACTTCTTTGTCTTTTTTTTTAGACAGAGTCTCACTCTGTCACTCAGGTTGGAGTGCAGTGGCATGATCTCAGCTCACTGCAGCCTCCATCTCCCAGGTTCAAGTGATTGTTGTGTCTCGGCCTCTCAAGTAGCTAAGATTACAGGCATGCACCACCATGCCTGGCTAATTTTTTTTATTTTATTTTAGTAGAAATGGGGTTTCACCATGTTTGCCAGGCTGGTCTCGAACTTCTGACCTTAAATGATCTGCCTGCCTTGGTATCCCAAAGTGCTGGGATTACAGGCATGAGCCACTGTGTGCACACATAATTTTTATATTTTTAGTAGAGATAGGTTTTTGCCATGTTAGGCAAGCTGGTCTTAAACTCCTGGCCTCAAGCACTCTGCCCACCTCAGCCTACCAAAGTGCCAGGATTACAGGAGTGAGCCACCAAGCCTAGCTTTTTTTTTTTTTCCAAACAGTGTCTTACTCTGTCACCCAGGGTGAAGTGCAAAGGTGAGATCATGGCTCATAGCAGCTTCAAAATCCTGGGCTCAAGCACTCCTCTTGCCTCAGCCTCCCAAGTAGCTGAGACTACAGGCCTGTGCCACCACATCTGGATAATTTTAAATTTTTTTTTTTTTTTGAGACGGAGTCTTGCTCTGTTGCCCAGGCTAGAGTGCAGTGGCACGATCTCGGATCACTGCAAGCCCCGCCTCCCAGGTTCATGCCATTCTCCTGCCTCAGCCTCCCAAGTAGCTGGGACTACAGGCACCCACCACCATGCCCAGCTAATTTTTTGTATTTTTTAGTAGAGATGGGGTTTCACCGTGTTAGCCAGGATGGTCCCAATCTCCTGACCTCGTGATCCGCCCACCTCAGCCTCCCAAAGTGCTGGGATTACAGGCATGAGCCACCGTGCCCAGCCAATTTTAAAATTTTCTGTAGAGATGAGGCCTCTCTATGTTGCCCAGGCTGGTCTTGACTCCTGGCCTCAGGCAATCCTCTCAGCTCAGCCTCCCAAAGTGTTGGGATTACAGACATGAGCCACCATGCCCCTCCTTCCTTTACTTCTTTTTTTTTTTTTTTTTTTGAGACAGTCTTGCTCTGTCGCCAGGCTGGAGTGCAGTGGTGTGATCTTGACTCACTGCAACCTCTGCCTCCTGGGTTCAAGCAATTCTCCTGTCTCAGCCTCCCAAATAGCTGGGACTACAGGCACACACCACCATGCCCAGCTAACCTTTGTATTTTTAGTAGAGGCAGGGTTTCACCATGTTGGCCAGGATAGTCTCGATCTCTTGACCTTGAGATCTGCCCGCCTCGGCCTCCCAAAGTGCAGGGATTACAGGTGTGAGCCACCACACCTGGCCTCCTTTACTTCTTTAAGTGTGGTTTCCTTTAGTTGTTTAATAGCTGCTTGGAAGTCTTTGCCTGCTAAGTCTGACATTTGGACCCTCTCAAAGGCAGCTCTGTTGCCTACTTTTTTCTTGTGTATGGGTCACATGTTACTGTTTCTATGCATGTCCCATAATTTTTTGTTAAAAATTATAATTTATAATATACTTATATATAGTATATACATAGTTATATATTATGCTAAAATAATATATATTTATAGCATAAAATATATTAACATTCGCCAGGCACGGTGGCTTGCGCCTGTAATCCCCGCACTTTGGAAGGTCAAGGTGGGTGGATCACCTGAGGTCAGGAATTCAAGACCAGACTGGCCAACATGGTGAAACCTCATCTCTGCTAAAAATACAAAAATTAGCTGGGCCTGGTGGCACCACCTGTAATTCCAGCTACTTGGGAGGCTGAGGCAGGAGAATTGCTTGAATCCAGGAGGTGGGAGCTGCAGTGAGCTGAGATCATACTACTGCACCCCAGCCTGGGCAACAGAGACTTTGTCTCAAAAAAATAATAAAATAAAATATATTAATGTTTCAGATAATAAATTGTAGCAACTCTGGATACTAACCACTACCCCTCTGCCACATGCACACAGCTTCTTGTTTTTGTTGTTTGCTTATTTATTTAGTGGCCTGGCTGGACTATTTTAGGGAAGTTTATTTCCCGGCTGTGTGCAGTTTCTGACGTCATGCCTAAGAAGCCACAGCCTTGTGCGTGTGTACTGTCACCCTGGAATGACAATGGCTTTAAGATGGCTTTCTTTGTGTCTGTTCTTGAGCTTTCTGTTAACCTGTATATTAGTATCACACAACTGTTAGCCTCTACTAACTGCTGACTGGTTCCTCTATTGTTTTATAATCACTTGGGCATAAATTTCTCCACAGTCTGATCAAATTAAATTCAAGCCCCTTTGCTCTGTTGCGCAGGCTGGAGTGTAGTGGCACGAATATGGCTTACTCCAGCCTCGACCTCCTGGGCTCAAGCAATCCTCCTGCCTCAGCCTCCCGTGTAGCTGGGACCACAGGTATGTGCCACCGTCTCTGGCCAATTTTTTTTTTTTGAGATGGGGTCTCACTTTGTTGTCCAGGTTGGTCTTAAACTGCTGGACTCAAGTGATCCTCCCACCTTGGCCTCCCAAATTGCTGGGATTACAGGTATGAGCCACTGCATCTGGCCAATAAATGTTTATCTGCCATATGGCCTTAAGAAAAATTCCAGAGAATGTGAATGGTTGTTTTTAAAATTATTTTTCATCAGTTATGGTTGTTTTGTCTGCAGAGCTCCTCCTGACAGCATTCCAAATGTCCTCTTCCTAAAATCTTCTCTTTAATCCTAGTGTTCTAAGATTTCACAATGATGAGCCTTGGTGAGAGATTTTGCTTTGTTTTATATACATTCATTTTGCTAGGCACTCACTAGACTCTCAATTAAGCACTTCTGTCGTTTCCGAAAACGTTTATTGTGTTTTTAACTCTTTATCACCTATTATCTCTGTCCTCTTTTTCAGGAAGTTGAATCAGTCAGATGTTGAATCTCAGATTGATCTAATTTTCTTATTTTTTGTATCCTGTTGTTCATCTCTGAGTCTTTCTGTGTAACTTTCTGAAAGATTTCCTTGATTTTATCTTTCTACCACTCTCTCACATTTTAAATTCTTGTTCTCTGATTGCTCCCCCTTCTATGGCATCCAGTTCCTGTTTTGTGGATGCAATATATCTTCCAATCTCTCTGAGATGATCAATTGCAGTTTCTTCAACATTTTCTTCTGCTCTTTGCATCATCTTTGTTTCCTCTGAGTTCCATTTGTTCTGCTGTTTTGGCCTCTCTCTTACATGTTGGAAGCTTCCCTCAAATCTTTAGAGAAGCTGAGCATGACGGTTCGTGCTTATAATCACAGCTACTCAGGAGGCTAAGGTGGGAGGATCACTTGAGGCCAGGAGTTCAAGACAAGCCTGGGCAACATAGCCAGACCCCATCTCAAAAAAAGTCTCTGGAGAGGGGCTCCTTGGTGTGGGACAGGACATCTCACCAAGAAAGCATGCTTATGGCCCCTAGAGAGTACATTCCATGGAGGAGAAGGAGCCAGCCTTGGAGTTGGATACACCTGGCTCAAAATCCAGCTCCATATCTGCCTGCTTTTTTATTCTGATTGGATAACTCCCCTGAGCATCAATTTCCTTCTCAGTAAAATGAAGATAGTAAGACATCCTGTGGATCACACAAGAGCAAGCAAGCGCTTGTCAAAGAATAGACACTCCAGAAATGTTAACTTTTCAGGCTTCCCCTTTCAGAAGTTGAACTAAGGTACTTCAGTTCATCTAAGGTACTTACCACCTGCATTGACCATTGATGTTCATTTCTCTTCCTTCTCTTTCCCTCCCTCTTTGACCTCATATGCTCAAGGCCATGCCTCTACCAATCATGGAGGGACAGACCATCTCTGATAATAAGACTTTGCCACCATGCTGCCTTAAGCAAGTGGTTAAGAAGACATATGTTGGTGTCTGGGATCCAAGGCCTGCATCGATCACCGAAATAGCAGATGTGATGTAAAAACAAAGATTTACCTAGCAGCCCCAAGCCTGGTGTGAGACCCGTATTTACTACAGTCAAAGAGGAGACAGGAACAATATGGTCTCCAGGACTCAAGAGTCCACCCAAGGGAAACCCTCCCAGTGACAACTGGGATCTGGACCCCAGAAAAGGGCTCTTTCTCTCCCCCTCAAAGATTTGGAGGGTTGTGCCTTAGAGCAGAGGAAGCATCTTCTAGTCTTCTGGCAGCCTGGAGACCTAGCTCTCCAAGACAGCTGTTGGACTTTATGCACCATACACCCATGCTGCCCTGCTTTCCCACCCACCTCCAGCCACCTGCCATCCCCATCTTGCTGCTCAAGTCTAGGCTGAGACTCTGTTCCTTTGGTGGTATCATCTCCCTAGCTGGGCCCTGCACCAAGGAGAGGGAAGGGACAGGTTCCAGGGAAAGGGGGAAGCCAGCCAAGGAGGTCTTACCCTCCAGGTGAGAAGCTATGCATTCTGACCTCTCCCAGAGCGTTCTGCACCAGGCGCCTGACTTCAAAGGCTCCCCTAAGCACAGCCTGGCCCTATTCCTTCAGATCTCTGAGCCTGCCATGGTGGGCACTCAAGACAGGTGTCTCTGGGTCTGGGATGGGAGTTTGGGCAGAGCTATGCTGCAGCCTGTGTCCACTGGGCAGGGCGTCCATACAAGGAGTTCCACACTCCTGAGCCCTCTGCTGAGAATGTCTGCCTCCAGCCCTGTGCATATCATCCCTGGGGTGGCAGGTCACCTGAGCAGAACCAGCACACTGGGTGCTCAGGGATCCTGTGCGCTCTGGTGACCTCATCCTCCATCTCTGTCACCTCTCCCACATTTCTGAGGGACAACTGGGCACAGATTCTGGAACACTGTGAATGAACTCTAAACCCCTCCATCTAATGGGCCTCAGGGGCACTTCCTACGAGCACTGCACCATGCTAGGTTGGCAGGGTGAAACAAAAACAGCAAACAGGAGGGGTCCCGGCCCTCTAGCTAGTTGGAATGTAAGGCAATTATCTGCCAAGTATCCCACAGTAAAGCTGTGGGAGCCTAGAGGACAGAGCTTTTTGGGAGAATGGGCCTGAAAAAGTTCTCGAGCTTGATCTGGGTGGTGGTTCACAGGTGTGTGCACCTCTAAAAATCCATCATGCAGGCCAGCCAGGTGTGGTGGCTCTCACCTGTAACTCCAGCACTTTGGGAGGCTGAGGTGGGCAGATCTCTTGAGCCCAGAAGTTCGAGACCAGCCCAGGTAACATGACAAAACCCCATCTCTACAAAAATTAACTGGGCATGGCGGCACAATCTTGTATCCTAGCTACTCAGGAGGCTGAGATGGGACGATCACCTGAGCCCAGGAGGTCAAGGCTGGGTTGCAGCGAGCAGTGATTGCACCACTACACTCCAGCCTGGGTGACAGAGACAGACCCTGTCTCAAAAAGAAAAAAAAATCCATCACGCTGTACACTTAAGATGTGTGCACTTTACCATATGTGTTATACTTCAATTTTTTTAAAAAACTGTAACTGGCCCTGGTCTCAGAACTCAGCAGAGAGTAGACAGGCCAAGCGGGGAGTGGAAGGTAGGTGGCAGGACCTCCAGGGAAGCCAGCTCTGGAGGCCCGGTGATGGCAGTGGGAAAGAGCCATGGGAATGAGTTGGAGCCATTACCAAGAAAGAAGGTGAGGGCCTGGGGACTAACATAACATCAGAGACAGAGGCAGCCAAGAGTGAGAGGTCTGGGGTATGAGAGCCAGGGCAGCCTTCTGTTTGGGGAACACCCAGAGACGACTGGGAAGTCCCAGTCTGCACACAGTTGAAGGGGAAGTGGAAGAGGGATGTGTTGACTTCTCAAGTTTCGAATAGGTGAGGACGGTATGGCTGACAGTTGGAGGGTTCAGAGCACCAGAACACACTCAGGACTCTGAAAGGCAGGCCCCGGGAGATAACTTCAGAGGGTGACTAGCAGCAGCCAGCCCATGGGCCTGAGACCACCACTATTCCCAATCCCTGGTTTCCCCCAAAGCAGTCTGAGCAGAAAAAAGACCTGAGTCCGCCCCAGACTAGCCTGGGTCAGCCCCACCATTTGTGAGGTCCAAAATCCTGTGTTTGGGGGACATGTGTGGTGAGTCTCCAGCACGAAGGTGGAAGGGAGGGAGCACACAGTAGATGCTCGAGCAATGGCAAGGACTGATTCTAGGCCACCCATGAAGCTAAGCAGGGGCCCTCTTCACACCTCTAGTCCTCCAGTGTCTCCTCAAACTTCCCCAGAGCAGGAGGCTCACTCCCTCAGTCACTCCCTCCATTTCCATAAGCTCTAGGTGCCAGGACATTTTCCTTCTCTGGGGCTGAACTTTGCCTCCAGGTCATTTCTCAGAGTTCTAGGATAGACTCTTGTCCCCTGAGGCTGCTCTTCCCTGCTCATCCAGCCTGGCTTTTGCAAAGCCTTCAGCATGCTGGCTCTTCTCCTGCAGATGTTGGGCAGCAGGGGCCCCAAAAGGACCACAATCCTTCAGATGCAGTCTGAGCCAGAAGGAGGAAAAATCACCTCCTTTGACCTGCATGCTATACCACTATTAATGCAGCCCAAGCTATTAGCTAAGGAGGCTACATGCAGTGTGTGGTTATCATTTACCTGATGGGAAAAAGAGGGAGTTCTTGTTTCCCAAGTACCACCTTGGCTTCCCAGAGCCTCTCCATGATCCCCACCCAGTCCCTGCCTCACTGGGCCCCTACTCAATCTGCCCTCCTTCACCCACTGCACTCTGCCCCACTCACAAAACTTTTATGTGCCCCAGCCAGCTCTTCCCCTTCCCACATTTGCACATGTAATAGCCTGGGTCTGAAATGCCCTGGTTCATCTTCCCCTGGCGAACTCCTGGTCACTCATCTTGCTTCCACTTACCTCCTCCAGGAAGTCTTTCCTGAAAACCCCTGCCCTTGCCTAAATTAGGCTCCAAGGTTATCCCCTCTCAGTACCCCGTACTTTTCCTCCATGGTGCTTATCAGGGTGTCTACTCTTCCTTACCTGTGGGCAGCTATCTCAGAAAGGACCCTGAGGGCAGGGAGCATGTGGATTCTTTTCCCCACTGTGTCCGCAGCACTGGGCACAGTGCCTAGCACAGAGCACATATACATACAGTAAAGATGGACTGAGTGGACCTGTAAATGAGGCATCCTTGTTGATCTGGTTATGCAAAGCCCTCGACTGCTACACCACTCCATCCTCCCCAGGCTGAGCGAGAGGATGCAGTGTCAAGAGAGTGTGCTTTGGGGCCGGGCACAGCAGCTCACACCTGTAATCCCAGCACTTTGGGAGGCTGAGGCGGGCGGATCATGAGTTCAGGAGATCTAGCCCATCCTGGCTAACACGGTGAAACCCCATCTCTACTAAAAAATACAAAAAATTAGCCGGGCATGGTGGCAGACGCCTGTAGTCCCAGCTACTCAGGAGGCTGAGGCAGGAGAATGGCATGAACCTGAGGGGCAGAGCTTGCAGTGAGCCGAGATCAGCCACTGCACTCCAGCCTGGGCGACAAAGGGAGACTCTGTCTCAAAAAAAAAGAAAAAAATTCTGGCAGTTATTTGGCAGGGAGCTCTTGGACAGATGTAGTTTATTCTTTAGGGGTCTCCAGCTTGGAGTTACCCACCCCATGTTTACTGTCCAGCCCTGAAATTGGGTAGTCCACCATATATTATCCCAGCTGGGGTAGGGTGATGCCCTACTGTAACCTGTATTTGGTTTAGGGCAAAGATATTTATCTGCCTGTGAGATCTGTCTCTGATTTTTTAAATTTCCACAAGGTAAAACCTGGCAGGCATTAAATCTTATAGTCTGGGGTGCTACTGTCTTGGTCACATTAATCACCAACCTGACTGGGTAGAGAAGAGTCTGCTGCCAGTTTCCATTTTGACCTTCTGCTCTTTGTATATTAGCCCATCCCAGCCATGTTAATTTCCAGAAATGGGGCCAGCTCATGTTTTCTTTTTAGATTTTTCTTAGAGTTCACTTTAAGGGTTCCTTAAAGTTAAGAGTTAAAGTTAGACTCGGGCACTTTCCACTGATCTTTTTCCCTCCCTTCCGGGATCTCTTTTACCAGTCCCTTGACTCGAATATAGTGAGTCCACCTCCATTCAGCTGTTTGCAGGGCCATCTCAGTGGTCAGGAGCACTTGATAGGGACCTTCCCAGCTTGGGTGGAGCTTGTCTTATTTCCAAGTCTTAATCAGCATGAAGTCACCAGGCTGGAAGTGGTGAACCACAAACTTAAGAGGTGGAGTTTGAGTTAGAAGTCTTTTTAACCTAAGGGATGACAGGGTGGAGGATATGGCCAGTATATAATTTCTTAAGAATTGATCCTTGGTTTCCATAGTAGGGAGATCTGTAGCTCTGCCTAAATACAGGAGCCCATATAATAACTTGTAAGGGAACAATCCCAAGTCTTTTATTGGAGCTGTCCTAATCCTGCAGAGTGCTATTGGGAGACATTTGGTCCAAGCATTTTAGTTTCTAAGATTAGTTTGGTGAAATGCTTTTTGAGAGTTTGATTCATTCTTTCTACCTTTCTAGAGGAAGGGGGATGCCAAGGGGTGTGATAATCCCATCTAATTTGTAAACCTTCCATAATTCCCCTTAACACCTTTGAGGTAAAGTGGCTCTCATTGTCTGAATCAATATTTTTCACCAGGCCAAAGCTAGGTGCAATCTGTTCTAATATAATTTTGACCATATACCTGGTGGTGGCTGTTGGGAGGCAAAAGGCTTCCACCCAGCTGGAAAGGTGATCTACGATCACCAGTAAATACTTTCGTCTTTCTACTTTGAGCATTTTTGTAAAATATACTTGAATGCTTTGAAATGGTCTTAGTCCAGGAGGTCTTCCTCCTGTGGCCTGTTTTCTAATTACCTTTTGGTTTATCCTTTGACAAGTTACACAATTTCCACATACTTGTTTAGTGAGGGTATAAGTCCCTATACACCCATAATTCCTAATGTTATAGGAGGCAGAAAGAAATTTAGGTAGACAAGGTAAAGTGAGTCCCTGGCAGAAAACTTTCCTTCTATTAAAAAGCAGCTCAGAAATAGCTCCCTTTCTAACCTCATGCAGTTCAAAGAAATTACTTCTCTTCTAACAAATGGCGCCTGAAAGCTCAGCCTGTAAATCACAGATAAAGAGCTCAAGCACAGAAGGAGGGGGGTTGGGGGGGATCGAGATTCGGGGGAAGTCTCCTGGGTAATCACCAAACTTCACTCTCATACAATGGGCCCCAGTAAAAACAGTGGGCCTTAATAAGCACATTCCTTTCCCTTTAGGCACACTAAGATAGGGAAGCTAAAAGTGGACTGGGGTGTGGGGGTGGGTGCCTGAAGCTGCAAGATACCTGGAACAGACACAGATACTCTCCCTCCCAGATAAGTGACACAATTAGGTAAAGGCTGATAGAAACTCTGCTCTAAACAGATAGCACATCTGGTCACAACCAAATCATTGGGCCCTAGGAGGATAAGACATCCCCTCCTCACTAGCCCCCTCCTCACTAGCCCATTTATGAAAACTCTGACATTTTTATTGCAACTTGGCAACCGGCTCAGGACCCCCCCTTCAATGCAGAGCTGGTCCCTCCCACGGCCACGAAATTCCTACTCCAAACCCACTCCACCTGTGCAACCCCAATCTCCCCAGCTGCAAGACCAAGAATCCTGGCATCCACCCCAGCCAACAAGGCTGCCTCACTAAGTATTGCATTACACAGAGCCTGGGGTCCCCAGTGACTCCCTTTGTGTACTATAGACATTAGTTCTTTTATCAGGGGTTTACTCACACTAGCTCTCTCACACTGTCTACCTTTATTTCAGCTGTCTGCTCCTGCTCTGCGACACCTGCCACCCCCCAACCTGCAGCTGCACTTCCTGGCCCACAAGGCCAGCTCTTAGTTACAAAGTTAACTTTTAAAAGGCTTTGCCTTACTGGGTTCTCTGAACTTAATCTGGAGTTTTTTTTTTTCCATCTGATCTCTGGCCTCTGCAGGAATGCAGAGGGAGTTTTCTTTTTCTTGTTGAATCTCGAATGCCTTTGAGACATTTTGTGTCCTAGGAGTGGGCTCCTTGACCCCTTTAACTATCAGTTCTCTGAGGTCCTGCATTTGGGCCTAGTCCCTGGGATCATTATTATCCCATTTGGGATTGACATTTGGAAGTTTTTTGTTCGACTGTCAAGACTTCTTGCCTGGGAGGGTGTTGCCTCTTCCAGATAGTCATGGCCACTCTCCTAATCATTCCCTTTTCTTCTCCTATGAACAGGATATTTAAGATAGACATCATTTCAGCCCAGGTGTAAAAGCTGGGTCCTATGAATTTGTCCAGTTGGTCTGCTAAACCGAGGGGATCTTCTAGGAGTGGTTTCATTTCCTTCTTGAAATTCCTAACATTAGTACTTGTAAGAGGAGCATTTACAAAGCCAATCTCTCCCTGTCCCACGAGAACTTCCCTAAAAGGGAACATGCTAGATGCCTGCTGTGTGAAAGGGATAGGGAAGTTTTCAATATCCCTCTTACACTGTTCTAATTCTTTTTTCAAATTTGGATAAGGATTTAAAGGAGCAGTTGGTTCAGCTTCCCCATGGTCTCCAGGTCTTTCTTCCTCTAACCCTCCTGCTGCCCCTTGATCTTCCTGTCCCCTATTTTGTGAGACATATGGAGGGGGCATGTATGACAGGGGGTCCCAGGGCTTTTCCCTGGGTGAGGGCTTTTTACTAGGCTCTTTTTCTTCTTCTTTGAAGGGAAACATGGGGGCTAATTCCTTGATCCAGCAGAGAGCATAACATCTCTTCTTGTGAGGGTGGGGTTTTATCATTCACATAGAGAATTAAAACTTGGCACACCCAATCCTCATCTGAGCCAAACTTGGGCCAAAACCCTGAAGGCTTACAAATGGGGTCTTTGGGCCAGATAAAACAGCAATGCTTTATTATCTTTTGCTTTTCCTTGTCCCTGGTTCGAGGGTTGTCCCTCCAAACCTGCCACATTCTCCCCAAAGGACTATCTGGGGGAATGTCAGAGGAGTCTCTTTGGCTCCCTCTTTCCTTTGTCCCCTAGGCCTAGAATTCCTGTTTCCCATTTTCAGTCAGTCTCTGTGTCTGAGTTTCCCTGTGTACTCAACCCCCCTTTACTGGAGGTTTCTTGCACACCCCGAGAATCGCTTCATCTGTGTCCAGCCATTTCCCTCTCGGGAGAACAGAACCACGGATTAGGACTCCGCACTCACTTTGTATCTAAGATACGTCTCAGTCACACACACACTCAACCGCCGAAAATGCCCAACCACCAAGGCAGTACTTACAGTCCAATTTTCCACCTTGGCTCACACACAAGGTTGCCTGGTTGCCACGATGCCCGCTTTTCTCCCTGTGTCATCTCAACTGTCTCCTGAATAAGTCTTGGGTTTGTCTATGGCTTCTGTGGGGAGCCGGGATGCCCGACAGAGCAGGCCACCTAAATTGAGTAGGACATGTCTCCCCTCTTGGCCAGAGTCCCACTCCATGCAGGCACAGAGATCCCAGACAGGCCCCCAGGTTGTGAGAAACATGCTCACCTGTCCAAACCCAAAGAATGGACTTAGAGGCATGAAGAACAGTTAAAGTGAGACTTCTAATAGTGGTCTTGCAAGATCAGGTGTCTTGCAGGCAGGCACGCCTGGGACAGTCACAGCAGGTAATTTATCCCTTAGCACAGAAGTCCCTCCCCCAGTTCCTCATTGGTTGAGTACTATGGGGTTACAATCTTCCCGGATATTGCCTACGTTTTCTTATCCCCCTTATAAGATTATACCCCATCCCCTTCCCCACTTAAGTTTAGATTTCCCAATAATGAAACTTTTTTCCCTTTTATGAGCTGACCCCTCTTCTACATTCTGTTTGTTTATTGTGACCTTCTAGATGCATGAGCCCTGTGGTTTGTTACATTTTCAGGCTGGCTGCCAGTACTTAGATTTATCATGCCTTGAAAACTGACCACTTGAAATGTTTTCTCACAGGCCAAGCATGGTGGCTCATGCCTGTAATCCCAGCACTTTGGAAGGCCAAGTTGGATCGTCTGAACTCAGGAGTTCGAGACCAGACAGGGCAACATGGCAAAACCCTGTCTCTACCAAAAATTCAAAAAAATTAGCTGGGCATGGTGGGACGCACCTGTGGTCCCAGCTACGGGGGAGGCTCGGGTGGGAGGATCACTTGAGCCTGGGAGGCGGAGGTTGCAGTGAGCCAAAATCACACCACTGCACTCCAGCCTGGGTGACAGAGTGATACCCCATCTCAAAAAAAGAAAAAAAATGAATGAATGAAAGGAGGTTGTAGATGTGTGGGGACAGTGGGATATGGGATATGGAAACTCCCTGTACTTTCCACTCAGTTTTGCTGTGAACTTAAAACTACTTCAAATAACCTTACTAATTAAAAAAATTAATAAATGAATGAAGACATATGATCAGTCCTTGCTTATGCAACTTTGGCTTGCAGAGGCCTCAGGCCATTGTGCTTGTGTGAAGTACCGCAGGCAGACTTGTCCCCGAGAGCCAGCACTGGCCCAGGCCCAGGTGCGAGCAGGTGCTGTGATCCACCTGACTGGATGACTGGTGGCCTATTTCCTACCCATCTGCCTGTGATGTCATAAGTCAAGGTGATTCCAAAGGCCATCTGAGCTTTGGCCTGTGCCCTCCATTTTCTATGCTGTGGCCACTGGTCCACTCTGGAGGGTCAGGCTGGCTTGTGAATGGAGCAAGAACTAACCCCTGAGGCTTACAAATTCTGCATGCATGCATATGCTTGCACACCTTCTGCTGCTAATCTGGAGTATTCCTGCATCCCAGACCACCACGATTCTCTGAGTTCCAGAGAGACTGAGCCAGGGCCATGGCAGAATCTATAGACCAGAGGGGACAGTCCTGGCTCCAGGATACCTGCCATTCGATGTATCAGTGTTCCTGTTCTCCAATCATAAAAATGGGGCAACTCAGGGCATGACTTCTTTCCTAGAAAATTCCCAGGCAAGCCTCTGCCTTGGTCACGCCTTCCTGGAAGCCCAGGACGATCCTTGTGGAAGCCTGGGGGGCCTCTACCCCGCCCTAAACCCCCACTACACACTCACCTTCTCTTGCAAGCCAGCCCTGGGAGAGGCCATATGGAGACTTCAGGGATTGTCTGGTGACTGGCCTGTCACCCTCCAAGACCCAAGCTTTGTTCCCTCCAGCTGGCCTCCTCCTCTGGTCTTCCTCCAATGGCCCTGGGCCTTGGAGGCAACATGACTCACAGAAAGAGCAAGGGCTTGGAGCCTGCCAGAGCTTCCTCACTTACTAGCTGTGGGACCTTGAGAAAGTTAAGTAACCGGTCAGGCGCAGTGGCTCACGCCTGTAATCCCAGCACTTTGGGAGGCCAATGCAGGTGGATCACCGGAGGTCAGGAGTTCGAGACCAGCCTGGCCAACATGGTGAAACCCCGTCTCTACTAAAACTATAAAAAATTAGCTGGGCATGGTGATGCGCACCTGTAGTCCCAGCTACTCAGGAGGCTGAGGCAGGAGAATCACTTGAACCCGTGAGGTGGAGGCTGCAGTAAGCCAAGACTGCACCCCCAGCCTGGGCAACAGAGCAAGACTCCGTCTCAAAAAAAAAGAAAGTTAAATAACTTATTTGAACCTCAGCGTCCTCATTTGTCAAATTCTTGCTCTCAGGAGAAATGGCCAGGGGACAACAATATCCACCTTAGGGTTGCTGTGAGAATTAAATTGTAAATGGTGGCCATTGCTTCACAGAGCATGGCTTCCTTCTGGTGCTCTGTGAGTAGTGACCATACATGCTGGTTTGCCCAGAACAGTCCAGTTGATGCCTATTTTCCTGGCATGTTAATTGCCCTTTTTCACTCTCAGAAGTGCCCAGTTTAGACAAAATACAGTCAGCCTGTGTTTCTTTCTATTCCTAGCTCAGGTCCAGCCTGTGTTAGCAGCACCACTATTTCTACTTTCCCCTGTAAGAGGCCATGCTTGGTTTGTGGTTAGGTTGCTGACACACCAGGGGTTTGGTCTAGGTCCTGCTGTTGGTCACACAAAAAGCCAATGACTGAGACACAGGATTGCCAAGGAAGAAGGCTTTAATTGAGTGCTGTGGCCAAGGAGATGGGAGCTCAGTCTCAAATCCATCTCCCTGGCTAAAATTAGGGGTTTGTACAGCAGGGAAGAAACTTAACAATGTAAGGGAAAACAGGAACTCCTGAGGGGTAAGGAAGCAATCATGATAATGAGGGGCCTGGGTCTCATTGTCTGGATGCTATGCTCTGTGAGTTTCAGTTCTTTCCTACTTTTTGAGAGGCCTGGTATCTCACTGTCTGAATCTGGTGAGTTTCAAGCTTTAAGACCAGATGTGTCCATTTCTGTTTATCAGGAAAAACTGTGTATGAGATTCTTTGATACTTTTTGAGAGACCTGGTATCTCATTGTCTGAATCTGGTGAGTTTCCAGCTTTAAGACAAGATATGTCAATTTCTGTTTATCAGGAAAAGCTGTCTATGGAACTATTGGGTCAATTTCAGTTATATCCTTCTTTCTGGGCCTCAGGTTCCTCTTATTATTATCATTTTTTAGAGATAGGGTCTCCCTACGTTGCCTAGGCTGGAGTCAGTGGCTATTCACAGGCTCAGTCATGGCACACTGTAGACTCAAACTCCTGGGCTAAAGCGATTTTCCTGCCTCAGCCTCTGAGTAGCCAGGATTGCCCGTGCACACCACCACACCTAGCACAGGTTATGTCTTTTTTTATTTTTTTTTTTTTGAGACAGAGTCTCGCTCTGTCATCCAGGCTGGAGTGCAGTGGTGCAATCTCTGCTCACTGCAACCTCCGCCTCCTGGGTTCAAGCGATTCTCCGGCCTCAGCCTCCTGAGTAGCTGGGATTACAGGTGCATGCCACCACACCTGGCTAATTTTTGTATTTTTAGTAGAGACGGGGTTTCACCATGTTGGTCAGGCTGGTCTCGAACTCCTGACCTCGTGATCCACCCACCTCGGCCTCCCAAAGTGCTGGGATTACAGGCATGAGTCACTGTGTCCAGCCGCTTTTTTTTTTTTTTTTTTTTTTTTTGAGATGGAGTCTCGCTCTGTCACCCAAGCTGGAGTGGGGTGGCAGGATCTCCACTCACTTCAAGCTCCACCTCCTGGGTTCACACCATTCTTCTGCCTCAGCCTCCCGATTAGCTGGGACTACAGGTGCCTGCCACCATGCCCAGCTAATCTTTTGTATTTTTAGTAGAGACGGGGTTTCACCGTGTTCACCAGGATGGTCTCGATCTCCTGACCTCGTGATCCGCCTGCCTTGGCCTCCCAAAGTGCTGGGATTACAGGCATGAGCCACCGCGCCCAGCCGCCCAGCCTCTTATTTCTTAAATGGGAATAACAATGCCCATCTGGAAGGATGTTTAGGAGGCTTAAATGCAGGGTCTGGCACAGGCCAGGAGCCAGATAAACCTGAGTTCCCTTCCACAGCCTTCTCTCTCTTCCCTCCATCATGCCAGCTTCCCCCAAGCATGGCACACCAGAATTCAACTTCTCCCCTGCCAGGAGAGCAATTTCCAGAAGTTCCAGGTAACATATCAGCTCCCAAGCCAGGGCCAGGCCACGGTCTCTTCTGAGAGGAGGAAATCTTCAGGGCCAGGAGCGGTGGCTTACACCTTTAATCCCAGCAATTTGAGAGGCTGAGGCAGGAAGATTGCTTGGGTGTGGTGGCTCTCACCTGTGGTCCTGGCTACTCCTCTGGTGGCTGAGGTGCGAGGAACACCTGAGTCCAGGGAAGTCGAGGCTGTATGTGAGCCATGATCGCACCACTGCAGTCCAACCTGGATGAAAGAGTAAGACCCTGTCTCTTAAAAAAATGTTATTTACTTTTTTTTTTGAGATGGAGTCTCACTCTGTCGCCCAGGCTAGAGTGCAGTGGCACGATCTCGGCTCACTGCAACCTCTGCCTCCCGGGTTCAAGCAATTCTCTGCCTCAGCCTCCTGAGCAGCTGGGATTACAGGCACTCGCCACCACGCCCAGCTAATTTTTTATTTTTAGTAGAGACGGGGTTTCGCCGTCTTGGCCAGGTGGGTCTTGAACGCCTGACCTTGTGATTCATCTGCCTTGGCCTCCCAAAGTACTGGGATTATAGGTGTGAGCCACCACACCTGGCCAAAAAAATTTTTTAATTAAAAAAATTTTATGTCTGGTCAGGACCTAGTTAAAGTTAAAAAACTTTCTTTTTTTTAATTTTAAAGAGAGGGCCGGGTGCAGTGGCTCACACCTGTAATCCCAGCACTTTGGGAGGCCGAGGCGGGTGGATCACGAGGTCAGGAGATCGAGACCATCCTGGCTAACACGGTGAAACCCCGTCTCTACTAAAAATACAACAAAAATTAGCCAGGCGTGGCGGCCGGTGTCTGTAGTCCAGCTACTTCGGGAGGCTGAGGCAGGAGAATGGCATGAACCCAGAAGGCGGAGCTAGCAGTGAGCCAAGATAGCGCCACTGCACTCCAGCCTGGGCGACAGAGCGAGACTCCATCTCAAAAAAAAAAGAAAATTTAAAGAGAGAAAGAAAGGATCTTCAGCATCCATGTGTTCATGTTCAACTCATGTTGGCTGCTTCCAAGTCCATCGCTATGGCTGGTAACATTGTTTTGCCTACACAGATGGAAGGCACCTTTTAATTCACCTTTGAACACTCCTTCCTCTTCCAGGAATCCAGAGGCCTGAAAGGGAGTCTGCTGGGCCTCCAGTCCCTAAGGACCTGCTGTCTAGGCTAGCAGGCAAAGCATCACCATGTAATCTCAGCAGATAAAGCCACCATGAAATGAGCCCATTGCAGCAAGGGAACGACACATGCTCCCAGATTCCACCTGGATTAGCTGCATGTCCTCCAAAAGCCCTGAAGCTCACATATCTGCCTCTTGTCCTCACACCCACCCACTCCCCACATTCCTTTGCTATGAGACAACTGGTAGTTCTTCTGGCCTGATCATTCCCATTGCCTTGCCGCAAGGGGTACCAAACCTGGCTTAAATATTGTAGAATATTTGGTTCCACCAGGAAGCTCTCAGTGTAAACAACTTGTCAGTTATTGGGGTTGATTTCTTTGCTCAGAGGCAGTTGCGTGACACTTAGGATTTTCATCCTGCCCTAGAAACCACAATACATGAAGGAAGGAAGCCATGAGCAGAAAAAGGTAATGAAGGAGCTGTCCAGTTGGGACTGAAAGGGCAGGCATCTGGGGATGCTGATGTATGGTGGAAGGGGTGTTTCAACTGACCCCAAGGAGGTAAATGCAAATAAGGGTAGAAGTCCTGTGCAGGAGCCTGTTTGCAGGTAGCTGTAGGGCAGAAAGAGAAAACCCTAGCACACTGCACTGGCTGTGCGGCCCTCAGTTTCTTGTCTATGAAACAGCTACATATGCTAATTGACTCCATCGTGAAGCTGTTATGTGAGGAGGGTGAAATGAGATTAAAGAAACACTTGGCAATATGGAGAACATGTAACACGTACCCATAACCCAAGTCTTATCTAGGGCTCCACACAGTTCAGTCCTGCTCAGCTGCACTCAGAGAATCACACATTGCAAAGGGCTTTAAAAAGAACCTCAATCACAATTGCTGCAGTGAGCTGAGATTGCGCCACTGCACTCCAGCCTGGCGACAGAGCAAGATTCCATCTCAAAAAAAAAAAAAAAAAACCTTGGCCAGGCGCGGTGGCTCACGCCTGTAATCCCAGCACTTTGAGAGGCTGAGGTGGGCAGATCACAAGGTCAGGAAATCGAGACCATCCTGGTTAACACGGTGAAATGCCATCTCTACTAAAAATACAAAAAATTAGCTGGGCGTGGTGGTGGGTGCCTGTAGTCCCAGCTACTTAGGAGGCTGAGACAGGAGAATGGTGTGAACCCGGGAGGCGGAGCTTGCAGTGAGCCGAGATCGCGCCCCTGCACTCCAGCCTGGGCGACAGAGCGAGACTCTGGCTCAAAAAAAAAAAAACAAAAAGATTCCTTCACTCCTCCATTTGTTCCCATCTTCCCAGTTCTGTATCTCAATCTGTTTTTCTTTTTTTTTTTTTGTTTGAGACGGAGTCTTGCTCTTGTCATCCAGGTTGGAGTGCAATGGCACGATCTCGGTTCACTGTAACCTCTGCCTCCCAGGTTCAAGTGATTCTCCTGCCTCAGCCTCCCGAGTAGCTGGGATTACAGGCGCCTGCCACCACCCAGCTAATTTTCGTATTTTTTAAGTAGAGACAGGGTTTTGCCATGTTGGCCAGGCTGGTCTCAAACTCCTGACCTTGTGATCCACCCGCCTTGGTCTCCCAAAGTGCTGGGATTACAGGCGTGAGCCACCACCAATCTGTTTTTCTAATCCCACACCACAAAGTGCCCAGGAACCACAGAACAGATTGTTTTTGTTTTGTTTTGTTTTTTGAGATGGAGTCTCATTCTACTGCCCAGGCCGGAGTGCAGTGGTACGATCTCAGCTCACTGCAACCTCTTCCTCCCCGGTTCAAGCAATTCTCCTGCCTCAGCCTCCTGAGTAGCTGGGATTACAGGCATGCACCACCACACCTGGCTAATTTTGTATTTTTAGTAGAGACAGGGTTTCACCATGTTGGCCAGGCTGGTCTTGAACTCCTGACCTTAAGTGATCTGCCCACCTTGGCCTCCCAAAGTGCTGGGATTACAGGCATGAGCCACTGCGCCTGGCCACAAAGACAGATTGAACAATACTGTGAGGTCAGGAGAGAGAAAAAAACTATACTATAATAAGCAAAGCAAAATTATTTTTCATGGGTGGGGCTGAAGATTGCTATAAATCTTGCACCAACACACACATACAGTGTCATTTAGTCTCCCTCCCTCCACTGGCCACAAGGACAGTGGGTTGTTTTTTGTTTGTTTGTTTGTTGGATATTGTGTTTTGTTTTGTTTTTAGTACACACCACCTTTGGAAAAGACCGTGGTTTTTACAGTTTTTAATGGTGTTGATTTTTCTTCACATTGTTACTTTTGTCACCCCTTTTCCAGAATCAGGGGTGTGGTCAAGGCCTTCAGCACAACCTAGATTCCCCTTCTCAGCATCCTGGCTTCCTCCTAGACTCCAGCTTCTCAATCCAGACCCAATCTGTCCTGCACATACCGCCCCGCTGATCTTGACCGCACGCCACACTCACCATGTGCCTCCCCTACTGAACAGCTCCCAACCTCCCCAGCACGTGGAGCCGGAGTTCCTCCCTGGGTGTCCTACATCAAGCACATGGCAGCATGTCTTCACCCTTTGTATCCTTGGTCCTCCTGTAAGCCCCAGCCCAAGTTCTGTTCCGTCCAGGGGACCCATCCTGACTGCTCAATTCTGAAGTAGAGTCCATGCCACACAGTCTCACTTTCATTGTTTGCTGTTATTTGATCACTGTGAATCTTTCTCCCATAAGAACATAAGTTCCTTGAGATCAGGGATCTCAAAGGTTTATTAAAAGCACACAAGGATACTCAAAATTCATTTTCCTCTGTTAGCTTGTGACAAGAAAAGCAGACCCATTTCTACTCCAAAGGCCTTGATGAATATCTTCAGGCCAGGCACCGTGGCTCATGCCTGTAATTACAGCACTTTGGGAGGCCAAGGCAGGAGCATCACTTGAGTCCAGGAGTTCATGACCAACCTGGGCAACATGGTAAAACCCCATCTCTGCAAAAAATAAAAAATTAGCCAGGCATGGTGTCATGTGCCTGTAGTCTCAGCTACTGGGGAGGCTAAGGTGGGAGGATCAACTGAGCCCTGGAGTTCAAGGCTACAGTGAGCTGTGATTGTGCTGCTGCACTGCAGTCAGCCCAGGTAACGGAGTGAAACCCAGTCTCAAAAACAAAAAGAAAATTTCCAGATGCCTCTGCCAAGTCTGTGTGTTTGTTTGCAGTAACTCCCTGCCATCATTTTTAAGAACTTCCAGATAAAGAACAGAAAGAGGCCAGGCTCACACCTGTAATCCCAGCACTTTGGGAGGCTGAGGCAGGTGGATCACTTAAGGCCAGGAGTTCAAGACTAGCCTGGCCAACATGGTGAAACCCCGTATCTACCAAAAATACAAAAATTAGCCGGGCCATGGTGGCGGGTGCCTGTAGTCCCAGTTACTCGGGAGTCTAAGATGGGAGGATCACTTGAGCCCCAGAAAGTCAAGTCTGCAGTGAGCTGTGATTGTGCCACTACACTCCAGCCTGGATGACAGAGTGAGGCCCTGTCTTAAAAAACAAACAAAAAGAGCAGAAAAATCTTTTTATATTTTTATTTATTATTATTAAATTTTTTAGAGACAGAGTCTCACTCCTCACCCAGGCCGGAGTGCACTGGCATGACCATAGCTCACTGCAGCCTTGGACTCCTGGGCTCAAGCAATCCTCCCACCTCAGCCTCCTAAGTAGCTGGGAATACAGGCGTGTGCCACCATGTCCAGTTAGTTGTGTTTCTTTTGGTAGAGATGGAGTCTCACTGTGTTGCCTAGGCCTGTCTCAAACTTCTGGTCTTAAACTAATCCCTCTGCCTTGGCCTCCCAAAGTGTTGGGATTACAGGTGTGAGCCACTGTGCCTGACCACAAGGAACTCTTTTTAAAATGTATTTATTGATTTTGTGGTAGATAGTATATTCATCTGGCCCAACAATTAAAAATGAAGTCACCTCCTATCTTTTTTTTTTTTTTTTTTGAGACGGAGTCCTGGCCTGCCTCCTATCTTTGTTTCTCAACCACTCAGTTAGTTCCCCTGCCAAGAGAAAAACAATAGACAATGTTTTTCTCTGTTTATCTTTTTAAAGGCATTTGATGCACACACAAGCCAATAAGAATATATCCTCCTTTTCTTTCCCCACCCCCATTTTTTCTGCACAAGCATGCATGTGACATTCTTCTGCACCTTGCTTTTTCTGTTTAACAATGTACCTCAGAAGTCTTCCCAAATCAGCTTCCTCAACACTTTGTTTTATGGTTGTGTAGAGTTCCAGTGTATGAAGGAACACACTAATTTATTTATCCAATCTCCTGGCTGTTAGATAGTGAGGGTGTTTCCAGTCTTTTAGCACCATATGCGAGGCTGCAATAAATCTCCTGTTCAGACATAATGTCATACAACTGAGTGTATCTGTGGGACAAATCCCTAGAAGCAGAATTGCTAGGTCAAAGGGTAAGGTGCATATGTAATTTTTTTTTTTTTTTTTTGAGACAGAGTCTTTCTCTGTCACCTAGGTTGAAGTGCAGTGGTGCAATCTTGGCTCACTGCAACCTCCACCTCCCAGGTTGAAGCGATTCTCCTGCCTCAGCCTCCTGAGTAGCTGGGATTACAGGCATGCACCATCACACCTGACTTTGTATTTTTAGTAGAGACGGGGTTTCGCCATGTTGCCAGGCTGGTCTCAAACTCCTGAGCTCAGCCAATCTGCCCGCCTTGGCCTCCCAAAATGCTGGGATTACAGGCGTGAGCCACTGTGCCTGGCCTGGTCTTTCAGTACCATATACAAGCCTGCAATAAATCTGTTTAGACATAATGTCATAGAAGTGAGTGTATCTGTGGGACAAATCCCTAGAAGTAGAATTGCTGGGTCAAAGGGTAAGGTGCATACGTAGTTTTGATAGATACTCCGAGATTGTTCTCCAGTGAAGTTGCCATCAATTTACGCTCCTACCAGCAATGCATGAGGGCACCAATTCCCCACACCCCCACCAGTCTAACAGGCAAAAGTTTTAGGTCTAGCTTGATTTGCACCACTCTCCTCATGAATGTGGCTGAGTAGCTGTTTAAGGGCCCTTTGTGTGACTGGGTTTTTGGTTTTGTTTTTTTTTTTGTTTTTAATGTGAATTCTTCGTATCTTCTGCTCACTTTTTAATACATGTTCTTGGTCTTTTTTTCCTTTTTCTTTTTCTTTCTTTTTTTTTTTTTTTTTTTTTATTGAGATGGAATCTTGCTCAGTCACCCAGGCTGGAGTTCAGTGGCATGATCTCAGCTTACTGCAACCCCCGCCTCGCAGGTTCAAGCAATTCTCCTGCCTGAGCCACCCAAGTAGCTGGGACTACAGGCATGCACCACCATGTCTGGCTAATTTTTTGTATTTTAGTAGAGACAGGGTTTCACCAGGTAGGCCAGGTGGGTCTCAACTCCTTGAGCTCAGGCAATCTACCCACCTCGGCCTCCCAAAGGGCTAGGATTACAGGTGTGAGCTATTGTGCCCGGCCCTTGGTCTTTTTATCATCAATGCATAGGAGTTCTTCATATATTAGGAGAATCAGCCCTTTGTTTATGAGCTGCAGATAATTTCCCCAGCATGTTGTCCTTTGACCTTGACTTTGGGTTGTTGCTCAGTGAACCTATTTTTCTATAGTCAAATTTATCAATCTTTGCTTTTGTGGTTGCTAAATTTTGTCTCTTGCACAGAAAGGAGCAGGAACCAATAGCCCCAACACACACACCACTTTTTTGATCAGTACAAGCTTGGAGTGACTTACTGGGTTCTGTAAGGAACAGGACAACTCCTGCTCTCCAAGAGAACCCAATGTTAGGAGGACACAAAGTAAACTAACAATTACAATTCTGTTGTAATAAATAGTGGTGGCCGGGCACGGTGGCTCACTCCTGTAATTCCAGCACTTTGGGAGGCCGAGGCAGGAAGATCATGAGGTCAGGAGTTCGAGACCAGCCTGGCCAACATGGTGAAACCCCGTCTCTATTAAAAATACAAAAAAAAAAAAAAAAAAAATCAGGCCAGGTGCGATGGCTCACGCCTGTAATCCCAGCACTTTGGGAGGCTGAGGCAGGTGAATCACGAGGTCAGGAGATTGAGACCATCCTGGCTAACACAGTGAAACTCCGTCTCTATTAAAAATACAAAAAAAAAATTAGCCGGGCGTGGTGGCGGGCGCCTGTAGTCCCAGCTACTCAGGAGGCTGAGGCAGGAGAATGGCGTGAACCAGGGAGGCGGAGCTTGCAGTGAGCCAAGATCATGCCACTGCACTCCAGCCTGGGCGACAGAGCAAGACACCGTCTAAAAATTTTAAAAAAGAAAAAGAAAAAAAAAGCTGGGCATGGTGGTGCACACCTGTAATCCCAGCCTCTCAGGAGGCTGAAGCAGGAGAATTGCTTGAACCTGGGAGGCAGAGTTTACAGTGAGCTGAGACCGCACCACTGCACTCCAGTCTGGGCGAAAGAATGAGACTCCATCTCAAAAAATAAAAATAAAAATAAAAAATAATAGTGGGAAGCACCATGGCAACCTGGGCAAGGAGGTTGCAGTTGGCCAGGGAAGGCTTTCCAAAGGAGGTAGCACCCAGGTACATCCACAGGCATGTGTGGGAGTCAGTCTTATCCCAGTAAAAGCAGCAGCATGTGCACAGGCAAGAGGCCTCACAAGTTCAAGGTTGTCCAGTCTGGCAAGAGAATACGGAGCCCTTCAGGGTTGGCATGTGGTAAAGGGCAGTGCTAGAAGGGTAGGCAGGAGCCAGATCACAAAGGGCCAGGTGTGTACTGCCCAGGAGTCTGGGCCTGACCTGAGGCAGTGGGGAGGCAGCAGCGGCACCTGACCAGCGGGGTGCAGGAAGGGCTGGAGGCGGCCCAGGGTGGAAGCTGGGCCTTGGTTTGGTGGCTTCTGCCTCCCACCCAGCAGCATCCACAGCAGCCTTGAAGGGCTCATGGCTGCCACAAAAGAGTGCACATTTCAGACCCAAATGTTCTATTCTCTGAAACTTCCAGAATTCTATAAAAAATCATCAGGGAGGCTAGAATCTTCTCTGAGAAACATTTCTCCCCAAGATGAAGGTAACTTCAAGTGCTTGGACCCCTCGTGGGGAAAGCAGTGATTGTCACTCCCCACTCAGCACCTCCTTGGCAGATGGGGCCAGCTAAATGCAGCACCTGCTCCTCTTAGCTCCAGTCTGGTGCAGGGAACAGCTGGGCTCTTTAGGCCCAGCCCAGACCCATTCATCCAGACCCCCCGCTTCAAAATGGGCGGCAGGGATGCAGGACTGCTGTGGGTAGGAGATGGAGAGACGAACCCCCAGGGACAGGGGCCTCCAGCTGGCCTGAGTCCACAGGGATATATGTTCCCTTCTAGCCAACAAGGCGCAGTCCTGCTGAGCAGCCACAGCTGTTTTCAGAGCTCTGGGACAGTGGCCTGTGAACTTCCCTGCTCCCATGGCCTTTTCACACAGGCACTTTGTGGTTGATCTCCCTGGGTGACTGCCTTCCCTAAAATCCCTGGCATAGATCCTCGCCCACGATGAACACTCAGAAAATGCTATCAGTTTCTGTTAAAATTGGGAAGCGGCTGGGCGCGGTGGCTCACGCCTGTAATCCCAGCACTTTGGGAGGCCATGGCCAGCAGATCACTTGAGGTCAGGAGTTCAACATTAGTCTGGCCAACATGGCAAAACCCATCTCTACAAATAATACAAAAATAAGCTGGGCGTGGTGGCGGGCACCCGTAATCCCAGCTACTCAGGAGACTGACGAGGGAGAATGGCTTGAGCTGTGATCGCGCCACTGCACTCCAGCCTTGGGGACAGAGCAAGACTCCGTCTCAAAAAATAAATAAAAATAAAATTGGGAAGCCTCACCATTTACTAGTGGGTTGCTGAGGGAGAGGAAGGGCAATGTGGACAAGAAGGAATTTGGAAACCCTGTAAATGGACTTTTGGGACCGTCTCCGGGTTTCAGTTACCCAGGTTCTCCCCATGCCCCATCCCCAAACCAGCCAAAGAAGTTGGTTCTTGATGCTACCATTTTAGTTATAGTTTATTTCATACCCTAAGGCAATTTTATCCCAAAGGGTCACCTGGTGAAGTCAAGTGCTGTTGAGATAAAGGCTGTGGAGGCTGCTGGAGCACTGATTCCAGCCAGTAGGCTTCCTGGTCCCCTCAAGGCACCTCTACTCTCAGTGCTCTCAGAGCCCACATGGGATGTCCCTCACACCTGGCCTGGAAGCCAGAGGGCAGGAAGCCAGCCTCAGCCTCAGCTCCAAATACGCAGACAAGCCCTCCCCGCTGCAGCCACACCAAATGGCAATTAAGTCAAAAGCTGGGTAGCAGAGGGTTTCTGGGCCAGAGTGCATGGTGTCTCTGGATCTACTTCCCTTGGTCATGTGTACTGGGGGGTAGGGAGGCACAGACACCCAGGCCCCTGCCTCAGGTCCAGCAAAGCTGAAAGGATGAGAACAGAGGAAACCAAGAAGCAGGCAAGAGGCCTGGGACCCAGGGCAGGGTCAACCCTCCTGGCTGCTTACCTGTCACTTGCATAAAGGGATGTGTCAACTTAGCATCCAGGATTTCCTTTTTCCCAAAATGAGACAGGGCATTGCAGTAAATGCTAGGAAAGCTCTCTGGCATATATGCATGCCTAGTTTTAACTTCCATTGATTTGACATTTACTACGTTCCAGGCACTCAGTGGCATGGGTATTCTGCACACAAAATTTCACTGAATCCTCTCAACAACTCCCTGAGGGTAGGATAACAAGATAGCTGAGGTAAGTGAAGGTCAGGAAGGCTAAGTCCTGAACCAAACTGCCACTGCTAGTAAGCGGCAGAGCTGGGATTGGAACTAGGGGCTGTCTGGCTTCAGATCTTTATCCTTAACCACCATGTTATACGGGGACTAAAGAGTGCCGGTGAGTTGTGAACCCAGACCCTTCCCCAGCCACACCTGGCAACACCCCCTGATCTCTGGGACCACAGCTGGGTTGTAGGGAAAGAATGGAGTCTCCTAAATGGTGATTTTTCTTTATTTCCCCGCACCTTCAATCTCATGGCATGGTCTGCAGGAAACCTCAGAGTCCTGCCAACTCGCAGGCTTCGCTGATCGCATGGCACCTGGGCACCCCGCCAAAGAGCTGAAACTCCCAAGGCTCAGCCAGGACTCTCCAGCTGTGGTGTTTCTAAAAGCCGTTCTGGGTGAGATGTAGAGCCGAGTTTTCCCAGTCGCTCAGTCCTCCTCCCGTGAGGACAACACTGCTTGCTCTCCTGGCTTGCCTCACCCATCCAGGAAAAGGTGGGGAGGGGCTCTAGGCAGCGGCCTCTCCTGGTTGAAAGAAACTGAGACCTGGGCCTTCCGTCCAGTTTAACCTGGAGCAGGCCTGGCCCCTGGGCAGGCTCAGAGCAGGTCCCCCATTCAGCAAATGAGGGTATCCTCCTATTTTGCCAACATCCATCTTCACCGACTTGGCCTGAACCCATTCTGAGTACAGAGGGACACCCATGACAGAAATCCCAGGTCAACTCTGCTGGAAGCCACTGTGCTGGAAGAGGACTTCTTTCACTTTGTCCACGATGGTCCCCACTTCAGCCATGGCCCCGAGACCTGGGAGCAAAATTCCGCTGTGGCCAGACAGGCCAACAGTGCCTGTAGCCCTGCAGACCCCTGCCCATTGCTCCAAGTGCTCCACCCAGAGCCCAAGGCCTGAGAGGGCAAGGTCTGTCTTTGCCTGAGCCAGACACATCAGATCTCTCCCAAGACCCCTGGCAAGACCCTGGGACTCGTTCCAGTAGCCATCCTTAACTGCGTGTGGGCTGCGTGCCAGGGACTCTACCAGGTACTTTACACATTCCACCCCATTTTACCCTACCAATCTGGAGGCAGGAATTACGATTCCCATTTTCCAGCTGAGAAAGCTAAGCTCAGAGAATGGTTTGCTAAGGTCATTAACAGGCCAGGAACTGAACTGAGATATGACCCCAAAGCTGAGCCCCTTCTACAGCCCTGGGCTATAAGCCTGGCAAGACACCCACCTTCATCTCCGCACACCAGCTTCTTGGCCACACAGGGGATCTCGACATAGCCAAAGGCCTTGAGCTGGTCTACCTGCTGCGCTGTGATCGGGTGCTCCCACATGGCGGTGTTCATGGCCGGGCAGAAGAGCAGGGGCTTGCTGCGGTCCCAGGCCCGCATGACGCAGGTCTGTGAAGAAGGCCAGGGAAGTGGGGGTCTTGCTACTCTGTCTGCCACCCTCCCCACCGCCCTCCAGACCCTGCAGCCAGCAGCCCAGCTGTAGGCTTGAGATGACTGGGCACAGCCTGCCTGCAGGGAGCTGTCTCATCCCTCAGGGGTGGGGGCTATGTCTCCTCGCCTCTCTCCACCTCCCCACAGGCTCTGGCACAGGATCCTACAAACAGGAGGTGCTCAACCAACGCTCAGACCTCCAGCAGGTATCCCTGTGCCTAAGCCTCCTCCAGGTAGGCTCACACCTCCTGGGAAAAGCAACCCTGGGGAGCAGAAGGCAGGCTTTTTTGGTTGCACCAGAAAGCAAAGGACCAGGCTGCTCCTCAGGTGGGGCTCATCTACTTGACATCAGCTCTCCGAGGCCAACTAAAGTCTGGCAATGAAAACATCTGCCGTTACCAAAACCTTCTCATATATAGGATCTCATTAACCCTCACTGAGACCTTATAAAGAAGGTGCTGTCCCATTTCACAGATAGGGAGCTGCTCCCTGAGAGGTAAGCAGTCATCCACGCCCACACCCGGACAATGGGCACCACCCAGGCAATGTTCCACTGCACAGCCTCACCATCTCCCAAATCCAGGCCGTCCCACCAAGCCACAGACCTGAGCAGTTGTGAAAGGAGCCATCCAGCTCACAGAGTCCTTTGTGCCACGGACTTTGAAATTACGTAGCCCTGAGTTCAAATCCTGACTGTGCTCTAGCTGTGAGAGCACTAGCTGTGTGTGTATTACTAGCTGTGAGAACCTGGACATGGGACTGAAGGCCAGGGCCTGGCTTCCTCTCTAGAAAGGTCCCTCCCTGGGCAGCTGTGAGGACTGAGGTGAGAATGGCTACAAAGCTCTGAGCGCAGGGCCAGGCACAAAACACAGGCTCCAGGGCAGTGACTCCTGGGCTTCCCACAGGCACAGGCTCCCTGGGCTGGGGGCCGCCTGGGGGAGAGAGAAGCTCCCAGTGCTCTGACTACTCCAGACACCTCTTCCAGGGCTGTGAGCTCCTCAGGGTAACAGGCTGGAAACCCCTCCCCTGAAGGGAAGCTCATCTGGGAAAAGAGCGAAGGAGTCCAGAGAACAATGCCCCGACAGGACAGGACCAGCACCTCCCCCAAGTCCCAGGGACAGGGAGGAAGCAGGACAGCAAACAGCCCTGGGACCTGGCTGCTTGCATCAGCCACCAGCATTAGTTTCCCACCAAGCCCTCTCAATACGGCAGCCGGGCTATGAGTGGACAGTTTCAGTCACACTTCCTCTTGGCTCCATGCCACCTGCTGCTTCTGCAGAAATCAAGAGCATACCTAGAAAAGTCGCTCCGCTGTGTGCAGGGCAGGAGCAAGGGCTGGGCTGGGCTTTCTAAGTGCCCTCAAAGCAAAGCACACCAACCAGGGTGAAAACCAGCACTCCAACTCCTCTCAGACAAGCCTCAGCTACTCTGAACCCACGAAAGCAGGCAGGAGGAGAAGAGAGCCTCGGTTCCCACGGTGACATCTCTTTGGCCAGTGCTGTGTTCAACATTTCAGGCTCTGCCCCTGGGAATTCACATGGGCAGGGGAGAAGGCCTGGATCCCAGTCAGGAGACCAGCTCCTAGCCAGACTGGTGACCCAGAGAGATTGTCTGCTCTTTCTAGGTCCGACTGCCTGTTTAGCACAAATGGGCCAGGGCCTTAGTGGGCTAGAGGACAGAGGGACACGGGCCTGGAGGCCAGGAGCACGGTCACACCTAGCATGCTGCCCTCACAGCACCCCATGCCCTGGGCGCTGGAAAGGGAGGTCTGCGGATGGAGGAGCAGGCTCAACTTCCTTTCAGGGATGTAGGGAGAAAACAGCTACAGAGAGAGGACACAGCCACAGGCCACCAATGCCCACACTTCAAACTTTGTAAAATTTGAGATTCCTTGAAACATTTGTGACTTCGAGGGAAAACCTTTGAGGCAAATGATCTGGGGGCTGGTCTTGGGAACATGTTTCACTTCCCAGCCAACTCTGGAGGAGGGAAGCCCAGGGATTTCATGAAGTGATGGCAGCTTAGAAGGAAAAGGGGAAGCAGAGCTTGCAGGAAGAAGGAAAGCGCCCTTGCAGAGCTGGCCCAGGCCGGGGCTTAGCTCCCAGAGGCCAGTACTTTGTCACACCAGCTGCTGCTGACCCGCCAGCAGGGAGCCTGGAGATTTGGTGAGATGGTGCTGGCCACACACAACTCTGACCCAATTTGATGAGAGCAGCCAAGAAACTCAACTGTTCTAGCTGCAGCTGCCATGTCAGTTGTGGCACCAGTGCTGCTGGGAAGCCTTTTTGTTTTTTTGAGACAGAGTCTCACCTCTGTAGCCCAGGCTGGAGTACAGTGGCACAATCACAGCTCACTGCAGCCTTGACCTCCTGGACTCAAGCGATCCTCCCACCTCAGCCTCCTGAGTAGCTGGGGACCACAGGCATGCACCACCACACCTGGCTAATTTTTTTTATATGTTTTGTAGAGATGGAGTTTCACCATGTTGCTCAGGCTGGTCTCAAACTCCTGGGCTCAAGCAATTTTCCTGCCTCAGCCTCCCAAAGTGCTGGGGTTATAGGCATGAGGCACCATGCCTAGCCTTTTCCCTTTTTTTTTTTTTAACTAGAGACAGGGTCTTGCTATGTTGCCCAGGCTGGAGCGCACTGGCTATTCTGGCTATTCACAGGCACAATCAAGGGGCACCGCAGCCTAGAACTCCTGGGCTTAAGCGACCCTCCCACCTCAGCCTCCCAAGTAGCTGGGACTATAGGGAAAGCCTTCTTGATGACATTGCACCCAGGCTCTCTCTTCTCTGCACTCCCTACCCCTGCTCCTGGCCACACAAGTTGTTCTTCTGCTCACCCTGTGCTCTTATTCAAATGATGCTTAAATCACTGGCAGATTCTTTGAGGAGTGCCTTAAGAGCCCATTGACAAGTATACAAGAACACTAATCTGTGACCCCAAAAAACATCCTGTCCCAGCTTCATCATCCACCTTCTTCACCACATGAAACTCTGAAAAACTCCCAGCTACTCGCAAAAGTAAAACTGCTAGTTACCGCATACATGCAGTAAGTATTTATTGGATGTCTACCACAGGCCCAGCACTATGCAAGGTGGTGACTCCATAGAAAGGACTGACTGGGGTCATTCAGGACTGTACCCCTCACCAGAGGATACTCCCTTCCCAACGGCATGGGTGATCAAGCCTGGCATTCTCCTTCCAGCCTGGGAGCTCCCTGTGTCCTGTGAGGCTCTCAGAACAGACCCCAGTACAGTACGTGGTAGGCGAAAGCTCAATAAATGAGGTGGGGGGTGGCAATTAGGGAGAAGGAGGAGAGAAATCACACCCAAATCTTCCCAGGACGATCATATAAACAAAGGCAGCTCCCCTTTAAGGGCAACAGCTCCCTGGAGGCATCTTAGGCCTAGGACAGTGCCCACTTTGGACAGCTGGACTTCCATTTCTCCCTACCACCCATCGGCTCTCGCCACTGCCCCGTCTTTCTCCCCTCTTCCCCTCTAAGCTTCCCCTAATATACAGGAAAGCTACAAGGGTGATAAAGTGTATATGAGCCATCTATGAAGAAGTGAACCCCCAATTACATTGCCCACGTGTATACCCAGATCTGCGGAGAAGGCAGAGCTGAAGCGGGAGGCGATGGGGCTGGGCAGAGACAGTGGAAGAGCACACCCAGGCAGCCCACGAGGAGGGACAAAGAGCAAGGAAGAAGGGTCTTCCTGTGGGCACCTGGCTGGGTGCAAGGGCAGGGGAGAGGGGGACACTCCTGGGGAGCAGTGGCAGGTCACACTGACCCATCAGGACCAGGGCTGTGCCCATGTGCTACAGAGAAGGTGAGAGCACTGGGGGCGATGTGGGGAATGGCGGAGCACGATCTCCCTGGGCAGACCGGGGCCCCACAGCAGCAGGTCTCCTTGTACAAGGATGTCTGCAGCTCAGCAAACTGGGTGTGAGGCCCAGGGACGGACGAGGGCACCAGGACATCACTCACAAGCAAGTTGTCACAGATGCCACTGGCCACCTTCCCCAGAGTGTTGGCATCAAGAGGAGCCACCAGCAGGAGGTCTGCCCACCTCCGCAGGTCAATGTGCAGAACTGGGTCAGAGCGGCTCTTCCATATCTGGCAGAGGGAAGAAAAAGGGGTCAGTGTGGAGGAAGCAGGATGCAGCGCCAAGGCAGGCCAGGTACGGTAAGTCAGGAGACTGAGGAACCCACTGACCTGCCCTGCCCAGGCCAACCTCCGTTCCCTCCTGCAGCTAAGCTGGCGAGCGCTAGCCATGGAGCCAGCAGCCGAGAGAACCAGGCCTGAGGAAACAAGTGCCCCTTGTCTCTCTGAGCTATTCCCTTCATGGTTTGGCTTTCAAGAGAACTGACATCTGGCAGGGAGCTCCCGGCCTGTCTGCTTGAGGCGGATGCTTGGGTTGTCCAAGCCAGTGGAAAGCTCCGGGGCAGTGAGAAATGGAGGGGGTGGGGGCGGGGAAGACAGGCCAGCCGGAAATGTTCTAGGCTAAGAATGTTTGAAAATGCCTGGCAGGGAACCCCTGTGAGGCCCACACTCAGCGTCTGGTGAATCAGCCAGTGCCCACCCATCCGCAGGGGAGATGCAGCAGAGCCCGGCGGCCGTGGGAAGTGAGGCGTTCTCTTCAGCCCTGACGCCAGGAACCACGTGGACAAGGGTGGTGGGAACAGAGCTCCTCTGTGGTTTCATCAGCCCAGATAAGTACAAGGACACTCAACCTCAGGCACCAGGCCAAAGCCCAGCTCTGCCTGGGCCGGGAGGAGACTAGGGCCTCCTGCAGGCCAGAAGCTAGACAGATGTTTTCTTCATTGCCTCTGCCCAGAGGGCCCTGACCACAGACTTGAGCCCAGCCTGTCTGTTCCAGCTGCCAGACCATAGGCCGTAGGGAGGACTGTTCTGTCCTGCTGGTGGAAACTCAATGGAACTCAGCCCAGGGGCCCCAGCACTGACCTCCCATTCATCAGCGTCGCTGTAGAGGGTGACAGGAATGTCCTGGGGGCTGTAGAAATGTTTGGCTCTCTCAGTTGTGACCACTGCTACTTCCAGCTGTCACCAAGAAGAAGGGGGTGGCGGGGAGGGAGGAAGAAACTGTTACCAGAGCCACAGGCCTGGAGGCCACAGGAGGGTCAGGGCAGGCAGGTGCTGTCTTCACAGGCTGGCTTGAGAGAGGACTTCCCTCCTTAGCTGCAAGCCTCATGTCTGCTTAGCTACTTCTGCTGTCACCCAAAGGTCAGGCCCTATCAGGTGTGGCTGTTTCACTTCCCTATCTGAGGGGCTGCTGAGGAATGAGTCACCAACTGCCCGTATATACAAAGCTGCAAGCTCCTGCCACTCGGGCAGAGGTAGGCCCAGTGGCAGAGGCACGCAAGTGACAGGAAAGGAAGTCAAGGCCAGGGCCGCAGAGGCCACAGCAGGCAGGAGGGGCCACCCAAGGAGGCTCATAGGTCCTGAGTTCTGTGCCACACAGCAGCTCTGCCCTCTGCAGGCCAAGGCGCTGGGGGCTGGGGCGCGGCATGTCCTCTGTGCATGCATGACCCGAAGAGAAAGCAGACAGTATCCCTTCACGTACTTCTAGGAACAAGTCCTCGTGGGCACAGGCTGCAGACAGGCTCCTGGAGAACCCAGCCTGTGTGTGCCCTACACTCATGGGGTGAGAATGAGGTTTACCTGGTGTACACTACCCATTCACTAAGAAATTACTAACGCAAACCAGGGCTGCCTGCAATCTGCTTAACAGAACACATGGCTGTGAAAAACAGCACCCAGGAGTGTGAAGGGCACTAGATGGGTTGGCTATCATTTGTAAAACAAGATTTTTTTTTTTTTTTTTTTTTGAGATGGAGTCTTACTTTGTCGCCCAGGCTGGAGTGCAGTGGTATGATCTCGGCTCACCGCAACCTCCGCCTCCCAGGTTCAAGCCATTCTCCTGCCTCAGCCTCCCGAGTAGCTGGGATTACAGGTGCACACCACCACGCCTGGCTAATTTTTGTGTTTTTAGTAGAGACGAGGTTTTTCACCATGTTGGCCAAGCTGGTCTCAAACTCCTGACCTCAGGTGATCCACCCGCCCCAGTCTCCCAAAGTGCTAGTGTTACAGGCGTGAGCCACCGCACCCAGCCTGTAAAACAAGATTTTAGACTAACGAGCTGGCAAAGTACAGGGGCCCAGAGGAAGTAGCTGTTGGGGAGAGGGGTGTATAGGGAACCACATCTTTGGGGGAAACCAATGAATCAGGAGAGGACATTTGTTTCTCTGGACATTTATCCAGAAGAAAGAAAAGTCAAGGGTGACAAGGACAGAACCATCAACCAGCCAGAGCTATAGTCATGGGCCATGTCTGGGCCAGACCCAGCCTATAGACATGCTGTTTGGCCTACACAAGATTATTAACATTTTTGAGCCAACATGTCCAAGTTGGAAGATTTCGCATAGAAAATTCAATTTCCTGAGTTCTTGTGAAAAGCTGAAGGCTAGGCGCTGCTGGACACACATTCCTACGTGAGAGCGACGTGGTGCCCTAAGGCCTGCCTCTCACTCTGTAGGACGTGCCCATGCCAATTCCACCTTGTCCTCATTCCTCCTTACTGTCTCTCTGAGGCACCCCCTCCTCGCTTGCTTCCTGCATATTGTACAGGGCAGGGTGGATGACACAGCGGCACAGCGCCTAGGAACAAAGCTAGGACCAAGGAGTAGAAGTCTCAGAGAAGAAGACTGAGGAAGAACTTCAGAAAGTCTGGCGTTCTGAGTTCTATTGACTTGTCCATTCTCCATCTCACTCCCCCTTAGGATCTACCATGCCCAGAACCTGCAAAAAAACCTCAAGGACCTTTTCAGAGGTCCATCACTTATTTATTTATTTACAGAGTCTTACTCCATTGCCCAGGATAGAGTGCAGTTGTGTGATCATGGCTCACTGCAGCCTCAACTGCCCTGGGCTCAGGTGATCCTCCCATCTCAGCCTCTTGAGTAGCTGGGACTACAGGTGCATGTCACCATGCCCAGCTAATTTTTTGTATTTTCGGTAGAGACAGTGTTTCACCATGTTGCCCAGAATTATCTCAAACTCCTAGGCTCAAGCAATCCACCCACCTTGGCCTCTCAAAGTGCTAGGATTACAAGCATGAACCACCATGCCCAGCCTAGAGGTCATTTAAACCAAACTCCCACTGAATGCTGGAGTCTCCCTAGGATGGCCCTGAATAAGCCTTGCCCAGTTCTGAGTAAGATGGCAAATGAGCAGGGCTGCATTATCCCTCCCCGGAACCCAGTCCTGGAGATGCCACTGGGCCAGCACAGGTTGGGAGAGCAGGGCAGGGCGGGGCCATGCTGAAGGCCCTGTCTCTTTCGTGGGGAAGACACAAGATAGTGATGAGGTAAAGAAGAGGGCACAATAAGTTATGGTAACCATAAGAAGAATAACCTTTACCTTTCAAACCCACAGAAGGAAATTCAATCTACACATAAAGGATACGAAAGGAGAAAAAGAAGCAGAGAGAATATATGATAAAGCATTTGGCCGGGAGCAGTAATGGGATTACGCTCATGCCTGTAATCCCAGCACTTTGGAAGGCCGAGACAGGCAGACTGCTTGAGCCCAGGAGTTCAACACCAGCCTGGGCAACATGGTGAGACCCCCATCTCTACAAAAAATACAAAAATTAGCCAGGCATGGTGGTGTGCGCCTGTAGTCCCAGCTATATTCGGGAAGCTGAAGTGGGCGGAGCCCTTGAGCCTGGGAAGGCAGAGGCTGCAGTGAGCAGAGATCAAGTTACTGCACTCCAGCCTGGGTGAAAGGGTGAGACCCTAACTCCAAAAAAAATAAAAAAATAAAAAAATAAAAAGCAAGCAAGCATTAAATAAGACAGCATAGGTAAATCCTAATATAATAATAATTATAGTAAATATATAACAGGCTCATCTTCTGTATTAAAATTCAGATTCTTATCTTGGATATTGTTTAATCCATCAATATCTTGTATAAAAAGATAAATTTAAAGCAAAAGAACATATAAAGGTTAAATAGAAGAAAAAGCTTTTAGTTAAATAAGGTAAACTCTGCTCCCTCCCAGAAGCCCATTAAAATAAAAGTAAAGTAATTTTTTTTAAAACGATCTAAACTCAGTGGCTCACGCCTGTAATCCCAGCACTTTGGGAGACTGAGGCAGGCAGATTGCTTGAGGCCAGGAGTTCAAGACCAGCCTGGGCAACGTGGTGAAACCACATCTCTAATACAAAAAAATTAGCCAGCATCGTGGCACACACCTATAGTCCCAGCTACTCTGGAGGCCAAGGTGGGAGGATCAGTTGAGCCCAGGAAGTCGAGGCTGCAGTGAGCCAAGATCATGCCACTGCACTCCAGCCTGGGTGACAAAGTGAGACCTTGTCAAGGAATAGAAGAGAAGAGAACGGCTGGGCATGGTGTCTCACGCCTGTAATCCCACTTTGGGAGGCTAAGGTGGGCAGATCACCTGAGGTGGGGAGGTCGAGATCAGCCTGACCAACAAGGAGAAACCCCATCTCTACTAAAAATACAAAATTAGCCGGGTGTGGTGGCGCATGCCTGTAATCCCAGCTACTCGGGAGGCTGAGGCAGGAGAATCGCTTGAACCTGGGAGGTGGAGGTTGCAGTGAGCTGAGATCGCACCATTGCACTCCAGCCTGGGCAACAAGAGTGAAACTCCATCTCAAAAAAAAAAAAACAAAGAAAGAAAAGAAGTAAATTCTCAAGAACAAAAAGAAGAGGAACCAACAGCAGTTAAGACGTGCCAATGCGCTTTCAGAAGATGGAAGCGAAAGGAAGCACTAGCAGAGCAGATCCTACAAGATAAGATTAGATTAGATGAGAAAAGAAAATATCCAAAGCCTACACAGTAACTGAGACACAAGCCAATTAGAGCCCAGGAGCCTAGGACTTGAGGCAGTGAGTACCACAAAGGTGAGCATGAGGCAGATAGCTGAATACAGGAGGACTTCCTGACCTGTAGAAGGAACAGCTAAAGTCCCCCCAGGTCTTCTTCCCACCCAAGGCAGCCAAACATACTACCCTTGCAGAGTTAGCACAACAGAGGTCAAAGGAGTCCTGGAGCAGAAGTGAGTATCTACAGACCAAACAGAGACCCAAGCCTGCTTCCCCTACTTGACCCTAAGAACGCAAGGTCAACCAGGCAGGAGACTACTGATAGGGTCCTTCTGGAAAAAACAAATAACCCTGGCAGTAGGGAGATGTGGTAGGGAAGGAAACCTTCAGATATGGAATTCAGAGGTCCACCAACAAAACATTTCAATACCAGATGAGTACCAAGTCCCTGGCAGTGAAGACAGAGTTTCCAATCAACTTTTGGCACCCAAATAAGAACAGCCAAGGAGTATCAGATATCTGAGGAGAGTCCTCTAGCAAGAAAGAGATTACACAAACAAACAGAAAATAGAAACCCAGAGACAATAGAGGGAGAAGAAAACTTAAAGATGAGAGACTACACCCAAGAAACAAGAACATAACACTTTTTAAAATGAGTATTCAAGGAACAAAAAAGAACTCTTAGAAATTAACATTATAAACAGTGAAATAAAAAATTCAACACAAGTCTAAAAGAAATCTTCCAGAAAGGAGAAAAAAAAAGATAAAGAAACGGATAATAGTAGAAAAAAGATGAGAAAATTGAATCAATTCAGTAGGTTAAAAAATCTGACGATTAAAGAGTTCCAGAGAGAACAGAAAAATAGGAGAAAATTACAAAAAAAAAATTAAATTAAATTTCCCAGAAGTGACGAACCCACAGGTGAGAGCCATTTACTCTGCCTCCAGGGGTCGGAGAAGGCAACCCCACTGTTAGGTTCATGAAGAAATTAGAGCGTCATGTCTATTGGTGCAGCCTGAGCCCACAGCAGCTCTTCTGGTGGCCACATCCCTCTGCTGATGTATGGAGTTTGCAATCAGCAAAAACTCAAAAAAATTATTCTCATTCATGCTGCTACTAAGCCACAAGCGCCAGGCTGTATCTGAGCAGTTATTTTTCTGGTCCCAAATGCTGTCCCTCACATGTCCCTGGTAAACTTCCCCTCACCAGAGTTGGTCTGCTGTTTGCTCAGCCTACAGAGAGCTCCTGAGAGCTCAATCCTGTTGCTCCTCCTCTCAGCCAGCACCACCATCAGTAGCCCCCAGAGACACTAATCCAAATTATGAACAGAACAAAGTCAAGGGCAGAGGCCACCCACAATGTCCACGGGCGTGGGTGTGGCAGCAGAGCAAGGGGTGAGAAAGAACCAAGAAGAAACTCTTTCCAAGTTGGATCTTTCACTGGCTATAACATGCTGACAACATCCCCAGGTGGTCTAGGGAGAGGTCCTAGGATTCCATCAAAGGCCTCATCTAAATCGAAAAATACTTTGTCTACTATCCAAAACATAAACTAAAATCGATATGCCTTGTTCCTAGTGATCCCAATCTAGCTTTTCTTAGCACTTACAAGCCTCATCTGTAGCAATTTGTGGAGCTCACCTCCTTCACCTTTTTGATAAATGGATACTAGCCATCTCCTGCCCCTGGCCCCTTTGACGTTTCCCACACTTCCTGTAGGTCACCAACCACAGTACCCTAGCACCCCAGGAGAGAACTTGCCCAGGACAGGAGATGAATCACCCAGCCTCGGTTCAGGTCCCTCCTACCACCACAAGCTCAAAAGAGAAGATGAACAAAATGAGATCAAAGAATCCCCCCATTTCTTTGTTAAAAACAACAACAACAACAACAACAGAGTCTCACTTTGTCATCTAGGCTGGAGTGCAGCGGCGCAATCTCGGCTCACTGCAACCTCCCAGGTTCAAGGAATTCTCCTGCCTCAGCCTCCCAAGTAGCTGGGATTACAGGCATGCGCCACCATGCCCAGCTAATTTTTGAATTTTTACTAGAGACAGGATTTCACCATGTTGGCCAGGCTGGTCTCGAACTCCTGAGCTAGGGCAATCCACATGCCTCTGCCTCCCAAAGTGCTGGGATTACAGGCATGAGCCACCGCGCCCAGCCCCTCCCATTTCTTCTTATCCTCTGCTAATGTTACCACTGGCCTCCAGCACCAGACACTGCTTCATTGTTCTTCTTCCAAATACATAAAACAGCCCTCTCGAGCCTCCTGAGTTTTGCCATAAGCTTCAGCTCACCCTGGGGGGCTCTGGACCACATTCTTCCTTCATCTCTGGTTACATGTCCTCCCTTCCACTTAACTGTTTTCCAGCTCCTTCAACAGAAGGCTTCAGGTAGCCAGAGACCACATCTCTGCTAATACACTGCCTGCTTCTGCTCATGGGACCACCATCTTTCATTTCTAAGAGCTTCCCAACCATCCTGAACCATTTGCTACTTAAGAATGTCCCAGGTTCATCGCCTCTATTCTGAAATTTGGAAAGCTACTTCCTGAAGGTCTAGGTCCTCCACTCTCCCCAGCTCCCAAAACCATCTTCCAGTTTGCAAAGCGGAGAACCTTGCCTAGTGCTGGCCTTCAGAATCATCCCCAAATTGGGCGCCAGGCATGGTGGCTCATGCCTGTCATCCCAGCACTTTGGGAGGCAGAGACGGGCGGATTGCTTGAGCTCAGAAGTTTGGGATGAGCCTGGGCAACAGGGCAAAACTCCTTCTCTACAAAAAAAAAATAATCAATCAATCATCCATCAATAAAAAAATAAAAAGAATCATCCCCAAATTGGTAATGCCCTTGATTCAGGGGTTCTCGCCTCCCTCTCAACTCTACCCTTTCTTCCTTCCCTACACCGTCACTCAAGGTCTCAGAGCCTTTAGGCCCCCACTGTCCCCTGGGGAGCTCCACCCGGGGTCCTGTTAAGCCTCTCACCCTGCTTGAGATCTTCCCTCTAAGCTCTTTGCCTAACCTCTCAGAGGCTCCACTCTCTAGCCACCCTCCCAGGTTACAGTCACATTGTTAGGGAGCCTCCTGGGGTCAAGGTCTTCACTAAGGAGTAATGCGAAGAGTATGTGATGGGCGGGTCTTTCCTGATGCCCCACCTCTGACCCACTGAAGCAGCTGACTCTCCTTGGAGGTGACCCTGACTGACCCCAGTGCTGTCTAGCAGGCCCAGACTAGTTTTTCTGGTTTTAGAGGGATGTCACTTGATCTGATTCATCAGCCCTATGGGCTTTGTTCTTTTATTTTCATTCACTCCACCAAAAGGTCCTGGGAGCCAAGGGCTGGGCCCTGTACACATTAAAATAAATAAATAAATAAATAAAACCATGTGTTATCTTCTATGATACTAAATAATTCTGACCGTTTACTCATTTACCTTGACCTTTTCCCAGCAAATGCCAAGGAGCCCTGGCAGGGCAGAAACTCCCTGAGGGCAGGAGCCTTCCTTGGCTTTCTCTTACACCTTTGTGGGTCCTGGTAGAAGCAGCGCTGGGCATTAAAAAAGAATCCCCCATATGCTACAGAATTCCTGAAAGGCAGCTCCCGGCTTAGTCCCCTGCTGACACCACTTAGAAAAAAGTTTTTTTCCTTTTTTTTTTTTTTTTTTTTGAGACACAGTCTTGCTCTGTGCAGGCTGGAGTGCAATGACACTATCTCGGCTCACTGCAACCTCTGCCTCCTGGGTTCCAGAGATTCTCCTGCCTCAGCCTCCAGAGTAGCTGGGATTACAGTTGTGCGCCACCACGCCCAGCTAATTTTTGTATTTCTAGTAGAAAGAGTGTTTCACCATGTTGGCCAGGCTGGTTTCAAAGTCCTGGCCTCAGGTGATCTGCCCACCTCAGCCTCCCAAAGTGCTGGGATTACAGGTGTGAACCACCACGCTCAGCCTACCTGAGAAAAGTTTTTACAGCTAATAGTTTTAAGCTAAATCTCTTTGTGTATGTGACTGAGGCTTGGACAGACCCTATTACATAAGCTGCCTGCATTTTATCTAGCATGTATAGAGATTCCTTCCCGAAACCAGTTGGCAAGTCTAGTTTCCTTTTCTTTGCTGAAGAGACATCAGGAATCCTGATTTGGGTCTGGTCAGGAGAAATGGAATGAGGATTTAGAGTGATACCTCCCGTTTCTACTTCAGGCCCCTAGTGTGGCCAGGCTACGTCTGGGGCAGATTATCAAAGGAACTCGTGGAGAGGCACTTCGCAGCCACAGGATGAGACAAATCCCATGGCCTGAGTCTCCACCGCCAAGCCCATTCCTGGCCTCTACCCACTAGAACCAAGAGCCAGTAGCACCACCATCCCTAAGTTAGGACAACCAAAAATGTCTCTGGACATTATCCAATGTCCCCTGGGAGGGAAAATCACCCCCGTTGAGAACCACAACTCTACAGCATTATCCGTGAAGAGCATTTCCATCTCTGCAATGATGGGAACGGCCCTACCTGTGCCGTAGGGTGTGGCAGCACTGGCCACATGTGGCCACTGAGCATCTGAGGTGTGACTGCTGTGACTGAAGAACTGAATTTTTTATTAAATTCTAATTAATTTAAATTTAAATTTGAATGTGGCAAGCGGCTGCCACATTCAAATTTACATTTATCGGATAGCACAGCTCTGGAATATACAAGAAAATTTAAATATATCAGATAGCACAGCTCTGGCATATACAAGAAAAGGAGAAGAGCCCAACTGGAACTAGCAGCTGAGTGGCTGGAGAGCAGGCGTTTCTAGTAGGGCGTGATGATGCCTCCACTGGAGACCAAGGAGGATTCTAAAGAGGAAGTGGTAGCCCCGCACTTAATCTGTGACAAGACAAGGAACCCAGGGCTTTGGTGGCCCAGTCCTCTGGGCCAGGACGCACAGCAGAGGACTCTGACATTGGGTCTACCAGTGTTGACGATGGCATGCTCCAGATCTGTGCCCAGGTCCTAGCGGCCAGCTAAGAAGCTGACACTAACCTGAGCAGGGGAGTTGGTGGGTACATTCTAGGACAAAGGATTCTTGGGGCCCAGTGCGGTTGGCACATGAGGCGCGGGAGCTGTGAAGGAGGTGGCCTCCTTAACAAAACCCCCAAGGGAGTTCCGGTTGGCTCAGTGGGTTCCATGGCTCATGATGATGCCTCTACTCGGCAAACATTTACTAAGCCTCTTATATGGTGGGGGCAGGGCTGATAAGATCCAAGCTCTGGCCTCTCCTAGGGCTCAGTCTAACAGATAGGTGGGGTACAGGTAACCCCTAACTGCAAGGCAGACCAAGATAGGAATCCACAAATTCCACCATCCTCAAGCATTGGTGAGCTTGAGCAGAGAATGAGCTCCAGGTCTGAGCTCTTCAATTCACTCACTGATAGGACCCAGGAAACCTGGCCTCAAGCCCCCAGTTCTGCTAACTCACTCACTCCCTGGAAGGCCGTGGGCGAGACCCTCTTCCTCTGTGCCTGGTTTCCCCTTATGACCCATGCATGGGCCATTTAGACCACATGGTAGGGCTCCATCTAGCTCACCGTACCACCCCAGCCCTTCTGTGACCCTGACCTTTCCCACCTGGCTCTGCAGGAAACAGTCGTGCTCTCATCTGCCCCTGGGGGAGCTGGTGTTCTGGTTGTGTCAGCTCCTCATGCCAACCCTTCTGTGTGCTTCCCCAACTTCAGAAAATTCTCAAGAAGGAAACCAGGGAGGTGGTCTAGGGAGGCTCTGCACAGGAACGTTGTTCTGGGCAATCAGGGAAGGACCCTGGGGTGCGGGACCCTCTGCCCAGAGGCCGACAGAGCTCTGTCCCTAGAGGAGCAGGTGACAGGGCTGCAGGCCAGAGGAGGAAGGGGCCAGCCAAGCAGGCAGAGGCACAAATAAAGGTCTCAGAGTTTCCACATCAGGACACAGAGCGGGCAGGTGGCCCCCACCCAGAAAAAAAGAGAAATCCTCAAACCAGGCCTTATGTCTTCTGCTCTTTCCTCAGTGAGCACTTTAAAAAAAAAAAGCACAAACTTATCAAGAATGTTCCCCAATATTCCCACCAAAAGCCCCACTGACTTAAAACAAACAAACAAACAAAAAAACACACACACACAAATATACACATAGGTTACAAATTAAAACTGAACAGAATGATACAAAAATGAAAAATGCAAGTTTCCCTTCCTCCACTGGTCCCCCTTCACAAGGGTAACCACCTCCAGAGGAAAAAACTGTGTGCAGTAACTCAGTATAAGAACACACAGAAGGAATCAGGCTGCATACCAGGGGTCGGCAAACCTTCTCTATAAAGGGCCAGATGATATTTTAGGCTTTGTCGTAATGATTTAACTCTGTAGTAGCACGAATGCAGCCATAGGCAATACGTAAATGAATGGGTATGGCTGTGTTCCAATAAATTGTCTTGGACATGAAATCTGAATTTCATATCACTTTTTTTCCGAGTCATAAAATACTATTTTTCTTTTGACTTAATCATTTAAAAATGTAAAAATCAGGCCAGGCACAGTGGCACATGCTTGTAATCCCAGCACTTTGGGAGGTGGAGGCAGACAGATCACTTGAGCCCAGGAGTTTGAGACCAGCCTGGGCAACATAGCAAAATCCTGTATCTACAAAAAGAATGCAAAAAAATTAGCAGAGTGTGATGGCACGCCTGCAGTCCCAACTATTTGGGAGGCTGAGGTGGGAGGACTGCTTGAGCCTGGGAGGTCAAGGCTACAGTGAGCAGTGATCACACCACTGCACTCCAGCCTGAGCAACAGAACAAGACCCTGTCTCAAAAATAAATAATAAAAATTAAAATGTAAAAATCATTCTTAGCTGTAGGCTATACAAAAACAGGCAGAGCCGAATTTGGCCTTGGGGGGGGGGGTCCAGTTTGCTAGCTCCTACACCCTGCTTATTCCGCTTCCATCTTGATGATTGCTCCCTTCAGCACAGAGAGAGCCACCCCATTTTTCTGAATCATTGCCAAGTAATCCACTGAGAGATTGTCCCATAAATCATAAGGGCACCACAGCTCTCTACTGCTGGATATTTTGTTTGCTTCCAGTTTTGCTTTGAAATTATAAATAATGCTATAATGGACATCCTTTCACTTTGTAAATACACCCCACAGAGTTTAATCCTGTGGGTAAATCAAGGACTATGAAGATGTTTTAATTTCTCTCAATATTGTCAAGTGGTCCTCCAGAAAGTCAGAATTTACTCCACACTGCATATGAGCAGAGCCTTCTTTTCCTCACCCTCGACAGACCTGGATGTCCTGACAGACACCCTAGAAATGTATCCTTCTCTGAGCCCGAGGCCTGCTGACTCCTTGAGTTGGGGGTTTTCTCTATCTTTAGAAATCCCCTTTTGGCTCTGAATTCTGCTGACACCTGCCCTGGCAAAAGCTAGGGCGATGTCTGTCTTCTCCTCCCAAGTTTGAAGGGTGTGGATGAAGGAGTTCAGGAAATGCCACCCCATAATATGCGGCTTTGGTATGCTGATTATTTCAAACCTGAAGGCACTGGGGGAAAAACAAATGCAGGGAGGAACTTTCTCTGAACTTCTCTTATCTGCCTAAAGAGGGATTCCCCTTGTCCTGAGTCCCCCTCCCTGAGAAAGGAAGACTGACTTATTGACAATCTGCTGAGGCATCTTTTATTATCTGAGAGGTTTTTATCTGCCTAACAAGACCGTATAATTCCTCCCCTCACCCTCCCATAACTTGTGTCGCCACCACCCCCAGAAGCCCCAAGCCCCTATTTCCTTCTGTAGCTCAGGCTGCTATACAGGCTTCAGCCATCTCACCCTTCTGGGAATCTCATATTTTGTGGTACACCCATGTGCAGATATGTAACTAAATATGGTTTTCTCCTGTTGATCTTGTTTTTTGTTGTTATTGTTTTGAGATGGAGTCTTGCTCTGTTACCCAGACTGGAGTGCAGTGGCATGATCTCAGCTCACTGCAACCTCTGCCTTCTGGGTTCAAGCGATTCTCCTGCCTCCGCCTCCTGAGTAACTGGGATTATAGGCGCCCACCACAACCGGGTAATTTTTGTATTTTTAGTAGAGCTGGGGTTTTACCATGTTGGCTAGGGTGGTCTCGAACTGGCCTCAAGTGATCCGCCCGCCTCAGCCTCCCAAAGTGAGCCACCGCGCCCGGCCCTGTTAATTTTGTTTATAAGTCAGTTGAACTCATAGCCCAGCCAAGCAGCCTAGCAAGATGGAGGAAAGCCATTTTTGCTCCCCTGCATGGGCCAGGCTGCCAACCCCAGGGAAGAAACTGCCTGAGCTGACAACCCGGATTTTACTGCCACTCAATTACATGACAACTACGGAACTACAAAACCCCCGGCATCCTGAAGCTCCTGAGCCCCAGGACCTTCTCTCAGGCTGCCTTTGGGTCCTAGTCCTTTTTGCCCTCACATCTAGAATCTTCTAACACCAGTGCCAGAAGAGGCCCTGGAGATGGATCATTTGAGAACCTGCCCCTCCTTCACTGTGTGGATAAGAAAATTATGGCCAAAAAGAACGGACTTGCCCAGGGTCCCAGCGTCAGAAATGTGCTCAGCTGCCTCTCTTGTGACACGGTTGCCCACCTGCCCCAACATACTCAAGGTCATCTCTGCTAGTGACTACTCTCCCTGACTGCTGGTGTGTGTGGCTTGTGGCTAATCCATGTCTCTCCACCACCCCTCACAGTCTCCCTGATTTGGCTACCTTGACATTAGCGGCTTTCCCGGGATGTCTGGACATACTGGTCAATCAGGAACAGTGATGGGCCAGATCTGTAGAATCCCCCAGCTCCCTGCAGCCCACACCCCAGCTGTTCATGTGCTAGACAAAATCTGGATGTACCTAAGGAAGTTCCGGAAAGCCTTGAGCACCTGAACCCACGACTCAGCAGGTGAAGAGCTGAAAGTGACTGCTCCAAGGGACAATGATGCTCCTGCAGGAGATCCAGCAGGAGGCAATGTGGAGATCAGGGCCATCAGGGAGTGAAGGGGAGTGTGCAGGGATAGACGCCACCACTGGGGCCAACACAAGGCAATCCAGGGATTACCTTTGGATCCCAACACCTCACGAGGGCCCTAATAAGCAAGGCCAGGCTTGGAGAGCTGTCTCCCTGCAGATGAAAGGCATGGGCCCTCCACAAGAGCAGGTGAACTGTGGCTTCCATGGCTCTTCCCAGTGGGGTTGCCCCACACCATGTGGCTGGCCCAAAGGACATGAACAAGGGGAAAGGACAGGGTGATGGCCAGGAAACACACACAACCGAGTGCTTCAACATGCCAGGCTCTGTGCTGAGTCACTGGCACAGGACCATTTTCATCTGTGACCCCTCCCACCCCAGCCAACATCTCAGGGAGCCTGACAAGAGTCTGGGGGATGGGCAGCAGGAATCAGCCCTATTTTCAAATGGGAAAGGCAAGCTCCAAGAGGCTGAGTCGGGGAGCCCTCCCTCCCAGTTCAGTGCCCTCTGGCTGCCTCACTTTTGGCATCAACTCCAACCAGAGAGGGGAAGCCAAGTCCTGTTCCAGACATGGCCTGCCATCCCATGGGGCCCAGGCTAAAAGGCCCTGGGGTGGGCTGGAGCACCTCCCTGCTCCAGGCAACCCTTTCCTCACAACCCCCCTCCCACCAAACGCTGGCTGCGTGGGATGGGAGGAAGCGGTAGGGTTGCCATTTCCCTCCGCTCTGAGGCTGCCCATCTGTTTCCTGGGATAGGACTCCCCGCCCCTATCCACCCCTAGTCCGGAAACTCACTTGCCCTGGGGCTATGGGAAAAGGGAACTGCATGGCTCCCTCCCTCCCCAGGGGGTGGTGGCAGAGGCCTCCCACCCTCACGGCTCTAGCTGGGCAGCTCCTACCAATGCTTCTGGGTACACAGCGGGTGGCTGGGCCTAAGCAGCACTGCCCTAAAAGTGCAGCACCCAGTGTCAGAGTGCCACGAGACTCTCCTCCCTCCCCCACTCTGGCCTGGCTGTCATCCCTGGCTGGCAGCTTCATGGCTTATCCCAGCCCTGGGGGTGGGGTGATGGGGTGACTTTCTGGGTGGAAGTTGGTGGAAAGTAAAAAAGTGAAACACTTCCCAGCCCAGCCCCAGCTGATGTGACCACGTGGTCATCTGTGAGTAAGCACCGCCCCCTGCTGGACATGCCAGATACGGCCACTGCACCTTGGGTGCTCAGCTGATAACAAGAGGGAAAAGCCAGGCCTGGGGCCCAGCAACTTCACAAGACCCCACCAAAAACTAGGGGCCAGTAACACCAGCAGTGTCTAAGGCAACCTATAGTTCTATGTCAAATAAGTTTAAAAGAAGGGGCCAAAACCACAGGGGCTGGGCTGGGGCAGACAGGGAAGGCTTTGCACAGAATGTGAAAAGGCGAGAGAGGAGCAGAGAGGGCAGCCAGCCTAGCAGGGCCCAGCCACGCAAAGACCAAGGGGGATAAGACAGACCAACTAAGGGCCCTGGAGGTGGAACTAGGAAGTGGGGCCACTCCCTGTTAGATTTCACGCTGTTTAAAGCCTTGAACTTCTGCACCAGAACCCCAATATAGAAAATAGATCCAAGTTGAGGGTCTGGCCAAGGACGGGGGCTAGAGTCCCTCACCCCAGCACACAGTCGGGGGCCCCTGGGGCAGCTCTGAACACCTGAAGGAGCAAAGTTTGAACCTAGAGCTTCAGACAATGGGGTTTCAGAGCATTTGACTGACAAGACAACCATGAGGTCTCACGAGGAGGGAGAACACAGCCGCAGTGTTCAAGGCGGAATGAAAGCAGGGATGGGGAAGCCCAAGGCAGGAGGGGATACTGAGAACTTGCTGCACTTCTCCAGCCAGCCCTCCTCCCACACAGGACTTCACGGATTCTCAGGGTTAATGTATGGGAGCCCAAACCCTCCGTTCACTGGGTCCTTTCCCAGTCTCCCCTCATGCCCTGTCTGTACTATCTAATCTAGCCCCTGGTTACACTGGGCACTGGTCTCTGTCTCCTGAATCCTCCACAGAGCACCACACACACAGGACCTCCACAAGCATGATTAACATGATAAAGAAAAAGAAAATTGCATGTACTGCAGAGCAATGGGCCATCCCCGGGAGCACCGGCCTCCCATGCCGGAGGCTGCCATGCTTATCTGGTGAGGATACTCACCCCAGGAATGTCCAAAAGCTTTGACACCAGAAGAGGCAACTTCAGGGCTGCGACACTCCCCGTGACACCCACAAGAACATGGAATTTTCTCTCCATCAAGGGTGCAGCAGCTGGACAGGAGGCCTTTGGTTCCATGTGGGGTCTGGTGGCTTCAAGTTCTGGGAGCCTGCCAGGCCTGGGCTCTATAAAGCTGTCGGGATTTAGGATCTAAAAGGAGAACAAGGGCCACCCCCTTCATTCATACAGTCGACCAGAATGTATGGAGCACCACGTATTAGGCCCCAGGCCAGAGGCTGAGGCAGCGGAAGGGATCAGCAGTCCTGGCTTCAGGGAGCACACAGTTTGATAAGAAAGTGAGACACCTTCCCCACACATGGGCCAGTCACAAGGGAATGATGCAGTGCTGTGGGGAAGGGCTGTACCAGGTGCGTGGCTGCTCAGGGTGACCATCTCTAGAAGTCAGAGATTGCATCCCAGAAAAAATGACATTGGGGTTGAGTCCTGAAGGATGAGTTAGTTTTTCAGAGACAGGAAGAAATCACTTCAAAGGAAGGAACAATCTTGCCAAGGTGAAGGTCCTGAGGAGGGTGGCAGGTTGGGGAACAGGGAGTGGCTTACTAGTGAGGCCGGACTGTGATGGGGGGTGGTAGAGGGGCAGAAAGTGAGACTGAAAGTCAGGGTGAGGCCAGAATGCCGTGGGCAGCGAGGGCCAGGGTGAGGAGTTTTGGTTTTAGAAAGACGGTGCTGGCACCTGGTGACAGTGTCAAAGGGACCCTGTTAGTGGAGAGACTGGAGGGCGAGAGGAGCTGCTGCGGTGGACTGGGCTGACTGGTGAAAGGAAGCGGCAGGAAGGGATGGGTTCCAAAGATGCTCATGAGGTGGAACCCTGGGCAACAGGGAGGTTTGGGTGCTCCAGGGAGCCAAGAGATTTGCCTCTCTGTCCCTGTCCCTGTTAATCAAGATGGGCACCACCGTACAAATCAAAGCCCAGGAAGAAACCAGCATAAAGGGGATGCAGGCCACCCCAGGAGATTAGCTGGTTTGCTTCTTCCTCTGGCTCTCAGACGTTGCTAGAAGTGTGCACTCATGATAATATGGCTGATGGACACCAAAACCTACACGTGGCGGGTTGGGCCAGCAGAACGTGCTTCATCAGCAACCATCACTGAGGACCGATTACAAAGAACACCATGCAAAGGAATTGTGGAAAACACAGTAGCTGCCTCTGGGGAATCTGTAGGTTGAGTTTGAGAAGACAGGAATGACACCTGTCTGAAATTATTTGAGATCAGTCCTTCCCTGGGATGCACCTTTTTGGTGATCACAGACTCAATTAACACATCAGTTTCCTTGCCTCTCCCTCCACCAGCAAGCTCCCTGAATGTGTGACCGGGTCTAATTGCCAACCAGCAGTCCACTAGCCGGCAGTCCTGAACAGGTGCTGAATGAATAACTATACCCTCCAAGGCAGTGTGAGCAGAAGACAGATACCTAGCCTGTGAAGCAGAAGCCCTGGGCCCTGACCATGGTGTGCTCCTGACCTGGAGTGACCCTGGTCCAGGGTCATTCCCTCCCTGGACCTGTCCCTTCATCTGAAAAATGCAGAGGTAGGACCAGATGATCTCTGAAGCTCCTTCCAGCAGAAACTTTGAGTCAATACATGAAAGAGAGCAGTAAGGGGCTCTCCTTCCAAGACAGAAGGTCCTAGAAGATGCACTCAAAAAAGAATCAGCATGGCAAGGGAAACCCAGGCAGCTGCCCAGGAAGCAGCGCTGGTGAGTTGTCCAATGGCTACCTCCATGGCTGAGCATCCACAGGGGCCTATCTCCTCTTCACTCACAGGCCCCTTGGCTCTCTAGCCTCTCTGCCCAGGATTTGCCTTCAGCACTTGAGCACAACCCACGTGGGCTGAGGATCATGTTTGGCTGCATTATCCCACTTCTCAGCAGGGGTTAAGCACAGGCTGGTTCCCTAGGGCAAGATCACCCAAAGTTTGATTTGCCAGTAATCTCAATGTCTGCTCCACTGCAGGGCCCCAACCAGGGCAATGCTTGGCCAGAGTTGGAGAACTGAGTTTACCCCAGGGAGTGGGGAGCCCTGTTAGAATCTGACAAGGTACAGAAGGGCTACCAGCCAGCTTCTTCCCAGAACACATCATTGGTAGGTGATGGAGGCACATTCTTTATTCTCCAGGGAAACCTACCTGCCAGATCGCAAACCCTGACCCTGTCCCACCCTAGCCAACTGGTGCTAGGATAGGTAGATTCCTGCAAAACCAGAAGCCAAATTTTATCTCTGAGGCCCCTGAACCTCCTCCACATCAAGCTGATCTCATTCCTAGGAAACAGGTTACAGAAAGCAGTCAGTTAAACTTGGGGCAGGAATCTGTATTAGTGACTTCAACTGCTTCCCCACAGCAGGCACTATAGTCCGAAATACAGTACTTAGCCTGCTTAGCAAAGCTGTGCTAAGGATCAAACCTACCTACCTTCCTAAAAAAGAGGGTGTGTGTGTGTATGTGTGTGCTTAATATACTTGAAGAATAGAAAGTGGATCATTTAACCAACATTTGGAGGCGAGGTCCAATCAGTTCAACCTGAGAATTCCAGGAAGGGTGATGGCTGGCAGGATTCCTTCATTTGCTTGCAAAGAGGATCAAATTCCAAACCAGTAAGTCTATTACTGTAACCAGAACCTGTTGGAGTCACCTATTTGCACAGGTAGCTGTAGTACCTGACTTCCCCGGGCTCTGCTGAATTCACAGGAACTCCTGAGCAGCAAAAAGAGTTGGCAAGTGGGCAGGTTATAGGGCTACACGCTTTGATTACTGAGCCTCAAGATCCCAGGGCACTAGCCAAGCAGGTAAGCCACAGCCAGAAAAATGGCAGCTTCTCTATCCTCCAGAAAGACAGGGACAGACAGAGCAAAGAGCCTCAGCTTGTGATGTTTAAGTCTCCTCTGATGAGTTTAATTCAGGGCAGAGTTTTAGGTTTCAGGGATACCTGCCAGTCCCTATATGGGCAAAGGTGGAGCTGGCACAGAACCAGACTAAAGACAGAGCAAGGAAAGCAAGGCCAGACAGGGTATACGTTCAAGCTCAATACAGGAAGGATGAGAACTGAGCCTAAGACAAAGCAGAACCAAACAAGGGAAGTGGGTGGTGGGTAGGCAGGGATCCAAGATCCATTATGAGCCTGAATCCTTTAGCCTAACATCAAAGCCCCTCACTACCGGCTGCCCAGGCTTCTGCTCCAGCTTACACCTGTAATCCCAGCAATTTAAGAGGGCAAGGTGGGAGGATTGAGCAAACCCAGGTACTCGAGACCAGCCTGGGTAACATAGCAAGACCCCATACAAAAAATTTAAAAGTTAGTGAGGTGTGGTGGCACATGCCTGTGGTCTCAACTACTTGGGAGGCTGAGGCAGGAGGATCGCTTGAGCCTAGAAGGCTGCAGTGAGCCATGTTTGTGCCACTGCACTCCAGCCTGGGTGACAGAGAGAGACCATTTCAAAATATAATAATAGTACCACAAAAAAAAAAAAGTGTGTAGCTATTTACATAGCATTTACACTGTATCAGGTTTTATAAGTAATCTAGAGATTATTTAAATTATATGGAGGGCGTGGTGGCACGTGCCTGCAGTCCCAGCTACCTGGGAGGCTGAGGTGGGAGGATTATCTGAGCCCAGGGAGTTCGAAGATGCAGTGAGCTATGATTGCACCACTACACTCCAGCCTGGGAGACAAGAGTGAGACCCTGACTCAAAAAAAAAAAAAGAAAAGAAAAAAGAGTATACAGGAGGGTGATGTGGTGGCTCACACCTGTAATCCCAGCATTTTGAGAGGCCAAGGAAGGAGGATAGCTTGAGCCAGGAGTTTGAGACCAGCCTGGGCAACATGGTGAGACCCTGTCTCTACAAAAATGAAATAAAATAAAAATTAGCCGGGTATGGTTGTTTATGCCTGTGGTTCCAGCTACACAGGAGGCTGAGGCAGGAGGATCCCTTGAGCCCAGGAGGTCGAGGCTGCAGTGAGCCATGTTCCTGCCACTGCACTCCAGCCTGGGTCACAGAATGAGACCTTGTCTCAAAAAAAAAAAGTATACAGCAATCCCCTGCGGATACTGAGGGATAAATGTATCTAACACACACACTCACACACGTGGGCTACTAGAAAGGCAGTGACTGCGAATTGCTACTTCCCAGCCACTGTGAGAGATGTGGAAACCCCTGCTCCAGGACAACCACCACTTCCCCAACTTGGCAACCTCTCCTGCTCACCATCTAGCACCTGCTTCCAAATACTTCAAGGACAGCAGGAAGTTCTTTTCTGACAAGATTTGGCCTAATTTTTAAATAGCACTCAGCACTTTTTGGCAGGCCTAGGGCTACTTCCAACATCCCATGGCTTTCCTTTTTTAATTTTACCAACTTTTTAAATACACTTTGTACTTTGGGCAGCCCGGGTAAGCGTTCAGTGTGAGGAGCTGACACGGCCATCATTTAAACTAGATTAAACGACACTGGACAAATAATCGCAGAGCAGCACAAAGTCGGGCTGGACGGGTACAGATGCAAACCCTCCACTCAGGGCTCGGGGGTCCCTCCTGCTCCAGGCGGCCCCACCCGTACAGCCGGGAAAGTGAGGTCGCACAGATGGACGGCCGCCTACCCACGCACAGTCGCAAACAGAGCTTCATGGGCACACAGGGGAAAATAAGGACACACACAGACAGCCGTGGACCCACGCTCGCGGACACAGCTCCCCGAACCTCCCCTCCCGCGCCGCCGCGAGAACCCAGCTTCCCAGCCCCCTTCCACTGCTCACCCGCGCCAGGCGCGTCTCGGGGCCGCTCCCAAATATCGCGGTATCTCTGCCGCTCTCCCGCGGAATCTGACTGGCACGCCTCACGAGAGCACCGGGCTGGCTGTATGTCGCGCAGCCTTCTGGGAGCTGTAGTCCACTTCTCTGCCTTCCGGGAGTTGTAGTCCACTGGGGAAATCCTGGAGCAAACCCTGGCCCTGTTCTTTGTATTGCTGGGACTCTCGATAGGGGCTGGCATAACTGTCCGACCTCCTTTCCTCACTCCTATCAGCCCCACACACACTGCTTGTTGCTTGGGGCCTTTTTTTTTTTTTTTTTTTTTTTGCTGTTGTCCCAGGTTTATTGAAAATATTACAGTATCTCAAAAAGATTCAAACAGCTTCCACGTGGCGTTTTGAAATTCATCCCCACTGTTGGCTGAGTGACCTGCAGGTTGGACAGACTGCCAAAGTCCAAAAACATCAGCATTTCCTTAATGTCAGGATATGTTAATACTTCAATGATTTCCTGATCCAGGGCTGAGACCTCAGGAACATGATTATCTCTCCTTTCTCTCTTCTCCTCCTGCAACTTGATGCAGATACCTCTCACTGAGCGCTTCAAATCAGCTTCATCACATGCATGTTGTAGCCTGCTATCTTGTTGGGGAGCTGTTTTTTTTTTTGTTTTTTTTTTTTTTTTTGAGACAGGGTCTGGCTCTGTCACCCAGACTGGAGTGCGCAGTGGTGCTATCTCCACTCACTGCAACCTCCACCTTTTGGGCTTAAGCCATCCTCCTATCTCAGCCTATGGAGTAGCCAGGACTACAGGAGTGCACCATCATGCCAGACTAATGTTTGTATTTTTTGTAGAGACGGGTTCTCACTCTATTGCCCAGGCTGGTCTCAAACTCCTAGGCTCAAACAATCCGCCCACCTTGGCCTCCCAAAGTGCTGGGACTACAGGAGTGAGCCACCACGCTCGGCCCTGGGGAGCATTTTGCTGGAAATAATGGTGATCTCCTTGCACATGTGTTGTTTGTGTGGAAGTTGCTGCCCGGGTGTGTGTATTACTTTTTTATGACGAAGTATAGAAAAGGGCTATCTTCATGGTATTAGTGTGAATGGGGCCCATGTTGGCAGGTCCTTAGTAAAAGAGGGCTCGTGGCACTTAATATTTACCAAGCCTCTTCTATTTTAGGTGCACAGGATACAGAGATAAATCAGATGCGTCCCTGTTCTTGAGACAAACAGGGACACAGAAAATGACAGGGTAAGATCCTCCATGAGGAAGCAACACCTCTAGGCAGGAAAGCCTTCTTGAAGGAGTGACTTGAAATGAATCTTGAAGGACAGCCAGGAGGTTAGATAGAGGATCCCAATAGCGATCCAGGTGGAAGGCATCAAATGGGCAAAGGGAAGGCGGCAGAAGAACACACACTGGCATGCTTCCCTGCCCCCTTCATTTTCTAGCCTTCACAGGCCCCAGGAACCTCTGTATTCATTGAGGTGGCTGAACCAGCTGCGGGTCCCCTGCCCTGAGCTGAGGTGGGGCCTCTGCTCTACCCCCGCCCTTAGCCGCAGTGGACCATCTGGGCCAAACCATCCCTTACGCAGGGATCCAGCCGTGTCTTTTTTTTTTGAGATGGAGTCTTGCTGTGTCGCCCAGGCTGGAGTGCAGTGGTGCGATCTCGGCTCACTGCAAGCTCCGCCTCCTGTGTTCACGCCATTCTCCCGCCTCAGCCTCCCGAGTAGCTGGGACTACAGGTGCCTGCCACCTCGCCCGCCTAATTTTTTGTATTTTTAGTAGAGATGGGGTTTCACCGTGTTAGCCAGGATGGTCTCGATCTCCTGACCTCGTGATCCACCCGCCTCAGCCTCCCAAAGTGCTAGGATTACAGGTGTGAGCCACCACGCCCGGCCGATCCAGCCTGCTTCTTCTACTTCCTCCTCCCAAGGCAGGGGGCCTAGGTGGCAATTTCATCACCTACTGAAGGCTGCCTCAGAGAAGGAGCCACACAGGGTCGTATAGCTCTAGGTCTCGGGGAATGACAGACCACAGATCCACCCACCCCCCATACTTTCATGCCCCTGCCCCACAGCCCGCTGTGAGGCTCCACGCAAGTCCACAGGAAGACACATGACACAGCAGAACACACAGGGCCAAATGTTCCCCTTTATTATGGTTCACTCAGTTACCAAAGACAGACACATTGGCTCAGGCAGCTCAACTGCCAGCTGGGGAACATCCAGCTCCAGAAACAGGGAGCAGCAGCGGCACCAGGAGAATGGCAAAGCAGGTCACTGGGACCCCAGAACTGACCTGGGCCCTCCTTCACCCGACCCCAGGCCAGACCTTCCTACAAAGATGAATGTGTGCCCTGCCCCCACTTCTCATACTGGTTCTCTCCCCGGGAAAGTGCATAGTTGCCTGGAGATGCAGCATCCCAGGGCCTGAACAAGCTGGGCCACACACCGGGATCAGGCTTCCCAAGGGTAGAGCCAGAGCATGGCCATATAGGTCCAAGCCAAAGAGGCAGGTAGGACAGGAAACTGATTGGAGGTAACATCCAACAGGTCATGGATGCTAGGCAGGGAGCTGGATCACAGGCCTCCTGGAGCTACCAGAGAGAGAAGGGAAAGGGAGCCAAAGTTCTGGGGTAGGGGAGAGGAAGGGAAAGGGAAGAAGGGCCTAGACCTAGGTACCTTTTCAGGTACCAGGGACTGTGACCATTGCTCCCAAGAGAGAAAATGGGAGAGGGGAGAGGCAATTATATTTTGTGCCCAAACCTAAAGGACCATCAGGAAGAGAATTTCCAGAGGCCCCTGGCTCAGGATGGCCTGTAAGCCTAGGTATTGGGTTCCAAGCTGAAGCCAGGCCAGAGTAGCCAAGTGGGGTTTGGATTTTTGTCCAAACAGCTCAGGCAAGCTTCTGGTGGGAGAAGGGAAGGTGGGAAATGGGCAGATGCTCTTTGGGCGAGAACCCACTCCCCTTCAGGCCCCGCACACAGCTAGAGCCTCTACCAGCCATGTTCTCACACTGCTTGGAACAGAACAGCCCCACGGGCCTAAAACCACTCTCCTGAAAGTGGTAGGGAGTTCCGACTGGGTGAGGACAAGCCAAGACCAAGGCCTGTAGGCAGAAGGGAGCAAGTTACCTTGATTTGGAAAACAAAACAAAACTAAAGCCAGAGAGCCTCCCCTCCCACCCTGCCTAACCTGAAATCCCATTCAGGCTATTGTGCTTGCAGCCAGGACTGGGCCTGTGCTTCTGCTTGGGCCCTGAGTTCAAGTGCCCAGAACCGCCCTGTGACCAAGAGCAAGCCAGGGTGGGGGAAGGCATGCTCCCCTCTCACTGGGCCCTGCCTGCCTTCTCCTCTGACCTTCCCTCCGTGCCTAGCCCTCTGAGCCCTGTCCTACCAGATCCAAACAGAACAGCTACTGCTTCCAGGAATCCAACGGTCACCGAGAGATACCTAAATGCCTCACTGTGCTGGAGCCAGCCAGACCTTCCCCAGGGACCAATCATTACTGACATGCCCTCTGCTCCAGCTGTGCCTTTACATCTGACAACTGCCCAGCATGTCCCAGCTCCTCAGGGAAGGCAGTAAGGCAGATGCCACCTGGCACATGGTGGGGTCAGGGTAGCAGAATCAAGCCACAGCAACTGGGGGCATGGGGAGGAGGCAGAGGGACATAGGCAGAGGGGCTCAAGGGGGCTCTGGGGAGAGAAGGAGGAGAAGGCAGGGGAGAGAAAAGATGAGCCTGCCCCTGCAGATCAAACTCTCAGGCCCAAGCAGACTCATCCTTGCATTTTCATCCCCTGGGGGTCAGGTACCCAGGTGGGCTCTGCACCCCCAGCTGTGTGCCCCTCCTACATCAGGGGTAAGGCCCAGCTCCCCATCAGCTTCCTTGAACTGTAAATCAGATTAGATTTGGGGATCTGGGCTCAGTCTCAGGAGCAGATAAAACTGGGACACTCAGCCTTGGGGAAGACAAAGAAAAGCCACATAGGAAAGAGATAGACAGACCATGGGCAAGGGAAGATTGCACAGGGAATGTGACATCAGGGAACAGATGAGGGAGGAGGAGGCTGAAGGAGGCGAGGCCTGGAGGGATCAAAAGAGCAAGGGAATATCCCTGGCCTGTACCCACCCTCCCACCCACCACCAAGAGTGCTAAGTACTGTTACTTCCCAGGAAGACTGAAAGTAGAAACAGTTCCAGCTCATAACCCTAGGAAGGGGCCAGTCTTTCTGCTATGCCTCCCCTGGCCCCGTGAGGGGTCCCTGGGCCAGGGTCAGAGGGGCCAGAGGCAAGAGGGGCAGGTGGAGGGTGGGGGTGGGGGCTGGTTTAGCTCTAAACACACATCTAGCACCACAAGAGACCTCCACTGCACACTATTTCACGAGGGGACACAGACACAGCTACTACCGCACGGGACAGCTCCACGTGCAGCCCACAGCTGAGTGCCAAGAGCAGAATCTGAAAGGTGGGGGCTGGGGTACAGACATATACATATATATATATATATAACTCTGGTCCTTTGTACAAAGTAGGGAAGGAGAAAAGGGAAGGGGGAACCCTGCTTGGTAACCACAAATGACGATGTGGCTTGAGCCCCCTGTCCCAATGGCCCCAGCTCTGCCACCTGGTAGGCGTGGCTGGTTCACATCTCATTGGAGTACGTGTAATTGGGGGTGGCGGAATACTGAGTCTGAGGCTGATTCATGGCACCCTGGGCTGCCCCCATGGCTGCGTTCTGGGCTGCCTGCTGCACATGTGGATTCTTCCAGGCCCCTGTGGTCCACTCCTCCTGAGCTTTGCTGAAACTCCCCCCACTTCCCCGGTAAAATTTATGAACCTGTAGGAAAAAGAGCGTAAAGAAGGGTTAATCAAAGAGAAAAGGCAGCCCATCCAGGAAATAGATGGGACCCATCTGTAAAAAAAAAACAGTGCTCCCTCCCCATGAATGCCTCTGTAGGAGAGTCCTGCAGGCCATTCCAGAGTGAGTCCCTTGGAAGACCTCGGGATCCTCTTGCAACTTGGAGGAGGGCTTGTTTCAGAACATGGCCCCTTCCCAAAGCCACCTTCTCACCCTTGAGGGGACCACGTACCATGCTGAGGGCGATGAAGGAAAAGACGGCCATCACTGTGAACATGACAGTGGGAATTAGCATCACCACCGCCGAGCCAATGTTCGTTCCGAAGAAGGAGATGGTAGCAATCCAGCCGCTGCAGGAAGAGGCCAGTGTGGGGCTGCGGGCAGGATAAGAGGTGCCCAGGAGCCCCCCGCTAGAGGAAGGGACCGTCTCATTGCCACAGGGAGGAAACATATCACTGGATGCAGAGGGACCATCTTACTGATACCCAAAGAACCTGTGCCAGTGGCTCAAGAAGACCCCATCCCTGTGGCTCAGAGGTGCTCTTCAGATACAACACTTTCTTCCCCCAGGTTTTCCTATAATCCCTGACACCCCTCAGCCCCCAAGAAACCACTGCCAGGTTCTCCTTCCCTCTGATGCTATGGTTGTACTACTACACTATCCCGAATCCTCTCACTCTCCCAACAACCCATCACTCAGGCCCCATAGGCTAGACAGCTTAGCACACAAAGGTAAGCAAAAGATACACCCACAACGCCACCCCTGCCAGCCCCAGGCCACACCCCTGCCTCTTACCAGACGCCCCAGCCTGGGATGCCCACGGCCTGGATGATGCTGATGACCAACTGAGCCATGAAGGTAAAGAAGAATGCCATGAAACTGAAGGAGCTGTCAGTCCTGCGGCAGAGGAGGTGGCTCCCGTCACCTGGGCAGAGGGCCAGGGCTTCCCTGCCTTCAAGGCCCCCAAGCCCTTCCAAGTTTAAGTGCATAATGGACAGAAGACATTTAAAGGCCTTAATTGAGAGGTCAGAAGGGGTTAGTTCTACCCATACATCTTTGCAAGTTTCCACGTGGTAGACCTGTGTGTTGCAACATTACACAGGGAGGGATTTCCCATGAACAGACCACCCACTGGTACATGGATGGACGGCCTCATTGGCATAGAAATAGATGGCTCCACTGAGGCAGGAATAAATAGTCTCATTGTCAAGGGGATGGACAATGACACCAAGACAGCTAGCTCCACTGGTACATGGATGGATGGTCTCATAGGCTCAGAGATAGAAAGTCTCATTGGAACTAGAATGGACACCCTATTGGCACCAAAACAGTAGCTAATTGGCACTTAGATGGATGGCCTGATTGGCACAAAGAGATTTAAGGCCCCATTAGCATTGAGATGGATATTCTACTGGCACCAAGACAGATAGCCTTGGTACATTGATGAATAGTCACATTGGCACAAAGATTGAAAATGCCATTTGGCACTAGGTAGACACCCACTGGCACCAAGACAGCAAGCCCCACTGATATGTGGATGGGTGTTCCCTTTGGCACACAGTTGGATGACCTCATTGCACATGAACAGTGTCAATGGTACATGGCTGGCTGGTCCCATTGGCACATGGATAGATGGTGTCCTTGGCACCAAGTCGGCTAGCCCCACAGGTACTAGGATGGGCAGCTCCACCAAGACAGGCAGCCCCACAGGCAAAATTTAACATGCAGCTGCCTGAGGAAGGGGATGACAGAAGAAAAAATAGGCCTGGTCTGTCTATATTTCCCCCACCCAAGGGTAGAGTGAGGAGGAAAGAAACTAACTCTCAGCCCTCTCACCTCAACTTGGCACCCCCAGAAAGCCCAGGCCCTACCTAGCAATCTGAGCCAAAGGTGAGCAAGGGAAAGTGAGTTTGGGGGAGGGTAAAAAAAAAAAAAAAGAAGTGAGAAAAGATATGGAGAAGAGACAGGGGAGATGGGCAGAGACGGCTAGGCACTGCGGATAGCACCAACCACTTACTTGAAGGCCTTGTAAATGGGCCGAAACCAGCAGACGTAGGAGCAGGGTGTGAAGAGGATGAGCCAGAGAAAGGCGAGGCCAAAGTTGGTGGCTCCCCCGCCTCCGATCAGCCACGCGAGACAGCCCACCAGGTTCACGGCCAGCGTGACGCTGTTCACTGCAGGCCCAGGAGCACATGCACACATAGAGACAGACACCCAGGCCCATAGAGAGACACATGAGCACCCGGACATGGGCACACACACACCAGTAACGCAACAGAGACCCACAATCAAGCCAGGCCAACAGCGCAGACAAGCACAGAGAGATGCAGACACATTCACAGATTCACACCCACACAAAAGACCCACAACCCGTACCAACAAATACATACAGAGACACAGGAGACACACATACACACGCAGAGGAGTAAAGACTGTAAGAACGCAAGCTGGGAGCTCGAACCAACCCCCACCCCTCAACCCCAGCACCCACTCCTGAGAAATCTGGAGAGCACAGCCTCCAGAACCCAGAGCTTCTGCCCAGCAAGCCCCTTTGAAGGGCCCCAAAGCCTCAGGGTGGTAGAAATGCTCTTGTCCTTGTCAAGAATGGCTTCAGCCCCTGACCCTCCCAGACTCACAGCAATCACCAAGCCCAAGACATGGGAAACCGACCTTACACTTTCTCTTTCGAGATATGGGCATGGAAAGGGAAAAATAAAAGGCCTTGTGGAAACATCTCTTCTAGCCATTGTGCCATCTACCTTGCACTTAAATGGGGCAGGCATTGGCGGCTGGAATCTCAGTCTTTATCTAATCTATTTCTTTTTTTTTTTTTTTTTTTTTGAGATGGAATTTCACTCTGTCGCCCAGGCTGGAGTGCAGTGGCGCGATCTCAGCTCACTGCAACCTCCACTTCTCAGGTTCAAGCGATTCTCCTGCTTCAGCCTCCTGAGTAGCTGGGATTACAGGTGCCTGCCATCACGCCCAGCTAATTTTTGTATTTTTAGCAGAGATGGTTTTTCGCCAAGTTGGCCAGGCTGGTCTCGAACTCCTGACCTCAGGTGATCCACCCGCCTTGGCCTCCCACAGTGCCGGATTATAGGTGTGAGTCACAGTGCCCAGCTATCTAATCTATTTCTTAGATAACACTCATGCCAGCTCCTTGAAGAAGTCTTCCTTTGCTACTGCAACCTCATCATCTCCCATCCCTCTGACCTTCTACAGACCTGGGCTGCTCTCAAGGTTCCCCAGATATAAATCCCAGCCCATCAACCAGACTAAAAGTTCCCCAAGAACAGGACCCAGGCCCCCCCCCCTCTGTCCCCACCTCATCTAGCTGAACTAGGAGGCACAGTGTCACTGAGTCACGGCCAGCAGGGACCTCAAAGATTTACAGATAAAAGTGATGCTGGTACTAACACACATGCGGGTCTGTGCAGCACATCATTATCTAACATCAGGGCACTCCCTTCCTTGAAAACAAAGCTAAGTCCACAAAGACCTGCTGAATAAACAAAGGAAGGAGGGCTCAACCGTGGCCTCAAACAGCCAGGCATCTGTGGTCCTGTCTTCTGAATAGAACCCTTAAGCACCTCAAGGGTTATATACATTTCCTTGGGAGTAAAGCACCTGCGGGTGCCTAGTGAGGACTTAAGGAGATATTTATAGCCCTTAAATCCAGCTTCTGGATGAGATGTTCCCAGAAGTTGAGTTCCCAGAGCCCAGGTCAGACACAGTGACCTACAAGCCTGGCCTGACCACCGTGTCACCCATCTCAGGGCCCCTCATGGGTGGGCATTTCTTCCTGTACATTTCAGCTGTATTTCCTCTATCCCTGTTCATTGCCCCAAAATCTCCTGGAGGCTTGGTGTTAAAACTGATTTTATTTGCTCTTTATATAGAAAAGACACTAACCTATTATATTGGTTCACATCTCTCCCCAGTCCAACCTGCCCCAGCTCCCTTGCTCAAACACCTCTGCTGCAATTATTCTGCTTCCTCTCTGGAATGGATACCCATGAGCTCAGCCCCTCTCTCTCTCTAGCCATCAGCTTCTTTCTGTCTTCACTCTTCTCCTTATCCAGCTTAGATTCCATAATTCATTACTCATTTTCTTATTCCCTCCCCTGCCCTGCCTTCTGGCCACACTCACCCTAGATGAACATAATTCTCATCTGTACCTGAGCTGAATGTTGCTAAGAAAAAAGGGGACCCCATGAGGAAGACTGTAAATTCACATCAGCCAATGTCAAATGAACCTTGTGTGTGGCCCAGAAATCTTAGGGGCCGGGTTTCTTTGGAGAGTGTCCTCACTATCCGTCGACAAACATGGCCTCGTTGTGAGCCCACTCTCCACACTACATCATATTTGATGGAAAAAATGGAAGCCATCAGAGGTAACTTCTTCATTTGCTTCCCAACATCTACAGACTTACCCACACCTGTCCCATCCCCCCTTCTCTCAGGTTACATGGTGGGAGATCCCTTCTTCACTCAAAGGCCAAGCCAGGCCTTGAAACTGAGTCTGTCTGCCCCATCCTCTTCCTACCATGCCATGAGGGACCTGCTGCAAAGACAGTATATTTTACCACCTTGTCGGCACATGCAAGCATCTGCCCAGGTAGGCAGCTAAGTGCAGGCCTCACTCAGGGCAGTGTCACATATAGCAGAACCCAACTGCAGTTACATTGCGGGTATCTTGGGATCCTGGGGCTCACACCCAGCACAGGATAGCCAGCTTGCCTCCCCCTCACATGCCTAAGAGGTACCTTCTAACTAGCCTCAGCACAGCCAAGTCCCATCCCCCCAAGAAGACACCTTTCCCACCCCCTGCTACAGATCACCAGAAATGAGGCCTTTACACTCTCAGCCTTAAAACCTTAGAACATTGATGCTAAGGTTTTCTAAATAAAGAATTCTAGATTATTTAATTATTTTTTTAGAGGCAGGCTCTTACTCTGTCACCCAGGGTGGAGTGCAGTAGCATGATCATAGCTCACTGCAGCCTTGAACTCCTGGGCTCAAGTGATCCTCCCACCTTAGTCCCCTGAGTAGCTAGGACTACAGGCATGTGCCACTATTCCCAGCTAGTTTTTTTAAAGAGATGGGGTATTGCTATGTTGCCCATACTGGTCTCAAACTCCTAGGCTCATTGGATCCTCCTGCCTTGGCCTCCTGAATAGCTGGGACTACAAGTGTGAGCCACCACACAGGCCTAATTTTTTTATTTTCTGTAGAGACAGGGGTCTTGCTGTGTTGCCTAGGCTGGTCTTAAACTCCTTACCTCAAGTGATCCTCCTGGCTCAGCCTCCCAAAGTGCCGGGATCACAGGTGTGAACCACTGTGCCTGACATTAGACTCTTACAGGTATAGACCACCCAACACAGAGCTGCATGGAACCACAGCAATCGCCAAGCCAATACTTTCTTCCTACAAATGAGGAACCTGCTGCTTGGCAAGCACAGTGACCAGGCAAACTTGATCCCACAGCTCCCAACTCCCAGCTGAATCCTCCTCTCTTTGAGCAATCTTCCAGAGAAAGCAAGACAAATAAGGCTTTGAGGGAAGGATTCCTCTCCAAATCCAGAATCCTGAGGTCCTGACAGTCCCCAGAGGTTCCCTGGAAAGTTACTCCAGTGGAAGGGAAAGGGGAAGCAAGAAGACAGGGATTACACTGCAGAGAGGGACCCCTGTCCAGATGCTCTGTGAAAGGAGGGTGGAGGGGAAGGAAGGGAAGAGAGGCCTAGATGGGGGAGGTTGAGGGAAACTGAGGCCCAGTCGGGGAGGTGGCCCATGGAAGAAGCCTCTGGGAGCCTGGCAGGGGAAGACTTATGGTCCATGCATATGCCACAAGTGGGACTGAAGGACAGTCAGGCCTGTGGGCACCCCACCCCGCTGCCCAGCACGCCCAGTCTTCCTGCCTCCTCCAGCCACCCTGGCCCACCCCCATCCCATGGCACTCACACATCCAGAGGTAGTAGAGGCGCTTGGTCATGCTGACATGCTGGGGAGGAATATCTGCCTCGAAGTCTTGGTAGAAACATGGCTTCAGCGGGATGAATTTGGGCAATGGTGGGAAGTTGTTCACTTTCTCTGTGGATGAGACACATTGCACAACATCACCTCCAGTCTTCCACCCGACAATCCAAGACGCCCATCCTTCCCCTGGCTGTGCTGCCCCATTGGCCCCTGTGGCCACCGGCCACTCTGCTTTCCCCACCCAGCCGTCCCTACCTCCCCGGGTCAGCTGTGATGATCCCAAAGTAGCCAAAGGCCCTGAGACAGTGTCACTCAGAATAAAAAACAATGTCACCTTGACAGACAGCATTTATTATTTTTTAATTCTGAGTGACACTGTCTCAGGGCCTCAAGGTACCACCCTCTCAGTGGGGGCAGCTCCAGGCAGAAGAAGCGGATGTGTGAGAATCTACAGACGTGGGTTCCAGCCTCCACTCAGCATTTGTGCTCTGGGGCAAATCATCGCCCCTCTCTAGACCTCAGTTTATTTGCTGGAGTGGGGGCTGGGCTACACGGTCCCTAAAGTTCCCTCCAGCTCTGGCATTCTACACCTCTGAGCCTTCTGAACCAGATAAAAAAGGCCTCAGAGTATTAGAAAGCAATAGAGACAGAGGGGAGGAGGGCTGAGCCACTCATGCAGCTAATCAGGCAGATGGACAGTAAGACAAGGACATCAAGGTGCTCAATTCCTGGTCCATAGGACCAAAGATCTGACAGAGGGCTAGACAATGTCATGTTGAAGTTCTCAGACAGGCCTCAGTGGAGAGAGTGGGGAAAGCTTGGGGACAGTAAGATGGAAAGAACCTGGCCTCCAAAGACTAGGGGAGATAAGGGAACCAGGAAGAGGGCCATCCACGCTATGCTCACTGTCATGTCCTACCCACACAGCCTGCCCCTCTCCTTACCTGCCATGATGTTACCAGCTGGCCCAGTGGCCTGCCCACACCTCTTTGTCCTGAACTGCAAGGAAAGAAAAGCCAGAGAAGGATGAGATCAGGGCCACACCCAACCCAGTCCCTCTCTACTCCTCATCTGGGCTGCAAGCTCCCCAGGACAGGACCCAGCACATACTCCCACAGTGCCGTGAATGCAATGGAGGCAGCTCCCCTCCTCCCAGAGCCACCCTTCCACCAGCTGCATCTTACCAGCTGCTCCCGCCCTCTGCTTCAAGGCACAAAATCTACTCTCTGAAAACCCCATCCAAGGGTAGGAAAGGAACCTGGGAGGGGATCCCATACAGGGAAAGCCAAGTGACATTCTATTCCTTGACCTTGAATTACAGACTGAGCCTCGGCCTTGGTCACAGGCTAGCCTCCCTTTGCTCCTTTTGCCTTTGTTCATTTATTAGGACACTTATATGGTGCTGGAAGAATGAGTGAGACAGATGTGGTCCCTGCTCTCCCCATGAAACAGTCAATCACCTCTGCAGTAAATCATACAAAAGGCAAGCACAGCCACCGTGAAAACATACACATCATGTCCTGGTGATCTAATCTGGTCTGGAGAGGCAGGGAAATTAAATTTTTTTAATTAAAAAACTTTTTTTGAGACAGGGTCTCTCTCTGTTGCCCAGGCTGGAGTGCAGTGGTATAATCCCAGCTCACGGCAGCCTCAGCCTCCCCAGGCTCAGGTGATCCTCCAAGCGCAGCCTCCTGAGTAGCTGGAACTACAGGCATGCACCACCAGGCCCAGCTAATTTTTATATTTTTTTGTAGAGATTAAGTTTCGCCATATCGCCCAGGCTAATTTGAATTCCTAGGCTCAAGCAATCCACCTGCTTCAGCCTCCCAAAGTGGTAGGATTACAGGCATGAGCCACTGCACCCAGCCTCAGGGAAATTAAATACAAGTGGTAGTAAAAACCTGAAGCATGAAGAGGAGTTCCCCGGGCAAAACAGCCTTCTAGGCAGATGGGAAAGCATCGTACAGGGACAGTTCCTTACTAGGAAGGAGCTTCACATTTTTTTTTTTCTTAGACAGGGTCTCACTCTGTCACCCAGGCTGGAGTAAAGTGGCACTCCTGGGCTCAAGCCATCCTCCTGCCTCAGCCTCTTGAGTAGCTAGACTACAGGGACAGACTACCATGCTAATTTTTTAATATTTTGTAGAGAGGAGGTCTTGCTGTGTTGCACAGCTGGTCTCAAATTCCTGGCCTCAAGCAATCTTCCCGCTTTGGACTCCCAAAGCACTGGGATTATAGGCATGAGCCACCCATCATAAGGGAAAGAAAGCCACTATGGCCAAAGCAGAGTGCAAATGAGGGGGCAGCAGATGAGGCTGGAAAGGCAAGGTGGGCAGGATGTGCTTCCTGAGACCCTTAGGAGACAAGTTTGAAGGGGTCTTGGTTTTAAGGAGTAGGGGAAAGGGAGCAATTGGAAGACTCCCTGCCCACTTAACCCCGAGTGGATGGTGGAGACCCATCATGACAAGCCTGTGTGAGATGAGGCGGAGGTTCCAGGGGAGGACGAGCAGCTGTGCTAGGGACATACAGGGTAGAGACGCTGGGGGACACCTGGACAGGGCGTCTTATAGGAATCTGGAGGGTACAAACATGCTCTGCTCCTGGGAGTTCAGCAGGAGGCCTGGCTGACCCATGCTAAGTAATCACTGGCAAGTTAAGGCCAAGGAAACCAAGCAGCAATCACCTTGTTAGAACAGTGACTTTGGTGGACATTTATATAGTCAACAGCAGAAAATGGTCCACAACCAAGTGCTAAGGCAATGCAACATTTAAAAGCTGGGCAGAAATTTGCTTAAAGTTTTGGAACAGGAAAAACTAAATCTATGGTGTTAGAAGTCAAGATAGTATTACCCTTGATGGGGCAGCGACTGGGGGCCCGGCATCTGTTCTTGGTCGGGGTTCTGGATACACAAAGGTATGGATTTTGTGAACATTCTCCAAGCATACAGTTACAACTTGTGCAATCTCCTGTGTGTTAGACTTCCATGAGAAGTTTGCTTTAAAATAAAAACTTCAGGCTGGGCATAGTGGCTCACACCTGTAATCCCAGCATTTTGGGAGTCCGAGGCAGGAGGATCACTTGAGCCCAGTAGTTCAAGACCAGTCTGGCCAACACAGTGAGACTCCATCTCTACAAAAAATAAAAAATTAGGCAGGCACGATGGTGCGTGCCTGTAGTCCCAGTTCCTCAGGAGGCTGAAGTGGGAGGATTGCTTGAGTCCAGGAGGTAGAGGCTGCAGTGAGCCATGATTGCACCACTGCACTCCAGCCTGGGCAACAGAGCAAGACTGTCTCAAAGGAAAAAAAGCACACACACACACACACACACACACACACACACACACACACAAACTTCTAGCATTCCAGTCAAATTCTTCTGGACCTGATTAAAAGATCGGGCAATTACAATCTTCGGACTCTTTTGTGATATGGGATCAAATACAGATACAAAAACCCAGTAACATCTACCACAAAAAGAGAAGAGAAGGGTATGATAGAGACAATCAGGAAATGATACCCATACACAGGTGCATTAATTGCGGCACTGTTTTGAATAACAAAGGATTAGAAACCATCAATAGGGGACTGATTAAACCAATGGTAGTCATACAATGGACTGTTCCGCAGCTATTTTTAAAAATGCTTTGCAGCTGTTAAAAATTTTAAAAAGAGGAAGCAGTTCTCTGGGTACTGATATGCAAAAGTCTCCAAAAAGATGAGTAGTTAAAAAAAGCAAGATGTACAACAGTCTGTATGTTATACTTTTCATATTAAAAAAAAGGAAGAGAAGATAATAAGAATATATTTTCCTTTTAACCTAATAATCCTGCTCCTGTTAGTCATTTACCCAGATATAAGAAATGACAAACACACACGTTATTCGACATGACACTATTTGCATTAGCAAAATGCTTAAAGCAACCTAAATGTGACTATTTGAATATACGAGGTGCATCATACAATAGAGTATTACACAGATGTAAAAAAGATGCCAGCCATGGTGACTCACACCTGTAATCCCAGCACTTTCAGAGGCGAAGGCAGGAGGATCACTTGAGGTCAGGAGTTTGAGACCAGCCTGGCCAACATGGTGAAACCCCATCTCTACCAAAAAAATACAAAAATTAGCCAGGCATGATGGCATAAGCCTGTAATCCCAACTACTCAGGAGGCTGAGGTGGGAGAATCGCTTGAACCCAGGAGGCGGAGGTTGCAGTGAGCCAAGATTTCGCTGCTGCACTCCAGCCTGGGTGACAGAGTGAAACCATGTCTCAAAAAAAAAAAAAAAAGAATAAAGATGAGCTCAGTAAACTGCTGTGGAATGCTTTCCAGGATATATTAAGTAAAAAAAAAAAAGCAGAGCACAAAAAGTGTAAATCATATGCTACCCCTTATGTAAGAAAGGGGAAGTAAGAATGCACATATGAATTTGCTTATTTTTGCAAAAGAAACACAGGAAGAATCAACCAGAAAGTAATGAAATAGTCACCTACATAACGGAAGGGCTACGATGAGTAGAGAGACTTCCATTCTTTATATACTTATTAATAAGTTTTTTTAATATACTTGTACACATAAAATGACTTCCATATTTCAAAAACTTAAACCAAAAAGAAAAGCAAACTCTAAAACTGAAACAAAAACAAATCAAGCTAACTATACTTTAAATTGATAACAATCTCACAGACAAGAAAAAAAAAAGAGCCCAAGTAACTTTTGATCACAGTAATTCTGGGTTCTCCTATGTTCTCCTAGAAAGATAAACCTCAAGGGCAAAAATAACTGCAAACAGGCCGGGTGCAGTGGTTCATGACTGGAATTCCAGCACTTTGAGACACCAAGGCAGATGGATCGCTTGGGCCCAGGAGTTCGAGACCAGCCTGGGTAACACAGCAAGACCCCCGTCTCTACAAAAAATACAAACATGGCCAGGCATGGTAGCTCACGCCTGTAATCCCAGCACTTTGGGAAGCCGAGGCGGGTAGATCACCAGGTCAAGAGATCAAGACCATCCTGGCCAATATGGTGAAACCCTGTTCTCTACTAAAAATACAAAAATTACCTGGGCGTGGTGGCATGTGCCTGTAGTTCCAGCTACTCGGGAGGTTGAAGCAGGAGAATTGATTGAACCTGGGAGGCAGAGGTTGCAGTGAGCCGAGATCGTGCCACTGCCCTCCAGCCCGGCGACAGAGCAAGACTCCGTCTCAAAAAAACAAAAACAAAACAAAAAAAAACATTAGCGGGACATGGTGATGTGCGCCTGTAGTCCCAGCTTCTCATGAGGCTGAGGTGGGAGGATCACTTGAGCTCAGGAAGTCGAGGCTGCAATGAAGTGTGATTGCGCCACTGCACTCCAGCCCGGGCGGCAGAGCAAGACCCTGTCTCAAAAAAAGAAAAAGAAACTGCAAACAAGTCATGAATTTTAGCAAGTTTACTCTTACTGCTGGTACTGCTGTGACGACTCTAAAGCTTTGCCCGTATACTACAGGAGAGGGCAAATGAATCAGTGTGCTGATTATTTGGGGAAGGTGGTTTCTCACTGTAGGAGATACAATTCAGACCGCGGAAAGGTAAGAAAGAGCCTTGTGGTGTTGGATTCAAAGCGGAGGTATCAGTATGAACACAGAATTTTAAAAATATATATGGCTGGTCCCAAGCCAGGAAAAGGAAATACAAGGTTAGCCTGGAACATCTTGTGGTATCATAAAGAAGAAAGTACTCAATAACTAATGGAGGCAAGTCAAAAGGACACAAGAACCAGTCTGAAAGGGCTACCACCAACCAAATTTGGGACAATTAGACTATCAAAAGTAATAACCACGTGGATTTTTTTCTCTCTTTTTTTTCTTGAGACAGAGTCGCGCTCTGTTGCCCAGGCTGGAGTGCAGCAGCATGATCTCAGCTCACTGCAACCTCCGCCTCCTGGGTTCAAGTGATTCTTTTGCTTCAGCCTCCCGAGTAGCTGGGATTACAGGCACCCGCCACCACACCCAGCTAATTGTTTTTTTTTTTTTTTGAGATGGAGTCTCGCTCTGTCACCCAGGCCAGAGTGCAGCGGCGTGATCTCGGCTCACTGCAAGCTCTGCCTCTCTCCTGCCTCAGCCTCCCCAGTAGCTGGGACTACAGGTGCCCGCCACCACACCTGGCGAATTTTTTTGTATTTTTTTAGTAGAAACGGGGTTTCACCGTGTTAGCCAGGATAGTCTCGATCTCTTGACCTCGTGATCCACCTGCCTTGGCCTCCCAAAGTGCTGGGATTACAGGCATGAGCCACAGTGCCCGGCCAATTGTTGTATTTTTAGTAGAGACAGGGTTTCACCATGTTGGCCAGGCTAGTCTTGAACTCCTGGCCTCAAGCCATCCACCCACCTCAGCCTCCCAAAGTGCTGGGATTACAGGTATGAGCCACAGTGCCCGGCCCACATAGATTTTTTTTATTATTAATCCATGAGTCCAAAGTGACATTATTATTTTATTTTTTAAAAGAGAGGGAGGGCCTGGCTCAGTGGCTCACATCTGTAATCCTAGCACTTTGGGAGGCCGAGGCAGGAGGATCACAAGGTCAGGAGTTCGAGACCAGCCTGGCCAACACAGTGAAACCCTGTCTATACTAAAAATACAAAAAATTAACTGGGTGTGGTGGCGGGCGCCTGTAATCCCAGCTACTCCAGAGGCTGGGGCAGGAGAATAGCTTGAACCCGGGAGGCGGAGGTTTCAGTGAGCCGAGAGCACGCCACTCTACTCCAGCCCGGGTGACAGAGCTAGACTCCATCTCAAAAAAACAAAGCAAAAAAAAAAAAAAAAAAAAAGGGAGGCCGAGGCGGATCACTTGAGGTCAGGAGTTCCAGACCAGCCTGGCCAACATGGTGAAACCTTGTCTCCACCAAAAAATACAAAAAATAACCAGGCATGGTAGCACGTGCTTGTAGTCCCAACTACTCGGGAGGCTGAGGCAGGAGAATTGCTTGAACCCGGGAGGCGGAGGTTGCAGTAAGACGAGATCGCGCCACTGCACTCCAGCCTGGGCGACAGAGTGAGACTCCGTCTCAAAAAAAGAAAGAAAGAAAGAACATCATGTGCCTCCTGCTATGCTGTGCACAGAAGGACTCAAGGTCATGTATGAATACTGTTGCCAAAAAAAGGTTTAATCTGAAAATAATTATGAAAAAACAATCCGACAAATTCAGATTGTGGGAAATTCTACGAGACAAATGTTAATGTCATGAAAGACAGAAATTGGCAGGGGGAATTTATCTAAATTAATGGAGACAAAAGAGGCATGCAACCAAATGCAATGGGGAAGCCTGGCAGAATTTTTTTTTTTTTTTTTGAAACGGAGTTTCGCTCTTATTGCCTAGGATGGAGTGCAATGGTGCAATCGTGGCTCGCCGCAACCTCCGCCTCCCAAGTTCAAGCGATTCTCCTGCCTCAGCCTGGAGTAGCTGGGATTACAGGCATGCACCACCACGCCCAGCTAATTTTGTAGTTTTAGTAGAGATGGCGTTTCTCCATGTTGGTCAGGCTGGTCTCAAACTCCCGACCTCAGGTGATCTGCCTGCATTGGCCTCCCAAAGTGCTGGGATTACAGGCCCGGATCTTGGATTTTTTTTTTTTTGAGACAAGAGCCTCACTCTGTCACCCAGGCTGGAGTGCAGTGGCACGATCTCGGCTCACTGCAAGCTCTGCCTCCCAGATTTAAGCGATTCTCCTGCCTCAGCCTCCCAAGTAGCTGGGACTACAGGCGCACGCCACCACACCCAGCTAATTTTTGTATTTTTAGTAGAGACTGGGTTTCACCATGTTGGGCAGGATGGTCTCCATCTCTTGACTTCGTGATCCGCCCAACTCCGCCTTCCAAAGTACTGGGATTACAGGCGTGAGCCACCGCGCCCAACCAGGTCCTGGATTTTAAAATCACAGCTATAAAGGACATTTTTAGGACAACTAGAGAAACTTGAATATAGGCTGCATAGTAGATACTACTATTCACTATTAAATTTCTTGGGTATTGTATGTGTGCATGTTTTTGTTTCTTTCTCTCTTTCTTTTTTTTTTTTTGAGACAGGGTCTCACTCTGTCACCCAGGCTGGAGGAGTGCAGCAGCACAATCACAGCTCACTGCAGTCTCAACCTCCCAGGCTCAAGAGATCCTCCAGTCTCAGTCTCCTGAGTAGCTGGGACTACAGGTGTGTGCCATCATGCCCAGCTAATTTTTGTATTTTTTGCAGAGAGAAGGTTTCGCCATGTTGCCTAGGCTGATCTTGAAGTTCTGGGCTTAAGAGATCCACCCGCCTTGGCCTCCCAAAGTGCTGGGATTACAGGCGTGAGCCACCATGCCGGCCTGTAGAACACCTTTGTTCTTAGAAGACACACGCTGGTCTTTAGAAGCAGTGTCTGGTCTGTAACGTCCTTTCAAACGGTTCTGCGAAAAAATTTTATACATATACATAAAGCAGAAACAAGCATGGTGGTGTGTGCCTGTAGTCTCAGCTACATGAGGAGCTAAGGCAAGATGATCACTTGTGCCCAGGTGTTCGAGCCTTCAGTGAGCAATAACGCAAGATCCTGTCTCTAAAAAGTAAAAATAGGCCAGACGTGGTGGCTCACGCCTGTAATACCAGCACTTTGGGAGACCGAGGCGGGCGGATCACCTGAGGTCGGGAGTTCAAGACCAGCCTGACCAACATGGAGAAACCCTGTCTCTATTAAAAATACAAAATTAGCCGGGCATGGTGGTGCATGCCTGTAATCCCAGCTACTCAGGAGGCTGACGCAGGAGAATCGCTTGAACCCCGGAAGCGGAGGTTGCGGTGAGCGGAGATCACGCCATTGCTCTGCAGCCTGGGCAACAAGAGCGAAACTCCATCTCAAAAAAAAAAAAAGTAAAAATAAAAGATAAAGCAAATGTTGCAAAATGTTAATAATTGATGGGAGAAGGGTATACAGTTGTTCACTGCATTATTTTATTTATTTATTTATTTTAGATAGGGTCTCACTTTGTCACCCAGGCTGGAGTGCAGCGGTGCAATCATAGCTCACTGCAGCCTCGAACTCCTGGGCTCAAGCAATCCTCCCACCTCAGCTTCCCAAGTAGCTGGGAATACAGGTGTGCGCCACCATGCCCAGCTAATTTTTTTATTTTTTGTAGAGACGAGGTCTCGCTACATTGCCCAAGCTGTTCTCAAACCCCTGGGCTCAAGCGATCTACCCGCCCTGGCTTCCCAACGTGCTGAGATTACAGGCATGAGGTCACTGTGCCCAGCCCATTGCCCTATTCTTTAAACTTTTTTGTAGCTTTGAAATTTTTCAAAATAAAAAGTGGGGGGAAATATACATATCTGTATTTGACAATATATGCACAAAGAATCTCTGGAAGGATATCAAGAAAAAAATATGGTAATTGTGGCTCTCTGGGGAACAAAGGAACTGAATGGATATAGAGTAGGTGGGAAGCAGAATATTTACTATATAACTTTATACCATTTCCATATAATTGATGACATCATCAGTTTTAAGACAGACCATTATTTTATTGACCAAAAGTAAGAAAAAACATTGCCAATTTGCAGGCTGGGCACCATGGCTCACGCCTGTAATCCCAGCACTTTGAGAGGCCGAGATGGACGGATCACTTGAGGTCAGGAGTTCGAGACCAGCCTGGCCAACACAGTGAAACTCTGTCTCTACTAAAAATAAGCCGGGTGTGACGGCGTGCGCCTGTAATCCCAGCTACACAGGAGGCTGAGGCAGGAGAATCGCTTGAGCCCAGGAGGCAGAGGTTGCAGTGAGCTGAGATCGTGCCACACTGCACTCTAGCCTGAGTGACAGAGCCAGACTCAATCTCCAAAAAATAAAAATAAAAATGCCAATTTGTAACTGTAAGATGCCAGAAATTTTAAAACACAGACATGAAAATGTTTTCAGAAATATCAAAATGTTCATCTTAGAACTGACAAAATTTGGAACATCTTTGTGAACTGTAAATCATATATAAATGCACTACCTATTCAAAAAAATAAAAAGTCAAGAAAGTTAAGCAGAAAAAAAAAAGGCAAGCAGAATAGGATAGTTGGGGAAGAATGAGAAGGAGCAGCTGATGAGACACGAGGAAAGCCCAGAGAGCGTGGAGTCTCCATAGCCAGGGGCAGAGATTGGACAAATGTGATAATGCCACTGAGGGCTCCCATGTGAAAGGATGGCACTACCGGGACTAACGCGTTCATGACACTAACAGCATCGAGTCAGCTGTGAATCCAGCAAGAATCGTTTTGGTGGTGACAGCAGTGATAAAGAAGCCTGGCTGACAATATACAGAGAGAATAGAGATAGGGTACCACCTGGGTAGGATATGGGGGTAGGGAGAGGGCCCAGGGAGGGCTGCAGCTGGGGGTCATTTTAGGTGGAAATAAGCCAGAGATGTGTAGGATACATAGAAAGGTTGCAATTACAGTAGAGACAGATGTTACCTGATAGACAAAGCCCGTGAAGAGGGAGACACAGGGGCACCAGTGCAAGGAGGTGGACAAGCCTTGATCCTAACAGGTGGGAAGCCGAACAGGATCCAAGCAGATGCAGGCAGGTTTGAGGTCTTAGATGGGCAGTGAGAGCATCTTGGATGTCTGCTTCAATTTTCTGTTTTATTATTTTATTTTCACAGGCATTCAATTTTGTTTTATTTTTTATTTGAGACAGGGTCTCACTCTATTGCCCAGCCTGGAGTGCGGTGGTGCAATCACAGCTCACTGCAGCCTCAACCTCCTACACTCAATCCATCCTTCCACCTCAGCCACCCAAGTAGCTGGGACTACAGATGCGTGCCACCATGCCTAGCTAATTTTTTGTTTTGTTTATTGGTAGAGATGGGGTTTCACCATGTTGCCCAGGTTAGTCTCTTTTTTTTTTTTTTTTTTTTTTTTTTTTTGAGACCGAGTCTTGCCCTGTTGCCCAGGCTGGAGTGCAATGGCATGATCTCAGCTCACTGCAACCTCCGCCTCCTGGGTTCAAGCGATTCTCCTGCCTCAGCATCCCGAGTAGCTGGAATTACAGGCACGTGCCATCGCACCTGGCAAATTTTTTGTATCTTTAATAGAGACGGGGTTTCACCACGTTGGCCAGGCTGGTGTCCAACTCCTGACCTCGTGATCCACCCACCTCAACCTCCCAAAGTGCTGGGATTACAGCCATGAGCCAGGGTGCCTGGCCGCCTAGGTTTGTCTTGAACTCCTGGACTCAAGAGATCCACCCGCCTCAGCCTCCCAAAGTGCTGGGATTACAGATATGAGCCACTGCACCTAGCCCAATTTTCTCTGTGATAGAGGAGACAAGATGAAGGTGAGAGGGAGGAGATAAGCGTACAGGACCCAGCTAAATCAAGGAGCAATTCTGACACAGCCTGAGCACTCTGGGAGAGCAGACTCAGAAAGCTGTGGTAACACAGAACACCTCCCTGGTCTGTCTTACAGGAGTCAAGGATGGCTTCATAGATATTGGATCTGAATCTTTTTTTTTTTTTTTTTTTTTTGGAGTCTCGCTGTGTCGCCCAGGCTGGAGTGCAGTGACGCGATCTCGGCTCACTTGCAAGCTCCGCCTCCCGGGTTCACGCCATTCTCCCGCCTCAGCCTCCCGAGTAGCTGGGACTACAGACACCCGCCACCACCCCCGGCTAATTTTGTTTTTGTACTTTTAGTAGAGACGGGGTTTCACCGTGTTAGCCAGGATGGTCTCGGCTAGTATCGATCTCCTGACCTCGTGATCCGCCCGCCTCAGCCTCCCAAAGTGCTGGGATTACAGGCGTGAGCCACCGCGCCCGGCCTGGAGCTGAATTTTTAACAAGGAATAGGGAGTTGGCCAGGGAAAGAGAATCAGGAAAGCAGGTGTGAAAGTCAGAAGAGCAATAGCACGGCATACTTAAGGAACGAAAGAGGCAGAGGAAGGATGAATCTCAAAGTGAAGGGAGCAAAGGAAAGGCAAAATGGAGTTGAAAGGTAAATGGGGCTAGGTCATCCTGGCCTTGAAGACCATGGGCAGTATTTGGACTTTGTCCTCAGTGTCACGGGAGCCACTGAAGGATTTTATTCTTCTTCTCTTCAAAAAAAAAAAAAAAAAAAGGCTGGGTGCGATGGCTCACGCCTGTAATCCTAGCACTCTGGGAGGCCGAGGTGGGCGGATCACGAGGTCAGGAAATTGAGACCATCCTGGCTAACACGGTGAAACCTCGTCTCTACTTAAAAAATACAAAAAATTAGCCAGGCTTGGTGGCGGGCCCGTAGTCCCAGCTACTCGGGATGCTGAGGCAGGAGAATGGCATGAACCCAGGAGGCAGAGCTTGCAGTGAGCCGAGATTGTGCCACTGCACTCCAGCCTGGGGGACAGAACAAGACTCCCTCTCAAAAAAAAAAATGGCCTTAAAGGTTTTTTAAATATGCCTAGCCCGGTGGCATGTGCCTGTAGTCCCAGCTACTCAGGAGGCTGAGGTGGGAGGATTGTGAGCCCAGGAGTTGGATGCTACAATGAGCTATGATTGCACCTGTGAATAGTCACTGCACTACAGCCTGGACAACATAGTGAGACCTCATCTCTAAACTAATTAGTTAATTAATATGTTGCTTTTTAGCTATCTGTAAAAATATATGCAATTAAAAAAAAAATCTAAGTGCATAAAGTAGAAAAGTCTTCCCAAAATCCACTTTCTCAGATGCCACCCCTTTAACAGTCTGATCTTTAGGTTTGGTGGATTTTGTTGGCTTTCATTTTTAACGTATATAGAATCATATATGACAAAAATGAGATCATTCCACACATCCTGTTTTATAACCTGTTTTTTTCCACTCAACAATATCTCGTGAAAGTTTTTCATGTTAATGAATACAGATCTATCTCAATCTTTTTAATGACTGGTCGACTGGGTCAACAATATCCATGGCCATGAAGCAGTCAGGTGACAAGTTGATATGGCAATCAGGAAGTGTTTTATTTTATTTATTTATTTTTGAGACAGCGTCTCTCTCTGTCAGCAGGCTGGAGTGCAGTGGCGCGATCTCGGCCCACTGCAACCTCCGTCTCCTGGGTTCAAGCAATTCCCCTGCCTCAGCCTCCCGAGTAGCTGGGACTACAGGTGCGCACCACCATGCCTGGCTAACTTTTGTGTTTTTTTATTTTTGTTTTTGTTTGGTTTGTTTTTGTTTTTGTTTTTGTTTTGAGATGGAGTCTCGCTCTGTCGCCCAGGCTGGAGGGCAGTGGTGCGATCTCGGCTCACTGCAAGCTCCGCCTCGGGAAAACATGGGGGTGGTTCCACCTCCCCCACACACACCCCAACCACCCTCTACATGAGCAAAGGGCCTGGGGAGAGTAGTCCAGTTTGGAATACTCCTCCCATGGAATAGAAAGGGGAACTGATGGGAATGAGGAGAGGGGTTTCTATAAGTGATGAAGGGATGGCTGAGACTGGAGACCCTTCCTGGCAGCTCGGGTGACACACAGGCAAAGTGGCAAAGTGGTTGAGGGCATGGAGTTCAGAAAGAACACGGAAGAGGCAATTCATGAGATGGAGAAAATGGAGGTGTCTGAGAACTAGAGGTCTCCTTGAGGTCAGAGCACATAAAGCATTAGTTAGACTGTGGTCAGAGAGAAATACTAGAGTTTAAGATTTCAGAGGTGGCCACATGCCAATGAGGACCACATTCAGATGTAGTTGGTTAAAATGGTGACTGAAAGAGGCACTACCTCCCCTGAGACAATGGGACATGGAGTGGGAGACTGTGGTCCAGCACTAAAGACCTCCAGGAAAACAAGGAAGCAGAGGGAGAGGAGAAAACAACTAGAACATAGGGGCCTCAAAGGAGGAGTCTTCTCCCTAACCGGGCTCCAGCCTAACCCCTGTCCCTGGTCCCAGACAATCTCCCAAAAGTCTGCTTACAGTTCCAGAGAAGTCAGTGCAGCAAAGTATGAATAATTCAGAGCAGAAACCAGAGCAGAGGGCAAAGCTGCCTTGTTTGTATATAAAGGTTAGGGCAGAGAGAATCTGGGGCTTGAGAGGGTGGTAAAAGACTAGGGTCACAGAAATGGAAGGCTCCAGGCTTCTCTGCCCTTGTTTCTGGGAAGCCTTTGAAATGGGGGGTGGGGGGTTGGAGGGGAAGACAGCAATCACTGGCCTCTGCAAACCAAAGTTCTTTTTTTTTTTTTTTTTGAGATGGAGTTTCACTCTGTTGCCCAGGCTGGAGTGCAGTGGCACGATCTCAGCTAACTACAACCTCCTCCACCCAAGTTCGAACTATTCTCCTGCCTCAGCTTCCCTAGTAACTGGGATTACAGGCGTGCACCACCATGCCTGGCTAATTTTTGTATTTTTACTAGAGACACGGTTTCACCATGTTGGCCAGGCTGGTCTCGAACTCCTGACCTCAGGTGATCCACCCGCCTCGGCCTCCCCAAGTGCTGGGATTACAGGCATGAGCCACCGCGCCGGCCAAACCAAAGTTCTTAGACTACAAAACAGAAGAATTAGCAATCTGCTCAACTGATAATCTTTTATAATGGGGATAAGGGCTACATATCCCTCCAAAGATGTAGGCCTAGGGAAACACCTTAATTATCAATAAGATAGCAGTTACTACCTGAATTTTGTTCATGAAACCCTAACTATAATGTATTCCATTCCTTATTGTGAAGCTAGGACAGAAGCCCCCACAGTGGGGAGACTGAGGCCTCTGGCAGCAGACGAGGGTCAAGCCTGGCTTCAGATCAGGCCAGAGTCCTGGGGCTAACTCCAGGGCTCCCTGCTCACCAGTATGGGCCCCTCATCCCTGGCACAGAAATGGTGATTCCTTTTTGCTGCCCAGAGCCAACCTGCTAAGATGGAAGTTTCCCCCTCCTGCTCTACCTCCAATCCCCTCATCCCACTCCTAGCCCCATCTTCTGCCCTGAAATCCCAGAACTATGAATAATCCTCAGAAAACAGCAGTCTCCTGGCCATGCTGTCCCTGTCCTACTGATGACTATTCAGTAGCCTCCTACAGATCTTTGCCTGGCATTCAAGGCTTTGTGCCAGTCAGCTACAAACCTCCCTCCCACCACCTTTGGCTGCTCACAGGTTGACCTGCCTCCTACACTCCCAGCCTCATGCAGGAGATCATCTCTAGCCGCCCCCTCTGCTTCCAGTGCCCCTAAATTGGCAGCACTATCAGCTCCTCTAAGTCCTGCTACCTTCTCACATCCCACCCCTTCTGGGAAGCCTTTCCAAAAATCGCTGCTCTGCATCCCGCTGCATACATTTTGAGTCAGTCATTGGGCACTAAGTGTTCACGTCTTCTCCCATAATCTCCTCACTCCCTCCTGGATGGAGTTTCCAGGAGGGACCCAGCACAGAGCACAGTCAATCCATATACTTGCTTAAGACTTGGACACTTTCCCAATGGGTGGGAGGGAGGCAATTAACGCCCTCCCCCAATCAGATTAAGCCCAAAGCTGCTGTCAAACCTGCTGTATCACACTTCCTCCAGGAAACCTTCCGAAACTCCTGGCTGGCAGCAGGGAAGGAAGTGCAGCCTGTAAAGGAAATGCTGTGGGGGGCAAGGGGTGGGGATAGGGACAGGGAGGCAGAGGGATAGGGGAGGAAAGGAAAAGGAAGAGGGAGAAGAAAGGGGGGATGCTCTAAACTAGAACAAGGAGCATCCTCAAGGGAGGTCACTACTTAGTCCTATTATTTCATCTCTAGAGAAAGGTGCTAGAAAGAGATGCCCAGAGAGGGGAGGTGACTTGGGGAACTTGCTTGGAGGTGGCCACTCAGGAAACGGTTAAAGAAACAGCCACAGAGCCCAAGGTCTCTCTCTAGAACTCCCCTCCTGGGACCCCACTAACTCTCCAAGGGGTTTGCTAAACCTAAGACCCTCTTTCAGGGGCCCATTCACCAGAGACAGCCCCCTCTCAGCTCTAGAGACTTTGCCCTAAGGCTCACCAAGCCCAGAACAAACCTAAGTTAGCAAGACCTGTGTAGCCCCAAACAAAATCTCTCTGCCAATCATGCCCCTGCAAGAACCATCTCCCTCTTTCAGAGCCCTGCTCCGTGAGGCAGAACATGTAGGGGACAGGTTGCAAATTTCTCCAGACTCCACCACCCCATGGGCAGTCACATGGCTGAGCTCCCAGGCTCAGCCCCCAACAGCTGTGCTCGTTTTCATCCCTGTGCCTTTGCCCATACATTCTCCTGGAATGCCCTCTCTTGCCTCTCCTCCCACCCAAATCCCATCACCTCTGGAAGTCTCCTATTCGCTAGCTGTCGCCTCCCTTTCTCTCTGTGTCCCTGGGAAAGTCTGCCAGGCCCTCACTGATCTCCCCATCGGGAAGCTGGGACATTACTTGTTTAAGCCGCCTGTGACAGTGAATGCTCAGTCCGAGTCTCTACTTGGTTCCCCCAACCCACAGACCAGGAGCTCCCCGAGGCGGAGGACAAGGATCGGTTCACAAACACCTCACCTCCATCCTCGTGACCTCCGGCCAGCGTTGAAATGAGCCAAATCCGGCGCCCCCAACTCACCACCCAAAGCCCTGATGGAGCCCGCCTGGTGGCCTGGGCCAGCGCGCCCGTCGCCTCGCAACCCTGGGGCGGCTGAGGTCCGCCATCCAAAGGTCGGCCGCCCGAGGGAGGTGAGGGAAGTCAACCCGGGTCCACCTGCAGGCGCTAGTTGGAAGGAAAGGCCCAAAGGAAGCCACGGGCACCCCCTTCCAGTCGCCCCCATCCCCGGCTGCGCACGCCATCTCCAGAAGGCCGGTTTCCAGGGAACGCCAGGTGGGGCTGGCGGGGGGGATGGAGGGCCCAAAGCTCAGGCTCCAGATCCAGGGTCTGACGTCACCCAAAGGCCCAGTTCCCTCTGCGGGAGCCACAGATGGGAATGGGGGGGCTTGGGGGGCTCGGGGGGCCTGGGTGCGCCCTGAGCGCTCTCCCCCAGCCCCAAACAGTAAAGGTCACCTCCACTCCCACCTCTCCAGCAGTTCGGCCTTCTTCCTGCATCCAAAGGTGAAGTGTAGGAGGAACAAAGCTGCAGCCAGCGACCCCCACACCTCTCGCCCCGCGCCCAGCTTCCCTTCAAAGCTCTCCTCCCAGCCTTCATGCCCAGACTCACCTGCCGCGGCCGTTCGGCTGCCGAAAGGCCGCAGCGCTGCGCTGAGCTGCGCTGCACCCGAGCGATGCGGCGCGGAGCCGGCCGCGAGCCGCTCCGGGGCTGGGGGCGGGGAGCGCGCGCGCGCGCGCGCGCGCCCGAGGCCGTCTCTGCGCGCGCCCGCGCCGCCACTGCCTGCAGCAGTCACTCTCGCGAGACTTCCGCTCTGCTCCTAAGGCTGCTCCTCCTGAGCTCGCGAGAAGGACGACCCGGCCGCCCCGGCATCTTCCAGGAGCTGTCCGAGGTGCTAGTTCCCGGGCCCCGGCCGGATCAGGTGGTTGACGGGCACCTCAGGGACAAGAGCCTGGCGTGTAGGTGGAAGGAAGAGACCCAGAGATGGGAGCCTGGCACCAGCAGCCAGAGCCTCAGCTTCCATATCTGTAAACTGGGGAGAATAACCTCCTATACCTATGCCAGGAGCCTCTGGGACGTGCCAGAAAGGAGTGAGAAAGAGCTGAAAGCAGGAGAGTGTGGTGACTGCGGAAGGTCCTTCAGATCTGCAGGCGCAGGGGGAAAGAGAGAACAGAGGACGGAAGATCGGAGATGATATTCAGAGAGGCAAGGACACAGATCCACGGAAAGACGACATAGGAGGACGAGAAAGAAGAGCTGCAAACAGAGACAGAGACACACGGAGAGAGAGACTGAGATGAGAGCTCAAGGCCTGGAGAGAAAAAAGACATGGAAAGATAAGATAGGTAAGGGAGCATAATGAAGCAAGAAAGAGGCAAGAAATAGAGACAAATTACGCAAAGGAGCAGAGAGAGAGAGAGAGAGAGAGGAGAGGCTTAGAAAAAGAAAGAGACTCAGAAAAAGGAATGAAAGAGACAGTGATATGCAGAGATGAATACCAAGAGAGAGTAGAGGCAAGGGTAAATGTTTAAAAACCCAGAGCTTTGGAGGGTTGAGAGAGACCCACTTGGAGAGATGGGCTGGGAGTGAAGACAGGATTTTATTGTGATTGGTGTTTACATAGTAAACCTCCGTGGGATCTCTACAGGCAGGGCCAGGGCCACTGTCTGTCCTGCCAGCCAATTGCTCCTTCCCCTACACCATACACCCACCCTCCACCCCCCACCCACACCATCCTAGGCCTGGAAGGGGGCCTCAGTGGGTGGGAGACACTGCAGGGATTCTTTGCCTAGAATAAGGGCCCATTGTCTGGCTCCATCCTGCCAGGAGTGGGGCCTCACTCCCACAGCTGGCATGAAAAGGGGGTGGCAGTGAAAAAAGGCAGACAAGAACTAGTGTGGCAGAGGGGAAAAGGAGGGAGAGAGCCTCGGTGCCTGGGAAGGGCTGAGCAGGAAGCATCATCCTGCCACCAGGCCAACCAGGAAGGAAGGGTCCTGGGCTTCGGGGCAGGACAACTGGGTTCTGTGTCAGTCCTGTCCCTGGTTGACCCACATGCTGTCTCTCCCTGCTATAATGCAAGCCAAGGCTGATTTACAGAGCTGTGGAGAGCAGCCAATGAGATGACAACTGGGAACCTGTCGAAGTTATCAAGTGTGGCTGCTACAGGGAAAATGTTGGGAGTCCATGTGGGCCTCAGGAAAGATATAGGGGTTCACATAGGCCTTTAGGAGAGAGATCTGAGGTCCACACTGGGATCCACAAGGAAGATGTCTGGAAACCACATGGAATTTATAGGAGATATCTTGTGGTTCATGTAGGTCCTACAAGGGAAATATTGGGGTTCCCGTCTGATGACCACGGACAATTTTTCTCCACTCAGAAGAATCAGAAGGGTCTCCTATTTGATAAACAACTAACGTAGGAAGAGTGAGCAGGTCCAAAGTCAGAAGCCCACCTTTGTCCCAGTAGATTGTACCTTTCCTATTCAGGTAAATGGAAGGGAACAATGATCACTTAAACAAACGTTTACTTAATAGGCATTTGCTGGTTACCTACCATGAGAAGAAGCATACAGCAGTGGTTAAGAATATCAACCTAGAAGGCAGACCTTGCCCCTTCCCTGCAGTGTGAATTTGAGAAGGTACTAATCCTCACTGAACCTTAGTTTTCCACATATGTAAAATAAGGATGGTGATAATGGGACCCGTGTCTTAGGGTTCCTGCAAGGATGAAATGAATTAATACATGCAGACACATGTAACATATGGGACTGCCTGGTACACAGTAAGTATTTAATGATCTGTAAATAGATGGATAAAACAATTTTTAAAAATTAAAAATAAAGTATTTAAGCCAGGCACGGTGGGTCACGCCTATAATCCCAGCACTTTGGGAGGCCAAGGCAGGCGAATCACTTGAGGTCAGGAGTTCGAGACCAGCCTGGCCAACATGGTGAAACTTCATCTCTGCTAAAAATACAGAAATAGCCAGCCATGGTGGTGTGCACCTGTAATCCCAGCTACTCAGGAGGCTGAGGCACAAGAATCCCTTGAACCCAGGAGGTGGAGGTTGCAGTGAGCCTAGATGACGCCACTGCACTCCAGCCTAGGCGACAGACCAAGACTTCCTCTCAAAAAAATAAATAAATAAAGTATTTAAAGGTGCTAGCTCAAACTGCGTGGCAGGCACTGGAGACATGTCTTTGTTGTAGTGGAGGGCAGGGGTGAGAGAGCCTGTGCCAAACCATGCAGTAACACATTTCAAGCTTCTTTGCAGATGTGGAGAATGTCACATCTGCTCATATGCCATTACTCAAAGCAAGTCACATGGGTAAGCCCAAAATTAATTCATGGGGGTCAGGGAGGTATGCTACCCATACAGGATGCCAGATAAGTCACATGACAAATGGTGGGGACATTTAATCCCATTGCAGAGGGAGCAAGTAACTGGGAACAGGAACCCAATCAATCAATGTCCCACAGGGCCAGCTCCAGGCTGCTTATCTTTCCCTGCCTAGCTATGCCTGAATGAGGCATGTCCATCCAAGAGTCTCTGGGAGAATATTTATGTTACAGGCCAGTAAACGAATAAAAATAGAAGTATTTACTGAACTTTTAATGTCTGAGTGAAATGCTAAACTGCATGACCATCCTAAGAAATAAGTGCTATTGGGCCGGGCGCAGTGGCTCACACCTCTAATCCCAGCACTTTGGGAGGCCAAGGCGGGTGAATCACAAGGTCAAGAGATCGAGACCATCCTGGCTAATACGGTGAAACCCGGTCTCTACTGAAAATACAAAAAATTAGCCGAGCATGAGAGCGTGTGCCTGTAGTCCCAGCTGCTGGGAGGCTGAGGCAGGAGAATGGCATGAACCCAGGAGGCGGAGCTTGCAGTGAGCCGAGATCCCGCCACTGCACTCCAGCCTGGGCGACAGAGCGAGACTCGGTCTCAAAAAAAAAAAAAAAGAAAGAAAGAAAGAAGTGATACTATCCATATTCTATAGATGAGCCAAGTGAAATTCAGAGAGGTAAAGTGATCTGCCCAAGGAAATTGGATGGATAGATCTAAGAAATAAAAGAACCACTATCTTTAGGCTGGGTATCCCCAGAGGCAGACACTGAGATAAGGATGTTCATATAAATGGTCCATTTGAGAGATGATTCCGTGGAGCACTAGTAGGAGAGAGGGGGAGTGAAACAAACAAATGAAGAAAAGCAATATAGGGTGCAATAATCAGCAGATTACCACTGTGGACAAATGGGGCTTGACTGTATTGGGCATCTCTGGGAGAGTGAAGAAGACAAGGTACTCATCCCACTGAAGGAGTGATGACACTGATGATTTCTTCATTAGTTGAGAGCTGTTCCTGGCACCTCCAGCCTGCCGGAGTGCCTTCTGAGCAGAGAGCACCCTCAGGCAGAAAATCCCAGGGGCTTATAGTAAAAAAACATCAGGAGTGGCTAAAGGGGTATGGGAAGGGCACTGTGTTGTGACATCTACCACAGCCAGGACCTAAACCCATCAGCCTGGCTCCTGAGCCATCTTATGTCACCTCCATGATAATCCTGTTAATCACGTTATCATCCATGCTGTTAGTCCTGTGGAAGTTTACAATATGGAGTCTTCTTTCTTAACAAAGAGCCTCCCCTGACTGGCGCGGTGGCTCATGCCTGTAATCCCAACACTTTGGGAAGCCAAGGTGGGTGGATCACCTGAGGTCAGGAGTTCGAGACTAGCCTGGCCAACATGGTAAAACCCCGTCTCTACTAAAGATACAAAAATTAGCCGGGTGTGGTGGCGGGCGCCTGTAATCCCAGCTACTTGGGAGGCTGAAGCAGGGAAATCGCTTGAACCCGGAAAGCAGAGGTTGCAGTGAGCCGAGATTGTGCCATTGCACTCCAGCCTGGGGGACAAGAGTGAGACTTCATCTCAAAGAAAAAAAAAAAGTTTTTTAAATTAGCTTGACATGGTAGCATGCTCCTGTAGTCTTGGTTAGTTGGGAGGCTGAGGTGGAAGGACCACATTAAGCCTGAGATATTGAGGCTACAGTAAACCATGTTCTTCAACCACTGCACTCCAGCCTGGGCAACAAAGTGAGACCCTGCCAAAAAAGAAAGAAAGAAAGAAAGAAAGAAAGAAAGAAAGAAAGAAAGAAAGAAAGAAAGAAAGAAAGAAAGAAAGAAAGAAAGAAAGAAAGAAAGAAAGAAAGAAAGAAAGAAAGAAAGAAAGAAAGAAAGAAAGAAAGAAAGAAAGAAAGAAAGAAAGAAAGAAAGAAAGAAAGAAAGAAAGAGAGAGAAAGAGAAAAAAAGAAAGAAAGAAGAGAAAGAAAGAAGAGAAAGAACTTCCTGCTTCCCCCAGTCTCCCCCATGCTCCTGGTCTTGTGAGATGCCACCTCCCTGACACTTAGCATGTGTGCTTGATTGCACAGCACCGAGCATACAGGGACACACATACTTGCTACAGAGCCACAGAAATGTCAGATCAGCTCATCCAGCAGTGAGCAACCCTGAGGCTCAGAGAGCTCACCCTAGACCTCCCTGAACAGTGCTTCTCCTCCTTACACTGCTCCACACTGCCCTGTCCCTGTGTTTGTCCCTTCTCGCCCAAACAGACTGGAAGCTCCCCAAGACAATCCACAGATTGCAAGAAGATACTTGCAAATCATATATATGAAAAGAGACTTGCGCCCAGAATATATGAAGAATTCTTACAACTCAATAATAAAAAGACAAATAACCCACTTAAAAATGTACAAAAGATCTGAAAAGAAATTTCTCCAAAGAAGATTTACAAATGGCCAATAATCATGTGAAAACATGTTCAACATTATTAGTCATCAGGGAAATGCAAATCAAAACCACAATGAGATACCACTCTATATGTACTAGGATTACTATAATTTAAAAGATAGATAATAATAAATATTTTCAGGGATGTAGGGAAATCAGAACTTTCATACACTGCTGGTAGAAAGTAAGATAGTGCAGCCACTTGGGAAAACAGTTTGGCAGTTGCTAAAAAATTTAAACTTTTTTTTTTTTGAGATGGAGTCTCGCTCTGTCGCCCAGGCTGGAGTACAGTGGCGCTATCTCAGCTCACTGCAACCTCTGCCTCCCGGGTTCACGCCATTCTCCTGCCTCAGCCTCCTGAGTAGCTGGGACTACAGGCGCCCACCACCACGCCCGGCTAATTTTTTGTATTTTTAGTAGAGACGGGGTTTCTCCGTGTTAGCCAAGATGGTCTCGATCTCCTGATCTCGTGATCCGCCCGCCTCAGCCTCCCAAAGGGCTGGGATTACAGGAGTGAGCCACCACGCCCGGCCAAAATTTAAACATTTTTAAACAAGTTATCATTTGACCCTGCAATTCTACTCCTAGGTATATACCCAAGAGAAATGAAAACATATTCACAAAATGGCCAAGAATATTTATTATGATTTTATTCCTAGTAGCTAAAAACTGGAAACAACCATCAACAACAGAATGAATAGAGAAATCATTGCATATTCATACAATGGAATATGACTTAACAATTAAAATGAATAAACTGCTGATACAGCACATGGATAAATCTCAAAACATTATGTTGAGCAAAATAAGCCAGACCAAAAAAATGCAAACTATATGATTCCACTTATATAAAGTTCAAGAACAGGAAAATTAATGTGATGGAAGTCAGAATAGTGGTTGCTGGTTGGGGAGGTGTGTGGATTGAATGGAAAGGGGCAAAAATAAAAGTTGTGGGGAGAGTGGGGGGTGATAGAAATATTCTTGATCTTGGCTGGGTGCGGTGGCTCATGCCTGTAATCCCAACATTGTGGGAGGCCGAGGCAGGCTGATTGCTTGAGGCTAGGAGTTTGAGACCAGCCTGGCTAACATGGTGAAACCCCATCTCTACTGAAAATACAAAAATTAGCCAGGTGTGGTGACGTGCACCTGTACTCCCAGCTACTTGGGAGACTGAGAGGGACCACTTGAACCTGGGAGGCAGAGGTCGCAGTGAGCTGAGATCGTGCCACTGCACTCCAGCCTGGGTGACAGAGCGAGACTCCGTCTCAAAAAAAAAAAAATTCTAGATCTTGTTTAGGGTGATAGTTACAACTGTATGAAATTATCAGAACTCAGCTGGGCATGGTGGCTCATGCCTGTAATCCCAGCACTTTGGGAGGCTGAGGCAGGTGGATCACCTGAGGTCAGGAGTTCGAGAGCAGCTTGACCAACATGGTGAAACCCTATGTCTACTACAAATACAAAAATTAGCTGGCTGTGGTGGCAGACACCTGTAATCCCAGCTATTTGGAAGGCTGAGGCAAGAGAATTGTTTGACCCCAGGAGGCAGAGGTTGTGGTGAGCCAAGGTCGTACCACTGCACTCTAGCCTAGGTGACAGAGCAAGACTTGGCTCAAAAAAAAAAAAAAAAAACAGAACTCATCAAACTGAAAACTTAAGATAGGTGCAATTTATTGTATGTGAACTAGAACTCAGTAAAGTAATGTCATTTTTAAAAATTGGGGGGAGGCCAGGTGATGTGGCTCATGCCTGAAAGCCCAGCACTTTGGGAGGTTGAGGCAAGCAGATCACTTGAGCCCAAGAATTCAGGATGAGCCTGGGCAACATGGTGAAACCCCATCTCTACAAAAAAAAAAAAAAATCATTCTGGCATGGTGCCACATGCCAGTACTCCCAGCTACTGGGAAGCTGAGGTGGGAGGATCGCTTGAGCCCCAGCAGTCAAGACTGCAGTGAGCTGTGATGACACCACCGCACTCCAGCCTGGGTGATAGAGTGAGACCCTGTCTCAAAATATATATATGTGGATCCCTGGGGCAGCCTGAGTCTAGGGAATAAGGACCCCACCTTCTACCTCTTGCAATATATCTAAAAAAAGACTTGCATTTAGAATATACGAAGAATTCTTACAACTCAATAATAAAAAGACAAATAATCCACTTAAAAATGCACAAAGGATCTGAATAGAAATTTCTCCAAAGATTTACAAATGGCCACCCTTCACTGCTTCCCTTCCAACAGCAGGGCCTCCAATTGAACACCTGGGGGCACCCACGCCCACAGAGTTAGTTCTCCACCAGCTAGGTGGCTCTGTCCACAGCTGGAAGTGCTGGGGGCTAGGCAGCCTGCTGGCCTGCACACAAGCCAATTTCATTGTCACCTCTTGCAGCTTAGCCAGGAGTTCTTAACACAGAATCCAGAACACTGCCCACTTCTCATGGGTTGAGTTAAATCAGAAGTAGTGAGCTGGGCTCAGTGGCTCACACCTGTAATCCCAGGACTTTGGGAGGCCTAGGTTGGTGGATCACTTGAGCCCAGGAGTTCGAGACCAGCCTGGGCAACATGGCAAACCCCATCTCTACTAAAAATACAAAAATTAGCTGGGTGTGGTGGTGCACACCTGTAGTCCCAGCTACTCGGGAGGCTGAAGGGGGAGGATCACTTGAGCCAGGGAGGTCAAGGGTGCAGTGAGCCATGATCGTGCACTGCACTCAAGCCTGGGCAACAGAGTAAGACCCTGTCTTAAAAAAACAAACAACAACAACAAAAACAAAAACAAAAAAACACACACGGCCAGGAGTGCCCATCCAAATCTGCTCCAATTAACTGCCCAGAAAGAAAAAATGCCCTCCACAAGTCCCAGCCTGGGCCTGGCCCTGGTGAGCACTAACCCCAGCACTGGCCAAGCCTCTGGATACCAAATCCACAGGACGCATTCCCATCCTCGCCCACCTGACCACTTGGATACAATGCAAAGCCAGTCTTGCTTCCACTTCCACTGTTTCTCTTCCTTCTGACACCCTCTGCCCTGGCAACCTTGCCCCCCCTCCCAAGTCCTCAGCTACCTCCGTGGTGCTGAGTGTTCCCAAAGCCGTGTCTCTGATCTGGATTCTCTTCTGCACTCCAGCCCCATCCCAAACCAGAACGCTAGGTCTTTTCCCTATAAGTGTACCTCCTTCTGTGACCCTGCCCCCAAAGATGACTCTATCATCAGTAATAAGACATGGGTATATCATGTACCTCCTAGTAGGATTCACTGATCTGTGTGATATTTGTGCATAAAATGTGTAACCTCAATCTTTTTTTTTTTTTTTTTGACAGAGTCTCACTTTGTCATCAGACTGGAGTGCAGTGGTATAATCTTGGCTCACTGCAACCTCCACCTCCTGGGTTCAAGTGATTCTCCTGCCTCAGCCTCCCAAGTACCTGGGATTATAGGAGCCCACCACCATGCCCAGATAATTTTTGTATTTTTAGTAGAGATGGGGTTTCACCACGTTGGCCAGGCTGGTCTCGAACTTCTGACCTCAAGTGATCTGCCCACCTCGGCCTCCCACAGTGTTGGGATTAAAGGCGTGAGCCACCATGCCCGGCCAAACTCAGTCTAATCATGAGAAAACATCAGACAAACTCCAGTGGAGGGACATTCTACAAAATAACGGATCAGTGCTCTTCGAAAACGACTGCATCAGCCCTCAATCACCCATGCCAGACTCCTTGAAGTTAAGTCCTTTCAATTCCGCTCCCCCATATCTTTGGAATCAATTTTCCTTTTTTCCTTCTCCACATCCACTACCTTATTTCATCATCTCTCACCTACGTGACTGCAGTATCTTCCCAAAAGTATCACATTCTCCAGTCTTTCCCTACCTGACACCCACTGAAGCCATTCTCCTTCAAGCAGCCGCGGGGATCTTAATCATGTCACTCCCTACTCAGGCCCCTCCTAAGGCTCCCCACAGCTCCTAAGAACTCACACCCTCTCCTGGGCTTGGCTCTCAGCCCTCCTGGCCTCAGCCACGGCCACTTCTCCAGCCTTGTCTTTTGCACACTCTCCCCGACAGGCACTCCAGCCACCCAGAACTGCCTGCAGATCTATGTATTCAGATTCTCTTTCACCTCCTTGCTTTTGCTCATGCGGTTCCTTCTGCCTAGAATACCCTCTCTTCCCATCACCTGACTCCCATCTTTGTCCCTTTGTCCAGAAATGTTTACTCTTCTTAGATCGAGGGTTCAGAAAACCCTTTCCAGTACAGGCTGCTCTTTCTCCACTCTCCAGGTGCTCCAGGAGGAGCAACCCATGGCCACTGCCCTCAGGCACATCATAACCTGTTGTGGGTTTTTTGTTTTGTTTTGTTTTTGGTTTGTTTTTGTTTTTGTTTTTGTTTTTGAGATGGAGGCTCGCTCTGTTGCCCAGACTGGAGTGCAGTGATATGATCTTGGCTCACTGCAGCCTCTGCCTCCTGGGTTCAAGTGAATCTCGTGCCTCAGCCTCCCAAGTAGATGGAATTACAGGCGTGCACTACCATGCCTGGCTAATTTTTGTGTTAATAGTAGAGACAGCATTTTGCCATGTTGACCAGGCTTGTCTTGAACTCCTGACCTTTGGTGATCCATCTGCCTCAGTTCCCAAAGTGCTGCGATTACAGGCATGAGCCACCGCACCCAGCCTGCCTCCCATTGTTTCTGACGACAGCTGGGCCTTTGCTCATGTTTTTCCTTTGGCTGGCTGATTCCTACTCATCCTTTGAGTGTCTACATAAATCTCACTTGCTTTGAACACCTCCCTACCTCTACTTGGTCTCAGTTCCTTCCCTCCCTGCCACCCAGTGCTGTATTGTTACCTCGGTTCCTGACTCCCCGTGAGATGTGAGCTCAGGGGCAGGAAGGAGAATCAGCCCCACCATGATGGTATTGCTTACCATCACCCCAATGCCAGTCTCCGGGAAAGGAGTCCTTAGCTGAGTGATGTGTTTGTAAATGTTTAACAACCAGCTCTTTAGGGAAAAATGTGTGTGTGTATGTGTGTGTGTGTGTGTGTATTTACATATATATGTGTATATATATATAATGTGCAAATATATTTACTATAAATTTTACTGATAGAAAGGATGCTTAACACAGAACTTACACATAATATACAACTCCCTTTATTGTAAATTCCATATAACCAATTGATTCTCACAGAATGCTGTCGTTTTTTGCTGAACTCATATCTATGATTGCAGTTGATGAATGAGTATAGGTATTTCACAAAACAATAACTCAGTGGGCCGGGCACAGGGGCTCATGCCTGTAATCCCAGCACTATGGGAGGCCGAGGCAGGTGGATCATGAGGTCAGGAGATACAGACCATCCTGGCTAACACGGTGAAACCCCGTCTCTACTAAAAATACAAAAAAATTAGCCGGGCATGGTGATGCACGCCTATAGTCCCAGCTACTCAGGAAGCTGAGGCAGGAGAATCACTTGAACCCAGGAGGTGGAGGTTTCAGTGAGCTGAGATTGCGCCACTGCACTCCAACTTGGACGACAGAGCGAAACTCTGTCTCAAAAAAAAAAAAAACTCAGTAACTCAAGCTCTGTATCTGTAGTGTTGGCTAATTTCCATGGCGTAAATATTTCCACCGGAGCTGATTTTGAGTTAATAACACGATGCCACTGAATGCAGAGCTGGGCAGAGATGCACCATAGCACACCATTATACAGTATTTCCACCATACAGATGCAAGAAGCAGAAATTAACTCCAAGAGCATGAATAGTAGTAAGATGTAGGAAAGTTATTAGAAAGTAATGAGTTTTGAATTTTCATTACCTTTGTTTTAATATACTTTACTTAATTGTAAGTTTATATAATTACTTTTTTTTTTTTTGAGACAGGGTCTCACTTTGTTACCCAAGTTGGAGGGCAGTGACGTGATCTCAGTTCACTGCAACCTCCGCCTCCCAGGCTAAAGCGATCCTCCCACCTCAACCTCCTGAGTAGCTGGGATTACAGTGCCCACCACCACATTCGGCTAATTTTGTTTTTTTTTTTTTGTTTTGTTTTGGTTGTTGTTGTTGTTGTAGAGGTTGGGCTTCACTATGTTGCCCAGGCTGGTCTCAAACTTGTGGGCTCAAGAGATCTGCTTGCCTTGGCCTCTCAAAGTGCCAGGATTACAGGCATGAACAACTGCACCTGGCCTTTATAATTACATTTTAATAATGACAATGTGTAACAACAAGCCCACAAAATTGAAAATTTAACAGTTGGTTTTCCTGACCCTATACAAGCTGCTTCTACCACACTACTGCTTGGACACCTGCCCCCAATTTCCTCTCCAAGCCCAATCTTGCTGCCAGTCTAGTAGACTTCTGAGTTCATAGGATGACTCACCCAATACCCGGGGTTTGTGATTCCTCCTCAACTCTGGTGACCTTTGTCTCTCCTTCAGTCACCCACCTGCTCCCCTGGCCTCAACAGAGGTTTGTCATCACCAAAAACTGTTTCACCCACTGAATCACAGTTTCCTCTCTTGCTTCTTGACTACAGCCTCCTCTTGTTCCAGCCCTCTCAATACCCCCATGCATGTCCTTCCACCTTGAAGAACACCGGTCTCCAACCCCTCACTTAGTCTCTGTTTATTATTGACTTCCTCCTGATTCCTGGAACGTCCCTCCTCCCTGCCTTTCTTCTACTGGACTGACACTTGACACTCGAGACTTTTCACCCAGATGTATAGTAATTACACAATAAAGCAATTCACACTTACTATTATTTCAGTAGAAGCTTTCTTATTTGATGCAATTGAGACCAGAAGTTGGTCAATTAAACAAAAAAAAAAACAGTAAGTTTAAAAGGATCATTAAAAATGATATGTGAGTCCGAGGCAGGCGGATCACGAGGTCAGGAGATTGAGACCATCCTGGCTCACACAGTGAAACCCCCGTCTCTTACTAAAAATACAAAAAATTAGCCGGGCGTGGTGGCAGGCGCCTGTAGTCCCAGCTACTTGGGAGGCTGAGGCAGGAGAACCCGGGAGGTGGAGCTTGCAGTGAGCAAAGAACAAGCCACTGAACTCCAGCCTGGGTGACAGAGCGAGACTCTGTTTCAACAACAACAACAAAAAAGATATGTGGGCTGGTCCGAGTGCAGTGGTGTTTACAAGTATTTGATTATAACTAGTTACAGATTTCTTTGTTTCCTTCTCCACTCCCACTGCCTCACTTGACTGGCCTAAAAAAAAGTTATATGTATTTGTACATTTTGCTTTAAGGTAAAACATAGAAATATATACTAACTCGCCAATCTTTTGATGTAACGCCAAGGCTTTTTCTTTGAGTACGGGTTTGCTGATTGGAATTCCGTATTTCTTTCTTTTTTTTTTTTTTTGAGAGGGTCTCCCTCTGTTGCCCAGGCTGGAGTGGCAGGACCATGGCTCACTGGAGCCTCGAACTCCCAGGCTCAAGCAATCCTCCCACCTCAGCATCCTGAGTAGCTGAGCCTAGGGGTGCCGCCACCATGCCTGACCAAGTTTTTATTTTTTATAGAGAGGGGGTCTCACTCCAGCGTCTTGAACTACTGGGCTCAAGCAATTCTACGGCCTTGGCCTCCCAAAGTGCTGAAATTACAGACATGAGCCACTGCACTTGTCTTTTTTTTTTTTTTTGAGACGGAGTTTCGCTCTTGTCGCCCAGGCTGGAGTCTCCGCCTCCCAGGTTCAAGCGATTCTCCTGCCTCAGCCTCCTGAGTGACTGGGATTACAGGCATGCGGCACTATGCCCGGCTAATTTTGTGTTTTTAGTAGAGACAGGGTTTCTCCATGTTGGTCAGGCTGGTCTCAAACTCCCAACCTCAGGTGATCCACCCGCCTCGGCCTCCCAAAGTGCTGGGATTACAAGCATGAGCCACCACATCTGGCCCTTTTTTTTTTTTTTTTTCTTGAGATGGGGTCTTGTTCTGTCATCCAGGCTGGAGTGCAGTGGTGCAATCATAGCTCACTGCCGTGTCAAACTCCTAGGTTCAAGTAATCCCCCTGCCTCAGCCTCCTGGCGTATTTCTTTTCTTGCATAACAATACCCATGACAAATTGTCTAGATTTCCACATCCTATAAAGTGCCTAAGTGCTTTAGGATGCTTGCAAAGCAAGACTGAGAATGGCCTTGAAGAACACCATTTCTCAATCCTCAAATGGTCTCTTTATCAGCTTCCTCCTGATCCCTGGAACATCCCTTTGCCCTGCCTTCCTTTTCCTTCTACTGGATCTACACTCAAGATCCAGTGTGAGTGCAGACTCGGGTTACTATAGCGTTTCCCCAACCTTTTCCGGTAGTCTTTCCAAACCAAACAGCTACTTTGTAAGTTTTTATGTTTTACTTTTTTTTTTTTTTTTTTTTTTTTGAGATGGAGTCTCGCTCTGTCGCCCAGGCTGCTGGAGTGCAGTGGTGTAATCTCGGCTCAGTGCAACCTCTACCTCCTGAGTTCAAGCGATTCTCCTACCTCAGCCTCCTGAGTAGATGGGATTACAGGCACGTGCCACCACACCCAGCTAATTTTTGTTTTTTGTTTGTTTGTTTGAGATGGAGTCTCACTCTGTCGCCCAGGCTGGAGTACAGTGGCGCAATCTCGGCTAACTGCAAGCTCCGCCTCCCGGGTTCACGCCATTCTCCTGCCACAGCCTCCCGAGTAGTTGGGACTGCAGGCGCACACCACCACGCCTGGCTAAATTTTTGTATTTTTAGTGGAGATGGGGTTTCACCATGTTAGCCAAGATAGTGTCGATCTCCTGACCTCGTGATCTGCCTGCCTAGGCCTCCCAAAGTGCCGGGATTACAGGCGTGAGCCACCGCACCCGGCCTGTTTTTGTTTTTTGAGATGCAGTCTTGCTCTGTCGCCTAGGCTGGAGTGCAGTGGCGCCATCTTGGCTCACTGCAACCTCCACCTCCCGGGTTCAAGCGATTCTCCAGCCTCAGCCTCCCAAGTAGCTGGGATTACAGGCACCCACCACCACACCTGGCAAATTTTTGTATTTTCAGTAGAGATGGGGTTTCACCATGTTGGGCAGGCTGGTCTCAAACTCCTGACCTCAGGTGATCTGCCTGCCTCGGCCTCCCAAAGTGCTGGGATTACAGGCATGAGCCACCGCGCCCAGCCTATTTTTATTTTATTTTATTTTATTTTATTTTAAAGACAGGGTCTTGCTCTTGTTGCCCAGGCTGGAGTGTAGAGGCATTATCATGGCTCACTGCAGGTTGCCCAGGCTGGTCTCAAACTCCTGAGCTCCTGCCTTATCCTTCCAAAGTGCTGAGAGTACAGGTGTGCCAAACGTACCATCTTAACCATTTTTAAGTGTATGATTCAGTAGTATTAAGTATATTCACATTGTTTTACAACAGATCTCCACAACTTTTTCATCCTGCAAAACTGAAACTCCATATCCATTAAACAACTCCCATTTCTCCCTCCCTCCAGTCCCTTGCACTGTTGCCCAGGCTGGAGTGCAGTAGCACAATCACGGCTCACTGCAGCTGAAATCTCCTGGGCTCAAGCGATCCTCACACCCCAGCCTCCTGAGTAGCTGGGACTACATGCTCACTCCACCACACCCAGCAAATTTTTGTATTTTTGTGGAGATGGGGTTTCGCCATGTTGCCCAGGCTGGTCTTGAACTCCTTAGCTTAAATGATCTGCCCGCTTCAGCCTCCCAAAGTCTTAGGATTACAGGAATGAGCCACCACACCCTTATTTGTCTTTTTGTAAAAAGACCTCGTTTGTCTTTTTGTGAACAGCTTTTTTTTTTCTTTTAAGCAAATACCCTTTTCAAAACTTTCTAAAGCAGTCTACTTGGTTTTCATAGAAATAACAACTCACTTTCCTTCTGTGTCCATATTTCTATGGTTTAGTTATGGCTTAGTTAAATTATGTAATTACAGTAGCACCTGCAACAGGCATAAACAGATTTGGGGATGTGTTAGTCCAGGTCCTCAGAGAAGGTGGGATCCCAGAATAAAATTAAATATGCAAGAAATTTATTAGGAAACCAACTGTTAGAGAAAATGAGGAGGGGCTGGGCATGGTGGCTCATACTTGTATTCCCAACACTGACAGGCTGAGGCAGGATTGCTTGAGGCAGGAGTTCCATATTAGCCTGGGCAAGATCCAATCTCTATTTAGCCATAGCAAGATCCAATCTCTATTTTATTTATTTTATTTTATTTTATTTATTTTGAGACAAAGTCTCACTCTCTCATCCAGGCTAGAGTGCACTGGCGTGATCTCAGCTCACTGCAACCTCCGCCTTTTGGGTTCAAGCGATTCTCGTTCCCCAGCCTCCCGAGTTGCTGGGATTACAGGCGAGCCCCACCATGCCCAGCTAATTTTTGTATTTTTAGTAGAGATGGGGTTTTGCCATGTTGGCCAGGCTGGTCTTGAACTCCAGGCTTCAAGTGATCCACCCAACTCGGCTTCCCAAAGTGCCCATCTCTATTTTAAAAAGAGAGAGAGAATGAGGAGGGAGCTAAGAAAGGTTGGGAGAGACATCAGAGCATGATAGAAGTCTGACTCTTGAGTGCAGAAGAGAGGGAAGGAAAGAAGTTAATGGACACCTCTTAAACTGCAGTGCAGCTCTAAGGAAAGTTTTCAGCAAGTCCACTGCGGCATCCTCACTTAAAGTCACCCATCTTTCACCCTTCTCCCAAGAATGAGACTGCCTTAGTATCCCATCCATGCTCAGTCATTAGCCGGGAGCAGTCCATGGAAAATCTGGCCTTGGCATAAATGCAGTGATGCATTTCAGAGGCAGCAGCTGGAGTCCTTGGTTAATTATACTTCCTGCAGTCAGAGATTTGAGAAGCCATTCTCATGGCTGCCACAGGTAACAAACACGGCTGATTCTTTGCATCTCAAGTATGGCTTAAGCTTGGCTGCATATAACAGAAAATGCAAATATTAAATAGCAATGCCTTAAACAAGATACCTCTGCTTGTTCTCACATAATGAGAAATCCAAATAAGTGACTTGGCTCAGTGACTTTAAGATACAGGGTAGAGGTCTCTGAAATTCTCTTGGCCTTTTCCTGAGAAGTTTTTTTTGGGGGGGCGGTGGGGGCGCGGGGAGACAGAGTCTCACTCTGTCATCCAGGCTGGAGTGCAGTGGCGTGATCTCGGCTCACTGCAACCTCCACCTCCCAGGCATCAAGCGATTCTTCCACCTCAACACCCCAAGTAGCTGGGACTACATGCTCATGCCATCAAGCTCGGCTAATTTTTGTATTTTTTGTAGAGACCGGGTTTCACCATTTTGCCCAGGATGGTCTCAGACTCCTGAGCTCAAGCAATCAGCTCGCCACGGCCTCCCAAAGCACTGGGATTACAGGTGTGAGCCACTGTGCCCAGCTGCCCTCAAGAGTTTTGAGAGGGCTTCTCAACTCCAGCCATCATGGCTGCATTGCAAGAAGCTGGAAGAAGGAAGGGCAAAGGGACAATGGGCATGCCAGCCGAGTCTGCATCCCCATTTAATTAGCTCCAAAAAGCCCTATCCAACCATTTCTGTTTATCTCCCATTGGCCTAAACTGTCATACAGTCACTCCTATTTGGCATGGAAGGCTGGAAAATACCTTTTAGCTGGGCACATTGCCTCTGCCAATAAAATCAGGGTTGTATTAGTAAGGAAGAAAAGGAGAATGGATGCTGAGTAGGGCACCAGTGGTGTCTGCCACACTAGGGAGCAGCCTGTTACCAAGTGAGTGCTTTCAAGTGGCTTTGAGCTGCATTTCATGTGCTGGCTGTAGAGGCAAAGGAGAGTTCAGCTCCCCGGGTGACTCAGTGCCACGGTGGGGGAGGGGGGGCAGGGATGCACACACACACTTTGTTGTTTTCGTCTCACTGAAATGTGACCTCCACAAGCAGAAACAACTTTTGTGCTGTTCACTGCCATATCCCCAGCACCCACAACAATGCCTGTCATGTGATACAGACAATTAATATTTTGAATGAATTAATATAGAAAATTAAGCTCAGGGCTTTAAAACAAACAAAATAAATGAATAATGATTCATTATTGTATTCCACATTGTACCCTATGCATCCTCTTAATAAACTCCTATCACCTACTGTCCTTCAATGTGGAACCTGCAAAAAGCCCGCTAGGGATAATTCTTCCCCAGTATTGCCCATTCTGTTCACTCTCTGCAGGCAACCTCAGCCTCTTCAGGGAGATGCATTTACTAATGTACTCCTGTATCCCTTCCTCCTTCCTACCTGTCTCAGAGGAAGAGATGTCTCCACTCCCTCCTCACAGGCTCAGGCCAGCCCCACAACTGTGCTCTGATTCTCATCACTTCTTATCTCCTCAGGGGTTTTGATCTATCAATTACCCTTTTTCCTCAGTGCTATCAACTTCTCCTTGTTTCTTTTATTCATCCTTCAAGCATCTCCCAATAGAAACACAAAAAACTGTTATCCCTCTGTTCACCCAAGTCATTCTTTAACTCCTACGCCTGGAATATTTCAGCCATTCCCAAGGCAGTAAGTACCCACCATGTGCTAAAGATTGTTTGATAAATCAGAGTTCTTGGTTATTAAATGTGAAGAAGCCACCTCTAGCTAACGTGAGCAGAAATGGTATTTAGAAAATATAAAACTAGCTCTCCCATTCTGACTCAAGATCCATTAGTCATAACTCTGGTCGTTACGTGGCCTCCCATGGCCCTTGCCTAGGTCTGTAATCACTCAGAGGATGTGATTGCCAGGCCCTTTAACAGTTTGTGTCTGGTTTATCCATCTGTCTCTTGTGCGCTAATTGGCTATACATCAGCCTCTCTTTTGTGAGTTGTTAATTTTGTGACCTTCATACTTTAATAAGAAAAAAAATTTACTTTCCCTGCTTGGCTTTCAATTTTAGAAACTGAAGCTAATATTCACCAGTGTTATATTTTTCATTTTTTTATTTCAAGGATCTGGATGCTGTATTCTATTATTATTACATGCAACTTACTCTTTGAATATGTGTTCTTGTGGGGGAGAAAGATATATATAAAATATACATATTATATATGTTATATATAATATATATAACATATATAATGTGTTATATATTATATATGTTATATAATATTATATAACATATATAATGTGTTATATATTATATATGTTATATATATTATATATGTTATATATAATATTATATATGTTATATATATTATATATGTTATATATATTATATATGTTATATATATTATATATGTTATATATAATATTATATGTTATATATAATATTATATATGTTATATATATTATATATGTTATATATAATATTATATATGTTATATAATATTATATATGTTATATATATTATATATGTTATATATGTTATATATGTTATATATTTATATATGTTATATATGTTATATACATTATATGTTATATATATTATATATGTTATATATATTATATATGTTATATATAATATTATATGTTATATATAATATTATATATGTTATATATGTTATATGATATATAATATTATGTTATATGTTATATATATTATATGTTATATATGTTATATATATTATATGTTATCTATGTTATATATATTATATGTTATCTATGTTATATATAATATTATATGTTATCTATGTTATATATAATATTATATGTTATCTATGTTATATATAATATTATATGTTATCTATGTTATATATAATATTATATGTTATCTATGTTATATATAATATTATATGTTATCTATGTTATATATAATATTATATGTTATCTATGTTATATATAATATATGTTATCTATGTTATATATAATATTATATGTTATCTATGTTATATATAATATTATATGTTATCTATGTTATATATAATATTATATGTTATCTATGTTATATATAATATTATATGTTATCTATGTTATATATAATATTATATATATATATTTGTAAAGTTTGCTCAAAGCCTTCAGTCCTTTGCAGAGCAGCAAGCTGGATGCCACTGTGGGGCTCTAAGAGTCCTGAATTCTTACTGGGTTGATGAAGATTCCACATAAACATTTTTTGATGTTATCCTCATTGATCCATTCCATAAAGCTATCAGAAGAAATCTTGACACCCAGTGGATCACCAAACCAGTCCACAAGCACAGGGAAATGCATGGGCTGACACCTGCAGGCTGAAAGAGCCATGGCCTTGGAAAGGGCCATAAGTTCCACCACACTATTGGTGGTTCTTCCCCTGAAGCTTGGAGAAGGCACAATACTCTCCAGCTCCACCGTTACCACTGGTATAACTAAAGTTTATAAAATTCATACCTAATAAACAATCTAGGACAGTCAAAAAATAAAAATAAAACAACAAACAGTCAATATTAAGCATGACTGTTCCTGGAGCATTTTTGGTCATCTCTGAACCGAGAGATTGCTGCACTGAGATTATTCCTCAATGAGTGCACAGGCATCGTGTTGTTGGACTCCTTTGCATACATCAACTCTTCCCTGGGTCCGAGTCTCTCAGCCTCCTTTCAATCCTCACCTCTTTTATATATATTTTTTAGACAGAGTCTCACTCTATTGCCCAGGCTGGAATAGCATGATCTGAGCTCACTGCAACCTCTGCCTCCCAGGTTCAAGCGATTCTCCCACTTCAGCCTTCCAAGTAGCTGGGAACACAGGCGCATGCCACCATATCCAGCTAATTTCTGATTTTTTGCAGAGATGGGATCTTATCATGTTGCCCAGGCTGGTCTTGAACTCCTGGGCTCAAACAATCCTCCCACCTCAGCCTCCCGAGTACCCAGTACTACAGACCCAGATCACCGTGCCTGGCAATTTTTTTTTTTTTTTTTTGAGACAGGGTCTTGCTCTGTCACCCAGGTTGGAGTGCAGTGGCGTGATCTCGGCTCACTGCAACCTCTGCCTCCAGAGTTAAAGTGATTCTCAGGCTTCAGCCTTCCAAGTAGCTGGGAACTATAGGCATGTTCCACCACACCCAGCTAATTTTTGCATTTTTTATAGAGACAGGGTTTCACCATGTTGCCCAGGCTGGTCTTGAACCCCTGGGCTCAAGCAATCCACCTACCTCAGTCTCCCAAAGTTCTGGGATTACAGGCATGAACCACTGTGCCTGGCCAATTTTTTTATTTTTTATAGAGAGGGGGTTTCACTATGCTGCCTGGCTGATCTTGAACTCCTGGCTTCAATCAGACCTCCTGCCTCAGCCTCCCAAAGTGCTAGGACTACAGGTGTGAGCCACCACCCCGCAGAAATATTTATTATTAATTCATTCATTTTTGTTTTGTTTTTGTGGAGGTTTTTTTTTCTTTTTCTTTTCTTTCTTTTTTTTTTTTTTTTTTTTTTTTTTTTTTGAGACAGGGTCTTGCTCTGTTGCCCAGGCTGGCTGGAGTACAGTGACATGATCACGGCTCACTGCAGCCTTGATCTTCTGGGTTCAAGCAATCCTCCCACTTCAGCCTTCCTAGTAGCTTGGACCACAGGCGTGAACCATCACACTCGGTTAATTTTTGTATTTTTTTGTAGAGACGAGGTCTTACTTTGTCGCCCAGGCTGCTCTTTAACTCCTGGCCTCAAGCATCTGCCTGCCTCAGCCTCCCAAAGTGCTAGGATTACAAGCGTGAGCCACCACACCCACGGAAAACATTTATTATTAATTCATTTTTTAAAATTAATAAACTCAGCCAGGTGAGGTGGCCCATAATCTCAGCATTTTGGGAGGCCGAGGCAGGCGGATCACTTGAGGTCAGGAGCTTGAGACCAGCCTGGGCAACATGGTGAAACCCTATCTCTACTAAAAATACAAAAATCAGCTGGGTGTGGTGGTGCACCCCTCTAAGCCCAGTTACTCGGGAGGCTAAGGCAGGAGAATCGCTTGAACCAAGGAGGTGGAGGTTGCAGTGAGCTGAGATCATGCCACTGCAATCTAGCGTAGGCAACAGAGTAAGACTCTGTCTCCAAAAAAAAACCAAACAAACAAACAAAAAAATTAATAAACTCATTACACGTTAACATAAAAAACATTTTATTTAAATTAGTTACATTAAAAAAAAAACAGTGAGAAGAGTGGCATCATTTTATAATTTTGCAGATCTCTTTAATGTCTGGCTTAATAGAAGACAGCTGGATTCCCATATCTGCTCCTTTCCTTTCCCTCCTTTCCTTTCTGCCTCTCTCCTCTTCTCCCTCCCTTCTTCTCCTCCCCTTCCTCCCTTCCTTTTCTTTTCCTTTCTTTGTTTAATAAAAGAGATGAGCTGGGGCGCAGTGGCTCATGCCTGTAATCCCAGCACTTTGGGAGGCCAAGCTGGGTGGATCATCTGAGGTCAGGACTTCGAGACCAGTCTGACCAACAAGGTGAAACCCTGTCTCTACTAAAAGTATAAAAATTAGCTGGGGGTGGTGGCAGGCACCTGTAGTCCCAGCTACTCAGGAGGCTGAAACTGAAGAATTGCTTAAACCCGGGAGGCGGAGTTTGCAGTGAGCCGAGATCACGACACTGCACTCCAGCCTGGGTGATGGAGTGAGACTTCATCTCAAAAAATAAAAATAAAAGAGATGAAGTTCTGCTATGTTGCCCAGACTGAATTGAACTCCTGGACTCAAGCAATCCTCCCATCTCAGCCTCCCAAAGTGCTGGGATTATAGGCATGAACCACTGTGCCTGGACCATATCTGCTTCTGCATTCGATCTGTTGAAACATCACATGCTCTACAGCCTTTGAAAAACTCCACAGTACACTCATGAAAAAATAAGAATGAAAAAGGCAAATGATATTTCCGTATATTTATAAAAATAGTCTTGACCCACTTTGGGAGGCTGAGGCAGGTGGATCACCTGAGGTCGGGAGTTCAAGACCAGCCTGACCAACATGGAGAAACCCCGTCTCTACTAAAAATACAAAATTAGCCAGGCATGGTGGTACATGCCTGTAGTCCCAGCTACTCGGGAGGCTGAGACAAGAGAATTGCTTGAACCCAGGAGGTGGAGGTTGCGGTGAGCCAAGATTGTGCCATTGCACTCCAGCCTGGGCAAGAAGAGCAAGACCCCATCTCAAAAAAAAAAAAAAATAGTTTTGACCTTGCAGATCCTCTCACACAAAAGGGTCTTGGGGACCCTCAAAGATCCTGGATCACACTTGAAGGACCACACTTTATAACCACTGTTCTAGATCATGTCCTAGGCATGGGTTACTGACTTTTCTCACCCAAAGAAGCCTATCCTTCATTCACTCCACAAACATTGATTTGAGCACTTACTGAGTACCAGACACGTTCTGGGTGCTGGAAATGAAGCTAGGAACAAAACAAGGTCCCTATCCTCCTGGACAGCTGACATTCTAGTGGGAGGAGACAGATAATAAACAATAAGCAATTACAGTTATGCCAGATGATGGTAAATGCCATGAAGAAAAAGAAAACCAAAGAAAGGAAAAGAGATGGAAGGAGGGGACTGTTATATTAGGATGGTCGGGTGGGCTCTCTGAGCAGGAGACATCTGAGCAGAGACTGAAGGCTACAAGGGAGACAGTCAGGGAAATACCAGGGGGACCCACATTCCTAGTGGAAGGAGCAGCCAGCGCAAAGGCCCTGCAGAAGCGTGTTCATCACATTTGAGGGAACGCAAGGAAGCTGGTGCGGCTCAGGCAGAATGGATGACGGGAAAGGTGTGGGGAATGAGGCCGGAGGAGGGAGGAGTGCTCAAGTTCTGGGTATACTTTGAAAGGCTATTGATGATTTCATTGAATTAATGCTTCGCTTTATTATTACTTTTTTTTTTTTGAGACAGAGTCTTGCTCTGTCACCCAGGCTAGAGTGCAGTGGCACGATCTTGGCTAACTGCAACCTCTGTCTCTTGGATTCAAGTGATTCTCCTACCTTAGCCTCCTGAGTAGCTGGGATTACAGGCGTGCACCACCATACCTGGCTGGTTTTTGTATTTTTTATAGAGATGGGGCTTCACCATGTTGCTCAGGCTAGTCTTAAACTGAGCTCAAGTAATCTGCCCACTTTGGCCTCCCAAATGCTGGGATTGCAAGCATGAGCTACTATGCCCAGCATTAAATCATTAAAAAATAATAATAATAAAAAAAAATAATAATAATAATAGGCTGAGTGTGGTGGCTCACAGCTGTAATCCTAGCACTTGGGACCATTGCTGTGGTCATTTTTTAAAATTTTTTTAACTTTTATTTTTTTTAGAGATAAGGTTTTGCCATTAATTCAGCCTCAGCATTCAAGCTGAAACCTCAGACATTATGGAGAAGAAACAAAGCCATCTCCAATGTGCCCTGCCTAAATTCCTGACCCACAGAATCTGTGAGCATAATAAATAATTGTTTTGGCCAGGTGTGGTGGCTCACACCTGTAATCCCAGCACTTGGGAGGCCGAGGTGGGTGGATCACCTGAGGTCAGGAGCTTGAGACCAGCCTGGCCAACATAGTGAAACCCCATTTCTACCAAAAATACAAAAAAATTAACCAGGCGTTCTGGCACAGACCTGTAATCCCAGCTACATGGGAAGCCGAGGCAGGAGAATTGCTTGAACCCGGGAGGTGGAGGTTGCAGTGAGCCGAGATCGTGTCATTGCACTCCAGCCTGCGCAACAAGAGTGAACCTCTGTCTCAATAAATAAATAAATAAATAAATAAATAAATAAATGTTTTACACAACTAGATTTCTGATAATTTGTTACGCAGCGGTTGCTAACTGGAACAAAGGCCTCTTAGCATCCTATGTGAACATTCTAAAGTACTAATCTAATCAAGATAGGCCTGATTAAAATCCTGCAATGACTCCTCAGGCTAAAGTCAAAGCTGGTGAGCACTACAGGATATTAAAAGAGATCTTAGGGGCCGGGCGCTGTGGCTCACACCTGTAATCCTAGAACTTTGGGAGGCCGAGGCAGGCGGATCACAAGGTCAGGAGATCGAGACCATCCTGGCTAACACGGTGAAACCGTCTCTACTAAGAAAATACAAAAAAATTTAGCTGGGTGTGGTGGCGGGTGCCTGTAGTCCCAGCTACTAGGGAGGCTGAGGCAGGAGAATGGCGTGAACCCGGGAGGTTGAGCTTGCAGTGAGCCGAGATGGTGCCACTGCACTTCAGCCTGGGCAACAGAGCGAGACTCCGTCTCAAAAAAAAAAAAAAAAAAAGAGATCTCAGGGCCAGGTGTGGTGGGTCACGCCAGTAATCCCATCACTTTGGGAGGCCAAGGTGGGCAGATCACCTGAGGTCAGGAGTTCGAGACTAGCCTGGCCAACATGGTGAAACCCCGTCTCTACCAAAAATACAAAAATAAGCCAGCTGGACGTGGTGGCACACGCCTGTAATCCCAGCTACTCAGGGGGCTGAGGCAGCAGAATCACTTGAACCCAGGAAGCGGAGGTTGCGGTGAGCTGAGATTGTACCACTGCACTCCAGCCTGGGCAACAGAGCAAGACTCTGTCTCAAAAAAATAATAAATAAATAAATAAATAAAAGAGATTTCAGACCAAGCACAGTGCCTCACAGCTATAATTCCAGAGCTTTAGGAGGCCAAGGTGGGAGAATCACTTGAGGCCAAAAGTTCGATACCAGCCTGGGCAACATAGCAAGCCCCTGTCTCTACAAAAAAATTCAAAAATTAGCCAGCATGGTGGCTCATATTTGTAGTCCCAGTTACTCAGGAGGCTGAGTCAGGAGGATCCCTTGAGCCCAGGCAATCAAGGCTGCAGTGAGCTATGATTGTGCCACTGCACATCAGCGTGGGCAACAGAGTGAGACTCTGTCTCCAAAAAATAAAATGGGCGGGGCGTAGTGGGTCACGCCTGTAATCCCAGCACTTTGGGAGGCAGAGGAGGGCAGATCACTTGAGGTCAGGAGTTCAAGACCAGTCTGGCCAACATGGTGAAACCCTGTCTCTACTAAAAATACAAAAAAGGTAGCCACGCGTGGCGGCATGTGCCCGTAATCCCAGCTACTTGGGAAGCTGAGGCAGGGGAATTGCTTGAACCAGGGAGGTTGCAGTGAGCTGAGATCATGCCACTGTACTCCAGCCTGGGCAACTGAGCAAGACTCTGTCTCAAAAAAATAAAATAAAATAAAATAGGCCAGGCGCGGTGCTCACGCCTGTATTCCCAGCACTTTGGGAGGCCGAGGAGGGCAGATCACTTGAGGTCAGAAGTTTGAGACCAGCCTGGCCAACATGGGGAAACCCTGTCTCTACTAAAAGGCTGTGGTGGCATGTGCCTGTAATCCCAGCTACTAGGGAGGCTGTGGCAGAAGAATCAGTTGAACCCAGGAGGCAGAGGTTGCAGTGAGCCGAGATTGCACCACTGCACTCCAGCCTGGGTGACAAAGTGAGACTCCCTCTAAAAATAAAATAAAGAGATCTCATTAATCACCTGGTCTTCTTTTCTGGCTAATTTTTTTTATTATTATTAGTAGAGATGGGGGGTTTCGCCATGTTGGCCAGGCTGGTCTCGAACTCCTGACCTCAGGTGATCCGCCTGCCTTGGCCTCCCAAAGTGCTGGGATTACAAGTGTGAGTCACTGCACCCAGCCAATCACCTGGCCTTCTTCCCTTCAGGTTAGGAACTAGGCAGCTTTGGGATTCAGGCTGATGGGTGGAAACAATCCCAAAGTAGGATCACCTGAGGTCAAGAGGTCGAGACCAGCCTGGCCAACATGGTGAAACCTCGTCTCTACTAAAAATACAAAATTAGCCAGGCATGGTGGTGCACACCTATAGTCCCAGCTACTTGGGAGGCTGAGGCAGGAGAATCGCTTGAACCTGGGAGGCAGAGGTTTCAGTGAGCCAAGATCGCACCACCGCACTCCAGCCTGGGCAGCAAAGTGAGACTCTGTCTCAAAAAAAAAAAAAAAAAAAAAAAAAAAAAAAAAGCCCCTGCATTTCCAGGTGAATTCCCTGAAAGTTTCAAGTAGAAGTTGCAACCTTGGCCCAGAGCAGTGGCTCACGCCTGTAATCCCAACACTTTAAGAGACCGAGGCAGGAGTATTGCTTGAGCCCAGGAGTTCCAGACCAGCCTGGGCAACATAGTAAGACCCCATCCCTACAAAAAAAAAAAAAAAAAATCTAAAAATGAGGTGGGAGGATCACCTGAGCCTGAGAGGTTGAGTCTGCAATGAGCTGTGATAGTGCCACTGCACACCTGCCTGGGTGACAGCAGTGAGACCTTGTCTTAAAAAAAAAAAAAAAAAGTTGTGCTGGGCATGGTTACTCATGCCTGTAATCCCAACACTTTGGGAGGCTGAGGCGGGTGGATCACTTGAGGCCAGGAGTTTGTGACCAGACTGGTCAACATGGCAAAACCCCGTCTCTACAAACAAAACACAAAAATTAGTTGGGCATGGCCGGGCACGGTGGCTCACACCTGTAATCCCAGCACTTTGGGAGGCCGAGGCGGGCAAATCTCCTGAGGTCAGGAGTTCGAGACCAGCCTGGCCAACATGGTAAAACCCCTACTCTACTAAAAAAAAAAAAAATACAAAAAATACAAAAAATTAGCTGGTGTGGTGGTGGGCACTTGCAATCCCAGTTACTCGGGAGGCTGAGACAGGAGAATTGCTTGAACTCAGGAGGCAGAGTTTGCAGTGAGCCCTGATTGCTCCACTACACTCCAGCCTGGGCGTCACAGCAAGATTCTGTCTCAAAAAAATAAAATTTAAATTAAAAAAATAAAAGGAGGCTGGGTGTGGTGGCTCACGCCTGTAATCCCAGCACTTTGGGAGGCTGAGGCAGGTGGATCACAAGGTCAGGAGTTCAAGACTAGCCTGGCCAAGATGGTGAAACCCCGTCTCTACTAAAAAATATATATATACAAAAATTAGCCAGGCATGGTGGTGGGCGCCTGTAATCCTAGCTACTTGGGAGGCTGAGGCAGGGAATTGCTTGAACCCAGGAGATGGAAGTTGCAGTGAGCTGAGATCAGGTCACTGCACTCCAGGCTGGCGACAGAGAGATACTCTGTCTCAAAAAAAAAAAAAAAGGAAGTTGCAACCTTGGGCTAAACTGAGCTACAGATACGTTATTTAAAAGCATGAGCTAGGCCAGGCGCAGTGTCTCACGCCTGTAATCCCAGCACTTTGGGAGGCTGAGGCCAGCAGATCACAAGGTCAGGCGTTTGAGACCAGCCTGGCCAACATGATGAAACCCCATCTCTACTAAAAATACAAAAAAAAATTAGCCAGGCGTGGTGGCAGGCACCTGTAGTTCCAGCTACTCTGGAGGCTGAGGCAGGAGAATGGCGTGAACCCAGGAGGCGGAGCTTGCAGTGAGCCAAGACTCCACCACTGCACTCCAGCCTGGGCGACAGAGCGAGACTCCGTCTCAAAAAAAAAAAAAAAAAAAAAAAAAAAAAAAATTAGCCAGGCGTGGTGGCGGGCACCTGCAATCTCAGCTCCTTGGGAGGCTGAGGAAGAAGAATCGCTTGAACCTGGGAGGCGGAGGTTGCAGTGAGCCGAGATCGTGCCATTGCACTCCAACCTAGGCGACAGGGCGAGACTCCATCTCAAAAACAAAAAACAAAAACACATGAGTTAGTTCATGTGGTAGATTGTCTGCAGAGATGGCTGTCAACAGTTCCTCCCATTCCTGTATATACATGTCAGGCCTTTCACCAAGAGGTACAGTTTATTTCCTTATCCCTTGAATCTGGTCTAGACATGTATCTTGGTTTGACCAATGGAATGTAGAGGACATGATAATGTGTGACATCTAGGTCTAGGCCTTACAAAGCCTGACAGCTCCCATTTTCACTGTTTTGGGATCAAGCCACTCAAGAAAGAAGCTTAGGCTAGAGTCCATGAAAAGAGAGGCCCAGCCAACACCCCCAGCCTTCCAGCCACCCCAGCAGAGGCACTAGACTTATGAATGAAGCCATCTTGAGTGTTCTGACCTCTGTCAAGCTCCCAGCTGAATGAAGCCATGTGAGTGACCACAGCCAGTATTAAGTGGAGCAGAAGAACTAACTGCCCAGCTGAACCCAGCCAAAACGAAGTCATTAGAAATAATACATCATTGGCTGGACATGGTGCGTCATGCCTATAATCTCAGCCCTTTGGGAGGCATAGGTGAGCAGATCACTTGAGCCCAGGAGTTCAAGACCAGCCTGGGCAACATAGTGAGACCCCATCTCTTTTTTTTGTGTGAGATGGAGTCTTGCTCTGCTGCCCAGGCTACACTGATCTCAGCTCACTGGAACTTCCGCCTCCTGGGTTCAAGCAATTCTCCTGCCTCAGCCTCCCGAGTAGCTGGGATTACAGGTGCCCACCACCATGCCTGGCTAATTTTGTGTTTTTAGTAGAGACAGGGTCCACTATGTTGACCAGGCTGGTCTAGAACTCCTGACCTTAGGAGATCTACCCTCCTCGGCCTCCCAAAGTGCTGGGATTATAGGCGTGAGCCACTGCACCCAGCCCATCTCTATTTTTAAAAAATATATAATAGTAAAAAAACATAAATAATACATCATTGCTATTTTAGCCACTAATTAAGGGGATGTGTGATTTTTGTGTGTGTGTGTGTGTGATGGGAGTCTCGCTGTGTTGCCCAGGCTGGAGGGCAATGGCGCAATCTCCACTCACTGCAAGCTCCGCCTCCTGGGTTCACACCATTCTCCTGCCTCAGCCTCCTGAGTAGCTGGGACTACAGGCACCGGCCACCACCACGCCCGGCTAATTTTTTGTATTTTTAGTAGAGACGGGGTTTCACCGTGTTAGCCAGGATGGTCTCAATCTCCTGACCTCGTGATCCGCCCGCCTCAGCCTCCCAAAGTGCTGGGATTGCAGGCGTGAGCCACCGCGCCTGGCCTGGTGATTTGTGATTTTAAGGTGATTTGTTACTCAGCAATAGATAACTGAAACAGTCGACAACATTTAAAAACCTGAAACTGGCCCACATGGCATGTGCCTGCGAATCCCTTGAGCCCAGGGGTTCAGGTCTGCAGTGAGCTATGACTGCACCAGTGCACTCCAGCTCTGGTCAACAAAATGAGACCTTGTCTCTAAAAGAAATTTAAAAATAAAAAATAGGCTGGGCGCAGTGGCTCACTCCTGTAATCCCAGCACTTTGGGAGGCCGAGGTGGGCGGATCACAAGGTCAAGAGATGGAGACCATCCTGGTGAAACCGCATCTTTACTAAAAACACAAAAATCAGCAGGGCGTGGTGGCATAAGCCTGTAGTCCCAGCTACTCGGGAGGCTGAGGCAGGAGAATCGCCTGAACCCAGGAGGCGGAGAGGTTGCAGTGAGCCAAGGTCGTGCCACTGCCCTCCAGCCTGGGCAACAGAGTGAGACTCTGTCTAAAAACAATTAAACATAAAAAAATAAAAAATAAAAACCTGAAACTGTCACATAAAAACATGAGTTTGGGGACTTCTTTTTTGAAAACACTGGACCTGTGTAGCTCACTTGGACTTCAGGGCAGAATCTTTTTCTTTTCTTTTTTTTTTTTTTTTGAGACGGAATCTGGCTCTGTCGCCCAGGCTGGAGTACAGTGGCGTGATCTCGGCTCACTGCAAGCTCCGCCTCCCGGGTTCACGCCATTCTTCTGCCTCAGCCTCCTGAGCAACTGGGACTACAGGCGCCCGCCACCAGGCCCGGCTAATTTTTTGTGCTTTTAGTAGAGACGGGGTTTCACCATGTTAGCCAGGATGGTCTTGATCTCCTGACCTCGTGATCCACCCGCCTCGGCCTCCCAAAGTGCTGGGATTACAGGCGTGAGCCACCGCGCCCGGCGCAGGGCAGAATCTTAAAGGTGTGCCCACAACCCCAGTGAACGAAGAAGATCTGTGGTTACAAGAAGACAACTGCTTCATCAGAGGGAAGAGTTCTGCCTGCTCCTGTGACTTCTCCCACAGCAGAAATGATGAGAGCTGGTGACATCCAATCATAACTCTATTATCTTTCCCAAGGCAGGTTCATCAGGCAGGTCATTCATCAGCAGGTACACATAATTTCTGGGCAGAGAGAGATAGAGAGTTCTCCCAGGAATTTTGCAAACAAAATATGTTCTCTTTCCTTGTTGAAATGTATAAAATTTATCTTCTGGGAGAATACATACAGGGTGCTTTGTGATTTACTTCAGAGTAGAAGGCAGGCACACTTGATTTACTTCATCGTTCGTTCAAGAGAAGGAAGACAATTATCTGGTTGTAATTATCCTCGTGGCCATAAAGGGAATTTGACTAAGTGTCTCCTGGAATTGAGAGGAACCCCAATTCATCCAGCTTGATTTGGGGGCTCTGTTCCAGGCTGGCAGGCTGGGGGATGGAGGTATCAAGGGTAGCATGTGAAAAATGCTGTTTCCACTCTCACCACCATGGGAAGGTGGGAAAGGAACAACTGTCAGGAAGAGAGGCGACCCAGGAAAAAGGGAACAATTTCCTGGCTTCTTCCCAGTACTCCAGACCCTAGGGGACTCTACAGCAAGGAAATTACATTGTTTGTCATGAGCCTGACTCAACCGGATGTGAAGGAAGAAGGGTTCTATCTATGTAACATTCAGAAAAGCTGACACAGACAACTCTCATTGAAATGAAGCAGAAAATGTTCAATCACACACAATCAAAATAAAACCACTGGGCCTGCAGTCCTGCCTGTCAATGAACAGCTGAGGCCCAGCAGTGCTGGCTGCCACATGGAAGTCAACATCCCCCTTCTGCCTCCCTGTGTTTTTTTACCCCATCCCCCCACCACCACGGGTTTCCCTACAAGCTTTAATGCTCAGTAGCTGAATCTATAGACAAGGGATTTAGCCTATCTCTGAAATCTGGGGTGACAACTCCATGGAAGTACTGGGGTATAACCTAAGACAATCATTTTTTTGTTTTTTGTTTTTCGGTTTTTTGTTTTGTTTTGTTTGTGCTCTGTCTCGCTCTGTCACCCAGGTGACACTACACTCGCTCTGGAGTGTAGTGGCCCAATCTCGGCTCACTGCAAACTCTGCCTCCCAGGTTTAAGCGATTCTGCTGCCTCAGCCTCCGGAGTAGCTGGGATTACAGGTGTGCGCCATCATGCCCAGCTAATTTTTATATTTTTAGTAGAGATGGGGTTTCACCATGTTGGCCAGACCCGTCTCAAACTTCTGACCTCAAGTGATCTGTCCGCCTCGGCCTCCCGAATTGCTGGGATTACAGGCATAAACCACCACGCCCGGCCTAACCTGAGCCAATTCTAAGAGATAAGTACTATTGTCATTGTTTCTATTTCACAGGGAAAGAAATCGAGGCACAGAGACGTTCCATAGCTTGACCAAGGGCACAGCTGGTAAGTGGCAGACCTGGGATTCCAACACAGGCAGTGGAGCTCTAGAGTCCAAACTCGTAACCACCCCATTAGCTGCTTCTGGGTGTCAGATGGGCAAGCATTTTCTGAGTTGTAAACAAAAACCTCGGTCGGGCGAAGTGGCTCACACCTGTAATCCCAGCACTTTGGGAGGCCGAGGCAGGTGGATCACGAGATCAAGAGATGGAGACCATCCTGGCCAACATGGTGAAACCCCATCTCTACTGAAAATACAAAAATTAGCTGGGCGTGGTGGCATGCGCCTGTTGTCCCAGCTACTGAGGAGGCTGAGGCAGAAGAATCACTTGAACCCAGGAGGTGGAGGTTGCAGTGAGCAGAGATCACACCACTGCACTCCAGCCTGGTGACAGAGCGAAACTCCGTCTCAAAAACAGACAAACTTCAGTGCACCCTGAAGGGCATATGATATATTTCTAGGGAAGCAGACCCAACCAAGCTCCCTATCTCTGCCCCAGGTCAGTGCTGGAGAAGGACCAGCCCTGATGCCTTCCACACCAGGCAAATGCAAAGCAGAACACGCCCTGGAGTGCTGTGCCCTTCATTATGGATAGCCAGGGAGGTCTTGATAGCTGGTGGCTTTCTGCCCTGCCTTCCCTTCCTCCTGCAATGGTCTAGTGCCATGGTTAAGAGCAGACACTGGAGCCAGACCATCTGTCTCTGGATCTGGCTCTAATTTACGTATGAAGTGGGTAGCAGCTACCTCATAGTGCTTGTTGTATGTGATGAGTTTGTACATGTAAAGTGCTTAGGATAGTGTCTGGCACATAGTACGTGCTAACTAAATGTCAGCTGTAATTGATAATGATTCCTCACTTTATCAGCTCTATATCTTCCTCCCATCCCAACGTTCTCAAGCATCCGGATTATTTTGTTTTGACCAATTCCCATTTTGGAGGGACCTTATCTTCAGAGGACAAAACTGATCCTAAGGGGGGAAGCAATAATGGAGGATTCTGGGCATCACAGCAGGCTCTTGGGAAGTCTTTCAGGAATAGGAGCTCTCCTGGGAACACTAATGTTGCCCAGGTGAGTGGCTTTTCGCTGCACTTGCCTCTAGAGTCTGGAAGGAAGATAGGGGAACTACTGGCAGCATCCCGTCTTAAGGAGAACGAGAAGGAGGTCCCATGGATGCTTTTGCCTCTCCTCTCCTTTCCCCTTCCACAGACACCACTCCTCATTCATTCTAGGCCCCACACACCCCTCTTCCTCTCAGGACTCCGGTGACTTGGCCTATCTGCTAGGAGAGCAATTGAATTTCATGCAAGATTAATGGTTCTTGTCCTCAAATGGCATCACTCACTGGGTCTGCAATGCAAACCCCCATTCCCCATCTGTGGGGCCAGAGCCAGCACAAGAGGTAGAGTGGCCTGCAGGCAAGAGGCTTGGCCAATGGTAAGTCTCCTGGGTCCTGTCCTGACTGGCTGAAGGAGAAAAGCAATACCTAGAGCTGAGCCATGGTGAGGAGGTTGGACCGAGGGTGAGATAGAGAGCTGAGAAGGAGAGCTGGAATCAGAGCACTACCCCAGGGCCTGGGACTCAGTCTGACAGAAGAGATGCCTGGCCTGGGCAGAGGCTCTTGTATGGCAGAGCCCTCTCCCTGTCTCCCAGACCACATTCACTTCCAGGCATCATCAACCAGCACTATTACATTTACAGAGAGCTCTGATACCCATAATCCCACTCAATCCTCAGGAGAGCATGTGGGGTGGTAACTGCTGTTACGTCTGTGAAAACAATCTCAGAAAAATTGTCAATCATGCATTCACTTAAACATCTATTAAGTGCTTGCTGTATGCCGGGAAATAAACCTAGCTCTCCTGATTCAAGGTCAGTGTTCTTTCCACGTGTTTGCTTCAATATGTTGATTCCTTCTTCCGTCTCCTCCTAAATTTGCCTCCCAAACACTCGCCTTCTGTTGCGATTTTTTTTTTTTGAGACGGAGTCTCATTCTGTCACCCAGGCTAAAGTGCAGTGGCGCAATCTCGGCTCACTGCAACCTCTGCCTTCCGGGTTCCTGCGATTCTCCTGCCTCAGCCTCCCAAATAGCTGGGACTACAGGCACTCACCACCATGCCCGGCTAATTTTTTATATTTTTAGTACAGACCGGGTTTCACTGTGTTAGCCAGGATGGTCTCGATCTCCTGACCTTGTGATCCACCCGCCTTAGCCTCCCAAAGTTCTGGGATTACAGGCGTGAGCCACCGCGCCCGGCTCTGTTGTGATTTTTGAAATGCCTACAGTTCTTTGATACCCTTCCCTTCAGGAAATGAAGTCTGAAACCCCTCCTTTTGAATGTAGGCTGGGCTACCTTCCAACTAATATAATAAACTGGAAATGATGGCGTGCAACTTCAGAGGAGGCTGGCCCATAACAGGCACTGCAGCTTCCTGCTTATTTTCTCTGTCCCTCTCTTTCTTTGTCTCTTTCTGATCACTTGCTCTAGGGGAAGCCAGCTGCCAGGTCATGATCAGACCAGTGGAGAAACAGAGGCCTCTGACCAACAGATATGTGAAGTAAGTTTGGGAGTAGATCCTCCATGCCCAGCTGACATCTTGACTGCAGCCTCATGACAGACCCTGAGCTAGATGAGACCTCTTCAAGCTGTTCTTGGATTTCTGACCCTCAGAAATTGTGTGATCTCACAATAATAAATGATTGTTGTTGGGTTTTTTTTTGTTTGTTTGTTTTGAGACAGTGTCTCGCTCTGTTGCCCAGGCTGGAATGCAGTGGTACAATCACAGCTTACTGCAGTCTAAACTTCCTGGAGCCACTGCACCTGGCCAAATGTTTGCTGTTTTAAGCTGCTGAGCTGTGGGGTAATTTTTATGCAGCAACAGATCACCAACACATCTTTTCCACTATGGAACACCCTCATCTCCCAAAGCTAACCCCTTTGGGCAGTTTGAGTCACTTAAAAGTTTATTTTTCTCATACATTCGGCTGAGATAGTAAAGGGAGTCAGAACTCTGAGTTCAAACATCTGTGGTTGCTTCTTTCTAGCTGTGGTACATAAGGCAAGTTATTTAACCTCTCTGGGTCTCAGTTTCACATCTGTCAAACAATGATGATACCTTCCTGGAAAGAAGAGTGTGGAGATTAAACACATCTGACCCAATGCTGGGCACTCGGTGGGTGCCTGCTAAATCTGAGTTCCCTCTGGCCCTGCTAATTTTCTTTTTTGTTGTTGTTGTTTTTGTTTTGTTTTGTTTTTGAGACGGAGTCTCGCTCTGTCGCCCAGGCTGGGGTGCAGTGGCACAATCTCGGCTCACTGTAAGCTCCGCCTCCCGGGTTCAGGCCATTCTCCTGCCTCAGCCTCCCGAGTAGCAGGGACTACAGGCGCCCACCACCACGCCCAGCTAATTTTTTGTATTTTTAGTAGAGACAGGGTTTCACTGTGTTAGCCAGGATGGTCTCGATCTCCTGACCTCGTGATCCGCCCGCCTCTGCCTCCCAAAGTGCTGGGATTACAGGAGTGAGCGACTGCGCCCGGCCTGGCCCTGCTAACTTTCTAATTCCTGACTCTACTTGCATGCTCCCAAGACCCTGCCCAAAGAGGCTGGGACTAGGATCAGGGGTTTTAAGAGCTCCTCATCCTCCTCCTGCAACAAGAGACAGAGGAGAGGGGCTGTACCAGCGATCCCCCTCCAGTGTGAACATGAGAGATTTGTCCACAGGAAGTAGGGTGTGCTGCTGGAAAGGTCCCAGGGAACCTTAACAGATATGTATTGGCTAGGCTTGGCCTCTAGCCCAGCTACCCCAACACCTCCTCCCAGGGTGAAAGGAGTCTAGCTTGCCACTCACCAGTTCACTGTGAGTGAAAACTGCTATTATTTCTGAGTCTTTCCCAATTTCTTTTCCTTTTCACCAGTTTTCTTTCCCCCAATCCCTTTACAATTTTTTTAAATTCACAAATAATATATGAAAAATAATAACAGCCAACATTTCCTGAGAACTTAGCAGCCAAGGTTCCAAGACGGCTGTGTCTCATAATCACTCTGTGAGGTAGATTACTATAATTAGCCCCATTTTACAGATGACAAAGCCAAAGCAAATGGGTTAAGTAAATTGTCCAAGGTCACACAGAGGCAGAAAGAAGCTAATAGAAGCTGAAGCTTCAGGGTCAGTAGCTCATTTATGCAAGCTGCTCCAAGACTCTGTATTCATATTTAATTGTCCTTTTCTTAAAGAAGGTAATGAAAACTTCATGCGGTAACAAGAGGTCAGTGTGCTGTTTTCTTGCAGATATTTTAAAAATACATTTACATCTATAAACACACACGGAAATAAATGCCCCCCTACTCTGTGTATGGCTGGCACCCAGCTCCTTTAACACAACGTCTTCACTGACTCCACTTTTCTAACCATTGTGTGGTGTGCACCACTGATGCTCTACTTTAAAATTTACCAGCCTTTCTGAAGTTGAGCCCTGTGCTCCCCTCCTCTGACTCTGGCCCCACCCTGGGGTTCCCACCCTCTTCTCAGCTTTTTCTCCCTTCGCCCTGTCCCCTACGCTGTTTCCCCCCTCATACAGCCCCTTTCCCTGTGTCCTCACTACTTCATGCCCCAATTCCTTCCTGCCTCTCGCGTTTCTCCTCTCTCCTCGCCACCCCGCCCCGTCCTTCACCGCCCACCCTGTTTTCCCCGCTCGCTGCCCGCTCTCTCCCACTCCAGCTTCCTCCAGGCCTGCCACATTACCCTAATTCACAGCACCCCATCCTTCCTCCCTCACTCCCCGCATCTCCCGCCCCCACCCCCTACACCCCTTCACGGCTAGGAGGGAGCGCACAGCCGGCGGGCTGCGACGCGCGCTGACAGTGTAATGAATGGCTTCAGCTGTAATTAGCGACCCCGCGGCTAATCACGATGTACATTTACATTTTAAGTGCTGCAGAGGGAGCGCGGGAAGGGGAGGGGACCGGCAGGAGGGAATGCGGCCCTTTTCGGCGTTCTCCCTTCACCGACTGTGGAGAGCAGTGAATGCGAGTCTTCTACATCCGACAGCAGTTTAGGAGGTTGGGGACGGCTGGGTCCTCGAGGGCCAACCTGGCCGGACGCAGAACCGCCCCGTCCTCGCCCTACACAAACCTGAAGCTCCCAGGACCCTTTCTCCAAATGACAGAACTCCGCCCAATCCCTTCCAAGTGATCGTGCAGCCCAAACTTGCATACTCCCGGGGACGGAGAGCTCGCTCCTTCCACAACCAGCCCGTTCCAACGTAACTTCCAGCCTTTCGGGGGCTTTTTCTCAGGGCCTGACCTTACACAGCCCTCGGTTCTCCACGCCCCGCTACGCGCTGCGGACAGTCTTTGTTTCTTCCCAAGGCTGCTGTGCCTCCAGCCCCCACCGCTGTGTGGGGCCCATGGAGACTGGACCGAGACCGAAGTCCCGGTTCGGAGCATACCCCGAGGGTTCCTGATCCCACCAGGAGACGGGGAGGGGGTCAGCCATTCACACATTGCGGTGCCAAGGTCCAGTCGCCGCAGCCACTCCCAGGAAGTGGTAAGAGGGTAAATCCCGGTTCTGAACAGCAGGGACCGAGGGCCGCTCCCAAGAAGTGACAAGGAAGTAAACCCTGGTTTTGAACAGCAGGGACTGAGAGCTGCTGCAGATGCCCAGAGGGCGAGAACAGCGGGAGGAGGGAGAACAGCATCTGGCAGCCCCATCTCCAACTGAGGCCCAGCAATCCAAGGCACTGTCATGCCCCCAGCACTTTCCCGGTGGCCCGCCCGCCCCAGCTCTCTGTGTCCCTCCCCGCCACGCCCCGTCACAGTCCCCTGGCTAGGACCAGATCTGCCGCCCTCTCTCAGTCCTGACTGCGTAGGGCGGGTGGAAGGAGGACGGGGGAATCCCGAGAGCAGTTTTAGGGAGGGTCGGGCCCCTTCTCAGACCCCCTCCCTTCCATCAGTAGTCCTGACAGCCCCCAATCTCATCTTTCTCTAATGCTTCTCTCACCCGGCAGGAGACCCCGGGCCTCTCTTTCGGTCCCGTGGAGTTTCCGCCGGAGAGGCATCCAGTAGTTCCATAATGCCCCCAGGGCTTCAACTCCCCATCTTCCTCCCTTCTTTCTCTCTTTTATTTTTTTTTAAGTCTTTTTAATTTTTGTGGGTATACAATAGGTGTCTATATTTAGAGGGTACATGAGACGTTTTGATACAGGCATGCAATGCATAATAATCACATCCTGGAGAATGGGGTATCCCTCCCTTCTCTTTTGTATTTTATTTAATTAATTAATTTATTCATTTTTCGAGACAGAGCTTTGCTCTGTCGCCCCGGCTGGAGTGCAGTGGCATGATCTCGGCTCACTGCAGCCTTCAGCTCCCGGGTTCAAGCGCTTGTCCTGCCTCAGCCTCCCGAGCAGCTAGGATTACAGGAGCGTGCCACAACGCCGAGCTGATTTTTGTACGTTTAATGGAGACGGGGTTTCACCATGTTGACCAGGCTGGTCTCGAACTCCTGACGTCAAGTAATCCGCCCACCTCTGCCTCCCAAAGTGCTGGGATTAAAAGCGTGAGACACCGCGCCCGGCCCCTCCCTTCTCTTTTTTAAAACCTGCGTTCACCTAGCCTCCTTTCGAAAAGGACCCCACTGGATCTCAAGGGGCCAATGTTGCCTGAGCGAATTCCGCCTGGGAGGAAGGGGGCGGCCACGTTGGCAAGGCATCGTGCCTGGCTCACCCTAAAGCGCGCAGCTCTAAGGGTGGGCTCTAGGGCCTGGGTGGAGCGAGCCTACCGCCTTTTCAGAAGAGGTCACGCCCGCTTCCCCACGCGCCTCGGGGAACAGCCTGGCCCAAAGCCTCACTCCTCACGTCCCAGGGGTGGACGGGGGTCCGGGAGCCTCGAGCTCCGGGCAGGCGTGGCGAGGCTGAAGTCTGGGTCTTCCGCGCCCCGCGAGGACCACGCCGCGACGTAATCGCCCGCGGGGAGGCGCGGAGTGGAGCCGCAGCCAGCTCCTCCCGCACTCTGCTGACCGCGCACTAGCTGTCCTTGAGGCAAGAATACTTGGGAGCGGAAAAAAGGTGGGGGTGTTCCCCGGGGCGGGGGAGGAGGGGCAAGGCCCCAGCAAGCCTCTTGGAAATCTCTCCCTGGGAGGGGACGAGGGGCGGCCTTCAGTTGCAAATGGGAAGGGCTCGGATACCGGATTTGAAGCAGTGTTTGCACGGCAAGCGCAGCTTTTATTTAGACTGCCGGTTTGTGAGGGTTGGCTCTCAGAGCGCTGATGGCGATTATAGTGGAACTTCACCTTCACCTGCTCATGCGCCCCGCAGCGCGCCCGCTCCCACGCCCGCGTAGCTGAGGACCCAGACTCGCCAGGAAAGGCTAGTGAGGCTGGGGCCCGGGCGGGCCCGGCCGGGCCGGGTCAGGGGAGGGGCCTGGCGGCAGGGGCGGGGCCTCAGCTAAAGGCGCGGAGCACCCGGCGCCGAGAGCGCTGAGTAGAGCGGCGCCCGCTCGAGAGAAGTGGGGCCGAGATCGCGCCGTCCCAGCCCGCCCGCCGGCGTCTGCGCTGCTCCGGCGCCCTTACCCCTGCTGGCCCTTGCAAGGCGCGACCGGCGGCCATGCAGCCCCGGGGCTGAGGCCGCCCCATGGCAAAGCCGGCGGTCCCGGCGACGACGGCGCATGGAGAACTTCCGTAAGGTGCGCTCCGAAGAGGCGCCAGCGGGGTGCGGGGCCGAGGGAGGCGGCCCGGGCTCCGGCCCCTTCGCAGACCTGGCGCCGGGCGCGGTGCACATGCGGGTCAAGGAAGGCAGCAAGATCCGGAACCTGATGGCCTTCGCCACCGCCAGCATGGCGCAGCCAGCCACGCGCGCCATCGTCTTCAGCGGCTGCGGCCGGGCCACCACCAAAACCGTCACGTGCGCCGAGATCCTCAAGCGCCGCCTGGCGGGCCTGCACCAGGTCACGCGGCTGCGCTACCGGAGCGTACGCGAGGTGTGGCAGAGCCTCCCGCCTGGGCCCACGCAGGGTCAGACGCCTGGCGAGCCGGCCGCTAGTCTCAGCGTACTTAAGAACGTGCCCGGCCTCGCCATCCTACTTTCCAAGGACGCGCTGGATCCGCGACAGCCCGGCTACCAGCCCCCGAATCCCCATCCTGGTCCCTCGTCCCCGCCAGCCGCGCCAGCGTCCAAGAGGAGCCTAGGGGAACCCGCAGCTGGAGAAGGCTCCGCGAAGCGATCGCAACCCGAGCCAGGGGTTGCGGACGAGGATCAGACGGCCTGAAACTCCGGACTGTGGGCCACCTAGTCCGGCAGGATCTTCCGCCAGCGCCTCCACCTTCAGATGTACCTCCAGCCTTTCACTCCTCGGTCCTCCGGAGCCCACAACCTGGACACAGCTCCTCAAGACAGGTAGCATGGACCTTAAGGCGACAAGAGAGGGGCCCCAGGAGTGGCAGGAGAGGATCCCCGACCACCCTAGGGAAACTTCGTGCGATAATTGCTGCTTATGCCCGTGTTGCGTGAAGACACGGAACTTCACCTTTTCTGGGACCTTCTTTGGGGGAGAATGGTGGACAGTGGGATTCTGGAAACTTGTTTGGGACCCCCAAGGGTTAAAGCCACCCAGCATTCACGAAGAGCACCTGAAGTATGGAAGCTGAGAAGAGTTATTGGAATCACCCCCACCGTTGACAGAGGAAGGCAGGGGGTGAGAATTAACTGCTTGAGGGTAGGAGAGTCTGAGATGTGGGGGCCCTATTCCGCTCCCCGCCCTGGGACAGTTTTCCTTTCTAGTTTTCTTTCCCCTGCTTCAGAGGAGCATCTCTGAGGGTTCTAGCTCTTTTAACACCCCTTTTCCCCCTGCTGGCCCAGAGGGAGACCCAGGACTGAACTCTCCAGGCCTCCTCCCCTGAGCCCTGCAGCTGGCTGGAGTCTTGCTTCCAATAAAACAAGCACAAAAATGGCTGTGTCCCCCATTTTTTTTCTAACCACCCGCCTGTGCAGAGACAGCTCTCGCCTGGCCCCTTGTGTCTCCCCTCCCCTCCAGCCTTGCGTCCTGAGTCTTTGGAGTCTTCAGGGTCAGGCACAGAGACTGAACAGCTTCAAAATGGTGCAAGGCACTGCCCAGTCCCTGGCTTCTTCCTCTCTCCTCCCCCACTCCGCCCTCCCGGGCTGGCCCTGGCCTCAGAGGCTGTTGCAAATGGGGGCCCGTGTACCCCTGTACATCGCCACTAAGGGAAAGGGAGCGGCACATTGTTTTTCTGGGAGGGGAAGGAAGGAGTGGAAGGACAGCATCGATGAACTCTCCTGGAGGTCACTGCAAAGGGTGGCAGACCCTGCTGAGGTCCCTGAATCTGCAGCCTCCAGACAATAAACTGAACCTTACCCAGAAGGCTGGCACAAAGCCCCCAGCTCTGTGGGTAGGATCTCCCCTTCACTGCCCTCTCTCTGAGAAAGGACAGCACACCCTTGGGAAAGGGGGAGGAGAGAGACTGAGCACAAATCCACTGCTGGAAATTACTATTCAGCAGAGAAGCTGGGTCTTGGGCTGTGAATCACTGCAGGCCTCCTGATAAGCTGCTGCCTCCAGCCCTGCACAGCTGTCTGTTGAGAGATAACAGCCTCATAAGCTTCTCTGCCCAACTCCAAGCCAGCTGGGGGGTGGGGGTGCTGCTGTGTGCTGGAAGAGCTCTGGTGAGTTGGGGGTGGCATACAGCCCCAGGATCTCAGAAGCAGATCTCATCCCATGCAACTCAGCAGCACCCCTGGAAAGGGGGAGATGCGGAAGAATGTATTTATAAGTCATTTTGCTGGCAGAACCCTGAAATAAATCCTGCTGGTGACAAGAGATACGTTCTGTGGCTGACTGGAGGGGCTCTTAGGGAGGTTTCCCTCCCCTGCAGTATCTCTGCTTGAGCTTTGGAGTGAGCTTTGTCATCCAGACTTTGTCCCTCGTTGCTCTCCCCAAATTCCTGCTCTTGATGAGTCCCTGGAGAGGGCCAAGGGGTTTGGGTTTGCTTGTCTGACCCTCTCAGGGGTGGCCCAAGAAGCATGGAAAGAATGTAAACTGTCCTGACAAGATGGCCTAGCTTCTCCTGGACTTCAGCATCTAAAGGCAGTGATAAAACTTGGACAAGGTCCTGCATGGTAGAAGCTTAAGGGAGACTGGTCTTGGTTCTGAAAAGGGTCCAACTTTCCAAGACAACAAGTGACTGATAGCCGGGTTACCAGGACTATGAAAGCAGGGCCTGAGGCCGGGCATGGTGGTTCATGCCTGTAATCCTGTAATCCCAGCACTTTGGGGGGCCAAGGCGGGCAAATCACGAGGTCAGGAGCTTGAGACCAGCCTGGCCAACATGGTGAAACCCCGTCTCCACTAAAAATACAAAAATTAGTCAGGCATGGTGGCGGGCGCCTGTAATCCCAGCTACTCAGGAGGCTGAGGCAGGAGAATCGCTTGAACCTGGGAGGCGGAGGTTGCAGTGAGCCGAGATTGCATCACTGCACTCCAGCCTGGGCGACAGTGTGAGACTCCGTCTCGAAAAAAAAAAAAAGAAAGCAGGGTCTGCTAGTCTTGTCACGGAGATAAGGCTGCAATGGATTTTTTTTTATTATTTTTTTTGAAACGGAGTATCTCTCTGTCGCCCGGGCTGGAGTGCTGTGGTGCGATCTCGGCTCACTGCAACCTCTGCCTCCTGGGTTCAAGCGATTCTCCTGCCTCAGCCTCCTGAGTAGCTGGGATTACAGGCGTGTATCCCCACACTCGGCTAGTTTTTGTATTTTTAGTAGAGAAGGGGTCTCACCATGTTGGCCAGGCTGGTCTCAAACACCTGATCTCAGGTGATCCACCCGCCTCGGCCTCCCACAGTGCTGGGATTACAGGCATGAGCCACCACACCCGGCCTCTCTTTTTTATTTTTTTTATTTTAATTATTATTATTATTATTTTGAGAAGGAGTCTTGCTCTGTCACTAGGCTGGAGTGCAGTGGTGCAATCTCAGCTCACTGCAACCTCCACCTCCTGGGTTTAAGCGATTCTTCTGCCTCAGCCTCCCAAGTAGCTGGGATTACAGGCATGTGCCACCACGCCCAGCTAATTTTTGTATTTTTAGTAGAGACGGCATTTCACCATGTTGGCCAGGATGGTCTCAATCTCTTGACCTTGTGATCCACCTGCCTTGGCTTCCCAAAGTGCTGGGATTAGAGGTGTGAGCCACCACGATTTTATATATATATATATTTTTTCGCCCGGCTGTAGTGCAATGGCACAATCTCAGCTCACCGCAACCTCTGCCTCCCAGGTTCAAGTGATTCTCCTGCCTCAGCCTCCGGAGTAGCTGGGATTATAGGTGTGCACTACCACGCCCGGCTAATTTTTTTATTATTAGTAGAGATGGGGTTTCACCATGTTGGCCAGGCTGGTCTCAAACTCCTGACCTCAGGTGATCCACCCGCCTCAGCCTCCTGGAGTGCTGGGATTACAGGCATGAGTCACTGCTCCCGGACTCTTTTTATTTTTTTATTTTATTTTTTATTTTGAGACGGAGTCTCACTCTGTTGCCCAGGCTGGAGTGCAGTGGCACAGTCTTGGCTCACTGCCGCCTCCGCCTCCCAGGTTCAAGCAATCCTCCAGCCTTAGCCTCCTGAGTAGCTGGGATTACAGTCGTGGGCAACCATGAGCAGCTAATTTTTGTATTTTTATTAGAAACGGGGTTTCACCGTGTTAGCCAGGCTGGTCTTGAACTCCTGACCTCAACTGATCCACCCGCCTCGGCCTCCCAAAGTGCTGGGATTATAGGGGTGAGCCACTGCCCCCGGCCTGCAGTGGATTTCTCTTGATGGGTCAGAAAAGTTCCCTTCCAGCCCAGAAACCTATCCTGGGGGGTAGAGAAGAGAGGAACATGTTTATCCAGCATCAGAGCATTAACCTTCCCCCAAGCAGGTCATGAAACACTTTCTTTTCTGCACTCCCGCCCCACCCCGGCAAGTTTGGTTCCCAGGCTTTCAGTAGGTGTGCTGACTCACCAATGGAACCCAGCACGCATGAGCACTCCATCTCTGCCCTACTGATTTCTGGCCCCACTGACCTAGGAGCAGGCTCCAAAAGAAGGTGACAGATGTTCCTCTACCCGCTCCCCACCACCAAGGCTGAAGTGGGAACCTCAGAAGTCCTGGGATAAAGGGAGGGGTGGCTAGGGGAGCACCTCAGAGACAAGGCCCATTTCAGGAGCCGACTAGTGGCAGAGTGGGAGAGTCCCTCTTGTGAAACCCCATTTTTCCAATAGTGGTCTCTACCCAGGAGCTTCCTGGACCCAGCCTGGTGCTTGCCTTGGCCCCGCCTTGGGATACTTCCAGACTAGGAGCGGCAGTGAAGTCTCACACCTAGAAAACTTAGGTCACAAAAACAAAATCCATTTGGAAACATAAAAGTATATAATGCAAGGCCCAGAGCTCATGGTCGAATGAGTGATGGACTTCCACCTGAGCCTTCATTCATTCAACAAGTGTTCACTGTTGTACCGGGACCCAGTCTAGAAATGGGCTGGGGCTGGGTATAGAATCACAGCATAATCAGACACTGTACCTCAAAGAGGGCCGAGTCTTGGCCAGGTGTGGTGACTCACGCCTGTAATCCCAGCACTTTGGGAGGCAGAGACGGGGGGGGGGGGGTCACCTGAGGTCAGGAGCTTGAGACCAGCCTGACCAATATGATGAATACAAAATTAGCCGGGCATGGTGGCGGGCGCCTGTGATCCCACCTACTTGGGAGGCTGAGGCAGGAGAATCGCTTGAACCCAGGAGGTGGAGGTTGCAGTGAGCTGAGATGTGCCATCGCACTCCAGCCTGGGCCCATCTAGCACAGTGTGATGATAGAAGATGGGAGCTCTGAGAAGGGGAACTTACCTTGCCCAGAGGTGCTGATGGAGCTGGTTCTCCAAGGATCAGGAGTTAGCCAGCTGACCAAGACTGGACAGGGAGCTCCAGGCAGAGCATAGAGAGCGGGTGTGTATGATGCTGAGGCTGCCACAGGTGTCTGATGGATAGAGGAGATGGCAGAGGGTAACGTGTAGAGATGCAGGTGAACTAGAGTGCTAGGTGGGAGCCAGGTCACAGGGAAGTGAGGGAGCCGGTGGGAGCCAGGTCACAGGGAAGTGAGGGAGCCACTGGGAGCCAGGGAGTGCTCTGAGCCCAGATCTGACTGGTGTTTGAGAAGGATCCCTCTGACACCTGTGTAAGTGGGAGTGGATTGGAAGGGGGTCTGATTAGACCCTAGAGACAATGCAGGGATAAGAGATGAGACATCGGCAATGCGGAGGGAGATGGGAGCAGATGTGAGAGCTACCCAGGCTAGGTAGGATTTCACTGCTATTACAGCCAGGAAATGGGAGGGTTCTCCTTGAGCATTAACCCTGCCTGGCCAGGACTTGGTCTGCCTTTCTGGCACCCCAGGGGACGTGCTATGTCAGGACCAAACAATGGAGTGATTATTTTTTGTGGGAGGTGGGAGTACCCAGCTTCAAATTGGTAAATCTTTAAGAGCTGTTGTCCATTGCCATGAATCTGCCAGAGTGTATTCACTTCACTGTTAGGTGCATACCTGGGCCAGACACACACACTGCCTACCCCCACCACCCCTTGCCCTTCATCTCCCAAGCTGATTAGTTCAGTTTTGGTCATTGCTATGCCCACACTGACCACTAGGTGATGCTCTCGTCCCTCTATTTCACTGAGATGTTGAAACACTCGCAGGTCTCCAAGAGAATGGTAGTTAGAAAGGCAAAGGAAAGGAAGGAAGGGAAGGAGAATGAAAGAGGAGGAAAATGCAGCCACAGGAGGGTCTCCTCAAAGGCATCAAGTTTCTTCCTTTCAGAGCACAGATACTGGTTTATAAGTGTGTCCTCATTAGTCTTATCTTTTGGCTATTGGTCACCCTACTAACCCATGAGCCCGTGATTGACTGGATCCTGCCTGCCTTGCTCCTTGCCCAGCTCCTGGCACATGAGAAGCTCTTAGAGAGTTGTTGATTGAATGGACTTGCCGCTGGCCAGGCACAGTGGGTCATGCCTGTAATCTCAGCATTTTGGGAGGCCAAGGTAGGAGCGCTGATCACTTGAGCCCAGGAGTTCCGAGTCTAGCCCTGGCAACATAGTGAGATACCATCTCTACAAAAAAAAAAAAAAAAAAAAAAAAAAAAAATTAAATAGTTGGATGTGGTGGTGTGTGCCTGCAGTTCAGTTACTCAGGAGACTGAGGTGGGAGGATTGCTTGAGTCTGGGAGGTCCAGTCTGCAGTGAGCCATGATCACTCCACTCTTTCAAACCAACAAAAGACTTTCTGAGCCAGGTTTCTGAACTGTTCTGATGTCACATTACAATTCTTAACCATCCAACCAATGGCCAAAGCTGCCCCTATCTCTTCCACAGCTTCTCATCCCATCTGAGCCCTTGGGTACCCCTGCCTTTGGAGAAGCTAGGGTCACCATGGCAATTGGGTTTGTATATTCAGCTTGAGGATTCCAGTGTTGTTTCTGACACCTGAATATTATAGGTGCTATGAATTGAATTTCGTGCCCCCCCACCAAGACATGTTGAAGTCCTAATCCCTGATACCTTATTTGGAAACTCTGGCTTGGCATGGTGGCTCATGCCTGTAATCAATCCCAGCACTTTGGAAGGCCGAGGCAGGTGGATCACCTGAGGTCAGGAGTTTGAGACCAGCCTGGCCAACATTGTGAAACCCCATCTCTTCAAAAATACAAAAATTGGCCAGGCGTGGTAACTTATGCCTGTAATCCCAGCTATTCAAGAGGCTAAGGCAGGAGAATGACTTGAACCCAGGAGGTGGAAGTTGCAGTGAGCCACCAGATTGTGCTACTGCACTCCAGCCTGGGTGACAGTGAGACTCTGTCTCGAAAAAAAAAAAGGAAAAAAGGCTGGGCACGGTGGCTCACGCCTGTAATCCTAGCACTTTGGGAGGCCGAGGCGGGTGGATCACCTGAGGCTGGGAGTTCGAGACCCGCCTAACCAACATGGAGAAACCCTGTCTCTACTAAAAATACAAAATTAGCCGGGCATGGTGGTGCATGCCTGTAATTCCAGCTACTCGGGAAGCTGAGGCAGGAGAATCCCTTGAACCTGGGAGGTGGAGGTTGCAGTGAGCCAAGGTCAAGCCATTGCACTCCAGCCTGGGGAACAAGAGCGAAATTCTGTCTCAAAAAAAGAAAAAGAAAAGAGATTCAGCAGATTTAATAAAGATCTAAATTAAGAAATTAGGATGAGGTCATATTAAGTAAAATGGGCCCTTAATCCAATACAATTTAATTCAATGAGGAATCCTTATAAAATAGAGAAGAGACAGAGATTGATTACACAGAGGGAAGAATACCATGTGAATATGGAGGCAGAGGTTGGATTTATACACCTGCAAGCCAAGGAAGGTTGCAAATGACAGAAGCTAAGAGAAAGGCATGGAACAGATACTTCCCTAGAGTCTTCAGAGAGCATGGCCCTGCCCCACTTGATCTCAGACTTCTAATCTCCAGAACTGTTAGACAATAATTTTTTTTCTCTATGCTTTTTTCTTTTCTTTTTCTGCGATGGAGTTTCGCTTTTGTTGCCCAGGCTGGAGTAAAATGGCGCGATCTTGGTTCACTGCAACCTCCACTCCCAGGTTCAGGTGATTCTCCTGCCTCAGCCTCCTGAGTAGCTGGGATTACAGGCACCTGCCACCACGCCCAGCTAATTTTTGTATTTGTAGTAGAGATGGGGTTTCACCATGTTGGCCAGGCTGGTCTCGAACTCCTGACCTCAGGTGATCTGCCCACCTCGGCCTCCCAAAGTTCTGGGATTACAGGTGTGAGCCACCGCGCCCGGCCTCCTCTGGGTTTTAAGCCACCCAGCCTGTAGTACTTCATTATGGCAGCTAGGACTCTAATCCAACAAGTGTTCTCACAGCCTTCAGTGGGAATAGGGAAGAGGAATGTGGGTTGTTTGCCAAGGCCCCTGTTACCAGAATTTCCAGCCCTGCGTGGTGGGAAGGTCTCTACTTTGCAGCCTTGTGCCAACAAACGTTATGTCTGATGTTGTATGGAAGAGATCATAGGCTTTGGAGGAAGTCAGTATGATTGAGGCTTTGGGCAAGTTAATTCTTCTCTGAGCCTCAGTTTTCTTGTTTGCAAAATAAACCAGATTGCTGTGGAGAAAAGGGAGATAATACTACCGGAACTCTCAACCTTGGCTCATTGTCAGGATCGCTTTGGACAGTTATTAAAAATACAGATTACTATCACTTCTCCACCTTTTGGCTAAAATCAAGTGTAAAAATACGGATTACTGGCCGAGCTTGGTGGCTCATGCCTGTAATCCCAGCACTTTGGAAGGCCAAGGTGGGCGGATCACTTGAGGTCAGGAGTTCAACCTGGCCAACATGGTGAAAACCCATCATTACTAAAAATACAAAAATTAGCTGGGACTTGGTGGCGTGGGCCTGTAATCCCAGCTACTCAGGAGGCTGAGGTGGGAGGATTGCTTGAACCCAGGAGGTGGAGGGTGCAGTAGGCTGAGATCGCACCACTGCACTCCAGCCTGGGCAACAGAGTGAGACTCCATGTTAAAAAAAAAAAAACAAAACAAAACAGATTACGGATTTCAAAAATTAACTGGGCATAGTGGTATGCACCTGTAGTCTCAGCTACTGGGAAGGCTGAGACAGGAGGACTCCTTGAGCCCAGGGGTTAAAGGCTGCAGTGAGCCATGTTCACACTACTGCACTCCAGTCTAGGTGACAGAACAAGACCGTGTCAAAAAAAAAAAAAAAGCCAGCACAATGGCTCACGCCTGTAATCCCAATACTTTGGGAGGCCGAGGTAGGCAGATCACCTGAAGCTAGGAGTTTGAGAGCAGCCTGGCTAACATGATGAAACCCTATCTCTACTAAAAATACAAAAAAAAAAATTAGCTGGGCATGGTGGCCAGTGTCTGTAGTCCCAACTACTTGGGAGGCTGAGACAGGAGAATCACTTGAACCCGGGAGGCAGAGGTTGCAGTGAGCCAAGATCGCCCACTGCACTCCAGCCTGGGCACAAAACTAGACTCCCTCTCAAAAAAACAAAAACAAGCCAGGTGTGGTAGCTCACGCCTAAAATCTCAGAACTTTGGGGAGGCCAAGGTGGGCGAATCACTTGAGGTCAGGAGTGAGAGACCAGCCTGGCCAACACGGCGAAATTCTGACTCTACTAAAAATACAAAAATTAGCCGGGTGTGCTGGCAGCCGCCTGTAGTCCCAGCTACTTGGGAGGTTGAGGCAGGAGAATCGTTTGAACCAGGGAGGCGGAGGTTGCAGTGAGCAGAGATCATGCCACCCCAGTCCAGCCTGGGCAACAGAGGGAAACTCCATCTCAAAAGCAAAACAAAAACAAAAAACCAAAAAAGAAAACGAAACAAACAAACAAAAAACAGATTACCTGGGCTAAACTCTAAACCAACAGGATCAGATTCTCCCAGGAGGGACCTGGGAATACACATTGTAATAAGATCTTCAGCTGATTTTGATGGTTCATCAAGATTGTTTATTCTCTGAGATGTTATGTAGCCACATTTACAGTGGTAAGAGAGACACAAAATTAAATCCCCTTCTTTTGCTTTTCACCTTCAGTAATGGTTTGAACATGTTTCTGGAGAGAAACACTGTTAAATAACTGCCACAGCCTGGGTTGGTGTCGCAACCTGTAGTCCCAGCTACTGGGGAGGCTGAGGCAGGAGGATCACTTGAGTCCAGGAGTTCAACACCAGCCTGGGCAAAATAGCCAGACCCAGTCTCTTAAAAAATAAAAAGCAGGCAGGGCGCGGTGGCTCACGCCTGTAATCCCAGCACTTTGGGAGGCCGAGGCAGGCGGATCACGAGGTCAGGAGATCGAGACCATCCTGGCTAACACGGTGAAACCCTGTCTCTACTAAAAATACAAAAAAATTAGCCAGGCATGGTGGCAGGCGCCTGTAGTCCCAGCTACTTGGGAGGCTGAGGCAGGAGAATGGCGTGAACCCAGGAGGCGGAGCTTGCAGTGAGCTGAGATCATGCCACTGCACTCCAGCTTGGGCGACAGAGTGAGACTCCATCTCAAGAAAAAAAAAGGCATTAGGATATAGGATACAGACGTGTTCACACAGACGAAAGACCATGTGAAAACAGGGAAAAAAGATGTCTATTTATAAGCCACTCACAAGAAACAACTGGGCTGGATGTGGTCCATAATCCCAGCACTTTGGGAGACTGAGGTGGGAGGATTGCTTGAGCCCAGAAGTCCAAGGTCGGCCTGGCAACATAGCAAGACCCTGTCCAAAAAATTGTCCAGGTGTAGTAGTGTTCACCTGTAGTCCCAGCTACTTAGGAGGCTGAGGCAGGAGGATCACTTAAGCCCAGGAGTTCGAAGCTGCAGTGACCTATGGTCATGTCACTACTCTCCAGCCTGGGCAACAGAGTGAGACCCTGTCTCTAAAAAAAACAAGACAAAGAAACAAAAAATCAAACTAATCTCGAAATTTAATTGTCATTGTGTTGGTGTTGGGAGGTGGAACCCTTAAGAGGTTTTTAGGTCATGAGGGCTCTACCCTCATGAATGGACCAGTGCCATTATTGCAAGAATGAGTTCTTGGCCAGACGCGGTGGCTCATGCCTGTAATCCCAGCACTTTGGGAGGCCAAGGTGGGCGGATCACCTGAGGTCAGGAGTTTGAGACGAGCCTGGCCAACATAGAGAAACACCGTGTCTGCTACAAATACAAAATTAGCTGGTCATGGTGGCAGATGCCTGTAATCCCAGCTACTTGGGAGGCTGAGGCAGGAGAATTACTTGAACCCAGGAGGTGGGGGTTGTGGTGAACCGAGGTCGAGTCATTGCACTCCAGCCTGTGGGGGGAAAAAAAGAATGATTTGTTCATCAAGGGAGTGGGTTCACCCCCTCTTGCATTCTCTGCCCTTCCACCATGTGATGCCTTCTGCCATGGGATGATGCAGCAAGAAGGCCCTCACAAGATGCCAGCACTTTGATATTGGACTTCTCAGCCTCCAGAAATATAAGCCAATACATTTCTGGTCATTATAAATTACCTGTACAAAAATTAGCTGGGTGAGGTGGCACATGCCTGTGGTCCTAGCTACTCAGGAGGCTGAGATGGGAGGATTGCTTGAGCGCAGGAGGTCAAGGCTGCAGTGAGCCAAGATCTCACCACTGCACTCCAGCCTGGGTGAGCCTGTCTCAATAAATAAATAAATAAATAAATTACCGAGTCTCAGGTATTCTGTTATAGCAACACAAAACAGACTAAAACATCCCCATCTCACAACTTGCCCTGCCCCGCTACAATTTTACAACAAGAAAATGCTCTTTTAGAGAGCAACAGTAAGCATTTATTGAGCTGTTACTGTATACCAGCCAGGACATAGTGTTTTATGTGCATTTTCTGAGGTAATCGTCCCAACAATCTATTAACCTATTAGGTAGGTTCCATTATTATCCCATTTTTTATTTGTTTTGTTTTTTGTTTTTTTGGAGATGGAGTCTTGCTCTGTCGCCTACGCTGAAGTGCAGTGGCGTGATCTCGGCTCACTGCAACCTCTGCCTCCCAGGTTCAAGCGATTCTCCTGTCTCAGCCTCCCAAGTAGCTGGGACTAAAGGCGCGTGCCACCATGCCTGGCTAATTTTTTGTTGTTGTTGTTGCCCAGGCTGGAGTGCAATGATGCAATCTTGGCTCACCACAACCTCCACCTCTCAGATTCAAGCGATTCGCCTGCCTCAGCCTCCCCAGTAGCTGGAATTACAGGCATGCTGGCATACTTGGGAGACTGAGGTAGGAGAATCGCTTGAAGCCGCGAGGCGGATTTTGTATTCTTAGTAGAGACAGGGTTCTCCATGTTGGTTAGGCTGGTCTTGAACTCCCAACCTCAGGTGATCCTCCTGCCTCGGCCTCCCAAAGTGCTGGGATTACAGGCGTGAGCTGCCACACCCGGCTATTCCCATTTTTTAGACAAGGAAACAGTGGTTCAGGGAATTGGAATAATTTGCCCAAGGGCATAAGGCAGAACTGTAGTTTAATAGCGGTGAGGGTGTCATTCTCTTGGGTGACTTTTTTCATTAGGCTCTGTTTTCGAAGCAGTCTAGTATTGAGATCCTGTTCACTGGAGATGCTCCTCAAGTAGGGGCCTGAGGAAATGGAAACCATGTAGACTCAGTAGACTAATGGCCTCGGGGGCCACTTTCAGTCTTTTTTTTTTTTGAGACAGAGTCTCACTCTGTCGCCCAGGCTGGAGTGCAGTGGCGCTATCTCGGCTCACTGCAAGCTCCGCCTGCCGGGTTCACGCCATTCTCATGCCTCAGCCTCCCAAGTAGCTGGGACTACAGGCGCCTGCCACCACACCCGGCTAATTTTTTGTATTTTTAGTAGAGATGGGGTTTCACTGTGTTAGCCAGGATGGTCTCGATCTCCTGACCTCGTGATCCGCCCGGCTCGGCCTCCCAAAGTGCCGGGATTACAGGCTTGAGCCACTGCACCCGGCCCCCACTTTCAGTCTTAAAATGGTAGGATTCTTTCATTTTTTTCCCCCTCTTTTTCCTGAGCACATGCTTAATTCCCACCAGAGAAAATAAGAGCTTTTCTAGCCTGGTGCGGTGGCTCATGCCTATAATCCCGGCAATTTGAGGGACCAAGGCAGGAGGATTGCTTGAAGCTAGGAGTTTGAGACCAGCCTGGGCAACATAACAAGACCCTATCTCAACAAAAATGTTAAAAAAATTAGCCGGGAATGGTAGTGCGTACCTGTAGTCCCAGCTACTTGGGAGGCTGAGGGGGGAAGATTGCTTTAGCCTAGGAGGTCAAAGCTGCAGTGAGCCATAATTCTGTCACTGCACTGTAGCCTGGGTGACAGAGCATGACCCTATCTCAAAAACATAAAAAAGAAAAGAAAAAGAAAAGAGAAGAAAAAACAAAAAAAAGAGCTTTTCTTGCACGTGAACTTAACCGTTACTAGAAATTCACATGGTGGAACAGTGTCTTTATCCTCACAAACTCCTCAGTAATGTCATTCCATCCCCCACACACATCAGAGGGACTGCCTCATCACAACTTTTCCAGAATGAAGGCCCTGAGCTGTAGCAGAAAGCTGATAGGCTGATCCACTGGTGACGATGACATTTCTGAGCCATCAGAAGTCCAGCTGTTGTGTTTTAAAAAAAGAAGAAGAAGCAAAAGTCCAGGTGTGGCTTCTCCAGAGGGACAGCGAAGGATTTCAAGGTAGGAAATGGCAGGAAGAGATAAAAGACCCTGAAGACCTTGAGTAAGAACCAGGATGTCTGCTCTGAGCCCATCAGGGAAGGGGTACCCTCCAGAAGCAATGGGATGGGCTTCAACCTGTGGACACATCTGGGGGCCAACTAGGAAACAAGCAAGGGCCCCCGTGCCTTAGTGATATGGTAGGCTGAATTCAAAGATAGCCCCAGGATTCATGCCCCCTGTTTACATGCCCTTGTACAATCTCCTCCTCTTGAGTAGGGGGCAGAATCTGTGAATTTCTTTAGATATCATTCCCAAGACTAGTTTACTAGTCAGTCTACTTTGAGTGAATCAAAAAGTTACCCTGGTGGGCTTGACCTAATCAGGTGAGGTCTTTTTTTTTCTTTTGACTGAGTCTTCTGTACCCCTGGCTGGAGTGCAATGGTGAGATCTTGGCTCACTGCAACCTCTGCCTCCCGGGTTCAAGCGATTCTCCTGCCTCAGCCTCCCAAGTAGCTGAGATTACAGGTGCCCACCACCACGCCCTGCTAATTTTTGTATTTTTAGTAGAGATGGGGTTTCACCATGTTGGCCAGGTTGGTCTCGAACTCCTGACCTCAAGTGATCCGCCCACCTTGAGATGAAGTCTTTAAAAGCAGGTAAAGTGTCAGAGAGACACTTTCCTGCTGCTTGGAATAAATAAGCTCCAGGATTGTAAGAAGGGCCTATGGAGAGAGCCAAGTGGAGAGGACATCAGGGCACTCTCTAGGAGTTGAGAGTGTCCTTGGCTGACAGCTACCGAGAAGAAATGAGGACCTTGTCCCACCACTGCAATGAAATCAATTCTGCCAACAACCTGAATGACCTTAGAAGAGGCCTCTGAGCTCCAGATGAGATGTCTAACCTAGCCGTGATCTTGATTTCAGTCTTGTGATAACCAGTAGAGAATTCAGTTATGCTATACCTGATAAATTGTTAGGCAGCAACAAAAAATGAATGCAGGCAATTAGGGCTGTGGACTGCTCTCAAGGTAGCAGAGAATTCAGAACTGACTGAAAGACAAGCAAAACCTACCTTCAGCAGTGGTAGGGAAAGAACAATTTCTGGAGTCAGACAAGTGGGGACTAAAACCTAACTACCACTATTTGTTAGCTGTATGATTTTTGGCAAGTATCCTTTAAGTCTATTCCTTTATCAATAAATCAGGGCTAGGCCGGGCATAGTGGTTCATGCCTGTAATCCCAACATTTTGGGAGGCCAAGGTGAGAGGATCACCTGAGGTCAGGAGTTCAAGACCAGCCTGGCCAACATGGTGAAACAGCGTCTCTACCAAAAATACAAAAATTAGACGGGCATGGTGGCGAGCACCTGTAGTCCCAGCTACTCGGGAGGCTGACGCAGGAGAATCACTTGAACCTGGCAGGCGGAGGTTGCAGTAAGCCAGGATCACACCACTGCACTCCAGCCTGAGCGACGGAGCGAGACTCCACCTCAAAAAAGAATAATAATAAAATAAAATAAATTTTGAAAATAGGGATAAAAACTTATCTCACAAGGTTGTTATGAGGCATAAATGGGATAATAGTTTGTGGCATGTAGTGGCACATTGTAAATTATAGTCATAATTGTATTTTAAAAAGAAAAAAAAACACTTCAGCAGCCAATCTAAGTGACTGTAGGCAAAGTGGAGGGATTCTGACAGCAGGGAGACCAGCTGGGATTCAAGCAATATAGCCCAGTGCTTTCTTACTTGCTTTTCTTACTTTTCTTACTTTCTTACCCTGACCTCATCTTAAGCTTCCAGCCTTGGAGATTTGATGAACACTAATTGAACTGCAGAGAGGTCAAAGGTTTCCCCGTTGCCCTTTGGCCAGTGTAGGGGCAGAAAGGGGTGATCCTTTTCCTCACCATCATAAGGGTCATGGCTGACACTCCCATAACAAAAGACAGGTTAAAAAGAAAAAACCATAACAAGTTTACTTGATCATAGTTTTATGTGACATGGGAGGCTTCAGACTGAAGACCCATAGATACAAGGAAAATCGTCCTTTATGCTTAGGTTCAATAAAGCATATGTAGAATTGTGATTGGACAAAAAGGGTCCAAGCTAACGGAAATGGATTGAGTGGGAAAACCCAGCAAAGCCTGTCTGTTCAAATCCTTCTGGCCTCTCTTTTGTAGCATTTCTTCCTCCCTGTCCTCCCTACTACTGGAACGAGTGTCTTTTCTTTCTTTTTTTTGGAGATAGAGTTTCACTCTTGTTGCCCAAGTTGGAGTGCAGTGGCAAGATCTCGGTCCACTGCAACCTCCACCTCCCAGGTTCAAGCAATTCTACTGTTTCAGCTTCCTGAGTAGCTGGGATTGCAGGCATGCACCACCATGCCCGGCTAATTTTGTATTTTCAGTAGAGACGGGGTTTCTTCACGTTGGTCAAGCTGGTCTCAAACTCCAGACCTCAGGTGATCCCCCCACCTCAGCCTCCCAAATTGCTGGGATTATAGGCATGAGCCATCGCGCCCAGCCTTAACTTCTTTTTTTCTTTTTTTGAGACGGAGTCGCACTCTGTCACCCAGGCTGGAGTACAGTTGTGCGATCTCGGCTCACTGCAACCTCCACCTCGCGGGCCCAAGTGATTCTCCTGCCTCAGGCTCCAGAGTAGCGTGCGCCACCACACCCAGCTAATTTTTGTATTTTTCGTAGAGACGGGGTTTCACCATGTTGGCCAGGATGGTCTCGAACTCCCGACCTCAGGTGATCTTCCCACCTCAGCCTCCCAAAGTGCTGGGATTACAGGCATGAGCCACCATACCTGGCCATGTTTCCTTTTCTCCTTTTTTTTAAAAAATTTTATTTTTGAGACGGAGTCTAGCTCTGTCACCCAGGCTGGAGTGCAGTGGTGTGATCTCGCCTCACCGCAACCTCCACCTCCTGGGTTCAAGTGATTTCTGGCTAATGTTAGTAATTTTAATAGAGATGGGGTTTCACCATGTTGGCCAGGCTGGTCTCAAACTCCTGACCTCAAGTGATCTCCTGGCCTTGGCGGCTCAAAGTGCTAGGATTACAGGCGTGAACCACCGTGCTCGGCCTTAATTTCTTTATGGCCAGCTGTTACATAGAAAGGCAAAGAGAAAGGTTAGAGCAATATTTTTAGGCTTTATGGCTGGCTTTGGGACAAAGGGGTTCTACTTTCTAGACCCCCTCTTGGGGAGGAGGGATTCTAGTTTCTGTGGCATGCCTGGAGGGAGAGTAAGGGGCAAGAGACAAGAGGGCAGAAGGTCAGAGAGAAACTGCTTCATAGGCCTTCACTTTGTGGTATTGTTTTCTAAGCCCCAGCACTAGGTTGGTGGGAAACGGTGAGGGCAGGTGCTTTGAAAACATTTTAAAAATCCTTTTCCCCGCCAGGTTCCTACCCACTGAAGCCACACTGCTAGGGAGGAAAAAGAGAAGGGCAGATGCTGAGGCCCTGGAGAGTCGGCCTGAAGTGAGGAAGTGGCACATGAATGGCCACCTTTTCTTTCCTCAGTGTGCCCAGGGATAGAGAATGGGAGACAGCAAGACAGAATACAATGTCTCATTAACTCTGGGCAGCATCCAGATACTTCAGGCCTGGGAGAGGTGTCCTTGACTGCCCAGGGGCTCAAAGTTAGGATGTAGCTAGTGAGATAAGATGCAACAACTGTGGAACTTGATCAACCCTATTTCAGAGCCATCGTGGATTCAGGAGCCCTCCTGTAGGAGATGGGAAACATTCAGGTGAGAGTCCTCAGAACTGGGGATGTGGCGAAAAGATCCTTGACTGCCAGCAGCAACCTAATTTCTGAGCCTCTTTCCTAATCTGTGAAATGAAGTAGTTTAACTCATTTTTTATGCAAGCTGGTTTGTGATATAAGAATATGTACTAATAAAATCCCTTACGCATAGGCCTTTTTTTTTTTTGAGATGGAGTTTTGATCTTGTTGCCCAGGCTGGAGTGCAATGGTGCGATCTCAACTCACTGCAACCTCTGCCTCCTGGGTTCCAGCAATTCTCCTGCCTCAGCCTCCCAAATAGCTGGGATTACAGGCATGCGCCACCACACCTGGCTAATTTTGCATTTTTAGTAGAGACAGGGGTTTCTCCATGTTGGTCAGGCTGGTCTCGAACTCCCGACCTCAGGTGATCCGCCCGCCTTGGGCTCCCAAAGTGCTAGGATTACAGGCGTGAGCAACCGCGTCCAGCGGCATTCTTTCCCCCATTCGCTGTTTTATTTTATGCCACAATGAGAAGGCGGGGCTAAGCAAAGTAGGTTTTTGTTTTGTTTGGTTTTTTTGAGACGGAGTTTCGCTCTTGTTGCCCAGGCTGGAGTGCAATGGCACCATCTCGGCTCACCGCAACCTCCTCCTCCTGGGTTCAAGCGATTCTCCTGCCTCAGCCTCCCGAGTAGCTGGGATTGCGGGCATGCGTTGCGCCACCACGCCTGGCTAATTTTGTATTTTTAGTAGAGACGGGGGTTCCTCCATGTTGCCCAGGCTGGTCTTGAACTCCCGACCGCAGGTGATCCGCCCGCCTCGGCCTCCCAAAAGTGCTGGGATTACAGGCATGAGCCACAGCGCCCGGGCGCAAAGTACGTATTTTTTATTATAGTTTGTTGTTATTGCTGTCATTCCTATTTTGAGGTGATTAAGTGCCCTCCTGGGCCTGACTCGAACAAGATCACGGTCGGTTGCTCCTCCCTCGCCTCCATTCCTACTTACAGGATGGCAGCTGCACGTCACCTGACCAGAGACAAGGCGGGACGCGAGGCTAACAGTTTGTCCTCAGCGCGCCGCCGTAGCCCCCGCCGCCGCCGGCCGCGCGGTGGCTCCTCCCGCCCACGCGCCAGAGTCGCAGTGGGCGGGCCTACGTGCTCCGCCCGCTGTGAGCCTGTCCGGCCCCCGCCCGCTCCGGAGCAACCCGCGAGCTTACACCGGCTTCTCTCTGTCCTCAGCCCGCGCGCCGCCATCGCCGTCATGCTGGGCGCCGCTCTCCGCCGCTGCGCTGTGGCCGCAACCACCCGGGCCGACCCTCGAGGCCTCCTGCACTCCGCCCGGACCCCCGGCCCCGCCGTGGGTAAGGCCCCTGCTTGCCACTGCCCGCGCCCTCGTGTCCTTGCGGTGACCTGGGTCCCCGCTGCCACTCCGGGGCGGGCTCTCCCCGGCCTAGCCCTTGCCCTACCCTGGTTACTGAACCCGGTGACCGCGGGCCGCCCTGCCCGCCGCCTCGAGTAGTGGAGGACCTGAAAGCGCGCCCCCGGGGCCTCCCCCCGCGCAACTTCCTGGCTGTGCCACCGCGGACAGGTCAGATGTGGACCTGCTGTGGGCGCCGAGGAGGGGACGCAGCGCTCCCCTTCGGTTCCCGGGCCATGACCCTGCCCCAGCGCCGACCCTGCGGCCACCTGACCGAGAGTGGCCGCCGCCGGCCTGCAGCGCCTCGGCGAAGGTGACATTGAGCCTCCGGGCACGCCGCTTGGGGTCCGAGGACACAATATACTTCCGTATGGGACACACGATTATACTTTTCAATCAGGCATTTCTCGGTTAGCGATTAGTGTGTCACCTTCACAGCCTTTTCCATCATTTTTAGGGTCTGCTGTGCCACGTTCTAATTCTTCCACGTTTAAAATAGATGGAAGTGTGTGGTTGTTTCCTGATCTCCGGAAGATAGCCAGAGTTTTGATAGGGCTTATGATAAAAATATCACTCTTTTGAAAACTGAATGTCACAGACACAGGAATACTGGGTTTTACAAGCATAGGAACGCTTCGTGTTTTTTCCCCTTTGTAATAGAAGCCTGATTGCTGGAGTATGAGACGTGCTTCTGATTTTTGTCTATTTTCCTTCCCTTTATATGTGTGCTGGGAGGTTTTGAGTCCACCACCATAGAATAATTACAGTAATTGCACTTCGATCTTGGTCCGTGAAATTTAGCTTCTATGCATGCATATTATATTTTATTTTTGAACCTGCATCACTGGCAACTATGCATGCGTATTTAAACATAAGAACTCAGAAACTCGTTTCAGGGTATGCTGAAGTTAAAAATTAAAAAAAGAACTCAGCCGGGCGCGGTGGCTCATGCCTGTAATCCCAGCACTTTGGTAGGCCGAGGCGGGCGGATCACCTGAGGTCAGGAGTTCAAGACCAGCCTGGCCAACATGGTGAAACCCTGTCTGTACTAAAAATACAAAAAATTTAGCTGGGTGTGGTGGTGGGCGCCTGTAATCCCAGCTACTCGGGAGGCTGAAGCACAAGAATCGCTTGAACCTGAGAGGCGGAGGTTGCAGTGAGCCGAAATCGCGCCATTGCACTCCAGCCTGGCCGACAGAGCGAGACTCCGTCTCAAAAAAAAAAAAAAAAAAAAAAGAATATGTTTTGCTTCATTCATTTTAGACTTTTATCATTTGTCGTAGAACCATAAGGCTGGAGGGTACTTTATTTTTGTTTATTTATTTATTTTTAAATTAGAGACGGAGTGTCCCTATGTTGCCCAGGCTGGGCTTGAACTCCTGGGCTCAGGTGATCCTCCCACCTCAGCCTCCCAAAGTTTGGGATTATAGGCATGAGCCACTGCAGCCAACCTAGAGTGTACTTTAGAGATCGTGGAAGCCATTTTATTTTATAGAAAAGGAAACCAAAGTCCATCTTGGGAAACTGACTCCTTGTTTTTTTTTGTTTGTTTGTTTGTTTTTGTTTTGTTTTGTTTTGTTTTGTTTTTTCTTGAGACAGAGTTTCGTTCTTGTTGCCCAGGCTGGAGTGCAATAGCACGGTCTTGGCTCAAGCGATTCTCCTGCCTCAGCCTCCGGAGTAGCTGGGGTTACAGGCACCTGCCACCATGCCCGGCTACTTTTTGTGTTTTTAGTAGAGATGGGGTTTCACCATGTTGGCCATGCTGGTTTCGAGCTCGTGAGGTCAGGTGATCCGTCTGCCTCAGCCTCCCAAAGTGCTGGGATTACAGGCGTGAGACACCACACCTGGCCGAAACTGACTCCTTTTTAATGGTGGAACCATTTTTGTTTCTTATAGTTATGTTTGGGCCATCCTGATGTTTGTTTAGATTTTGTGTTTTGCTAAAGTAACAGTACAATTTACATTTTTCAGCCGGACACGGTGGCTCACGCCTGTAATCCCAGCACTTTGGGAGGTTGTGGCGGGTAGATTACCTGAGATCAGAAGTTCCAGACCAGCCTGAACATGGCGAAACCCAGTATCTACTAAAAATACAAAAATTAGCCGGGTGTGGTGGCACGCACACGTGGTCCCAGCTTCTTGGGAGGCTGAGGCATTAGAATTGCTTGAACCCGGGAGGCAGAGGTTTGCAGTGAGCCGAAATCATGCCATCTCAAAAAAAAAATTTTTTATTTATTTATTTATTTATTTTTTTTTTTTGGTGATAGTCTCACTGTGTTGCCTAGGCTGGAGTGCAGTGGCACCATCACAGCTCACTGCAGCCTTGACCTCCTGGGACTCAACTGATCCTCCTGCCTCCACCTTCCAAGTAGCTGGGACCACAAGGGTGCGCCACCAGTTTTATTTTCCGTAGAAACAGGCTGGTCTGGGGACTCCTGGGCTCAGGAGTGCCTCCCTCCTCCCACCTTCCAAAGTGCTGGGATTACAGGTGTGAGCCACCATGCCCAGCCAAATTTTTCTTTTTCTTCTTCTGTTGTTGTGGTTTTGTTTTGTTTTTGTTTTTGTTTTTGAGACAGGGTCTCGCTCTGTCATGCAGGCTGCAGTGCAGTTGGCACAGCTCACTGCAGCCTTAACCTCCTGGGCTCAAGCCATCCTTCCACCTCAGCCTCCCAAAGTGCTGGGATTACAAGCGAGAGCCACTGCACCCAGCCTCAGTAACTCGTTAATGTGCCCTCATTCCTACAGTTACCACCACCAAAGTGTTCATTCTTTGGGCCTGTCAGGGTTGATTATTTATTAAATGGAAAACTATCCGATTTAACTAAATTTAAACCCAAAGGATCAATGAGCCCTTTTATTTTTCTATATATGTTAGCCTTTTTTGTTTTTAAATGGAGTGCTTAACTGAATGCCAAAAAGCAGTGTTAGAAATAGCTTTTTAGGATGAAGCCCTAAAAATGTCCTCATTTTTCACAGCTGCTTCTTTTTTCTTACTTTGGGACTTTCAGGTTACGTAAAAGCTCTGAGTAATTGTTTTCCAAAATAATTTGCCTTTCAAGCTTCAATACTAGGTGGAGATCCTGTTCTTAAGTGGGGTGGGGTGTGTGGGGCAGAGAATGCTAGTAGAGTTTACCTAAAAAAAGTTAAGCATGTGGGGGATGTGTCCATAGCTAATAGAATAGATCCTGCTTTACCCATTATTGGATTTAACAATATAATTTAAATCATGGCCGGGCATGGTGGCTCACGCCTGTAATCCCAGCACTTTGGTAGGCTGAGGCGGGCGGATCACAATGTCAGGAGATCGAGACCATCCTGGCTAACGCGGTGAAACCCCGTCTCTACTAAAAATACAAAAAAATTAGCCGGGCGTGGTGGCGAGTGCCTGTAGTCCCAGCTGCTGGGAAGGCTGAGATAGGAGAATGGCGTGAACCTGGGAGGCGGAGCTTGCAGTGAGCTGAGATTGCGCCACTGCACTCCCGCCTGGGCGACAGAGTGAGACTCCATCTCAAAAAAAAAAAAAAAATTTAAATCACGTGGGGAGAGTCTGTTTTAGCCCTTCAGAAAGGGATGTATGGGTTTTTAAATTTTTATTTATTTTAATTTGTTTGATATAGAGTGTTGCTCTATCACCTAGGCTAGAGTGCAGTGGCGCAGTCATAGCTCACTGCAGCCTTGTTGCCCTGGGCTCAAGGGATCCTCCCGCCTCAGCCTCCTGAGTAGCTGGGACCACCAAACCCCGCTAATTTTTTAAGTTTTTTGTGGAGAATGGAGGTCTGTCTTTGTTGCCCAAGCTGGTCTCTCAGTCCTGGCATCAAGCGATCCTGCCTTGGCCTCTCAAAGTTCTAGTTCTGTTTTATAAAAGACTTTTTGGAATACAACCAGTTTGTAATTTGGCTTCCAGAAGACATATGATCAAATCCTTGAAGGTGGTGATCTCCTTGACTTGGATTTGCTGTTGGTGGTCATCTTATTCACAGTTAGGAAACAAAGCCTAGCACTCATGTAGTCAAATCCATGCCCAGCAGTGAACAAAACGAATTGCTTATCATGAAGCACTGTTGTGGATGGGACAGGTAATTACCTCTGGGGAAGGAGTACATAGACCTTTCATTGGGTAAATACTTAGGAGTGGAATTACTGTGTTATATGGTAGGTTTGTGTTTAACTTGATAAGAAACTGCTTAAACCGTCTTCCAAAGTGATTGTATCATTTTATACTTGCACTTTCAGTATTCAGTTAAGGCTAGCTTTAGTTTTTGAAGAGGTGGCTTATAATTTTTTCTTTTTTGAGACAGGGTCTCACTCTGTCTCCGAGGCTAGTGCCACTGCATCTGGCCCTAAGTTCTTGATAATAGTGCATTAGATGGTTGTTCTAATCTATGTTTTTACATAGATAGATAGATAGATAGATAGATAGATAGATAGATAGATAGATATTTTTTTTTTTGAGACGGAGTCTTGCTCTGTCGCCCAGGCTGGAATGCAGTGGCACGATCTTGGCTCACTGCAACCTCCCTGGGTTCAAGCTATTCTCCTCCTTCAGCATTCCAAGTAGCTGGGACTACAGGGGTGTGCCACCACGCCTGGCTAATTTTTTGTATTTTAGTAGAGACAGGGTTTCACCATGTTGGCCAGGCTGGTCTTGAACTCCTGGCCTCAAGTGATCTGCCTGCCTCAGCCTCCCAAAGTGCTGGGATTACAGGTGTGAGCCACCGCACCTGGCCTTGTTTTCTGATATATTAAATTTGAATATTAGTCTTGTAAGACTTATTAAATATCCACGTAGTTTTGATTAAATGTTCATACTTACCAGACATATTTAGGTGTAGAGATCCATTTTTTTCTTGTTGTAGAAATTAAGGCTGGGCACCGTGGCTCATGCCTGTTATCCCAGCACTTTGGGAGGCCGAGGCAGGCAGATCATGAGGTCAAGAGTTCGAGACCAGCCTGACTAACATGGTGAAACTTTGTGTCTACTAAAGATACAAAAAATTAGCCTGACATGGTGGCGCATGCCTGTAATCCCAGCTACTTGGGAGGCTAAGGCAGGAGAATCACTTGAACCCGGGAGGTGGAGGTTGCAGTGAGCCGAAATCGTGCCATTGCACTCCAGCCTGGGCGACAGGGTGAGACTCTGTCTCAAAAAAAAAAAAAAAGAAATTAAAACGTGTTCACTTCTAGTCCATTTATGTACATGTTCCACTTCATTCTGGGCTTGGATTATGTAGGTAATTTAGGTCTCTGGGAAGATCTTTTCTGCTTCGTTTTTTTGCTACTCTTCCTCCTGCCAGTTACTGCATTAAAGATATATAGGATATTACTAATGTTTAAATTTCAGTGTTCTTAGAACAACAATGTTGAGAGGTTTCTGGGTGAAGTTTTTAAAAATATATATATATGTATGTTAAGGCTGGGCATGGTGGCTCACACCTGTAATTCTAGTATTTTGGGAGTGGTAGGATTGCTTGAGGCTAGGAGTTTAAGACCACCCTGGGCAACATATCAAGACCCCCATCTCTAAAAGTAAATAAATAAAAATATGTTAAGCCTTAAACAACTGGAAGTTACACCACACTTATCTAATACAGGTAGTAGGAAATGTGATTTGAGATAGGTTTCATTTCTTTAAGTTATGATTTCTATAAATAGACAACTAAGACGTTTTTAGATAAGGGTTAGTTTATAGCTACCATTTGTTTAATACTTACCAGTGCATAGTGTTAACCTACCTGTTTTCACATTTAATCTTCATAATCTGCTAAGGGGGGTAGCGTCCCCATTTTACAGATAAGGAAAATAAACTTAAGTTAATTTTCCAGGGTCAAACAGAGAGAGCGAAGAGCCTAGAGGTATCTGAGTGCTAGGTTGTGCTGCATTCAATACCCAAAGATAAAATTTTCTGCCTCCGCCTATCCCCCTACCTGTTCCAGAGGCTGTTCAGAAGGAATTCAGATTTCCAAACTCAATTCAGTGTCCATTTGACAAGAAGAAAGAAAAAATGGGGCTGGGTGCAGTGGCTCGCGTCTGTAATCCCAGCACTTTGGGAGGCTGAGGTGGGCAGATCACTGGAGGTCAGGAGTTCGAGACCAGCCTGGGCAATGTGGTGAAATCCCGTCTCTACTCAAAATACAAAACTTAGCCAAGCTTAGTGGCGCTCGCCTGTAGTCTCAGCTACTCAGAAGGCTGAGGCAGGAGAATCACTTGAATCCAGGAGGCAGAGGTTGCAGTGAGCTGAGATTGTTCCACTGCATTTCAGCCTGGGTGACAGAGTGAGACTCGATCTCAAAAAAAAAAAAAAAAAATGGAAATGCTTTTCATACAGTACTCTATGTAAACATCATTTCTTTTTTTCTTTGAGACAGAGTCTTGCTGTGTCGCCCAGGCTGGAGTACAATGGCATCATCTCACCTCACCTCAACCTCCGCCTCCTGGGTTCGAGTGATTCTCCTGCCTCAGTCTCTCGCGTAGCTGAGATTACAGGCGCCCGTCATCACGCCCAGCTAATTTTTGTATTTTTAGTAGAGACGGAGTTTCACAATGTTGATCAGGCTGGTCACAAACTCCTGAACTCAGGTGATCCACCAGTCTCAGCCTCCCAAAGTGCTGGCATTACAGGTGTGAGCCACTGCGCCCAGCCCAAAATATTCCTAGTAAAACAGTATTATTTTGCATTAGGTGTAGATTAGAGTGTACGTTCCCTTAGGGGATTTATCAGAATATTTTGGGAAGGGGCTGTAGTTTGATAAAGCAATTTGTATGTGTAATTTGTCAGGATGTGTAATTTATTTTGGAATATAATAACATGAGAATTTTTTTTTTTTTTTTTTTTTTTTTTTTTTGAGACAGAGTCTCGCTCTGTTGCCCAGGCTGGAGTGCAGTGGCGTGATCTCTGCTCACTGCAAGCTCCGCCTCCTGGGTTCACGCCATTCTCCTGCCTCAGCCTCCCAACTAGGTGGGACCACAGGCGCCCGCCACCACACCTGGCTAATTTTTTGTATTTTTAGTAGAGACGGGGTTTCACCGTGTTAGCCAGGATGGTTTCGATATCCTGACCTGGTGATCTGCCCATCTCGGCCTCCCAAAGTGCTGGGATTACAGGCGTGAGCCACCAAGCCCGGCCCGAGATTTTTTTTTTTTTAATGTGTGAATGAAGTATATAAGTTTATTTAAGAACTTGAATGGTGCCAGGGCTGGTGGCTCACACCTGTAATCCCAGCACTTTGGGAGCCAAGGGAGGAAGGAATGCTTGAGCCCAAAGAATTTGAGGCTGCAGTGAGCTGTGATTGCGCCACTACACTCCAGCCTAGGCAACAACAGAGCGAGAGCCTGTCTCAAAAAAAAGAACTTGAATGGACATTAGTATTGCTCTTAGTTTTTTTTTTTTGTTGCTTTTTTGGTTTTTTTTGTTGTTGTTGTTTATTGTCTTTTTTTTTTTTTTTGAGGCGGAGTCTCGCTCTGTCGCCAGGCTGGAGTGCAGTGGCACAATCTTGGCTCACTGCAACCTCCGCCTCCTGGGTTCAAGCAATTCCCCTGCTTCATCCTCCCGAGTTGCTGGGACTACAGGCACGCGCCACCACACCCAGCTAATTTTTATACTTTTAGTAGAGATGGGGTTTCACCATGTTGGCCAGGATGGCCTTGATCTCTTGACCTCTTGATCCACCCGCCTCAGCCTCCCAAAGTGCTGGGATTACAGGCGTGAGCCACTGCGCCCGGCCTAGTCTTAGTTTTTTAGTTTTTGTTTTTGTTTTTGTTTTTGTTTGTTTGTTTGTTTTTTGAGTTGGAGTCTTGCTCTGTCGCCCAGGCTGGAGTGCAGTGGTGTGATCTCAGCTCACTGCAACCTCCGCCGTCCAGGTTCACGCCATTCTCCTGCCTCAGCCTCCCGAGTAGCTGGGACTACAGCCGCCCGCCACCACACCTGGCTAATTTTTTGTATTTTTAGTAGAGACGGGGTTTCACCGTGTTAGCCAGGATGGTCTTGATCTCCTGACCTCGTGATCCGCCTGCCTCGGCCTCCCAAAGTGCTGGGATTACAGGCGTGAGCCACTGCGCCTGGCCTATTCTTAGTTTTTAGAAGTGGGGTGTCGCTGTGTTGCCCAGGCTGGAATGCAATGGCTATCTTATCAGGTTCTGTCATATTGTTAGCACCCTACGACCTTGAACTCCTGGGCTCGGGTAATCTTCCTGCCTCAGCCTCTGAGTAGCTGGCACTACAGGTGTGTGCCCCACTATGCCCACCTGGGACATTTTTACTTAGGAATTAATACTCTGGTTATGTGTAAAAATTCAAACAATATGGAAGTATATAAAGTAGTTTTTACGTCCCATGATAATCACTGTTAATTTAAAATCAGAGGGAACCACTGTTAATAATTTCAAGCGAGTATTATACATTAGGGAGAAAAGTATAAACATGCCTATGTAATACTTTTTGTTCTACTTGATTTTATTTGCTTAATTTAAAATATATCTTTCTGTATCAATGTATACGATGTATTTCATTTGACCTGTTCAATATTTTTGCTGCCACAACATATATAGTCAACTCAAAATTTAATGCATTGAACAAAATATATCAAGTACTATTTGTGTACATTGAAGTTATGGTTCTTTCACATTATAGCTATCCAGTCAGTTCGCTGCTATTCCCATGGGTCACAGGAGACAGATGAGGAGTTTGATGCTCGCTGGGTAACATACTTCAACAAGCCAGATATAGATGCCTGGGAATTGCGTAAAGGTAATTGGAACATAAACATATTTGTCTATTTTGGTGTGTAAATATGAACTGCTTCTGCTCCTTTATTGAGAGCAACTGTTTCGAAAACATGCGTTGTTTAAACTGGTTACTTCATGCAACTTGCAGTTAGGAAAGTTTATGGCTACCTATAAAGCAGGATTTTAAGGCAGGCACTATTGACATTTTGGGCCAGATAATTCTTTGTTGTAGGGGACTGTCCTTTACACTGTAGGGTGTTTAGCATCACCTTTGGCCTCTACCTGCTAGGAGCCAGTATGCACACATTCGTATCATGACAACCAAAAATGTTTCTAGGCATTACCCAGTGTCTCCTGAGGGATGAAGTCACCCTTAATTGAAAACCACTGCTATAGCAATAAGGCTAGATGAGCAAAAGGTAACAGTTTTGTACATTTCAAACAATTTACATAGCACGGGCGCGGTGGCTCACGCCTGTAATCCCAGCACTTTAGGAGGCCAGGGTGGGCGGATCACGAGGTCAGGAGATCAAGACCATTCTGGCTAACATGGTGAAACCCCGTCTCTACTAAAAATACAAAAAAATTAGCCGGACGTGGTGGCGGGCGCCTGTAGTCACAGCTACTCGGGAGGCTGAGGCAGGAGAATGGCGTGAACCCGGGAGGCAGAGCTTGCAGTGAGCCGAGATCGCGCCACTGCACTCCAGCCTGGGCAACAGAGTGAGACTCTGTCTCAGAAAAAAAAAAAAGAATTTACACAAAGCAGTCATTTGGTTCCCTTCCCCTTTGGGTGATGGTTTGGGTTTTTTGTTATTTTTGCATTGTTTTGCCATGAATAAGTATCTAAGTAAGTTAGAACTTGTCTTTCCTAAATTTGCAGATGCACACTTAACATGAAAAAATAGAATTAGGTGTAGGGTAATTTATCTCATACCAAAAATTCAATCTCAATGACTATCGTATTCACTGGTATCCTTTGTTTAAATATTTTAAAGTAATAAAAGCAAGAAACCTAAGTGCTTTAAACTTCTCTGCAGAAATGTAATGATTCCCTTTTGCTACAACCAATAGAATTCTTACTGAACAATCTGGAGTAGAAGTAATAAAAAGAACAATTATGTATTCCCATTAAGAGAATCTTAAATTTTATTATGTGTCATTTTGTGCAGATCTGAAAGTAATCATGCCCAATCATTTTCTGGTTGAATGTTTATGAGTCTGTGTACTAATGTTTCTCTATAATATCTCCTTAATGTCCTCATTTAGGCTTCATTAACTCTACGCATTTCTCTGGCTGTTTTTAGGCTGTTTTCCAGTTGAATCTCTTTTATTTTGGTTTTTTTGTTTGTTTGTTTTGTTTTGTTTGAGATGGAGTTTCTCTCTTATTGCCCAGGCTAGAGTGCAATGGCGCGATCTCAGCTCACTGCAACCTCCACCACCTGGGTTCAAGTGATTCTCCTGCCTCAGCCTCGAGAGTAGCTGGAATTACAGGCATGTGCCACCACGCCCGGCCAATTTTGTATCTTTAATAGAGACAGGGTTTCTCCATGTTGACCAGGCTGGTCTTGAACCCCTGACCTCAGGTGATCCACCTGAGCCCAGCCTTGAATCTCTTTTAAAGCATCCAAAATGTGTTCATTGTACTAAGAGTTAAAGATAGGAGGGCCGGATGTGGTGGCTCATGCCTGTAATCCCAGCACTTTGGGAGGCCGAGGCAGGTGGATCACGAGGTCAGGAGTTCAAGGCCAGCCAGGCCAAGATGCTGAAACCCCGTCTCTACTAAAAATACTAAAATTAGCTGGGCTTGGTGGCACCCGCCTGTAATCCCAGCTACTTGGTAGGCTGAGGCAGGAGAATCACTTGAACCCAGGTGGCAGCGGTTGCAGTAAGCTGAGGTGGCACCACTGTACTCCAGCCTGGGTGACAGAGCAAGACTCCATCTCCAAAAAAAAAGTTAGGAGTTGAAAATGACCCTCTTGTTCTCAAAGGGGAAAAAAAAAACTCAGGATTTTTTCCTTCAATCTGCGTGCTGTTGCATAGTTCTTTCTTTCCACTGATTCACTAAGGGAGATCCACTGTGATCTTATTATCTAGAATTTGTTAAAGGTAGGTTTCTCTCATTTTATAGGTAAGAGAATGGAGACCCAGACAGATAAGATCATACATCAGTGATTCAGTAAAAATATAAATAACTCATAGTTTAAGTGAGGCTCTTCGAGGTTGACATGGCCCTTCTTTTTAATTTTGCAGGGATAAACACACTTGTTACCTATGATATGGTTCCAGAGCCCAAAATCATTGATGCTGCTTTGCGGGCATGCAGACGGTTAAATGATTTTGCTAGTACAGTTCGTATCCTAGAGGTTGTTAAGGTCAGTGAAATAATAATGCTAAAATTGTTCTGTAAATGAGTGGGCTATTGCTGAGGTATCAGAATATTCTGTATTTTTGAATTTGTTAAAATGCCTAAAATGAGTCCTTATATAACTAGAAGGAATGTACATTGCAGTTAAAATCTTTCTAGAGGCTACTTTGGCAGCATTTATTCAAGGCCTTACAAATTGTACATGATACACTTTTGTTCAGCAATTCCATTTAAGAATTTATCTTTTTTCTTTTTTCTCTCTTTTTTTTTTTTCTTTCTTTTTTAAGAATTTATCTTGGCCGTGTGTGATGGCTCATGCCTGTAATCCCAGCACTTTAGGAGGCTAAGGCGGGTGGATCATGCAATGTCAGGAGTTTGAGACCAGCCTGGCCAACATGGTGAAACCCTGTCTCTACTAAAAATATAAAAATTAGGCCAGGCGCGGTGGCTCACGCCTGTAATCCCAGCTCTTTGGGAGGCCGAGGCGGGCGGATCACGAGGTCAGGAGATCGAAACCATCCTGGCTAACACGGTGAAACCCTGTCTCTACTAAAAATACAAAAAAATTAGCCGGGTGTGGTGGCAGGCGCCTGTAGTCCCAGCTACTCAGGAGGCTGAGGCGGGAGAATGGCGTGAACCCGGGAGGCAAAGCTTGCAGTGAGCCAAGACAGCGCCACTGCACTCCAGCCTGGGTGACAGAGCAAGACTCTGTCTCAAAAAAAAAAAAAAAAAAAAAAAAATTAGCTGGGCATGGTGGCACATGCCTGTAATCCCAGCTACTTGGGAGGCCCAGGCAGGAGAATTGCTTGAACCCGGGAGGCGGAGGTAGCAGTGAGCTGAGATCGCACCATTGCACTCCAGCCTGGGCAACAAGAGAGAAACTCCGTCTCTAAAAAAAAAAAGAAAGGAATTTATCAAGGAAATAATAAAGGATATATAAAGATTTAACTACAAAGTGTATTCATCTTCTTGCTATTTGTCATACGAAATGTTAGGAATTCTTAAGAGGGAGCTTCCCAGAACTGGTTATACTACACAACTGTTGATACTGTAGAAATGTGTTTGACTTTAAACATATTTGTGTCGGCTGGGCACGGTGGCTCACGCCTGTAATCCCAGCACTTTGGGAGACTGAGGCAGGTGGATCACCTGAGGTCAAGAGTTCGAGACCAGCCTGACCAAGATGGAGAAACCCCATCTCTACTGAAAATAAAAAATTAGCCGGGCGTGGGGGTGCATGCCTGTAATCCCAGCTAGTCGGGAGGCTGAGGCAGGGGAATTGCTTGAACCCGGGAGGCAGAGGTTACAGTGAGCCAAGATGGCACCATTGCACTCCAGCCTGGGCAACAAGAGAGAGAAACTCCATCTCAAAAAATATATATATACATTATATGAAAACATAGGAGGATATATACTAATTTTCCTCCTTCTTATTTGGTCATAATTTCTGAGTTTATTTATTTTTTCGAGACAGAGTCTCACTCTGTCGCCCAAGCTGGAGTGCAATCATTGCGTGATCTCAGCTCACTGCAACCTCCGAGGTCTCCTGGGTTCAAGCAATTCTTCTGCCTCAGCCTCCCGAGTAGCTGGGATTACAGGCTAATTTTGTATTTTAAGAGACGGGGTTTCTCCATGTTGGTCAGGCTGATCTCAAACTCCTGACCTCAGTTGATCCGCCCGCCTCAGCCTCCCAAAGTGCTGGGATTACAGGCGTGAGCCACCACGCCCGGCCGGCACTTTCTTAGTTCTTTTGACTTCTTATTCGTTCCTAAGGAACCTTGTGACAGCACAGGTGTAACTATATATTACAGTGAAAAGTCTCCAGCCCTGGACATATGTATTCTCAAAGTACAGCTCTCCATGAAAAGATACTGTGGTCTGTAAGAAAGAAACTTAAGGTCCGTTAACAGCAAAAGTGTGACATTACTTTATCTATAATGGGTAAGATAATTAAGGGTTCTGTAGGCTATCAATCCATTCAGCACTGGTAGTTAATTCAGTTAAGGTCTCAAATTGGAGGCAAATGAAAAAACTTTTCCCGTTAACTTAATTATTCGTGTTGCCTGCTGGGCATGTCTAATTGCCTTCACAAAATTCTGTCATCACTACCTTCTTTTCCAGTAATTCTAGACTTTAAGATGTTCTGGATTTAGTCCAATTGCAGTTATTCTCAAGGTATTTCAAAAGCCTACCTTGAACAGTACATATATAAGTTGCCCTCTTTATTTTTATTTAATTATTATTATTTTTTTGAGACAGAGTCTCGCTCTGTCCCCTAGGCTGGAGTGTAGTGTCATGATCTCAGCTCACTGCAACCTCCGCCTCCCTAGTTCAAGCATTCCCGAGTAGCTGGGATTACAGGGGCGTGCCACCACACCCAGCAAATTTTTGTATTTTTAGTAGAGACGGGGTTTCACCATGTTGGTCAGGATGGTCTCGAACTCCTGACCTTGTGATCCACCCGCCTTGGCCTCCCAAAGTGCTGGAATTACAGGCATGAGCCACGGCACCCAGCAAGTTGCCCTACTTACCGAACAAATGTGTTAACTTAAAAGTAGATGACCTGTTTTGTTTTGTTTTGTTTCGTTTTTTGAGATAGAATCTTGTTCTGTCACCCAGGCTGGAGTGCAGTGGCGTGATCTTGGCTCACTGCAACCTCCGCTTCCCGGGTTCAAGCCGATTCTCCTGCCTCAGCCTCCCGAGTAGCTGAGATTACAGGCATGTGCCACTACACCTGGCTGATTTTTGTATTTTTAGTAGAGACGGGATTTCACCATGTTGTCCAGGCTGGTCTCGAACTCCTGACCTCAAGTGATCCGCCCGCCTCAGCCTCCCAAAGTGCTGGGATTACAGGTGTGAGCCACCATGCCCAGCTGATCACCTGTATTATTCTGTCCTACCTGCCTCTGCATAAGTAATTAAAGGCATTTTTAAGTTCATTTCATGAATTAATAGACATGGCTTTTGAGAGAGTTAAATGTGAATATTCTCTTTGCCATCAGGACAAAGCAGGACCTCATAAGGAAATCTACCCCTATGTCATCCAGGAACTTAGACCAACTTTAAATGAACTGGGAATCTCCACTCCGGAGGAACTGGGCCTTGACAAAGTGTAAACCGCATGGGTAAGCGACAAACCACTGAAGAAGGCAGGAAAACAATCCAGAGAGGTGTGGGTGGATGACATTTCAGTGTGCTATAGTAAGACCTTTCAGTGTTCTTGTTAGAGGTAATGGCCGTGAGCATGAAGAGATTTTGAGAATACCAGTAATGGTAAATTTAAAGAACTGAAATGATTTCTAGTTGTTGTCATTATTTTCTTTCTTTCCTTCTTTTCTTTCTTTCGTCTTTTTTTTTTTGAGATGGAGTCTTATTCTGTTGCCCAGGCTGGAGTGCAGTGGTGCAATCTAGGCTCGCTGCAGCCTCCGCATCCTGGATTCAAGCCTCAGCCTCCCAAGTAGCTGGGACTACAGGCCACATGCCACCACAACTGGCTAATTTTTGTATTTTTAGTAAAGACGGGATTTCATCCTGTCGGCCAGGCTGGTCTCAAACCCCTGACCTCATGATCCACCTGCCTTGGCCTCCCAAAGTGCTGGGATTACAGGCTTGAGCCACCGCGCCCGGCATCATTATTTTCTTACTGGTAGAAAGACAAATAAAAGCCACCTTAATTAAAGAAAAATCTTCATACAATATTCTAGGCATAAACAGTAGCATAGATGATAATATAGTGAGTCTGTGTACACATATCCAGATTTTCAGATACTTTTATTGTTGCCACATTTGCTTTGGTGTGTTTAAAGTATTTCTATTTGGGCTGGGCACAGTGGCTCACGCCTGTAATCCCAGGACTTTGGGAGGCCGAGGCGGGTGGATCACAAGGTCAGGAGTTCGAGACCAGCATGGTGAAACCTTGTCTCTACTAAAAATACAAAAATTAGCTGGGTGTGGTGGCATGTGCCTGTAGTCCCAGCTACTCGGGAGGCTGAGGCGGGAGAATCACTTGAACCCAGGAGGCAGAGGTTGCAGTGAGCCGAGACTGTGTCACTGTACTCCAGCCTGGGTGACAGAGTGAGACTCTGTCTCAAAAAAAAAAAAAAAAAAAGACTCAACTTGGCTGGCAGCAATGGCTCATGCCTGTAAGCTCAGCACTTTGGGAGGCTAAGGTGGAAGGATTGCTTGAGTTCAGGAGTATCAGGAGTTTGAGACTGGCTTGAGCAACATAGTGAGACCCTGTCTCCTTTAGTTAATTAAATACATACATACATAGAAAGAAAAATATTCAGAATTCAAGGAATTTTTATATTCAGTCTTCCTGTTGAGAAACTGAACAGAAAATGCTGAAAACTTTGTAATCTACTTTTAAGATTTTTTTTTTTTTTTTTGAGACGGAGTCTCACTCTGTCACCTAGGCTGGAGTGCAATGGCATGATCTCGGCTCACTGAACTTCCGCCTCCCGGGTTCAAGCCGATTCTTGTACCTCAGCCTCCTAAGTAGCTGAGATTACAGGCATGCACCACCATGCCCGGCTAATTTTTGTATTTTTAGTAGAGACGGTTTCACCATGTTGGCCAGGCTGGTCTTGAACTCCTGATTTCAGGTGATCCACCCGCCTCAGCCTCCCAAAGTGCTGGGATTACAGGCATGAGCCACCACGCCCAGGTGGGATCTCGTTTTAAAGCTTGCTTTAACGGAGTGGTCTTTTTGTTTGTTTTTGTTTAATTTATTTATTTTTAATTTTGTTATAGAGACAGAGTCTCACTATGTTGCCCAGGCTGTTCTTGAACTCCTGGGCTCAAGTGATCCTTCCACCTTGGCCTTCCAAATTATTTGGGTTTCAGGTGTGAGCCAAAAGCAATGGTCTTTTCATTTTATCTTTGTCCACCCCCTCACCAGCACAACCTCCCTGAAGTAGCTCATCTTTATAATATATGCAATGGTTTTGACTTCTGTGAGTACTTAAAGAAAACTAGTTGTTCAGAATGGAAATTTTCCTAGTTATACTTTTGAAGCTCTTGTTTGTTTTTTGTTGTTGTTTTGAGACGGAGTCTCACTCTGTCGCCCAGGCTGGAGTACAGTGGCACGACCTCTGCTCACTGTAACCTCTGCCTGTTGGGTTCAAACAATTCTCATGCCTCAGCCTCCCTAGTAGCTGGGATTACAAGTGCCCACCACCATGCCCGGTTCATTTTTGTATTTTTAGTAGAGACCGGGTTTCGCCATGTTGGCCAGGCTGGTCTTGAACTCCTGACCTCAGGTGATCCACCCGCCTCAGCCTCCCAAAGTGCTGGGCTTACAGGTGTGAGCCACCGCGTCTGGCCCTGTGATTGATATTCTTTTTCTTTTTTTTTTTTTTTTTTTGAGACGGAGTCTGGCTCTGTCACCCAGGCTGGAGTGCAGTGGCATGATCTCGGCTCACTGCAAGCTCCGTTTTCCAGGTTCACGCCATTCTTCTGCCTCAGCCTCCCGAGTAGCTGGGACTACAGGCACCCGCCACCATGCCCGGCTAATTTTTTGTATTTTTAGTAGAGACGGGGTTTCACCGTGTTAGCCAGGATGGTCTCAAATCTCCTGACTTCGCGATCTGCCTGCCTCGGCCTCCCAAAGTGCTGGGATTACAGGCGTGAGCCACCGCGCCCAGCCCTGTGGTTCATATTCTATAATGAACTCCTAAAAGATGGTTTTAGTTTTCATTTTATCAAGTATTATTCCAAGGGGTCCAGAAGATCTTTTTTATGTAGGATATATTCTAGCTATACTAACTTTTTTTCTTTTTTTCTTTTTTTTGTTGGGAGACAGAGTCTTGCTCTGTCATCCATGCTGAAGTGCAATGAAGCGATCTCGGCCCACTCCAACCTCCGCCTCCCGGTTGAAGAGATTCTCGTGCCTTAGCCTCCCGAGTAGCTGGGACTGCAGGCATGGGCCACCACACCAGGCTAATTTTTTGTATTTTAGTGGAGACGGGGTTTCACCGTGTTGCCCAGGGTGGTCTTGAACTTCTATGCTCAGGCAATCCATTCGCCTCGGCTTTCCAAAGGGCTAGCGTTACAGGCATGAGTCACCGTGTCCGGCCCAAAAAAAATTTCTTTTGTTAAATGGCAGCTACTGGACACTTTTCTGATTGGGAAGGAAGTACCAGTGTATAAACAACAAAAAAGCCACAAAGCTAGTCGCTTGTGGGTTGACAGTAGGCAGGATTAAGTAAGAGCAGTAAAGGGTACAGAGAGACAGTGATTTCCCTGGTTGTAGCACTAAGGGTTATTTTTAAAAGATTTCTACTTTTTCTTTATTCTTTCCTGGCTAATTCTTTGTGTTTTCTCTTACAGATGGGCTTCCCCAAGGATTTATTGACATTGCTACTTGAGTGTGAACAGTTACCTGGAAATACTGATGATAACATATTACCTTATTTGAACAAGTTTTCCTTTATTGAGTACCAAGCCATGTAATGGTAACTTGGACTTTAATAAAAGGGAAATGAGTTTGAACTGAAATTAGGTATTTGTTTCATGTGTTTGCATTAATAAGCAGAAAATTAAGTGCTGTATTGGTTTCATGGTTTTGCTGCCCTCTTACATGCTGAGAGAACTGTGTTAATTCTCTGGAAACCATCTGACATGAAAATCAGCTTCATTAATATGTTTGGGTGCCCTAGCTTGTAAATTAGCTGAAGGCTAGAAGTCATTTATATAGAATTTTCTTGTTGACACCCTAGGCTTAGGGGACTGGTTGTCTGTGGGGATAGATCAAATTGTGTACCTTTCCAAAACAGGTTTTAATGATGTTTAAAAGTGGTCACTGAGATAGTCTTGAGGATGTGCTATGCAGTAGCCAAGCCCTCTTACGGTGTGTTCCTCTCTTAGTGCCCCTTTCCTTTCCTACCTGTTCTTCCCTTGCAGTGGTGTATTAGCCTTGGACATTAAAACATTTGCTTTGTAAATTTGGAGGCATTCTGATTAAACAGCTGAGTAAAACAAATCCTGCTTGTCTTAGAAGCGCCATAATACTAGAACCAGCTGCTGGATAAAGAGGTTCTAGATCTGGGTGACTTCTAGTATAGCCAGTCCAGACTGCAGTATTAGGGAAATTGAATTAATATTAGCTTGAAATTTAGATGTCTTCTCTCCTAGAGCCATGTAAGGGATTGTTATTAAAATCAGTTTTGGTGAAGTTCTAATACTAGTGAGACCTTTTATAAAGGCTGATCCGCTACCAGAAAACCCCCTGCCCAGTTTTTAGGAAGTAGAAATGTGAAACTAAAATGGCACATATTTTTAATGTATAGTTGGTAGGCCATGGTTCTTAGGTTTGATCCCACTGTGGGCCAGCGCTTTCCTCCTCACTGCCATAAAAATGGTCTCGTTCCTCATGTCATGGGAGGAGCAGAGGAAGGAACATAGGGTCACAGTTATCTATGAGGGTGAGATAAATGCTGTGATGGTCTTCATGCTACAAAAATTTGTCGAACACCTACTGTCTAACAAACATGCCAGGCACTGAAGGTAAAGCAGTGAACAGGAGAGACAGTGAATATTGGAACCTGGAGACACTGGAGGTAGGGATAAAAGTTAGGCACAGTGTGGTTATAACTTAATGGGGATTTTGAATTAGGGTAGTAGCCATAGGAATGGAAAGGGATGAATTTTGAGAATCACATTATTGAGGTGTAGTTAATAAGTAATTCGATGAGGGGAAATGAGAACTCTGGGAAGGCCATTTTTGAGATTTGAGTGGTGATGCCATTCATACAGGAGTCAGCAAAAGGAGGACCTTGGTGCAGAGTGGAGAAATTGCTACATTTGATTCTGGATCTGTTAAATTTCAGGCATCCGTGGGCTAGTTACGACAAGAGCTCTGAAAAGAGACTGAGACTAGAGAAAAGAATTTAAGGTTTGAAACAGCAAAAAGTAAGACTTCCAAGGAGGCTGTTTGGAGGCAGATGTGAACTACGTTGAAGGCCGAAACTGGAAGCAGGTACATTTAGAGGGAAAGAAGAGAGCAACTTTAGTAAGGTATAACTTACATGCAGCCAAGTGTGCAAATCTTAAAGTATGTAGCTTGAGCTTTTACATGTGTATACCTGTGAAATGCTGAATGGAGGACTTTTAAGAGCCATTTTTGTCAGGATTAAATGACACTAAGTGAAGCAAGTAAGCATATACAGATGCTCAGCAAAATTTTTTTTTTTTTTAAGACAGAGTCTCACTCTGTTGCCCAGGTTGGAGTGCAATGGCCCAATTTCGGCTCACTACAACCTCCCCCTCCCGGGTTCAAGCAATTCTTGTGCCTCAGTCTCCCAAGTAGCTGGGATTACAGGCATGCACCACCATGCCCTGCTAATTTTTGTAATTTTAGTAGAGATGGGGTTTCACCATGTTGGCCAGGCTGGTCTCGAACTCCTGACCTCTCAGGTGATCTGCCTGCCTCAGCCTCCCAAAGTGTTGGGATTACAGGCGTGAGCCACCGCGCCCAGCCAGATGCTCAAGAAATTTTAATTTCTTGGCCATGTTTTTGTGGGCGGTTGAGGCCAAACTGCAGGAGGCGAAGGAGTGATCTTAGGCAATGAGAGTGATTTGAAAGATGGTGAGGGTTGAGGCATTGGCTTTTCTTTTACAAGCAGAAGATTTATTTGTAGCTGGATAGAACTAGTAGATGGAAAGTGATTCTTGTTGCCTTTGCTTTTTTTTTTTTTTTTAATGTGTTTTTGTTTTGTTTTGAGACTGTCTTGCTCTGACACAGGCTGGAGTGCAGTGATGTGATCATGGCTCACTGTAGCCTCGACTTCCCGGGCTCCAACAATCCTTCCGTCTCAGCCTCCAGAGTAGCTGGGACCACAGGCGTGCACCTCCACACATGGCTAATTTTTGTGGTTTTGGTCTCATGTTGCCCAGGCTGGTGTCAAATTCCTGAGTTCAAGCTCTCTGCCTGTCTTGGCTTCCCAGAGTGCTAGGATTACAGGCGTGAGCCACCACAGCTGGCCTCCTTTGTATCTTAGGTAAGGTTGAGATTTCAACATTTTATTTTATCTGATTCACTCATGTATACCCTTAGAAGGAAACGGGTACTCTGGTAAGTTTTTTGTTTGTTTGTTTGTTTTTCTAAGACGGAGTCTTGCTCTGTTGCCCAGGCTGGAGTCCAGTGGCACAATCTCGGCTCACTGCAACCTCTGCCTCCCAGGTTCAAGCGATTCTCCTTCCTTAGCCTCCTGAGTAGCTGGGATCACAGGCATGTGCCACCACGCCTGGCTAATTTATTGTAGCTTTAGCAGAGATGGGGTTTCACCATGTTGGCTGGACTGGTCTTGAACTCCTAGCCTGAAGTGATCCGCCCACCTCACCCTCCAAAGTGCTGGGATTACAAGCATGAGCTACTGCACCTGGGGTGCTCTAGGAATTTTTACTTTTTTTTTTTTTTTTCGAGACAGGGTCTTGCTCTGTCACCCAGGCTGGAGTACAGTGGTGTGGTATCAGCTCACTGCAACCTCTGCCTCCTGGGCTCAAGCAATCCTCCTATCTCAGCCTCTGAGGAGCTGGTACTACAGATGCATGCTACCACACCCAGCTAATTTTTGTATTTTTTTGTAGACCACGTTGCCCAGGCTGGTATGGGTTTTTTGTGTTTTGTTTTTCTTTTGAGACAGAGTTTTGCTCTGTCGCCCAGGCTAGAGTACAGTGGCATGATCTCGGCTCACTGCAAGCTCTGCCTCCCAGGTTCATGCCATTCTCCTGCCTCAGCCTCCCGAGTAGCTGGGACTACAGGTGCCCGCCACCACGCCTGGCTTATTTTTTGTATTTTTAGTAGAGACGGGGTTTCACCGTGTTAGCCAGGATGGTCTCAAACTCCTGGACTCAAACGATCCACCTGCCTCGGCCTCCCAAAGTGCTGGGATTATAGGCGTGAGCCACCGTGCCCGGCCTGGTATGTTTTTAAATGGTTGAAAAATCAATGAAAAATATTTCGGCCAGGCGCGGTGGCTCACACCTGTAATCCCAGCACTTTGGGAGGCTGAGGCGGGTGGATTACAAGGTCAGGAGTTCGAGACCAGCCTGGCCAATATGGTGAAACCATGTCTCTACTAAAAATATAAAAATTAGCTGGGCATGGTGGCACGCACCTATAGTCCCAGCTACACGGGAAGCTGAGGCAGAAGAATCGTTTGAACCCAAGATGTGGAGGTTGCAGTGAGCCGAGATCATGCTGCTGTACTCCAGGCTGGGCGACAGAGCGAGACTCTGACTCAAAAAAAAAAAAATTTTTCATAATATATAAAAACTGTATGAAATTCAGAATATGGGCCGGGCATGGTGGCTCACACCTGTAATCCCAGCACTTTGGGAGGCCAAGGTGGGTGGATCACAAGGTAGGAGATCAAGACCATCCTGGCTAACATGGTGAAACCCCGTCTCTACTAAAAATACAAAAAATTAGCCGGGCGTGGTGGCGGGCACCTGTGGTCCCCACTACTCCGGAGGCTGAGGCAGGAGAATGGCATGAACCTGGGAGGCGGAGGTTGCAGTGAGCCGAGATCATGCCACTGCACTCCAGCCTGGGCGACAGAGCAAGACTCTGTCTCAAAAAATAATAAATTCAAATATGGTGTCCATAAATAAGGTTTTATTGGAACACAGTCACACGCCCTCATTCATTTACATATTATCTGTGGCTTATTTTTTTGCCTTTTAGTAAATTATGGTAAGATCATACATAAAATTTACCATCTTGACCTTTTTTTTTTTTTTTTTTTTTTTTGAGATGGAGTCTCGCTCTGTCGCCCAGGCTGGAGTGCAGTGGCGCCATCTCGGTTTACTGCAACCTCTGCCTCCCAGGTTCACGCCATTCTCCTGCCTCAGCCTCCCGAGTAGCTGGGACCACAGGCATCAGCCACCACGCCCGGCTAATTTTTTATATTAGTAGAGACGGGGTTTCACCGTGTTAGCCAGGATGGTCTCAATCTCCTGACCTCGTGATCCGCCCACCTGGGCCTCCCGAAGTGCTGGGATTACAGGCATGAGCCACTGCACCTGGCCTCATCTTGACCATTTTTGAGTTTACAGTACAGTGGCATTAGGTACATTCACACTGTGCATTATCTATAGCTGCTTTTGCATTAAAATGACATAGTGAGTAGTTGGACCAGAGAGTACTATTTGCCTGTTTACAGAAAGTTTGCCCACCTTTACTCTAAAATAATAGAAATAATTTTCACAAGAAGCAAACTTACAAAAATCACAAGGCATGTTACTAGAAGGCAAAAGTGACTAGATAAATTCAATCTACTGGTGAATTTGTCTCATCAAACTTTCTTCACACACACACCCATTAGGCAAATTGAATCAACTTCTTTGTTGTGCTGGAAAAAGTAGGTACATCTTGGCCAGGCGCGGTGGCTCACGCCTGTAATCCCAGCACTTGGGGAGGCTGAGGTGAGTGGATCACCTGAGGTCAGAAGTTTGAGACCAGCTGGCCAACACAGTGAAACGCTATCTCTACTAAAAATACAAAAAATTTACTGGGCATGGTGGCGAGCGCCTGTAATCCCAGCAGGAGGCTAAGGCAGAAGAATCGCTTGAACCTGGGAGGCGGAGGTTGCGGTGAGCCGAGATCATGCCATTGCACTCCAGCCTGGGTAACAAGAATGAAACTCCATCTCAAAAAAAAAAAAAAGTAGGTACATCTTTTAGCTTGATGGATCCTAGCTCTACCTAAAGAAGTAGATGGGTTGGGTGCAGTGGCTCACGCCTCTAATCCCAGCACTTTGGGAGGCTGAAGCGGACGGATCATGAGGTTAGGAGTTCAAGACCAGCCTTCCCAACATGGTGAAACCCCGTCTCTACAAAAATTAGCTGGGCATGGTGGTGCACGTCTGTAGTCCCAGCCACTCAGGAGGCTGAGGCAGGAGAACTGTTTGAACCTGGGAGGCGTAGGTTGCAGAGAGCCGAGATCGTGCCACTGCATTCCAGCCTGGCGACAGATCAAGACTCTGTCTCAAACAAACAAAAGAAGTAGATGGTAAATATGAGGATCCTTCCACAGCTTGACTTGGATGGACAGGGCTTCTACCCTAACAGGATGGGGTCTCTAGCCTTTTTCTTTCCTACAGTTTGTTTTAATTAAGTTTCAAAGCAGGCCGGGTGCGGTGGCTCACGCCTGTAATCCCAGCACTTTGGGAAGCCGAGGTGGGTGGATCACGAAGTCAGGAGATCAAGACCATCCTGGCTAACACGGTGAAACCCCATCTCTACTAAAAATACAAAAAATTAGCCAGGCGAGGTGGCGGGCACCGGTAGTCCCAGCTACTCGGGAGGCTGAGGCAGGAGAATGGCATGAACCCGGGAGGCGGAGCTTGCAGTGAGCCAAGATGGCACCACTGCACTCCAGCCTGGGCGACAGAGCCAGACTCCGTCTCAAAAAAAAAAAAAAAAAAGAAAATAAATTTCAAAGCAATTAATAGTTTGTCACATTTGTTTATATGTTATATATCTACACACGTCACTTCACCCCTGAATACTTCAGCAAAAATCTGAGAAAAAGGACTTTTGCCTCCTACATAAACACAATTCTGTTCTATTTCAAGAAGTTTAGCATCAGGCTAGGCGCAGTGGGTCACGCCTATAACCCTGGCACTTTGGGAGGCCGAGGCGGGTGGATCACCTGAGGTCAGAAGTTCGAGACCAGGCTGACCAACACTGAGACACCCTGTCTCTATTAAAACTACAGAAATTAGCTGGGCGTAGTGGCTCATGCCTGTAATCCCAGCTATTCAGGAGGCTGAGGCAGGAGAATCGCTTGAACCTGGAAGATGGAGGTTGCAGTGAGCCAAGATTGGCCATTGCACTCCAGCCTGGGCAACAAGAGTGAAACTCCGTCTCAAAATAAAAAAAAAAAAATAATAAGTTTAGCATCAAATACATACAGTTCATATTTCTGAAGAGTCCAGGCCAGTTGTAGAATGTCCTGTAATCTGCCTGTGTCTGTTTCCTAATTATTCAAATCCAGCTAAACATTTTTGGCAAAAATACTATGTGAAATTCCAATTGTATCCCCTCAGGAGGGACATGATGTCAGTTTGTCCTCATGTCTTTTTATTACATACACCTACCAGCTGATGGAAGGCAGCATAATGTAGCAGTAAGATGAGAAAATGGGGTTTGGATTCAGACTTGGGTATAAATCCCAGTCTACTGTATAACAGTCATATGACTGTGTATATGTTGCCTACACTTCTGTCCTTTTGTTTCCTTATCTGAAAATGGGAGCCACCTCACAAGGATATAACAAGAATGAAAGGTTAGCAGATTATGTTCTATTTGTTATAATCATTTTTTTGGTTGTGCTTGGGAAAATGGCTTAAGCCTAGTCATTCTCTCCTAAGTTTTGCTAACTATCACTTCAGTTTTTCCTGGCTGTTTGTTTAACTGGATGCCAGAGAGCTTGTCCTTAGCAGCAGAGCCTATTAGTCTATAGTCACATTTTGCAGTAACATTGTTTAGTTTGCCATTTTGCTGCATTGGAGAAGTTTGGTTGAACGCCAAGTGAGATGACTCTGTGCTGGGCTTGGCCTTTGTCTTAAACGGGTTTAGTGTGTTGCTGTAAAGGGATACCTGAGGCTGGGTAACTTTTTTTTGTTTGTTTTGTTTGAGACGGCATCTCGCTCTGTCGCCCAGGCTGGAGTGCGATGGCGTGATCTCTGCTCACTGCAACCTCTGCCTCCCGAGTTCAAGCGATTCTCCTGCCTCAGCCTCCCGAGTAGCTGGGACTACAGGTGCCCGCCCCCACGCTCAGCTAATTTTTATACTTTTAATAGAGACGGGGTTTCACCATGTTGGCCAGGTTGGTCTTGATCTCTTGACCTTGTGATCCACCCGCCTCGGCCTCCCAAAGTGCTGGGATTACAGGCGTGAGCCACTGCGCCCGGCCTGGGGCTGGGTAATTTTTAAAGTAAAGGGGCTCATGCCTGTAATCCCAGTGCCTTGGGAGGCCAAGGCAGGAGGATTACTTGAGGCCAGGAGTTCGAGACCAGCCTGGGCCACATAGTGAGACCCCCATCTCTACCAAAAAAATTTTAAAAACTAGCCAGGTACAGTGGTATGTACCTATAGTCCCAGCTACTCAGAAAGGTGAGATGGACTGATTGCTTGGGCCCAGGAGTTCAAGGATACAGTGAGCTATGATCACAGCACTGTACTCCAGCTTGGGCAACAAGGCAAGACCCCATCTCTTAACAAAAAATGTTTATTAGGCCGGGCACAGTGGCTCACGCCTGTAATCCCAACACTTTGGGAGGCTGAGGCGGGCGGATCACCTGAGGTCAGGAGTTCAAGACCAGCCTGACCAACATGGAGAAACCCCATTTCTACTAGAAATACAAAATTACAGGCGTGGTGGCACATGCCTGTAATCCCAGCTACTCAGGAGGCTGAGCCAGGAGAATCGCCTGAACTGGGGAAGTGGAGGTTGGGGTGAGCCGAGATCATGCCACTGCACTCCAGCCTGGGCAATAATAGTGAAACTTGGTCTAAAAAAAAAAAACGTTTATTAGCTCACGGTTGTTTTGGTTGTACAAGAAGCATGGAACTGGCATCTACTTAGCTTCTGGTGAGGGCCTCAGGCTGCTTCCACTCATGGCGGAAGGCAGAGGGGAGCAGGCTTGAGCAGAAATCACTTGGTGAGCGAGGAAGCAAGAGGAAGGGGAGATACCAGGCTCTTTAATATCTAACTCTCTTGAGATGGTGGGGCCACCTTTTCCTGGCCAGTTTATCCTGACCTATTCTGAATCCACCAAGGCCCTGAATCTCAGCTCCATCTCCTCCTCTGCCTCCCACTATACCCCACAGACAAAGTGGTCATTCCTTTCTGAAGAACAGGCTGAGACTTTTCTGGGACCTGCTCTTTCTGGAGCCTCTGATGTTCCCTGTCTGGGTCTCCACGTGCCTCCTTCGTGGTTCTTTGAGGAATCAGCTTCAATGTCACCTCCAAGTGTGATCTTCACTGATGACACAGCTCAGCACAGACCTGCCTGCTTCTCATTTATCTCAAGTAATTAACCAACCTACACCACGTGGCTGAATTCCCTCTCTCTGCACGTGTGTTTGTGTGTGTGTGTGGTCACACCATCTTATGTGACATTAATACCTAGTTATCTATACAGATAATATATATTCACACATAAATATATATCTAAGACTATCCCTATAACTAGTAAATTTCCACTGCTATGTTTTTTTGTTTTTTGGCTCCTTGGCTAAATCCACACTTCAAGAAAGCAGAGATAGTTTTTGTTTGTTTGTTTGTTTGTTTGTTTGTTTTGAGACGGAGTCTCACTCTGTTGCCCAGGCTGGAGTGCAGTGGCACGATCTCGGCTCCCTGCAACCTCCGCCTCCTGGGTTCAAGCCATTCTCCTGCCTCAGCCTCCTGAGTAGCTGGAATTACAGGCGCACCCCACCACGTCCGGCTAATTTTGTATTTTTAGTAGAGATGGGGTTTCACCACGTTGGTCAGGCTGGTCTCAAACTCCTGACCTTGTGATCCGCCTGCCTTGGCCTCCCAAAGTGCTGGGATTACAGGCGTGAGCCACTGCGCCTGGCCGCAGAGATAGTTTTTATGGCCCACTATATATATATAATTGATATTTTTTTAAAAACCCAGCTCTCTCAGGAACTTATAGAATAAGAACTTACCACCTTCAGAGAGAGCATTAATGTATTCGTGAGGGATCCACCCCCATGACCCAGATACCTCCTATTAGGCCCCACCTCCAACACTGGGGATCAAATTTAAACATGGGGTTTGGTGGAGACAAGCCACAGCAGCCCGCCACAGCTGTGGCCATACCTTTGCATATAACTGTGAGGACAATGGTGGGTCTGGTAACCTGGGAACCCAGAAAGACCTGCAGATTCATAGGTCCTATCTAGTTATCTGTACTCTACCAATAATGAGAGAAGTTCCTTGGGCTAGAGGCCACAACCTGGTGAGACAGTGGCTTCTGAGATGGAAGAGAGCTTGAAAGGGAAGTAGCAGGATAAAAAAAAAAAATCTCTGTCCTCCATCCCTTTTAATGTTTAACCCCAGATACTTGCCTGTATGAAGGAATTCAGCTCCAGTCAACAGCAGAACCAGAATTCTCAACTGATGATGGAGATGTATCTGTCCCAGGACCAAGAAAGTTTAGGGAATAACTTAGATTTAGAGCCAGGGATAAAGAGTAACTGCCCAATGAGGGTTCCAAAAGCCAGGGTAGTAGTCCTTGCTCCTAACAGCCAATAATCTCTCCCCGAGGATTCACTACCCCCCAATAACAAAGAAATAAGACTGGGAACTGGGAGATACCTTATTTGTCATCATTAGGTTTGCAGGACCCAGCATAGCACCTGTGACACAGTAGGAGATGAATAAAGCTATGCTAAATTGAGAAGCCCCAGGCCCAGCAAGGCAGGCAGCACAAGCACTGGGTTAAGGTCTGAGTAGTAGGAGCAAGGAAGAGGGGCTTTGTGCCCTTTCTGCTGTGGCAATTCTTGCTCTGGAGACTCATCCCCTTGCAACCTAGAGTTGGTTGGGGGTATTTTTGGTGGTGGGGTGGGTATTTATTTGTCTTAGGTTCCTAGTGAACATAATTTTTTTTTTTTGAATTGTAAGTTATTTATTTTTTGAGACAGGGTCTCATTGTCATCTAAGCTGGAGTGCAGTGGTGCGATCGCAGCTCACTGCAGCTCCACCTCCTGTCAGTCAGCCTCAACTGCCTGGGCTCAGGTGATCCTACCACCTCAGACTCCCAAGTAGCTGAGACCACAGGCACACACCACCATGCCCAGCTACTTTTTCTATTTTTTTTGTGGAGACGGGGCTTTGCCATGTTGCCCAGGCTGCTCTTGAACTCCTGGCCTCAAGCGATCCACTTGTCTTGGCCTCTCAAAGTGCTGGGATGACAGGCGTGAGCCCTAGTGAACATAATTTCTTAAGTGGAAAAGGGAACTTCCCACATCCAGGCCAGGATCATTGAGTACAACTATCACAAGACCACAATTTCTTCATTAATAATGACTTTATATAATCTCTAAGAGCTCTTCCAGGCCGGGTGCGGTGGCTCACACCTGTAATCCCAGCACTTTGGGAGGCCGAGGAGGGCGGATCACGAGGTCAGGAGATTGAGACCATCCTGGCTAATATGGTGAGACCCCGTCTCTACTAAAAATACAAAAAAAAATTAGCCAGGTGTGGTGGCGGGCGCATGTAGTCCCAGCTACTCAGGAGGCTGAAGCAGGAGAACGGTGTGAACCTGGGAGGTAGGGCATGCAGTGAGCCAAGATCGCGCCACTGCACTCCAGCCTGGGCGACAGAGCAAGACTCTGTCTCAAAAAAAAAAAAAAAAAAAAAGATCTCTTCCAGCCCCAAAGTTCTATGATACTAGTTAACTAAAAGAGGGGAAATAGGATATTAATTCAACAAATACTTATTACTATAACCTTATGCTAAAAAGTGAATAAGGTCTGCCCTTGGGGAGTGTAAAGTCAAATGAGAGAATAAACACTAAATCCTTGTAATGCTGTATAAGGGTTGTGTAAATAATAGCATATATTTCTTGAACACTTACTATTTGCCAGGTGTCATTCTAAACACTTTACAACTGAACTTCACAATTCCACTTCCATTAGATGGGTTTTCTTATCTCCACTTAGCTAAAGAAACTGAGACATAAAGAGGTTTAATAATTTGCCAGTAGGTAACAGAGCAAATAATTTGGCTTCAGGGTCTATGTTCAATCAGTCAGCAGTTAACAGCATTATTGATGGAAGATTGGGAGGAGTGTGCATGAAGGCTGTCACACTTTTGCTACAAGTTCCTAGTGATCTTGTGACATTAAGTGGGTTTAGGTCGGGGTTCCCAAGCCCCAGGCCATGGATGGATACTGGTCCATGAGTGAGCAAAGCTTCATCTGTATTTACAGTGGCTCCCCATTGCTCACATTACCACCTGAGCTCCGTCCGCCTCCTGTCAGATAAGCCGTGGCATTAGAGTCATATAGCAGCATGAACCCTATTGTGAACCACACATGCAAGGGATCTAGGTTGTGGGCTCCTTATGAGAATCTAATGCCTGATGATCTGTCATTGTCTCCCATCACACCCAGATGGGACCGTCTAGTTGCAGGAAAACAAGCTTGGGGCTCCTACTGATTCTAAGTTGAGTTGTATAATTATTTCATTATATATTGTAATGTAATAATAAAGTGCACAATAAATGTGCTTGAATCATCCCAAAACCAGCCCCCGCATTTCCACCCCGTGGAAAAACTGTCTTCCACAAAACCAACCCCTAGTGCCAAAAAGGCTGGAGACTGCTGGTTTAAATCACATTTTCTTTGGCCCTTGGTGATGTCCACATCAGCATAACCAGGAGAAAACCACTTCGTTGTTTTTTTGTTGGTTTTTTTTTTTTTTTTTTTTGGCTGGGGGGTGGTTGGTTGGTTGTTTTTGAGACAGCGTCTTGCTCTGTTGCCTAGGCTGGAGTGCAGTGGCCTGATCTCGGCTCACTGCAACCTCCGCCTCCTGGGTTCAAGCGATTCTCCTGCCTCAGCCCCTGAATAGCTAGGATTATAGGCACCCGCCACCACGCCCGGCTAATTTTGTATTTTCAGTAGAGATGGGGTTTCACCATGTTGGCCAAGCTGGTCTTGAACTCCCTACCTCGGGTGATCCGCCTGCCTCAGCCTCCCAAAGTGCTGGGATTACAGATGTGAGCCACTGTGCCCGGCCAGAAAACTACTTCTTTGGAGTCCACAGGCAACTGGGTACAAATTCCAGGTTTATCACTTAACTGGTAAACTTGACCAAGTCTAAGCTTCATTTGTTTAACAAGAATAACTATTGGCTTCATTGGGAGGTTATAACCATTAAATACTAAGTTGAGCTATATGAACCTGCTGTTTCTGGAGGCAAAAACAGTCTAACATCATGGGGAGTGGGGGGAATCTACCAAAATGGTAAGGATTCCTTTGTGCTTTTGATTTTTGAAAACTTCAGCCCTAAATTCTTCCTTTTCACCTCTCTTGCCCAAGGCATAGTGCCACCCAACGGTCTGCGTGGCCCTGGGAGCTCGGAGGTTGCACACTGTTGACCTACCCTATTGAAGCCAGTAAGTTAGTCAAGGGACAGCCTCATGAGATTTGGGAGTTCTACAAGGATCTGGAGTTTCTTTCCAGCCAGTCACAAGCACATCCCTTGGGGGCTAGAGAAGTCAAGAGCCCTGACACATAGCCTACCACACACAGACTCAGAGTGCACTTTCACCCTCCTTTTCAACGCCTATTTGCCTCACTGTACAATGAGTAGTGACATTGGCTCTATTTTTAAATGTGGAAACTGAGGCCTAGAGAGGGTCAGGTCCTGTCCAATGTCACAGGCACCAATTGGTGTTGGAAAGAAGGTGGGGTTTGGCGTCAGATGGATCAGCGCAAGCACTGCCTCTAGATGTGTCACCTTCACAAGGTTCTTTAACTTCTGGGGCCTGTTTCTTTTGCTAGAAAAGGTCGCTGATAACGCTTGTCCTCATATGACTCTTCAACCCAAGTCTGCTCTCTGGCAGCCCCACATGTGGGGAGACCCCCAAGGAGACACTGCGAGAAGCACAGAGTGCGGCGCGCCAGGACTCAAACCGTGGGCACCCGACCGACGCACACGCGCAGCCCCACGACAGTATCAGTATTTAATTTCCACTAGAGACAGAACTAAGCCTAACCATCACCAGGCTCAAGCCGCCTACCCCAAAACCGAGAACGGAACTGCCCGGTCCCCCCGAAAAGAAGGGCGGAACATTTCGGCCAAGTCCTCAGACTACCGAACCGGAGAGCTCCGAAAGGGGACTACCTGCGCCTGCGCACCGCCATCTTGTTAAAAGAGCCCGCCTCTCCCTCGGCCGGTCACTCTTTCGCCACGGGCGGGGTTGCACCATCCGGCAGGGCGGGGCCCGGCCATGGCGACCGCGGAGCCCAGCGGGCGCGCGTTGCGGTTGTCTACCCCGGGACCCCGGCCCAGCGGGGCTCGGGACCGCGCGCCGGGAGCTGCGGGGCCACCCTCCGGGCAGATCGGTAATAGAGCCCTCCGTCTGGGGGAGCGCACCCCCGCGGCCGTGGAAAAGCGGGGGCCATACATGGTGACGCGCGCACCCTCCATTCAAGCCAAGCTGCGTGAGTGTGGCCCGATGGTCGGGGGAGGTTTCTCCCTGGGCGGGCGGCCGCGTCCCCAGGGCGGGTTCCGGAGCTCCGCTGGGCCTCGGCCCCGGAGGGAAGGGGTTAGCTGCAGCCTGCTCTCGCCCCTCAAAATCCGTTCGGAAAGAGCGGCCTCCCAGCCTTCGGGAGACGCGGCGGAGTGGGGAAGACCCGGCTGACCCGGGTCCTTTAACTTCCAGAGAAGCACCGGGACCTGGCCAAGGCCGTTCTGCGGAGAAAAGGCATGCTGGGGGCCTCGCCGAACCGCCCAGACTCTTCAGGGAAAAGGTCTCAGCAGGCGCCACCTCCTCTGTGCCAGCAGCTTTAGAGAAGGCTTTAATCCCCAGGACGGAGGCAGGGTGCTCTGGTTTAAGGCCGAGCTAGCGATTCCCCTGATGCAACCTGTCAGGTTCACTATCTTTAAAATGGGAAGAGGAACAATCTCTCTTTTCCTTTAAGGATGTGATAGGATCAGATAAAGGGCTTCGGAATAAGGGAGTTCTGTGAGTGCACAGGCTCATTCACTATCATTCTCCTCCTCTGTTAGGGAGGAGAATGGTGGCTGGAGTCCCCAGCAATGAGGACGAAGAGCAGTGTGGGAATGGCTAGACCTGTTTTTGTTTGTTTGTTTTTAACAGAATAGTAAACTCGGAGCTGCATAGAACCTTATTCAGTGCCTCCTTTTACAGATGAGGGTTGAAACTCGGAGAAGTGAAGGTTAACCCTAACCTTTTACCCAAAGACTTGCAGTTTTTGTGTCCTCTGATTAAATAAGTGGGGAGAGGGTGCTTTTCCTAGATCAGGCAAGGGGAGGTGTGCTTTTTTCCAAGACCTATGGGAGGAGTAGAATACAGGCCGGGCGTGGTGGCTCACGACTGTAATTCCAGCACTTTGGGAAGCCGAGGCGGGTGGATCACTTGAAGTCAGGAGTTCGAGACCAGCCTGGCCAACATGGTGAAAGCCCGTCTCTATTAAAAATACAAAATTAGCTGGGCACGCCTGTAGTCCCAGCTACTCAAGAGGCTGAGGCAGGAAAATCACTTGAGCATGGTAGGCGGAGATTGCAGTGAGCCGAGATCGCGCCACTGCACTGCAGCCTGGGTGACAGGGCCAGACTCTGTCTCCAAAAAAAGAAAAAAAGAATGAGAACATACACATTCTGAGGCACTGTAGCCAGGTACATGGAGCTGCAGGCAGTGGTGGCTGTGACCAGGGAGAAGGCAAGTCAGTAGTGCAGTCAATTCTTTCTCCTTCAGGGCGAGGACTCTGCCTATCCCTGTGAAATGCCTATGCTTTCATCTATGTTTGGTCTCTTCTCCCCCGTCTCCCCTCAGGTCAGTGAAGTTTAACAAGGGCTATACTGCTCTTAGCCAGAGTCCAGATGAAAACCTGGTGTCCCTCGACTCTGACAGGTGAGTGCTCCCCTTGGAAATACCCCCTTGGGAAGCAACTTGGCTGGGACTGAAGATCGCCTGATGCCTTTGCTTGTTCCCTGTCTCCTCCAAGGCCCTTCATGTACATTCCAGGGCCGTTCTCTTCTGAACAATATCCCTTCCCAGGATGGCTTGGTTAGAAGACTCATAGGTAATCGTGCTGCTCTAGAATTCGGAGCACCAATGTCCGGGGGATCATCCTGCCCTGTTATGTTTGCATTGTTAGTGAGAGTGACCCTGTCCCTGCCAGAACCAATTGAGGGAACCAGTATTATTCAAGGCCTGTTCGGACTTGAGTTCTGTTGTGTGTGGCCTTTGCTTCAAAAGTCTTCCAGATGCCCTTGCATGCTCTCCGCCTGATGATTTACAGCTGTGCACCACAGGTACCTCCCGGAACTGACTGTTTTCCTCTTCTCCTAGTGATGGGGAGCTGGGATCCAGATACTCCTCCGGGTATTCATCTGCAGAGGCAAGTCCAGAACACCTTTCTGTGCAGGGCCAGGCTGCAGGCAGCATTACCACCACTGCCAAATGCTTGTTTGGTGCCCGCTGTGAGCACAGCACTGTGCCAGACTTCTGGTCTGTTCTACGATCTTCCACTCTGCCCTCTTCCCCCGGTGGAGGTATAGGTGACCAAGGAGGGCTGTTGAGAATCGAGGAGACCATTTAGACTCAGGGCTAGAAATGATCTCAGAAGTCATGTAAGCTGGGCATGGTGGTACATGCCTGTAGTCCCAGCTACTAGGGAGGCTGAGGCAGGAGGATTGCTTGAGCCCAGGAGTTCCAAGACCAGCCTGGACAATATAGCAAGACCCTGTCTCTAAAATAAGACTCTAAAATAAAAGTCTTCTAGGCCACAGCTTACAAAAGGAACCCTTTTGATAGATCCCAGCTAAGTGTTTGCTAGTCTGTGCTTACTTGAATGCTTTTTGTAATTGGGTACTGACCACCTCCAAGGAGCCTTGCTACCCACCCTTCCCTCAACACACACAGAATTTTTTCTTTGAGTAGCTGTTAGAGAAATCTTCCTTATTAATCTGAATGGGTCCATTGGTCCTTGACCTGCTTTCCAGTGTCACACAGCAACTCTAGTTTCTCTGAGATCAGCATTTCCGTCTCTCCCCTGCCCATCTTTCACCAAGCTTGCTTTCTTCCAGACCAAACAACTTCTGTTTCTTCAGTTGTTCCATCTATGAAAACTCAGGCTAAAACACTCCTGGGATAGCCATGTAGACATTTTTCTAGAGTGACTGTCCCAGATAGAAAAACAGGGATGTAAAATCCTGGCAAGTGAAGCCCATTCCCTTTGACAGAGGTGAAGTGCTGGGGACCTGACTCTACACCACTTGCTTTTCTTACTCTCCTGGAAATCTTGGCTAATCTCTGAGTTTCTGTCACAGAGAATAGAGCAGTTTGCAAATTTTGTCCTCCTTAAATGTCTGAGTGTCAAAGATTGTGTGTAAGAGGAAGTCTTACACTTTCCCCAGCCTCATTTATTTTTCTTTTTCTTTTTTTTTTTTTTTTTTTTTTTTGAGACAGAGTCTCACTCTGTGGCCCAGGCTGGAGTGCAGTGGCATGATCTCAGCTCACTGGAAGCTCCGCCTCCCAGGTTCACGCCATTCTCCTGCCTCAGCCTCCCGAGTAGCTGGGACTACAGGCGCCCGCCGTCACGCCTGGCTAATTTTTTCTATTTTTTAGTAGAGATGGGGTTTCACCATGTTAGCCAGGATGGTCTCGATCTCCTGACCTCGTGATCCACCTGCCTCGGCCTCCCAAAATGCTGAGATTACAGGCGTGAGCCACCACGCCCAGCCTTATTTTTCTTATGTTCAGTGAACTGATGAAACCAACCAACAAATTCCACTTTGCAGGAACCCACCTCTGTTGGCATCAAAGGATAAGTCTAACCAGCAGTGTGTAGACAAAGCTGCTCACCACCCCCTTCCACTGTAACCCATGCTCTACTACGCTAGCCCATTGTTCTGTTATTATCCCATATTCTTCAGCTTTGATAGGGACTAGTCTGGGCTCCCAGTGGGAACTGTCAGAGCACTGATTTTCAAACATATTGGGAACTCGATATTTACATGAATGCCTCAGGATTTAGTGAGAACAGATCCCTGGGGGTCAGTGACAGTGAAGTCTGGACAGTACTAAGGCTTACTGCTGGCTGAGGCACAAGTAGGAGAAGGTGGTACTTCCTCCTGTAGTCCAGGGATGTGTGGGGTTGGCCTGGGGTGGGACATGGACAGGAAGCCCTGGTAACGGAATGTGGTTCTGTCTTTTGGGTAGCAGTTACTTCTGCTTTGCATCTTGGCCTATAGTTCCCTCCTCTCCTTCTCTTAGCAGGTGAACCAGGATGTGAGCCGGCAGCTGCTTCAGGATGGGTATCACCTGGATGAGATTCCAGATGACGAGGACTTGGACCTCATCCCCCCTAAGCCCATGGCCTCTTCAACATGCTCCTGCTGCTGGTGCTGTCTTGGGGACTCTTCTTCCTGTACCCTCCAGTAGACATTACCCTCCAAGGTGGGCCCTGCTCACCATGAGGCCTACAGAGCCCTGTTGGCCACTCATAGCTCACACAGTGCAGTGAGCACTGAAGTCACTGACCCCTAGAAAGTGACCTGCAGGTAGCCCTTACCTGTTGCTTCTCAGGCCAGAGGCCCCCATCTGGGCTGTGGGCTGATAGGTAGAATTCTGTAGTTTTCCTCTGCTGTTGGAGCAGAGTTTGGAGAAGTCACTTTAATAAGGGCAAGACAGAAAATTCTGGTTCTTATGGTGGGTGACAAAGGTGGCTAAGGAAAACACTTGCAGACAGCTTGATTGGTATTTGTCATAGTGCTTCAGGGAGGCAAAAAGGGAGCTCTTGTGCCCAGGCTGTGCTAGATAGTGTTGAATGGAGGCAGAAAATAGCACTTTATGGTTTATTATAGCTGGCAATCCAAAAAAGAAACTGTTTGAGACCAGTTCGAGAAATTCCGTTTGCTCTATTCTTCCTAGCTCTAAGATGGTTTGCAGGCTTGACCTTCAAGACAGCATAAAGTGAGTCCTTTTGTCCCTCTTCAGGTTGCACCTGTCTAACTATGACAGGGATCATAGCAGGTTGCTTAATGATACAGCAGGATCCTGGCTTCCAGAATCCCTGGACCTGGGGCATCCCCAACTGGTCCAACCGTCCGGGTGAGTTTAGTGATTCTGGTTTGCCCTTCCCTAGTTAGAGAAAAACTGCTCTGACATGTTCATATTTATTTATTTGTATTTCCTTGGTCTGGGTGAGTTTCTTCACCCAGTCTTTGAGCTAAAGATTAGGTCGAAGGTACTGGGGCTGGCCCCAGAAGCCTGCAGTTTTTATTATTACCAGCAGAGGGAGCTACAGGGAGCAGTCCGGTGCCTTCCTATTGTTTACTTTTTAAACTTTTGAGAAGTAGCAATGGACTCGTGAGAGTGGGTATACAGCTGTGTGGGCTTTGTCCTAGACTGAGGCTTACAGACAGGAAGGGTAAGAGAGACCTAAGCCAGCTCCTAGACCCTTGCCTGAGGAAATCAGTCCACCAGTGTAGAGGGCCTCCCTTCACTCCAGCATGGACCATTCTATTGCCAGATTCTTCTGGTCACAGCATGGGCCTTACTGGATACTCAGGATTGGGCTTTAAGCAGACCTCTGGGTGTGACACAGCCTCTTTCAGCCCCCAGCCCAAACAGCAGAAATAGGCATAATTTCTGCTGTGACACCCCCTACCCACAAATTGGAGAGTATATCTTGCTATACTCTATACCAAGCCTCTTTCTAGAATTTTTCCAACAGGTTTTGTTTTGTTTTTTGGCTTAACTCAGAACCATGGTGAGCGTTCTGCTTTGTTTTGTTGGAGACAGGGTCTCTGTCACCCAGGCTGGAGTGCAGTGGTGTAATCACAGCTCACTGCAGCCTCAACCTCCCAGGCCCAAGCAGTCCTCCCACATGGTGAGCTTTGAATGGGCATAGACAGGGTTCCCAGCCCAATAGTCGGGATTGGGGTATAGGTTCTACATGGGAAAGTATCCAGTCTCTTGCTTTACTCAGTGTCCTGTGACCACCAGAGGCATGAGAGGGACAACACACTCTTTTCGCTCTACCACAAGGGGTGACTAGAAGATGAGCAAGTCTAATAAAAAGATACGGCCTTATTTGTTATTTGTCTGACAACCATCCTTACGATGGTAATCCTGTGAGTGCCTGATGGACATCTATCTTTGTGTTTTTCTCAAACCATGGAAGGTTGAGAGGAATATACAGTATCTGGGGGCTGACTTACTCTACTAGCTAGGAGCATCACAGCAGAGAGATAGGACAGAGACCAGAGTCATGCCAGCTTGGGGTCTTGGGAAGAGAGGCAGATGGTTACTCTGTTCTGGAATGGGACTCTGCAGCTCTATGCAGTGGCCAACATTCTGAGCACTTTGTGCAAATGCTTGTAGAGCTCAAGAACATCTCCATCCAGAACCCCTTCCCCATCTGCAGAGACCATGTCCAGGCCTTTCTTGTGTCTGCAGAGGTGAAGTGCACATGTGGAAAGGGATCAAATGTAGCACAGTGTAAAGAAAGACAGCAACACAGGTAGAGGGACCCAGTGTGTGCTGGGAGGTGGCTGTGGAAGGTAAGTATAGACCTACATCTCTGTTGGGGAGGTGGTCAGGGCAGAATGGCCTGGGTGTTTAGCAGCTTCTAGGGGTGAGGGTGGCAGGACCCCAAAACCAAGGCCCTCTGCATCGTTGTTGTAATAATCAGCTCTGGCATATTCAGCTGCAACTGTCCCTGAAGAAGAGGTTTCTGAGCTGGCTGACCCCATGTAGGAGGGTGTTACCTTGTAGAAAAAGCTGGAGGGACCTGGTGGGACAGTGCAGTGAGGCAGGGTAGAAATGGTCAGTTGTTTAGGGCCAGTGGCCACATACCAAAATACCACCAATGTGCCCAGGGCCAAACTGCCTTAATTCTGAGTGCTGTGTGTTCTGCAGGTGACAGTTTCCTGAGGAGAGGGGTGTATCCAGGCTTACCTCCCAGCAGGAGTGGTACCATATGGTGTTTATGTACTACTCTATAGAACTCTTGGCTTGCACTTCTACAGCTCTGTACATTTATAAGAATAAATGCAATCACACTAGTTGAGCTGTGTCTGTGTTGCAGTGGATTTTAAAGGCCTTGGCCAGGCACAATGGCTCATGCTTGTAATCCCAGCACTTTCAGAGGCTGAGGCAAGCAAATCACAAGGTCAGGAGTTTGAGACCAACCTGACCTTACCTGGAATTGTAGATCCTGTCACCCCGTCTCTACTGAAACCCCGTCTCTACTAAAAATACAAAAACTTAGCTGGGTGTGGTGGCAGGCGCCTGTAGTCCCAGCTACTCAGGAGCTGAGGCAGAAGAATCGCTTGAACCCAGTGGGCGGAGGTTGCAGTGAGCTATCGCGCCACTGCACTCCAGCCCGGGAGACAGTGCGAGACTCCGTCTCAAAAAAATAAAAGTTAAGAATATCCTGGATATCCTGAAATGAAGAAATAGCTTAACAGCTGACTACAGCAATTCCTTCTGGAAACTCCCTCCCCTTTCTGCTGTTCCCACTGGGCATCACTTTCGGGCCTGTTTCACTGGACGGCATGAGTGAAATAGGCTCTTGCAAGTCACTTCTGTAGAATGGGTTCCCTTTAGCAGACCTTTTCTTTCCAGCTCATCTTTATTGTTTTTTAGCTGAAGAAAATTTGGAGGCAAGAAAACCCAGGAGATTTTTGAAGGTGGTTTCCTGGAACTCCATTGTATAGGGACTCTAGTGTGGGCAGAAGCCCAGAAAGATTCTTTTGCATGAATTTAAACCTTTATCCCACAGGAAGGAGCCAGTGGACTAAGTGATTAGTCTGTGGTGACAGGATCTACGATTGCAGGTCAGAAACCTCAGCAGCAGCAGACAGCCGACAGCCTCTTGCAGGTGTGTGCCACCCCTGGAGCAGGGCATCAGGAGATTCCCTCCTTCACACTTCCTGCCCGTTTAGGAAAGCTAACTGGGCTTCTCCTCGCCATGAAAATTGTCTAATTCGGTTCCTGAGTCCCTGTAATCTGCAACAGTTGAGTATGTTGTAGAGAAGTGGTTGACAGTCAATGGTTTCAGTTTTGCAGGCCGTACAGTCTAGTGCAACTCTTCAACTTTGCCACTGTGGCTTGAAAGCAGCCAGACAGTATGGAAATGAACAGGTATGGCCAGAACTGGCCTGCCAGCCTGGTTTGCGGACCCCTCCTCTAGGGCCAGTTGAAAAACAGGAGCCGGGCCAGGCGTGGTGGCTCACGCCTGTAATCCCAGCACTTTGGGAGGCTGAGGTGGGCGGATCACGAGGTCAGAAGATCGAGACCATCCTGGCTAACACAGTGAAACCCCATCTCTACTAAAAATACCAAAAAAATTGGCTGGGCGTGGTGGTGGGCGCCTGTGGTCCCAGCTACTTGGGAGGCTGAGGCAGAAGAGTGGCGTGAACCCGGGAGGCGGAGCTTGCAATGAGCCGAGATCGTGCCACTGCACTCCAGCCTGGGCTACAGACCGAGACTCCGTCTCAAAAAAAAAAAAAAGAGAAAAACAGGAGCGAAGAGTCTTGCACTGGTGACTGGTGTATCCTTTGAGTCACCTTCTCTGTAGGGCTGCTTGCAAGCTGTGCCTCTGGGCAGACCCAAGGCCTGCTTGCAAGCTGTGCCTGTGAGGCCAAAGCTGGCTTCCTCTCCCACTCCTTCCCATACCGGTGTTCTGGAGTGTAGCCTGCTCACTCCCCCGAGAAGCTGTATGAAATAGGAATAAAGCAAAAACTGGGGCATCATGTAGGGAGGGCTCTTTTGGCCCACTTTAGGAACAGGTACCCCAAAGGCTGAGTGCTCATTACCCCACAGCCTCAACACAAGTGATCTTTAATTGCTTTGACAGAACAAGGGTGTAAACAGCGTTAGTCTACAGGCCTACCCTTTCCCTTTCCTCCTCTGCAGCTGAGGAAATGGGCAGTCCCATCGCTAGAACCCTGTTCTTAGAAATTACCTGGTCTCTTGCTCTGACAGATGCTGAGCTAATGCTGGGTCACATATTTAACAGCTAGCCTAAAGCCATAGGCTGGAACAGAGTTGGCAAGAGCCTGGCTCAGGTGTAGCGAGGAGTAGAGAGGGAAGACAAAGGGAGTATCAGACCCCTCACACGGGCCTCTCCTCCCCAAAGATGGTTCCACCTGGGTGTGTTCAGGAGTCACTACCTTCACGCTCCCTCCTCCCCCACCCCAGCTCTTCCAGGGTATACCTAAGGGGTCCAGAGCAAGGAAGGGGGCTTGAGCTGGGCCCGAGGAGGTGAGGTTGGCTGGAATTTAGGGTGGCTGGCAGAGGAGAGCTGGGGAGGCTGCAGCCTTTACAGCAGACAGCAGGCACGGAATATCAGCAGGTCCTTCGGCTCAGTAAGCTTCAGTGAGACACTCTCATTGGCCCCAATGAAGAGCACGCCACCACGTTGCAGAGGGATTGGTGTCTGGGTTGTGGGTGTGCTGGCTATTACTGTCCCCTGTACCATCAGGAGGATGCTGGCAGAGTCCAGTGCCAAGACCTTGTATTCAGTGACAGAGCCAGGGACCTGGGCAGGAAGAAATGATAAGGCAGTGCAGCTCAGACTCTGCTCTCATCAGCTCATGGGCCCAGGACAGTCCCCAGGGCACGAGGGAGAGCTCTGCCACCTTCTCGCACAACCCAGGCTCAGTCAGCATAGAGGCCTGGTCCCTGGTACAGGAAGGAATGGGCAGGCCCTGGGGCCACCCTCCGCCAAGTGGGCTTGACAGGAAACCCAGCCCCAGGTGTCCTCCACATCGTGACCCTTGCCAGAGATTTTCATGGCACACGAAGGACACCCATCATAGCCCCTCACTCACCTCCGTCTTCATAATGGTGAAGTCTGGTACAGGGGGGTCATAGATTGAGAGGTAGGGGTCTTCCTGACTCCGTGTTGGGAGAAAGAGCCTGTCCTTGCTGGAGCTAGGGGTATAGCTGAGCATTTCACACAGGGTTGGCACATCAATGAACTTGGGTGTCAGGCCAGCACGAACTGTGTTGTCTGAACACGCCATGCACTCCACGCAGTCTGGAGAGACAGTCGTCATGTGCTAAGCTGATGAAGTATGCCTTAGCTCTCCAGTTCTGGGCCTCCTAACCTGAGCTCCATGAACCCCATGCCAAGTTAGGTAAAAATTTCCATGAATTGTATTCTCTGGGAGAATGGGGTTAAGATATCAAATACCAAAAACAGGTGACAGGTCACCCATTATTGTCAGAGGGGAGTCATGTTAACCCCTGGGGGTTGGGGAGCCCCAACTCTGTAGTCTCCCACTTCTACCCCAGAATCCTGTGCATGAGGCATGTGTGGATAAGCAGCCAACAGTCGAAAGGTGGCATCCTTCCATGGCAACATGCATATTTTAGTGTAAAAATCCCTGGTAGGTAGGACAGACATACAAAGGCTGTGACAGAACAACAGCTTTGATCCAATATAGCCTGCGTTCAAATTGTGGTTCCCACACTGACTGGCAGGACTTAAAATCAGAGTAGCATGGCATCACAGGGTTGGTGTCAGGATTCAAGGCGTGTTCAATGCTAAATGCATTCATCATCCCTACCAGCTGTTGCTTGCTGAGCCCAGGAACCCTCAGAGGTCAGAGCTGCAAGGTCCTTGGGGGTCTCCTTGACCACCCTTCTCCTTCCTTTGTCCAGATAGGGAAACAGGGCCCAGCAGGGATGGCAGTGGGGCTCACTGCTGAAATGTGGCTCACCTCCTTTCAGGTAGGCATGGGGTACGTTGGCCTCCAGAAACATGGCCTCCCCAGGCTTCAGGGTAAGCAGGTTCAGGAAGTAGATGGCAAAGCAGCCGATATCACCTGGGTACTGCTGGTGCAGCTGTAGCAAAAGCTCCCCAAAGATGTCCTCCATGTTGTTTCCGGCAGCCGCTGAGGGTCACAGAGCACCCCAAGGTCACTTAGGGGGATACTCAGTGCTGTTCATAGCCCCACATTGGCCAGGGAGTCCTAGGAAAAGGTCCCTGCCACAGGAATCCAGAAGCCAAAGTGGCCCTGTCCTTCTGGCCACGCCTCCAGCCCTTTGGGGGTCGAGCCTTGCTTGATACTCCAGTCCATACAAATACCATCTTTCATCATATCTTGACTATTCATATGCCCAGGACTATACTAGCCACTAAAAGAGCTAGAGTATGGTCCTTTCAGGATGGGATTTCTCAGCCTTGGCGCTACTGACATTTGGGCTAGGTAATTCTTTATTGTGGGGGCTGTCCTGTGTACTGATGGATGTGTAGCAGCTTCCCTGGCCTCCACCCACAAGATGCCACTAGCAACCCCTATCTGGGTTTTGACAATCAAAAAATGGCTCCAGACAACAGCCAAATGTCCCCTGTATGAGAACCACTGCCCTTGGAGCTCAAAATCTAGGGAGATAACGCAAAAGAGTTTCATGAAGGGTAACCAACATGCCCGAGCTTTCCCTTTTTTTTTTTTGAGACGGGGTCTCGCTGTCACCCAGGCTGGAGTGCAGTGGCACGATCATACCTCACTGCAGCCTCAACTGTCCAGGACCAAGCAATCCTCCTACCTCAGCCTCCTGAGTAGCGAGAACCACACGTGCATGCCACCATGCCCGGCTAAGTTTTTTATTATTTGCAGAGAGAGGGGGTCGCTATATTGCCCAGGCTGGTCTCGAACTCCTGAACTCAAGGGATCCTCCCACCTAGGCCTCCCAAAGTGCTGGGAATACAGGTGTGAGCCACCGCACCCGGCGACTTTCTAGTTTTTAGCACTGAAAGTTCTGTGTCTCAGCTGGGCGCGGTGGCTCACACCTGTCATCTCAGGACTTTGGGAGGCCAAGGCAGGCGGATCACGAGGTCAGGAGTTCGAGACCAGTTTGACCAACATGGTGAAACCCCATCTCTACTAAAAATACAAAAAAAAAAAAAAAAAAAGCCAGGTGTGGTGGCACGTGCCTGTAATCCCAGCTACTCGGGAGGCTGAGACAGGAGAATCGCTTGAACCCGGGAGGCGGAGGTTGCAGTGATCGAGATTGCACCACTGCACTCCAGCCTGGGTGACACAGCGAGACTCCGTCTCAAAAAAAAAAAAGAAAGTTCTATGTCTCAGAGAATCTCTCTCGGTCTGCTCCAGAGAGCATGAGGCAGAATGCGCTGAGGGCCAAAATGTGTCCTGGAAACGACAAGGGAAAATGAGCTCAGCCTGGGTAGAGTGGCAAGGGTGGACTTCTTTAATTTTTAAATTTTTTTTCTTTTTCTTTTTCTTTTTTTTTTTTCCGAATCGGAGTCTTGCTCTGTCTCCCAGGCTGAAGTGCAGTGGTGCAATCTAGACTCACTGCAACCTCCACCTCCTGGGTTCAAGTGATTCTTGCGCCTCAGCCTCCTGAGTAGCTGGGATTACAGGCACACACCACCATGCCCAGCATTTTTTTTTTTTTTTTGAGACAGAGTCTCACTCTATTGCCCCGGCTGAAGTGCAGTGGCATGATCTAGGCTCACCACAACCTCTGCCTCGCCTGGCTAATTTTTGTATCTTTAGTAGAGATGGGGTTCCACCATGTTGGCCAGGCTGGTCTTGAATTCCTGACCTCAAGTGATACGGCCGCCTCAACCTCCCAAAGTGTTAGGATTACAGGTGTGAGCCACCGTGCCCAGCCAGGCTTCTTTAAAGTGAGGCAAGGGGCCTGGCGTGGTGGCTCACACCTGTAATCCTAGCACTTTGGGAGGCTGAGGCAGGTGAATTGCCTGAGCTCAGGAGTTCGAGACCCGCCTAGGCAACATGGTGAAACTCCGTCTCTACTAAAATATAAAAACTTAACCAGATGTGGTGGCACATGCCTGTAATCCCAGCTACTCAGGAGGCTGAAGCAGGAGAATTGCTTGAACCCGGGAGGCAGAGGCTGCAGTGAGCCAAGATCGCACCACTGCACTCCAGCCTGGGGCAACAGAAAGAGACCACACACACACACACACACACACACACACACACACACACACACACACACACACACACACACACACACACTGAACAGAAAAAAATATGCTTGGGTCAAATAAATAATGCCCTAAGGCTCAAAGGTAATGGGAAACCTGTAGAGGTAAAATAAAAAGAGAGCTCTGGGCCACCTAGAGAAGGGGTTGTGGCTGCCAGGCTAAGAAGCTGAGACCTCATCGCCTGCACCACATAAGCTCATTGCTGGGAGTCTGTTCTGTTTTGGGTTTCTTACTGCTTGTGTTGACTCCCCACCTTTAGGGTGACAGTGACCACACCCATCACAGTCATTTCCTGAACTCTTCTTAGCACAAGGTTGGGCACACAGAAGGTAAAGGAAAGATCAAATGACTGAGTGCTGGAGGCATCAGTCCTTTCCAGGAGAGGGAGGATGCTCGTGTCCCCTTCCTGCCTCTTTAGCCCCGAGATACAAGTCCATCCATGGAGGGCAGCTGCAGGGCTAGGGAAAATCTCAGAATGCCTAGGTGGAAGGCATCCTAAGAGTCCTCTATGCCAGTCTGCCTCCAACCATCTGGAGAAGATGACCAGTTGGGAAGCAGCACTCAACTAAGAAGGGCCCTGCTCCACAAAGACTAGGCAAGCAATGCTAAGTTGCCAACAGGTCATCTAAGTGGGGCCCCTTTTAGTGTTCCACTTGGGCAAGGGGGTTGAGAACTGTCCCCAGAGTCTGGTGTCTGCTGGGAAGCCCAGGCCAGAGCATTGCACCCAACCAGGAATATAACTGTGTCCACCTTGCTGGGAGATCCGCTTCACCAACAGGTTGAGCTGTTCCACCACCACCTTCTTCTCACTCTTCATCAGGTGGGAGAAACAGCTCTGCAGAGAGGAGGCCACAGCCTGGGAGTCATGGCTCATGGTCTGCTTCAGGTGTGTTGCTGCCTCATCTCCAATCAGGAACTGAAACTCAGGCACCTCTACAGGAAGGCAAGGCCCAGGGCCCATATCAGGAATGGTAAGATGGAACCCACACAAGTGGGGAGTTGGAGGACACCTTTCCATCCCAGCCCTAACCAAAGAGCCGGCAATGCTAAGTAAACTTTGCAGTGGAAACCAATCACTCACCACCAGCCCTTGACTACCACACCTGAGCCTGGTCTCACTGGCCTGGCTCACTGGCTCCAAAAACTGCTTCATGAGGCCCTTCAGTTCCTGTGACATGTGACCCGTTCTCAGCCACTGTTCCTATCATCTTGGTTCCCCAGGTATCCCTGGCCCAGTACGCATGCCTTCAGCATTCTGCCCAACTTACTCTTTAGAAAGGTTACAATCTCCTCAACTGGCCGGAAGCCACACAAGCCCTGGAAGGGGGTGAGGGCAATGGCCATCTCTGGCTTGTGGTTGGCATCGGGGTAGTGCTGCGGAGCCTGGAGGTGCAGCTTCTCTGCCAGCTCCTGTGGGGTGGCCAGGGGAAGAGGAGGATGGTGAGGGTACAGCCATTACCTAGCAGGTACACCAGTGCCACCTAGCCCCTGCTGTCCACCCTCCCCAGTTGCAGGATGGCAGTGACTACCTACCTCTGGCAAGGAGCCCAGTCAAAGCATGTTGCAGAAACTTGGGGCTCAGCCAACCCAGGGCAGGGGCAAATCAGGGGCAACCCCGGGGCAAATCAGGGAAAAGCTGGGGCAGACTTTAAGAGGCTTGGCCTGTGAATCAGGAAACCCAAATACCAGACCAAGCTCTGACACTAACAAGCTGTGTGGCTTTGGTAAATCCCTCCCTTCTCTGGGTCTTACTTTGTGTATCTAGAAATAAGGAGTTTTGGCTGGGCATGGTGGCTCACGCCTGTAATCCCAGCACTTTGGGAGGCTGAGGCGAGCGGATTACGAGGGCAGGAGTTCAAGACCAGCCTGGCCAACATGGTGAAACCCCATCTCTACTAAAAATACAAAAATTAGCTGGGTGTGGTGGCGCGTGCCTGTAGTCCCAGCTATTTGCGAGGCTGAAGCAGAAGAATTGCTTGAATTGGGAGGAGGAGGTTGCAGTGAGCCGAGATCGCGCCACTGCACTCCAGCCTGGGCGACAGAGCAAGACTCAAGTCTCAGAAAAAAAAAAAAAGGAGTTTTGATCCACAGTTGCTTAGGATGGGACTCCGGCTTGTGTAGGGAGACTCCATGGGGGTGGGGCTGAGGGTACCTGCCCTGCCTTGCAAGTTGAACTCTTCCTGAAAGCAGATGAGTAAATGGCAGATATGAATAGACATGGGTTGGATGAGGGAAGACCAGGAACAAGCCCCTTGGAATGAGCTTAGAGAAACTCCCCTGGCACAGGCCGGTGAGCTGTTTGCTTAGACTTAGTTGCTGCATGTGTCACTACCATCTGGCTTTGCAGAGCTAAATTGGGAGTTGTCAGCCTGGATTTGGCCTTGGGCAGGAGCCTGGCATGGGTGGGGTAAAAGTGGCAGTAAAAGTCACGGGAGGGCCTTAGCATAAGCCCTTCTGTACCCTGACCTCTGCACCGCACTCTGTCCTTTACCTTGTTAGGGTGTGCCTGGATGGACAGGGGTGTTTCAACTGAGAGCACTTTGAAGAGGAAGGGCAGGTTGCCATTAAAGGTGTCCTTGACCTTTGAGCCCAAGCTGTCCTGGTTCTCAGCAATCCACTGGCTTAGGGTCTTCTGTGAGATGCGGTTGTCAAGGATCTTGGCATCCCCTCGGGGGTGAGTCCCCATCCACAACTGGAAAGACAGGAAACTTGGGAGGGGAAGGGGGAAGAAACCTGCCACCCTGAGTTGGCCTGTCCCAATCCGTTATGCTGTGCTCCCCACAGGGCAACTGAGTCCTGGGAAAGGCCTCCCAGGTCTGGATACAAATGTTCATGCCATCATGGACATACAGGGAGGCAGTAGACCCAGGCCCTTGTCCAGACTCGGCCTCTAGCCATCTATGAAGACTTGGACTAGTTATTTCCCTTCTTTAGATGTATCTTCTTTGTCTGTCCAAAGAGGAGAATGACATCTGCACTGTCAAGGTAGCAGAAAAACTATGACTCTTAAATGATTCTTTCAGGGGTTAACATACATCTTCCAGTTTCAGAAGCAGAGGCGAAAGCCTTCCTATGCTTTGGCTTTTTCTCCACTAAATAGGCAGGAGAAATATTTTAGGTTAATAAAAATGCAAAAAAATAGTCAAAGTAAAAAAACTTAATTGTCAAAGAGGGCTGAATTAAAATTCACTAAGTGCTAAGAGTGGTTGGGGGAAGGAGAGTGCTGGAAATCCCAGCCTATTATGACAAAACCTCTCTTCTTTTTGATAACACTATCTAGTCCATTAGCCTGAAGAGCCAAGTGGGTCTCCTCCCTCCTTGCTGCCTCACCCTTCCCAGCTGATTCTTATGACTTGCCTCAGGCCCTTTCTCCTGACCTGCGGGTAAAGTGGGCTGAAATACAGCCCGGGGCTCACCTCTGCATAAGGCTTGTCCTCTGCGATCTGGGCCAGTGGATCACTGCTGGCCAACAGCCGCGCCACTTCGCTGTTGGAACCCATCTTCCCCCAGGCATACTGCTGCACCGCACAGGAAAGTGGGAATACTAGGGGCACAGACAGGGTCAGCTGCCACTCCACTCCTCAGGCCCCACCCTAGTGTCCCGGGAAACCAGGCAAGAGCTGGGGGTGCTCACTGGGGACAGAGTCAAATAAGGGTTTTGTAGGCTGTTGGATGAGACCCCCCTCCGCTGCAGGCCTCGATGTTCCCAACTGTCAGATGGGCAGCAGTAAGGACCTTGTGCTGATCTGAGGCAGGGTGGCGGGGAGGGAGCAGAAGGTACCTATCCCACGGCACGACGTCTAGAAGGGCCCCCTCCCCTCGGAGGTCAATCCCCATCGCAGGTGGCCACACCTCTGCCCGGCACCCACCCATCTTTCCGCGGAATGCCAGGAGCGGACTCAACCTGGCCGATAATGCCGGGAGTCGTCCCCAGGACGCGCTCCACGAACACACTCGCCGACACCCCAGCCAATGGCTCACCTCGCGGAGCGGCCATGCTCGCCCCCTGCACCAGGATTAAGCACGTATGCCTTTCCCGGCAGCCCCCGCGGCCCTCTGCGCCCAGAGCTTCACGGGAAATGTAGTTCCCTGAGCGTTCCGCCAGGCCCCGGGGCACCCGTGCCCAGAGGCTTACGGCCGCGATCTTCGGTCTCACTATTCATTCATTCTTTCCATCGCCGGGCACAGATGTACTGAAAACCTGCTAAGTACCACGGACTGTTCTAAGGGCTGGAGGATACATCAGAGAGCAAGATAGCCTTCCCTCTGCCTTTGTAGAGCGCTTACATTCTGGTGAAGGCAAGACAGACAAGTATTGTAAGCAAATCATGTAGTATGTTGAAAGGTCAAGGCCACAAAAAGTAAGGGGGCAGGTGGCAGTGGGAGGCAGTTTGCAGAATATAAAAGGCTGTCTGGGCAAGCCTCTTGAGGAGGTGAGGTTTGAGTCCAGACTTGGCGGTGAGGAAGGCAGGAGTGTTCTGCGGGGAGGAAACAGCCACAGCGGAAGCCAGAGCAAGGCGGGAATGTGGGACTGTGCCGGGCGTGTTGGGGAGGGAACTGCTAGCAAGGAGGCCACTGTGGCTGGAGCAGAGTGAGTAAGACAGGGGCAGTGAGGAGGTCAGAGAAGAGAGGAGGGGGGCAGAGCTTTGCAGGCTATTGCTATTGTGAAGACTTTGGGTTTTACTTCGAGTCTCAGCAATTACAGATTTGAGCAAAGAATTGCTGTGATGTGAGTAGGGACATACTAGTGATGATGATGGTAAATGTCACATGCAAGGCCCTTCACTGCTCTGAGCTTTGTAGAATGGGGTGAATAATGCCAGCCTGACATGCTTGTTGGAGGGTCAGATGGGATGACGTGAGACACCTATAAGGCAGTCAGCTCCCTGTGCTCCTCTGATCCTTCCCGTCCCAGGTGCTGTAGAAAGTCAGAACCCCAACTTCTACTCCAGGCTGAGCTGCTTACAAGTTGCACACACAGAAGTCAGGGGAATTACGAAGAGCTGTGCATAGGGAAGGATGGCCTTGGGCCTTGGCTCTGCAGTAATCTTGGCTATATCCTGTGGTGAAAGGCTTTGACATCCAGACCTTCTCAGTCAACAGCCTCCTAGGAGGAGGACAGTCAGTGGCTCAGGCCTGTAATCCTAGCACCTTAGGAGGCAGAGGCAGAAGGATTGCTTGAGGCTAGGAGCACAACAGTCAAAGCTCCGGGGAACCTGGAATGAGGAGTTACAGTCCTGACTCTACCCTCATCACCCCTGCAATACCCTCATTCCCACAGCCTCTACCATATGTGCCCAGGGGAAAGAGCGGGTGCCGTTTTCCCTGTAATCCTCTGCCCAGGTGTGGGTATCTATCTCACCTCCCCTGGGGTCCTCTGGCTCAAATAAATCAGCTTGCATTTTAAAGGAAGCTTTACCATGCACTAAGGAATAATAAAATGGATAATACAAGACTCATGACAGCCCCCCGCCTGGCCAGCCGCCCCGTCCGGGAGGGAGGTGGGGGGGTCAGCCCCCAGCCCGGCCAGCCGCCCCGTCCGGGAGGTGAGGGGCGCCTCTGCCCGGCCGCCCCTACTGGGAAGTGAGGAGCCCCTCTGCCCAGCCAGCTGCCCCGTCCGGGAGGGAGGTAGGGGGGTCAGCCCCCCGCCCGGCCAGCCACCCCGTCCGGGAGGTGAGGGGCGCCTCTGCCCGGCCGCCCCTACTGGGAAGTGAGGAGCCCCTCTGCCCGGCCACCACCCCGTCTGGGAGGTGTACCCAACAGCTCATTGAGAACGGGCCATGATGACAATGGCAGTTCTGTGGAATAGAAAGGGGGGAAAGGTGGGGGAAAGATTGAGAAATCGGATGGTTGCCGTGTCTGTGTAGAAAGAGGTAGACATGGGAGACTTTTCATTTTGTTCTGTACTAAGAAAAATTCTTCTGCCTTGGGATCCTGTTGATCGGTGACCTTACCCCCAACCCTGTGCTCTCTGAAACATGTGCTGTGTCCACTCAGGGTTAATGGATTAAGGGCGGTGCAAGATGTGCTTTGTTAAACAGACGCTTGAAGGCAGCATGCTCGTTAAGAGTCATCACCACTCCCTAATCTCAAGTACCCAGGGACACAAACACTGCGGAAGGCCGCAGGGTCCTCTGCCTAGGAAGACCAGAGACCTTTGTTCACTTGTTTATCTGCTGACCTTCCCTCCACTGTTGTCCTGTGACCCTGCCAAATCCCCCTCTGCGAGAAACACCCAAGAATGATCAATAAAAAAATAAAAAATAAATAAAAAAAAAAAAGACTCATGAAACAACGTACTCAATACCTCGTGCTTTGGAATACCACTCCTTTCCCTCATCTCCACTACCCAAGTGATATGATTTGGCTCTGTGTCCCCACCCAAATCTCATCTTGAATTGTAATCCCCACATGTTGAGGGAGGGACCTGGTGGGAGGTGATTGGATCATGGGGGTGGTTTCCCCCATGCTGTTCTCATGATAGTGAGTGAGTTCTCCCAAGAGCTGATGGTTTTAAAGTGTGGCACTTTCTCGCTCTCTCTCCTACTGCCATCTAAGATGTGCCTCGCTTCCCCTTTGCCTTCTGTCATGATTATAAGCTCCTGAGGCCTCCCCAGCCATGTAGAACTGTGAGTCAATTAAACCTCCTTTCTTTTTTTTTATTTTTTCTTTTTGAGTATTGAGTCTTGCTCCGTTGCCCAGGCTGGAGTGCAGTGGCATGATCTCAGCTCACTGCAAGCTCTGTTTCCCAGGTTCAAGTGATTCTCCTGCCTCAGCCACCCAAGTAGCTGGGTGCACACCACCATGCCCGGCTAATTTTTGTATTTTTAGTAGAGGCGAGGTTTCACCATTTTGCCCAGGCTGGTCTCGAACTCCTGACCTCAGGTGATCCACCTGCCTTGACTTCCCAAAGTGCTGAGATTACAGGCATGAGCCACCGCGTCAGGCCAAACCTCCTTTTTTTTTTTTTTTTGAGATGGAGTCTCACTCTGTCACCCAGAGTAGAGTGCAGTGGCACGATCTTGGCTCACTGCAACCTCCGCCTCCCGGGTTCAAGCGATTCTCCTGTCTCAGCCTCCCAAATAGCTGGGACTACAGGCACGTGCCACCATGCCCGGCTAATTTTTGTATTTTTAGTAGAGACGGGGTTTCACCATGTTGGCCAGGCTGGTCTCAAAATCCTGACTGCAGGTGATCCACCCACCTCAGCCTCCCAAAGTGCTGGGTTACAGGCATGAGCCACCATGCCTGGCCCAAACCTCCTTTCTTTATAAATTACCCAATTCAGGTAGTATCTTTATAGCAGCATGAAAACGGACTAATACACCAAGCAATAGGAACCTTCTCAGATAAGAACGAGGGACTAATGAGGCTCAAGGAGTTCTTGGAGCACTCCCCACTACCACTACCACAGAAAACAGAGTCAGGGTTATTTGCTCATAGTATCCCTGCAAAGTGAAGGAAGAACTTAGATTGTTGGGAGATACAGACCACCCCCCAACCCCATGCCACCCTCCCCCAATACAGAAAAACTTATCTGTAAGAGAAACTAGGGTGTTTGGAGAACCTAGAACCTTCTACTTCTTCCCTCTTGCTGGTCTATCTTGAGAAAAGAGATTTTATCTGAGGAATGTGCATCCTTTTATATTATCAGGCCCAGAGAGACATTGATATGGAGGACAGACCCTTCTTAGGTGCCCCTCTGGCCCGCAAGTATGGAGATAAAGGGAAAATTTTGAGTCCCTTCAAGGGAGATTTCAGGAACTAGCTAGCCCTGCACCCAGCAATTAGGGAAGTAAATGAATAACCCACCAAGGAAGAAGGTAATAGTAACTTAAGCAGCCACCCAAGTAAGCCAGAGTCACAAGATGTTTAGTTCTCTATAAAAACTAAAGATAGGGGCTGGGCGTGGTGGCTCATGCCTGTAATCCCAGCACTTTGGGAGGCCAAGGCGGGCAGATCATGAGATAGAGTTCAGGAGATCGAGACCATCCTGGTTAACACGATGAAACCCCGTCTCTACTAAAAATACAAAAAATTAGCCGGGCGTGGTGGCAGGCGCCTGTAGTCCCAGCTACTCGGGAGGCTGAGGCAGGAGAATGGCAGTGAGTGGAGATCGTGCCACTGCACCCCAGCCTGGGCGACAGAGCAAGGCTCCGTCTCAAAATAAAAAAAAAAACAAAAAAACAAACAACAACTAAAGACAGAGTGCAGTGGCTCAGGCCTGTAATCCTAGCAGTTTAGGAGGCAGAGGTAGAAGGATGGCTTGAGGCCAGGAGTTCAAGACCAACCTGGCCAACATAGCAAGATCTCATTACTATTTAAAAAAAAATGAAAATAATATCTTGGCCAGGTGCAGTGGCTCACACGTGTAATTCCAACACGTTGGGAGGCCAAGGCGGAGGATAACTTGTGTCCAGGAATTCAAGACCAGCCTGGGCAACATAGCAAGACCCTGTCTCTAAACATACTTTAAAAATTAGCTGAGGGTGGTAGCACATGCCGGTAGTCCCAGCTACTCTGGAGGCTGAGGTGGGAGGATTGCTTGAGCCTGGAAAGTCGAGGCTGCAGTGAACTGTGATTGTACCACTGCACTCCAGCCTGGGTGACAGAGTGAGACTGCATCTCTAAAAACAAATAACACCTTGACATGTCTTCTGGTTTTGTTTTTTTTTTCAGAGATGGGTTCTCTCTGTGTCATCCAGGCCTACTGCAGCCTCGAACTCCTGGGCTCAAGCTATCCTTTCATCTCAACCTCCTGAGTAGCTAGGACTATAAGCACATGCCACCACACCTGACTAATTTTTAAATTTTTTGTAAAGACGGGAGGTTCTTGCTATGTTGCCTAGGCTGGTCTTGAACTCCTGGGCTCAAGCTGTTCTCCTGCCTCAGTCTCCCAAAGTGCTGGGATTCCAGACTCCTACCAGATGGAAAATGCCCACTGCTGTCACATTGACCTCAGATAAGGGGGAACTGAAGACTGAACTCTGACCACCATCCTTTTTTCCAAATTATTCCTGAGGGATGTGGAGAGAGTCACACCCACGGGCCAAACCTTAGCATTCCTTTCTGCTGACACCAAGTTTTTAGACAAAGCCTTGCTTCCTTAGCCAATTACAAATCAAAGAATCTCTGAATTCACATGAGCCCCTGCTTCAAGATATCCCACTTTTTTGGGGCAAACCAATGTGTAACCTCTATGTATCGATTTACAATTTTGCTTTCCTGAAATGTGCCCCTTCTTTTAAAAACCCTTGCTTGTAAGCCATTGTGGAGTTCAGGTCTTAAGCATTAGCTGCCTGATTCTCCTTGCTTGGCACCTGCAATAAATTATCTCACTTTCTTTTGCTGCAAGTCCTGGTGTCGCTGTTTGGCATTTTTTTTTTGTTTGTTTGTTTGTTTTTACTTTGAGACAGAGTCTTGCTCTGTTGCCCAGGCTGGAGTGCAGTGGCACAGTTACAGCTCACTGCAGCCTCTACTTCCAAGACTCAAGTGATCCTCCCACCTCAGCCTCTTGAGTAGCTGAGATTATAGGCACATGCCATCACGCCTGCTTATTTTTTAAGAGATTGGGTCTCACTATGTGGCCAGGCTGGTCTTGAACTCCTGGCCTCAAGTGATCCTCCTGTCTCAGCCACCCAAAGTGCTGGGAGTATAGGCATGAACCACTGTGCCTGGCCAGTGTTTGGCTTTTTCTGCACACTAGGAAAGCAGATCCAAGGTCAATTCAGTAACAACATTAAAATGAGACAGCAACCACATTCTACTTCCTTCCTTTTGAGCTATTTATTTATCTCTTGAAACTGCTTGCTATTGCCACAACTAGGTATAAATTAACCTAATAATACCACAATGGACACTGTAACCCATACCCTACAGCTTAACAATGTATGGCCAATCACTAATCAGTGCTAATTCAGTAAACCAATGAGAATTCCTGACAAAAGACTGTATCAGCCCACTCCTTGTCCCTGCATTTTACCTTTAAAAACATACTTGTGGCTGGGCACTGTGGCTCATGCCTGTAATCCCAGCACTTTGGGAGGCCAAGGCAGGAGGATTACGAGGTCAGGAGTGTGAGACTAGCCTGGCCAACATGGTGAAACCCTGTCTCTACTAAAAATACAAAAAAATTAGCTGGGCGTGGTGGTGCATGCCTGGAGTCCCAGCTACTCAGGAAGCTGAGGCAGGAGAATCGCTTGAACCCGGGAGGCAGAGGTTTCAGTGAGCTGAGATTGCACCACTGCACTCCAGCCTGGGCGACAGAGCAAGACTCCATCTCGGAAAAACAAACAAACAAACAGAAAAAAAAAACTTGAAACAAAGGCCTAACAGAGCTCATATCCAAGGTTACTTGGGTATGAGTCTTATGGACAGCTGTCTCACTGTGAATCAAGTAACTTTAATTTTGTGACTCAGCCTCTTCTTTTTAGGTTAACAATCTCTAGTAGAACTGATCACACTCTATTATCTAGTGACAATACACTTTCCTCTCTCTCTTCCCTTCTAGACTATATGTCTAATTCAGCTTCACATTTCTGCCAGTGCCCAGCTGAGGGTTCAAGCTATAATAGCAGCATTTTTTTTTGAGACAGTCTCCCAGAATGGAGTGCAGTGGCAAGGTCACATCTCACTGCAACCTCCATCTCCTGAGCTCAAGTGATCTTCCCACCTTAGCCTCCTCAGTAGCTGGCACTGCAGGCACACACCACCACACTTGGCTAATTTTTGTATTTTTTATAGAGACGGGGTTTTGCCATGTAGCCCAGCTGGTCTCAAATTCCTGAGCCCAAGGAGTCCACTGGCCTCAGCCTCCCAAAGTGCTGGGATTACAGGTGTAAGCCACCGCACCTGGCTGCAGCTAACTTTTATTGTTATGAGAGTGGCAGGAGGCAGACAAATCCTAGGCAGACAGGGACAGGTCCCCGGTGAAAACCAACCTTCAAACCAAAGACAGTTTAAAGCCTGAAAGCCAAGCTACAAGTCCTGGGTAAATCCACGGACTGGAGTGAGAACCTCTCTTCCACTTTGGTGCACTTTCCTCTGATTGATCCCCACCCCTCACCTATTTTACATATACCTACCCTTCCCTAATTGGTTTCTTACACTGTTGTGCCCACCTTTGAGTGATGCCTTTGTTTTAGCCTTTTTTGCATACTCACAAACCAATCAGCATGTACTCTGCCATTCTGAGCCTATAAAAGCCGCAGACACAGCCACACCGAGTAAGAGACCACCCAACTTCAGGTGGGGGAAGCCCTCACATCCTCCTCTCCACTGAGATCTCTTTTGTCACTCAGTAAAGCTCTTTGTCCCCCTCACCCTTCAATCGTCAACATAACCTCATTCTTCTTGGACACGGGACAAGAACTTAGGACTACCGAATGTAGGTAAAAAGAGGCTGTAACACTGGTCCTCTGCCTTCCACTGGCTGAGGTCAGGTGCCTCATGTGATGGGAAGGAGTGGCAGGGCCAAGCCAGTACTGGAGCCATAGGCTGGAATGGGGCAATGGGACTGACAGAGCTGTTAACACATCAGCCGCTGTCCATCAGGCTGCAGACAGTGGGACCAAAAGAGCTATTAGCATGCTGTAATACCCACTCTGGGGCTTTGGGGTCATAGGCATCCCTGTTCATATACCACCACTTTCCCCTCAGTGCAACATGCCTGGTCCAGCCTCAAGCCCTGCATGGAACCCACTCCTGTGTCTGTGCTTGGTGTGGTGGTCAGACTCCACACTTGCTCACACCTCCTCCCTCCAGGGGCTGAGTGCAGGGATCTGCATTGGAGTGGAAGCCAGGCGTGGCCCAGTGACCTGAGTAGACGGGGCATCTCCTGCAGCAAGCCCAGGCCTGAGCAAGGCCCGGGCAGGGGTGTCGCCAGCTGAAGACCTCCGGCTGACAAAGGGGCTGAGAAAAATCCCGCCTCAGTTATACACTGGGTAAGGCCAGAGTTCAGTCCTCAGTTCCCCCTTATCTGGGGTCTATGTGACAGCAGTGGGTGTTTTCCATCTGCTAGGGGTCTGGGTTTCTGGAAGACAACTCAAGGGCATATGTCAGCCAGGTGCGGTAACTCACGCCTGTAATCTCAGCACTTTGGGAGGCTGAGGTGGGCAGATCACTAGAGCTCAGGAGTTCAAGACCAGCCTGGGCTACATGGCGAAACCCCAGCTCTACAAAAAAATACAACAATTAACTGGACATGGTGGCACATGCCTGTAGTCCTAGCTACTCAGGAAGCTGAGGTGGGAGTTTAGTCTGAGCCCAGGAAGGTCGAGGCTGCAGTGAGCCATGTCCCTGCCACTGCACTCCAGCCTGGACGACAAAGCAGACCCTGTCTCAAAAAAAAAAAAAAAAAAAAAACCACCAAGGCTGGACGTGGTAGCTCACGCCTGTAATCCCTGTAATCCCAGCACTTTGGGAGGCCGAGGCGGATGGATCGCTTGAGGTCAGGAGTTCGAGAGCAGCCTGGCCAACATGGTGAAACCCCATCTCTACTAAAATATAAAAAAAAGTAGCTGTGTGTGGTGGTGCGTGCCTGCAATTCCAGCTACTCGGGAAGCTGAGGCAGGAGAATCGCTTGAACCTAGAATGAGACTCCGTCTCAAAAAAAAAAAAAAGCTTCCAGATAGCTGAACACATGGTCCCTGGAGGTCACTGGAGGGTGGTCCTCCAGAAAGGGCATGGAAACACCACACCCCTTCCCACGGGTCTTGCTCCATGCATCTCTTCCATCTGGCTATCTGTATCATTTGTAATATCTTTTGTTGACCTAAAGAGAAAAGAAACTTAGACAAATTTAATATAAGTAGTGTTTATTTGGGCCAAATTTGAGGCCTGTGATCAGGAGCATGGATTCAAGTTGCCCTTAATATATGCTCCAATTAGCAACAGTTACTAATGGTTTTTTTTTTTTTTTTTTTGAGACAGAGTCTTACTCTGTTGCCCAGGCTGGAGTGCAGTGGTGCCATCTCGGCTCACTGCAACCTCCGCCTTCCAGGTTCAAGTGATCCTCCTGCCTCAGCCGCCCTAGTAGCTAGGATTACGGGCACACACCACCATGCCCAGCTAATTTTTGTATTTTTAGTAGAGACAGGGTTTTGCCATGTTGGCCAGGCTGGTCTCGAACTCCTGACCTCAGGTGATCTACCTACCTCAGCCTCCCAAAGTGCAGGGATTACAGGCGTGAGCCACCGCACCCAGCCACTAATGGGTTTTTAAAGGAAAAGAAGAGGCAGTTCCTATGTTGTTTACCAAGAATTTGCATTAGGCGGGGCATGGTGGCTCACGCCTGTAATCCCAGCACTTTGGTAGGCCAAGGTGGGTGGATCACCTGAGGTCAGGAGTTTGAGACCAGCCTGGCCAACCTGGTGAAACCCCATCTCTACTAAAAATACAAAAATTAGCTGGGTGTGGTGGCGTGTGCCTGTAATCCCAGCTACTCGGGAGGCTGAGGCAGGTGAATTGCTTGAACCCGGGAAGTGGAGGTTGCAGTGAGCCACGATTGCACCATTGCACTCCAGCTGGGGCGATAGAGTGAGACTCCGTCTCAAAAAAAAAAAAAAAAAAGAAGACAAATATATTTAAAATTAAGCATTAATCAGGCTGGGCCGGGTGCGGTGGCTCATGCCTGTAATCCCAGCACTTTGGGAAACCAAGGTGGGTAGATCACGAGGTCAAGAGATTGAGACCATCCTGGCCAACATGGTGAAACCCTGTCTCTAATAAAAATATAAAAATTAGCTGGGCGTGGTGTTGCACGCCTGTAGTCCCAGCTACTTGGGAGGCTGTGGCAGGAGAATCACTTGAACCCGGGAGGCGGAGGTTGCAGTGAGCTGAGATCACGCCACTGCACTCCAGCCTGGTGACAGAGCGAGACTCCGTTTCAAAATAAATAAATAAATAAAGTAAAATAAAATTAAGCATTACTCAGTCTGCACTTAGGGCCACCTCCCTGTAACCAAAAGTCACCGTAGCCCTAGATACTGACCATCTGCATCCACACTGTTCCTATAAATAGGATGTCTGACATTAGAATCATAAAGCTTTTGTTTAAGAATTGCTTAAGATGGGCCAGGCGCGGTGGCTCACGCCTGTAATCCCAGCACTTTGGGAGGCCGAGGTGGGTGGATCACGAGGTCAGGAGATGGAGACCATCCTGGCTAATACGGTGAAACCCCATCTCTACTAAAAAATACAAAAAAATTATCTGGGTGTGGTGGTGGGCACCTGTAGTCCCAGCTACTTGGGAGGCTGAGGCAGGACAATGGCGTGAACCTGGGAGGTGGAGCTTGCAGTGAGCCGAGATCGTGCCACTGCACTCCAGCCTGGGCGTCTCAAAAAAAAAAAAAAAAAAAAAAGAATTGCTTAAGATGTTTTTCAGATCCTTAATTCTGGGGGAACAAGTGATGCCAAACAGTTTAAAGACTCCTGACCATGTACAGTGGCTCACGCACCTTGGGAAGGTGGAACGCTTGAGCCCAGGAGCTTGAGACCAGCCTGGGCAACATGGCAGAACCCCATCTCTACAAAAAATACAAAAATTAGCCATGCATGGTGGGCGTTCTCTTGTGGTTCCAGCTACTCGGGAGTCTGAGGTGGGAGGATCTCTTGAGCCTGTGAGGTTGAAGCTGCAGATTGCTTCACTACACTTCAGCCTAGGCCAGAAAGCAAGAAAGACCCTGTCTCAAAAAAAACAGAAAACAAACCAAGCCAGGCACAGTGGCTCACACCTATAATCCCAGCACTTTGGGAGGCCGAGGCGGGCGGATCACGAGGTCAGGAGTTTGAGACCAGCCTCCTGGCCAACATAGTGAAACCCCGTCTCTACTAAAAATACAAAAAATTAGCTGGGCCTGGTGGCGGGCGCCTATAATCCCAGCTACTTGGGAGGCTGAGGCAGGAGAATCGCTCGAAGCCAGGAGGCAGAGGTTGCAGTGAGCTGAGATCGCGACACTGCACTCCAGCCCAGGCGACAATGTGAGACTCTGTCTCAAAAAAAAAAAAAAAAAACCTTTAAAATCCCTAACCCGGCCGGGCACGGTGGCTCATGCCTATAATCCCAGCACTTTGGGAGGCCGAGGCAGGCGGATCACCTAAGGTTAGGAGTTCAAGACCAGCCTGGCCATCATGATGAAACCCCATCTCTGCTAAAAGTACAAAAGGTAGCCAGGCATGGTGGCAGGCGCCTGTAATCCCAGCTACTCAGGAGGCTGAGGCAGGAGAATGGCTTGAACCTGAGGGAGGCAGAGGTTGCAGTGAGTCGAGATCACGCCCCTGGGCAACAGAGTGAGACTCCATCTAAAAAAAAAAAAAAAAGATCCCTAACCCTAAACACCTTGGGGAAATAGATTTGGGGTTTTCTCCCATCCCCTCTTTAGGTCGCCCTACAATTAAACCTTTTTCTTTGCTGCAACCCGGTGCCTCAGCGTATTGATTTGCACATCTGGCAATGAACTTACTGCAGTTACAATCTGACACTATCTCCAGGTAGAAAGTGTTGGAATTAAATTAAATTGAAGGACACCCAGTTAGTGTCTGCTGCAGAATTGCTTGATGTGTGGAGAAACAACCCACACACGTCAGGTGTCAGAAGTATTGTGTTGAATGACTGTTGAGGGAGTCTGTAGTTGTGAGGGAGAAAAAAACACTGCTTTTTTCATCAACTCTCAAGACAACCCTGTGAGATTGTAACCACCTAACAGCTTCACCTTGCCTGCTGCCTAGACAGAGCCAATTTATCAAGACAGGGGAATTGCAATGGAGAAAGAGTAAATTCATGCAGCGCCAGCTGTGCAGAAAACCGGAGTTTTATTATTACCCAAATCAGTCGTCCTGAGCATTCAGGGATCAGAGTTTTTATTTTAATTTATTTGTTTGTTTATTTTTGAGACAGAGTCTTACACTGTTGCCTGGGCTAGAGTGCAATGGTGTGATCTCGGCTTACTGCAACCTCTGCCTCCCGGGTTCAATCGATTCTCCTGCCTCAGCCTCCGGAGTAGGTGGGATTACAGGCGCCCCGCCACCATGCCCAGCTTATTTTTTGTATTTTTAGTATATAGACAGGGTTTCACTATGTTAGCCAGGCTGGTCTTGAATTCCTGACCTCATAATCTGCCCGCCTAGGCCTCTCAAAGTGCTGGGATTACAGGCGTGAGCCACCGCGCCCGGCCTATTTATTTATTTATTTTAGATGGAGTCTTGCTCTGTCTCCTGTGCTGGAGTGCAATGGCACGATCTCAGCTCACTGCAACCTCCACCTCCCGGGTTCAAGCAATTATCTGCCTCAGCCTCCCGAGTAGCTGGGATTACAGGCGACTGCCACCATGCTCAGCAATTTTTTTTGTATTTTTTAGTAGAGATGAGGCTTCACCATCTTGGCCGGGCTGGTCTTGAACTCCTGACCTTATGATCCACCTGCCTTGGCCTCCGAAAGTGCTGGGATTACAGGTGTGAGCCACTGCGCCCAGCCTCTGGGATCAGAGTTTTTAAAGATAATTTGGCCGGGTGTGGTGGCTCATGCCTGTAATCCCAGCACTTTGGGAGGCCGAGGCGGGCAGATCACGAGGTCAGGAGATCGAGACCATCCTGGCCAACATAGTGAAACCCCATCTCTACTAAAAATACAAAAATTAGCCGGGCATGGTGTCGCATGCCTGTAATCCCAGCTACTTGGGAGGCAGAGGCAGGAGAATCCCTTGAACCGGGGAGTTGGAGGTTGCAGTGACCCGAGATTGTGCCACAGCACTCTAGCCTGGTGACAGAGCAAGACTCCGTCTCAAAAAGAAAAAAAGAGAGAAAAAAAAAGATAATTTGGCTGGTAGGGGCTAGGCAAGTAGGGAGTGCTGATTGGTCGGGTTGGAGATGGAATCATAGGGGGTCGAAGTGAGTTTTTCTTGCTGTCTTCTGTTCCTGAGTGGGATGGCAGAACTGTCTGAGCTACATTACTGTTGGAGGTGGTGTCAGCAGATCCATCAAGTGCAAGGTCTGCAAAATATCTCAAGCACTGATCTTAGGTTTTACAATAGTGATGTTATTCTCAGGAGCAATCTGGGGAGGTTCAGACTCACAGCTGAAGGCTGCATGGTCCCTAAACCATAGTTTCTAATCTTGTAGCTAATTTATTAGTCCAGAAAGGCAGACTGGTCCCCAGGCAAGAAGGGATTTTTTTTTTTTTTTTTTTTTGGAAAAGGGCTATAATCAATTTTGTTTCAGAGTTAAACTATAAATTCCTTCCCAAGGTTAGTTCAGCCTACACCCAGGAATGAACAAGGACCACTTAAAGGTCAGAAGCAAGATGGAGTAGGTTAGGTCTAATCTCTCCCACTGTCATAATTTCCTCAGTTATAATTTTTGCAAAGGTGGTTTCAAGATCAAGATGAGAAAAATGGGTCTTGGAGAGGTGAAATAACTGGTTTAAAAGCAAAGAGCTGCATTCTCTATACCTCCTCTCTTGTAGAATAAATGAATGATGTCTCTCTTGTAGGGAATTAGACAGATAGATGGGCAGCCACCACATTGGTTGTAATTAAGTTTCATTCTTTCTTCACCAGCCCAGCATTGTACTTGGCTGCAGCAGACCCAGAGCAGGCAGGACTGCCTTGTGGGGTGTGGACTGTTCTCCTCTGAGGCTGCAGAGAGCAGACAGCAAAGATCTGTCTGCTGCCCTTGAGGGGTGGCCATAGAGGCTTGGGGACAGGCAATTTCTAAGGGGATACAAAATGGATCCTTCCCCATCCTCCCACTTGTGTGCAGATATTTCCCGAAGTAAAGCTGAGCTAAACCCTAAAGGATAGTCAGGATTTAGATGGGAGAGGAAGGTGAAAGAAACAGATGACCAGGCGCAGTGGTGTGTACCTGTAGGCCCAGTACTTTGGGAGGCGGAAGTGGCAGGATCAATTGAAGCCAGGAGTTCAACACCAGCTTGGGCAACAAAGTAACACCCTGTTTCTAAATAAACAAACAAAATAAATGGATGCAGGGAAACAGTAAAATAGTTACTAAATGTGTATGATGCATGTGGGCTGGGCACAGTGGCTCACGCCTGTAATCCCAGCACTTTGGGAGGCCGAGGCGAGCAGATCATTTGAAATCAGGAGTTCAAGACCAGCCTGGCCAAGATGGTGAAACCCAGTCTCTATTAAAATTACAAAAAAAAAAAAAAAAAAATTAACTGGGTGTGGTGGTGAGTGCCTGTAATCCCAGCTACTTGGGAGGCTAAAGCAGCAGAATCTCTTGGACCTGGAAGGCGGAGATTGCACTGAGCTGAGATCATGCCACTGTACTCCACCCTGGGTGACAGAGTGAGACTTTGTCTGGAAAAAAAAAAAACCCCAAACCCACAAAAAATAAATTAATAAATGTGTATCATGTGCTTTATACTATGTTAGTGACAGAAACACAACAGTGAGCAAAACAGACCTCAGCCCTACCCTCATGGAGCTTTCAGTCTAGCGGAGGATACAGGCATAAAGAACCACCTATACTAGTATTAATTACAATCTGCAATGGGTATTGTGAAGGAAAAGTACAGGGCAATAGGAGAGCTTATGTTGGGTATGAGGTGATGATGTAACCAAGAGAGTGAAGGGAAGCTACTCCTGAAGAAAGGCATCTGAACTTGCATTTAAAGGGTAAGGAGAGGTTAACCAGAGGATGATAGTGGGGCATGGGTTAAGTGCATACCAGGTAGAAGGAACACATGTGTAAAGGCCCTGAGACAGGAGGGCACAAGGAAGGTTTGAGCAACTGAAAAGAACTTGCATGGCTGGAACAGTGGGTGGGGGTTGGGGGCTAGAAGGGGTCAGAAGGGGAGAAACGTAGGGGCAGATCCTTTAGGACCTTGAAGACAAACTAAGAATTTGGGCCTTTATGATTTTTTTTTTTTTTTTTTGAGACAGAGTTTCACTCTTTTTGCCCAGGCTGGAGTGCAATGTTGCAATCTTAGCTCACTGCAACCTCCGCCTCCCAGGTTCAAACGATTCTCCTGCCTCAGCCTCCCAAGTAGCTGGGATTACAGGTGTGCACCACCACACCCAGCTAATTTTGTATTTTTAGTAGAGATGAGGTTTCACCATATTGGCCAGGCTGGTCTCGAACTCTTGACCTCAGGTGATCTGCCTGCCTTGGCTTCCCAAAGTGCTGCGACTACAGGCATGAGCCACCTTGCCTGGCCTGATTTTTTTTTTTTTTTTTTTAACTGAGACAGGGTCTCACTCTGTCACTCAGCTGGAGTGTAGTGGTGCAAAGATGGCTCACTGCAGCTTTGACCTCCTGAGCTCAAACAGTCCTCCTGCCTCAGCCTCCCAAGTAGCTGGGAGTACAGGCACAGGCCACCATGCCTAGCTAATTACGTGTGTGTGTGAGATATGTATATGTATATATATATATATATATATATATATATATATTTTTTTTTTTTTTTTTTTTTTTTTGTAGAGCCAGGGTCCTGGTATGTTGCCTAGGCTGGTCTCGAACTCCTGGCTTCAAGTGATCCTCCTACCTCTGCCTCCCAAAGTACTGGGATTACAGGCATAAGCCACGCACCCAGCCCTTTATGGAAATTAATTGAAAAATTTTAACAAAGTTCTGTGATAATTTTGCCCCCTTTAAACATATCTTTGATTACAACATGAAGAACAATAGACCAATTAACAGCACTGTATTAGTTCAGGGTAAAAATGACAGTGGCTGGGATTCGGTGACAGCAGAGATGAATAATACCAGACAGATCCAAATAAATAAGGTGGATTTGGCCAGACAGTGGTTCATGAGTATAATCCTAGCATTTTAGGAAGCCAAGGCGGGAGGATCACTTCAGCCCAGGTGTTTGAGACGAGCCTGGGCAATATAGTGAGATCCCCATCTCTACAAAAAATCCATAAATTAGCTGGGTATGGTGGTGACCAGCTGTAGTCCCAGCTACTCAGGAGGCTGAGGTGGGAGGATTGCTTGAGCCCAGGAGCTCGAGGCTGCAGTGAGCCATGATTGCACCACTGCACTCCAGCCTGGGCGACAGTGAGACCCTGTGGGGGGCGGGGGCGGGGGAAAGCGGAGCTGTGGAGAGTGAAGCAGCCACCTCCCCCATGATTGAGGCTGTGTTGCTGAATTCCGTGAGTCACTTCATAAATGTTTGATGTCCAGGTTCAAGTCCCAACTCAGGTCCCAAAGCTGATGGGCCCAGGAACCCTCGTCCCTAAAACGATGAAACGACATCAGAGGGCGAGCAGCCCTAGAAGAAGCAGGCTCAGCTCGGGTGGAGGACTGCTGGATGGTCCTGGCACTTCTCTTTCCCCGAGCACGTTCTGCAGAAGAAGCGCTTTCCTAGTTCTCCCAAGGCCTCTGGCCTCACCTGTCACCCCTGTCCTTTGCCCAGGGATCAGTTTGGACTTCTTCCCAAACTTGGTCTACAGAGAAGTGAAGGGGCTGTTTCCTGTCCCACTTTTGAGAGTTTGCTTTAGAAACATAAAATTGGAAGGTGTCAGATTGATAGGCAGTTGGGAAGGACTCCGGCCACGCCTCTGGCTCCGTAGACGCTCCGCGCAGCCAAGACCCCTGAATCCCCAGCAGAGCGAAGATGTGGACGGAAGCCGAATGCCCACCCACCGCACTATTGTGGGCTGGGCGGGGGGGGGGGGGGGGGGGGCGGAGCGACCCCGGTGCCGTCATAGGGCCACGCCCTCGGGGGAGGGCATCGCGCCTGCGCCAGAACCGCTGCCTCGCTCCCGGAAGTGGAGGGTCTACACGAAGCGCCGCTGGGTCTGGGTGCCCGGAGGCAGCAGCGTTCGCGGAGTTCGCCCGCTGGCCCCCGATCACCATGTCGGCTTTCGACACCAACCCCTTCGCGGACCCAGTGGATGTAAACCCCTTCCAGGTAGAGCCCCTCTCCCGCCATCCAGCTCTCAGATTTCCCTAGGGCCCACGGCCGCCGCCCGGGCCTCTCGCTAGAGCCGGGAGACGTGGCGTAGGAGGGACGGGTCATCTGCCCAATGGGAGAGCGGGCTTTGAGGTCTGGCCTATCGTAACGCGTGAGGGGCGCGACTAGCAGCAGGTGGAACTGCAGAGGAGGCGGGGCGCTGAAGTGTTGGAGACAGTGGGGTCTTCTAGCACCCGGAGGCTGGGCTGTGCTAGGGAAGGGGACTGGAGCAGGTACGGTCGGACCCTTCCGGAAGTCTCCTAGCGTCAGGGAGAAGCGAAATGTGGCTATCGCATTCCCTCATTCTTGGATAGACACCTGTCTTGAGTCACTTTAGAAGAGGGGGTGACAGCAACATATGAGGAGGTGGTGAAGCCTCTGGTGGAGGGGAAAAATGTGGGAAAAGCCCAGGACACCTGCCACCGCTCCACCACCAGCCAAACTAGTGTATAAAGTACAGGAGAGCCCCTGAGATTTGTCAGGGAAAGAAAGATGGGAGAGGGCGGGAAGGTAGCCCAAGTTGAAAAATGGCCTTGATAAGAATTCCACATTTTGGCCATGGGTCTAGTTTGGAGTGGGTTTTGACCAGATAGGAGAGCCCGGGTTAGGGAGAGAGGAGAGGTGCGGGGGACTGTGAAAAATTCTGGACCCACAGGGAACGTTTGTCTGATGGAACTGTGTGTGGTGGCAACATAGTTGAGATGCACTGACGTGTGAGCTGGCCTGACTTTTTTTTTTTTTTTTGAGACGGAGTCTCGCTTTGTCGCCCAGGCTGGAGTGCATTGGCACGATTTCCGCTCACTGCAACCTCTGCCTCCCGAGTTCAAGCAATTCTCCTGCTTCAGCCTCCTGAGTAGCTGGGACTACAGGCGTATGCCACCACACCCAGCTAATTTTCATACTTTTAGTAGAGACGGGGTTTCACCGTGTTGGCCAGGCTGGTCTCAAACTCCTGACCTCAGGTGATCCATCCGCCTCGGCCTTCCAAAGTGCTGGGATTACAGGTGTGAGCCACCACGCCTGGCCTGACCTTTTGAACAGCAATCAAGGAAGAAACAATCTTCCTGCTTTCTTTCTTTTCCTTTTTTTTTGTTTTGTTTTGTTTTGTTTTTTGAGACAATTCTTGCTCTGTCGCCCAGGCTGGAGTGCAGTAGCGCGATCTCGGCTCACTGCAGCCTCAGCCTCCTGGGTTCAAGTGATTCTCGTGCTTCAGCCTCCCGAGAAACTGGGATTACAGGTGTGCACCACCACACCCGGCTAATTTTTGTATTTTTAGTAGAGACGGGGTTTCACCTTATTGGCCAGACTGGTCTCAAACTCCTGGCCTGAAGTGATCCACCCACCTTAGCCTCCCAAAGTGCTGGGATTACAGGGGTGAGCCACCACACCTGGCCTCTTTTTTTTGAGACAGAGTTTTGCTCTTGTTGCCCAGGCTGGAGTGCAGTGGCGCGATCTCGGCTCACTGCAACCTCAGCCTCCTGGGTTCAAGCAATTCTCCTTCCTCAGCCTCCTGAGTAGCTAGGATTACAGGCATGCACCACCACGACCGGCTAATTTTGTATTTTTAGTAGAGACGGGGTTTCTCCACGTTGGTCAGGCTGGTCTCGAACTCCCGACCTCAGGTGATCCACCTGCCTCGGCCTCCCAAAGTGCTGGGATTACAGGCATGAACCACTGCGCCCAGCCCTCTTTCTTCCTTTTTTAAGGCAGGGTCTCACTCTGTCGCCCAGGCTGTAGCACAGTGGAGGTCATGGCAGCCTTGACCTCCAGGATTCAAATGATTATTTGAATCCCACCTCAGTCTCCTGAGTAGCTGGGACTACAAGAATGTGCCACTGGGCCTGACTCCTTTTAAAAAAAATTTTTGTAGAGAAGGGGTCTCGCTGTGATGCCCAAGCTGGTCTCGAAATCCTGGTCTCAAGCAATCCTCTGGCCCCAGCCTCTCAAAGTGCTATGATTACAGGCATGAGCCACAGGACAGTCTTCCTACTTAAAGCCCACACCTTTCTGCCTTTCAGCTGAGAGCACAGGGATGATCTTTTTCCACCATGAGGGGCTGAACTGTTACCTCCAGAGCTCCTATGCCTCTTGTTTCACGTCTGCTCAAAACCCGTTCTAGGGAAGCTTGTTTGTGCTGACTGGTGAATTATGAGCCCTGATATTCTGCTCTGTCAGGATGTCACCAGGCACATTAACTCACCCTGCTTGTCCTTTATTTTGGTCATTGGCAGCTTTTAAGTTTCCTGCAGGTGTCAGAGAAGTCCTTGAAGGAGTCCTTCCTGTCATTCACAGCATGAGTTTTCCCACTTTGAATCGCTTCAAGGGTCAGAGCAAAATCAAAGGAGACTTGAACTAAATAATTATACGCTGTCAGGAGAGTGAAAATGTTTTGCTTCTTTCTTGGTCTCAAGGTGTCTTAGCCAACAGGAGCCCTCAGGGCAAATTCTGATAGCTTGTTCCTTAGAACATCAGGGAATTCTGAACATTCCTCTCGTAGCTTAATGTTTCTTGACAGAGCGTTTGCAAGGACCTTGTCTCTTATGTAAGGCAAACAGTCATCTCTATTGAGTAAAGAAAGAAGATTTGCATTTTTTTTTTCTGCCAATGTCTTCTGGTAACAGACTTTAATTACAAAACTGCTGTATAATACTGGGGTTTGGGTTTTAGTAGGATCTTGTAGCCTTATGGTGTATGTTGTATGTGATGATTTTCCATTTTTTATGTGTGTTTTTTTGTCCTCTCAGAATCAGAAATAAAAAGTCTGCTGCTGTCTGACAGAGAGGAAGTCAGTTGTCTAAAAATGCAGAGAGCTTTGCTCCAGTGTTAGCAGAGGGCAAGATAGTTCTACCCTGTATTAATAGCTGCTTGAAAGTCTTAAACCTCATCTCTGGCTCCAAAAATGACTGTGCAAACTGTGGTAGAAGTAACTTCTGCATTCTAGCGAGACAGTCTGTCCATCAGGAAGCCCCAGGATATGGCATGACAGGAAGCAGCTGTGGTCCTGTCAACCAGCCACATCTGGTGGGGAGTCCTGGGTGGGAAGAAGAAAGCTGGCTGGCTGGCTGCGATTTGCTCCTCCTCATCCTGGGCTGGGCTTTTCCTCTTGGCACACAGTGGTGTGGGGAGAAACAGCTTTGGATGTGAGGCCTCTGAACCTTCTCCTGGTCAGAGCTGCCCACCTTTTCCTTGAGATGGTGATGTCTGCTTCCTTGACTGCCAGGGCTAGGACGTTGGGAGGTGTAGCCCTTGGGTGCCTGGGTGTGAGCCCAGCTTCATTTACTCAGGGTGTTGGCACCAAGCTCAGGAGAGAGCAGGTGGAGAGGCGATAGACTCAGAAACTGTCACACCTAGTCACACTCCAGAACAGTCGTTTTTATTTCCGTCATGCAGTGACAGAAATGGTGGATTGCAAAAATATACCTAGTGTTCAGAGCTCATAGTTGACTGTTAAGAGCTGAGAACATTCTTAGAACTCTATTCTAACCTCTTCAGTTTAGAGATGAGGAAACCAAGACCTCAATGAGGATGGTATGTGCCAGAGTCATCAGTTGTTTAGCAGCAGGAAGGTGCTGACCTGGGTCTCATTCCCAGGACAGGGCTGTTTTAAAGGTTTTGAAGCTCAGACATTGGTGTTAAACTGCACTGGGGCTATTTTAGGCTGGCTAAGGAAAGAATGGAATGTAACATCATCACAGTTGTCACCATTCTTGAGAGTACTGGGAGTGGTGAAAGTAACAAATTAGTATTAGCTAAGCTACATTTTTTCTCCAGTGTGAGGGGATGGAATAATACAGATCTTGTGCTTTTGTTCTTTAATTTTTTTATTTTTTATTATTGGTTTTTTTTTTCCACTGGAGAACAATTCTTGGGCTTTTTAAGACAGTTCTTTAAAGCAATATATATTCTGAGTAATGCCAGTCCTGAAAGGTGCTCATGGTTCTGTGGTCAAATAGGTTTGGGAATTGCTACCTATTTCGTTTTTGTTTCTTTGTTTATGTTTTTTGAGATGGTGTTTCGCTCTTTTGCCCAGGCTAGAGTGCAATGGTGCGATCTTGGCTCACTGCAGTCTCCACCTCCTGGGTTCAAGCGATTCTCCTGCCTCAGCCTCCTGAGTAGGTAGGATTACAGGCACCCACCACCACGCTCAGAATTTCTGTATTTTTACTAGAGACAGGGTTTTACCATGTTGGCCAGGCTGGTCACGAACTCCAGACCTCAGGTGATCCACCCGCCTCAGCCTCCCAAAGTGCTAGGATTACAGGCGTGAGCCACTGTGCCCAGCCTGTTTGTTTTTTCAAAGATTCACAAGGCTTGGCCAGGCATGGTGGCTCACACCTATAATCTCAGCAATTTGGGAGGCCAAGGCAGGTGGATCACTTGAGGTCATGAGTTTGAGAATGGCCTAGGCAACATGGCAAAACCCCATCTCTACAACAAATACAAAAAATTAGCTGGGTGTGGTGGCATGCACCTGTGGGCTCAGCTACTCGGGAGGCTGCCACAGGGGGATCACTTGAGCCTGGGAGGTGGAGGTTGCAGTGAGCTGAGGAGTGCCTTTGCACTCCAGCCTGGGTAATAGAGTGAAACTCTATCTCAAAAAACAAACAAACCAAAATAAAGATTCACAAGGCCTGTTAGTTTGTTAAAGGCTCTGAGAAATCCTACAAAAAGACATTGGCTCAGCTTTATTTGACCCAGCATTTCTCAAGGTTATTCGACCATGGAATCTGTTTTCTGCTCAGTCGTTATATCCTTTGAAACTCCCAGTGCACCATTTAGTTGACTTCCTCATCCAAGGTTCTTTATTAAGTGCCTGCTTCCACCCCGCACTGTGGGCATGTGCTTTTATGACCTCTTCCTTGCGTGTGGTTATGATCGGGATGATTAGAAAACTTCCTGCACAGAAAGAGCTGTGAATGGGAAGTTAAGATATGAGTGTGCCACAGAGGTTTGCCCACCTCCTAGGAGGAAGCAGGAAACTGCAAGCCAAGTGTTGTTGATTTCACAGCCTCCACTGGCACACCCTAATTCCTCTGTTGGTTATGGCAGCTGCTTTGTACCCTCTGAGTATTTCGGTCTCTGCTTTGGAATGATCCAGGGTGTCTGCTCCCAAAAGTTTCTCATTAAGTCTTGTCAGGTGATGAAGGGGTGGAAAGCTAAAGGGAGTCATTGTACTGTCCATTTTTCAGCAGTCCACTAAAAATCAGACCACCCAGGCAAGTGCCTAGGGCTGCTTTCCCACTCAGCACTTCTGCCAGATTATCCCAGGCAGACAGCATTGATCTCAAGGAGAGGAAGTGGAATAGGTGGTGGCATTGAACAGAGAAAACCTTTCAGTGTTTGTAAGTTGCCAAGTCACACAATATCACTTTCACACATTGCCTCCTTGCAGTTAAAAGATAATCTCAGTGTTGTGGCTGCTTCCCAAGGATTTGAAATATTTCTCTCCTGTGGAAGGAAGAAGTGGTGGCAGAAACGTGATTTGGGTGTGAACAAAGTTACTTGAATTTCCCTGTGCAGACAGTGGGACCTTCCCAGAGAGGGTTGGCCCCAGCTTGACCATAACTTTGGGAATTCTTGGAATAACCAGATGGACCTGGTAGAACTTTCCTGTGTAACAGAGCATTGTCTCAAGAAATTTGAAAATGGCAGGGTTCTTACAGCTTCACTGTGACTACAGACAGCTGCCCAGATAGGATTCCTGCCTTTATGGTTGGCACCTGGAGCCAGGCTGGGTGTTAAAACTTGGGTAGAGAGATAGGTGAACTTTGACTCTTCCGTTAAGTCTTCTTTGGAAACACTTGGGGTAAGATAATCTTAATTTCAGAGAAATGGTAATATTTAACCAGGACAAACAAGGGGTACTTGCTGTTCATTCAGAGAAGAGTGCTGTGCACATTTGCAAACTGTGACCCATCCAGCAAGTGCTGCTTTGAGATGTTCACGTTAGTGCACATCACTGAGGTCATGCTGCTCTGCAGGCCTGTGCAGGAGACCATGGTAAATGAGCACAGTATGTGATCAATGGCTTCTGGCAGGAGAGCTAAGAAATACTCACTGAGGCTGGGGCGCAGTGGCTCACGCCTGTAATCCCAGCACTTTGGGAGGCCAAGGCGGGCGGATCACAAGGTCAGGAGTTCGAGACCAGCCTGGCCAATATGGTGAAACCCCATCTCTACTAAAAATGCAAAAATTAGCCAGGCGTGATGGCGGGCACCTGTAGTTCCAGCTACTCGGGAGGCTGAGGCAGGAGAATCGCTTGAACCCGGGAGGCGGAGGTTGCAGCGAGCCGAGATTGCACCACTGCCCCCCAGCCTGCATGACAGAGCGAGACTCCATCTCAAAAAAAAAAAAAAAAGAAAGAAAATAAATGCTCACTGAGAGTGACAGCACATCACAAGTGGGATCAGGGCAGTGTCCAAAGGAGCTGGGAGGGCTCTCAGGAGGAAGGGCAGAGACCTGTGGCACAGAGGGCTTGGACTGAAAGCAGAAAGCCTGGCAGATGGGAAAACAGGGTTATTCATTTATTTTTTGAGACAGAGTCACACTCCCGAGTAGCTGGGATTACAGGCGTGCACTAGCATGCCTGGCTAATTTTTGTATTTTTCGTAGAGGTGGGGTTTCAACCACGTTGGTCAGGCTGGTCTCAAACTCCTGATCTCAGGTGATCCACCCACCTCGGTCTCCCGGAATGCTAGGATTACAGGTGTGAGCCACCACGCCCGGCCAGAAAACAGAGTATTTTTGGGTGAAGTAGTGCCAAGAACCAAAAGTCGCTCCTGCTTGCTGTCATCCCTGTACTCCTGTGTCCACTCTTACCCCTGCACCCCCAGGCATGTCCTCACTCTTAGATCTTAATGGTCTCTTAGGGAGTCATGAGCCTGGGATGCGTCTGCTGCTTGTGACTCACATGCTTGTTTGGCCAGTCTCTTGAAATTCTCTCCATCCTTGGCCTCTTTTATCCTGATAATTCTCACCTTCCTCAGCCTGTTTTCACTTCCTGTCTCATACATTTAGGAGTATTCCAGAGTTCTTTTTTTGTTTTTATTCATGCTATTGGAAGTTCAGAACTTAAACTTTGTCTTTCTTTTTTTTCTTTTCTTTTCTTTTCCTCCCCTCCCCTCCCCTCCCTCCCTCCTTTCCTTCCTTCCTTCCTTCCTTCCTTCCTTCCTTCCTTCCTTCCTTCCTTCCTTCCTTCCTTCCTTCGAGACAGAGTCTCACTGTGTTGCCTAGGCCGAAGTGCAGTGGCACAATCACGGCTCACTGCAGCCTCAATCTCCTAGGCTCCAGAAATCCTCCCATCTCAGCCTCCCAAGTAGCTGGGACTACAGGCAAACACCATCGTGCCTGGCTTTTTTTTTTTTTTTTTTTGGAGAAATGAGGTCTCACTTTGTTGCCCAGGCTAGTCTCGAACTCCTGGATTCAAGCAATCCTGCCTCAACCTCCCAAAGTGCTGGGTTTACCCTGTTCTCACTTTATACCTTCATTTCTATGACTTCAGAATAGCATCCACATTTCAGCGATCCCAGATCTAGATCTCTAGTTCTCAGCTTCCTCCTGAGCTCAGACCACTATTTCAAACTCACACCTGCACCTTCCCAATCCTTCCAACCAGAAATATTCCACAGCTATCTCCAACCTGACTCAATATCTTCTCGGATCCTCTCCCTACCCCACCACACCCACCCTTGAAAAACCTGTTCCTCCTCTCCCACAGTCACTTATTTTGGGCACTCCTTTCTTTCTTTTTTCTTTTCTTTTCTTTTTTTTTTTTTTGAGACAAAGTCTTGCTCTGTTGCCCAGGCTGGAGTGCAGTGGTGCTATCTTGGCTCACTGCAACCTCTGCCCCCTGGGTTTAAGCGATTCTCCTGCCTCAGCCTCCCAAGTAGCTGGGACTACAGGCGCATGCCACCACGCCCGGCTAATTTTTGTATTTTCAGTAGAGATGGGGTTTCACTATGTTGGCCAGGCTAGTCTCAAACTCCTGACCTCAGGTGATCCACCTGCCTTGGCCTCCCAAAGTGCTGGGATTACAGGCGTGAGCAACTGTGCCTGGCCTTTTTTTTTTTTTTTTTTTTTTTTGAGATAGAGTCAGGGTGGAGTGCAGTGGTGTGATCTCAGCTCACTGCAGCCTCCACCTCTCCTGGGTTCAAGCAATTCTTCTGCCTTAGCCTCCTGAGTAGCTGGGATTGCAGGAATGTGCCACCACGCCCGGCTAATTTTTGTATTTTTAGTAGAGATGGGGTTTCACCATGTTGGCCAGACTGGTCTCAAACTTCTGACCTCTAGTGATCCACCTGCCTCACCCTCCCAAAGTGCTGGGATTACAGGCGTGAGCCACTGTGCCTGGCCTCAACTCTATTCTTTCCCTTCCCTTTCCTGCCCTGTAGTCTTTCCATTCCCAGGCCAACCCAGAGAGTTGCTGAGCCTGTGGGATTGATGTGAGGAAGGTCTCTGAAGTCCCTCTTGTTCCTCTTCTCCATCCCCAGCTGCTGTCCCTCAATTTGGTCCTCACTTCACCCATGTTGACAGTTGTGTCCTAGCCAGTCTTCCCGCTGTTGTCCTACCATGCTGTTGCACTCCCTTCACTGCTGATAGAATGATCATGTCACCCCTGACTGCAAATCTCTAGTTGTTCCCCGTTGCCTGTAGAGCAACATCCAAAGTCCCACAATCTGGCCCCACCCTCTTCAGACTGGTTCCCTGATACTCCAGACTCTTCTCTCCACACACCCCTCCACAGCCTCCATAACCTTCTCTCTTCTGAACACATGCAAGCTCTTTTTAAAGATTCTCGGCCAGGTGCGGTGGCTCAAGCCTGTAATCCCAGCACTTTGGGAGGCCAAGGCGGACGGATCACAAGGTCAGGAGATCAAGACCATCCTGGCTAACACGGTGAAACCCTGTCCCTACTAAAAATACAAAAAATTAGCTGGGCATGGTGGCACACACCTGTAATCCTAGCTACTCAGGAGGCTGAGGCAGGAGAATCACTTGAACCTGGGAAGCGGATGTTGCAGTGAACTGAGATCACGCCACTGCACTCCAGCCTGGACGACAGAGTGAGACTCCGTCTCAAAAATATATACATATATAAAATAAATAAATAAATAAAGATCCTGTGGCTTTGCAAGTGTGGTTCTTGCCTTCCTCTTTACTGTTTGCTAGGTTTCTTTCATCTCTCAAGATCCAACTCAGATTCCAGCTCAGTAGAGCCTTCCCTGACTCTCCCAGACAGCTTAATTACTCTCTCCTCTATGATCACACTGTGTCTCACCCTGTGTCTGCCCTCACCCTGTTACAGTGCTGATCATGTGCCATCACCTCTTGCCCTGGCTTCTGTGTGATTCTCTGTACTATTTGCTTCTCAAAGGCAGGAATCAAGGTTCTTTCTTGGTTTCCCTAGCCCAGTGCTTGGCATGGAATGGTTTGTGTATGGAGAGACTACACAGAGGTGCGAGGAGATAGTAAGTGTCCCATTTTGAGGGTAGATTCCTTTAGAGGATTGGTGCCAGGTCCTGGAAGGCCTTGAATGCCCGGCCAGGTGACTCAGACTTGCTTTTCTGAAGGGTTCCACACATTGCAGCCGGTGGCAGGAAGCGAGGCCTGAGTGTACCTTGCTCACTTACTGTTTTTTTTTTTTTTGGAGATGGGGTCTGTCTCTGTCACCCAGGCCAGGGTGCAGTAGCGCAATCATGGCTCACTGCAGCCTCGACCTCCTGGGCTCAGGCAGTTCTCCTGCCTCAGCCTCCAGTGTAGCTGGGACCACAGGTACCCACGACGAGACCTGGCTGATTTTTTTTTTTTTTTGAGACGGAGTCTCACTCTGTTGCCCAGGCTGGAGTGCAATGGAGTGATCTCGACTCACTGCAATCTCCCCGCCTCCCAGGTTCAAGTGATTCTCTTGCCTCAGCTTCCCAAGTAGCTGGGGTTACAGGCGCCTGCCACCACACCCGGCTAATTTTTGTATTTTTAGTAGAGACTGGGTTTCATCATGCTGGCCAGGCTGGTCTCAAACTCCCAACCTCAGGTGATCCGTCCACCTCAGCCTCCCAAAATGCTGGGATTACAGGTATGAGCCACTGCACCCGGCCTAATTTTCGTATTCTCTGTAGAGACGGGGTTTCATCATGATGCCCAGGCTGGTCTTAACTCCTGGGCTCAAGCGATTCTCTCACCTCAGCCTCTTAGAGTGCTGGGATTACAGTCATGAGCCATGTGTCCAGCCTATTTTTTTTTCTTTCTCTTTTTAAAAATATGTGTGTGTGTGTGTGTGTGTGTGTGTGTGTGTGTGTGTGTGTGTATGGTTTGTTTTTTGTTTTTTTTTTTTTTTTTGAGATGGAGTCTCGCCCTGTCACCCAGGCTGGAGTGCAGTGGCACGATCTCAGCTCACTGCAACCTTTACCTCCCTGGTTCAAACGGTTCTCCTGCCTCAGCCTCCCAAGTAGCTGGGATTATGTATATGTGTTTTTAAAATCAAAATAACATGACCATATTATAGAAAATTTGGAAAACAGAAAATAAGTCTTCCATATTTCTACCAGTCATTTGCAACCATTGTTAATTATTTATTTATTTATTGAGATGGAGTCTCACTCTGTCCCCCAGACTGGAGTGCAGTGGTGTGATCTCGGCTCACTGCAGCCTCTGCCTCCTGGGTTCAAGCAGTTTTCCTGCCTCAGCCTCCCAAGTACCTGGAATTAGAGGCATGCACCACCGTGCCCTGCTAATTTTTGCATTTTTAGTAGTGAGAGGTTTCACCATGTTGGCCAGGGTGGTCTTGAACTCCTGATCTCAAGTGATCTGCCCACCTTGGCCTCCCAAAGTGCTAGAATTATAGGTGTGAGCCATTGCACCTGGCCAGGAATTTTTTTTTTTTTTTTTTTTTTTTTTGGAGACAGAGTCTCACTCTGTCACCCAGGCTGGAGTGCAGTGATGTGATCTCGACTCACTGCAACCTCTACCTCCCAGGTTCAAGCGATTCTCCTGCCTCAGCCTCCAAAGTAGCTGGGAATACAGGCGCATGCCACCACGCCTGGCTAACTTTTGTATTTTTTTTTTTTTTGGTAGAGACGGGTTCTCACCTTGTTGGCCAGGCTGGTCTCAAACTCCTGACCTCAAATGATCCGCCTGCCTCGGCCTCCCAAAGTGTTGGGATTATAGGCATGAGCTACCGGGCCTGGCCCATAATTTAGTATTGATGTAACAAAGCCTTTTCTTTTCTTTTCTTTCTTTCTTTTTTTTTTTTTTTTTTTTGAGACAGAGTCTTGCTCTGTTGCCCAGGCTGGAGTGCAGTGGTGTGACCTCGGCTCGCTGCAAGCTCCACCTCCTGGGTTCACACCATTCTCCCACCTCAGCCTCCAGAGTAGCTGGGACTACAGGCGCCCGCCACCACGCCCGGCTAATTTGGTTTTGTATTTTTAGTAGAGACAGGGTTTCACCGTGTTAGCCAGGATGGTCTCGATCTCCTGACCTCGTGATCTGCCCACCTTGGCCTCCCAAAGTGCTGCGATTATAGGCGTGAGCCACCATGCCCGACCAGAAAGCCTGTTCTGTATTGCTGCACCATCTTCATAGCTGTGATGCTTAGTGGCGTTGTGGGCCTTCAAGGGGATGCGTACCAAAACATACCTGTGGTCTCTGTCATTGGATGTTTGTTTCGTGCTTTTTTCTCCTATTGTAAGTCCTGGTCCTATGAATATCATTGCAGGTACAGATTTTTACATGTTTTTGTGATATTTTCTTAGGACAGATTCTCAGGTATCAGGTCAGAGAGCACCAAGGTCAATTGTGGCTCTTTGTGCACTGGGACCCAGCTAGCCACTCTGGGGGTGATTGCTTTTTCGTGCTCTGTGACACTCAGCCTCATCTCCAAAGCCAATAGGACTTCACAGAGGTTCCAGAGTGTTGCTGACTCTCTGCCTCTCAGCATGACCCTGAATTTTTAATGTTTTAAAATTTATTTATTTATTTATTTTTCCCTGAGTTGAGTCTCGCTCTGTTGCCCAGGCTGGAGTGCAGTGGCACGATCTTGGCTCACTGCAACCTCTGCCTCCTGGGTTCAAGTGATTCTCCTGCTGCAGCCTCCTGAGTAGCTGGGATTACAGGCACCCGCCACCATGCCTGGCTAATTTTTGTACTTTTAGGAGAGATGGGGTTTCACCTTGTTAGCCAGACTGGTCTTACACTCCTGACCTCAGGTGATCTACCCGCCTCAGCCTCCCAAAGTGCTGGGATTACAGGCATGAGCCACCGTGCCTGGCCAGAATTTATTTATTATTATTATTATTGTTTATTTTTTTGAGACAGAGTCTTGCTCTGCTGCCCAGGCTGCAGTGCAGTGCTGCGCAGTGATCTTGGCTTACTGCAGCCTCCTCCTGGGTTCAAGTGATTCTCCTGCCTCAGCTTCCCAAGTAGCTGGGACTACAGGCATGCACCACCACGCCTGGCTTTTTTTTTTTTTTTTTTTTTAAATGGAGTCTTCCTCTGTATCCCAGGCTGGAGGGCAATGGCACAATCTTGGCTCACTGCAACCTCCGCCTCCCAGTTCAAGCGATTCTCCTGCCTCAGCCTTCCAAGTAGCTGGGATTACAGGCGCCTGCCACCACGCCCAGCTAATTTTGTATTTTTAGTAGATATGGGGTTTTGCCATCTTGGCCAGGCTGGTCTCAAACTCCTGACCTCAGGTGACCCACCTGCCTCAGCTTCCCAAAGTGCTGGGATTACAGGCGTGAGCCATCACGCCTGGCCAATTTTTGTATTTTTAATAGAGATGGGGTTTCACCATGTTGGCCATGTTGGCTGGTCTAGAACTCCTGGTCTCAGGTGATCCTCCTGCCTTGGCCTCCCAAAGTGCTGGGATTACAGGTGTGAGCCACCAGACCCGGCCAATTTTTGTATTTTTAATAGACATGGGGTTTTACCATGTTGGCCATATTGGCTGGTCTGAAACTCCTGTTCTCAGGTGATCCGCCTGCCTTGGCCTCCCAAAGTGCAGGGATTACAGGCCTGAGCCACCGCGCCAGGCCTAAACTTATTTTTTATTTTTACTATGAAAAAAAAGAGACAGGGTCTCGCTATGTTGCCCAGGCTGATCTCAAACTGGATTTAAGCAACCCTCTCACCTCAGCCTCCCAAAGTGCTGGATTATAAGCTTGAGCCACCGTGCCCGGCTGGCCCTGAATTTTTTTTAGTCCGTGAGATAAGATATTTATTTAATGTGTTTATTTGGAGCCTGAAATAAACCTCACACTGGGAGCCTGGGTGGAATACAGGAAGGGAAGGCAAGGAAAAGTCACAGAGAGCTCAGACAGCCAGCACCTGTGAAACGCATGGTATGAGGTTTCCAAACCAGTGACAAGTGTGGTTTTCAATTAGCCGGGCGTGGTGGTATGTGCCTGTAATCCTAGCTACTCAGGAGGCTGAGGCACGAGAATCGCTTCAACCTGGGAGGTGGAGATTGTAGTGAGCAGAGATTGCGCCACTGCACTCCAGCCTGGGCAACAGAGCGAGACTCCATCTCAAAAAAAAAAAAAAAAAAGTGTGGTTTTCATGGCCGTTCCTGGGAGAGCTGCAGCCTAACTCTGCCTGCCTCTCTTCCCTCACTGCCTTTACCCCCCAGCTATGTGGAAGTGCCCCCCTGCCTTGCAGTGGTGGGGGGCCTTACTGATCTGGGCCTTTGCTGTCTGTCTTCCTTCTACAACCTGGCCTTTCTTGAAGCCCACCGAGGTGTCTCCCCTTCTTCCTGTTTTTTGCTCTGCACCTTGCCGTGGTCCCCAGCACCCCTTCAGGGGGTGCCCACTTGTCTCAGATACCAGATTGTGGACTCCAGAAGGGTGAGAGCTGTGTCTTATGCATTGTGGTATGTTCCTCACACTGTAGCTGGTTGCTGAATGAAAAGAACTGAGGTTAAGAGCCTTTTATTTGTTACAAATTCAGTAAAGGGCAATAGCCACTCTGAGTGGCACTGCAGGGGAGTTTTAGGTTATTCCTCCTTGTAGGTGAAACTTAGCCCTCACCATCCTACTTGACCCATTTAAAAGCCAGTTAGGACCGGGCATGGTGGCTCACGCCTGAATCCCACCACTTTCGGAGGCTGAGGTGGGCGGATCACAAGGTCAGGAAATCAAGACCATCCTGGCTAACACAGTGAAACCTATCTCTACTAAAAATACAAAAAAAGTAGCCGGGCGTGGTGGCAGGTGCCTGTAGTCCCAGCTACTGGGGAGGCTGAGGCAGGAGAATGGTGTGAACCCGGGAGAGCTTGCAGTGAGCTGAGATCGCGCCACTGCACTCCAGCCTGGGTAACAGAGCAAGACTCCGTCTCAAAAAAAAAAAAAAAAAAAAAAAAGAACCAGCTCTTTGAAGGAAAGAAGGAAGCAAGGAAACAAGCAGAAGCCCTTGTCAGTGTCCTCCTGGAGTGGGGCTCATTCATCCTGCCACATATTCACTGAGCGCCTTCAATTTGTCAGGCTCCGTACCAGGCTTCGAGATGCTTTGCCCCACTCAGCTTTACCATCTTGTGTCCCTGGAGACAGACTTGGATTGAAAATCTGGCTGAGCCACTACCCCTGAGATCTTAAGACAAGCTACTTCCCCTCTCTGAGCTTGAGCTTTTCCAGCTGCAAAATATAAATATTCCTTCCTCATAAGGCTGTTGTGAGGGTTAAATGAGGAGCTGTATTGTAGCTTTTCTCAGCCAGGGTCCCGAGCTGAGCCACAGAACAGAGAAGCTGATTGGAGTGACTCTCTCAGCTCTCTCAAGTATGGAGTATAACTAGTACCACCCTAGGTACCAGGAGAGCAGTAAAGTCATTATAAATAGTGGATTAGGGGGTCATAAGTCTTTTGAAGAACCAGGTCAAGGAAGGCCAGTAAAACCCTCTTTTCTGACAACTCGACACAGTGGCTAGTTCTGGGGTGACTAGAATTTCACAGTAGCATCATTGTGTGGTGAGTTTGGCACACCGTAGACACTAAGTAAATGTCAGCTTCCTTCCCCAGTCCCTCCTCCTCCCTCCCTTTCTTGCCAGGGCTCAGCTTGTCTTGAAGCCACGCACATCTTTCAGAAAGAGCCTAGGTTTTCTTAGATGGGAAAATATCCACTTGTCTCAGCGTTTTAGGTTGCTCTTCCTAGGCAACGTGCTTCCAGGCCCTTGGGCTACTGCTGTGATGCAGGTGCCTCCTGTTTGCTATGCCCTGGCACTTGGGCAGTGCTTTCTAAAAAGAGGGAGGCCCTACAGCGTGCTGCGTGTCTTCTCAAACCGCTGAGCTGCTGTGCTGCCATAGGCCCTTCACCAAGCACCAAGGAACTAGAATATGAACCAGACACAGATGCACATGGCTGCAGGGAGCTTCTAACTTAATCATGGAGATCAGATTTGTTTATGAGGAGCCCGGTGAGGAGTCCAAGGCCATGTCTTTAAGATTTTAGGAAAAAGGGAGGGATCAGAGTGGACAGGGCAGTCACCCTATGATCCCCATCACAGTCCCCTTCTGTCTGCCATTCATAAAGGAAATGGCATCTCTTTGTGGGCCTGGAGATCACCTATTAAACATGTGCACCTTGGCCAGATGTCTGTTTGCCATTACCTGAAACTGCTACCAGAGTGGCCCCTCTTCCTCTGTCCTCTGGTGACTCAGACTCGAGGAGCCACTTCTGTGGATGGTAGATCCGATTTCAGTGACTTCAGCGGTGGCTAGGTGTCTGCTGAGTCTGAGAGGGGAACAGATACCAAGCCCCAAATCTTCCTTGCAGGAAGCCAGATGATTCTGGTAGTAAACCACTGGTCATTCAGGCATGAAATAACCTCAAGGCCAATTCTTCAGCAACACAGAGCCTCCTGAACTTCACCTTGTCACTTTGTCCAAGTTGCAGGAGCCATCAGGGCAGAGGTGGTGTTCAGCAGGAAGAACATAGCCACAGTCTGTCGCAGAGGAGGTTGGAAGGGGTGGAGGCTGTAGTATGAGGCCCGTCCAGACACAGTGAGTTCTGGCTGTATGCCTGGAGGCAGTCAGACATTCATACCCTCTATGAACTGGTGGCTCAGGTGGGAAGATAAGAGATAAGAGGAAGTATCTGTGATAAAACCAGAGAACATATTCAATGCTGACCCTCAGCTCTATAAATATTCAGAGTAAGGAGAGAGCTCCCATTTTGGGTCCTAGGATCATGGTGAATATCAGTTTCTACATCTGTAAACTGAGGGGGTCACTCTGTGGCTATGTCTAATATTAGCATTGTATTTAACAATTGGATCTGGACAGGGCAAGGTGGCTCACATTTGTAATCCTAGTGCTTTGGGAGCCCAGGGTGGGAGGACCACTTGAGCTTAGGACTTCAAAACCAGCCTGGGCAACAAAGCAAGACCCCATCTCTACAAAAAAACTTTAAAAATCAGCCAGGCCTGGTGGCTCATGTGTGTAGTCCTGGTTACTCCGGAGGCTGAGGTGGGAGGAATGCTTGAGCCCAGGAGTTTGAGGCTACCATGAGCTATGATTGCACCACTGTACTCCAGCCTGGGCAACAGAGTGAGACCCTGTCTCTAAAAAAGAAAAAGGAAAAAAAAAAAAAAGAACTGGAGGCCAGGTGCAGTGGCTCACATCTGTAATCCCAGTACTTTGGGAGGCTGAGGTGAGCGGATCACCTGAGGCCAGGAGTTCAAGACCAGCTTGCCCAACATGGTGAAACCCCATCTCTACTAAAAATATAAAAATTAGCTAGGTGTGGTGGCAGGCGCCTGTAATCCCAGCTACTCAGGAGGCTGAGGCACGAGAATAGCTTGAGCCCAGAAGGCGGAGGCTGCAGTGAGTGGAGATCATGCCACTGCACTTCAGCCTGGGTGACAGAGCGTGACTCTGTCTTAAAAAAAAAAAAAAAAAAAAAAAAAAAAGAACTGGCTCTGCAGAGGCTTCCAGTGGAGGTGAGGCTGGGCCTGAAGTTTGGGAGCATCTGGTTTAATAATTAGGGGTGTGGGGTGAGGTGTGGAACCCAAGCGGTGTCTCCACAGGCAGGAACAGCCCTGAATTTGGCCACCCTCAGGGCTGTTCCTCATGGAGCCCAGGCATGGCTGTGAAGCTGGACCTGAGCCCTGCATCTGTTACTAGGAAGGGGAGGGTGTGGAGGAGCTCTTCTTGGGGCAGGGCAGGGTGAAGACAACTGTTCCAGGCCAGCAGGGGCACAGTAAAGAGGATGGCAGAGCCCCATGCAGAGATCAGATGGGAAAGGGAGACAAGGTTGTGTTCTGAGGACATTCTTGGATTTTATGAAAAGACTTTAAAAAACCCCCGAAACCCAGAAACATTTTCTTGAATTTTCACCTCAGCTCATCATATCTCTGCTCTTAGCAAGTGTGCCCGATTTAATAAAATCAGTACTGGCAGCCAGCAGCATGTTTTTGTTCTAGAAACTTAGACTACTTTTTTTTTTTTTTTTTTTTTTGAGATGGAGTTTTGCTCTTGTTGCCCAGGCTGGAGAGCAATGGCACAATCTGGGCTCACTGCAACCTCTGCCTCCCGGGTTCAAGTGATTCTCCTGCCTCAGTCTCCGGAGTAGCTGGGATTACAGGCATGCGCCACCACACCTGGCTAATTTTATATTTTTAGTAGAGACGGGGTTTCTCCATGTTGGTCAGGCTGGTCTTGAGCTCCCGACCTCAGGTGATCCACCCGCCTCAGCCTCCCAAAGTGCTGGGATTACAGGCATGAGCTACTGCACCCGGCTACCTTAGACTGTCTTTTACAAAATAAGAGGAATGGCCAGGCATGGTGGCTCACGCCTGTAATCCCAGCACTTCGGGAGGCCGAGACAGGCAGATCACGAGGTCAAGAGATTGAGACCATCCTGGCCAACATGGTGAAACCCTGTCTCTACTAAAAATACAAAAATTAGCCGGGTATGGTGGCGGCCGCCTGTAGTCCCAGCTACTCAGGAGGCTGAGGCAGGAGAATCGCTTCAACCCAGGAGGCGAAGGTTGCAGTGAGCCAAGATTGCGCCACTGCACTCCAGCCTGGGTGACAGAGCAAGACTCTGTCTCGAAAAAATAAAAAAATATAAAAAAAGAGGAATAAATGAATAATAAGTAAAACAGTACAGAAAGGTTATAAAGTCAATAGTAAGTCTCTACCCTCACCACCCCATTCACTTGCCCCTCAGCACCCCACCCCTCAAAAAAAAAAAAAAACCCACTCCCTAGAGGTAAATACTATGAACCATTTTGAATCTGTATAGGGCACCAACAGGAGCCTGTGTGGTGTGTACTCTCAAGCTTCTGGGTAAAGCTTGCTCTGGGTCTCTTCTGGGCTGAACCTTTTCCAGGAAGGGGGAAGGGAGAAGGGACCGCAGCTGTGGTGTGGCAGAGGCAGGCACAGGACCCTTCCAGAGAGGCTTCTCAGGGTCCCGGGAGGGTGATCAGCTGCCCTGCTTCAGTCAGGCGTCACCGGCTCGCCTGCCGGCCCCTGGCCCGGATTTTCTCCACTGTGTCTAAGGGCTTTTTTTCACCTTCTCAGGATCCCTCTGTGACCCAGCTGACCAACGCCCCGCAGGGCGGCCTGGCGGAATTCAACCCCTTCTCAGAGGTTGGTGAGCAGGCCCTCTTTCCAAGTCCCATGGCCCTCTAGGGTGGTGCTGGGGTGTCCGGGGCAGGGATCCTTGGCAAGGACAGAAGCAGCTCTGAGAAGCGGCAGTCCTCAAAGGGACAGTCCTAACATGAACCCGGGAGGCAGGGTAAGGATGGCAAAGCCACCAAACGCTCTGTAAAATTCTCCCCTTGGGATCTGTGACCGGGGCCCCTCCCCAAGGAGGTCAGGGCAGTGCCCAAGTGTGCTGGACCCAGCGAGCCCAGGGGTGCCGGGTTAGGGATCAGATGGCCTGAACCTGAGGCTTGTTGGCTGGGAAGCCACAGGGGAAGGCCCAGTGCAGGCCCCGAGGGAGTCCCCTCACAGGCAGGGGCACATCACTCATCCTGCTGTGGGTTTGCCCCCTCGTCACCAGCTAATGGAGTCCCACTCAATTCTGTCTTTTGATTTGTTCCATGTAGACAAATGCAGCGACAACAGTTCCTGTCACCCAACTCCCTGGGTCCTCACAGCCAGCGGTTCTCCAGCCATCAGTGGAACCAACCCAGCCGACCCCCCAGGTAGTGCTGACAAAGAACTCTGGCCTTTTCTCTCCAGTGAGGGAATCATCCAGACCAGTAGCTGAGCCCTGAGGCTGGGGGCAAGCAGAGAGCTTTCAGCCTTGGCCCCCTAAGGGCCCTCTTGCTAATTTGTTCGGAGCTGGTCACCTACAAGTAGAGGGGCTGCTCTGCCAATTAATATCCTTACTCCCTCCATCCCACCCACCACCACCACTGAGAAATAAGCTCTACTCACCAGGCCGGGCTCCTCGGTGCCTCCAGAGAGGGCATTTGTCCCTGTTGTACCCCTCCAGGTCCTCCTCGGGCCTTTGGCTTGTTCTCTCTTCCTTGGGGCCCAGAATCTCTCTCTTTTTTTTAACTTCATTAATTCTCACCTTCCTTCCTGTCTTCCTTTGTCCCTTCACCAAATACTGTGAATCTTGCCTGCTTTGTGCCTGGTGCTCCACTGCGCCGCCTCACTGCCCTCCCGCTGCACCCCTCGCTGCCCCTATGAGCGTGACCCATGGTGGAGTTGTGTGTTGCAGCTCCTGCTTAGACAGGCCAGCAAGTTCCCGCCTGCCCAATTCCTGGCAGTGAGCGAGCTCTCAGAGAGGCAGATGCTCCTAGGAGGAGAAAGTATTCTCAGAGACAGCTACATGCGAAAGCTTCCGAAGGTAGGCCTAATGTAGATGAGCAGGAGGAAGGGCAGGGCACCCGGAGCCTGCCCCACACCCCTCCCAGGCCCCAGAGCCCTGTGGAGGTGAGGCAGGCCTTACATGCGGAGTTGCCTTTCTGTGCAGCTGGGTGGTGGGCTGTAGGGAGCTGGGTCCTTCTCAGCTGGCGTCACAGACTTGGAGGAGGTCAAGACCCCCAGCGTGGCACAGCGGGGTCAGTTCTGCTCCTGCTTCCGCCCCCAGTGCCTGAAACTTGGCTCTCCACGTCAGCCTTAGGTCTTTGAAGAGCTTTTGGAGAGGTTGGTGTGTGTATACATGTGTGTGTGTACACATGTGCCTGGTTTGTCATCCTGTGAAATGACCAGTTTGAGATCTCTCCCTAAAAAGGACTGTAGTCTCATCCTTCAGGAGGAACCTGGCCCAAATGGCAGCAGCTGCCAGCAGGTGCAGGGCCCCGGGGCCAGGTCTGTTCAGCCTCACATACAGTCAGTCCCTTACTGTTACTCAGAGGCTCTACCCCGCCTGGAGAGGAGATAAGTGTGGACTCTGCATGCCACTAAAGCCAGGCAGGGCAGGGCCACACCTAAGGGGCTGTCCTGGGGTGTAGCCAATTGCAGTTTAGGGGGACCTCAGGAGGCAGCTCCTGGGGGCAGGCCATGGGGCAGGGTGCTTGTACAGATCCTGAGGCTCAGGCACACGCCATCTGCCTTCACGTGTCTCCCCTTTCCACTCACTGTTAGCAGGCTTGCACTGTTTTCCTTCTCACACATCCACCAGGCTCTTCAAATGAGGCTTGGGTCTGTGGGTTTCTTATTATAGTTTAGTTTCTTGTGAGGTCTTTTTCCCAAAGGTCACAATCACTGAGCGCTGCCTTGACCCAGTATGGGGAAGAGGTGGAGAAGCCAATGGGGGTAGTTTTCCCAACTCAAGCTTAGGGATGAGGGGAGAGGACAGCTTAGTCATGGCCAAGGGGTCAGGAAGGTGTGGGGGCAGTGGAAGACAGGTTGGCCTCTCTAAGGTGGTCTCTGGTACCTAAGACACTCTGTGGGGCGGGGACTGCTTCTGGGACTCCTTGATGGCTGTCCCTGCCTGGGGCAAGGCCTCTCTGCCTGCCTACCCAGGCTGACACTGTTTCTGTTTGTTGTGTCTGGCTGTCCCTGTACCTCCCCTGTTCTCTCCAGGCCGTGGTGTCTGCAGCCCAGGCAGGCCTGCTCCGGCAGCAGGAAGAACTGGACAGGAAAGCTGCCGAGCTGGAACGCAAGGAGCGGGAGCTGCAGAACACTGTAGCCAACTTGCATGGTAAGGGAGGCTGCTGGGGCCTGGGGCTGCCCTGCCTGGCATAGAAGAGTGTCCTGAAACCTGTGCGGAGGGCCTCCCAGCATTCACCCTGAGCTGCCTTAGAGTTTTGTGGGGCTCTTCTCATCACAGGATGCTGGTCCTGGGAAGAGCAGTAAGTTGCAAGTCAGGAGACCTGCAGTGTAGTTGTAATGGCTGTAGATTACTTCTGCACTCCTTCCTAGCTCTCAAATTCCTTGATTCTTTGATAGCATAGGGGCTTTGGTCCCACAATTCCTTGCTAATGATGATGAACTGAGTTCTCACACTTATGGGCTGCTTGTTAATAAAAATAATCACTTAGGCCATTTAGCTGTCTGTATTTCCCAGTGCATTTGGGGTCTTTTATCTCCATGTGAGCTTGTTGGTATCTCTTTGGGTTCCATTATCCTGTTCTGTCCCACTCCATGCTCCATGCAGACTCCAAGCCCCGCTTGCTGGAGCCCCTCTGGGAACCCTGGTTTGGCCCATACACTATGCTGGCGTGCATGCACCTTGATGCCCCTTCTGAGGCTGGGCCCTTACCTCGTCACTCTTTTTGCCCTACCCAGTGAGACAGAACAACTGGCCCCCTCTGCCCTCGTGGTGCCCTGTGAAGCCCTGCTTCTATCAGGATTTCTCCACAGAGATCCCTGCCGACTACCAGCGGATATGCAAGATGCTCTACTATCTGTGGATGTGTGAGTCCCACTCCTGCCTTCCAAGCGCAAGGGCGAATTGGGTGTGACTTGAGAGCCCCATCTTGGTCCTGGCTGCTCCTCCCTGGTATACAGGCTTTCAGCAGACTCCAGCCTTCCTCAGTGCCTGGGCTGGGTTGGGGAGATGCCTCTGCCCACAGGCTGCCCCCTGTCTGGAAACCTCCTTGAAAGGGGCAGTCCAGACCACCGATCAGGGAGGGTGGGACTAACTAGAGGCTTCCAAGTTCCTTCAGAGCTCACTGCACTAAAAGGCCCTCCTTAGGTGAAGGCCTTCCCTGCCCACAGGCCTGTGAACTCTGAGGGGTGAGGAAGGAGACTCCCCCTGCAGCTCCATCAGGGGCCATCCAGGGCCAGGGAAAAGCATTGCTAAGAGAAAGACTTCCTTCCCCAAGGACCAGCCCTGGGTCTGCATCCTCCCTCCACACCCCTCAGATACCCGGGCTGTCCCATCACCTCTCAGGAACGTAGTTTGATCCCTGGTTTTGAGGTCCCAGAAAACCAGGATATGGGAACTATCCCTGCCTAGGTACAGAGCGGGCTCCTCTGTTTCAGCAGCTGCCTTCGCAGCATGAACCTCACCTCTCCTAGGGAGTGGCTGCCACATTGGAGCCCCTCAGCCACTGTGGCACAAGTCATAACTCTGTCCTGTCCCCTTCCCCAGTGCATTCAGTGACTCTGTTTCTGAACCTGCTTGCCTGCCTGGCCTGGTTCTCGGGCAACAGCTCCAAGGGAGTGGACTTTGGCCTCTCCATCCTGTGGTTTCTGATCTTCACTCCCTGTGCCTTCCTTTGTTGGTACCGACCCATCTATAAGGCCTTTAGGTGAGTGAGGCCGGGGCAAGGGGTGAGACTTTATGGCTGGCATCCCAGGTAGCAGGCTAAGGGCTATAGGCCCTGGGACCCCATCTGAGTCTTAGAGCAGAATAGAATGTAGGGAAATCCACTTTCCCTACATTCTGTTCCTCTGTTCCCACCCAGAGCAGAGATTGGGGGCCCCGTTCCTCAGTTTCTGTACCTGAGGTCTGCTCTGGGCCCTGTCCTTGGACCAGGCACAGGAGACCTAGAGAAGGGACCTCCCATCCCACTGCTCCCAGTCTGGCTGATGCCGTTACTGGGAAGAGGGAGGGGACGCTCTTTGGGAACTCCCTTCTGAGGCTCTAAGGTGTGCTTCTCTGGTAGTATCAGATGAGTGCTCTCCAGGGCTCTTTCTCCATGACTATTGATGCTTCCCAATAAAGACTGCCAACACCTAAGCTAGATACTGGGAACATAGCTGGATACACCTTACAGACCCCCAGGGGTTCTGGAATTGTACCTCAGGGTTTATGCTTTCAGGGCTGGGAGCCCAGCAGGCCCTGGGAAGAGGGATTAGGGTAGTGGCTGAACCATCCCTGTACCACTGGAGGCCCTGAACCCTCACTGTGATCTAGCCCTCAAGGACACAGAGATGGAAGTCCTCAGCTCGTGAGAGAGTTTTGTCTGGTGTCCCCTGTTTCCCAAATATTTTTTTCTTCCAGTCAGATGTACAGGTTTTGTTTTTTTCTCATTGTTCTTTGTTACCACGTATCCTCAAGTTCTATTGTTTTTGTTTTGAGAGGGAGTCTCGCTCTGTCACCCAGGCTGGAGTGCAATGATGCGATCTCGGCTCACTGCAACCTCCTCCTCCTGGGTTCAAATGATTCTCCTGCCTCAGCCTCCGGAGTAGCTGGGCTTACAGGCACACACAATCACACCTGGCTAATTTTTGTATTTTTAGTAGCGATGGGGTTTCCCCATGTTGGCCAGGCTGGTCTTGAACTTGTGACCTCAAGTGATCCACCTGTCTCGGCCTCCCAAAGTGCTGGGATTACGAGTGTGAACCACCGTGCCCAGCCTGTTTTGTTTTTTTGAGACAGAATCTCAGTCTGTTACCCAGGCTGGAGTGCAATGGCGCAGTCTCGGCTCACTGCAACCTCCGCCTCCCAGGTTCAAGTGAGTCTCCTGTCTCAGCCTCCCAAGTAGCTGGGATTACAGGCGCACACCACCACGCCCAGCTAATTTTTGTGTTTTTAGTAGAGACAGGGTTTTGCCATGTTGGCTAGGCTGGTCTCAAATTCTTGGCCTCATACAGTTTTATTATTAAGAGATTTACTTAGTTTTACTTATTATTAGAGATTTTACTTATTATATAGAGATTTACTTATTATTAAGAGATTGGCTTAGTTTTTCTTGCCTGTTATGAAACGCAAGTACTCCAGGAGATGGAGTGTTAGGTTCTTTGTTTTTTATTTACTTATTTTTCTGAGACAGAGTCTTACTCTGTCACCCAGGCTGGAGTGCAGTGGCGTGATCTTGGCTCACTGCAGGAGTGTTAGGCTCTTTATATTGTCCTTTGGGGGAGCAACTTTATCAGCTCTTTGAGGAAGGGGTCAAGCACTGACCCCTTAAATTGGAAGGCAGTGAAAGGCAAGCTCTTCTTGATTATGGTGGGGGGTGTGTGCGTGTCCTTACGGGTGGTATGGCTGGGCCCCTGGAGCTCTGTCTCTTGCCCATGCTGCCTCCTGGCTCCTAGTGAGGAGGGATGTCACACCAAGTAAGGATGCTGAGGAACACAGCCCAAGCCCTCTTGTGACTTATTTCCCTCTCTCTCCACAGGTCCGACAACTCTTTCAGCTTCTTTGTGTTCTTCTTTGTATTTTTTTGTCAAATAGGGATCTACATCATCCAGTTGGTTGGCATCCCTGGCCTGGGGGACAGGTGAGACCTGGGCATCACAGAGGGAATTAGGCTTTGGATATGGGACTCAGCCTCTCTTGCCCTGTTTTCTAGCTCCCACAGAGCCCCGCCAGTGCCCTGCTTTTCCCATGGCGGGGAGTGGGTGAGTGGGCCAGCTCGGATCTGCTTTGGGCCTTCTCTCCAGTTCTTCATCAGTAGCCACTCACTTTTTTTTTCTCCTTGATACTAAAGGCATCAAAAGACACTCACTATTGGTCAGGTGCAGTGGCTCATGCCTGGAATCCCAGTACTTTGGGAGGCCGAGGCAGGCAGATTGCTCAAGCCCAGGAGTTCGAGACAGCCTAGGAAACACAGGAAGACCTTGTCTCTACCAAAAATTAAAAAAATTAGCCTGTTGCAGTGGCATGCACCTATAGTCCCAGGTACTTGGGAGGCTGAAGCAGGAGGATCACTTGAGCCCAGGAGGTTGAGGCTGCAGTGAGCCATGATTGCACCACTGGACACCAGCCTGGGTGACAGAGTGAGATCCTGTATCAAAAAAAAAAAAAAAAGACACTATCTTCCCTTGCTCTCCACTTTCCAGGGTATTGTGGGTGAACTTGGCTTGACTCTTTAGGCTACCATGACAGTGTCCTGCACTGGATTGCAGCCTCTTCCTTTTCTCCTGCCACACCCTCCTGAAAGCTGATGGATGCCCAGGCCTTTGCAGACTCTGAGCTGCAACTTTTTCCAGATGCCTTGTAACTTAAGGAGACGGTTCCCTCACCTCCCCTGGACAGGCTTCTTCTGGCTGCCCTCTTTGAGCATACGGCTGGTTTGAGTTTCCAGGGTACCTCAGTCCTCAGCTCAAAATTAATCTCAAAAGAAAAGCTGATGGCTGATGTTTTCCTTTCTGCCCCAGTGCACAGGGAGCATTGCAGAAAGGTCAGACTGGCACTTGGCTGACAGCCTGAGCCTGGAAGGGCGGTGCTATTTTGGTCCCCTCCCTCTGGCAGAGCTGGCAAGTCCAGAGCAGTGGGGAGAGAAAGGTTGCCTCCCCTTGCCCTCCAAACAAGTGCACGCTGCCCTCCCACCACCCCTCATGCTTCTTGCCCTGCTGTTGTTAATCTGGTCCCTTTTGACCAGTGACCCAATTTCATTACTCCTTACCTAAGTAAGACCCTGGTAGAAAAGCTGTGATTCATGACTGCCGTTTGCACCTGTACTGGGAATCAGAAGGCTTGAGTTGGCTGGGTGCGGTGGCTCATGCCTGTAATCCCAGCACTTTGGGAGGCCAAGGCGGGTGGATCACCTGAGGTCAGGAAGGAGTTTGAGACCAGCCTGGCCAACATGGCAAAACCTTGTTTCTAGAGAGTACAAAAATTGGCCAGGCGCATTGGTAGGTGCCTATAATCCCAGCTACTTGGGAGGCTGAGGCAGAAGAATCACTTGAACCCGGGAGGTGGAGGTTGCAGTGAGCCGGGATCACACCACTGTTCTCCAGCCTGGGCTACAGAGCAAGACTCAATCTCAAAAAAAAAAAAAAAAAAAAAAATTAACTGACAATAGGTGTATGGGTTTATTTCTGGAATCTCAGTTCTATTCCATTGATCTATTGATCTATATGTCTATGTTTATGCCAGTCCTACACTATTTTAGTGACTGTAGCTTTGTAGTAAGTTTTGATGTCAAGAAATATGAGGATATCCCTTTTACAGATGAGGACATGGGGCTCAGACAGGTGACAGCAAGTTGGCCAGTGATCCTCCTTCACAGAAGGTGGGTCCTCAGGAGTGAGCAGCCACGCTTTCCATACTCCCCACCCCCAAAGCAGCAGAAAAAGGCCCGGCCCAGTGCTACCTTTTTAATTAATTATTTTTTGAGATGGAGTCTCTGTTGCCCAGACTGGAGTGCAGTGCCGCGATCTCTGCTCACTGCAAGCTCCGCCTCCCAGGTTCACGCCATTCTCCTGCCTCAGCCTCCCGAGTAACTGGGACTATGTAGGTGCCTGCCACCATGCCTGGCTCATTTTTTGTATTTTTAGTAGAGATGGGGTTTCACTGTGTTAGCCAGGATGGTCTCGATCTGCTGACCTCGTGATCCGCCCATCTTGGCCTCCCAAAGTGTTGGGATTACGGGCTTGAGCCACTGTGCCCAGCCCTTTTTCTTTTTTCTTTTCTTTTTTTTTTTTTTTTGGAGACAGGGTCTCACTCTGTTGCTCAGGCTGGAGTGCCGTGGCGTGATCACAGCTCACTGCAGCCTTGAACCTCACGGGCTCAAGTGATCCTCCTACCTCAGCATCCCAAGTAGCTGGGAGCATAGGCATGTATGACCACAGCCAGCTAATTTTTTTTTTTTTTGAGTTGGAGTCTCGCCCTGTCACCTAGGCTGGAGTACAATGGCATGATCTCGGCTCACTGCAGCCTGCACCTTCCAGGTTCAAGTGATTCTCCTGCCTCAGTCTCCCGAGTAGCTGGGATTGCAGGCGTGTGCAACCACGCGCAGCTAATTTTTGTATTTTTAGTAGAGCAAGGTTTCTCCATGTTGGCCAGGCTGGTCTCAAACTCCTGACCTCAAGTGATCTGCCTTCCTTGGCCTCCCAAAGTGCTGGGATTACAGGCACGAACCTGGCCTTTTTTTATTTTTTATGGAGACAGGGCCTCCCTCTGTTGCCCAGGTTGGTCTTGAACTCTTGGGCTCAAGCGATCCTCCTGCCTCAGCCTCCCAAAGTGCTGGGATTACAGGTGAGAGCCATAGCACCCAGCCCGGTGCTACTTCTGACTCTGTGAAGGCAGCAACCACATCCTCCCTTTCAGACCTCACATAACCAGAAGATTCCCCTTGTGAATGGGGTAGTGTGGGCCTGTCAGCCTTCACGGAGGTCTGGCCTCACAGGCCAAGGGCTTCTGGCTCACAGGGCTCCCTGTGCTGTGGGGAGATGCCAAGGTGATGGTCAGGACACAGCAGCCACTTGGAGAAGAGCCCCTTATGCTGACTTTTGGAGCCCACTCCCACTTTGCTCCCTCTGGCCTCTTCTTCCCTTTATAGCGGTTGGATTGCAGCCCTGTCTACACTGGATAATCATTCCCTGGCCATATCAGTCATCATGATGGTGGTGGCTGGCTTCTTCACCCTCTGTGCCGTGCTCTCAGTCTTCCTCCTGCAGCGGGTGAGTGGTGTGGGCAGGGCTGACAGCAAATGGGAGGAGGCAGGCAACCGTTTCCTGCCCTTGCCACGAGATGTTTTTCACCACTGCAGTTGGGCATCCTAGGCCCCCAAAGGTCCAGTACCTTTCTCCAGGGATCTGGGTGGGGGGTCAGGCAGTGCCAGGCTTCTGGTGACCCCTTTGGGAGTATAACCTGGATGGCTGGCTTCCTGGTGGGCCCAAAGGACAGGCTTCTCTCACCCCACCCCTCTTCGCCAGGTGCACTCCCTCTACCGACGGACAGGGGCCAGCTTCCAGCAGGCCCAGGAGGAGTTTTCCCAGGGCATCTTCAGCAGCAGAACCTTCCACAGAGCTGCTTCATCTGCTGCCCAAGGAGCCTTCCAGGGGAATTAGTCCTCCTCTCTTCTCTCCCCCTCAGCCTTTCTCTCGCCTGCCTTCTGAGCTGCACTTTCCGTGGGTGCCTTATGTGGTGGTGGTTGTGCCCAGCACAGACCTGGCAGGGTTCTTGCCGTGGCTCTTCCTCCTCCCTCAGCGACCAGCTCTCCCTGGAACGGGAGGGACAGGGAATTTTTTCCCCCTCTATGTACAAAAAAAAACAAAGCTCTCTTTCCTTCTCTGGTGATGGTTTGGTAGGATTCTTTTGTCTCTGGAAGCAGTGGGACTGAAGTTCTCTTCGTCCTGTGCACACACAGACACCCCCACACAGTTGGGATCACAGGCTGACCTGGGCCCATCCCAGCTGGAGCTTTCTGCCAGGGTCCTGGGCCTTGACTCCCCCACCCTGCAGGCCTGGCCTGAATCTGGCTTCTTAGACACAGCCCAGTCCTTCCTGCCTGGGCTGGGAATAAGCCTCTCACAGGTTCTGGTGGACAGATCTGTTCCCCAGGTCACTCCAGTGGTCTCCAGGCTTCCAGAGAAGGCTGGTTGCCTCAAGCTCTTCTCTGCCTCATAAACGGATCCAGAGAAGGCTGGTTGCCTTAAGCTCTTCCCTGCCTCGTGTTCCTGAGAAACGGATTAATAGCCCTTTATCCCCCTGCACCCTCCTGCAGGGGATGGCACTTTGAGCCCTCTGGAGCCCTCCCCTTGCTGAGCCTTACTCTCTTCAGACTTTCTGAATGTACAATGCCGTTGGTTGGGATTTGGGGACTGGAAGGGACCAAGGACACTGACCCCAAGCTGTCCTGCCTAGCGTCCAGCGTCTTCTAGGAGGGTGGGGTCTGCCTGTCCTGGTGTGGTTGGTTTGGCCCTGTTTGCTGTGACTACCCCCCCCCCTCCCCGAACCGAGGGACGGCTGCCTTTGTCTCTGCCTCAGATGCCACCTGCCCCGCCCATGCTCCCCATCAGCAGCATCCAGACTTTCAGGAAGGGCAGGGCCAGCCAGTCCAGAACCGCATCCCTCAGCAGGGACTGATAAGCCATCTCTCGGAGGGCCCCCTAATACCCAGTGGAGTCTGGTTCACACCCTGGGGGGTGTGTCACTGTGATGGGACACGTAGGAGTCCACCCTTAAAACCAGCACCCTGTCCCTCGAGGCTGCCGAGTGGGTGTGTGGACTGGGGTGCCTTCCCACAAAACTAGCCTCCGGCTCTGGGCCCGAGACAGCCGCAGGCCCCAGCCACTGAATGATACTGGCAGCGGCTGGGGTTTTATGAACTCCTTTCTGGTATTTTTTCCCCTCTATGTACAAATGTATATGTTACGTCTCAATTTTTGTGCTTAAGTAAAAATAAAAACATTTTCAGACAACACGGGTCCACATGTCTGGTGGACTTGGGAGGACGGGGCAGCCCACAGGATTAGGGGCTGGGCGCCGCTGCTAAGATTGGAGAGCGGGGACAGTTAAGATGCAATAAATAGGTCAAGGCCCTTCCTCAGAAAAGTGAAAAGCAGCTGGGAGGCCTGGGAAGCCAACGCGGCCTCTTCCAAAGGCGCCTTCTCGTGCCAGTAGCTCTCCTTTCAGAGCTGCGGGTCCTGGGGAGGGGCCCTGGGAGCCTCCCGGACGCCGTCGCCCCCACACACGCCCGCTCCGCCGCCCGCGCCCTCACGTGGGCGATCTCTAGACGCCTCTGCGCCCGCTAGGAGTCCCCGGAGACCACGCCGGCCGTCCTCCGTTGTTAACTTCTAGGCTCGCGGGGCCTCCGTATCCCCACGTGGGCCCTGCAGGAACTGGCGGGGCGCGTGACCCGGCGAGGCCCAGAGACAGGGGAGGGGCGCCGGGAGCCGGGCGGATCCGCGTCCCCGATGCGCGCTGCATTTCCGGCGGGCGGCGCTGGGGGCAGCGTGGAGCCACCCAGTGCTCGGCCCGCCCCGCAACCCGCCGGAACCGCCGCCCGCAGCGAGGAAGCGCCCGCGCGGGCGCAGGCGGCCGGAATGGCGGGGCCCGGCTGGGGTCCCCCGCGCCTGGACGGCTTCATCCTCACCGAGCGCCTGGGCAGCGGCACGTACGCCACGGTGTACAAGGCCTACGCCAAGGTGGGTGCCGGCCGATGGCCCCGTGCCCGCCCGAGCTAGCTCGGCTGGTGCCGGCCGGGGAGACTCTGAGAGGTTAGCGACAGTGTGGGAATAGTTAGGGGCGGGAGGCCGGCCTCGCCCCAGCTGACCCTCGGCGGAGGTTGGAGCCGACTGCCACGCTTAGGTCTTAAAGAGCGCACCTGCACCCACCTGCAGGGTCAGTGGCTGAAGAACAGGCTCAAAACAGGTTACCTGGTGGGCTGGGAGGAGTCTGGGACTGGAGCCAGTTGGGAGGCAGAGTGGGCGGTTCTAGAACCCTGAGTGACATGCCTCTGCCGGGAGCACTCCAGAATGCAAAGAAATGGATCAGCTAGCCGAGGGTTGGAGAAGACCAGGCTGAGGCTGTGTCGGGAAGCCAGGATTCCAGAATCAGCATTCCTCACTGGCCTCACAAGGGAAAGCTGGGAAGCCCGGTGCTGGTGTGCAGTAGGTAGACCCGGGGAGGGGCGGGGTGGGGGAACAGAGGGAACCAGATAGAGCCTTTCCAGTCAGACAAGGGTCCTGGCCCCCTCAAGGCAGAGTCCCCAAATCTCCTGTCTCGCAGAAGGACACTCGTGAAGTGGTAGCCATAAAGTGTGTAGCCAAGAAAAGTCTGAACAAGGCATCGGTGGAGAACCTCCTCACGGAGATTGAGATCCTCAAGGGCATTCGACATCCCCACATTGTGCAGCTGAAAGACTTTCAGGTGTGAGCCTGGGGCGGGGCCGCTGCCAAAGGGAGCTGGAGAAGGGACACTCTCTTCAGGCCGCCTCTCTGCCTCTAAACACAGTGGGACAGTGACAATATCTACCTCATCATGGAGTTTTGCGCAGGGGGCGACCTGTCTCGCTTCATCCATACCCGCAGGATTCTGCCTGAGAAGGTGGCGCGTGTCTTCATGCAGCAATTAGGTAAAGGCCTGTGACACCAGCCTGACACTCTGTCCCTTGTTCTCTGCCCCCCACCATCCCACCCCTCCCCCAGGCTTAGAGCCTTGGCACGCATTGCAGCTGCCTCCTGCACAGCCTGAAATTTTATGGTCCTGTTTATCTCATACACTCAACCCTTGCTCAAGGACGCTGTGGGAGAGATGAGGGGGTAACCCCTCTGTGGGGTGTTCAGGCTTCCATACATAGAACATAATATAAGGACCTTGTAGAACATTCCAGAGTCCTGTAGGTAGGACTCAAGTGCTGTGCCAAGGAAAAGAGCAGGATCTCAAGGGCTGGGGCATCCAGAGAAGCTTCTGAGAGGTGGGGAGACTTGTGAAGGGGCAGAGGGAAGGAGGGTGGGCACTCGGGTGGGGTGGCAAACTCCTAGAAGTGGTGTGATCTTGGTGCTTATATGGAAAACATTAGACCAGCCAGGCAGGAACTGGGGTTGTGCAGGCTTGAGGAGGCAGATGTGAGCCGGGGAGGCGAGAGGCAGGCGGGAATGGGCTCTGAACTGTCTCTCTTCGTGGGTCCTGCTCCTCAGCTAGCGCCCTGCAATTCCTGCATGAACGGAATATCTCTCACCTGGATCTGAAGCCACAGAACATTCTACTGAGCTCCTTGGAGAAGCCCCACCTAAAACTGGCAGGTCTGTGTCTGAAACAGCAGGGATGAGGTTTGGAGAGTGCAGAGGCCTCCCTCTGCCTGGGCTCACTCAGCAGCCCTGGTTCTTATGGAGCCCTCTATAGAGTCCTCAAAGAGTGACAGGCCGTGAAGTCTGGGGTTGGGCCCTGTCATCAAAAGGTGGAAGCTTTCTCAGGCTACCCATGCTCAAGTCCAGCAGCATAATGGGTGGAGTTAGGGCTCAGTCTGTGGCCAGAGTTGGGACTCACTGTGTGTCCAGGTTTAGGGGTCAATCTGGGAACAGTGCCAGGGTTCAGCGTGTGACAAGCATCAGGGATCCCTCTGTGGGCAGGGACAGGACTTGGTCTGTCATCAGAATTGGGGCTCAAGTCTGTGACTCCATCTGTGGCCACATAGGAGGGGTGTGGTGGGGGAGTAGGAGGTGGTGACCCTTGATAAGATTTGGATAATTGACACTGGAGGCCAGAGACTGTGATAGAACCTAAGCCTGGGGGGACAGTGAGAGGGTGGGGGCTTATGCAGGTAGCTGGTGTGATCAGGTGGGCTTCCTAGGAAAAGGTGCCCAAGGGAGCTGGGAAGGATGGGTAGGTTTTATACCCCAGAGGCAGATATAGGAGGGTGTTCCAGCCTAATGATGAGCAGAGGCTTGGAAATAGGGTTGATCCTGGCGGGTCTGGAGGGTGGAGAGGAGCCTGGGGTGAGGCTTTACAAGTCAGGAGCTGAAGCAGCTGGAATTCAAGCCCTGCTGCCTCTCCTCTTGCCTGCAGACTTTGGTTTCGCACAACACATGTCCCCGTGGGATGAGAAGCACGTGCTCCGTGGCTCCCCCCTCTACATGGCCCCCGAGATGGTGTGCCAGCGGCAGTATGACGCCCGCGTGGACCTCTGGTCCATGGGGGTCATCCTGTATGGTGAGACCTCTTTTCCCTGCTTCTCACCCTGAGGCCTACAGTTTCCTCAGGCAAGGCCTCTCTGGGCCACTTCTGAAGGGTTCTGATGAAAACTGACTGCTGGCCCAGGGCCCCTGCTGAGGGGCGTCAGGCCAGGCTTGACCCATTCCCTCCCAGCCTCCGCTCTGCCTCCCTTCCACAGAAGCCCTCTTCGGGCAGCCCCCCTTTGCCTCCAGGTCGTTCTCGGAGCTGGAAGAGAAGATCCGTAGCAACCGGGTCATCGAGGTGTGTCTAGCAGGGCCTTAGCGACCACTGGGGGGCAGAGGGAGTCAGGGCCCTGAGGGTTTAGACCTCGTTCTGACCTGCAGAGACTGGAGTATGGGCTCCAGGCTGCCTTTGTGGTGGAGGGGCAGGTTCTAGGCTGGAAGTCGAGGTGCCAGGCTGTCCCAGGGCCTCAGGTCAGCCCACAGCTGGCAGCACAGTGCCCATTTTGCAGGCCCTTGTGGGGAGAATGCAAAGCAGAGCCAGGCCCAGCCTTCCTAGGAGCATAGTCCAGGGAGGGAAATAAGGACCCAGAAACACGATTCTAGCTCAGCTCAGGGCTCCAGCGAGGGTGCACCGGGAGCCCAGGGATGGAGGCCTCGCTCCCCGCTGGCTCCATCATCCTGACCCATCCTGTTCCTCCTCGGTCTCAGATTCCCCACCTGTCCAACGCGTACCTCTGGGGTTCCTCGCAGACCCCTGGGCTAGGGGTAGGGGTGGAGGAGCCCAGTGTGATCTGTCCCTGCCGTTCCCTTCCCTGCAGCTCCCCTTGCGGCCCCTGCTCTCCCGAGACTGCCGGGACCTACTGCAGCGGCTCCTGGAGCGGGACCCCAGCCGTCGCATCTCCTTCCAGGACTTTTTTGCGCACCCCTGGGTGGACCTGGAGCACATGCCCAGTGGGGAGAGTCTGGGGCGAGCAGTGAGCAGACGGCTGGGGCTGGGGTGGGCTGAGGGTGGGCTGGAGGTCTCCTTGCCCCCGTTGGTGGTGAATTGGTGACTCACCCAACAGAGACAGAGGGCGGGCTCAGGGGAGCTGATCTCCCATCTTGGTGAGTGTGGGAGGGTAGGGAGGTGGACCTGACCCCTGATCTGCCCATCCCCAGACCGCCCTGGTGGTGCAGGCTGTGAAGAAAGACCAGGAGGGGGATTCAGCAGCTGCCTTATCACTCTACTGCAAGGCTCTGGACTTCTTTGTACCTGCCCTGCACTGTGAGTCCCAGGCCATGCCTGAAGCCCGTGGGTGCAGCAGGGATGGGAGTCATCTGTGGCTGCAGTAGGTGGATTCCAGAAGTTCTCTATCTAGAATTTTGTAGGCGATAAAGCAGAGCGTAAACCTGGAATATTGTGTTTTGAGGGATTCCAGAGGGTTCGTTGTGGGGCAGGGAGGGGTTCGCCCAGACTCCTCATATGACCTCACTTTCTGCAGATGAAGTGGATGCCCAGCGGAAGGAGGCAATTAAGGCAAAGGTGGGTGAGAGTCCCCATGAGGAAGTGGGGGGGCAGGGGGTAAGGCCCGGAGATCTCGGGGGCCTCTGGGGAATGGCTCTCTTAGAATTGGAACTTCCTCTCCTGCAACACAGAGCTGGGAATGGGTCAGGCCAGCCACATTTGCCCCCTGACATGTTTATAGCTTGAGGCAGTCACTAACAATGCAAAGGGAGAACTTGGAGGTGGGTTCTGGCAAGGGTAGCTGGTGAGACAGCCCCTCCTCAGGCCCTTTCCCTGCTACAGGTGGGGCAGTACGTGTCCCGGGCTGAGGAGCTCAAGGCCATCGTCTCCTCTTCCAATCAGGCCCTGCTGAGGCAGGGGACCTCTGCCCGAGACCTGCTCAGAGGTAGACTCCGGTTTCTGGCTGACCCCAGGGCCCCCAGCAAACCTCCCCACAGCCTGAGGGGGAGGCGGGTGGGGAGAGGCATCCTGCAGCGAACAGGCAGGTTGCTTCCCTCACCCTGAGCCTTTCCCCTCATCTCAGAGATGGCCCGGGACAAGCCACGCCTCCTAGCTGCCCTGGAAGTGGCTTCAGCTGCCATGGCCAAGGTTTGTGCCAGTGGGAGGGGTCCAGGTGGGTCGGGGCAGGGCAGGGAGATACCCAGGCCATGACCCTAAGCAGCCTGGTGTCCTTGTGGCTGCAGGAGGAGGCCGCCGGCGGGGAGCAGGATGCCCTGGACCTGTACCAGCACAGCCTGGGGGAGCTACTGCTGTTGCTGGCAGGTGAGGGCCCCCATTTATGCCCCCCACAGGGCCTCTGGCCACCCTGTCCTCACCACACACCCTCTCTTTACAGCGGAGCCCCCGGGCCGGAGGCGGGAGCTGCTTCACACTGAGGTGCCCACTGAGCTTGAGAGGGTTGGGGGGCTTCCTCTTCCCCTTTCTCTGCTCTTACCTGTGGGGACCTCTTTGGGTTCCCTCTGGAATGTCCCACTGTCAGGGTGTTCCAAGTCTGGAAGTCAAACCATAGGGCTGGGGTGCTCAGACAGGGCAGTGGGGGATCTGGGAACCCAGCAGCAAAAAGTCTGGGAAGGCTTCCTGGAGGAAGGAGCAGATAAGGGACTCAGGAGGCAAGTTGTTCTGATGGGGCAGAGGGTTCTGGAGAGCATCAGGGGTGAGGAGGAGTTCCCTTTGAAACCCCACCCCCCGCCACTCTCCCCCACACCCAAGGGCATATCTTTCCTTGGCAGGTTCAGAACCTCATGGCCCGAGCTGAATACTTGAAGGAGCAGGTCAAGGTGGGCACATGGGGGCCACGCTGGGGCTAGGGTCTGTGGGTTCTGTTGCTCTCTGCTTGTGGCTGTCGTCCCCCCCTGCTGGTGTATGTCTGCTCTCTCGCCTCCTCTGCAGGCCTCCCTGTCCCTGTATCTGCCCTTCACTCTCTCTCTTGCTCGGCACTGCGCTGTGGCTCGTGTCCCCGTCCTTCACTCTCTCACTTGCTCGGCACTGCGCTGTGGCTCGTGTCCCCGTCCTTCACTCTCTCACTTGCTCGGCACTGCGCTGTGGCTCGTGTGTCTGCCTCTCATCCCTTGTGCTGCCTTCACATCCCACAGATGAGGGAATCTCGCTGGGAAGCTGACACCCTGGACAAAGAGGGACTGTCGGAATCTGTTCGTAGCTGTGAGTCCTGCCCTGGGGTCGATCCTCCATCCAAGGAGGGGTGAGGGCTGGGGGCCCTGGGTTCTGCCTCCCTTACCAAAGACCTGAGACTGACCCTCCCCCATTGTCCCCCTCACCCCCGTAGCTTGCACCCTTCAGTGACCCTAGAAGAATGATTGGACAGATGTGAGCCATCTGGAGCAGAGGGGCACTAACCCAGGCTGACGCCAAGAATGAAGTGGCCCACTGCAGCCCTGGCGAGCAGGCTTCTTGGATGGACAGTGCTGAGACCCCCATATCCCAGAGTCCCCAGCCTCCCTCAGGTTACTCTGCACCCCACAGATGGTTTGATGGCTGTGCTGTATACTGGAGGGGAGGGCAGGACTCTGGGAGAACAGCACTTCTTTCATGAGACCTTTGTTACTCGGTGGTTACTGGGTCCTGTGCCTGTCCGTTTTGGGGCATGCAGCCCTCTATCATTTTTGGCTCCGAGAAGAGGGCAAGGGGCCCCCGCAGGGTACTTCTGTGCTTGCCCTCGCCCTGCCAGCAGGCAGCTGTGCCCCTGGCCTGCCCTTCCCGGGACCCCTTATTCCAACTCAGCTCCTCTTTGCACTGGAATGGGGCACTCCAACACCCCTCAGGGACCACCCTCCCCACAGTATGCACTCAGCCCCACAGAACCCACCAGTCTTTCTGGGAACTCACACCTGCCCGCCATCTTGGTACTTTAGGTTAATCCCTCAAGCATGAAAGCTGGATCTTTTGGGGTTTAAGAAGCCCAAGCCTTGTTCCTGCCCTGGCCTAGGGAGCACTCAGGAGGGTTCCTTGGTCCTCATCTCTCCCACCTCCGTTCCCTCTGGGCCCCACACTAGCCACAGCGCGGGCCTTGTGCTGGAGTTTGAGCCTGGGACAGGGAGAGGGAGGCTTGGAGACAGTCTGACCCAGTGCCCTCTAGGCCACCCACTTCTAGGCCTGCCCTGCCGCCGTGGAGCCCTGGGCAAGCTCTTTCCCCTTTCTGGGCCTGGGTCTCCCCATCTCTTCAATGGGGCTGATACCTTCACAGCCCACAGCATGGGCACTTATGAGGACAAAGTGAATTTAACCTGGAAAAGAATGTATTTGAGAGTTTCTTTTAAATAATCAGCGGGTGTTGGTGATTTGTAGCCCTTCTGCCCTTAAATGCTTCCTTGGGCAAGAGCTGTCTGTCCTCCCTGCAGGAGGCTGAGTGTAAAGAGTATCATTCATTGTTTCTCTATTAAATTATTTTCTCTATTTGCGCGTCTCTTCTTGCCTTAAGAACGACAGGAGAGGTGGCCGCTGCCCACAGGCTGGGGCAAGAAGGACTGCAGCAAAAGCTGCGGAAGCTGAGGTAGGGCCGGAGAGGTCGCGAGATGGAGGGGAATGCTGAGAATGATAGCCACATCTGCCCTCAGCCCCCAGAGATCCAGGAGAAGGGCTGACCAGGGTCATTGCTGCCCACACCCAGGCGACCGGTGGGGAGAGGAGCACAGGCCTGGGAGCTGGGAAGGCTCAGCTCCAGGAGTGCAATCTTCCACCATGCTCTGCCCTCCACACCGCACACTGTCTCACCCCAGACAGGATCTCTTGGCTTCCTTCCCTCCCTTACCCTGGGCCACTGAGGGAGCAGTGAGCTGGACTGGAGGAAAGGGCATGTTTTGAGGTATCATGCTCACACCCAGCCCCCAGGGTCTCCATTTCCAGCAGGCTCTGTACCCTGGCCTTCCCCCAACCCCACGTACACCCCAGGTGTCAATCTGATCAGCACTTGTTGGGAGTAGGAGGGGAGCACATCCCCTGGCAGCCAGCAGGGGAGCAGTTCCTTAGACTTACCCATGCCCCCGGGTTGCTCAGTCATCCCAGGGTTTCCCATACCTGGATGGGAACAGACCCTGGGAACTATTCTCCCTGAAGCCCCTGGCCTGGCCATCGGGGGGCAGTGTGGAGCAGTGTCCCAGAGGGCAGGAGGAACTGCTAGAATTCTGGCTCTGCTACTTGGCCTTGAAGTTTAGGATCCATCGATGAGCCTATTTCTTCATAGAATGAGGTTGAGGATAAGGGCCCCATGTGTAATGAGATGTTGCACATGGGCATGGCATACAGTAAGAATACAATAAAATGTGACTTTCAGATCTAAGGAGAGAAAGGTACTTCAGATTATCTCTGGAAATGGGCCAGACAAAAAAGCCTCAATATATAAAGTGAGGGAACAGGAGGGGAATGAATGGACCTGGTTGAGTGGATGAATTGAGAAGATGGGAGGGGCTGGGTGCGGTGGCTCACACCTGTAATCCCAGCACTTTGGGAGGCCAAGGCGGGTGGATCACGAGGTCAGGAGATGGAGACCAGCCTGGCCAACATGGTGAGACCCCATCTCTACTGAAAATATAAAAATTAGCCGGGCGTGGTGGTGGGCGCGTGTAGTCCCAGCTACTCGGAAGGCTGAGGCAGGAGAATCACTTGAACCTGGGAGGCGGAGGTTGCAGTGAGCCAAGATCGGGCCACTGCATTCCAGCCTGGTGACAGCGAGACTCTGTCTTAAAAAAAAAAAAAAAAAGAAGATGGGAGGAAGAGTGGAAATGAAAGACGAGATGGAAGACTAGAGAGAATTGAAGGGCAATAGAGAAAGGGTTGGCCCATCGACTCCAGTTGCTTATTTGTGATCACTATATTGGCTGGCTGAGAACAGAGGCCTGAAGTTCTTAGGCAGGTAGGTGTGGAGAGCAGTGGGCCCCCACAGGGAGGATTCAGTACTCGAAAGGCCTGGGGACTGAGGCTGCTGGAGGAGCCCCTGGGAAGGGGCCCTTCTTGAATAAAACATCTAGATGGTCTCTAGGTTGGTCCTGTGTCCAAGCCGCCTGCCAAGCAGGGAGGCAGCGCAGTCCGGAGGCTGGGGCGAGGGGGGCAGGGCTTGCTTCTAACGGCAGAGGCCTGTAGGAAATGCGCAGATCCACTTTCTAAAGGTCATGTTTTCCTTCAGAGGAGGCAGAGTTGTTTTTGCCTCTCACTTTCAACACTCTGTAGGTGCCCAAAGCAGGATGGCTACCTCCTAGCAACGTTCAGGGGACTGCCCTGTCCTCCTACCTCCATCCCAGTCACCCAAGCACAGAGCCAGCCCTGGGCCAAGCTGGGGGAAGCACCCAAGCCTTCTCCCACGGGGCCAGCCCTGGAAGATGCAGATGGGCCTCAGAAGCAGATAGAGGGACCCAGGTGTCCAGCTGGCCCTTCTTTACCCTCTTTACCTGGGATGTGGGAAAGGACATAGGACCTTTGTTCCTGCGGAAGGTCATCTAGAAGGGCTTTTGTCCCCAGAGGCCGGGTTGCTGTCCCAGCCCTCCCTGAAAGGGCAATGGCCCAACACCGAGGCTGGGGCCCAAGGGAAGGAGCACACCAATGACAGCTTCCCCAGAGGAACTCATACTACACCTACACACAGCAGATCCCACAGACACAAGACAGCCGTGTGCAGGCTCACAAACCCCCGCAGGCCCCACACACACGCTCATGAGCACACATGCAGGCGCAGCTCCTGCTGAATGAGGCTGAGGCTGCCTCAGTGCTGCTGCTGCTCCCCTGATCTCAAACCTCAAATGGCCTCTGGGGACAGCTCTGCCTGGCAGGCATTGGGTTGGAGGCATGGCAGTGGACCCTGTAACTACACCCCCAGCCCCACCTCAGGTCTGTGGGATAGAGGACAGAAGCTCCAGCCTCACGGCTGAGTGTCAGCTGGGTCAACAGGCAATGTCAGCAGCTCGGCTCAGCTAACAAGCATGTCCCAGGTGTCCTTAGCGCCTGCCTGGGGCCTCCGGTGTCTGAGGAGGAACCATCTGGCTGTTGAGGGAAGAGGAGATCCTCCATGCTGCAAACCCTGGTCACCCTCCCCAGTTCCTTCCTGGGGACCAGCTGGCCTTGGGAAAGTCACTTGTTCTCTTGGCACCCTCTTCCTGCTGGCAACTGGGCCTGAGCTGTCCGGGTGGGTAGAAGGTAGGAGCAGGGGACTGCAGGCTCCTTGGGCAGGGTTTCCCTGAAATCTGCATTGTGGAACCAGAGCCCCTGAGGGTGAAAGGTGGTGGGACAGGCAACCATCTCTGCCTCTTCCCTCCTGCTGAAGGGGTTTGGGGAAGTTGGAGGGGCTCTCTTAACTACCTTTTAACATTTCCTGTATGCTCAGACTGCCTGCAAGGGTATGAAGGAGAAAGGAAAGGGGAAAAGGAGGGAGGGAGGGAAGGAAGGAGCAGGCCTGAAACATCAGAGTCCTAACTACGGGGTACTAACGGGGTTCTAGGCAGAGGGTGAAATGGGAAGTTTTGGTGGCAAATGACTCTGTGGCCCTCACATCACACCAGGTGGGTGGACCAGTCACAGGACAAATATGTAAATATCCTAGTTAGACATTGGATTGTCTAAATAAGAGAGGGTGGGAACAGCTTGGGAAGAGAGTAGTAGTTGATGTATTCAGGGCTCGAGGGCTTGGGAGTTGGGGGGCAGGTGCAGAAGAGCTCCAGTTGGGCCAAGTCAGCCCCCAGCTGCGGGCAGATACAGGACAGGCACTGAGCCAGCAGAGCAGCAGGGCATGAGGGCACACAGGTGAGAGGGGTGCAGACTGACAGAGACCCAGATTGCAGGGCTGATGGGGAGGGGGAAGGAAGAAGGGAGGCCAGGCATGCCCAACAGAGCCAGGGACCCCTCAGCCTACCCTCATTGTCCATCTCTATCTGAGCCCCACAGCCTCCTCCACCCCATTCCAGGGATAGTGCAAACTGGTCAGGGCTTCTTGGAGTTCCGCTCCCAGGGTGAAGGGGAAACTAATGTGGGGGCTCACCCCTCTCCCGACCTTTAATCCAGGTTCCAACCAGCCTTGCTTTGACAGGGTTCAGCGAGTGCAAGTTCCCCAGCCCCCACTGCCCACCACCCCTGCCTCTCCTTCTCGGCCCTGCGAAGCACTGAGGGGGAAGGGGTCTGTCGAATCCCATTAGGCAGAAGGCCCCGGAGGGCGGAGTGCTGACGTGGGCCTTGCTGCTGATGCTGCGGAGGCAGCCCATGACCCCCCTACCCGGCTTGGGGCTCTGGCTTGGGTCTCCTCCAGCTCTGAGAAGGTCAGGAGGAGGCCCTGGCCTGGGGGCAGCCCAGGAGCAGCTCAGAGGCCCAGGCCCATTCCCTGGGGACACTCAGGAGAGTGAGACCAAGAGTGACAGCTTCAGCAGCAGACTCCAGGGCTGGGCCTGTGTCTCTCCCTGCCCTGTCTCCTCTCTTCCAGCCCCGCATGATCTCCTGTACAGGTTGTATATGCCTTGTTTTTATTTTACAAAGGAGACCTCATGGAAACTTTGCCCTTGAAACCCAATCCTCAGACAGCCGCTCCTGCCTGTGAACCTTGGCTGGCTTCCCTACAGGCCGGGCCCTGGACCTCGGGGTGGGGCACCTAGGGTTGGCCCCATAGCACCTTCCTCCTGCCCAGGCCCCTGGGGCGACCTGCTTGGGGAGCTTCCTGGCTGGTTTCTTAAACCTCCCCTGACCCCTGCCCCTCAGCCCCTGCCACAGGTGAGCGGGATGAGATCTGGGCTCTTCATTTTTTTAAAAGAATGAGTTACATTTATTGATATGGTTTGTCATATGCTTTATAAATGGTCACCCTTTGAAACATGTATTATTACTATTTGGGGGAGAGGGGGACTGTTCATTTTACAGGGGACAAGCAAGACAGGCTCAAGGAGGGAAAGGACAGGCTCAAAGTCATCACAGTGTGGGGCTGGAATGCAGTTGCCCTTCCTTCTTTCTTTTTGCACATCTTCCGTCTCTAGGGTGAGGAGGGGTGTAGGCACAGGCACCCAAGACAGCTGCGGTCCAGCCCCGGCCCCACCTGTGGTCTCAGTGACGCCCCAGAGGCCCCATCTTCCCCACATAATGAGGCTGCTCCATCCTCCTCAAAGCCCAGACCTATTTCATAAGCCCCAGACCCCACCTTCACCCAGGGCCCCAAGAGAACAGAGCTGGAGACACTTCTACTCCTAGCACTGGATGCCTTCTCCCCTCCTGTGAAGCTGTAGGTGGGGGGTGGAGGACACCCCTTTAAGGCAGGCTCGGGGGGCTATGAACTCCAAGACTCCTGGAAGCCAGTAAGAAGTGGGAAGGTAGGCACACCATTTGGGATTTTTATTTTTCACTGAGCTAAGAGAGGAGATTCCAGCTATGGAATCCAGAGAGCGTTCTACAGGAACAGAACAGAAATTGGCTGGGCCCTGGGCCCAGAGGAGGCCTGGAGCCGCTTACTGTTCAGTGCCAGCTTCATCCTTGGCACTCTGCCTCTCACACAGCATCGCTCCGGCTCCCAGAGCCCACAGTGGCAGCCGCTGGAGGCTGTGGCAGCAGCTGCTGCCCTGCCCAAGGAGGGATGTGGGCTTGGCTCTGACAGTTCAAGCCAGAAAGAGCCTTAGAAGTCATTCAGGACATTCCCATTTTACAGATGATGAAATAAGGCTCAGAGAGAGCAGGGGCTTTCAAGAACAATAAAGGTGGAGACTGGAACTCAGGCCTCCTGTCTGCTGAGGGTGTCTGCCCATGCTCTCTCTCAGAGTTTCTGAGTGGTGGTGTCTGGAGGGGCTGGACACGCAAGGGAGCTGGCCTCGTGTGTGTCTGTCTGTGCCGGGATGTATCTGTGGCTTCTGTCTCTGAACGTGCCAGGGGTTTTGTGTCCTGTGTGTGTCTCTCTGTGGGTGCTCCTGTGTGCAGGAACTTGGGGCCATGGCCAGAGAGGGATGGGCCTATTCCTACAATCTTGGGAGGCCTCCACAGGCTGAGCTGGTGGGGAGGGTCCTGAAGGGTAGAGTGAAGATGGGGACTTTACTCCCAGCGGAGAGGAAGAAACCAGAAGATAGGCTTGGGGCATGGATGGGAAAGGTCTTGGAACTAGGATGGGGCAAGGGAAACAAAGCCCCAAATGGAGTATGGGTCCCTGGAAGTTGACACACTCTTAGCCCTCATGGGGGCCCAGCCCAGTGGGTAACCCCGGGGAAGTGGTCACATGACGTGACACTTCTCAGCTGATTGCTTGAGATCCCCCAGTGTGGCCTGGGCCTTGTCCTTGAGTGAGCCCAGGTTCAAGCCAGGAAGGCTGGCCAGCTGCCCAAGGACTGAGGCCTTCTCCTCCTCCTCCTCTGTGTCCTCCTCGATCATCTTGGCCAGCTCCCGGGGCAGCTCCACGTCTCCACCTGCCATCTGGATCTGGCTCTCATCTGTCTCGTTCTGAAGGGAAGAGGGGAAGAGGGGGTGGGGTGGAGTGGAAGTCTGTGAGGACCCAGAGTTGAGAGGACAGGGAGGAGGCTTGGACTGGGTTCCAGGCCCCTAGATTCTATTTTTTCTTTTTTTTTTTTTTTGTAGAGACGAGGTCTCCCTATGTTGCCCACGCTGGTCTCAAACTCCTGGGCTCAAGTGATATGCCCACCTTGGCCTCCCAAAGTGCCGGGGGAATACAGGAATGAGCCACTGTGCCCGGCCCCTTAGATTCTTGAGCCCCATGTTCCAGTGAGCTCAGCTCCCACCCCCACATCCCAGGATCAAGCGTTTGATGCCTGGACATGGAGACCTTTTTATATTACCTTATTTCACTCTGAGATGCTGAAGGACCAGCACAGTGAGTAAAGACAAAATGAAAATACCTATGAGTCACACTGTTACAGTCAGCTAAGTCATGTTTTGACTCTTGTTATGCTTAAGGGTGTAACCAAAAATAGTGATGGGTACCATTTATCAAACATCTATTATATCTATTACATGGCAGACGTTGAGCTGGGTGCTTTTAATTCTCACAATAACCCTGTGAGGTAGGTAGGTATTGTTATTTCCACTTCACAAATAAGGAAATTGAGGCTTACAGGATTTAAGTAACTTACTTTAAATTTAAGTTACTTAACTAACTTAAGTAACTTAAGTAACTTAAATTATCCAAGATCACACAGGCAGGATGTTGGGGAGCTAGATTCAAACCTATGTCACTGATTCCAACATCTGTGTTTTTTTGCATGGCACCTACGATGACCATTGCCCTTCACTATTCTTCTGGGGGGCGCCTTATGTCCTACTCAGTTGCATCCAAGTCTTGGCTCTTCTGCTCAACTCTGACTTTGCTGATGGCAGGTGTCTCTTATATGCCTAGCGCAAGCATCTGAGGAATGATTTTATTCCTAGAAGAGTTTGCAGTGAGGCAGGCTTTCTGGACCGGTTTTTCCCCGTGACAGATTTCCAAAAGATTGGTGCCCTGTGGGGAGTCAGAAGCAGCTGGGGACTCAGTAAATATTTGTTGAATGAGTGAATGTGATGTTCATATATTTGGTCATTCAATTCAAGTGGAAGATCAAAATCAGGAGCGCTATAGCCCTGTGCTGTTTTCCCCTGAGTCCAGCACAGTTCTGGATGCACTAGGGTGATATTCTGGGAGAGATTTGTGCTTCATTCCCCTCCTTAGACAACAGGAGCAGCACACTTACACGCCCATCTGGTGGTGCACTGCCCAGGGGAGCGTGGGGGCAGGGATCTCCTGAGATATACTCTCTGGCTGCTTGGCCGGCCAAGGGGGTACTTGGCTCTCTACGGGCAGACTCCATACTCTGGAAAGCAGCCTGGGGCCCTGGAGCAAAGGCAGGCTCATATTCACCGGCTTGAGGGCTGGTCCCAGCTCCATGGCTCACTGGCTGTATGATCTTAGCCAAGTCCCTCCATTTCTCTTAGCCTCAGTTTCATCTTTTGTCGCTGTGGGTGATAGCTGCCTGGCAGCATTATTGGGGGTTAGATGAGGACATGAAGGTCAAGTACTTGGCACACACAGGGCTTCTCTCCCCCACCTTAAGTAAGTTCTGCCCTTCAGTAGGTTCAGAAACCCCCAGAACACTCACCTCTGCAGTCAAATCTACTGATTTCTGCCTCCCCTGTGTCTTCCTCTGCCCAGGCCTGGCCCAGGCTTGGTGGGGATATGGGGGGTGGAGGAGAGAAGAGGCCTAGATTGGCTCCAGAAATACAGACCTGTCAGTCTCATGAGGACTGGGGTCCCCTCAGCACAAAGCCCTGGCCCTTGGTGGGCACAGATTTAACTACGAGTGAGTGAATGAATAAAAGAACAAATGAATGAGAAGGAAGGATCTAACCAAATACCCTGTGAGTCTCATAGCTGAGGGCTGTGGTGCCCAGAATGGGGCGAAGGAGTCCAGAACCCAGAGCTCAGGGTCCCAGATGTGCCTCACAGCCGGGGCCAGCTTACCTTGGGTAGCCGGTATTTGTCTCGGAAGTGGCTCCGCAGTGTGGCCCGCTCTGCCTTCCTCTGTGTGAACTGTGCATCCCGCTCCATCCTGCAGGGTCACCGGAGGCAGAGTCACCACGAGGGCTGAGAGAAGGGGGTTGAGGTCTTCGAGGGAGGGACAGAAGGGGTCTCTGAGTCCTAGCAGCTGCTGCATTGGTCCCTGTGTGTAGCAAAAGCGCTCCAACCCGGACATCCAGGTTTCTGCTGCCTCTGCCCATCACAGTGCCCTTTGTCGTCTCTGCCACTGGATGGAACTAGGGAACCAGGGTGGCAGTCTGTCTGGCTCTCTCTGCAGATCCTAATTATTTGTCCCTCATGGCCTCCAACTTGGTCTGCTGTTCCCTCACTGACAAGCTATGTCATGTGGGGAAAAGTATTCAGGCCAAACTTGGGTTCACATCCCAGCTCCACTACCATTTTAGGTATATCCTTAGGTAAGTCACTTACCTTCCTCTTCTGTAAAATGGGGATAAAATTTTGCAACTCACAAAACTGTTATCAGGATTGAGCGAAATAATAGCTATCATTTATGAGACTTTATCATGTGCCAGGTGCTGTGCTAAACAGTTTACATGCATTGGCATTTAATCTTCATAAATATACAAGGCATGTATTATGATTACCATCCCCACTTTCCAGAAAAGGAAACAGAGGCACAGAAAGGTTAAGTAACTTGCCTAAAGTTATCCAGCTAATAGGCAAAGCCAGGCTCTGAACCCAAGTAGCCTAGCAGCAGAGTCCAGCCCCAAACTCTGTCCCAGCACTGCGGGCACACAAGTGCTCAATGTTTGTGAGTGCCCCCATCTCAGGGTCTGTCTCCGCGACTCTGAGCGGCTGCACCACTTTTTTCAGAGCCTCAAGTTCAGAGGAGCCCCAGTTGGAAGACATAGGCGGCTGGGACCAGATCGGATTAAGGGATTATCGTTTCGTCAGAAACGCACGTGCACCCCCTTCCTCGTCCCAGGCTCCGGTCGGTCCCTCGTCCGGTCGCCCCTCCCCCCACTCCCCCTTGGCCGGAGCATGATGCTGGAGCGGGGTTTTGGGTGTCAGATAGGATGGGTCTGGGGGCAGTGTAGAGGACACCTCCCGGTCTCTTACCGTGTCTAGGAAAGTAGGGGAGAAGGGATTGGGACCTGAGGCTGGCCCGGGGATGGACTGAGCAGCTGTGGGGGTGGGGAGGGGAGGTCGTTGGAGCCAGGAAGGGATCCCACTCACTTCTCTTCCACGAGTTGCTTCTGATACTCCTCGTACTCCTCCCGGCTCATGCCCTGAGCTTCGGCTGCCGACTTGTCCCCATCTCCCTTATCCTCGCCGCCTCCCAGGCTCCCAGTGAGGTTCTTCAGCTGGCCGCCCACCATGGTCTTCACCATGAACGCCATGGTCTTCGCCGGCCGGGGCACCGGGCGCCTGCTACCACGCGCCAGGCACCGGGCACGTCCGCGCCTACTTCAGCACTAGGTTTCGCGGACAGCTCCCGCCGCGGGCCCGCGCCCCACGCTTGGCACCGCCCGCCGCCCGCCCCCGCCCGGGCCCGCCCCCACCTCCCCAAACCCCTCCTCACTGGGGGCGGGGGGCAGCACGGGGCTGAGAAGGCTGGACCACGTGCCCGCTCCCCACTCCCGCCTCCCCCACGTGCCTCCTTCAACGCCGAGCTCCGCTGGGCACTGCTGACAGAGGATTAGGGCCTGCGGTGGTGGGGTCGCTCTCCCGGGAGAGGGGTTGAGCTCATACACTCCCGGAACCCTGTTCCATAGCCTCTTCCAACTTTCTCCTCTCCTGGGCCACTAATAACTAGGATTTCAGCTGGGAGATCCAGGTAGCAGCAAGGGGTAAAAACCCAGCCTTGGGTGCCCCCCATTCTCCCCACCCACCCAAGTCACTGAACCCAGCAGCTGCCCAGAGAGCTTGACGCTGGAAAAGGGAGGGAGACCTGAGGGCGCGAGCGGGAATCCCAGTTATGGTTCCACGAGTTGGCCTCTCAGGGTTGCTCTGTCACGCGCCTCCCCTGCTGCCCCTGGAGCAGCTAGGAGTGGGGAGGGAGAGAGCTGCTCAGTGATGCTGGCTGAGCTGGGCCAGGAGGGACACTGGGAGACACTGCTCTCTGTTATGGGTGAGTTTGAGGACAGAATTATATACAGTCATGGCTCTCTTTCCCTCCATAGTCGAGGGTTCAAAGCCCGTGGGGTATCCGGTCTTTTGGAGGTTAAGCCAGGCCTTGGCCTCCTTGCCTGCTTGGAGCGCACTCCCAGCCAGGTACTCAGAAGGGGTGGAAGCCTTCACAGAGATTAGGGTGAGGCTGGAAAGAAGACCAGCATATCACAGCATGGGGAGAGGGAAATCACCTTTAACGAGGTGGGAGCATGCCGAAAGCTCAGGTGTGCGTGGGAGCTGGGCACCCAGACGGAGAGGATACTGACCAAGCCCCCACCCAAGACACTGCCTGCTTCCCAGTGATGCAAAGCAGGCTCTGAGGTGGGTCAGGCAGGCATGCTGGCAGGGAGAGGCTGCCTCCTCAGAATCCCCAGGGCCCTGGGGGTGTGTGGTGCAGGACCCAGAGGAAGGCTGCCTGTGGACAGACACTCCTGAAGGCTCTTGTTCAGCTCCTGCCTGCTGCCAGAGAGAAGGTTACAGGTTACTTGCGTCTCTCCTTTATGGGCTTTTGAAAAACCAGGACTCTCATGCTTGCCTTGCTACACTCACTGCACCACAACCTCCGCTGTTCTTGGACTTTCTGTGGCTCCTTTGGCCCGCTGCATATGGTCCACGCTTTCCCCCTGGGCATGTAAGGTCTGTCCTAGTGGCTCCAGGCTGATTGCCACCACTGCACTCCTGTGCATGTGCTGAAGCCTGTGAGCATTTCTACCTTGTGCTTTTTAAAGCTTAGCTCATTTTACTCCTCCTCCAGGACCATCCCAGCCCACACGGACTCTTCTTGTCTTGAAATTCCACCAACAAAGATTGTCAGTCTCATTGCTGAGGCCTTTAGCACACCCCACATCTCTAAACGGTGCACGTTCATTCAGCAAACACACACCAAGCAAAACTAGTGACCTCCTCTCACTTTTTCAGATCTCTTTGCCCAATTTCACAAACTCGTCCTGCCCTTTGCTCCAACATTACTGAACTTGCCACTTTTTCTCTAAAATATTATGTTTTTCTCATGCCTCCCTGCCTTTTCTCATGCTGTTCCCTCTGCCTCTATGCCTTTACCTATCTTGTCAGGGTGGAAAACTCCTAGTCACCTTAATGACCATATCAAATGTCCCTTCCAGGTTGATTCCCTAACCAAGGGGGGTCAAGTGTGTTCTCCTGCACTCTCGTAGCCCCTCAGCTTCCTGACATCATGGCATTGACGACACAGGGTCAGTTAGACCTGTGTGAGTGAGCTCCGTGAGAGCAGGACCCAGATGGGGCTGGGGGCCGAGCAGGTGGTCAGTAGTGCTTGGTGAGAGAATGGGCCCTATCCCGCACTGTGCTCTTTGTGATTTGGGGACTCGGCAGGTCCCCTCTGAGCTGAAGTGTCCCCTCTCCTAAATCCAATGGTTATAGCTGAGAACCAAGAGATGCCAGTGCTGTGGGAAATCCTGCTCACGGGGTGGCCCACCTGAAGTGCACGTAGCCGAAGAAGCCTACAGTCTGAATGAGGAGGTAGAACAGGAAGATGCCAGGCTGCAGGCACGAGGAGGCCCTTGGGGGCTGGCCAGGTGGGCGGGGGGCCTTGGCTGCTGCCTTCTGAAAGGGGAAAGTCTAAGGTCCTAGCTTAGCTTCTTACCCAGAAGGAGTGGGGGACCTGGAATCTAGGCCATGTGCATGCTCCGTTTCCTTTCCCCAGGCTTGGGGCGTCCTGGCTCTCATCCAGGGAACTTGGAGAGGGGGCAGTGTACAAAGCTGCCTCCCCCACCCCAGCTCCCATGGCTGCATCTGTGGGAACAGCTGGGAAGGCCTGGGGCCTGGGATCATCAAGGGGCCCAGGGTTCAAGAGAAGAGAAGAGAGAAGTAAAGAGCCAAAGACAGGGTGAGCAGGGTGAGGGCGAGGGAACGAGGATGGGACAGGGCATGGGGAAGCGCTGACTACCACTGGACTCAGTGATCTTGGACACAGCCCACCCTGTTTCCCCTCTGGTCATTGGATATTGGATCGAGGGGTGTCCAGGGCCCTGCTGCTGCTGAGTCTGTGGGACTCTTCAGAGAGGAGAGAGGACAGAGAAAAGATGAGATGTGTGGTGGCACGTATGCACGGACACACAGACACTGACGCAGGCACAGATGTGCTTGCCAGCAGTCCTGGGAGGGGAGGGCAAAGGCAGGAGGGCTTGGGGCTGCTGAAGTGCTGGAAGAAGGGTGGCTGAGCCCAGACGTCAAGGTTGGGGACCCCATGCTGCCCACTACTTTCCCCTCACCGCCGGGCCCCGAAGCTCCTCCTGCAGGAGGCCCAGGATGTGGTCCAGCTCTAAGAAATGATGCTCAATGCCCACAGGCAGGTAGGAGACCTGGGCTTCTGCAGCCATGCGGACAGCTGCATCCCTAACCGGGGGTGGTAACCAAGTAAGATGACTCATTACCTCTTCTGCTTCCACCCAGATGGCCTAATCATTTCCCATCTCCCCAAGGGCAGCACATGGATGGGGAACAGGTACCATCCATGGGGCCCCTTCTTGGGGGCTGGTCTTTTCACCTCCAACCTTCTTCCTAGATCCTGAGACTTTAGCTCAGATAAAGATCTCCCTAAAGCTATCTGTGTCAACCCCAGGCTCCCCGGCTCTGCCTTCCATTCCCAGCCCCTGGGGATTTAACTCCTTTCCTTCTTCTCATCTAGGTGCCTCTCCACCCCCAACCCTAGGCATCTAGCTGTGTGTGTACAGGTGGGGCTTTAGGCTTCAGCCTGGGATGCATGCCTCCTCCACAGCATCCCCAGGACTCCCCCAACCCCCAGGGCTCCAGAGGCCTGGCCTAGAGTGGGATACCGGGAAGTTAATGGGGGCACAAAACCAAGTCAGGGACTGTCTCATCCAACTGGTCTGATCTTGGCTGTGCTCCCTCTCCAAGAGCCCCCAACAAAATGCCCCTCATCCTAGGAGCTGCCATTGAAGGAATGCTCAGATTTCTTAAGCCTCCTGAGGGTGGGAGTGTCTGAGGGGGCCTTCATGATGGGCTTCTCCAGGAGAGAATTGCTTTTTAACTAGGACTTGCAAAACATTAAACTTGATTCAATTAAATTCAAGTCAACTCAACAAACCTAACTCCACCAGTAGCCCTTCCAATTGACAGGCTGTGTGCTGGGCGCTCAGGAAATGATGGAAGGAATGAAGGGCTAATGGAGGAACTTAAGGCGGAGAAACAAGGTGGTGGAGGGGTCCCCACCCAGTCCCTTACCTCATCTCTTGCAGGGCCTGGAGCAGAGTCCACTGTCCATGGAGCAGGGCACCGACCTTGGCAGAGTCCTGCAGAGGGGCAGCCTCTTGTCTAGGGCCCAGGACATAGCCCCTCTCTTCTCAGAGCCCACCTTCCCAGCGGCACTGCAGCCTCTTCCTTCCAGAGGCCTTCCCAGATTACCAGGGCCTCCTTATTTGGACACACTGTGTTTCTCTGACCTCATCCATAAGGGCATCCACATTCCCCCTCCACTCACGCCCCTCTCCCCAGGGGTGGTTGTTTCCTCCCAACAGTGGCCACTTCAGGGTTTTCTCAAAATACTTCTCCCTTCTTATTTATTTATTTGAGATGGAGTCTTGCTCTGCGGCCAGGCTGGAGTGCAGTGGCACAATCTCAGCTCACTGCTACCTCTGCCTCCTGGGTTCAAGCGATTCTTCTGCCTCAGCCTCCCAAGTAGCTGGGACTACAGATGCATGCCACCACGCCCAGCTAATTTTTGTATAATTTTTGTATTTTCAGTAGAGACAGGGTTTCACCATGTTGGCCAGGATGGTCTCGATCTTTTGACCTTGTGATCTGCCCGATGGTGTCAGTCTTTTGACCTCGTGATCTGTCCGCCTTGGCCTCCCAAAGTGCTAGGATTACACGCGTGAGCCACCATGCCAAGCCAAAATACGTCTCCCTTCTAAAAGTGGTTCTGTCCCCTGAAGGAAGCAGAGGCCCAGCCCAGTCCTCTCTGCCCTGGTTCTCCCAGAGCACCAGCCAAGCTGGGGCCAGTGCTGGTCAACACCCAGTGTTTGGGTCCCTACCTTATTGAGTGACATGGAGAGGTGGCCACCCCTCCCTGGGGTGGATGGAATCTGGCAGGAAGCATCCAGGGCCTGGGGATAGGATCAGAGAGGCTTGGCCCTGGAGTGTAAGTCCCCTCCCCTCTTCCCCACACTAGCAGCCCAGCCTAAGCTGCTCTGACACAAGATTAAAACCTCGAGCTGTCAGAGCCCAGCAAAGCCCACAAGAGCTGCTGGCCTCCTCTGCCCAGTATCTAACACCTTGGCTGAGTTTAGCTCTCAGGCCCCCAGGCTGGGCATGACCCGAGTTATGACTCCCTGGGGGAGGAGCCAGATGGCAATGGAGATGCAATGAGGCTTCTGGTGCAACTGAGCATTAAGCAAGCCCTATGCAAATCGCATGTGAAGCTACATGCAAATTAGCACCTAGTCTATTTCTGTCATTCATCTACAGAGCTGAGTCCAAATAGCTGGCATCTCCTCTCCCCAGCCCCAGCCTCAGCCCCAGCCCCGTGCGCATTTGCTTGTGCAGAGATGCCATCCTGCATGCTGCCCTGCCCCATCCTGTGACCTGCAGCATTTCATCCCTGCCTTCCTTTCCCTCCAGGCCTTAGGGGAGACTAGTTGCTGACTACAGTGCTTGCTCCTCTTTCAGGCCCGCAGGTGGAGCCTTGGATGCCTGTAGGGCTTCTCACCCAGCCTCCGTCAGGCCTGGCTTGGCCTGGGGGCCCCAGCTGCTTCTTCCATTGTCTCTCAGCCTGGGCCAGCTGCTTGGAGAGACCCCGCAGAGCCTGCAGGATCCGGCGGTGTCTGCCCAGCGTCTCCTCCAGGTCAAAGAGCCTTTCCCCTGGGGATTAGGGCAGAGCTGGGATGGGCAGCCAGCCATGGTGGGGTAACACAGCCTATCTTATCTTTGGGGTGGCTTCTTGGAGAGGGGTGCCAGAAGGTGTGGCTGCTGCCTCCAAGACCCTCTCCTGGAAGATGAGTCTGAGTGGTAAGGTGGGGATAGCACAGAACACTTGGGCCCAGGGCCTGCTTAGATGTGGCCTCCTCAGGCCTCAGTTTCCCTACTGATTAAAGGACCCCTGGTCATAAGGGTGGAGGATGCTGTGACACTCAGATGGGCGCCACCTGCCCGCTCTCTCGGTCCCTACCTTCTCCTTGAGCTTCAGAGTCTGATTTTGGAGTTACATCCTCCCTGGTGCCCAAGCCCAGCCTTGCCCACAGCCCTTCCAGCTGCCTCGCCAGGCGGAGCTGCTGCATCTCCAGGAAGGGCTGAGGGGGAACCTAGGGGAGGAAGACAGAAAGTCGGGCCCCAAACCCATGGGAGATCCAGAAGCAAGGGGAGCCTTCCCACAGGCTTCCCCACGAGCCCAGCCTTCCTCCCTGGCCAGCTGGCCCTGCAGTTTCCAGCCCTCTGAGTTCTGCCTTCACGCAGATCCCCACCATCTTCCCTCCCTGCTGTGGCCTCAAGCCTATATGTGCTGGTCCGAGGCTCCTTTAAGCTCATCTCCTCCAGGCAGCCTTCCTTGACCCCCTGGCTGGTTGGGACTCCTCCTCTGTGCTCCCACAGCCCCCTGCACCTTTTGAGACCTGGCACTGATCGCTCTGAACTGTAATGTCACAGCCTGAGCCAGCCAGCCTGCGAGACCTCACACACCGGCCCTGGCCCGCAGCACTGCCCTGCACAAGGTCTGGCCTGAGCAGAGCTCAGAGGCCAGGTGGAGGTAAGGGCTGGAATGGCAGGTCTGAGGGCACCATGACATGGGTGAGGGCAGGGTCCCTGGGCTGCCATTCCCAGGTAGGCCAGGGCTGGCATCACCTCTGGGCTGGGCTCACTCAGGCTGAAGGTCAGGAAGGACAGGACATCATGATCATCTGGAAGGGGACAGATGAAGGAGAAGTAAGACCCCTCCACCCAGCAACCCCCTCGCTCAGCCTTCACCCTAACCGCCATGATATCCCACCGAGGCAAGAGGGGTGACTTTGGGCCACCGTCTGATGCTTGTCTTGCTTACTTCCTAGGAAAGGTGTGAGGGTTGACAGGTAGACGGGTGGGTGGTGAGGGTTGAACCTCACACTCAGTCAGAGGCAGGCCCCTGTGGCAGAACTGGACGATCCCAAAACATCCTGGGCTAGAGCCATGGCAGCAGACCATCTGACACTCTTAGGCCCCCAGAGCACAGCTGCTACTGGTAGTAGCAACTGCACAGTGGCCACCTTTCCAGCATAGCTCTGACCATGTCACTCTCCTCCTCAGAAACCAGACCAAGGTCCTGGCATTCAAGGACTCCCACGCTCTGGTTGCCCTCAGCTTTCCCGCTGTGGGACCCTCCGTGGACTCTCCATGGTGTCACATTTCTTTGCTCCATTTTCCTAAATGCCCCTCTTTGCTGTCTGTCTTCCACTTGTCCCGCAACTCACAGCTAGGGGCACTTATGTGGCCAGCACTGAAATCAAAGCTTCTCTTGTTTTATCCCATTTGAGACTTGCAAGTCTCAAGGCAGACATGACTTCTCCCAAGGGTCACAGAAGCCCAGGTCATGTGGTGAAGTGGCTGACGCCACCCCAGTGCTCTTTAGAAGGTGTGCTGAGGGTGATTTATTCATCACTGCCCTTCTGCTCTTACCTGTCCAGTGGGATCCTCACCTGCCAGGGTGCCGGTGGCTGCTGAGACCCCAAAGAAACCTCCAGGGACCAAAAGCAGGGGCCCCACATCCACACAGAACTCACCTGGATCACTGGGAGTGAGGCCACTGTTCAAGGACATCTGAGGGACATGGAGAGAGTGAGCAGTGGGGGGGTGTCCCTACCTCTGACTCCCTGGCTCCCCTGGCCGTGGGATGGCAGGTGGCCCTAGGGCTTGGTATCAGAATGGCATGGAGGTGACCCGCACTCCTGGTCTCATGTGAGCCCTTACATGTATGTGCTCTGGGTGAGTGTTAGGATTCTGTGTAGGGATGGAGGATCCCCTGTGGATGTTGGCCCGTGTGTGCCAGGGACCTCACGTGGTGTCACAGGCACTGGTGTGTTGGGGCCGTGGGCACGCACACATAGCAGCTCTGTAACTCAGAGCCCTGTCAGAAGCAGGAAGGGTGACTCACGCGCAGCCTCTGCCCCCAGTAGGTGATCCGTGCTCTGAAGGGGTGTGGCCGGTTCCGGAAGTCCCAATGACAGGAGCCCAGCCCTTGGCTAGCTCCATCCCTGTGGGCAGTTTGTTCATTTGTTTGTTTTTGAGAAAGAGTCGCTGCCCAGGCTGGAGTGCAGTGGTGCAGTTGTGGCTCATTGCAACTTCTGCCTGCTGGGCTCAAGTGATCCTCCCACCTCAGCCTCCCAAGTAGCTGAGACTACAGGCATGCACCACCATGCCCGGCTAATTTTTGTATTTTTAGCAGAGATGGGGTTTCACATTGTTGGTCAGGCTGGTCTCAAACTCCTGACCTCAAGTGATCCACCTGTCTTGGCTGCCAAAGTGCTGGGATTACAGGTGTGAGCCACCATGCCTGACTCTTGTGGGCAGTTGGAATCCAGCCAGGATATACAGGACTCAAGGCCTGGACAGTGAGGGCAGTCCCAGAAGCCACTCTGCCCAGATTTGCTGTGCCACCTCCCTTTCCGCTGGGCGAGCTGGCATGGGACATGTACCTTGTCTAGCTTGAGTCTCCCTTGTTGTACCCTGCTCCCTTGGCAGAAGAGAGAGGAGCAGGGGAAGCAAGCCCTGCCTGACGGAGTGTTGGGACTTGGATTTACAGAAGGGGCCAGGGGCCTCCCTGTGGCCCTTCCTTAAGGGGACAAAGGCCTGGACCAACAATACAGTTTCTGCCCTCCATTCCCCCGACCCACCTATCACCCTCGTCCTATCACCCTTACGTCCCTCCTTCTTCTCTCTCTCTTTTTTTTTTTTTTTCTGAGACGGAGTCTTGCTCTGTTGCCCTGGCTGGAGTGCAGTGGCGCGATCTCGGCTCACTGCAACCTTTGCCTCCTGGGTTCAAGCGGTTCTCCTGCCTCAGCCTCCCGAGTAGCTGGGATTACAGGTGCTCGCCACCACACCCGGCTAATTTTTTTAATTTTTAGTAGAGACAGGGTTTCACCATGTTGGCCAGGCTGGTCTCAAACTCCTGACCTCAGGTGATTAGCCCGCCTCAGCCTCCCAAAATGCTGGGATTACAGGCGTGAGCCACTGTGCCTGGCCTCTCCCTCCTCCTTCTTTTAAACTCCAAGTCCTCTGTGCCTCTGGCTTCCTTTTCCTCTCCCAGCTGCCAGGGCTCAGAATGCAGCTGACTCAGGACGGATGACCTGGACATGTCCCGGCAGCCAAGGACAATGTGACCAGGCTGCCTCCCTGACAGGTCGGCTCGGCAGGCTCTGGGGAGTCAGGAGAAGAGTGTTAAACGCTGAGTGTCTCTGGACACCTCAGGCTACTCACAGCAGAGCGTCTGACAGTGCCGCCTTCCGCCAAGAGGGAGGCAGCACAGGGCAGGGGAGAAGCCAGCACCACAGCAGCCACCTGGGTTTGTGCCCCGAGCTATGTGACCTTGGGCAAGCCATCTCATCTCTCCAAACCCCAGTGTTCCCATCTCTAAAACGAGGATGGTAATTGGAACGACCTCATAACAATGTTATGAGGGTTAACTAAGACAGTAAATGAGAAGGGCTTGGTGCTGTGCCTGGCATACAATCAGCTCACTCCATAAATGCAGGCAATTACTCTAATTGTTATGAGCCGAGAGAAGGTTGCTGAGAGACACTGACAAACCGGCCCAGCTACTGAGGAGGCAGTAGGGCCGGGGAGGGACAGAAGCCAAATCATCAGGGGAAAGGGAAGGGACAGCTATGCAGGGAAGGGCGAGGACCCTCCAGGGGTAAGTCTGGGCTCAAAGTTCAGCACTGCGCACGGCACATCCCTTCCCCTCTCTGGGCTCAATGTCCTGACCTGTAAATGGGACGAATAACCCCCCACTTATGGAGGGTGTTGGAGATGGGATGAGATCATGGGAGCAAAGATACTCATCACAGGCCCCAGCCTGTGTCATTTCACCTGGGGCTGCTGGGTCGAAGGAATCAAGCCCCAGGGGGGCGGACGTCGGCTAAGTGAGAGAGTCCAGCAAGTATGGCGGCCCGGCAGGGTGGGCCCCCTGCTGGAGGAGGCTGGGGCAGGGGCTCGGATGGGGGGGATGGGCCCCTCCCAGTGCAAAAATGGAGGTGAGTGGTCAGTCCAGACAGGCCCTTACCCAGGCTGCTCAGAGGGGATGTGCCCGTCGCTGGCCAGCACACGGATGGCAGGACTGTCCTGCAGGGAGGTGAGAAGCAGCCTGAGCCGCGGACATGGCGGGAGGGGGAGGGTGTGAGCGGGCAGGCGGGCTGGCAGGCAGGAGACCACTACGCACCTGAGTATCCTCTGCCGGAGAGTCAAAGAAGATCCCGATGCCGTCCCACGAAGCCAGCCCCCCAAGGACAGAGCCTACATGGCCCCTGCCCCGGGTGTACCACACGGCCTGCAGGTCCCCAGCCCCTCAGCTCAGGGAACCGTGTGGGATACTGGGACCCCGGGGCTCATCACCCGCCTCCCTGACCCACCCCGCTCTGTCAGCTCTGGGAGAGGACACTCACCATGCCCTGGGCTCCCCGGCGCCCCAGTCCCGTCACCCTCATCTGCACCTCTACTTCCCAGGCAGAGAAGGGGACAGAGGCCCTGCTCCACACGGCGCCACTCCGGTTCCTCATGGATGGCGTCAGCCGCACTTCCTCCAGGCCCAGGATGGCGTCTGTGGACAAGGGCAGCTCAAGCCCCAGGCTCCACTACACCCCATCTCCCCCTTCACTCTCTCACTTGGCCCGGGCTGGGCTCCCGGAAGAGAAGGCGACAATGCCAAGGCCTACCATTAAATAAGCGGCCAGCCAGGGAAGCAGGAGTCAGAGCCCAGCACAGCTGGAGGGGCCTTTGCTGGGGAGGGCAATGAATGCCAGCACCATCCACGTCGTCAGTGAAGCCTCACCGCAGTGTGTGCTGTCTGTTTTTATAAGACCCCATCTAACAGATGAGGAAGGTGAGGCTCATAAAAGTTAAGGAACTAAGTGGATTGGATGGAATTCAGCTCCATATGACTCCAAAGCACAAGCTTTTTCCACCACGAGAGAGATTTGTGTCTAACCCTTCCCATTTCTCAGATGACGAAACTGAGGCCTTGTGACAAAAAAGGAAGTGCCTGAGACCACAGAACACAGGAGAGCACTTTAGGAGGGAGTAACTGCAAGAAGGCCCAAGACTCTAGGCTGTGGCCAAATGAGGCCAGAGCTTCCTGGTGGACAGGACCTAGGGGGCATTCCAAGGTGAGGAAAGCAGGAAAGCAAAGATGTGAAGGTGAGAACCGGCCCACAGGACTGCGATGAAAGAATGCAGGATGGAGTATGTGTGTGAGAATTGCCACTGGCGGTGGTGGGGCGGGGAGGAAGGAGCCCTGCATGGTAGGAAAAAGGAATGGGAGAGAAACTGAGGCAGTCTTGGCAGGAACTGGGGGCAGGGAACTCAGAGGCCCTACTCGAGCTCGCTCCCCACCCTCCAACCTGCCAGCCTGGAACCTGGCCCAGGGCCCAGACTCTGCCAGGACGTTCTGGAGGCAGCTAATCCAGCCTGTTTGCTCTATAAAGGCCAGGGATGGGGGTAGGGAGGCTCAGAGCTGCAAGGCCACAAGTCCCAGGGCCTCTGGAAGCTGTCACTGCCTCTGAAATCCTTGCAGAAGGCTTTCAGCCTTACAAGGCCTGTGGGTGAGACCTTGCCCCAGACCATGGGCTCCTTCAGCCTCACTCTGCCTGGTATCTCTGGGCTGGGCACAGAGGAACATCAGGGTGAACGAATGAATGAACAGACAATGCACACATCACTGGGTGATCTTGGAGAAGGTGCCTCTGCTCCCTCACATGATCTGTGACACCCAGATTTGGCAAGGCCCATAGCAGTGAGTGTTGTATAAGTTTTGCCATCCTGGTCCTGAAGCAGGGCCCAGCTTGGTGCTGTGAGAAACAGCCCACCTTTTTGTTACCTCCTGTGTCTCTATGAAGGAGGACTGGAAGAAACCCTACTGACAGGGCCTATCATCTTAAAGGAATATTTTGGGCTGGGCGCGGTGGCTCATGCCTATAATCCCAGCACTTTGGGAAGCCGAGGCAGGCGGATCATCTGAGGTCAGTAGTTCAAGACCAGCCTGGCCAACATGGTGACAACCCGTCTCTACTTAAAAAATACAAAAATTAGGCTGGGCGCGGTGGCTCGCCTGTAATCCCAGCACTTTGGGAGGCCAAGGCGGGCGGATCACGAGGTCAGGAGATCGAAACCATCCTGGCTAACAAGGTGAAACCCCATCTCTACTAAAAGTACAAAAAATTAGCTGGGGGTGGTGGCAGGCACCTGTAGTCCCAGCTACTCGGGAGACTGAGGCAGGAGAATGGCATGAACCCAGGAGGTGGAGCTTGCAGTGAGCCGAGATCACGCCACTGCACTCCAGCCTGGGCAACAGAACGAGACTCCGTCTCAAAAAAAAAAAAACAAAAACAAAAACAAAAATTAGCTGCGTGTGGTGGCACACACCTGTAATCCCAGCTACTCAGGAGGCTGAGGCAGGAGAATCACTTGAATCTGGGAGGTGAAGGTTGCAGTGAGCCAAGATCACACCACTGCACTCCAGCCTGGGCAACAAGAGTGAAACTCCATCTCACAAAAAAAAAAGGGATATTTTGTCCTGGCTTTAGTTAGGAATCGTGCCATTTCTCAGAACTCACATCTTTTTTTTTTTTTTTTTTGAGCCAGAGTCTGGCTCTGTGCCCAGGCTGAAGTGCAATGGCAGGATCTCAGCTCACTGCAACCTTGGCCTCCCAGGTTCAAGCAATTCTCCTGCCTCAGCCTCCTGAGGAGCTGGGACTACAGGCGCACGCCACCACACCCAGCTAATTTTTGTATTTTTAGTAGAGTCAGGGTTTCACCATTTTGGCCAGGATGGTTTTCAACCTCTTGACCTCGTGATTCATCCGCCTTGGCCTCCCAAAGTGCTGGGATTACAGGCGTGAGCCACTGCACCTGGCCAAGAACTCACATTTTATAGACAGAAATCCACAGCCGATCTGCTTTCTGTCTTTGCTTTGCCTGCTAAGAGGCTCAGAATTAAATCCATGGCCCAACTCTCAGGTGGACAGACCTCACAGCATATGTTTTGGAAGCCATGCTCCTAGACTATTTCACGCTCCACTCTAATCCTCATTGTTCTTGCTCACTCCCTCTATCGTGTAGTTCCATCATCACAAACCCTTTTTTGAACAAGATCTGGTAGAAGACACACTCTTTGTAGGTCTGGGTTTGGAAGTCCCTGAATACAAACCTATGGGCTAAGATGCTCTCATGCCTGCTTCCACCCACAACACACATACAGGGAAGGGCTGGTGCCCACTCACCTGGGATGAGGATGCTTCCCTCCAGGTAGCCCCCAGTTCTCATGGCCAGCCACAGGCCCGCTGGGATGGAGCCGGGAGAGTGGAGGTTTGTGCTGGTCCACATTGCCTTCTGTGTGCCTGGGACTTAGTGTGTGAGCATGTGTCTGTGTGTTCACAGGTCAGAGGTAGAGGAAGGGCAGGGGTCCAAGGAGAGGCAGAGGAGAAGAGAGAAGTCCTGGGGCAGGGAAGCAGAGAGGCAGAGGAGAAACAGCTTGGGCAGGGGTGGGGGGTGTTGAGGCGGTGGAGCAGGAGACAAGCCTGGAAGGGGTCCTGGGGTGCCTGGCACTGTCCCAGGCCTTGCCCCACCCTGGACAGAGGATGGCTGTGACAGACCCACTCCCCACCAAGTCACAGCCCCTCCAGCACTTTGAGGGACCCTGGGCATAGCTGGTCCCCACCCCTGCCCCTCACCTCCATGATGGCTCCAGAAGGGTATTCCAGCCCCAGGCAATGCCAGCCTTGGGCCTTTGAAGCTGAGCTTGTACTCAAACCTGCGTAGAGGAGGACACCCCGTCTCAGGGCTGTGGGGGTCCAGGAGCAGGAGGAGAAGGCAGAATAAGGGACCTGGACCACTGACCGCCGGCATCGTGAAGGCGCCTGAAGTCTGGGCCCCGGGGTAGATCATAGCTGGGAGGCCGGGGAGGGGATCCTGGGATAGGGCCAGGCAGGGAGGAGCTGGGGACTGGCCAGGAGCTGGGTTTTGGCACTGTCCTCTCCCTCTATCTCCAGCATAGACATCCTGTTCCTTCCAGGCCTGCTGTCAGGCCCCGCCCATCCCTCACCTCCAGTCTGACGTGGGCAGCGGGACCCCACGACAACCTGAGCTCTGCCCCTGCTCCTGACTCAGGCCATCTTTCTGTCTCCCATCACTTCCAGCAGTTGGATGCGGCAGAGGGGAAGGGGGGGTGCCCAGGGTTGGCCCCCACCCTTCAGCAGCCCTGGCCTCCCCTCCCAGTTAGGGAGACAGGCCTCCACATTCTGCCTGTGTCCCCCAGCATGGATGGCACATCTATCTGGACACCCATCCTTCTCTCCTCCCTGCCCCCTCTCTCCCTCTCCCGAATTCCCCCAGGCTCATCCTTCCAAGCAGCCTGGTTTCCTCAACAAAAGCATTACATGGAAAAAAGAAGGGAGTCTTTAGAGACAGCACAAAAACGCAACGTGCAGACCTTGTTTGGAGCCAAATTTTAACCCAACTGCAAAAAAAAAAAAAGATATTGGGGAAATTTGAACAATGGATATTTTTGAACAATGGATATTTGACTATATTGAGGAATTGTTAAAAATTTTAGGGCACTGTGGCTCATGTCTGTAATCTTAGCACTTTGGGAGCCCAAGGCAGGTGGATCACCTGAGGTCAGGAGTTCGAGACCAGCCTGGCCAACATTGTGAAACTCTGTCTCTACTAAAAAAAAATACAAAAAATTAGCCAGGCCTGGTGGTGCATGCCTGTAATCCCAGCTACTTGGGAGGCTGAGGCAGGAGAATCACTTGAACCTGGGAGGCAGAGATTGTAGTGAGCGGAGATTGCACCATTGCACTCCAGCCTGGGTGATAAGAGCAAAAATCCATTTCGAAAAAAAAAATTGAGAACTAATATGGTATTGTGGTTATGTTTTTTATTTTTTATTTTATTTTATTTATTTATTTTTTGAGACGGAGTCTCGCTCTATCGCCCGGGCTGGAGTGCAGTGGCGCGATCTTGGCTCACTGCAAGCTCTGCCTCCCGGGTTCACACCATTCTTCTGCCTCAGCCTCCCAAGTAGCTGGGACTACAGGTGCCCGCCACCATGCCTGGCTAATTTTTTGTATTTTTTAGTAGAGATGGGATTTCACCGTGTTAACCAGGGTGGTCTCGATCTTCTGACCTCGTGATCCGCCTGACTTGGCCTCCCAAAGTGTTGGGATTACAGGCGTGAGCCACTGCGCCTGGCCTTTTTTTTTTTTTTTGAGAGGTGGTGTCTTCCTATGTTACCAAGGATGGACTCAAACTTCTGGGCTCAAAGGATCCTCCTGCCTCCTGAATAGCTGGAAATAAAGGCATGAGCCACCACGCCTGGCTTGTGGTTATGTTTTTAAAGTGTCTTTTGGAGAAACATACAAAAGCTTTACAGATGAATTGCTGTAACATCGGGGATTTGCTTCAAAATATTCCAGGGCTTGTTGGTGAGCAGGTGGGGTAGAGATGAGACAGAATTGACCTTGAGTTGGTAAGTGCTGAAGCTGGATGGCGGGATGCAGGGGTTCCTTATATCTTCTACTTTTATTATTTTTTGAAACAGGGTCTCACTGTCACCCAGACTGAAGTGCAATGGCAGGATTGTAGAGGAGCTGGGACTACAGGCACACACTACCGTGCCTTGCTAGCTAATTTTTTTTTTTTTTTTTTTTTGAGACGAAGTCTCACTCTGTCACCCAGGCTGGAGTGCAGTGGCGGGATCTCGGTTGACTGCAACCTCCTCCTCTCAGGTTCAAGCGATTCTCCTGCCTCAGCCTCCTGAGTAGCTGGGATTACAGGCACCCACCAACCCACCACCATGCCCGGCTAATTTTTGTATTTTTTTTTTTTTTTTTTGAGATGGAGTCTCCCTCTGTTGCCCAGGCTGGAGTGCAGTGGCACAGTCTCCGCTCACTGCAAGCTCTGCCCCCACCGGGTTCATGCCATTCTCCTGCCTCAGCCTCCAGAGTAGCCGGGACTACTAGGCGCCTGCCACCACGCCCAGCTAATTTTTTTGTATTTTTAGTAGAGACAGCATTTCACAGTGTTTGCCAGGTTGGTCTTGATCTCCTGACCTCGTGATCCACCCGCCTCAGCCACCCAAAGTGCTGGGATTACAGGTGTGAGCCACCGCGCCTGGCCAATTTTTGTATTTTTAGTAGAGACAGGGTTTCACCATTTTGGATCAGGCTGGTCTCGAACTCCTCACCTCAGGTGATCCGTCCACCTCAGCCTCTCAAAGTGCTGGGATTACAGGCATGAGCCACAGCGCCCAGCCCCCAGCTAATTTTTTAATTTTTATTTTTGTAGAGATGGGGGTCTTGTTTTGTTGCCCAGGCTGGTCTTGAACCCCTGGCTTCAAGTGATCCTTCTGCCTTGGCTTCCCAAAGTGCTGGGATTACAGGTGTGAGCCACAACACTGGCCTATTTTTATATATTTGAAAATTTTCATTAAAAATTTTTTTTAGAAAGAAAGAAATCCTATATTTCAAATATTTTCATCCAAATAAAAGTTGGTTTTCCAGAATGACTCATTTGCCAAGAATCCTGGATAGCTGAAATTTTACTGTGCTTTGGAGGTTCCCAATAGGAGTCAGTGACTGAAGCTTTACAAATGGATTAAAATCAAAGTTGTACATGTGAAATGTTAGAACATGCTATGAGAAATCATTTCACAGGCCAGGTGCAGTGGCTTACACCTGTAATCCCAGCACTTCGGGAGGCCGAGGTAGGCGGATCACCTGAGGTTGGGAGTTCAAGACCAGCCTGACCAACATGGTGAAACCCCATCTCTACTAAAAATACAAAATTAGCCAGGCGTGTAATCTGAGCTACTCAAGAGGCTGAGGCAGGAGAATCGCTTGAACCCAGGAGGCAGAGGTTGCAGTGAGCCAAGATCGCGCCATTGCACTCCAGCCTGGGCGACAAGAGTGAATCTCTGTCTCAAAAAAAAAAAAAAAAAAGCATTTTGCAACACCAAGCCCTCACCTGCCTCCATCTGCTCCTCCTCCCTTCACAGCCACACTGGTGGACAGGTTGTCCATTCTGTCCCCGCCTCCTCACTGGATCCTCAAGCCCCTCAAGCCCACTGGATCCTCAAGCCCTTGGCTTCCCGATCCTGTCCCCACCACTCCATGGAAAACGCCCTCGCAAAGGCCTGAGCAGCTATGCCTGTTCTTTGGTCCTAGGAGACTCTTCTCAACCCAGTCTCTGCCGCTTGAAATGCTGCTGACATCCACCTGCTCTCCCCGACCCCTCCTGTACCCTGAGTCCCCCCAAGGCCCACCTGCTTCTCCCCCTGCCCCTGGCTGCTCCCTTCACTAATCCCTTGCCAGCTGCTCTCCCTCCCTACCCCCATAAGCCTCAGGGCTTGCTTCTCCTCAACCCCACACTCCCTGACCAAGCTCCTCCATGCCCATGACTTCAAGCACATCCCTGTGCACACTCTCAAATCTACTTCTAGCCAGCCTCTCCTGGAAGACTTGAATGAATGTGTCTCTCTGCAGCGGACATCTCTGCTTGGATGTCACTAAGGCCCCCAGGAATTCCAAACTGAATTCCTCTTCTCCAGCCCCTTCATCCTCCTCCAGGCCTCAGGTCTCCCAGGTGGCACCGCCCCCTTACACCAGAGAGTGGAACTGCTCCCATATCCTTCCCTCTGCCTCATCCCCACATCTAGCCATAGGCAGGTTCTTACATTTGTTCTTGCCATTCATACCGTGTTACCTGGTTCCTTAATCTTGCCAAGCCTTAGTTTTCTTATCTGTAAAATGGGAGCATTAATGGTATATGCCTCCAAGAGTTGTTTGAAAAGTTACATGGAACGTATTTAGAACAGGGCCTGGCAGACAGTGCTCAGCTCAATAGGACAGCAGCCCCTTTATCCTCCTCTTCCCCACTACCTGCTGACTGCAGCCTCCTCACCGTCTCCCAGACTGCAGTGAAAAAGGTCTTTCTAAAATGCAGATCTGGGCTGGGTGCGGTGTCTCACGTCTGTAATCCCAGCATTTAGGGAGGCCAAGGCCGGTGGATCACCTGAGGTCAGGAGTTCCAGACCAGTCTGACTAACATGATGAAACCCCGTCTCTACTAAAAATACCAAATATGCATGATGGTGCATGCCTGTAATTCTAGCTACTCGGGAGGCCGAGGTAGGAGAATCGCTTGAACCCGGGAGGCAGAGGTTGCAGTGACTCGAGATTGCATCATTGCACTCCAGCCTGGACAAGAGCGAAACTCTTTCTCAAAAAAAAAATAAATAAATACAATAAAATAAAATACAGATCTGGCCATGCCACACCTCTGTCCTAAGCCCTTCAATTGCTTCTGGCTATCTTCCCATAACATTGAGCTCCTCATTGGGCCTACAGAGGCAGGTGAGGTCCAGGCCCCTGCTTTCGCTTCAGCTTCACTGGCTTCCAAGCCACACCCCTTGGCGTCTGAGCCCCAGCAAGCTGGTCAGCTCGCTGTCGCACCTCACCACCTTTGGCTGGGCAGTGCCCTTCCTTTGCCAGGAATGCCCTTGCTGTCCCTGCCTGTTCTTTGAGTGTCTGAGGAGCCGCCCTGCACTTCCCACCGCCTCTGCCCCATTGGTGGGGTGCTGGTGGCAGGTATTCCCCCACTTTTCCGGACAGCAGACTGAGTCCTGAGAAGGTTCCCCATCAGTTCACAAGCTCCTTAAGGGCAGGATCTATGTCTTGCTCATCTGTGATGAGCCAGTTGCCAGGGCAGAGAAGGGAGAGATGAGAGAAAAGAAAGAGGAAAAAAACAAGCAGAAACAGAGAGGCTGGGTGCAGTGGCTCACACCTGTAATCCCAGTACTTTGGGAGGCTGAGGTGGGTGGATCACTTGAGGTCAGGAGTTCGAGACCAGCCTGGCCAATATGGCAAAACCCCCTCTCTACTAAAAATAAAAAAATTAGCCAGGTGTGGTGGCAGGCGCTTGTAATCCCAGCTACTGGGGAGGCTGAGACACGAGAATCGCTTGAACCCAGGAGGCAGAGGTTGTACTGAGCCAAGATCATGCCACTGCACTCCAGCCTAGGTGACAGAGCTAGACTCCCTCTCAAAAAAAAAGAAAAAGGAAAGATGAATGGGAACACCCAGCCATCTGAGCCTGCAACCCTCAGGGTCCCATTGGCTGAGCCCTGTCCCTTCTCTCCTGTTGTTTTATGCCTGGCCCATCTCTGTTGTGTTGCTTGGCTGGCCCCTGTTGTGACCCTATAGCCACGGGCTTCACTGTGGGTTTCTGAATCCTAGCTGGCTTGGACCAGCTGTGAGAGCTGATTGCTGGAATCCCCATCCAGCGCTGTATTCAGTGAAGTCAGATTGGTGCTTGAAATTGACCACAGTCAGAGTATTAACTCCGCGGATATCAGCAAATGCTATAAATCAGAGCTACCCCACCCAGCCCGTGTCCTAGATTTGGATATTAAACATTCATCAGTGCACCACTGCCTGAGTCTCCCTCCTTCTCTGCACTTGCGGAGGGACTATCCCTCTCCCATCTCAGGCCGGTTCCCCCATGTTCTGGGTTCCCACCACCCACCCCCTGCTCTAAGGAAGGCTCTACCATCTACATACCACCCCTCCTGTCTATATCTCTTGCCTCACTCTCAGTACTCAGTACAATTTAAAGGTCAATGTCCTTCCCTTTGGCAGCCAAATTTGCTCAAGACTCTGCTGTCTTAAATCTACCAGCCGGGTGCGGTGGCTCATGCCTGTAATCCCAGCACTTTGGGAGGTCAAGAGATCGAGACCAGCCTGGCCAACATGGTGAAACCCTGTCTGTACTAAAAATACAAAAATTAGCTGGGTGTGGTGGTGGGCACCTGTAGTCCCAGCTACTCAGGAGGCTGAGGCAGGAGAATCACTTGAACCCGGGAGGCTGAGGTTGCAGTGAGCTGAGATTGCGCCACTGCACTCCAGCCTAGGTGACAGATCGAGACTCCATCTCAAAAAAAAAAAAAAAAGAAAAAGAAAAAGAAAAAAACCCTAAATCCACCACATCCTCCTGTCACTCTTCCTCTCTCATCTCTCCATTACAACTTCATTTCTCAGACTGTCCACCTCTTGCGTTTCTCACACCCTTCTCTAGTCACTGTGATCTGGAATCAGCCCTTATCAACACAGACATTGTGGCTAAAACCAAGGGGCAGTTTGGCCAGGTGCAGTGGCTCATGCCTGTAATCCCAGCACTTTGGGAGGCCGAGATGGATGAATCACTGAGGTGAGGAGTTCAAGACCAGCATGGCCAACATGGCAAAACCCTGTCTCTACTAAAAATACAAAAATTAGCCAGGCGTGGTGGTGGGCACCTGTAATCCCAGCTACTTGGGAGGCTGAGGCAGGAGAATTGCTTGAATTTGGGAGGTGGAGGTTGCAGTGAGCTGAGATTGTGCCAGTGCTCTCTGGCTTTGGCGACAGAGCGAGACTCCATTTCAAAAAAAATAAATAGCCAGGCATGGTGGCTCACGCCCGTAATCCCAGCACTTTGGGAGGCCAAGGCGGGTGGATCACGAGGTCAGGAGATCAAGACCATCCTGGCTAACACAGTGAAACCCCGTCTCTACTAAAACTACAAAAAATTAGCCGAGAGTGGTGGCAGGCGCCTGTAGTCCCAGCTACTCGGGAGGCTGAGGCAGGAGAATGGTGTGAACCTGAGAGGTGGAGCTTGCAGTGAGCCGAGATCGTGCCATTGCACTCCAGCCTCGGTGACAGAGTGAGACTCTGTCTCAAAAAATAAATATAAATACATAAATAAAAACCAAGGGGCAGACTCAGCCTCCATCTCTGTGCCTTCTGGGAGGCGGGGACCCTGGTGGCTTCCTCCTCTTGAAGTTCTTTTTCCTTGGCTTTTACGACATGGCACTGGCATGGTCAACCTCCTCTTCTTGACCTTTTTTTTTTTTGAGAGATGCAGTTTTGGTCTTGTTGCCCAGGCTGGAGTGCAGTGGCATGATCCCGGCTCACTGCAACTTCTGCCTCCTGGGTTCAAGCAATTCTCCTGCCTCAGCCTCCAGAGTAGCTGGGATTACAGGTGTGCACCACTGCGCCCAGCTAATTTTATATTTTTAGTAGAGACGAGGTTTCACCATGTTGGTCAGGCTGGTCTCTAACTCCTGACCTCAAGTGATCCACTGGCCTTGGCCTCCTGAAGTGTTGGGATTACAGGCGTGAGCCGCCGCGCCCAGCTTCTTGGCAGTTTCAAAGCCTCACTTAAAACTCAATGTGTGGCTTGGTGTGGTGGCTCACGCCTGTAATCCCAACACTTTGGGAGGCCGAGGTGGGAGGACTGCTTGAGCCCAGGCGTTCAAGGCTAGCCTAGACAACATAGGGAGACCTCGTCTCTACAAAAAATTTAAAAATTAGCCAGTCATGGTGGCAGGCACTTGTAGTCCCAGCTACTTGAGAGGCTGAGGCAGGAGGACTGCTTCAGCCTGGGAGGTCAAGGCTGTAGTGAGCTGTGTTTGCACCACTGGACTCCAGCCTGGGTGTCAGAACGAGACCCTGTCTCAAAACAACAAAAACCTTAACATGTCCTTAACAGAGCTCATGATACTCCCTCCTAAGCATGAGTCTCCTGTCCTCGCTCAGCAGATGCCCCCTGCTGCCCTCCCTGCATCCGTTCTGCTCAATCAGGCCTTGCTACGGCCCTTCCCTCTCCTCCACTCTCACACTGAATCCATAGCCAAGTTCGGTCAATTTTAGCTCTGGAGCTAAATCTCTCTGGAGACCGTCTCTCATCTGGACCAGTCCTCACTGTACTCTCTGAAACTCCTCTACCAGTAGCTAGGGTGATTTCAAAAACACATATCTGGGCCGCGTGCAGTGGCTCACGCCTGTAATCCCAGCACTTTGGGAGGCCGAGGTGGTGGATCACCTGAGGTCAGGAGTTTGAGACCAGTCTGGGCAACACGGCGAAACCCCGTTTCCACTAAAAATACAAAAATTAGCCAGGCATGGTGGCGCATGCCTGTTGTAATCCCAGTTACTTGGGAGGCTGAGGCAAGACAATCGCTTGAACCCAGGAGCTGGAGGTTGCAGTGAGCTGAGATGGCACCACTGCACTCCAGCCTGGGTGACAGAGTAAGACTTCTTCTCAAAAACAAACAAACAAACAAAAATTATCTGACATCTCACCCTCCTGATCAAACTTGTCATTGGCTTCCCATTATTCTCTGTTTGATAAAAGCTAAGTCTTTGCCACAGCCACAGCCTCACCTCTCAGGCCTGGCTGTTCGTCCATCCTCACCCACTTTCTTGGAGATCTGAGACAAAGCTGCCCTCCCTCCAGTCTCAGCATCTCTTCCTGGAATGCTGCTAACTCCTGCCATACAACCTGTTCATTCTGCTTCTGATCTCAGCTTAAACGCTGCTTCTTTCCAGAAGCCCTCCCTGATCTACAAAGATTCCCATGTTTTGTGTTCCTCATGTAGCACTTAAGTTTGTCACTGTCTATATGTGACTATTTGATTGTCTTCCCAACTGTGGACTCCACAGGGTGTGTTTTGCTTATTGATGAACCTCAGTCCTAGCAAACAGCAGGTATTCAAATATTTGTTGTTGAATGAATGGTGTAGTTTTAGAAAAATTAAGTCTGGCAGTATGCAGAGAAGATGAAGTGGAGGCGGCGAGGAGGCTGTTGCACTGGTAGATGGAACTACAGTGGGGCTGAGGAACAGACACAAGGTAGACTTCGAAGTCAGATCTTCCTGGATTTCAGGTCCTGTTGGCTGGTAGAGGAAGGGTCGGGGCCACAACAGGACAGGGGAACACCCCACCTGCCTGCCTCAGGGAATACATGAAGCCTCCTCACACCTTCAGAGGTTCTGTACTGACCACTGCCCCTGGACAACCTGAGTGAGGGGAGAAAATCTCATGGCTGGTCCACATTCTCTATATGTTCCCCGACAAGGTGGGGTGGGGAGGGACTCCCCCTGACTGGAAGGTGCCAGGATCTCCCCTCTGCCCTGCATCCTCAACCCCTGCCAAGTCTGGTATGACCTAAGGCCTGGCACATGGCAGGGGTGGGGACAGGGCAAAGCTGTGACATCGTGGGTGAAACTGGAGAACCACCAGGAGCTTTCCCGTCCCTCTCCGGGTCAGCATCTTCTCAGGCATGAGACACTTCTCCTCCTGCCAGAGGAAGCCCACTGGGCCCACCATTGCTTTTTCTCTCTCTTGCACAGGGGGCTTGACTAGAACCCCGTTCCCATCTGTGCAGGCCTGGGCTCCCTCCCATCCCTAGCTGTAGCCCTCCTTGTGCGGCAGGCTTGAAAACAGCAGGGGAGGCAGCTGGAACCCCCAGGCAGCATCCTGTAGATGGGGCCCCGGAGCTGGGCCTGGCGGCAGCAGGGCAACTGGTGAGCACTTCCCGGAGGGCAGACACAAGGACACTCACTCGTGCAGCTGACACAAAGCGGCGGCTACATCTCCCAGCCATGCTCCCCACCCAGCCCCACTCACAGACACAGGGGGATGGACAAGATGGCATGGGAGGGACGACCGGGCAGGACAAGCAGGCTCGGTGGAGGAAGCGCCGAGGCGGGCGGCGGTGTCCTCATGGCGTGGTTTATTACAATTCCATCTCACAAGGCGGGTGGGCGGGTGGCAGCGGCACACGAAATCCAAGCCCCTGACAGACGTCTGCCTCGGGCGCATGCAAACAGTGCAACATGGTCAAGCGCAAACACGGGGCGACCGAGGAGACACGGGACATGGGACACAGAATGGGGAATGAGGCTGGGGCGAGGGGTCCCTAGAGAGGGGCCCGGTCCCCCCCACCCTCACGGGCAGGACAGGAAAAATAAGATTCGTACTTCTTGTAAAATGCCCATTTGCTGGGTACTTTCTTTCTCCTTATCTTGAAAAATAATAAAAAATAAACACACGGAAAAAAAATCTCAAAAAAGGAAAGGAATAAAACTCTAAGAAGGCGAGTGGCGGGAGGCCAGGGAAGCCCGACGTGGTGGGGCGCTGCCTCCCGCTCCGTGGCCTCCTTCCTCCCTGGCCCCTCAGTGGGCTCCCCAGGCCCCACAGGTGGGTCCAAGAGAGACGGGGCCGGAGGGGTGCAGGCTGGGACGCAGGAAAAAGGCCCGCCAGCCCGCTGGGGCTCAGTTCAGGCTCGGGCCCAGTGAGCAGGGGCACCAGGTCCATGATCTTCCAGGTTCAGTCCCCACAGGCCCATGACCCAGGCGGAGGCCAGCCGTCACAGGTGCAGCTCGTGGGTTTTGATGTGCTCAAGCTGCTCTCGGAGCTGTAGGAAGGAGGGCCGCATGGCGGCGTCCAGGTGCCAGCAGTTCTTCATGACTTCATAGACTGCGGGCGGGCAGCCGTCGGGGGCATCCATCTTGTAGCCCTTCTCCACCCGAGGGACGACGTCCTTCAGGGGCTGTGGCCAGGGGGAGGCAGGAGTCAGTCCAGGCCCTGGCCTCAGAGAGGACACCTACCCAGCAGCCTCTCAGGGATGCCCATCAGCTTTGCCGCAGACCCAGGCCCGGAGAGTGGCCTGTGAGCTCCCCAGGGCAGGCCTGAGGCTTCTAGGCCTTGATTGGGGAGGCAGGGCCCAAGGAGGCTCACGCCCCTGCCAACCCCTCCGGTGCTCCAAGAGCCACCCTGATCCCAGTACCCATACTCACAATTCTTGGATAAGGCACTCGCCCAAAGGAGTAGATTTCCCAGAGAAGGATTCCGAAACTCCACACGTCAGACTTAGTGGAGAATTTCTGCCATGTGGATGGAAGAAGCAGCGTCAGATCCTGGGACTCCAGGGTGGGGAGTGACCCAGGACTCCTGCCCACCTCTGTAGGCCCCAGGGGAGGCCAGCCCCACCTTCTCTCTCAGGGCCTCAGGGGCTGTCCACTTGACTGGCAGCTTGCCCGTGTCCTGGGTGCTGGACGCCTCCTTGGTGAGACCAAAGTCGCTGACCTTGGCCACGTTGTCCTCAGACACCAGCACATTGCGGGCAGCCAGGTCTCGATGCACGAAATTGTTGCCCTCCAGGTATTCCATGGCCTCGCAGACATCTCTGGGGGTAGGCCAGCCACATGTCCCCTCAGACTGGGGCTCCCATAGCAGGGCAGGGTACCCCTCAAACCCTACCCATCCAAGAGGCTGCTTCACTCACAGCGAGAACTTGAGGAGACAGTCTCCGCCCAGCACTGACCGACCCCTAGACCGCAGGTAGTCCACAAGGCTCCCCTGGGGGCAGGAAGGACAGACCAGGCCGAGGTCAGACGTGCCCTGCAGCCCTCTCACACAGCACGCTGGGGCCGGGTGGGTGTTGACACTCCAGGGAGGTGTGAGACAGGGAAGGAGTGGGGAGGGGCCAGAACATCCATGCCGGACACTGCTCTGTGTTATTCATGCCTTATCCCTTGACTCTCACAAATCTCTAAGTTGTTATTATCTCCATTTCCCAGATGTGATGCTGAGGCTTGGAGGTGACATGATTTGTCCAATGTTACAGTCAATGAATGGTAAACCAGGACAAAAGCCCAGCCCTGGTGACCTAAAAGCTCACTTGGGGTCGGGGGACTGAGGGAGCAGGGGCCCTAGAGCACAGTGGGGGTTTCGGGGCAGTTGGAAGGCCTGAGTGCCGGGTCTCGGCAGGTGCCCACCTTGGCCATGTACTCAGTGACGATGTAGAGCCCGCCCTTCTCCTCCACGATCACGCCCAGGAGCTGCACCAGGTTGCTATGCCGCAGTTGCCTGGGGCAGGACGAGAGTGGTCAGAAAGGGGAAGCTGGTGCCTCACTCCTAACCTAGGCCAACCTCCCCCCTACCCCGCCCCCACTCACGTCATGACTGAGGCTTCAGCCAGGAAGGCCTGGGCAGTGGCGTCGTTCTTAATGCACTTGACGGCGACTTTGTTCCCTCGGTAATCGCCCAGCATCACGTCTGGGGGCAGAGAGGTGGTCTTGTTCCCAAGTTCGGAGTCCCTCAGAACCCCCCCAGGGGGCCCGGCCCAGCTCACCTCCGAACTCCCCCTTCCCGATGGTCTGCAGCAGCTTCAGCTCCTTCATGTTCAGGGCCCAGCCGCCTGTGGGGAGGGGCCAGTGAGGGCCTGGAGGCCACTAGGGACATGGCTGGGATGACAGAGGCTGACTGGACTATCAGGCACTGGGGTTCTCTGGAGGTTCCTGGATGGGGCAGTGCCAGGAAGCCTGCGTGGGAGGAGGTGGGTGGGCAAGAGGTCTGGGGTGGGGTGCACTCACTGCGGTAGAACTCATCCTGGGCCGCCACTGTGCCCTCCATGACCTTTGGTTTAATGAGGCGCGTACAGAGTCCATCTGCGTCTGAGGTGTAGTGCTGCAGGGTGTGGGGGGCAGGGTGCTCAGAGACAGCCCAAGGTGCCCCATATGCACCGTCCAGGCCTGACCACCAGAGGGCGGCAGAGGCCAGCCCCGCCTAGCCTGGAGTCACTGAGTGGGGAGGGCTCCCCATTTCTGGTAGGGCAGGGGTTAGGGAAGTCCCAGATTATGACGTATGGCCCATTTCCCATGCCACCCTACATGCGGTTGCTGGACACTCAGCTGCTGCTACCACTCTGGGCCCCATGGGTATCTGATGCAGAGGGCAACCCATGGCTCAGTCCTGAAACCAGCCTCTAGCCAGGAGTGCCCAGGACCCCACCCTCACCTGCCACAGGCCAAGCCAGGCCAGTAGGGGAGGGAGATAAGAGTGAATACAGAGGGACACGGGAGGCTTCCTGTGGCTACCGGATGCCAGGTGTGGCCTGGCCAGGGCTGGCAGAGCTGGCCTGGGAAGCTGCAGGGACCTGTGGGCATGTCCGTGCAGGTGCGAGAGCCTCAGGGGCCCTGGCGATCAAGGCGCATGGCTCATGTTTCTGCACACGCTTCTGAGCATGCAGGTCTGTGAGTGGCTGGAGGAAAGTTAGCTCTGGGATCAGACAGACTCAGATTCTAGTCCTGGCACCAAATTATATCTGTGGGACCTCAGGTGGGTCCCCTAACTGCTCTGAACCTTCAACTCCTGGTCTATAAAATGAGGATAAGGCTCCCCTCCTCATGGTGGCACTGTGGGGTCAGAGGTGAGTCCTGGCACGCAGCAGCTGCTCCACCAAGGTGTGAGGAAACAAGGGCTCACAGAAGTTGCCCCACATGGCTGGTCACCACGCAGAAGCAGTGGGGCTGGAGCTAGAAGCCAGGGCCCCAGATGGGTTTAGGGTGTGTGAGGGTGGGAGCAAGGCTCTGTACCCCCCAGCTCACCTCCACCAGCTGCATGAGGTTCTCAAAGTACACCTCCTCGTCGATGCTGAGCTTGCTGGCATGGTACATGATGCGGTAGTGCTCCACCTTGCCGTCGCAGCTCACGCACAGCGTGTAGTCTCCGGGGTAGTTGGTGCTCTCCCGCACCAGGAACAGGCCTGTCTCCGGCGGGTACAGAAGCCGCTCAGCCTGCTCCCGTGTGATCTTGCCGTGGAACCAACTGGGGAGCAGCAGGGCTGGAGGTCATGGTGGCCCAAAGGTACTGACCCTGGCTCCCCTTTCTGAAGGGGTTCCCTCTGCTTGGCACCCGTGGCTCGCACTCGCTCAGTCAGGCATTTGAGGCCCTCTTCTTCTGCTCCCTGTCCCTTCTTTGCCACCCTCCTGCCTCTGCCCCCAGCCCTGCTCTGTGAGGTCCCGCACCCGCACCCTGCACCTCCTCCTGAGGCCCTCCCCAACACCCAAGCCCCTCACTCTGGCCTCCCTGCTTGCTCCTGATGCTCCTTCAGGAGGACCAAGGCCCCTTCCCTCCCCAACCCCTCCTCGTGGTACTCACGGCATGAGGCTGAGTTTGGTACCCGCCTTCACGCCCTCCCGCTTCTGGACGTAGTTGGCTGGGATGATGCCCTCACGGCCCACCTTGTTTTTGGCTTTGTACCAGTTGGGGTCCTGGGGAGAGGGCAGCCCAGACATGCTCTCAGGCCCACCTCCCCCTGCAGAGGGAAGGCCCAGCAGTGGGATGGTGGGGTGGGCGTCACCTGATTACCTTGGTGACGGCCACAATGGTGAGCACGTCTCCTTTGCAGAAGGGCAGGTCCTGCTCGGCAGTGCCGTGGAAGTTGTACTTGGCAATACATTCTGTACCGGATGGCCAGGCGGCCTGCAAGGCAGGTGACACGTGGGCGGGTGCAGCCTGGGCCCCCTCCAGCCACCTGCTGGCGCACCCTCGTGGTCACAGCCTCTGAGCTGGCCTCTGTGAGCCTGGGTGAGGTGCTCTGCCCGGAGAACGAGCCCTGGGTCCCTTCCTGTTGAGACTCCCCCACTTCCCCAGGCCTGTACCTGACTGAGTGCTGGGAAAAAGGGGAGTGGGTTGATCTAAGCTGCATCCTCTCTCCTCTGCTAAGCACCCCGCTGGGGCTGGTGGGAATGCTTGCATGTCCCAGACCCTCACCCCTGTGGTACCTGTATTGCTGACATCTTCTCAGGAGCTCTGGCGTCCCCGAGTCACAGTAAAGCCAACCTGTCACTTGGTACCATTAGAGCTGTGGGGAAGAGCATGAAGACTGAGGAGGGGTGTGAAGAAATGCCCCCCAACTGCTGAGATCTGGCTCCTCACTGGGCATGAACAGGTGCCAAGAGTGTCCTGCGCTGGGATTTGACACATGGGCCATTCTCTCCAGTCCTGGCAGGCTGACGGTACTGGGTAGAGGAGCATGAGGGCTGAGGACCCCCAGGGGCAGAGGGAGCCACCAACCCTAAGGCCACAGGGGGCCTTCCAGGACTGATAGAAAGGAGCAAAGGGGGCTAGTGGGACAATGGACACCTGACCGTCAGCCCCAGGCCTGGTTCCAGCTACTGTTCTGTGGGGAAAGGGGCCCCGGAGCAGCTCTGAGAAGGGGCTATGTGATCTGAGAAAGTCCCTTATGCTCTGTGGGTCCTTGGGTCCTTCACCTGCAAAATCCCGCCCAGGTAGCATCTCTAAACATATACCAACCCCACTTCTAGGTACACACCGAGAGGACACAGGACATGTGTCTGCCTAGACAGGCACAGGAGGGCTACAAGTGGCATGCTTTGTAATAAACCTCAAACTGGGAGCTGCCCAGATGCCGATCCAGAGGAAAATGGATAAACAGTGGCATATTCACAAAAGGGACTACGTACAGCAGTAAACACCAACCATTAAATAAACTCCAACACAAACTCCAACCATTAAATAACACTGATGAATTTCTTTTCTTTTCTTTTTTTGAGATGGAGTCTGGCTCTGTCACCCAGGCTGGAGTGCAGTAGCACAATCTCGGCTCATTGCAACCTCCACCTCCTGAGTAGCTGGGATTACAGGCATGCACCACCACAACCAGCTAATTTTTGTATTTTCAGTAGAGATGGGGTTTCACCATGTTGGCCAGGCTGGTCTCGAACTCCTGACCTCAGGTGATCCACCCACCTCGGCCTCCCAAAATGCTGGGATTACAGGTGCCAGTCACCGTGCCTGGCCAATCCCGATAAATTTCAAAACATAATGATGGCTAGGCACAGTGGCTCACACCTGTAATCTCAGCACTTTGGGAAGCTGAGGCAGACAGATGGCTTAAACCCAGGAGGAGTTCAAGACCAGTCTCGGCAACATGGCGAAACCCGGTCTCTACTAAAGATACAAAAATTAGCCGGGGGTGGTACTGCGTGCTTGTACTCCCAGCTACTCAGGAGGCTGAGGTGGGAGGATCGCTTGAGCCTGGGGAGGTCAAGGCTACAGTGAGCCAAGGTCACACCACTGCACTCCAGCCTGGGCGACAGAGTGAGACCCTGCCTCTAAATGAATGAATAAATAAATAAATAAATAAAATGTTAACCAAGAAGCCAGACACAGGAAAGTACATATTATGTAATTCCATTTGAATAAAGTTCAAAATCTGGCCAAACTAATCCATGCTGTCAGGATAGCTGCTCTTGGGACAGGGAGACTGGAAGGAATGCAAGGGGACCTCTGGGGTTGGTTTTCAGACTGTCTGAGCCCAATCATGAAGTGGGTCCACTCTGTGACAATTCACTGAGCTGTACCATTGCGATCGGCACACTTTTTGGTGTATAGTGCACACTTGAACAACTCGGGTCTGAACTGCGCAGGTCCAGTTACACATGGATTTTTTCTTTTTCTTTTCTTTTTTTTTTTTTTTTGAGAAAGGGTCTCACTCTGTTGCCCAGGCAGGAGTGCAGTGACGTGATCATAGCTCACAGCAGCCTCAAACCCCTGGGTTCAGCCAATCCTCCTGCCTCAGCCTCCTAAGTAGCGATTACCACAGGCATGCGCCACCACACGTGGCTGGATGTTTTTCAGTAAGTTACACTGAGTGTGCCTGCCTTTTCTGCCTTCCTTTCCACCTCCTCCGCCTCCACCTCTGCCACCTCTGTGACGGCAAGACCAACTCTTCCTCTTCCTCCTCAGCCTACTCAATGTGAAGGATGAAGACCTTCATAATGATCCCCTTCGACTTAAAGAATAGTAGATATATTTCCTCTTCCTTATGATTTTCTTTCTTTTTTTTTTTGAGACAGCAAGACTCTGTCGCCCAGGCTGGAACGCAGTGGTGGGGTGACTCACGGCTTACTGCAACTACCTCCGCCTCCCAGGTTCAAGTGATTCTCATGCCTTGACCACCTGAGTAGCTGGGATCATAGGCGTGCGCCAACACAGCAGACCAATTTTTGTATTTTTAGTAGATACAGGGTTTCACCATATTGGCCATGCTGGTCTTGAACTCCTGGCCTCAAGTGATCCGCCTGCCCCAGCCTCCCAATGTGCTGAGATTACAGGTGTGAGCCACTGCACCCGGCCATATGATTTTCTTATTTTATTTTCACTAGCTTACTTTATTGTAAGAATACAGTATATAATATATATAACAAACAAAATGAGTGTCAATCAACTTTATCTACAAGGCTTTCTGACAACAATAGGCTATTAGTAGTTAAGTTTTTGAGGAGTCAAAAGTTAATATATGATTTTTTGACTGCAGGGAGGAGGTTGATGCCCTCAACCCCTGTGTTGTTCAAGGGTCAACCGTATATTTACTTCAATAAAGTTGACTCCCCAAAAAAGCTACCCTAGCCAACCCCATTCCCTGAGAGCAGCAACCCACCCGTCTGCACACACATACTTTGTAATCCCAGCCCAGAGCCCCCTTGGACCTGTCTCAGGAAGCAGAGGGGCTGGAACTACTGTTTCCTTTCTACGGGTGAGGAAACTGAGGGTGAGAAAGGGCCAGTGGCATCTTCGTGGTCACAGTGTGTTAGAAGAGAAACTCCTCCATGAGCCTCTTTGCTGGGCTCTTTGATACAGTGGATGAGGTCTGGGGGCTAGGCTGACAGTCACAAATATTGCTACCTACCCCAGTGGAAGGAGACATTTTATTTTATTATTATTGTTATTATTGCGACGGAGTCTTGCTCTGTTGCCCAGGCTGGAGTGCAGTGGCGCGGGAGAAGACATTTTAGTGCAAAGTGCTGGGGGTGTGAAGTAGGCACGGACTGCAGAGCTCAGACAGGCTCCCTGGAGGAGGGAGCTCTGGGGCTGAGCCCTGAAGATTGCAGGGCTTACACAGGCAGAGGGCGGGCCAGGGAAGGCACCCCAGGTTGATGCAGCAGTCTGAGCAAAGGTGTCAGGCAGGGGACTGGCATAGTATGAGAAACTGGCCCAGGTGGAAGCCGATGGTGAGGGAAGCGGGAAGGCAGACCCTGCCCATCTGGGGCTCTAGGACCCCACACACTTCCAGAGTCCACCTTGAGCACCGCTGCTCAGGGGACACTGTAGGGGATGGTTTCAAGTGGGCCTGGCATAAACTCTGCCAGGCAGCAGGGGGACTTCCACTGCCAATGTGAGGAACCAGGGTTTGACTCCAAGGGCGATGGGGCCTCAGCAGGGGGGCATGTGATCATGGAGAGCAGAAGGAGCTGGGGAGGAGACGGCCAGGGAGAACCAACACTTCCAGGCCGCACACCTGGCTCTATAGTCAGGCCTGGGCTTAATACCTGGCTCTGTTGACTGTGCGACTTGGGGTGAGTGACTCAACCCTTCTAAGTCTTGCTTACCCTGAAGGGGAGGACAGGTATCTCCTGCAAGCTGGCTGAGGAGGGGCTGGAATGAAACCCTGAACTTGGAAATGTCTGGTGCGCCCCTGCCCCATCCCCTGGATGAAAGAGCTTCCGTTCCTCCCAGAATACAGGGCCCTTTCTATCCCCAGAGGCCAGGCCATCAATCCTGCTGTTTAGGCAGGGACACTGAGGCCCAAGGAGGATGAGCCTGAAACCTGCCTCCATCCACATGACTCAGTCACCACTAAGTACAGGAACCATCCCTTGCCCCTGCCTCCTGTGGACTGTAAGCTGTGAGGGTGGGGGTGGCGGGGACCCCTTGCCCCTGCCTCCTGTGGACTGTAAGCTGTGGGGGTGGGGGTGGCGGGGACCCCTTACCCCTGCCTCCTGTGGACTGTAAGCTGTGGGGGTGGGGGTGGCGGGGACCCCTTGCCCCTGCCTCCTGTGGACTGTAAGCTGTGAGGGTGGGGGTGGCGGGGACCCCTTGCCCCTGCCTCCTGTGGACTGTAAGCTGTGAGGGTGGGGGTGGTGAGGACCCCTTGCCCCTGCCTCCTGTGGACTGTAAGCTGTGGGGGTGGGGGTGGCGGGGAGGGAAGGAGGATTGTGAGCTCTTCTAACCCTCTTACCCCCATTTCACAGAAGCGGAAACTGAGGCTCAACTGGTTGAACAATTTGCCTGAAGTCACATAGCTAGTTAGGGGTGACAGAGCTTGAATTAGGGTCCCACTAGGGCTGGCTGGGCCCCCAACCTTTAGGTCCTTCTGAATAGGGGCCCTGCTAGCATTCCACATCCCCATGCCTCCCCCTTCCTCCCCAAACTCCCTGCCACCACAGGGGGGCGCGGAGGCTGCTGCGCTGTTAGTCACCCTTCCAGCTGTCAGTTTGCAAACACTCCCTTCCTGGCCTACAGCTACTGCCACCGCCGCCTCCCCACTGCCTTGATTATAATAATAAAAATAATAACAGGCCCTGTTTTCTGAGCACTTATTCTGTGCCAGGCCCTGTCCTTGGCACGTTATGGCTCATCACATCCTCTAACAACTCTGAGACAGAGAAGCTATTATTATCCCCATTTTGCAGATGAGAACCCCAAGTGAGGCCCACAGGGGCAAGGCGGGGGTCCCTAGGGCCACACCTTGAGTGAGCATTCTGTCCCCCTCAGGTGTCAAACTCCTGAGCTGCTGAGCCAGCCCTCCCCATAGCCCCGTGCCTCCCTGCCGGACAGGCCCCAGGAGTTGCCATGGGGACCACACTAGCCTAGGGGCAAGGGAGAGGAGGGAGGAGGGAGGAGGCAGAAGCAGCTATGAGGGGCACAGGGGCGGTGCTCAGGGAAGGGTAAGCCTAGGAGCGGTCGGGGTGGGCTGCCTCAAGGAGCTGGGCTCTGAAGGCCTCAGAGGGTCTGGAAACAGGGAAGAGGGCTAAACTCATCACCTTTACTCTGCTGGCTGTGACTCTAGAACCCAGCTTCCCCATCTGTGCAATGGACTGGTGATACTCCTTGGCTCTGGGGGCTGCTGTGAGGACTGGAGTTGAGCTCTCAGCACCAGAACAGTGCCTGCCTTGCCACAGACATCTTGCAAGTGGGAGCTGCTAACTCTCTTGGACGGCTCCTCCCTGGTGGGGTCATGAGACCCCTGAATGAATGAATAAATGAACAAACAAAAGGGGGAATCCAGCCTGGCTACATCACACTGAGGTCCCATAACCAATGGGACTATAGTTAACCCCAAAGGGACTATAGTTAACCCCAAAGCGATAGCAGCTGTCACCCCACCCCCACAGAGCTAGGGGACAAGGGGCTTGGGATGTGGCAGGACCAGTGCTTCACGCTGACTTCCTGCCCCAAACCCGGCTCCCAGTAGCCCTTGTGCTGGGGTCCCGGGAACAGGCTGGCATTGTGCCCAAGCACTGACGTCAGTGGCCGCAGACAAGATGGCTCAGTGGCTTCCCAGCTAGTGCCTAGGCCGGGGTCCCCTCCTTAAAACATCTCCAGAAGGTGAGACCCTCCCACTGCAGGTCAGAGGCTGACAGCCAGAGTGGCTGGGAGGAGCTACTGCAAACTTAGGCCTCTACAACCCAGCGGGGGTCAGGCACAGAGAGGGGGTCCTTCCTGGGGTTATTTAAACTTAAGAGTCGGGCTACTCTATGGAACAGTGCAGGAACATCGTCCTGGGTGTCAGATGCTCTGAGTCCTGTACCCAGCTCTGCCATCAACTTGCTGTGTGACCTTGGGAAAGTCACTTGACCTTTCTGGGACTTGTTGGCTTCTGGTACCTTAGCCAGACCTGTTTCCCATCTGCTGTTGCCAGGACACCTGTGCCCTGTCTCCCTCCCCGCCTTGCCATTCCCTTCACACTCTCTCCTCCTCCTTTACCGAGGGACTTCCACTCAACCTTGGGGGTGCAGCTGAGCAACTGCTTCTGGAGTACCCATGCCTTAAAAAAACACAGCAGGACAGTCCCTGCAGTGCTGTCTGTAGTAGCAGGAGATGATGGGGAGACAGCCTTTATGTCCATCAGTTGGGGGCTGGGTGGATAAATTACAAGATGTCCCTGAAAGGGGACAGCATAGCTCTAGCTGTGATGGGGCCAGGGGAGATCTCTAGATGCCGATACTGAACACTCCCCATGATAGAGTATGGAAAATGGCAAAACACCAGCTCAAGTCATTGAAGAAAAAGTTGCCAGGGGAGCAGAACAGACACAGCTTCCAAGTCCCATCCCACAGGCTAATTGGAAACAGGAAGGAGCACCTGCACTACAGGGAGACGTGCGGACAACCCCGGAACCAAGTGATCCAGTGAAGCATCACCAGCAAGGTGACGCATGGACACTAAGTGCCTCCTGGAGGAGGACTCTGCATTGCCCGGGGGGGCGTTCCTGCCAGAGCTGTTCCACCTGACTCCAACCAGGGAGAAGCAATCAGACAAATCCAGAACAACTGGCCCGGACTCTTCATGTCAATGTCATAAAAGAGCAAAACAAAAAAAGGGCTGGAGAATGTTCTAGATTGAACAGGACACTAGAGAAACATGACAAGATTCAATAAATGATCTTGAATTGAATTCTATATCAAGGGGTGGTCGGGGGGACAGCTATAAAAATCACTTGGGGAGAGGGGAAATGGACATAGTAGATAATATGGAATTAATGTCAATTTTCTTAAGTGTGATCATGACATTGTGATTATATAAGAGATACACGCTAAAGTTCTTAGGGTGAAAGATGCAATGCCTACAACTAACACTCAAATCAGCAAAAAATACATACACACATATGTCTATGTAGATAAAAGAAGAGATAGAGTAAATGTGGCAAAATGTTAAGAACTGGCAAATCTGCATGAAGGATATATGAATATTCATTATACTATTACTTCAACTTTTTGGTAGGTTTCAAATACTCAAAATAAAAGGCTGTGAAAAAAAAAGCCAGGTGCAGGTTCTCTATGGAATACTACAAGTTGTGTTTTTAAAGAGGTATTAATGCAACACCTCCCTAAACTCAAATATGCCTCGATTATCTTTGGAAAGACAGAGGAAACTGGTAACAGAGGTTGCCTCTAGGATGAGAAGGGAAAGTGAGATCAAGTTCAAGAGAAACTTACTTTTTACTGTTCATTTGCTATTTTGTCCTTTTGGGCTTTTAAAAAAATTATTATTATTTTTTTAAAGCCACATGCATCTATTACCTTCCCCCTTAAAACTGGAAATAAGAAACTTTTTGTAAATCACCTCTCTCTGGAGAATTCCTTGGGTCCCCAGCTGTGTTGGCTGCCGAGGCCTCCAAGGCCTCTCACACATCCCCGTGCTCCAGTGAGAACCTCACTGGTTGTGGCCTGTGGTTTAGGGTGGACTGGGAGCTCTGCAGGGGGAAAGTGAGGGTCTGACTCACGTCTGCATGGGCTGGGCCCAAAGCGGCTGCTCAGTAAATGAGTGCTGAATGAATGAATGAATGAACGAATGAAAAAAAGGGGACGCCAGGCTGGCTGTACCACACCGAGGTCTCATAACCAATAGGACTATAGTTAACCCCAAAGGGACAGCAGCTGTCACCCCATTCCCGCAGGGCTAGGGGACAAGGGGCTTGGGATGTGGCAGGACCAGTGCTTCACTCTGACTTCCTGCCCTAAACCCGGCTCCCAGCAGCCCTTGTGCTGGGGTCCCGGGAACAGGCTGGCATTGTGCCCAAGCGCTGAGGTCAGTGGCTGCAGCCTCAGGCAGCCTTTCTTGTGAGCCCAGGCTGACAAGGAGTGGGGAGAAAGAACTGGGAGCCCAGAAACTCCCAGGCTGCCCTTTTCCTACCCTGGAAGCAGCTGTAGACCCCCAAGGCCAGGCACGTGCTGAGGGCCAGGGGAGGTCAAGGGGCTCCCTTGCCCTTCCCCCTTGCCAAAACTCTGCTGCCTAATGGGGCGTGGGAGCCTTCAGTAACTGTTTACGCCCAGCTAAAAATACCCACTGAAAAGGGAAGTGCACAAAAGACCTGGGGGAACTCAGGGCCCTGGCCCCCGGAGATTCTGGTGCTGCCACAGGACCTAGCTGGATGCTCTGGGGGATGGGGACAGCCACTGGAGGCAAAACAGGCAACAGCAAGGTCCACCTTGCCTTCTCATTCTTTGAGCCAGTGTTTTAGAAGCCTTCCTGTGTGCCCAGAGCCATGCTTGGTAGGCCAGGATATCCGGGTGGAGAAGGAAAGGACTCAAGAGGTCCTGCCTTTGGGGACCCAAGGTCACCACTCACACACCTCTCCTCTGTGCACAAGCCAGGGCTGGATGCTGGGAACCACCACAAAATGCAGACCCGGCTCCTGTCCTCCTGGTTACTGGATGGTCAGCCATGGCCTGGTATGTTCAGTGCCTCAATAGATTGTGAGACAGGGGCCACCCGGGAAGGCTTCCAGGAAGATGGGTGAGGGGAGCAGGAGCTAGAAGGATTTTAGGGGAAAGTGACTGAGAGAGGGGCGCCTTGAAGTAAACCAGGATTAAGACTGCAAACTGTGGTACAGAGCGAGTTAATGAAGACTGAAGAAGGTTCAGGATGGGGGCCCAGGGAACCTCCGAGCAGGGCCTACAGGTCATAGTACAGATACAGGCAGAATTAAGTTTCAGATTTGGGCCCGCCCCTCCAAAGGGCAGTGCACCTGAGGAGGGCGGGGCACCCACCAGCAGTTGGGCAAGTTTGGCAGCAATAAAATCAGCTCCACCTCTGGTTCTGCAGAGGACACCAGGCTGAGGCACTGTGACATTCCCCACCACACATCAGGCAAGGAAGGGTGCCCGAGGGCTTCCACTGACCCCCGCAGCCTGCGCTGGTGGTCCCTCAGCACCCCCACTGCACAGGTGTCTCAGGGTGAGCAGCAGCAGAATTGGGCGCCAGGGTCTTGGAGATGCCTACACCTCCCGGGGCGGTTACGAAGGAACAGAAGAATGCCTGCTCTGGCTCCAGGGCACGCTGCCCTACCCCCATCCCGGGGCTCCCGTCAGCACCCTGACCTAAGGAGAAGGGCGGATTTAATGGATAAATACCAAATTATAGCAACACACTGGCTTTTTTTCCCCTGCCCCCAATGGTTCAGTGGGACCGGAAATCCCGTCTAGTGGTTTGGGAGAGGTGGGGGCTGGGGTTAGAGCAGGCTAATGGGGAGCCTACTCCCCAGGCACCGCTGCGGCTTGAGGCTGCCATTCCTGGCCCAGAAAGGTTTCTAATTACCGCTCAGGAGCCTAATTACCTATGTGCGCTGGGCAATGGGGACTCTGGGCCTCCCCAGGGCCCTAACCCAGGCCTCTGCTCCCCCACCCCCTTAGCACAGGATGTGGTCTTTGCATCTTCATTTGCCTGCATTTGCATATAGCCTCTCAGCACTAGCCTTCAATGGACCCTTCAAAGTCATGTTCTTGTCCCTCACCCGGAAGTCTCCTGGCCACATTCTAGGTGGGGAGACTGACGGCTGGAGGCCCATAAGCTGTCTAAAACTTCGGCCCCCAGATTTCTGGTCTCCCCACTTCAGAACCAGGATCTGCAGAACACACAGCTCAGAAGGTAAAGCTGTGGGGATCAACACAAAGGACAGACTTGCTACTACTTAAGGGAGATGGGGGTGTTACCAGTACACTCCTCCAGCAGGATGGGCTGCAGAATGAGAACACGGGAATTACAGCTGACTGACCCAACCGGGTTTGGGGCACTGCATTAGTTACTTAATCCTTCAAACACCCCATAGGGCAAGGACTGGTGATCTCTGACAGAGGAGGAACTAGCTGTGTGGGTACTTGAGCTCAGAGTTGTCTGAACCTTGGTTAGGGGACCTTTCTTCCCACCTTTCCTTGTGCAGGACAGACGACACCCTGAAAATGGACAGGTGGGGGGCACCGAGGGGAGGTCTGCCCAGAGCTTGGCTGTTCTGCTCTGGGAAGCAGAGGTACTTCTGTGCCCACTTCTTGCTTGTCTGCATACCCCAGCCTCTCAGAGAGGCCAAGAGCCTGTCGAGGGACACACAGAAAAGAGCCAGCAGCCCTAGAGAGGGCAGAAGCTTCAAACAAGGACCTCTCCTCCTACCACGCTTCTTCTTCAAACACTTCTCAACTTTCACAGGACCTTCCCCTCCAGGAGGCCCTCCAGGCTGCCCCAGCCCACGCAGAGCCCCAGCTTCAGAGCTCCTACCAGCTCTGCCAGGAAGTGAGAACCACAGGCCTCCCCTCACTGACTCCTCGTCTCCTCTACCCGCCAGCAGAGGCGCTCTCAGGGTTTGCTCTTCATCCTTCCCTCCTGTCTCCCTGCAGCACGGACAGCACAAGCTGCAGATAGATAGATGCGCGAGTCTGCATGAGGACCAGGTGTCAGGCTGGGCTGAGAAGCAGCAGCCAGGGTCCAAGGGGGGCAGATGATGCCCAGGTTTTCGCCTGCCCACGAGGCTTACAACCATGCCATGATCAGGACAGCCAGGGGGGCACCAAGCAGCCTCTCTTCTACTTGTTCCTTCGACTCTGGGCCCAGACCACAGAAGGAGGGGTGGAGGGAAGCTGCGGTTGGAGGGTGTGTGCACAGCTAGTGTGTGATGAGAAGCTGACTTCATCTTAGCACCTCAAAACCAGGAAGAGAAACTGAGCAGGCAGAAAGGGCAGGCTGGGCTGCACAGGGCCCTCCAGTCCCTGGGGGCCTGCTGAGGGGAGCTCTCAAATAGTCGCTTGACAAACCACTTCTCCTTTCTGGGCCTCAGTTTCCCCATGGGAAAAATGGGATTTTTTTTCTAATGGGTCCTGCCAGTCTGCCCTGAGTGGTGCCGTCTACACTTAATGGGCCACATCATGGCAGATAAAAGAGCACCCCCCCAACTGGTGGAGTACTTCTGATCCCGAGGAGCAGGGGCTCAGCCACCCAAAGCCAGCCTCTCCCTGCTCACTTCTCCCCTCAGCCATGCAGGGAGCACCAGCTCTTCCTTCACCAGCTCTTTATTTTTAGGTCTGAATTTGACTTTAATCATTACTTAGCGGATTCTATTTCCAGCCCTTGGATGAAGGGACCCAGAGGAGAGGGGGAAGGGAGGCAGTGCTCCCTGCCGGGCGTTGGGGGTGGCCTGCTCCTCCACCCATCCTGTCCCCAACCAAGGGCGGGGGAAACTGAGAAACACCCAAAGGGCTCTCATCTGAGCCAGGCCAGGCCAGCATCTTGGGGCGGACCCCACCCTGTGACCTCATCCCATCCCAAGCTGTGGGACAGGAGGGCAGTTGTCATGCCCACTTCCCTTACACTAAGACCAGGGAGGAGGAGATACTCCACAGGCCAAAGTTTGGCAGCTGGAGTCTGAAGTCGTGTGCCCAAGGGACCTCTGCACTGAATGGGCCACCTGGGGGAGGACCCCTTCCTTAGGTTAGTCCTGGGCCACCCTAGGGTCATCTGGGGCTACAGTCTCTTAGGCCCAGGGTTGCCAGGAGGAGACTGGTGTCCTGCTACTGCCCACGGGGTGGCTGTAGGAGGGCACTCCCAGTTACCCTGGTCTCCACAAAAGTAGAACAAGAGGAAGCAGGTGTGTCACAGTGATACACACTCAGGTTAGACCTGGGGAACACCTGCTGAGGAGGGGGAGGCTAACATGAGTTTCCCGATGTGTCCAACTCCCTCCTGGGAAGCTCTGGGAGGCTCCAGAATCCCCCTACCCTTAATCTCCCAGCTTCTTTCCCTTCCTTGGCTACTGGAACAGGGTGCGAAGATGAGGCTGGCATGGCTGTTCTTGGGCTGGGGCTCAGGATGCCTGGGTTCCTTGTCTAAGTCTCAGGCTAAGCAGGCCTCTATTTCCTCTGGGAAAATGCCAAGCTGGGCTGACCTAGCCAGAGCTGGGAGGCAGGAGGCAGCCAGGCTCTTACAGAAGAGGCGCAGTGGCTCACGCCTATAATCCCAGCACTTCAGGAGGCCGAGGTGGGTGGATCACCTGAGGTCAGGAGTTTGAGACCAGCCTGACCAACACGGAGAAACCCCATCGCTACTAAAAATACAAAATTAGCCAGGCGTGATGGCACATGCCTCTAATCCCAACTTGGAAGGCTGAGGCAGGAGAATCGCTTAAACCGGGAGCCGGAGGTTGTGGTGAGCCAAGATCGCGCCATTGCACTCCAGACTGGGCAACAAGAGCAAAACTCCATCTCACACACACACACACACACACACACACACAAAAAAAAAAAAGAGAGAGAGAGAGAGAGAAGAGGCCTTGTCTATTTAGCTCTGATGCTGGGAGACCGGAAGGGGAATGGGTGGAGTCAGGTCCCGGACCCTAACCAGCAGCCCATCTTCCCAGGGCCAGCCCCATGTCCTAGGCCAGCCAATCATATGGTAATGGGGAGAAGGGAAGGCAGGCAAGGGCACTGGCCATAGTATTCTAGAACCTCAGGGCCAGGGGGTTTCACAGGGGCTCCTCAGGCGGAGACCACCTCTTTGCCAGGTGAGTGGTCAGTCAACATTGGCCCGTGGCTCAGGCACCTTCCCCACAGGTTGAGGCAGCCAGCAGTGGGCACTCCTTCAACAATGCCAATCCTACTCACAGAGGGAGTGAAGAAAGGGCTGTGCCAGGCACTTTAGAGTCCCTTGGTTAGTTAGTTGACACTGTCCTTACACCTTCCTCTGAAGTAGGTGTTACCATCCTGTTATTTATATCAACGAGGCTCAGCAGGTCAGTGACCTGTCTAAGGTCCCTCTACCCTGGGCCTAAGTGGCATGTCTGGGCCTGGAACCCACATTCAGTTGGGTGCCAAGTTGCTTGTGCCCTCCAACACCCTGGCTGCTTTTGGGACTCATAGTAACGACAACCACAACAGCAACAGAGGGGAAAAATGCACACGCTCCAGTGTATGGGTGATGGCGCTGCAGCAGGCCAGCCTAGAATGTTCTGTAGCTTTTTAGAAGCAACGTTACTTAGACCGCGTAGCACCATGAGAAAATGCCCACAGACGCAGTATTAAATGAAAAAAGGTGTCACGGCACACACACTCCAGTGACAACGACAATGAAGGAAAAGGATGGGGAAAAGACTGGCAGTGAACTCCAAAATGCTAACACAGTCACTGCCTGCTGAAGAAATAGTGGGTGATTTTTGTTTCATTTTCTAAATTTCCTGTAGCGCTGTTTTGTTATTTTCTAAATCAAGAAAATGAGTACATTCATGGTTTCCCTATAATGAGCTCAGATTCACTTCCCTGGGACCCACCTGCTCCCTAGCTCTGGCCCACGTGTCTGGGACAATTTCTGCCATGGGATGCCTTTCTCATTTGGGACAGTCCCTCAGACATATGAGAATCTGTCCCTACTTTCTCTTTCCCAGACTCAGTCAACATCCCTGGCTCTTTGAAGATGACCTGTCAAGGTTTTAAAATCCTTCAAAAGATGGAGCCCAGAACCGCACCCAGGTGGGTCTGCCCCCTTTGGGGGGCAGCCATGTCACACTGTGGATCCTGGGTCTCAACCCCTACCTATACTTGTTTGGAGGAAGCTGCATTCTGTCCCCGAAATTTCCAACCCTTGCCGAGGGCCACTCTGTGTGGCTCAGCCTTTTGGGGTCTGGCCCCCCTGCGGTGGTGAATGGGAACATTTTCTGCTTTTTCCTTGCCCCTGACCCAATGCAGAGAGAAGAGCAGCTGCTTCTGAGAGGGTGGAGGGCACCAAGCTCACCAATGAAAAGCACATCCCTGCACACGTGCCAGCCAGAAGCCAGACTCCTTTCTTCAAAGGCCCTGGGACCCTGGATCACACCTTCACAGCTCACAGTTGGTAAAAAAATAAAATAAAATAAAATAAAAATTAAAAAGGCTGACTGGGGTGGGAGGGAGCTAACCATGTCAGGCTCCAGCCCCAGTCCCTCAGGCTGGAAAGGAAGTTAGGGCTGGGTGTGGGGCCATGTGAGGGGAGTCTCACAGGCCCAGGACATCTGGGTCCCCTCCACTGTGCATGTCAGGACAGCCAGAAAAAAAAGTGAAAAAACAAAAAAACCCTAAATCGTGAGCAGGGACCCAGCAGGACAAAACTGCCAGCAGCTCCAAGGGAGCCCAGACACTGCTCAGCACCCACCAGGGCAATGCCTGCTCTCCTGGGCCAGAGGATCCTGCCAGGCCTCAACCTCACCCCTGCTGTCCTTGCCCTGTTCCTGCTGTGGCCACAACCAAGAAAGACACTGGAACCGCCAGGGTACTAGGAGCTTGAAACAGGCCCCCTGGGTGTCCCCACTCTCACAATGCTCCCATGTCCCCAGTCTGTAGCCTGCTGCCAGTGGAGACAGAGCTTCCACGGTTCCCATGTGACCCCATTTATATCCTGAACTTGGCTGCTCCTGTGCCAGCTGGGCCATAGGTGTGGCGAGTGCTGGGTCAGGACTGACCACCAGGTTGTTTCAACTCAGAGCCGGGGCCAGGACCGGACCTTCCTGCCACACCACACAGATGGCCATACACCACACATTCCCCACATCTCCTGCTAGCTGACCCAGCCACAGCTGGAGCCGGAAGCCCTTTCACTCCCTCCAGCCCTCTGCAGGGAAGCACGTGCTCAACCAACAAGGTCCCTCTGGGGCCGGGCTGGGGGCCTGTGTCCCCAGTGGGTGAAGGTGCCTGCCTGGTTTCCTTCCACCCACAGCCATCCAGCCCTGTATAGCTGGGGATGAAAGGACAGCCAGCCTAACTCCACTAGAGGCCTGGGGTAGCAACTTCTCCCTTTGAGCCTCGGTTCCCGGGTGTACAAAATGGGCGGGGAAGTGAACTGGTAGTTAAGCTCCAAAAAATCTGCTGGCTGGACACACCCCTTCCTGACACCTGGTCTGGGCCACAAAGAGCCTAGGAGAATGGGCTGCCCAGGGTGCCAGAAGGTGGGGGCATGGTGCTAATGCTCCGTTACCTCCCCCCGGGCAGAAGGCCTGCCCAGTTTCCCACCCAAAGATCCCTTGGCTTAGGCCTGGTCTTCTGAGAGGCCAAGGGTGACAGGCTCAGTCCTAGGACCTGGGCTTCTAACTGCTCACCCGAGGTGGCTGGGCCCTGGGCTTGCTTGCAGCCCGCAGGGTCATGGTGGGGTAATGAGGGAGGGGTCAGAACCAAGCAAGCCAGGGCACCTGCGGGGAGGCCCTGTACAGGGAAGGGCAGGGGAGTCCAGCACTCTCTCTAGGGACCTGGCCCATACGGATCCTCTTCCTCCAGACTCCAGCCACCTCCTACTCTGAGCTCCACAGAGGGGGGGACTCGGGATGACCCGAGAAGACGAGTCCGTGGAGCTGCAGGGCAGTACCTCCCTCATGCACTCCCTTCCAATTTGGGTTCTGACAGTGGCTCCTGGGAGAATTCGAACCCGTGCAAGGGAGTAAAGGAGAGAAGGGAGAAGTGGGAGAAGAGGGGAATGGGAGTGGACGCGACAGTGGCAGCAACAGAGACTAGACGCGCGACCTCCACCCTCTTCCCTCCAGGGGACACTCCGGGACGGCCAGGCACTCACCTCTCTTGGGGCACTGCGGTCCGGGCCACCTCGCCGCGGGCGGCATCAGCGGCCTGCGGGACGGTCCATGCGGTCAGGGGGGAGGGGAGGGGCGCAGGGGTCCCCAGGGGGTGCGGTACAAAGAGGTATGGGTGCAAGGAGAGGGGAGGAGGGACCGCCAGGCAGAGGCAGGGGGACGGACGCACGGCCCGGGTCGCGGAGGGAAGAAAGGCGGGGGAAGGGGGCGGGAGGGAGTCGGGGGGAGGAAACAATGTAGCCGGCGCGGCCCCGGCAGAGTTCCGCTTCCGAGCGCCGCCACTGAGGTTCGATTTTGGAACGTCGCGCTGGCTGCCGGGGGCCGCCCCGGACGCTCGATCGGGGCCGCGGGGCTCCTCGCGCTCCACGCCCCGCGGGCTCCGGCGGCCAGAGGCTGGCTGGGGCGGGAGGGACGGCGGGCCGGGTTACGGCCCCGACGGCGGCGCAGCCGGGCGGTCGCCCGGCTCGGACCCCACCCCGGCAGAAGCCCCCGGGCAAGGCGCGGGTGGGGCAGGAGCGGGAGGGCGGCAGCGGGCTCGGCGGCGGCGGCGGCCAACCTCGGCTCGCCCAGGGCTCCGCTGGGAGGAAGCTCGCAGGCCTGGCGAGAGGAAGCGCGGCCCGGATCCTCCGCCCGCGGCAGCGCGCCTGCGCGAGGGGGCCTGCCCGGCGCGCGGCGGGGCGTGGGCCGGCGGGGCGGCGCCCCCTGCCGGGCGCCGGGGGCACTGCGGGGGGTGTGTCCGCGCCCACGCCCTGCCCCCACTTGCCGCCTGGCTGCGTTGAAGGCTCCGAGGGTCTCTCCTCAGCCGGCCTGGGAGCAACCTCCCAGCCTTCTCTGGACGCAGCTTTCCCGCTGCAGAAGCGCTGGGGGCCGGGCCTGGGCCCCTCTCCTCAGGTCTGTTTGTGGAGAGTGGGCCTGATTCGCAGCAGAAAGCCTTCATTCATTCATTCACCAACATTTCCTGGCGCTGACATCGTGGCGGAGCCTGCTCTGGAGTCTATTGGCAAGACCATTTCACTACCGTCAAGGCGTTCTCGGTCGGGTGGGGGTAGGCTGACAGGCCGACAGACAACGGCAAGGAAATAATTGATCAAAGTGGAGAGGTGGTGGACACGGTTCCCAGGAGGCAGAAAGAAAACTAGGGCTAACGGGGAGACCTCACACCTCACAGAGCCGGGACCAGGCAGAGGGAACAGCATGCACAAGGGCGGGGAGTGCGGAGGGAGCTTGGTGGCTTCTGGGATCTAAATATAGCTCAGGCGGCTGCCGCTTGCAGTGTGGGTGGGGGAGAGTGGTGGGAGATGGGTTCCTGCAAACAACAGGGGCAAAAGAGATCCAAAGAGCCTCATGGGACTTTCTTGGAGTTTATGTTCAGCCTGGAGGCAATAAAGAAGTTGTCAGCAGCTCTGTGACCTTGGGCAAGTTACTTAACCTCTCTGTGCTTTAGTTTCCCCATTTGGTAAAATAGGTGATATATAATGGCACCGACTTCTTAAGTTTTTGTGGGGAGGGGAGGAAATGAGTTAATACGTTTAAAGTGCTTAGTATGCAGTAGCTGGCACGTGAGGAGCCCTCCGTTAAGCAAGGGCTGTTACATCACTGTTAACGAAAAGCAGGGAGATGACCTGCTCTGAGCCACAGGAGAGGACAGCGTGCTCAGGCATGACAGGGGTGGGAGAGTGCAGGGTGGCGGGGGAACAGAATGGGGATGCAGTGATGAGGGTGAGACCGGGGAACAGAATGGGGATACAGTGATGAGGGCGAGACCAGAGACTCCAGCGTAGGGAGGAGGTAAAGGTGGGGGACTTTCTAGGGACTAGACCCTGAAGCAAGGGTCAGGCTTGGGTGGACAGAGGGAAGAGGCACTCTTGGGGTTGGGGGGGAGGAAGTGGGGCATGCTGACAAAGTCTTGGAACACAAAATAAGCATGAAGAGGCCCGAGGGAGCGAGAAGAGGGCAAACAGCCCTGTGGGAGACGGAGCTGGGAGACAGTGTGGCTGCAGATTGTTTTAAAGAGCCTCGGATGCCAGGAGGAGTTGCCCCCAAAACCACAGGTCGGCCCTCTGACCCAGGGCACCCTTAGGCCGGTTTCCCAGCTGGAGCCAGCCCTTTGGAGAGGGATGTCCTTTGAGGAGACAGCCAGTAAGTTTCAGAGATAGGTGTGGTGTAACAGAAAAAAGATGAATTTGGGGTTCAAGTCTCCAAGTTAAATTTCAACCCGTCCACTTACTAGCTGTGTGACTTAGGGCTAGTTACCTAAGGTCTCTGAGCTGTTTCCTCTTTTGTAAGATCAGGCTCAAAATATACTTCTCTCATGATAGATAGTGCAGATTCAGCAAGATAACGGCCTGGGGGTGAGGGAGTGGAAAGGGTGCTCAGCAGAGCTGGTTTCCCTTTCTTTCCTCTGAGGTCAAGATGGAATGATAATATGGGGCCGGATGGGGGGCCGCCTCTCAGCCTACAAGAAAGCACTTCAGCAGCTCTGCAAAGCCTTCTGGGAGGGAGAAATTGACATCTCCCCTCCCCTGGCTGAATCAGCTAGCAGAATGGGAAAGAAAAGACTGGGGATTTGGGGAAAATACTCTAATCCCTGTTCCAGTTTTGTCACCAACCTTTCTTTATCCCCAAATGCACTTGACTTTTTCCCCTGGGTGTGCTGTGGCCCAGCTGTGAACTTTGGAGTCAAATAGACCAGCATTTGAATCCTGGCTCCACCTCTTCTCAGCAAAGTGAAATAAATTTTTTAATCTTCCTGTACTCCAGGCACTGGGGATAAAACCATAAACAAATCGATAAAGGGCCCCACTCCCACAGACCTGTCCTCTGGTGGAATTATTGGGCTGGGCGCCGTGGCTCACACCTATAATCCCAGCACTTTGGGAGGCCGAAGCAGGCAGATCACAAGGTCAGGAGATCGAGACCATCCTGGCTAACATGGTGAAACCCTGTCTCTACTAAAAATACAAAAAATTAGCTGGGCGTGGTGGCGGGTGCCTGTAGTCCCAGCTACTGGGGAGGCTGAAGCAGAAGAATGGTGTGAACCCAGGAGGCGGAGCTTGCAGTGAGCCGAGATCACGCCACGGCACTCCAGCTTGGGCAATAGAGCGAGACTCTGTCTCAAAAAAACAAAACAAAACAAAACAAAACAAAAAAACAAATGCTTATTGAGCACCTACTAAGTGCTAGGTGGGAAGTGCTAATTAGGGAAAGGGAATCTGGTCGGTGGGAGCAAGGGAAAGCAAAAAGAGAAATTAGATAAGCTGTGAGTCTGCCTTTCTTCATGTCTAGGACATATAGCTCTCCTGTGCAAATAATTCACAATCTTCCTGTGCCCGACTATCACCAGACTCCTGCAAGTTAGCTCACTGTACCCTTGGCAAGTTAGCTCACTGTACCCTTGGCGTTTGATACTGCACAAAAACCTCCTCAACAGATAGCATAACACTAATTCTATAAAATCTCCAACAACCTTTTGTTTCCTGGCAGTCAGCTTCTCTTCTGCCTTCTTGCAATGTATTTTCCTACTTTTTCTAATAAATCTGCCTTTATCTACAACTGTCTTAGTAAGTTTTTGTTTTGTTTTGTTTTGTTTTTTGTTTGTTTGTTTTGAGACGGAGTCTTGTTCTGTTGCCCAGGCTGGAGTGCAGTGGCATGATCTCGGCTCACCACAACCTCCCGCTCTGGCATTCAACCATTCTTCTGTCTCAGCCTCCCACGTAGCTGGTACTATAGGTGTGTGCCACCATGTTCAGCTAATTTTTGTGTTTTTAGTAGCGATGGTTTTCACCATGTTGGCCAGGCTGGGCTCAAACTCCTGACCTCAAATAATCCACCCACCTTGGCCTCCCAAAGTGCTGGGATTACGGGCGATAGCCACCACGCCCCAGGCCAGTGTTGGAGGAGTGGGGGAGGGTATTGCAGGTGGGGAGGAAGATAGTGAAAGACCCTGAGGCACAGAAAGCCTCAGTGGCTCAAGGGACAGCCAGAAGGCCAAGGTGATGAGACCGGCAAGCAGGGGAGAGTGGTGTTTGAGGAAGGGACAGATTCTATAGGGTGTTGTGGGCCAGAGATTTTTATTACAGGAGTTTAGGTTTTATCATATGAGCAATGGGGAGCCATTGAAAGATGTTTATAAGCAGGGTAGTGATATGATAAAGAGTGAAGGTCGGCTGGGCCCTGTGGCTCTCGCCTGTGATCCCAGCACTTTGGGAAGCTGAGGCAAGAGGATCACTTGAGGCCAGGAGTTTGAGACCAGCCTGGGCAACAGAGCAAGACCCTGTCTCTACAAAAAAAAAATTTCTAATTAGCTAGGCATGGTGGTGTGTGCTGGTAGCTAGCAATCTTCCCATCTCAGCCAGGCTGAGGTGGGAGGATCACTTAGGGTGGGAAGATGGAGGCTGCAGTGAGCCACTGAACTTCAGCCTGTGCAACAGAGTGAGACCCTGACTCCAGAAAAAAAAAAAAAAAAAGTTAAGGTCAAAGGTCAAAGCCCTAGTGAGGAGGCTGTTGCATGGCCTGGACCAGGGCTGACGGGTCTAGCCCTGGTGGAAGCAGCGGGATAGGGAAGTGAATGGACAAAGGCAAGTCCCAGGGCAGCTCTCCGTGAGGGGTTGTTTGTGGGGAGTGAGGCCACAGGAGAAATCAGGCATGACTCCTCAGTCCTCAGGTGTGGCTGGAGCACCTGGGGAGATGGTGCGAGATGGGAGAACCTGGGGAGAGTGCCAGGCTGGGGGAACACTCAGGAGTTTGGTTTTGGACAAAATGAGCTTGGGATGCCTGTGAAATGTGGAGTCAAGGCAGTGTTGGGAACTGAACACTAGCTCTCTGAGGCTGGGCCACTCTTGCCTGGCTGTTGGGCCTGCCCCAGGGGAATGGAGAAGAGAGGAGAGGTTGGAGACCCACCCCTGGATGTGGGGAACCAGAGAGAAGCTTCTGGCTGCATTTTGATGATACAAGTGCCAAATGGGATAGCTCCATGCAAAGTTGGGTTGGCCTCCAGCAGTCCAGAGCTTATGCACATGTATGTGCATTTATACCCTTATGGGGTCCCCTGGGAAGGGAAGGGCCGCTCCTCTCTCCACCCAGCCTCCTCCCCTCCCCCAGCCTCTTTGCACAGAGATGACAGTTTAGAGAAGCTGGTGTGAAATAGCTTGAAACTCAGACCGTCTGGGCAGTCCCCCAGGGCAGAAAACAGGAAGCCAAGATTAAAGGCAGATTTCCAGCAAAGTCCCCTTCTATTTCCTGCAGAGCAGGTGCTCAGGCTGAGTTGGCTGCTAGCAAGAGGGGCCGGGCAGCTTCCCTTGCTGACAGCACCTCCAGGCCCCCCGCAGTGGCTGGCTTTCCAGCTTTGGGAGCTGTCCTTTGGCCCTGTCATCACCATCCCCACCAGGCCCTTAAGGAATGCGCCTCCTCCGGAAAGAGGCTGTCGCGGGAGTCATCACTAGGAAAGAGGCTTAACGGTGGCACAGACAGGAAGCAGAACTTGGGGGCACCCGTGAGGCAATGGGACCAAGCAGAAAAGGCATGGGCCGTGGGTCACTCAGGCCTGGCATGAATCCAAGGTGCAGGGTGCAGGGTGCAGGGTCTCACTGAGCTGTGGGGATGGGTTGAGACATGAAAGTAGGGGGAAAGGGGCCTTCAGGGAAGGTGGCCAGGGAGATCCGGCCAGTGCTGGGGCTGAGTGTCTCTAGGGAGAAACAGGGAGAAGCCAAGAGGCCACAGTAGCCCTTGTCATCTTAATGCCAGGGGCCTGTTGGCTGAGTGCCAGCTGAGGCCCACAGATAGCAAAGACTCAGGGAACCAGGGGCCAGGACAGGCCTCCCCTGTGACCTCTGCCCCTTCCTGCCTGACCTGCGGGAGAGCAGGCTCTTGGGGATTCCATCAAGTCAAGCAGCTGAGACTTCCTCCTGCAGAGATAAACCTTGGCCTTCCCAATAACCCCTCTCGCCCTCCTGAGAAGGCCTGAGCTCCCATCCTTCCAAAGCTGTCCTTTGGAGGAAACATGTCTGCCTGAATCTAGGCACTGAAAACCTCCCTCCTAAGGCTGGAAAGTTTATTATGAGGATGAGGCATTGGCCCAGGAGACCCAGGTTCTAGGGACAGACACTGCTTCTTTTTTTTTTTTTTTTGAGATGGAGTCTCGCTTTGTCGCCCAGTCTGGAGTGCATGGTGTGATCTCGGCTCACTGCAACCTCTGCCTCCCAGGTCCAAGCAATTCTCCTGCCTCAGCCTCCCGAGTAGCTGGGATTACAGGCGCCACCACCACACCCGGCTAATTTTTGTATTTTTAGTAGAGATGGGGTTTTACCATATTGGCCAGGCTGGTCTTGAACTCCTGAACTTGTGATCCGCCCGCCTTGGCCTCCCAAAGTATTGGGATTACAGGTGTGAGCCACCGCGTCCGGCCGACACTGCTTCTTACTTTGGGCCAGTCCTTCTCCTCTAGGCCTGTTTCCCTACCTAGCAACTGAAGGGTTTGGATTTGGTGATCCATAGGTCTGAATCCCTGTGTACAAGTGGAGGACCTTGGGAGTAAGGTGGGGAGGGGCTGCTGACTGCCTCTAATTTCTGTCCCCCTGGGACCAGAGAACTATCATTTACTGAACACCTACTATGTGCCAGGTACTTTATTATTATCATTGATAATAGCAGCTAATATTTATTGAGCACTTACTATGCACAACCGCTTTTCATGTCAGACCAAGGTCAGCTCTCTCCACTGCACCAGTTTGCTCCAAGAGGATTTCCTGAGAAGTTAGTTTTTGTTTCCCGTCGCGATGATGGTAGAAGTCTTGATTTGTTGGCTTGGTGGCTTGAGTGGTGTGGTGGTGACCCAACTGAGAGGCCACTGGGAACTGGAGGACCCCACCCTCGGGGCCTGAGGCAGCCAGCACTCAGGGGTTAACTGGCAGACCCCTGATCGCAAAGGTTTTGGGTCCTGGGCTTCCTGGTTTGATATCTCCCTAGAGAGGGCAGATCCAGAGCCAAGTCTATGACAAGAGTTCGCCAAGGTGCCTGGGATCCCTGCAGGCTGTCCCAGCGCCTCCCCCACGCACACGATTCCCTCCTCCTGGGTCCCTATCTTCTTGGAATGTTCTGTCTTGTGGGGGCAGAGGTGTTCAACAAGGCGAGGCAAGTTCCCAGAGGATTGTGCAAGTGCAGTGTGAGTGCGGAGCAGAGACCTCTCCTCACCTGAGCACTCAGACCCTGCAGGAGGAGAGGTGGTGCCTGGGGGCCTGGCAGAGGGGGCAACAGGAGCAGAGGCCCTGGAACTGGAAGGGATTGAGCTTTGGGCAAAAGGAAAACAGGCCAGGATGGGATGGGGTCAGAGCCTTGGAAGCAGAGGCGCAAATGGCCAGAGCCTGTAGGATCCCCTGTGGAATAGGGGAGTCTTTGGACTTCATCCTTAGGGCATCGGGGCCCCGCCCCCATGCTATTTGAGGGTTCACCACAGCCTCAGCTGATCAGATTTGCATGTTAAAAATATTACTTCTGCTTCTGGTTGGAGAATTGACTGGCTGTCCTCGGGAAGCTTTGATGACCTCTTCCCACATCCCAAGGCTGGAAGCCTCCCCTCTGCTATTGTCCCTCACTGGCCCACTTCTTAGTATTATAGCACTGACTACCCACTTCGTATTTGTGTCCTGATCGGCTGCTGGAGGCTGAATCCTGGTACTCAAACGTTTGTTGAATGAATAAGTGATATGAATTTCAATTAATAATAATAATAATAGGCAATGCTAATGTAGGTGTTGCATGTGCTAGCATCATTCTAAGCATTTTACGTGTCTTTTTGTTTGTTTGTTTTTGAGACAGAGTCTTGCTCTGTTGCCCAGGCTGTAGTGCAGTGGTGCGATCTCATCTCCTGCAACCTCCACTGCCACCCCCCTCCCCCCACCCTGGGTTCAAGTGATTCTCCCACCTCAGCCTCCCAGCAAGTAGCTGGGACCACAGGCACATGCGTGCCATCACACCCAGCTAATTTTTGTATTTTTAGTAGAGACAGGGTTTCGCCATCTTGGCCAGGCTGGTCTGGAGCTCCTGAGCTCAAGTGATCCACCTGCCTTGGCCTCCCAAAGTGCTGGGATTACAGGTGTGAGCCACCGCACCCTGCTGTTTACTTTTTTTTTGAGAAAGGGTCTCCCTATGTGCCTAGGATGGTTTTGGAGCTTCTAGGCTCAAGCAATCCTTCTGCCTCAGCCTCTCAGAGTAGCTGGGACTACAGGGGCCTGCCTGGCTATTCTACATGTCTTAAGTTTCATTTGATCCTCCCAATCTCTTTACAATGTAGATATTATTATTACTTCTATTTGCAGATAAGAAAACTAAAGAGGGATTTAAGGAGGACACAGTCACCAGATCCCAGCTGGGGGAAAAGGGACCCGGGATGCCACCACATCATTCTTGCTCAATTTATTACAAAGTCTTCCAGGTTGGAGTCCTGGCTGCACCCCATCCCAGCCTTGTGACCTTAAGCAAAAGTCACTGAACCTTTCTGAGCCTCAGTTTCCTCATCTCTAAAGTGGGACTGAGAGGACCCATGTCACAGGGGACTTATGCTAAACCGAGATGATGTAAAGTTGCTTGCTTAGCAGGGTTCTTTGACACAAGGCAGACTTTCACACCACGGCAGTTAGATGAATATTTTTTCTCTCACTCCTGAAACAGGCTTTGTAGTTCTGGCTCTCCCCTGCTGGGTTCAGTCGGGCTTTCCAAGGGTAGGGCCAGGCCTTTTGTCTGTTCCTAGGCCTACAGTTTCGCAATGGCTGATGAATTGAAAACCCTCATTCATCCATTCACTAAATATTGAGGGCGTGTTTACTACCTTCCAGGCACTGGAGCAGCTGGAATTGGGCAGAGCCAGAGCTACCTGGTTCCCACCTGGAGTCCTGGGCTCACAGCAGGCTGACATATCTCCCTCAATGCTGTCAGGGGTCACTTTTGTGCTGAACCCAATAGTCCCCAGGCTCTGCCTTGCTGACTGGAAGCCGCAGTTGGCACTGTTCTGGCTTTCCTCCTGGGAACTCTTTGGGCGAAAGCAGGAAAAGAGGCCCTGGGGTTCTCTGCAGTGCAAAGGTTAGAGACCTGGCCCAAGGTGGGGCAGGTGAGAAGGAGCAGGAGGTCTGCTCTGCGAGGGCTGGGAAGAGAGAGCAACTGGGCACTGGTGAGCCTCAGGCCCAGCTTTTGCAAAACCCATGCAAATGCCCCCGCCCAGGTGTTACACCTGTGAAGAAACCTGTGTGCCAACATTGTCCCTGTCAGAGATCAGAGGAGCTTTTGAAAGACCTCCTTGCCTGATTGGGGGTGGGGTGGAACTGGGCTGGGGGCTGGGGCCAGGGATAGATACTCCCTGAGCCGGAGGAGACTTTGGAAGCCCCAGTGAGTCAGGGATGAGGCCTGGAGGGCCCTTTGTCAGGGGACTCCAGAGGACCTGGAGGGAAATGCCCCTTCCTTTTGGCCCGTAAGACCCCCAGAATTTCCTTCTAGAGAGTGTGTGTTTGGGTGAGGTGAGCTCCGTGAGGACAGGGACTGGCTCCCTTTCTTCTGTCTCTCCATGGGAAGGCACAGAGCCTGTAGCCATAAATGTGTGCTGAATGAATACGTGAGTGACCAGATTTTCCCCCGGGGGTCTCAGGGCTCCCGTTCCAAGGAGAAGCTCCTTGCCTGCATCCCTATTGCCCGCGCCCCAGTCTATCTTCTTGAATCCCTAACTGGAAGCTTTGGGTCTCCAGGAGTGCTCTCCTGACATTGAGGTAGCCCCGGGAGGTCCCAGTCACCTCTCCCTCCAGCCAGGGTCAGTTCCTTCTTTTCTTTTTTTTCTTTTATTTTGAGACAGAGTCTCACTTTGTCGCCCAGGCTGGAGTGTAGTAGAGCGATCTTGGCTCCCTGCAAGCTCCATCTCCCAGGTTCAAGTGATTCTCCTGCCTTAGCCTCCTGAGTAGCTGGGACTACAGGCGTGTGCCACTATGCCTGGCTAATTTTTGTATTTTCAGTAGAGATGGGGTTTCACCATGTTGGCCGGGCTGGTCTTGAGAAATCCTGACCTCAAGTGATCCACCTGCCTCGCCCTCCCAAAGTGCTGGGATTACGGTGTGAGCCACCGAACCCAGGGCCGATCCTTTTTTTTTTTTTCTGAGACAGGGTCTTGCTCTGTCACCCAGGCTGGAGTACAGTGGTGCGATATCAGCTCACTGCAACCTCTGCCTCCTGGGCTCAAGCAATCCTCCTACCTCATCCTCCCGAGTAGCTGGGACTACAGGTGCATGCCACCACGCCCAGCTAATTTTTGTATTTTTAGTAGAGACGGGGTTTCACCATGTTGGCCGGGATCGTCTCGATCTCTTGACCTCATGATCTGTCTGTGTTGGCCTCCCAAAGTGTTGGGATTACAGGAGTGAGCCACCGCGCCCAGCCTGGGGCCAGTTCTTATCCCCTAAAGATTCCCACCCTCACCCCGCAGCCAGGTTGCCTCCTGCAGCCTGCAGCCCTCAGCGACTCCAAGTCCTCTGCAGCTGGTGGTGTAGCCAGCTCTCAATGCCTGTCTCCACCAAGTGACCAGCCAGCAGTGTGTTTGGCAGCTCACTGAGGAGGCCCACCAGGTGGGCTGCTGGGAGCCAGCCCCTTGCGTGGGGCCTGGCGCGGGTGCTGACACCCACCTCCACCCCCCGCTTTGCTGAATGAGTGAGGATAGATGTTGGGGAGACAGGACCAAAGCTTGGGATGAGTCAGGCCGGCTAGGGCCAGGATGTGTGACTGGGGCCCAGGGAGATGATGTTTGCTGGCAGTGCCCTGTTCCAGCCGCACTGGAGCCCTTACTTTCCCTGGGTGACTGCCCTATTCCCAGCTTGGTTCTCTGTCTTTGTGAGCGGGGCATTTATTTTCTGCTAATGTTAGCTGGAGGTCAGTCTCTGTTGTTTGTGACTTAGAAGCCTGACTGGTGCCCCCTGACCCCACCCCCATCATGGCGGGTGGGAAGATGAGGTCAGGTCTTGCGTTTGAAGTGCCAGATTCACAGCAATTAGACAAAGGCCATTGTCTTCCCTTGCACTCTGGGTGATTACTCGCCTCCTGCCTCTTTCAGAATCTAGAATTCAGGCCTGGCTTGGTGGCTCACGCCTGTAATCCCAGCACTTTGGGAGGCCGAGGTGGGCGGATCACTTGAGCTCAGGAGTTTAAGACCAGCCTGGCCAACGTGGTGAAACCCTGTCTCTACTAAAAATACAAAAAATTAGCCAGGCGTGATAGTGCACGCCTGTAGTCCCAGCTACTCAGAGACTGAGGCAGGAAAATCGCTTGAACCCAGGAGGTGGAGGTTGCAGTGAGCGGAGATTATGCCACTGCACTCCAGCCTGGGCGACAGAGCGAGACTCCATCTCAAAAAAAAAGAGAAAATCTAGAATCCAGTCTGGTCTCTGGTGGCGCTGGGCTGTTGGTCTACTCGGGTCTGAGGGGGAACAGCGCCTCCTGGTGGCCACAACACAGAGCTCAAGGGGAAGGAATGAGAGAGCGACAGAGAGGCAGGCAAGGTCACACTGCCCTGTCGGGCAGGCTCAGAGGCACGCCTGGAGAGCAGGCGCATGTCTGCTCTGGGAAAGATGAGCCGTTTGGCTCCTGGGAGGACCATGTCCCAGGCTTACCTAGGGCTGGAGCCAGAGCTGACTGTTCCCGATTGCGAGCATCACAGGGCAGGTCCTGGGTGGATGAGGGCAGGGAGCTGGAAGGGGCCCCATTTGGCTGTGGAATAACTTTTCTAGAGGAGGTGCTGGGGGGTGGGTGAGCCAGATCAGCATATGGCTGCTGGGACCCCACAGGGCCCCCTACCGTGGGCTGCTCCCTGATTTGAAGGCCACCACCACGCTGGCCCCTGGGGATCCTGGATTGGCCTCAGTGTTGCTGACATCCTCAGATTTTCCTGAGTAATAAGAGCAAAGTGAGGACAGGTAGGAAGGCACACTTTGTTGAACACCTACTGTGTGCTGGGTGTTTGCACATTTGCTCTCATTTGATCATCTTCCTTCAAGGAAAACAGTAGCATCTAGATCTTAACTGTAGGGCAAGGGAGACCCACAGAGGGTGATTTACAGAACCACCCCAGAGCCTGAACTCTTTTTCCTGCCCCATGAGGAGGTCACCAGATGGCAGCTGCAGAGACCCCAGGCCCCAGGTCCTAGGTTTGCTCGGCAGTGAAGGGCTGCAAGTTGGGGGAGATGTTTGCCTTCTGCCTGCCAGCCCTCCATGTAGACCTTCAGAAGCTTCTGGTGCAGGGACCATCTCCTGCTGGACATGGTTGGGGTAGGAGGGTCTGGTTGCAACAGTCCTGGACCTTGAGGTGGGAGGCAGAGATAGGGCACAGGTGGAGGCAGGGCCAGGAAGGAGGAGCATGACATAGCAGGCTGGGGTCAAACTCCTGACTTCACAGTCTGCCCTGAGCCTTCTCCGCAGCTTTTGGCTTGGTCCAGGCCCTTTGAGGGGAATGCCAAGTTGGAGTGTCATGTGTTGCCCCAGTCACTTCTGCATGGGCTCCAAGAGCCACCAGCAAGCTTGAGGCCAGATCCAACTCCGCAAATGACTAGAGGTGTCATCCTGGGCAAGTGACCTCCTGCGCCTCTGTCCCCATCTGCCCAGTGGGCATTAGCACATCGCTATCACAGCGAGCTTTAAGGACTAAGTGGGACAAAGTGCCAGGAGGGACCTGGCATGGAGCAGGTGCTCGGGGAACTTCGGCTGATTCTCAAGTGAAAGCAGAAGCAAGGGGGCAGCTGGACTGCAGCCATCTCCAAGATCCTGGAATTTAATCCCTTTGAATATAAGATCCCTGAGAAGAGGCAGGTGGAGGTGTAGGTCCGTGAAGAACTGGCCGCTCTCATCCCTGTGCCTTTGGCACACCTGCAACCCTCGTTTTCTCACCTGTTGCTCCAGCTAAGTGAGCAATGTGAGAGTCCCAGGAGGTTACAAATGGATCTGCACCATCAGTGTTCCCAGTGCCCCAGCACAGAAAATATAATGAATCAGCCTTGAGGGTAGTGAGCTCTCTGTTCTTAAAAGTATGAGAACAGAAGTTGAACTCCTGGCAGGGAGTTAGATGAGGAATTGGTGTTTTTTTTGTTTTGTTTTGTTTTTTTGAGATGGAGTCTTGCTCTGTCACCCTGCCTGGAGTGTAGTGGCGTGATCTTGGCTCACTGCAACCTCTGCCTCCTGGGTTCAAGCGATTCTCCTGCCTCAGCCTACTGAGTAGCTGGGATTAAAGGTGCCTGCCACCATACCTGGCTATTTTTTTTTTTTTTTTTTGTAGTTTTAGTAGAGACGGGGTTTTACCCTGTTGGCCAGGCTGGCCTCGAACTCCTGACCTCATGTGATCAGCTCGCCTCAGCCTCCCAAAGTGCTGGGATTATAGGTGTGAGCCAGCACGCCTGGCCTGCACGAGGAATTTCTACTCCAGGTGGGTCTATGAGGACCAGGCTGGGGAATGAGAGGAAGTGGGGGGCTGTCCTCTGGCCACTCTTAGTGGCTTCTCTAGAATTTCTGCATAGGACTGACTTGAGACTTGTCTTGAAGTTGTATTTGCAAAACAAAGTCGCTTATTCCTTAGGTTGCCTTTTTATTTGGGGTGGGGTCCCCAAGACAGTGGGTAAAGGCTAGCAGCTATGAGAAACATGTGTTTCTCTAACTGCCCACGAGGGGGCAGCCTACACTGCATTTTCGGCTCCAGTTCTTGGCTGGGGAGAGTGACGCGGGCAGATCCTGACATGAGGACAGGGCTGGGGGCTGATGGATTGGGAAGAATTGGGCATCAGATGGGTGTGGGGCGGGGGCTATTCTTCTCCCCATAGATCACAAGCCCGACTTTTTTGGGGTTAGGAGGAACAGGCAAGGTGGGAAGCTTTCCTTTCAACAGTGAATCCTGCCACTGGAAAAATTTAGTAGAATTTGAAGACCACGGTTGTAGCAAGCGTCCAGGAAGCGTTTCAGCTCGACATTTCGGGACAGATTCCTGCCTCTCCGGGGCAAGGAGCACGTGACAGCATGGCTGCTGGGAGGAAGGGAGCCCCGCACATTGTGCACATGTACCCTAAAACTTAAAGTATAAATAAATAAATAAATAAATAAATAAATAAATAAATAAAAGAAAAGCCCCCAGAGGGCGGCCCTGAGCTCACATAGGACAGTTAAGCAGGGGACTTGAGGCACGGTGGTGAGCTGGAGCTCCTCTGTCATCCCCTGGGTGGGAGGAACCTGGTGCTGGCTTGTGTGTAGTGCGTATCTACCCACTTCAGCCTCCCAAAGTGCTGGGATTACAGGCTCATTGCAGAGCTCCTGGCCTTTTCCCCGGGCAGCCACTCGCAGCAGGCCCAGTGACATCCTGGGTGGATGAGGGCAGGGAACCGAGAGCGGCTGGAGGGGAAGGAGATGGGATAGGACCATTTCTGGAAAGAATGGGTGGATTGGTCACTCAGAGAACAGCAGAACCCAGCCCTTCCAGGAACCATCCCCAGAAGCCCCTTCTGGCTCTGGATGGGCTTTTCTAGATGGGGTGCTACAGGGGTGAGCCCGATGTATATGTGGCTGCCAGGACTCCCCACAGTCCCCTGAGTCTGAGCCCCTGTGCATCCGCAGCTTATGCATGTAGCATTATCAGCGCAGGATGCTCACACTGGTTTAGCACAGTGCGCCTGTAGGCACCGGGAAGTTCTGACTCTCCCTTGGAGTGGGGCCTGGAGCCCCTCTCTGGGTGAGGGGATGGCCTCACCTCTCTCTGGGTGAGAAGGCAGCCCCTTCTCAAACTCATCGGGTGCATCCCTGGGGACACAGGGCAGAAAGACCCATGACCCCCTTTGGGCTCCAAGTTGGGGGTGCAGGGCAGAGGCCAGAGAGCTCAGCCAGAGCCTAGCAGACCCCAGGCGGGCAAGGAGGAAATTATACCGAGTCCCACCCACTGCCTGTTTGCCCAGCTGCAGGGGAGCCTGGCAGGAGCCAGGATAGGATTCTGCAGCCCTGGGGCAGCAGGGACTAGGAGGGGACTGGCCTGGCAGAATGAAGGCTGGGTTTTCAGCCTTGCCCGTACACCACCTTCCTGGAAAGAAGACCTTCTTCCCAGGAAAAGAAAAGCCCCCGGAGGGTGGCCCTTTCCTTCCCGTCCTGGTCTTTACAATCTTGCAAAAGGTCCCCAAATGCATACCTGAAATACCTCTGAGTTCATAGAGCCAAAAAGATCTAGGTTTCAGTTCTGGCTCTTCTGCTTTCCTGAAGAAGCCATCTTCCCTCTCTGAACCTCTGTCTCTCCATCTCTAAATTTGGGTTATTTCACAGGTGAGGCTATGCCTTTCCTAAGAGGGGTGATAATTTGCCTTCAAGCACACAGTAACCCCTTTCCTGCCTCAGGACCTTTGCACAGGTTGGTCCCTCTGCCTAGAACTCTTTTTCCTCTTTTTTTTTTTTTTGATTTTTTATTTTTTGAAGCAAAGTATCGCTCTATCTCCCAGGCTGGAGTGCAGTGGTCCGATCTCGATCTTGGCTCACTATAACCTCCGCCTCCCGGGTTCAAGCGATTCTCCTGTCTCAGCTTCCCGAGTAGCTGGGACTACAGGCATCCGCCACCACTCCCGGATAATTTTTGTATTTTTAGTAGAGACAGAGTTTCACCATATTGGCCAGGCTGGTCTCGAACTCCTGACCTTGTGATCCGCCCGCCTCAGCCTCCCAAAGTGCTGGGATTACAGGCGTGACCCACCGCGCCCACCCTCCTCTTTTCTTTTCTTTTCTTTTTTCAGATGGAGTCTCGCTCCTTCGCCTGGGCTGGAGTGCAATGGCACAATCTTGGCTCACTGCAGCCTCCGCCTCCTGGGTTCAAACAATTCTCCTGCCTCAGCCTCCCGAGTAGCTGAGATTACAGGCATTCACCACTATGTCTGGCTAATTTTGTGCTTTTAGTAGAGACGGGGTTTCTCCATGTTGAGGCTGGTCTCGAACTCCTGACCTCAGGTGATCCACCCGCCTCAGCCTCCCAAAGTGCTGGGATTACAGGCGTGAGCCACCGCGCCCGGCATACCTGGCTATTTTTTTTTTTTTTGAGATGGAGTCTCGCTCTGTTGCCCAGGCTGGAGCGCAGTGGCATGATCTGGGCTTACTGCAACCTCTGCCTCCCAATGCCCAGCTAATTTTTGTAGTTTTAATAGAGACAGAGTTTCACCATGTTGGCCAGGCTGGTCTTGAACTCTTGACCTCAGATGATCCTCCTGCCTCAGCCCCCCAAAGTGCTGAGATTACAGGTGTGAGCCACTGTGCCCAGCCAACCTTTTTTTTTTTTTTTTAATGGGCTCTCGTTCTGTTGCCCAGGCTGGAGTGCAGTGGAGCCATCTCAACTCACTGCAACCTCTACCTCCCAGGCTCAAGCAATCCTCCCACCTCAGCCTCCCGAGTAGCTGGGGTTACAGGCACCCGCCACCATGCCCGGCTAATTTTTATATTTTTAGTAGAGATGGGGTTTTCACCATGTTGGCCAGGCTGGTCCTGAACTCCTGACCTGAAGTGATCCACCCACCTCAGACTCCCAAAGTGCTGGAATTACAGAAGTGAGCCAACGTGCCCAGCCTCCATCTTAACCATTTTTAAGTACACAGTTTAGTGGTATTAAATGCACTCATAATGTTGTGCAGCCATCACCACTGTCCATCTCCAGAGCCCTTTCCATCTTGTAAACCTGAAACCCTACCCATTAAACACTAACTCCCCATTCCCCCTTCTCCCCAGCCCCAGGCAACCACTGTTCTGTCTATCTGTAGGGTTTTGACTATTCTAGGTATTTCACAAAAGTGGAACCATACGGTATTTGTGTTTTTGTAACTGGCTTATTTCACTTAGCATAATGTTTAAAGCTTTACTTTTCAACTAAAATTCACTTCCACCAATGATAAATATGAATGCCAACTTTTCAGCACCCTTGCTAACACCATACATCTTTCCCAATGTAATTGGTAAAAAATTATATTTGTAGTTTTAAGTTATAGTTCACTGATGCCAGGCATGGTGGCTCACACCTGTAATCCCAGCACTTTGGGAGGCCAAGATGGGTGGATCACTTGAGGTCAGGAGTTGGAGACCAGCCTGGCCAACATGATGAAACCCTGTCTCTACTAAAAATACAAATATTAGCCAGGCATGGTGATGCATACTTGTAATCCCAGCTACTTGGGAGGCTGAGGTGGGAGGATCGCTTGAACCTGGCAGGTGGAGGCTACAGTGGGCCGAGATTGTGCCACTGCTCTCCAGCCTGGGCGACAGAATGAGACTTCGTCTCAAAAAAAATTGTAGTTTGCCGATTGTAGGTGCAGCCAAGCATCTCTTTATATTTTAAAATATATTTGTGTCTGTTAACAGTTCATGTTTTTCATCTATTTTTTACTGGATTGTTGTTTTTTTTTTTTTTTTTGCTTTTTGTTTTTTGACATGGAGTCTTGCTCTGTCACCCAGCCTGGAGTGCAGTGGCGCGATCTCAGCTCACTGCAACCTCCGCCTCCCTGGTTCAAGCAATTCTCCTGCCTCAACCCCCTGAGTAGTTGGGATTACAGGCACGTGCCACCACGCCCGGCTAACTTTTGTATGTTTAGTAGAGACGGGGGTTTCACCATATTGGCCAGGCTGGTCTCGAACTCCTGACCTCGTGATCCGCCCGCCTTGGCCTCCCAAAGTGCTGGGATTACAGGCATGAGCCACTGCGCCCGGCCTGGATTTTTTTTTTTTAATAGGAACTCTATATATTAAAGAAATTAACCTTTAATCTGTGCATCATTCAGGGTCCCCAGCAGGAAACAGTTTAATTCGAGGAAGGATTAATACAGAGATTATTACACGGGGTTAGGCAGGGAACGGTGGGGGCCCTGAGAGGGTAGTGCCTGAAGAATGCTACTGGGGGAAAGAGCTGCATGGAGAGGATTGCCTCAGAGGACACATCCCCATCTCCTGTGAGAGCCTCCATTCTATGAACCCGTCTAGGAGCCAGAGGGCCAGGGAGTCTGTGGATAGAAGCCCCACAGGTCAGCTTCCCCTCACAGAGCACGGGATGGAGGGGGACTGAAGGGGAGAACTGGAAGCCAACCGGCTTATGTTCCTTGTGTGTCTTCCAACTTGGTTATGATTCTTTGGAATGCAGAAATGATTGATTTTTATGCAGTGGAATCAGTCTTTTCTTTTGCCGCTTCTGGACCTGTGTCAAACTTAGAAAGGCTTTCTCCACTCTCATACTACTTTAAAAAAATCAATTCCTTGCCAGGTGTGGTGGCTCACACCTGTAATCCCAGCACTTTGGGAGGCCAAGGCGGGCGGATCACCAGGTCAGGAGATCAAGACCATCCTGGCAAACACGGTGAAACCCCGTCTCTACTAAAAAATACAAAAAATTGCCAGGTGCGGTGGCTCACGCCTGTAATCCCAGCACTTTGGGAGGCCAAGGCGGGCAGAACACGAGGTCAGGAGATCGAGACCATCCTGGCTAACGCGGTGAAACCCCATCTCTACTAAAAATACAAAAATATTAGCCGGGCGTGGTGGCGGGCGCCTGTAGTCCCAGCTACTCGGGAGGCTGAGGCAGGAGAATGGCGTGAACCTGGGAGGCAGAGCTTGCAGTGAGCCGAGTTTGTGGTGGAGGCACTGACCCAGAGCGCAGCCTGTCTGGTGTGCGATGGTTGCTGAAATTTGCCCAACTGTGCTCAGCTACTTGTTTTATCACTGTGGACCCCCAAAACTCTGGGCAGGGCCTCAGCTTCCCGCCCCCCACTACTGCTGTCCAAGGAGGTAGAGTTACCAGTCCAGGTCTCCCAGCCCTCAGATGTAACCATGGCCCGCCAGCAGGAGCAGAAGCATGCTTCCCAAACCTGCCTGATTACCCAGCCAGCCACCCCACTCCAGCCCCCACCTTGGAGGAAGCACTAATCTGGGGACTTTGAGATTCCATGATTCTCACGGCAAGAAGGACTCTCAGACACGCGAGCCAGCGGCTCCCTTGGCCCTGAGGGCACAGGAGATAGAGGCACACCTGTAAACACATGCCTGGCTACAAACACGCACATACCTGGCTGGCGTGCTGAGCCACCTGAACTGACACCTGGAGAACTCACGCACAGGCATCCACCTGACCACTCCAGGCCACATCTGCCCATGCGCATGCACCCGCTGAGAGCTGGCACTCACGTCTGTTGTTGCCTTATCGACACACCCGAGACTAGGGTTCAAAATGCGTGCCCACGCCTGCTCCCAGCCCCTGCCGGCCCACTGGCACTTTCAGCTGGGCCACCCCAGGTCAGCAAGGCCCAGGGCAGGGTCAGTTTCAGCCAGGCCCCCCAACTCTTCATATTTTCTAGCTGGGGAAATTGATGTCCAGAGTTTCTGGTCAGCAGCCAGCCTGGTGGGGACCCTCTGAGCTATCCTGCTAAGTGTGGATAGGCACGGTGCAAGAACAGCTCCTCATCTGCTCCTGGCCTCCTCCCTGACCCCTGCCTTTAAGAGCCCCCATCTGATGGTGGAGCTGCTGAGACCCCTGGAATGAGTGTGATTGTGTATGAGAGAGAGAGAGGAATGCGGGCCTGTAAGGGAAGTGTCACTACACAAATGAAACTGAGCTGAGTGTTCCAAAAATTTGGGGGGAGAGCATCCCCCAGCCCTCAACAGCATGCCCTGTGCTCTCCAGAGGCATTTCTGGGACCACACCCCTATCTGCAGCACAGGCGTTTTGGCCACTCTGAGCTGGGCCCTTCTCTCTCTCATGTTTTCTGGCTCAGCTGCTGGGTCCCTGATCACCCCTAGTCTGGCTCCTTTCCCTCAGCCTCTCATGCAGTTGGCCAGCATTCCTCGAGACGACTCCGGAACAGGCTACACACGGGGGACACAGAGATGAATGAGAACAGGGCCCTAGACTCTTGTGGGGAACCCAGCCCAGCCCCAGAGAGAGGGTCTGGGACCATCTTCTCTGAAAGAGGGGGCGGGGGAAGCCAGTCCAGGTGGTGAAAACAGGATGTCCCAAGGGTGGCAGGCCTGGAGTGCACAGAGGCCCGCCCCTTGAGCAGCATGGGGGTCTCCAGACTTCCCTGGGGCAGACGTCAGGGGGGCGGCGGCCTGTCCCACTGGGAGGTGAGTTTCCTTCCGGCAGCTCCTTCTCACGCAATGGGCGGGAAGGGGTTGGGGGCCCATTGTTCCCTGGCACGCTACCACCCCCAGCCCTCCCCAGCTTCTGGGTGGGGGGAGCAGTGGAAGGAAGTGGGCTGAGCCCAGGCCCTGGCAAGACCCCAGTGAGAGAGCGCAGGGTTTGGGGAAATGCTGGCTCACGTGTGGGCCTGGTGTGTGCACAGCTGCACATGCCACACGTGTGTCGGGGGTCCATCTTGCCCTGAGTCCACCTTTCTCAGGATTTCTGGTGTGTGTGTGTGTGTGTGTGTGTGTGTGTGTGTGTGTGTGTGTGTTGTACCCTGACCTGTAATTTGGCACTTTACACACATTATCTCATTAAACCTCCCACCCAACCTGTAAGATAAGATTATCATCCCCAGTTGCGAGATGAGAAAGTCTAGACTCAGAAAGTTTATGTCACAGGCCCAAGGTTAGTGGGTGAGCTGGGATTTTCTTCTGGATCTGTGAGCCAGCCTCTGGTCTCATCTCTTTTCCCTTTCCCAAGCCCTGTAATTATCTTAATACTGGCCTGGGGTGGAGGGGTAAATACAGAGGTGAAGGCCTGGGGGAACCTATTGAGTATCACCTATGCCACTATGTTATCTTAAACCCAGAAAAACCCGCTGGGCTGCAGGGCCCACAGGGAGAGTGCAGGTCCCTCAATGCAGAGCAGAGTCTGCTTCCCTTATTAGTGCAGGGTGATGGGCATCGGGCAGGCTCCTTGCCCAAAAGTGCCCCCCTCCGCCCCATTGCACTGCCTGAGAGGCTCCATCGCAGCTGTACTCCAGAGGACTCTAGTGAACCTGGTGTTATGTCATGGCAGAGGGGTGGACAGAATGCAGGGTCTCAGAACTAATTTTGAGGGGGATCACTAAAGAATGGGGAGCTTGGCTCAGGGTATGGCTACCTCTGGTGGCAGTCCCCTCTCAGGGACAGGAGCCAGTGATAGGGATAAGATATAGGGCAAGCTCATGGACTGACGCTGAACTGCATAAACCCTGGTCTAGTCAGCCTCTGCTTGGTTCCCCCACCCAGATGGTATACTCACTACCATTCTTTCAGAGAGTCTGCACCCTCCTCAGATTCCTTTGTCAACTGGAAAATCCTTCCTTGGGGGGCAAGTTACTTTAAGACTGAGATTTGGCTGGGCATGGTGGCTCATGCCTATAATTGCAGCACTTGGGGAGACCGAGGTGGGTGGATCACCTGAGATCAGGAGTTCGAGACCAGCCTGGACAACATGGTAAAATCCCATACTCTAATAAAAATACAAAAATTGGCCGGGCACGGTGGCTCACGCCTGTAATCCCAGCACTTTGGGAGGCCGAGGCAGGCGGATCACGAGGTCAGGAGATCGAGACCATCCTGGCTAACACGGTGAAATCCCGTCTCTACTAAAAATACAAAAAATTAGCCAGGTGTGGTGGCGGGCGCCTGTAGTCCCAGCTACTCAGGAGGCTGACGCAGGAGAATGGTGTGAACCCAGGAGGCAGAGCTTGCAGTGAGCTGAGATCGCACCACTGCACTCCAGCCTGGGCGACAGAGCGCGACTCCATCTCAAAAAAAAAAAAATTGGCTGGGCATGGTGGCACATGCCTGTCGTCCCAGCTACTTGGGAGGCTGAGGCAGGAGAATTTCTTGAATCCAGGAGGCGGAGGTTTCAGTGAGCCGAGATCGCACCACTGCACTCCAGCCTGGGCGACAGAGCAAGACTCCACCTAAAAAAAAAAAAGAGAGAGAGAGGCTGAGATTTATCTGGGCAGATCTGGGTGAGGGAGACCCCAGTGACTGAGTTCATTTGCATAGGGACTGAGTGGAATCCTGGGAGGGAGGTCACCCTTAGGGAAAAAAGAGCCAGGCAAGACCACCTGACCCAGTGTTCCAACCTTAGTTAGAGCAGTGTAAGCTGGTTTGCAATGGGGTGTGTGTTAAAGCTATTTCTAATTTGTTGTTAGGAGGTCTCAACCTGGGAGTCACGGGAAAAGATGAGAGCAAAGATAATTTTCTTTGTAGTGTGGGTGTGAGGAGAGGTGGGCAGAGCAGAAAAGTGACAAATGGAGGCTTTTGTGTGTTCCGCTAGCTTTCCGCTGTGCCATTGTTTCTTCCAGGACTTGTGTGCAGGGATCCCTTGCTGAGGTAGCTTAGACCCTGTGACCCTCACTCTGTTGCCTGTGGCTATTTACCAGGGTAAACATTGCTCCAAGGGGACCCAACCACTGACTGACTGTGGTCTCTGACCTGTGTAGCCTGGCTGAAAAAGATGAGCTGAGCCAATCAAACCCCTCTCTCAAGAAGCTGAAACTAGGCTGGGCGCGGTGGCTCACGCCTGTAATCCCAGCACTTTGGGAGGCGGGCGGATCACGAGGTCAGGAGATCGAGACCGTCCCCGGTGAAACCCCGTCTCTACTAAAAAATACAAAAAAATTAGGCGGGCATGGTGGTGGGCGCCTGTAATCCCAGCTACTGAGGAGGCTGAGGCAGGAGAATGGCATGAACCCAGGAGGTGGAGCTTGCAGTGAGCCAAGATTGCGCCACTGCACTCCAGCCTGGGCCACAGAGCAAGACTCCATCTCAAAAAAAAAAAAAAGAAGCTGAACTAGCTCGGCACGGTGGCAGGAGACTGAGAGACTGAGGCAGGAGGATATTGCTTGAACCCCAGGAGTTTGAGGCCGCAGTGAGCTATGATTCGCCAGTGTACTCCAGCCTGAGGGACAGAGGGAGACCCTCATCTCTTTAAAACAACAAAAAACAAACAAACAAGAAAGACCTGTACTAAGATATAAACGAAAGATCTGGTATCTGGTTGGTGGTAGATGCTTGACATAAAGGGAGTTGGGGATCTGAACTGAACAGGTGGGGAGGTCTAGAGAAGTCTCTTAATTTTCCCTACCAGGCAGAGGTGGGATTCCCAGCTCAAGGTTTTTCCCACCATTCTACCATCTTTCATTCCACCATCTTTGCCAAAAATCACCCCTCACCGGGTACACTGCACTTCGAAATTTGCCAGGCACTCACTGGATTTGCCCACAGCCTTATTAAGCAAGAGGCTGGCAGAGCAGGGGTCATTGCTAGTGGCCTGAACTTCAGGCTAATGGTGCTGGAGAAGACCTCACAGAAGGCTGAAGATGGGGTCGAGGCCTGTGAGGGGTGGGACTGGCCCAAGGTCACCCACACTTGGAACCTGAGTGCAGGACTCCTAGCCCTCTGGCCAAGAGCTCTTTCTAACTCTCCATGCCGTTCCTTGATCATGTAGTGTTTCCAAGCTTCCTGTTCCAGTCCCACAATCCTGACTCAGGGAGAGACACAGGTAGGGAAGAGACCCTGGAGGTGGTATAGGGCAAATGGTGCAGTCCTGAATCTCTCCACCACACATGCCCTCCTCATGCTTCCTGAGCCTCAGGCTTCTCATCTCTAAAGTTGGTATAACAGTACCCATCTCCTGTGGTTGTTGTGAGAATAGCCTGAGATGATGCGTGTCCAGGGCCTACCAGGAAAAGATAGAACAGGCTGGTCCCACCTGCCTCGTACCTGCTGTGGGAGGCAGGAATGGCAAGCAGCGGGGCGAAGTCTCCAATTCCTCCTACCTTGGCTCTGGCCAGAGGGGAGCTCTAGGCCAACCAGTTAAAGATTGGCCAGGTGTGCATGAGAAGCTCAAGCCATCTCCAGACCACAGTGAGCCAGATGGGGCAGTGGCTGTATGGTGACCATCGAGCCACCTCAGATCGGTCCTGAAATTACCTCAGGGAGCTGGGCCCTGCTGATTCTTAGATTGGCAAAGTATGGCAATGCCTGCTTGCGGCTTGCCGGGAGGTTTTTTTTGTTTTGTTTTGCTTTTTGTTTTGGGACAAAGTTTCGCTCTTGTCGCCCAGGCTGGAGTGCAATGGCGTGATCTCGGCTCACTGCAAACTCTGCCTCCGGTGTTCAAGCGATTCTCCTGCCTCAGCCTCCAGAATAGCTGGGAATACAGGCACCTGCCACCATGCCTGGCTAATTTTTGTGGTTTTAGTAGAGATGGGTTTTTTTTTCTAAGCTGGAGTCTCACTCTGTTGCCAGGCTAGAGTGCAGTGGCGTGATCTCGGCTCACTGCAACCTCCGCCTCCCAGGTTCAAGCAATTCTCTGCCTCAGCTTCCCGAGTAGCTGGGATTACAGGTGCCTGCCACCACGCCTGGCTAATTTTTTGTATTTTTAGTAGAGATGGGGTTTCACCATATTGGCCAAGCTGGTCTTGAACTCCTGACCTTGTGATCCACCCACCTCGGTCTCTCAAAGTGCTGGGATTACAGGTGTGAGCCACCGCCCCCGACCTTTTTTTTTTTTTGAGACAGAGTCTCCCTCTGTTGCCCAGGCTGGAGTGGAGTGGCGCAATCTCAGCTCACTGCAACCTCCATCTCCTGGGTTCATTTGATTCTCCTGCCTCAGCCTCCCAAGTAGCTGGGATTACAGGTGTGTGCCACCACTCCCGAATAATTTTTGTATTTTTAGTAGAGACGAGGTTTCACCATGTTGGCCAGGCTGGTCTCGAACTCCTGACCTCAAGTGATCCACCCGCCTTGGCCTCCCAAAGGGCCAGGATTACAGGCGTGAGCCACTGTGCCTGGCCAGGTTTTACTCTTAAAAATTTTTTTGGCTTGGCGCAGTGGCTCATGCCTGTAATTCCAGCACTTTGGGAGGCTGAAGCAGGTGGATCACTTGAGATCAGGAGTTCGAGACCAGTTTGGGCAACATGGTAAAACCCCATCTCTACAAAAATTAGAAAAATCAGCCAGGCATGGTGGCCTGCATATGTTGTCCCAAGGTGGGAGGATCGATTGAGCCTGGGAGGTTGAGGCTGCAGTAAGCCAAGATGGTGCCACTGCACTCCAGCCTGGGCGACAGAGTGAGACTGCAAACTCTGTCCCTGGGTTCAAGCGATTTTCCAGCCTCAGCCTCCTGAGTAGCTGGGATTACAGTCGCCCGCCACCATGCCTGGCTAATTTTTGTATTTTTAGTAGAGACAGGATTTCACCATGTTGGCCAGGCTGGTCTCAAACTCCTGACCTCAGATGATCCACCTGCCTTGGCCTCCCGAAGTGCTGGAATTACAGGGGTGAGGCATCGTGCCCGGCCAGGAGTTCTTTATATATTCTATATATAAATGCTTCAACAGCTATATGTTTTGCAAATATTTTCTCTCATTCTGTGGGTTGTCTTTTCAATTTTTTTTTTTTTTTTGAGACAGAGTCTCACTCTGTAGCCCAGGCTGGAGTGCAACAGCAGGGTCTCAGCTCACTGCAACCCCTGCCTCCTGAGTTCAAGTGATTCTCATGCCTCAGCCTCCTGAGTAGCTGGGATTACAGCCTCCTGATCAGCTGAGATTACAGTCTCCTGAGCAGCTGAGGCTAGCCACTACATTCAGCTAGTTTTTGTATATTTAGTAGAGATGAGGTTTCACTATGTTGTCCAGGCTGGTCTCAAACTCCTGACCTCAAGTGATCCGCCTGCCTTGGCGTTCCAAAGTGCTGGGATTACAGGCGTGAGCCTCTGTGCTTGGCCTCCTTTCAATTTCTTGATAGTGTCCTTTGATGAGACCTGGGCCTTTTTCAAATAACCTAAGCACTTCTGGGAAGCTTATCCCCTCCCGGGCTGTGAATGAAGAAATCAAGGCCTTGTGAGAAGTCACGTGTTCTGCCTTTTGAGAATGGGACAGGAGGGATCCCCATCCACCCAACTGGGTTTGGCCCCTGAGACTGGATCCCTTTCTCCTTGTTCCCTTCAATTGTTAAAAAACTTGGGTCAAACAACATGAAAGGAGAGGAGAGGAGTGAAGGAGGTGCCTATCAACGACTTAAGAGAGCACAGACCTAGACCCAGTCTCAGGACTCAAGCACCAAGAGCTTACTGACGCACACCACAACACACATAAGCCTTGAAAACATTGTGCTAAGTGAAAGAAGCCAGTCACAAAAGACCACTCATTGTGTAATTCCATTTATATGAAATGTTTAGAGAAGGCAAATCCATAGACACAGAAAGTAGATTAGCAGTTGCCAGGGCTGGTGAGGCAGGGGAGGCAGGCTAGGGGGAAATGTGGAGGGACTGCTAATGGGTGCAGGGTTTCTTTTAGGGGTGATGAAAATGTTCTAAAATTAATTGTGGGCCGGGCACCGTGGCTCACACCTGTAATGCCAGCACTTTGAGAGAGGTCGAGGCGGGCAGATCACTTGAGGTCAGGAGTTTGAGACTAGTCTAGCCAACATGGTGAAACCCGTCTCTACTAAAAATACAAAAATTAGCCAGGCGTGGTGGTGTGTGCCTGTAGTCTCAGCTACTTGGGAGGCTGAGGCTGGAGAAGCACTTGAACCTGGGAGGCAGAGGTTGCAGTGAGCTGAGATGATGCCACTGCACTCCAGCTTAGGAGACAGAGGAAGACTCTGTCTCAAAAAAAAAAAAAACAAAAAGGCTGGGCGCGGTGGTTCATACCTGTTAATCCCAGCACTTTGGGAGGCTGAGGCGGGTGGATCACGAGGTCAAGAGATGGAGACCATCCTGGCCAACACAGTGAAACCTCGTCTCTACTAAAAATACAAAAATTAGCTGGCCATGGTGGCGCATGCCTATAGTCCCAGCTACTCGGGAGGCTGAGGCAGGAGAATCGCTTGAACATGGGAGGCGGAGGTTGTAGTGAGCTGAGATCGCGCCACTGCACTCCAGCCTGGCAACAGAGTAAGACTCTGTCTCAAAAATAATAAGAATAATAAAATTAATTCTGGTGATGGTTGCACAATTCTACACTAGAAGTCATTCGACACTTTAAGAATGTAAGTTAGGCTGGATGTGGTGGCTCACACCTGTAATCCCAGGACTTTGGGAAGCCAAGGCAGGTGGATAACTTGGGGTCAGGAGTTCGAGACAAGCCTGGCCAACATGGTGAAACCCCATCTCCACTAAAACTACAAAAATCAGCCAGGCGTAGTGACTCATGCTTGTAATCCCAGGTGCTTGGGAGGCTGAAGTGGGAGGATTGCTTGAACCTGCGAGGTGGAGGTTGCAGTGAGCTGAGATCACGCCACTGCACTCCAACCTGGGTGACAGACTGAGATTCTGTCTCAGACAAAAAAAAAAAAAGAAGGTGAATTATATGGCATAAGAATTATATCTCCATAAAGCTGCTATATATATATGTATATATATGGTTTTTTTTTTGTTTGTTTGTTTTTTTTTTTGAGATGGGGTCTTGCTCTGTCACTCAGGCTCTTGGCAAATTTTTTTTTTGTAGAGACAGGGTCCCACTATGTTGGCCAGGCTGCTTTCCAATTCCTGGGCTCAAATGATCCTCCAACCTTGGCCTCCTAAAATGCTGGGATTACAGGCCCTGCACTTGGCTAAAGCTGCTATTTTTTAAAAAAAGAAAGGAAGAGAAACAAGGGCTGAGTCCCCGTGGCTGGCCCCCACTCGCTCCCTGGCCTCAGAATGGTGGTGTCTTCTTCAATTGATGGAGAAGCGCAGCCGCGCCTGGACATGTTCACAGCGGGCGTGCTTCATGGTCAGCCCGTAGATGGGGGTCAGGTCGACTTTCACGCCCGGCGGCACGCTGAACTCCAGTTGCTGTAGCAGGATGGCCAGGAAGAGGAAGATCTCCCACTTGGCCAGGACTTCCCCGATACACCGGCGCTTGCCCATGCCAAACAGCATCATCTTCTCACTCAAGGGCTTGTTAATGGCAGTGCCATCGGCGGTGAGGAACCGCTCAGGCCGGAACTCAGAGGGGTCCTCCCACAGCTCTCTGCAAGAGGAACAGAGGAGATGGGACCTCAGGGCTGGAGAGGCCCTGGGAGGAGGTGCCTGGGGGAGGGAGACTTCTGTTGAGAACACAAGTGTGAGGGCACTTTGAAAGCAATGAAGGGTAGGTGGGAAGGAACCAAACTGAACTTTGATGCTTATTTCTTTTTCTTTTCTTTCTTTTTTTTTTTTTGAGACACCCTCCGGCTCCTATCACCCAGGCTGGAGTACAGTGGTGCGATCTCAGCTCACTGCACTCTCTCTGCCTCCCCAGCTCAAGCCAACCACCCACCTGAGCCTCCCGTGTAGCTGGGACTACAGGCACCATATCCGGCTAATTTTTGTATTTTTTTTTTTTTTTTTTTTTGCAGAGACGGGGTTTCACTGGTCTCAGACTCATGAGCTCAAGCGATCCACCTTCCTCGGACTCCCAAAGTGCTGGGGTTACAGGCATGAGTCACCACACCTGGCCTGATGCTTATTTCTTTTACAAAGCTCTCTCTAAAATGACCAGCCTTAAAGATAGTGCCTTTTAATATTAATTTACTTTAAATAATGCTTTATCTAAAAGAAATTAAAAGAAGAAAAACAGGCTGGGTTTGGTGGCTTACACCCGTAACCCTAGCACTTTGGGAGGCTGAGGCAGGAAGATCCCTTGAACCCAGGAGTTCAAAACCAGCCTGGACCACATAGGAAGACCTTGTCTCTATTTAAAAATTAAAGTGAAAGGAAGAAAGAAAGACATACGTTTCTTCATCCTACTCAAAATATGCCTCCTAAGGGGCCTCAACAGTATGTCCTGGCTTATGTTTATTGTTTTGGAGTAATGATGACTAGCATAAACATTGATAGCATTTTCACACTCAAATGTCCCAGTGTGGATGGTAAATTATATATATGGTCCCCCTACCTATACACTAAAGTGGGGCTTTCCAAAGAGAGGTCTCTGAGCCATTCACATCAGAATCGCCTGAGGTACCCCACCTTAGATACCACAGTAGAATCCTGGGGGAACCATCACCTGTAACAAACGTCTTGGTTGATTTTTTTTTTTTTTTTTTGAGGCAGAGTCTCACTCCGTCACCCAGGCTGGAGTGCAGTGGAGCGATCTCGGCTCACTGCAGCCTCTACCTCCAGAGTTCAAGCAATTCTCCTGCCTCAGCCTCTGGAGTAGCTGGGATTATAGGCGCACCACCATGTCCGGCTAATTTTTGTTTTGTATTTTTAGTAGAGATAGGGTTTCACCATGTTGCCCAGGCTGGTCTCAAACTCCTGACCTCAAGTGATCTGCCTGCCTCGGCCTCCCAAACTGCTGGGATTATAGGCTTGAGCCACTGCGCCTGGCCATCCTAGTTGATTCCTGTGCACTAAAGTTTGTGAAACTTTTGTAAATATCGTCACTTAGAGCAGACTATAGCAATTGAGGTCCCCTCCTTTCATTATATAAACAGTTCCTAGCAGGGACAAACAGCCTTCCTGACTGCTGAACCTGCACACATTTTTTCGTGAGGGGTATGTACTCACGGGTCATGGTTGACCTGCCACTGGTTTACGAAGACACAGCATTTCTTGGGGATGTAGAAGCCATTCAGCGTTGTGTCCCTTGTTGTGCTGAGGAGGGAAGAGGGCACTGTGAGGCTCAGGGCTGGAAAGCTGGGGCATGTGTTGCTCCTACCTCCACCCCATCCAGACAGCCTGCCCACCGCCATCTCCATCCCTACACTGGGAGGGGAGGGGAGGAACAGGGAAGAGGTAGAAACATCCTCCCTCTTCCTTGCGTCCTGTTCTTTAACTTCAGCAAGTATTTACTAAACTTCTCTTTGCGCCTGGCTGCGCACTTGGCTGTTCTCTGGAGCCAAGAAGCAGGCAATTTCAGATAAATGTTTTTCTATTTTCTATGAAAAAAAAAAAAAAAAAAAAAAAAGCAGCAGGCAGCCTGGGGCAGCCCCGGGGAATTTCTAGCCTGGCTGGGGATTCAGGCCTCTTACTGCAGGAATAACTAGAACAACGTTTGGGTAGAAGTAAATGCTCACTAACTCTCTTGACATTGTTAAAATTCCAGGGCATGATCAAGGGCTGATGGCTGTAAGTCCTATAAGACATCAGGAATGAAGCTGTGCCAGCTGGATGAGTCAAAAGGCTTCTGGGGAGAGGAAGCTCGTGTCGGCATTGACTTTGAGCAAGGGTAGGATTCTGGTGGTCAGAGAAGAGGCTAGAAGGTATTCCAGGCAGAAGGTTCAGCGTTAGCAAGATTGGAGGCCAATAGGGTCATGCTTGTGAGGGTGAGGCCGACCTGACTGGCACAGAGGGCACTGGGAGGGAGGGAATATGAACAGAGGGGAATGAGCGCTGAGATCACAAGTGGAACTTTCTCCTGAGAGCTGGGGGTTAGATTATGTTTGGACTGGATGGGGGCAGACTGAGGCCGGGATCTGTGGGGAACGAGGTCGGGAAGGAGATGCTGAGCCAGGGCCAGGGCTGAGAAGCCAGGAAGAGAAAACATGGCAAGCACTTTAGAGGTGGGAGGGCAGAACCGGCAGGCCTCACCTGTGGGGGATGGTGAAGGGCAAGAAGGAGGAGTGTCGGAAGGTCTCCAGGATGAAGGCCTCCAAGTAGGGCAGCTGGGGTCTGTCAGAGAGCCGGGGCCGCCGCTCCCTGCCAATCACAGTGTCTGTAGAACACAGAGGACAAGCAGAGCTCAGGGGCTGCCCTAACTGCCCCATGAATTATCCCCTCTTATACCCCATGTCACTCTTATGTAAGACTGTCTATTCACAAGTCTGCGACCCCACTAACCTCCCACATCTTCTAGGCAAGGGCAGGCACTACTGTGTGCCCAGGGCTTGCACACAGCAGGCACATAACAGGTGTTTGTAGACTGAACAAACAACCTGGGTCTCAAGGCTTCTCCTGGCTATAGGGTTGGGGGCCCCCATGTACCCAGCTCCTTCTGGATCTTCCTCTGTATCTCAGGCTTGGTCACAAGGTACATGAGGCTCCAGGAGATGGCTGTGGTGACTGTGTCAAATCCTGAACCGTGTAGTGTAAGGTGAGGAAAGAAGGAAGACAGAAACAAGGAAACCATCATTTCCCAAGTATCTGCTATGTATGTATCCAGCATTAGCTTTCTCTGGCCCTAGCCTGTGAGTTTCCTGAAGACAGAGGCTGGGTCTCTTCAACATAAACTTGAGATACAGGTTTCAGAATTAGCTGCTGGAATTATAGGGGCCTAGACTTACAGGCCAGAGAACACCTTATTGTTCAGATGGGGAAACTGAAGCCTAGGGGAGGAGAAGGACTTTGCTGTTTCTCCACTGGGAATTGGTGGCATAGCCCAGGCTCAAACCCTGATCCCAAGCCAGATCTCAGTATGTTGTACCATCTGGTGTAGGGTTGGTGGGTTATTTCATGGACTGAGGGGCTGGGCAAGGCTGTGGGTGAACAGCAGGCATTGTTGGATGGAGGGGCAAGGTTCTGGTTCCTACCTGCTCCAAAGATGTCATTGACAAGGTTGACAATCTTCTCCTGTGGGATGAGGTTGCCGCTGGCTCTAGGCCCCTTCTTGCTGTGCTTGAACAGGGCACCCGTGATGTCCCGGACACTGTTCTGAGGGGGCACAAGCTTAGGGGCACCTCTGGCACTTCCAAGGTCAAAGGCTGAACGTTGCTCCACTCCCCTGGCCTGTACCTGGTGGCTGGGTACCCCCCTATCCTCCCAACTTGGTCTCTAGGCAGGGGGTTGCAGCTTGCAGCAGGAGCTGGTAGCAGCCCTGGGTATGGCTTAAAGTGTCATTTTATGCCCCATTGACCCTTCCTCCCAATAACACCAGGGGTCCAATTTCAAAGAAGGAAAAGGTTAGTGTGAACACAGGGAAGCAACGTGACACCAGAGCTGGGGATTAGCCTCTGTTGGGGTTTAGGTTTCTGCAGAATGAAAGCTTTCTCACTCATAGGCCCCCCACATTGCAGGACTCTGCTAGGGCCCCATTTCCAGGGCTTTTTTCTTGGGGGCTTTGAGGAGCCCTGAGAAGGGGGCTTCAAGGATGAGGAAACTGAGGCCCAGAGAAGGGGAAGAGTCGGCTCCAGGTCACACAGCTGGTCTGAGGTGTCCAGAGCCTTCCTAGGCCTTGGCAACACAGCAGCTGTGTGGGCATGCTGGAGCTGGGAGGGAGGGGCTGCACCCAGGCCCTGCAAGGTGCCCCTTGCCACCTGCACCCCGGGCTCACCTTGTCAAAGTCCTGATAGTGCTCCTGGACTGTTTTCTGCAGGAACCACAGGAACCTCTGGTTGAAGGCCTTGAACCTCTGCAGGGCAGGGTTAGGCAGGTAGCGAAGGATGGGGAAGAAGTCCAGGGGGTTCCCGGAGGAGGCAGTCTCCACGAACTCATGAGTGTTCTTCACGAGGCTGAGCATCTCATCGCTACTCTCAGGGAAGTGCTGTCCGAAGCACATGGCACCAATGACGTTGGCCACTGACACCACCACCTGATTGTAAGGGTCGAAGTGCCCAGGCCCTGCCATCAGCTCCTGCAACCTGCTGATCAGGGCCTTAGCCTCCTTGCTCACATGCTCCTCCAGGTAGCAGGAGGATGAGGAAGCTGGGTCAGAGGCGATGGAGAAGGTGTTGAGGGCATTCTGGGCCAGGCGCCGGCGGGCAGCCCACACCGGTCCAGAGTCTGTGCTGAAGGTCAAGCTCTGGCCATCAGTGATGAGGGTGGAGGTGTAGAGGTCAGGCCGGCCCTTGAAATCGTCGCCCTGCCGCACCAGGGCCTGCCGGATGGTGTCCAGGCGGCTCAGCACCAGCACGGGCGTGGAGCCAATGCGGATCTGCAGGACGTCCCCGTAGCGCTGGCTCATCCTTGACAGTGCCAGGTGCGGGTTCTTCCCCAGGGTCAGCACATGCCCGAGCAAGGGCCAGCCCCATGGCTCTGGTGGACTTTTCAGGCCTTTGGGGACCCGAGGCCTCAAACCCTTGAGCACCCAGAATACCAGGCAGAAGATGGCAGAGGCCAGGAGAAGCTCTGTGGCCGAGAAGGGAACAGACTGGGACAATGCCATCTGTACCAACTGCAGGGAAAAAAGGAGGGACCAGGCTGAGGGTTGAGATGGAGACATTCATTCATTCATTTCCTCAGTCATTTGATAAACACTGATGCGTGTTCTGTGCTTGGCTCCCAGCTGGATACCAGAAAGACTAAGCTCCATCTACCATGCGTCCTGGGCCCACAGAGCTCACCCTTTGAGCATCACAGAATCTGAGAGCTGGAAAGGAGCCTCAAGATTCCCAACATGAACGCTGGCTCTCTCCTCCACACATCATCTCAGTTTCCACTTCTGGGGCTGGAGTAGAGGCAAGTGACCACTCCAAAATGGGGAAGCCAAGGACAGCACCCTTGTCAGCCCCTGGCACAGCATGCATGCTGGGTATTGTACCAAAGAGTCCCTGCCAGTGCTGGCTTTCTGCTGATACCTTCCATATACCCAAGGGACCAGGAGTTCCCCCTACCCAGTGACACTGAGGTGGCCAAGGTCCCAGGGCTGGTTCAAATAGCCTGTGATGCCCCCTCCCCAGGGCATTCTTTATCAATACCAGGAGGGGCACCTCCTCCAGGGATGAGTCCCCATCCTCTCACAGTCTTGGAGGTTGGGGTTGGGCTTCAGCCAGGGCCAGGGCTGCCCTTGTGCTAAGGGGGAAGCCCTCCCCATCGCTCTCCTTAAAAATGGCTTAGTCCAAACTGCTCATTTAAAATCGGGAAACAGAAGTCAAGAGCTGGGTAGCAAAGCCCGGAACTCAGGACCCCTACACCTAGCCCAGGCTCCCCGTCTTTCTGTCCCCACTAGCTTCCAGGTTCTATAGTTGGGGATCCCAGAGATTGTAAATTGGTCCCAAGAAAGGTACCTGTAGAGGCAGGTGCTTGAGATTGGCAGGGTTGTAATGGCTGGTGTGGAGCTTCTGGCTCTAGGTGAGTGGCCTTTTTATAAACACCGCCCCCTATCAGATTGGCCTGGTTGTCCTGATCACCTGATATGAAAGCTGGATCACTGAACAAAGTTGGAAGGATCAACTCTTGGCCTTGGGCCATTATCCCTCAGCTCCACCTACTACCTAAGACCCAGGGTGACTCTTTGGGGATAGGCCAGAAGGGGTGCTGGGTCCCTGGGGATGAAGGTACAGCTGTCTTTAGGGTTCAGGGTAGGGAGCCTATTTCTCTGAAGAGTAGGGTAGGGTCTGGGAGTGGGGGTTAGGCCTTTGGACTGATCTGGGCTTCTTTCCCACTGCACACATGAGGAAGAGCTCTGCCAGGGCACTCAGTCTAGGCCAACCAGGCTCACGGCCCCTCTCCAGAGGGATGTTCTTCTGTAGTACCCTCCAACAACCTGCAAAACCAAACAGTAAATGGGCGTGTTCCAGCCACTCCTGATTTTCAGCCCAAGTCCCCAAGTGGAAAAGAAGAGATGATAAAGATTTTGCATCCTAAAGAGAGGCCCCCCTTATGCAAAAAGACTAAGAGACATAACCAAATGCAATATGGATTTGCATTTGATTGCCATATCGATTGGATATGGCATTTAAACAAAATTTTAAAAAAATCTATAAAAGATGTTTTGGGGACAATTGGGGACATGTAAGCACGGACTGGAGATTAGATGATATTCTGGAATAAATGTAAATTTTTTTAGGTGTGAACAGAGTGTCATGGTATGTGGGAGTGTATCCTTATTCTTAGGAGATTAATGCTGTAGCATGGAAGTGTCATGATCCCCACAACCTCCTTTTGAATGGTTCTGTTAAAAAATGTACACCTCTAGGCCAGGCGCGATGGCTCGCACCTGTAATCCCAGCACTTTGAGAGGCCGAGATGGGCGGATCACCTGAGATCAGGTGTTCAAGACCAGCCTGGCCAACCTGGTGAAACTCCGTCTCTACTAAAAATACAAAAATTAGCCAGGCATGGTGGCATGTGCCTGTGATCCCAGCTACTCGGGAGGCTGAGGCAGGAGAATGGCTTGAACTTGGGAGGTGGAGGCTGCAGTGAGCCAAGATCGTGCCACTCCACTCCAGCCTGGGCGACAGAGTGAGACTCCGTCTCAAAAAAAAAAAAAATGTACACCTTTAAAGAGTGTAATTGGATTGTTTGTAACTCAAAGGTTTATCCTTGCTTGAGGGGATGGATACTCCATTCTCCATGAATGCTTATTTCATATTGCATGCCTGTATCAAAACATTTCATGTACCCCATACATATATACACCTACTATGTACCCATAAAATTAAAACAATGTATACCTATCTATCAATAAATCGAGAGAAAGTAGATATGAGAAATGTCAGATATTCATGGACTTACGTGAGGATATATGGTGTTTGTTGTACTAAAGGAGTCTTTAATATGGACCCAGATCTCAGTCAGATCTAAGAGGAGGAGGAGGACAAGCCTTAAATTGGATGTGAAAAGGAAGTTTGCTATCTTTTTTTTTTTTTTTTAGATACAGAGTCTTGCTCTGTCACCCAGGTTGGGGTTCATGTGCCACAATCATGGCTCACTGCAGCCTCGACCTCCTGAGCTCAAACAATCCTCTTGCCTCAGCCTCCTGAGTAGCTGGGACCACAATCACAGGTGTGTGCACCATGCCTGGCTAATTTTTTTATTTTTAAACATTTTTTTGTAGAGAGGAGGTCTTGCCATGTTGCCCAGGTTGGTCTTGAACTTCTGGGCCCAAGCAATCCTTCTGCCTTGGCCTCCCAAACTGCTGGGATTACAGGTGTGAGCCACTGTGCCCGGCATGGATGTGAGAGGGAAGTTTTGATTTAGACTGGAGTGGGCTTTTATTCCTGAAAATGAGAAAACTGTGGGATCAACCTGTGAAGATGCCAAGGCAGATGGATGGGGAATCCAATAGAGAAACAGAGCATGTTTGAAGGCCATGAATGGGAGAAGAGGAAAGTTGTTTCCTGTCTATATCTCCATTGGGTTCAGATGACTCAATGAAAAAGGTCAAGGTTTGAGGTTAGGCTCGGTTTTATAGAAAATGGACTCTTTCTTTCTCTCTGTCTGTCTGTCTCTCTAATTAACTAAAGTTCATGGTTTACTTAGATTTCCTTGCGTTTTACCTAATGTCCTTTTCCTGTTCCAGGACCCATTGGATATCACATGACATTTAGTCATCACGTCTCTTTGGATTCCTCTTGGCTGTGACAGTTTCTCAGGATATCCTTGTTTTTGATGACCTTGACAATTTTCAGGAGTACTGGTTGGACATTTTGTAGGATGCCCACTATTGGAATGTGCCTGATGTTTTTCTTCTCATGGTAAGCCTGGGGTTATGGTTTGTTGGTGGGAAGACCTTGGAGGTTAGGTGCCATTCTCGTCACATCATATCAGGGTTACATCCTATCAATGTGACTTACAGATGTGGATGTTGACCTTGATCACCTGGCTAAGGTAGTGCGTGTCAGGTCTCTTCACTGTAAAGTTACTCCTTTCCCACCTTTCCATACTGTACCTTTTGGAAGGAAGTCACTATGCACAGCCCACACCGAAGGAGTGGGGGATTACGCTCCTTCTCCTTGAGGGGGGATTATCTCCATAAACTATTTGAAATTCTCCTGTATGACAGACTATTTATCTTTTTATTTTTAATGTTTTCTTAAAACTTAAAAAAATTAAATTACAGGATACAATATAGAAAAGTGCATATGTCAGCTGGGACCGGTGACTCACACCTGTAATTCTAGCACTTTGGGAGGCCGAGGTGGGAGGATCACTTGAGTGAGGCCAGGAGTTCAAGACCAGCCTGGCCAACATAGTGAAACCTCATCTCTACTAAAAATACAAAAAAAAATTAGCTGGGCGTGATGGTGCACACCTGTAATTCCAGCTACTCGGGAAGCTGGGGCATGACAATTGCTTGAATCCGAGAGGCGGAGGTTGCGGTGAGCCAAGATCGCACCACTGCACTCCAGCCTGGGTGACAGAGCAAGATTCTGTCTCAAAAATAAATAAATAAATGGAAAAGTGCATATGTCATGTATAGCTCGATCATGTGTAGCTTGATGAATTTTTGCAAACTTAACAAACACACATATAACCAGCTCTAATCAAGAGACATCATAAGCATCCAAGAAGTCCCGTTGTGTTCCTTTCTCAAGGGTACCCATGACCCCAACATCTATTGCATGGATTTGTTTTGCTTGTTGTATTTTACATAAATGAGATCATGTCATATGTACACTTTTTGGAGGGGAGCCAAGGAATTTTAAAAAGCTAATAGATTTTTTTAGAGCAGTCTTTGGTTCACAGAAAAATTGAGTGGAAAGTATGATGAGGGAGGTAAAAGTGGCCATTTACCACCCCCACTCTGCAGTTTCCCCTATTATTAACATCTTGCAGTGGTGTAATATATTTGTTACAATTCGTGGATGAATATTGATACATTCTGGTTGTTGTTGTTGTTGTTTTGAGACAGAGTCTCAGGCCTGGTGTGGAGGCTCACATCTGTAATCTCAGCACTTTGGGAGGCTGATGTGGGCGGATCACTTGAGGTCAGGAGTTCTGGACCAGCCTGGCCAACATGATAAAACCCCATCTCTACTAAAAATACAAAAAAATTAGCCGACCATGGTGGCGCATGCCTGTAGTCCCAGCTACTCAGGAGGCTGAGGCAGGAGAATCCTTTGAACCCCAGAGGTGGAGGTTGCAGTGAGCCAAGATCGCGCCACTGCACTCCAGCCTGCGCCATAGAGCAAGACTCGTCTCAAAAAAAATAATAAAATAAAATAAAGAGAGACAAAGTTTTGTTCTGTTGCCCAGGCTGAAGTGCGGTGGTACAATCTCAGCTCACTGCAACCTCTTCCTCCCAGATTCAAGCGATTCTGGTGCCTCAGCCTCCTGAGTAGCTAGGATTACAGGCACACACCACCATGCTCGGCTAATTTTTGTATTTTTAGTATAGACGGGGTTTCACTGTGTTGGCCAGGTTGGTCTCAAACTCCTGACCTCAGGTGATCTGCCCACCTCGGCCTCCCAAAGTGTTGAGATTACAGGTGTGAGCCACCACGCCCAGCCTCTGATACATTATTATTAACCGACGACCATAGTTTAAATTAAGATGCACTTTGTGTTGTACAGTTCTATGGTCCCCCACCTACACTTTTTTGGTTGTGGTGAAATAATATACATAACATAACATTTAACACTATAGGGCCAGGCATGGTGGCTCACACCTGTAACCCTAGCACTTGGGAGGCTGAGGTGGGAGGATCGCTTAAGCCCAGGAGTTCAAGACCAGCCTGGGCAACATAGTGAGACCCCATCTCTATTTTAAAAAAAATTTTAATTTACCATTTTAACCATTTTAAGTATACATTTCAGTGGGCGGTATATAATCTTGTGTCTGGTTTCTGGTTTCTGTTACTTAACATTCTTTTTTTATGAGACTCATTCATGATGTTGGGCATAGTTATAGTTCATTCTCATTGCTGCACGGTATTCCATTATAATATGAATACCCAACACCTTATTCATTCATTCAACTGTTGATTGATACTTCGGTTGCTTCCTCTGTTGGGCTAAGATGAGCCCTGCTGTCAGGAGCATCTTTTTTTTTTCTTTTGAGACAGAGTTTAGCTCTTGTTGCCCAGGCTGGAGTGCGATGGCGTGATCTCGGCTCACCACATCTGCCTTCCCGGTTCAAGCGATTCTCTTGCCTAAGCCTCCTGAGTAGCTGAGATTACAGGCTACCATGCCCAGCTAATTTTGTATTTTTAGTAGAGATGGGGTTTCTCCATGTTGGTCAGGCTGGTCTCAAACTCCCAACTCAGGTGATCTGTCCTCCTTGGCCTCCCAAAGTGCTGGGATTACCGGCGTGAGCCACCGTGCCCATCCAGGAGCATTCTCGAACCTGCTTTTGAATGCATGTTTGCTGCTCAGGCTGGAATTGCTAGTTCATAGGATAGGTGAATGTCCAGCAGTAATATATTCTACCAAACAACTTTCCTGGCTGGGTGCAATGGTTCACACCTGTAATCCCAGCACTTTGGGAGGCCAAGGCAGGCAGATCGCTTGAGCTCAGGAGTTTGAGACCAGCCAGGCAAACATGGCAAAACGTTGTCTCTACTAAAAATACAAAAATTAGCTGGGTGTGGTGGTGTGCACCTGTAGTCCCAGCTACTCGAGAGGTTGACACACAAGAATCGTTTGAATTCGGGAGGCGGAGGAGGTTGCAGTGAGCCGAGATAGTGCCACTGCACTCCAACCTGGGTGACAGAGTGAGACCCTGTCTCACAAACAAACAAACAAACAAACAAACAAAAACTCCAACTTTCCTAAGCAGTTGAACCAGTTTATACCCCCACCCGGTGTGTATGAGGCTCCAGCTGCTTCTCATCCTCACCACCACTGGATATTTTCTTTCTTTCTTCCTTCCTTCCTTCCTTCCTTCCTTCCTTCCTTCCTTCCTTCCTTCCTTCCCTCCTTCCCTCCCTTCCTCCCTCCCTCCCTCTTTCTTTCTTTCTTTCCTTCTTTTTTTCTTTCTTTCTTTCTTTCTTTCTTTCTTTCTTTCTTTCTTTCTTTCTTTCTTTCTTTCTCTCTCTCTCTCTCTTTCTTTCTGATGGAGTCTCGCTCTGTCACCCAGTCTGGAGTGCAGTGGCACAATCTCTGCTCACTGCAGCCTCCGCCTCCCAAGTTCAAATGATTCTCCTGCCTCAGCCTTCCGAGTAGCTGGGATTACAGGCACCCACCACCATGCCCAGCTAATTTTTGTATCTTTAGGAGGGACAGAGTTTCACCATGTTGGCCAGGCTGGTCTTGAACTCCTGACCTCAGATGATCCACCTACTTCAGCCTCCCAAAGTGCTGGGATTATAGGCATGAGCCACCACACCTGGCCACCACTGGATATTTTTGATCTTTTTCATTTGAGCCACTCTGGAGGTATGTTGACTACTTCCCTTTTAAAAGTGCTTCAATATTCCCCAGAGATTTCAGGATAAAACCAACTCTTTTGCTTAGCACCCAAAGGCTTCAGCAGCAGTTTCTGTTCACTCTCTGGCTCTGTTGCCCCCCATGTCACCCTTGCCCCCACCTTTACTGTCTTTCTCCAAAGCTGATCCCTTTGCTTGAAACCTTCTCCCCACCCTGCATTCCCCGGCCACTTTGGCTCATCATTTTATACCCTGCTCAGCTGTCACCACACTGTCTGAGTCTCAGCTCCCCCGCAGTTAAGTTCCCACAGCCTCCATACTGCCCTCCTTAGCAGCATCCGTAACACCGTTGCCCCTCTGGACTTTGAGCTCCTTGAAGGTCAAGGCAGCTTCTGCCTTTCTTCCTATCTCTAGTCTCCAACGCAGGGGCTGGCATGCAGCCACACAGTTGGCCCTCGTATCTGTAGGTTCCATGGATTCAACCAACCACAGATGGAAAATATTCGGAAAAAAGATGGATGGTTGCATCGGTACTGAACATGTACAAACTTACTTTTCTTGCCATTATTCCCTAAATAATATAGTATAACTAACAAATCTTTTTTTTTTTTTTTTTTGAGATGGAGTCTTGCTCTTGTTTCCAAGGCTGGAGTGCAATGGCACAGTCTTGGCTCACTGCAACCTCCGCCTCCCGGGTTCAAGCAATTCTCCTACCTCAGTCTCCCTAGTAGCTGGGATTACAGGCATGCGCCACCATGCCCGGCTAATTTTGTATTTTTAGTAAAGATGGGGTTTCTCCATGTTGCTCAGGCTGGTCTTAAACTCCCGACCTCAGGTGATCTTCCTGCCTTGGTGTCCCAAAGTGCTGGGATTACAGGCATGAGCCACTGCGCCCGGCCAACAACTCTGTATATAGCACTTATGTTGTATTAGATACTACAAGTAATCTGGAGATGATTTAAAGTATAGATTATATGCAAATACTATGCAAAGATTATATGCAAATTTTATGCCATTGTATATCAGGGACTTTGGCATCCATAGATTTTGGTATCCATGGCTAGTGGGGAGGTCCTGGAACCAATTCCCCACAGTTACTGAGGAACACCTATTCAGAAAAACATTTATTGAATCAATTAGTGTTCACAAGTAAGAATGCTCACCTGCCCAAGAACTTTAGGAAGACTCTGCTTGGGGGCATTTCCTGCATTGGTTTTATGGAAATTGCAAGGAATAATGCATTAAGATTTATTGAGCACCTACTATGCCCCAAGCTCTGTGCTACATGGTTAACACGAACCATCCTTGTTTTAGCTTTATAGCCACCCTGTGAGGTGAATACTAGTTTTTTCGTTTTGTTTTTAAAAAAGGGTCTCACTCTGTTGCTCAGGCTGGAGTACAGTGGCACAGCCTTGGCTCACTGCAACCTTGACCTCATGGGCTCAGGTGATTCTCCCATCTCAGCCTCCCAAATAGCTGGGAATACAGATGCATGCCACCACATCCAGCTAATTTTTTGTATTTTTTTGTAGAGATGGAGTTTCACCATGTTGCCCAGGCTGGTCTCGAACTCTTGGGCTCAAGCAACAAGCCCATCTTGGTCTTCCAAAGTGTTGGGATTACAGGTGTGAGCCACTGCGCCTGGCCTAATTTTAAATTTAAGTAGCCACACAAAGCTCTAAGGCTTCCTGCTCCCTCATCCTTCCAATCCACACACTCCACGCTGCCACTCAAGTGAAGTCTCTGAAGTTGCAAATCTGAGCATGTCAGATCTCTAATCAAAATCCCTTATCAATTTCTTCAGGCATTCAGAATAAAGCTTGAACTCCTCAGCTCAACATGTGAGCCAGTTCCTACTCTTCTCTCACCTCATTTCCCATCCCTTCCTCCTCACACAATTTTCCCACCAGCCAGTGGGGACAATTTCTCTAGTTTTCTGTCTTTCTGCATGCACACATGATGTTCCCTCTGTTTGGAACACCCAACCTTCCTTCCAACCACTTCTTCCCCATTCAACAAACACCCTCAAGGAAATGCATTGCTTTTGGGTTAGAGATACTTACTCATACTGCAATATTATGATGCATTAATGACAAAGCATCCTCACCTCTCCATTAAAACAAGTCCTTCAACACTTGGTACCAGGCCCACCTCCTCCAGGCCCTACTCTGGTCAGAGCCTCCTTCCTTGGGCATGTCTCTCTCCTGGTATGACACCAAGATGCCATATTGCTTTGGTTTTACTCTCCCTCTCCAGCTTGTGAACAACTGAGGCACGCTATGTTTTATTCATTTGATTTTTTTTTTTTGGAGAGTCTTGCTCTGTTGCCCAGGCTGGCGTATAGTGGCACCATCATGGCTCACTGCAGCCTCGACCTCCCGGGCTCAAGCAATCCTCCCCTTCAGTCTCTTGCATAGCTGGGACCACAGGCACACACCACCATGCCTGGCTAATTTTAAAAAATTCTTGTAGATCCAGGGTCTCATCATGTTGCCCAGGCTAGTCTTAAACTCCTGGGCTCAAGCAATCCTCCTGCCTAAGCCTCCCAAATTGCTGGGATCATAGTCGTGAGCCACCACACCCGGCTTCATTTGATTTCTAGTACAGTGCCTGCTGCATAGTGGGTGCTCAACCATATTCTTTGAGCGTAAGTTGTGCAGCCATCCGCTGTTCTAGGAGGAAACTTACAGCAGTAAGGCAGTTCCTGCCTTCAGGGAGGAGACCGCCAATATGCAGGCAAACAGATGAAAAAGATAATTGCAGGCCCGGGTAGTGCTGAAAATCCTTTGTCCTCTAGATCACTCTGCGAGTCTCTGTGTTCTGGGAGGATGACCTCTGCATATTGTCCATGGGCTCCCCGCCCACTGGCTTCTTGTTGGGTTCAGCCAATGGAAGGCACTGGCATAAGATGGGCGGGTAGGAGAAGAATGAGTTTGGGGTTGTTCCCCTCCAGACCCTGTCTGTGAAGACACCTGCTAGGCAGCTCTCCTCTCCTTATAGTGTCTCTCTGGGTTCCTGCCCCTTGCTCCTTCAGGCCCAAGGTGGTGAGGGCTCCCCTCCGTTACTAGTCCATTGGTACTACACTATCCTGGGTTAGTTTCTCTATGCTCTGCCTGCACTTTTGTAAATAGCCCCCTTATTGAATTCTTCTAATAATCCAGTTTGAGTGGATCCTCTGTTTATTACCAGGATCCTGAAAAATGCAGGATCTTTCTGCATTTTTGCACTGCTAATCTTTGAATGCAGCTTCCCCCCACGCTGGCTCCCTTGTGGTCACAAGATGGCTGCGGTAGCTCTGGCCATCACATCATCCACACCTGACAAAGGCCAGAGAGACTAGAGTGTATCTCTTGCCACTTATCCCCCTTTCAGAAAAACTCCCCACACCTTGCAATTATTTAATTTAATTTATTTTATTATTATTATTATTATTATTTTTGAGATGGAGTCTCACTCTGTCGCCCAGGCTGGAGTGCAGTGGCGCGATCTCGGCTCACTGCAAGCTCTGCCTCCTGGGTTCATGCCATTCTCCTGCCTCAGCCTCCCAAGTAGCTGGGACTACAGATGCCTGCCACCATGCCCGGCTAATTTTTTTGTATTTTTAGTAGAGACAGGGTTTCACTGTGTTAGCCAGGATGGTCTTGATCTCCTGACCTCGTGATCTGCCCGCCTCAGCCTCCCAAAGTGCTGGGACTACAGGCGTGAGCAATAGCACCCAGCCTATTATTATTATTATTTTTTGAAGATGAAGTCTCACTGTCACCCAGGCTGGAGTGCAGTAGTACGATCTTGGCTCACTGTAACCTCTGCCTCCTGGGTTCAAGTGACTCTCATGTCTCAGCTTCCCAAGTAGCTGGGATTACAGGTGCATGCCACCACTCCTGGTTAACTTTTGTCTTTTTAGTAGAGACAAGGTTTCACTATGTTGGCCAGGCTGGTCTTGACCTCCTGACCTCAAGTGATAACCCCACCTGGGCCTCCCAAAGTGCTGGGATTACAGGCGTGAGCCACCGTGTCCAGCCTAATTTTAATTTTTAATTTTTGTGGGTACATAGTAGGTGTATATGTTTATGGGGCACATTAAATATTTTGATACAGGCATACAATGTGTAATAACCACATCGGGTTAAATGAGGTATCCATCATCTCAAACATTTATCCTTCCTTTGTGTTACAGACATCTATTCTTTCAGTTATTTAATAATGTACAATAAATTTTCATTGACTAATATGGTTTGGCTGTGTCCCCACTTAAATCTCATCTTGAATTCCCACATGCTGTGGGAGGGACCCAGTGGGAGGTAATTGAATCATGGGGGCAGGTGTTTCCTGTGCTGTTCTCGTGATAGTGAATAAGTCTCATGAGATCTGGTGGTTTTAAAAAGGGGAATTTCCCTGCACAAGCTGTCTTCTCTTGTCTGCCACCATGTGAGATGTGCCTTTCATCTTCTGCCATGATTGTGAGGCCTCCCCACCCACGCGGAACTGTAAGTCCATTAAACCTCTTTCTTTTGTAAATTGCCCAGTCTCGGCTATGTCTTTATCAACAGTGAAAACGGACTAATACATTGACTGTAGCCATCTTGTTGTGCCATCAAATACTAGATCTTATTCATTCTTTCTAACTATATTTTGTACCCATTAATCATCCCTACTCCCTCCCTGCTCCCACTACCCTTCCCAGCCTCTAGTAACCATCATTCTCCTATCTCCATGAGTTCAACTGTTTTAATTTTCAGCTCTCAAATAAGTGAGAACATGTGAAGTTTGTCTCCCCGTGCCTGGCTTATTTGACTCAACATAATGACCTCCAGTTCCATCCGTGTTGCTGCAAATGACAGGATCTCATTGGTTTTTTTTTTTTTTTTTTGAGACGGAGTCTCGCTCTGTCGCCCAGGCTGGAGTGCAGTGGTGTGGTCTCGGCTCACTGCAAGCTCCGCCTCCCGGGTTCACGCCATTCTTCTGCCTCAGCCTCCTGAGTAGCTGGGACTACAGGTGCCCGCCACCATGCCCGGCTAATATTCTGTATTTTTAGTAGAGACGGGGTTTCACCGTGTTAGCCAGGATGGTCTCTATCTCCTGACCTCATGATCCGCCCTCCTACGCCTTCCAAAGTGCTGGGATTACTGGCGTGAGCCACTGCGCCCGGCCGGATCTCATTCTTTTTACAGCTGAATAGCACTCCATTGTGTATATGCACTATATTTTCTTTACCTATTCATCTGTTGGTGGACACTTAGGTTGCTTCCAAATCTTAACTTTTGTGAACAATGCCGCAGTCAACATGGGAGTGCAAATATCTCTTTGACATACTGATTTCCTTTCTTTGGGTGTATACGTAACAGTGGGATTGCTGGATCGTATGGTAGCTCTATTTTTAGTTTATTGAGGAACCTCCAAACTGTTCTTTGTAGTGTTTACACTGATTTACATTTTCAACAGTGTACGAAGGTCCCCTTTCCTCCACATCCTCTCCAGCATTTGTCATTGCCTGTCTTTTGGACAAAAGCCATCTTAACTGGTGAGAGGATATCTCATTGTAGTTTTGATTTGCATTTCTCTGATCAATGATGTTAAGCACCTTTTCATATACTTGCTTGCCATTTGTATTTCTTCTTTTGAGAAATGTCTATTCAGATCTTTTGCCAGATTAAATTTAAAAGCCAGATTATTAGACTTTTTCCTGTTGAGTTGTTTGAGCTCCTTATATATTCCAGTTATTAATCCCATGTCAGATGGGTAGTTTGCAAATATTTTCTCCCATTCTGTGGATTGTCTCTTCACTTTGTTGATTGTTTCCTTTGCTGTGCAGAAGCCTTTTAACTTGATGAGATCTCATTTGTCCATTTTTGCTTCAGCCTGTACTTGTAAGATATCACTCAAGACATCTTTGTCCGGGCCAGGCAAGGTGGCTCATGCCTATGATTTCCAGCACTTTGTGAGACCTAGGCAGGAGGATAGCTTGAGCCCAGAAGTTTGAGACCAGCCTGGGTAGCATAGTTGAGACTGTGCCTCTACAAAAAAAAAAAAAAAAAAAAAAAAGAAAGAAAAAAAGAAAAGAGGAATTTTTGTCCAGTCCTGGAGAGTTTTCCCAATGCTTCCTTTTAGTAATTTCATAGTTTGTGGTCTTAGATTGAAGCCTTTAATCCATTTTGGTTTTGATTTATGTATATGGTGAGAGACAGGGGTCTAGTTTCATTCTCATGTGTCTCTTTGAAGAGTGAAGAAAGCTTCTCCTAAAAGTTGTCCCAGCAGATTTTTTCCCATATCATTGGCCAGAATCATGTCACAGATCTATGTTTAATTAAATCACCAGCAAGACAGCCAGGGCAACAATGACTGGTTCAGATCAGCCAAGACCCACTCTGTGAGGCTGGGGCTGGGGTCAGCTTCCCCTAAAGCACATAGTTCTAGAAAGGAAGATGGAGGGTTCCTAGACAAAACAAGAGCGGTGAGTGCTAAGGAGGAAAAATCAAGATTGGGAGGAAGGGCTATTGGGTGTCTACAAGTGATGGAGCAGTTGAGTTGGAAAAGGATTCGTAAGTTGGCTGAGTGGCCCTCACTGGCTGGACACCCCAGTGGATCTGAATAGGCTACCTCCTTGGCAAAGACCATGGGAGCATGTATGTCTCAGTCTGTTCTCGGTTGCTATAACAGGATACCACTGACTAGGTCAGGCGTGGTGGCTCACACCTGTAATCCCAGCACTTTGGGAGGTTGAGGTAGGTGGATTACTTGAGATCAGGAGTTCCAGACCAGCCTGGCCAATATGGTGAAATCCCCGTCTCTACTGAATAAATGCAAAAATTAGCCGGGTGTGGTGGTGCATGCCTGTAATCCCAGCTATTTGGGAGGCTGAGGCAAGAGAATCACTTGAACCTGGGAGGTGGTGGTTGTAGTGAGCCGAGATCACACCATTGCACTCCAGCCTGAGTGACAGAGTGAGGCTCAATCTCAAAAACAAACAAACAAACAAACAAAACAAGCCAAAACACCAAAACACAGAGGGGGACATTACATGGTAAGAGGGCAAGAGTGTGGTGTCAGCTCAGGTCTCTCTTCCTCTTCTTATAAAGCCTCCAGTCTCATCATGGGAGTACCACCTTGATGACCTTATCTAATCTTAATTACTTCCCAAAGCCCTCACTACCTTTAATCAACATATGAATTTTGGGATTATGTTTCCAACACATGAAAATTGGGGCGCACATTCTAACCAGGGCGGAACACTTCTAGGAGCACTTGGCTGATAGAGAAGTGTCCCCAGAGGCTCTGCTTTGATTGAGGACATGAATGTTCATTATCAACAAACATCAGTGTTTATATGTAAAGAGGCATTACTAACTTGGAAACAGAGTGTTCCTCTGATCATGCCGAACATGCCCTTCAGTAGCTCAAACATTCCCCTGCAAGGCTTATTTCATAATTCATTGGCTTGGGAAACATTTGTGCAATAATAAACTGCTAACCTGAGAAGAATTAGTCAAATTCTCATCTATAATATGGACCTAAATTAATCATATTTGATGTTATTAAAGGCAGAAGAGAAAGGAAAAAGAAGATCTCCTTTCATCTCCACTGCCCTCCATCTAGGGTCAGTCCAGAAGCTCTGGGCCACCTGCTCCCCAGCTTTCTCTGGGCAGCATCCCGGAGGCTGGATCTTCATAGCCCTTCCCCACCCACCAAAACATGGAGGATTTTTGTCCCAATCCTGCTGAGAGCAGCTGCAGAGCCTGATCTCCCCTGATTACTGTGGTGTATCTGGGGTGTGTAGAGAGAAGCCATCCTGTTGGGAGGAACCTGGAGACTTTAAAATTGGAGGAGGTTGGGAAAGTCTGAGGATCATGGCCATGTGGTTGGCAGTGAGACCCAGCCCAGATGTTGGTCTTGGATAGAGTGAAGCTGGCACAAGGCAGGATGCTAAGCTAGGCCAGACCAAGATGAACTTCTTAAGGCAGGAGTGTACCTGATCACCTATCTCCTGGGAGCAAAATGATTAACGCCCATCTAGCAGGCATTAAAAAAGCATCTGAGCTGAGGGGATCCATTCAGCTGACTGTCTTGGACTTGGTGCCCTGCCTACCAGGAACCAGACTCTCACACAAGGCCTCTGCCACTTCAAATCTCGTGTATTTTCCCACTTGGGGGCCTGCCACGCTTAAATTCAATTATTTAACAACTATCTATTTAGCATCTGCTATGTGCTAGATGCTATTCGTGAAGCATTGATCACAAGAGATCAAAGTGCCTGCTCTGTTGGAGCTTACATTTTAGTTGAGGGATATAGCCTATCTGCAACATAAATACGCAAAATATACAGTATGTTTGGAGTCTCTAAGTGCTATAAAATTAAGTAGAGAGAAGGATAGAAACTATGAGTCAGGGTAACAGTTTTAGGTGGGATGGCCAAGGAAGGTAAGGAATACCTGAGACTGGGTAATTGATAAAGAAAAGAGGTGTAATTGGCTCATGGTTCTGGAGGCAGTACCAGCATGGATGCAGCATCTGCTTCCGGTGCGGGCCTCAGGAACCTTACAATCATCCCAGAAGGCAAAGCGGGTGCAAGAGAAAGCAGGAACAAGGGTAGGGGGAGGTGCCACATACTTTTAAATAATCGGATCTCACATGAACTTAGGGTGAGAACTCACTTAGCACCAAGGGGATGGTGCTAAACCATTTATGAGGATCCGACCCCATGACCCAATCACCTCCCACCAGCCCCCACCTCCAACATTGGGGATTACATTTCAACGTGAGATTTGGAGGAGACAAACATCCAAACTATATGAGAGTCTGGGCGTGGTGACTCACACCTGTAATCCCAGCACTTTGGGAGGCCGAGGAGGGTGGATCACCTGAGGTCAGGAGTTCGAGACAAGGCTGGCCAACATGGTGAAATCCCGTCTCTACTAAAAATACAAAAATTAGCTGAGCATGGTGGTGGGCACCTGTAATCCCAGCTACTCGGGAGGCTGAGGCAGGAGAATTGCTTGAACCCAGGAGGCAGAGGTTGCAGTGAGCTGAGATCATGCCACTGCAAACCCGGTGAGACTGTCTCAAAAAAACAAAAACAAAACTATAGGAGAAGGCATACTGAGAAAGTGATATTTGAGGAAGTAAGACATGAGGATTTTGGGAAAGAAGAGTTTTCTGGTAAAGGAGGTGGATGATGAGAAATTACTTAATGGGTAATTGTACAATGCTTTTGGGTACCTTAAAAGTCCTGGCCTGACCACTTTGCAATCTATGCATGTAACAAAATTGCACTTGTACCCCATATATTTGTATGAAAAATAAACAAATAAAAATTGGGGAAGGGGGAAAAGATAAATGCAAGCAAGCTTTAAAAAAAAGTTTGCTGGTGAAGGGAGGAGCAAGTGCAAAGGCCCTGGGGTAGAGCACTAGATGCTTTCCACTTGTCTCTCCAGACTCACTTTCCACCCTTCTCTGCCCACTGTCCTAGAGGGCTAACTTATGCAGGCTGCATTCATGGACTCTTTGCATCCTGGCTTCCAGTTAGGTTCCATTCATGGAAGTCACCAGCAGGACAGAGAGCACGAATGGAGCGAGGTTGGAACATGTAGGCTGTTTCTCTGCGGGTCTTTGAGCACTAGCTGTGACCCTCTACTGAAGGCCACAGCTCCTGTCTATAGCCTTTCCATAGCAACCCTCTCTGGGTTCCGTTTTCTCCTCCTTTCCCTTGTTGGCTATTTGCTTGGAGCCAAGGAGCCTCCAGCCTCCATGGTGGTGAGCTCTGCTCCCAGACTGCTGGGAGTGCAGGAGGAACTGCACAGTGACACGGCGCAGACTCAACTGATCAACAATGTCACGCACATGGCTTCTCTCACAGGAACTGTCCAGCCAACAACTTGACACCATCATGGGGTCTTCTGGAGATACAATTTGCCTCCCACAGTGGTTCGGATGGTGGCCATTTAGGTACAGAAGCAGACCAGTGGGAAGCTGCTAGATAGAAGTAACCTCTTAGGACTCTGTTCAACCTGGGTAGGTCTTCTTGGGGCCTGCAAGTACCAGGCTTTAGTCACTCAGAGAGCTCTGCCAGGTAAGGCTTCCTGGCTGGCAGGTTTGTGTTCTTGCAGTTGTAAGTCCCCCAAACCCACCTCATACTAGAAAAGAAAGAAGAGGAGGAGGAGGAGAGGGAAGAGGAGGAAGAGAATGAGGCAGGGGTGAAGAAGAAGGAAAAAGAGGGAGACAGGAAGAGAAGGGGGAGGTGATGGTGATATTGGTTTTTTAACAGGGACCTTCTATGGGTGAACTTCATTGACTTCAGGAATAACTGGATCTAGAGGCTTAATGTCTTCAATTTCCCCCCCGCTTCCTCCCCTCATCTCCCAGATCTGCTTTTCCTTGAGTAGGTATCATTCTAAGGCCGGCTTCCTTAAAAAATGACTACTGGCAGCTTCAGACTTACTTTCTAGCCAGTGTAGCCACCTCTGACAGAAGGAGAACCTCTCTTTTCCAATGATTTCATCAAAACTCCCATAGGGGGCCAGGTGTGGTGGCTCACGCCTATAATCCCAGGGAGGCCAAGGCAGGGGGGATCACCTGAGGTCAGGAGTTCAAGACCAGCCTGGCCAACTTGGTGAAACCCCGTCTCTACTAAAAATACAAAAAAAAAAAAAAAAAATTAGCTGGGTGTGGTAGCAGGCGCCTGTAATCCCAGCTACCTGGGAGGCTGAGTCAGAAGAATTGCTTGAACCCAGGAGGTGGAGTTTGCAGTGAGCCAAGATCGCACCACTGCACTCTGGCGAGCAACAGAAGGCAGGGGGTGTTGGGAAACTCCCATAGGGTTCTCATTGGCTTGGCCTGGGGTGGGTCAGCTACAGTAACCCTATGGGCTGAGAGTAGGGGTGAGGTGATCCCGAAAGGACAATTGATGTGGTATTGCCAAAAGAAGGGAGAACAGATGCTGGGCCCCCAAAACCCACCCATGCCCACCATCACTGGGGTGACTATATAACTTATTATCATCTAAGCCAGGATCTTTTGAGAGTGAAAGAGGGCACTTTTAACAATTCTTCCATGACAACAGGCTTAGACTGTCCTGGGAAAATACTGTCATCCTAACTATAGCAGCCAAGAGCCAGGGAGCCAAGAGCTGCCCCATCTGAGCCCTGTATCCTGCAAACTCAATCTATCTGGCTCTCTGGGCACAGGCAGGAGAGGAAGGGAAGATGCTCAGGCTCAGATCTCAGTAGGAGAAGGGGATGACTGGGTGGGGAGAGGACACATTGGGAGACAAGTCCCAGTTCTCCACATCCACCCAAACTGCCTCACCCCGACCTCCCACTACTATCTGTTGTTCACATTGTGTCTCTTCCCCATGCTAGGAATGCCCTTCCTATGCTCCTTAGACTCCAGGGGCCTTCTCTAGTTCTCCACTCTCCGGGGAGCATCCCTTTAACACCCCTCCTGCCCCAGCCTCCTCACAGCTCCTGCAGCATCTCCAGACTCATCACAGGACTTGTCTAGGGTATGACTCCCATCTCTACCATGGGGCAGGGGTTTGCTGTGGATCTTGCTTGTCTTCCAGTCCCCTTTGCCCACAGCCTTCAGCAGGGCTCACTGAAAGCCCTAGGCTGATGATTTTGCTGGGCTAAGGCCTCTCAGCTGTCTCGATCTCTCCAGCCCAGAGCCCTTTCCCCTCCCCAGCACTTCTGCCCCTGCTCCTGGTATTGATCACTAGGGAATCCTAGCCAAAGAGCTTCTCACGCAAAGGCATGCAAACTTTGACCCAGGAATGAGTGTTCAGCTCCAGGCCAAGGTCCTCTAACCTCCTGCCTGACTCCCTCCTTCTCTGCCCAGTGCTCAGTGTGGGCCCCCTTCCTGTTATTGTGAACTGTTAGCCAAGATACGGCTTGGTGATGAGAAGTGCAACATCTCTTGTAACCCCAGTGCACCAGTCCAGGGGTGTGGAGAGGTGAGGGGCCCTGGCCCAGGGGCTGAGTCTGTCTACCTTTGGCCCCCTGGGGCTTCACTCATAGTCTGGGATGATAAGTTATGGTGAGACGGGCCCTGGCCTAGAAGCAAGAAGCTGGAGTTCTAGGCTCTGCTTTGATTTGCCATGCGTACTTGGGCCTTTTCTTTTCTGGCACCCATCTCTCCACCTAAGAAGTGAGAGACGAATTGGTTTTATTAGCTAATGAGTTTTTGAGGAGTCAAGAGCCTCTTAGATAATGCAAGCAAAGCAACGCACTTTCTATCAAGAGAAGGGTCCCTGGTTGGGAGCCCTAGCACTAGTTGGTCTTCCAGCCCTGGTGACCAGGCTGCCATGATTCTCCAGCGCTGGGGCATTGGTGGGGACCCTGGGAAGCTGAAGAAGAGGTTGTGCTGCAGAGCATGTTGGAGGATCTAGGAGTGCCTTGCTTTCCACTTCCTTGCCATGGCTTCCACACAGGCTCGTTCTCTGTGGCTCTAGCTCCAACTAGGATTGAAGGACAGACCTCTCTTGGGTACCATGAAGCTCCTCAGACTGAATCAAAGATGCAGAGAGTAGAATAATTGGAAGGGTGCTGAGAAAGCCCAGCAATACCTCCCTTGTCTCCTGCCTGTTCTGTTGCCTAAATTCCACCATTATAGCATGAGCACTTTGGATTCAACATCTCTCTTGCCATTTGGCCTGTGTATAGTATAGCTGTGTCTAATTCCTTTACCAGTTATTAATATCTTGCCTGGACTTGGCTTATCAGATCAATTTCCTGCAGGTTGGTTTTCCTTGTTAGAGCATACGGAAAGAAGTGGCAGGTTGGGTCGGGGCTATAGCAAGTATCCAGTGTCCTAAGAATTACCGTGGAGAAGTGCTGGAAACAGCGACCAGGAGAAACATAATTTTCTGGGGGGAGAATCCAGGAAGGCATCCCAGAGGAAGTGATGTTTTATCTGAGACTCAAGGTAGGGGACACTAGAACTAGAGGCAGGCAGGCCTGGTAGGTTCTGCTAAAGATACTTTTTTTTTTTTTTTCAAGAGTGCAGGATGGATTTATTGCTCGTGGTTTGAGGAGGCTTCAAGCATGTCCTTATTTTTTTTTTTTTTTTTATTGATCATTCTTGGGTGTTTCTCGCAGAGGGGTATTTGGCAGGGTCATAGGACAATAGTGGAGGGAAGGTCAGCAGATAAACAAGTGAAAAAAGGTCTCTGGTTTTCCTAGGCAGAGGACCCTGCGGCCTTCCGCAGTGTTTGTGTCCCTGGGTACTTGAGATTAGGGAGTGGTGATGACTCTTAACGAGCATGCTGCCTTCAAGCATCTGTTTAACAAAGCACAACTTGCACTGCCCTTAATCCCTTTAACCCTGAGTGGACACAGCACATGTTTCAGAGGGCACAGGGTTGGGGGTAAGGTCACAGATCAACAGGATCACAAGGCAGAAGAATTTTTCTTAGTACAGAACAAAATGAAGAGTCTCCCATGTCTACCTCTTTCTACACAGACACGGCAACCATCCGATTTCTCAATCTTTTCCCCGCTTTTCCCCTCTTTCTATTCCACAAAACCGCCATTGTCATCATGGCCCGTTCTCAATGAGCTGTTGGGTACACCTCCCAGATGGGGTGGTGGCCGGGCAGAGGGGCTCCTCACTTCCCAGTAGGGGCGGCCGGGCAGAGGCGCCCCTCACCTCCCGGACGAGGCGGCTGGCCGGGCGGGGGGCTGACCCCCCCACCTCCCTCCCGGACAGGGCGGCTGGCCGGGCGGGGGGCTGACCCCCCCACCTCCCTCCCGGACGGGGCGGCTGGCCTGGCGGGGGCTGACCCCCACCTCCCTCCCGGACGGGGTGGCTGCCGGGCGGAGACGCTCCTCACTTCCCAGACGGGGTGGCTGCCGGGCGGAGGGGCTCCTCACTTCTCAGACGGGGCGGTTGCCAGGCGGAGGGTCTCCTTGATTCTCAGACGGGGCGGCCGGGCAGAGACGCTCCTCACCTCCCAGACGGGGTCGCGGCTGGGTAGAGGCGCTCCTCACATCCCAGACGGGGCAGCAGGGCAAAGGCGCTCCCCACATCTCAGACGATGGGCTGCCGGGCAGAGACGCTCCTCACTTCCTAGATGGGATGGCGGTGGGGCAGAGACGCTCCTCACTTTCCAGACTGGGCAGCCAGGCAGAGGGGCTCCTCACGTCCCAGACGATGGGCGGCCAGGCAGAGACGCTCCTCACTTCCCAGACGGGGTGGCGGCCGGGCAGAGGCTGCAATCTCGGCACTTTGGGAGGCCAAGGCAGGCGGGTGGGAGGTGGAGGTTGTAGCGAGCCGAGATCACGCCACTGCGCTCCAGCCTGGGCACCATTGAGCACTGAGTGAACCAGAATCCGTCTGCAATCCCGGCACCTCGGGAGGCCGAGGCTGGCGGATCACTCCCTGTTAGGAGCTGGAGACCAGCCCGGCCAACACAGCGAAACCCCGTCTCCACCAAAAAAATACGAAAACCAGTCAGGCGTGGCGGCGCGCGCCTGCAATCGCAGGCACTCGGCAGGCTGAGGCAGGAGAATCAGGCAGGGAGGTTGCAGTGAGCCGAGATGGCAGCAGTACAGTCCAGCTTTGGCTCGGCATCAGAGGGAGACCGTGGAAAGAGGGGACAGGGAGAGGGAGGGAGAGGGAGAGGGAGAGGGAGAGGGAGAGCTGCTAAAGATTCTTATTCCTGCCTTCAGAGTGGTGGGAGCTACCAAAGAAATTTAAGCAAGGTGGTGATGGAATGAGATTTTGCATTTTTGACAGGACCACTCTGGGTGCCACAGGATGGAGAAGTAATTGGACGGAGCAAAAGGCAAATGGGAACCTAGGTGGAGGCTAAGTGCTCCAGGGAGCAATGATGGGCCCTGGATGAGTTGTGGCAGTGGAGCTGGACAGATGCCAAAGCAGATGCCAAGCAGAGAAATGTGCCTCCTATTCTTAGCACAGTAGCCCGAGTGACCTTGCTTCTCTTACACCCCAGCCATGTCTCTATCTCGCACAGAGGAAGTCTCATGTCTCTCAATGGGGTGCTCCCTGCACATGCGGCAGGGCGCTGTGCCTCATGGGCATCCCATCCCCCTGGACTACATGCCAGGAGAACTCCCCAGTCACATGACCTCTGCACATCCCTGGTACTGCTCGGTCCTTCAAGAACCACTGTGGTGGGGGGTGGCGGGAGGCTTTGATTTTGCTTATTCCCTCTGCCAGTTGCAGTCTTTTATTTGAGATGGAGTCTCGCTCTGTCACCCAGGCTGGAGTGCAGTGGCGTGATCTCAGCTCACTGCAACATCTGCCTCCCAGGTTCAAGCAATTCTCCTGCCTGACTCCACTCCCCCCAAACCCCCCTCACCGCCCCAGTATCTGGGATTACAGGTGAGCAACACCATGCCCGGCTAATTTTTGTATTTTTGATAGAGATGGGGTTTTGCCATATTGGCCAGGCTGGTCTTGAACTCCTGACCTCAGGCGATCCTCCCGACTCGGCCTTCCAAAGTCCTGGGATTACAGGCGTGAGCCACCGCACCTGCCCAGGTACACTTTTTATCCAGATATCTATGCACATTGATTCTTGACTCCACACTCCTGCCTCTCTCCGCAAGGCCTTCCCTGACCCCCTTGTTTTGAATTGCAATCTGCCCTCACATAATCCGTACGCCTTTTCTGTTTAATTTTTTTCAACCGCACTTTTTACCCTCTCACATTCTCTAGATTTGGGGCATATTACTTGTCTCCTTCCATCAGAATGTAAACTCCACGAGATTAGGAGTGCTGTCAGCTGTGTTCCCTTCTCTGTCAATCGCCAGCGCCTCCGAACAGCTCCTGGCACATAGTAGTTGCTTGGTAAATATTTGTGCAATGCACGAGGCCGCATATGACCGGAATGGGAGGTGAGGGGATTATTTTCTGGCCTGGACCAGCGACGGATGGTGGTGCCACCGGGTTGGGGAGCACGTCGGGGATGGCGCGTAACGATGTTAGCTGGGGCCAGGTTGAGCTAGGCACGCAAATACAACTTTTTTTTTCCTGGAAACCCTGTAACAGGAAGGTTCCGGAGGGCGGGACAGCGTCGGAGGCAGGCAGCTAGGCCATGCCAAATGGCACTGGGGCTTCGTGTCGTGCCACAGGCGTGGACCGAAAATGCGGACACATGCAGGCTGCCTCTCCTCGCAGGCAGAAGCCACACGCAGACCTAGACCCTTTGCACCGCATCCCCTTATTCAATCGCGCACCCGCCACCCTTCGACAGTTCCTCTCCCTCCACCCCAACCCCACGCCGCGCGCGAGGCTGGCCCTTTAAGAGCCCCGCCCCGACTCCCTCCCCCCTCGCGTGACTGCGAGCCCCCGCGCCGGGCCGGGGAATGGGTCGGCTGGGTGGCTGCGCGGGCCTCCGGTCCTTCTCACGCAACGCCTGGGCACCGCGCCTCCGGGCCAGGTGGGGCGGGGACGGGCCGCCTGACCTCTGCCCCCTAGAGGGATGTCGCCGGCGCACGCAAGCTAGCCGGGGGTAGGGTGGGGGCTCCGCGCCAGGTGCCCCCTCCGTGGTCCCTGGGCCCGAGTCTTTCCGTGGCCCCCCGCCGCCGGATTTCTGTGCTCTGCCAATCAAAGCACTAGCCACCCCGGGAGCCAAGAGGGACCCTCAAGGGCCGGTGGGTCCTGGCTGGAGGGACCGCGCGTTGCAATCAGCACTAAGGCGATCCTAGAGGCTGCGAGGAGCCGCTAGTGAGCGCTCAGCGAGCCTGCCCCTTCGCCATCCATTCCGATCCTTCAATCAAGAGGCGCGAACCTCAGCTAGTCGCCCGGGCTCTGGGGGACAGGTCCAGCCCCGCGGCGCCTCTGGCCTTCCGGCCCCCGTGACCTCAGGGCTGGGGTCGCAGCGCTTCTCACGCGAGCCGGGACTCAGTAACCCCGGGAAGGAGGTCACCACGGGGCAGCCCCGCCCCCGCCTGCCGAGTCCTGGTAGGCTGTAGCGCTGGGGAGGCATCTGCACGCCCAGCGTTCCAGTGGGTGCAAAAATGACGAAGAGGAGTCCCCGCGCCCCAGGATGGAGCTTCCCGTACCCTCTCTTCGGGCTGTCCTGGGACTTCTCCCTCAAGCCCCCTCCTCGGCTGGGTTCTGCACTGCCCTTGGGACGCCTTGGAATTGGGACTTCCAGGTGTTCCCAGCCCTCACCCCTCTATGTACAGGCACCGAGATGTGTCCCATAGTGGGTTCTTGCCCACCCGACCCCCCACCCCCGCCGCCCTCCGCCACCTTTCTCTCCAATCCCAGAGAGACCAGCCCGGTTCAGGCTGCTTCTCCCTCCATCTCAGCTCGCTCCAGGGAAGGAGGCGTGGCCACACGTACAAGCCCGCCTATAAAGGTGGCAGTGCCTTCACCCTCACCCTGAAGGTGACAGTTCCTTGGAACCTTCCCTGATCCTTGTGATCCCAGGCTCCAAGAGTCCACCCTTCCCAGCTCAGCTCAGTACCTCAGGTGAGTTGCTGGGGGACTTCTGGCTTGCCCTTTCTCTCCCAATAAAAGGAACATTTTGGTGCCTCCAGGACTTCTTAGGTAGCTACCTGTCTAGCACCTCCAAAAAGGGAGGCTCAGAGTGTTTTTAGTGACCAGGCAGTCTAGCCCCCTAGTGGGGAAACTGAGGCCAGGGGAAGAGGAGGACTTGCCCATGGTCCCACAGCTGGTACCAGACCTCTAGATACAGATGGCATCTCATTCAGGACTTCAGGACCCAGGCTCCAGCTCCATCCCCTAGTGAGTGTCTCCCTGCCTACCCTGGGGCTTCCCCATCAAGGCCACCTGGCAGGCTGGAATATGTGCAGCCCCTCCCTCAGGCTTTCTGATGACAGGGGCTTCTCCTTGGGTGGACAGGGTGGATGGAGGGGGTGGGCTGGGTTCTTACCAGCTGTACCCTGCCCTAGCCTAAGAAGCTACCCCTGGCAGATTTTACCCTCCTAAGGGTGGCTTGTCAGTGCTGAGATGTCCTAGACAGCTGGGACAATAGAGGCAGATCTGTGCAGGAGTCCCAGGCCTTTCCTATCTCATTGACCATCTTCTTTGTCCTTTGCTGGGAGACAATCAGGGTGACAGATTGCCAACTGCAGGGAGCTGGAAATACCAGTCCCTAAAAACTCACCAGTCACATCTCCCTTGGCCTCCTACCATCTTACAAAGGCTGCAGGTCCTTGGGATACCCACTGTGCAGAAGGGGACACCATAGCACACCAAAGCCTGGCACTGTCCCCTGTTGACTCAGGGATCTAGTGTGCTTTGATATTTAGCCCCTCCAGGAAGCCTCCCTCCACTATAATACTTGTGGTAGGAACCATCCATCTCCCTGTCTTGTGAGGTTCTCCTGTGGGGAGCCTAACTGGTAAGACTGTCAGGTTCCCCACAGCAGATCTGGGTTTTCTCTTCCCTCTGGATCCAGCTGGGTACTCTGAACTGAGAGATCTTGTCTTACCCTCTCTCAGATGTTGAAATTGGACCCCAGAAAAGTAAAATGTGCAGTCCAAGATCACTTTGACTAGAATGTTGGGTCTACTGACCTCTAGTCCAGGGTAACAGGCAGAGATGCCTGATATGTTGGAGAGAGTGGTTTATGAATTTAAACACCCTTTTTAGGTCAAGCTTACAGAGAAAGTATTGCCTCAGTTTCCTTTCAGTTTAGATCCATTCCTGATTTCCCTGATTCCAGTCTGGGGTTTTCTTACAGCCTAGTGGGAACCTTCCATTTATTCTCTGCTCTCTGGTAACCTGCAAAAGGGGGAGGTCCAAACTGTTCATTCATTGAGAATTGAGCCAAAAAAAAACCCTGGCCTGGATTTCTCTGACTAAAGAGCTCAATCTAGCTGGTCTCCAGCTGCCTTTAAACTGTGGATCAGTTGAACTCAGAGAGCTGGGGCTGAAAGCAATGTGGTTTGGGAAGTGGCCATCCTGTCCCCTATCTCTTCCTCAGTCTGTCCTGGGGTCTGGTGGGATTTCCTGCATCCTGGGATTGAGCAGCAGAGAACTGAGGGTTCTGGGAAAATTCCTTCATTGATCTGACCACTCTTCAAAAGGAGGTACATGTGACAGCAGCTGGAAATTTCCAGGGAAGTGTCCCTAAGGAGTCTGAGTCCTGGCTCTGTCACTGATTGCTGGGGGACTTTGGACAAGTCAGCGCTGCTTCCCCCAAATGTTAAATGAGGCTAAAGGATCAGATGATCCCTAATTCCCCTGAGAACATGATTTTCCTAAGTGTGGTGGGTAGGACTCGGGGTGATACACCTTGATTATGTGTTTATTTTAATGTGTTAGGGGAAAAATCAAACTTGTACTTTCACATAGATATTGTTTATGATGATATGTAGGTAGATTTAAAGTTGATTTTAGGAAAATGTGAAGTAAATAACAGTACTGGTACTATGTGGAAATCACAGATTGACATTGGAAGATGTCAGTTTAGATTGGTACAGCAGTTAAGAGAAAGCGTTCTGGAATTAGGCAACTTGGCTTGGGAGTCTGCATCCAACACTTTCTGGCTGTGTGACCTTGGGCAAGTTACTTACCTTCTCTGAGCCTCATTGCAGGCTACTTCATAGATTTGTGGCCAGGGCTGAATGAAGAAGGACTGTGAAATTCTTAGCCCACAGTGGTAGTTCAACAACTTCTCCCCACCTCACCCTCTTCTTCATGCCCAGTAAGCAGTTCTGGTGGAAAGGTTTCCCCTTTCCCTGACACTCTAGATATTGGCTTTTCTCATCCCCCAATCTGACGGCTTGACTTTTTTTCTTCCTGCACCTTCTCTCAGCAGCCACCTCCAAGATCCCTACACTGATCATGCTTTTCCCAATCTCCATGTCGGCCACGGAGTTTCTTCTGGCCTCTGTCATCTTCTGTCTGGTATTCTGGGTAATCAGGGCCTCAAGACCTCAGGTCCCCAAAGGCCTGAAGAATCCACCAGGGCCATGGGGCTGGCCTCTGATTGGGCACATGCTGACCCTGGGAAAGAACCCGCACCTGGCACTGTCAAGGATGAGCCAGCAGTATGGGGACGTGCTGCAGATCCGAATTGGCTCCACACCCGTGGTGGTGCTGAGCGGCCTGGACACCATCCGGCAGGCCCTGGTGCGGCAGGGCGATGATTTCAAGGGCCGGCCCGACCTCTACACCTTCACCCTCATCAGTAATGGTCAGAGCATGTCCTTCAGCCCAGACTCTGGACCAGTGTGGGCTGCCCGCCGGCGCCTGGCCCAGAATGGCCTGAAAAGTTTCTCCATTGCCTCTGACCCAGCCTCCTCAACCTCCTGCTACCTGGAAGAGCATGTGAGCAAGGAGGCTGAGGTCCTGATAAGCACGTTGCAGGAGCTGATGGCAGGGCCTGGGCACTTTAACCCCTACAGGTATGTGGTGGTATCAGTGACCAATGTCATCTGTGCCATTTGCTTTGGCCGGCGCTATGACCACAACCACCAAGAACTGCTTAGCCTAGTCAACCTGAATAATAATTTCGGGGAGGTGGTTGGCTCTGGAAACCCAGCTGACTTCATCCCTATTCTTCGCTACCTACCCAACCCTTCCCTGAATGCCTTCAAGGACCTGAATGAGAAGTTCTACAGCTTCATGCAGAAGATGGTCAAGGAGCACTACAAAACCTTTGAGAAGGTACAGTCTGGGGAAAGGCAGGTGGGTGGTGGGAAGCAGATGGCATCAGGGCCTGGGAGGTCAAAGGTAAGAGGAACTGCATGGGGCTTGGCAAGTTCTCAGGAAGGCTTCAACCTGGGATCTTGAAGCCAGTTGTGGAATAGTCTTCTTCCTTGGCAGGGAAATAGAACTTTATCTTGACTAACCCTTCCATGCTTCCACAGACAGCAATAGCCACTGAAGAGTCATTACATGCAGGACCCTGGGGCAGTTGCTGAGGGAGCCAGGAAGAGTTAAAGAGTTCATCTCCTGGCCTCATAATAGAAAGAAGATAAAGAGCACATCCAGATGATAACAGTACAAGACGCTGTGTGTCAAATGTCCCATGAGTTGGGGCTAGCAGCATTCTAAGGTAGTAGGAGAGAGCCTTGCAGAGGCAGAGAGAAGCTGGGACAACAGCCTCAGGGGGCATCACCTCCAGAACAAATGTGCTAGGAATAGTGAAGGACCAGACCTGGATGGAGAGGTAGCTCTGGGTTTGAGATCTTGCTCACCTGTGGACTTTCCCTACCTAAGGGCCACATCCGGGACATCACAGACAGCCTGATTGAGCACTGTCAGGAGAAGCAGCTGGATGAGAACGCCAATGTCCAGCTGTCAGATGAGAAGATCATTAACATCGTCTTGGACCTCTTTGGAGCTGGTATGGTTACCCCATTGTGTCCTTCCTGTGCTCAAGTGCCCTGACCTGCTGCTGCCTGCCTAACTTCTTCTGTTCTACCCTGTCCAGGGTTTGACACAGTCACAACTGCTATCTCCTGGAGCCTCATGTATTTGGTGATGAACCCCAGGGTACAGAGAAAGATCCAAGAGGAGCTAGGTAGGTAGTGGCTCCCTTCAAAGGGGTCAGTGCCAGGGGTCTGGCCAGGTCTAGGCAGCCCCTGCATCCATCTTGTCCCTGTGTTCTGCAGACACAGTGATTGGCAGGTCACGGCGGCCCCGGCTCTCTGACAGATCCCATCTGCCCTATATGGAGGCCTTCATCCTGGAGACCTTCCGACACTCTTCCTTCGTCCCCTTCACCATCCCCCACAGGTAAGGCCCCATGGAGCCACTGCTGTCTGTTACTGATCTTACTCCGGACCACATACCTGATTAGGGTTAGTGGGAGGGACACGGCATGGGAGACAGGGAGATTTGCCTGTTGCCCTGAGCCTGACTGAGCTTCCTTTCTCCCTAGCACAACAAGAGACACAAGTTTGAAAGGCTTTTACATCCCCAAGGGGCGTTGTGTCTTTGTAAACCAGTGGCAGATCAACCATGACCAGTAAGTTCAGAGATGCAGAGGAAAGGCTGGGTCCACCCTCTTAAGCTCTTATATATGATTAATACAATCATTGCATTGATCCTCCTGTCCATGGGCTGCTTGCCTGTCCTCTATCCTTTGGGGCTGGAGCTCCACTCACTTGACACTTCTGAGCCCTGAACTGCCACTTCAGCTGTCTCCCTCTGGTTACAGGAAGCTATGGGTCAACCCATCTGAGTTCCTACCTGAACGGTTTCTCACCCCTGATGGTGCTATCGACAAGGTGTTAAGTGAGAAGGTGATTATCTTTGGCATGGGCAAGCGGAAGTGTATCGGTGAGACCATTGCCCGCTGGGAGGTCTTTCTCTTCCTGGCTATCCTGCTGCAACGGGTGGAATTCAGCGTGCCACTGGGCGTGAAGGTGGACATGACCCCCATCTATGGGCTAACCATGAAGCATGCCTGCTGTGAGCACTTCCAAATGCAGCTGCGCTCTTAGGTGCTTGAGAGCCCTGAGGCCTAGACTCTGTCTACCTGGTCTGGTTGGGCAGCCAGACCAGCAGGCTGGCCTATGTGGTCTAAGGTTCAGCCTGAAACTCATAGACACTGATCTGGCTGCAGTTTTGCTATCTGGGCTGTGGGCAAGCCTAAGGGATCCTGCCTGCCCCTACCCTGGACTTGCCTCTGCACACCCTCCAGAGACAACAGGTAAAACAGGGCCACATAGATGCTGATGGAGCCTTCCCAAGTTGTGCTTGAGCCAGGAGGCCTGCTAGGGTTAGGAGGTCCTTAGGCCTCTGAGAAGCTCTGAAGAACTCTCTGGAAGCCCCTGGGCCCAGTACCTAGCTGGCTCTGTGAGGGTGCTGACTGGCTTCAGCAAGTTAGAACTAGCCAAACCAGGACCCTGTCCAATCTTTGACAATTGGGAGCTGCCAAGAGTGAAGGGAAGAGACAGCCCAGGATACTGGCACAGAGGTAGTCTCACTGCTTGAACTAGGCTGAGCAATCTGACCCTATGGGTCTAGGACACAGTTCCTGGGAACATCACATTCCTCTGCCCTTCCTGCAGGCAGGAACAAACAGGGCTGCCTTCTGGCCTTGTAAGACCCTTATTGCTGTCCTGGAGGGGCTGGGGACTTGTGTCTGCGGGGATCAGAGCGCACAGGGAGTGCACATATCCAGGCACCAGGACTAGGGCTGGAGTGAGGGGGGGGTATTTCAATTACCTTCTATTGGTCTCCCTTCTCTACACTCTTGTAATAAAATGTCTATTTTTAATGTTTGTACACAACAATCCTTCTATTCTAGCCTGCATTGAGCTTGCATGCTTGCATAAGAGCTTAAGAACCATTGATTTAATGTAATAGGGAAAATTCTAACCCAGGTATCCAAAAATGTGTAAGAACAACTACCTGAGCTAAATAAAGATATTGTTCAGAAATCCTATAGGTGGAGATTTTTTGAATCATAAATGATTCATCACTCGTCTAAATACTCACCCTGAACCCCATTCTGTGTTGGGTTTTACTGTAGGGAGGAAGAAGAGGAGGTAGCAGTGAAGAGGTGTAGCCGCTGCACTTAAGCAGTCTGTTTGAGGGACAAGACTCTATTTTTTGAGACAGGGTCCCCAGGTCATCCAGGCTGGAGTGCACTGGTACCATTTTGTTTCACTGTAACCTCCACCTCCTGGGCTCACACGATTCTCCCACCTCAGCCTCTGAGTAGTTGGGGCCGCAGGCACACGCCACCACAGCTTTTTTTTTTTTTTTTTTTTTTTTTTGTAGAGATGGGGTTTCACCATGTTGCCCAGGCTGGTCTCAAACTCCTGAGCTCAAGTGATCCACCTGCCTCAGCCTCCCAAAGTGCTGGGATTACAGGCATGAGACAAGACTCCTAATCACTGTGCTGACTTACGCCCTCTCTAACTTATCACAAATTGATGAAGCGTATTCTCCGAATTAGGCAATAAGGGTATCAAGTGAATATAGTACAGTCCCTGCTTTCAAGAACCTCCCAAAATGGTTGAGGGAACTGACACATAAACACATCATTCAATTCATTGTGGTCAGAACTCTACCAGACAGATGCATACGGGAGGTGGGGTCCAGAGGCTGGGTTGGGGAGTGGGCACCGCGAGATTTCCAGGTCTTTTTTTTTTTGAGACGGAGTCTCACTGTGTCGCCCAGGCTGGAGTGCAGTGGCGCGATCTCGGCTCACTGCAAGCTCTGCCTCCGGCGTTCACACCATTCTCCTGCCTCAGCCTCCCAAGTAGCCGGGACTACAGGCGCCTGCCACCACACCCGGCTAATTTTTTTGTATTTTTAGTAGAGATGGGGTTTCACCATGTTAGCCAGGATGGTCTCGATCTCCTGACCTCCTGATCCGCCCACCTCGGCCTCCCAAAGTGCTGGGATTACAGGCGTGAGCCACCACGCCCGGCTCCAGGTCTTGAGACTATCTGAGCCAAGCCTTCCTTGAAGGATGAGAGACAGTCTTTCATTTGGGACTGATAGCATTAGATGCTGAAGTCCAAGTGGGTAGGCTCTGGTCACAGTTTTGTGGGGAGAGGGGTTCTCAGCTCAGCAGTTGTAATCTGCTGCTCACTCTTCATGCCCTGGCGTGGGTTCTACAATCACATTAGAACCCACATCTCAATGCTGAAAGCCCCTGTCCATCTGAGATGGCAGAGTGGTGGTGATGCCAAGTATGGCAGAGGCTGAACCCACATAGCCAGGAGCTGAAGGGAGACACACCTTGGGATGTGACCTCCCTACCCCACCCCAGACCAGCTTTCTTCCTGAAGCATTGCGTAGTGGCCAGCAGTTGCTGTTCATGCACCGTGGCTCCCGCTCACCAGGAGCTTCAGGCTACTGCAAGGAACAACCAAGCTGAAGTCAGCTGCGGCAACCTGCTTTGTGCAGCGGCGGCCGGGGGGATGAGAAATTTGGTGCTCAATCATTCTTGTAGTGATTTATATTTTCTACTTAAACTATAACTTGCATTTATGCTATATACATAAACAAGCCATGAAAGCATGCTACGTGAAAGAAGCCAGACACAAAAGGCCGTGTATTGTATGACTCCATGTGTATGAAAAGTTCAGAATAGGTAAATTTATAGGGACAGAAAGTAGATGAGAGGTTGCCAGGGAATGTGGGGCAGGGAGAATTGGGAGATGCAGAGTTTACTTAGGGGTGATGGAAATATTCTAGAATTAGATAGTGGTGATGGTTGAACAGCTTTGTGAATATACTAAAAACCAGTGACTTATGCAGTTCAAAATGGCTTAAATGGTAGAAAAAAGGCCTGGCGCAGTGGCTCACGCCTGTAATCCCAGCATTTTGGGAGGCTGAGGTGGGTGGATCACTTGAGGCCAGGAGTTTGAGACCAGCCTGGGCAACAAGGGGAAACCCCGTCTCTACCAAAAATACAAAAATTAGCTGGGTGTGGTGGCACACGCCTGTAATACCAGCTACTCAGGAGGCCGAGGCACGAGAATCGCTTGAACCCAGGAAGTGGCGGTTACAGTAAGCTGAGATCACACCACTGCACTCCAGCCTGGACAATATAGCAAGAATCTGTCTCAAAAAAAAATCAAGAATTTATTCTACCTGTCCTATATGAACTATACCTAAAAAGAACCAAATAGATTAGAAAGAAGTATCTCTTAAAAATACTCCAGCTGGGCACAGTGGCTCATGCCTGTAATCCCAGCACTTTGGGAGGCCGAGATCACCTGAGGACAGGAGTTCGAGACCAGCCTGGCCAACATGGTGAAACCGTCTCTACTAAAAATACAAAAATTAGCCAGGCGTGGTGGCGGGCGCCTGTAATGCCAGCTACTCAGGAAGCTGAGACAGGAGAATCACTTGAACCCGGGAGGCAGAGGTTGCAGTGAGCCGAGATCACGCCACTGCACTCCAACCTGGACAACAAAGATCGAAACTCCGTCTCGAAAAAAAAAAAATTCAATTATTATGTGAAAAAGAAATTATAGAATTAGTGTCATTATTTTGTAGTCACCAATAAATTAATAGATCTAAACATTGTGCCTAACAACTGCTGACATCATAAAAGGAGAGAAAATCAGACATCATGTGACTCCTGATGAAAGAACACAACAGCACCTATAGTGTTGTCAAAGGGATTGCATCAGAGGCTGACCAAGCCTCCGGAACCAGCAGCCAATATGCAATAAATACAGAGGATGTAGGGACGTGAATTGCAACATGAATGTGCAGTCAGTAAAATTCAGACTTTGGAAGACTGTGGGTCAAAAGGCCTGGGTTCTTCAACAGAAAATCTATAAGGAAAAGAAAGGGATGGAGGGAAAACTTGTAGATGAAAAGAAACTATAAAAAGACATCAAATTGCTTGAACCCAAATTTTAAGAAATGAGCAACAATAAACTATAGTGTCCAGGGATACACACTTAGTGATGAAACTGTAAAGAACAGGGAAATGATTACTACAAGAGTTTGGGGAGTGGTTACTTTTTGGGAGAGGGAGTGGGTGATAATTGAAATGGGACATGTGGAGGGCCTCTGGGATAGCTGATAAAGTTCTATTCCTTGACCCAGTGTGGTTACAAAAATGTTTGCTTTATAAAAACGAAGAAAAACATATAAATAGCTTGTATTGCTTTTTGCTTTTGAGAAATATAATTAATATATATTGTCAATGCCCTCCAGTCAAGGGCCACCAGGAAAACACCTGTAGTTAAACAAGTTGGATTTATTACTCATTGCAGTGGGGAACCATGGGGTATCTCGACAAGAGGGTTTTGAAAAGACTGATTATATATAATACATATATAATTGGCTCTCATGAGCCAATACCTCAAAATAAATCTCTTTATATATATAATATATATCTTTATAGGTATTATATATAACATATCTTTATATGTAATATATAATATATATCTTTAGATGTATTATATATAACATCTTTATATGTATTATATATAATATATATCTTTATATGTATTATATATTATATATCTTTATATGTATTATATTTAATATATATTTATATGTATTATATTTAATATATATTTTATATATTATATATCTTTATATATAATATATAATGTATAATATATAATATAATATGTAACATATCTTTATATAATATATATGTTCATATTCTTTTTCCATTTATAAATATATATCTTTATGTATAATATATTATATATATTATATATCGATATATTATATATACTATATATCTTTTACATAATATATCTTCATATATTATATATGATATATATCTTTATATATAATAATCTGTATATAATATATAATATCTCTTTATATGTATATAAAGAGCTCATGTAATATCTCTTTATATGTATATAAGAGCTCATGAGATTATGGAGGCTGAGACAGTCCATAATTTGTCATCTGCAAGCTGGAGACCCAAAAAAACCAGTGGTGTGTTTCAAAGGCCTGAGAGCTGAAGAGTTGATGGTTTAGATTCCATTCCAGGTCTGAAGGCCCAAGAACGAGAGCACCATGGACAGAAGAACCATGTCCAAATTCAAAGGGTCAGGCAGAGTTCACTCAACCTTCTTCTGCCTTTTGTTCTATTCAGGTTCTCAACAGATGCCCACCCACATTGGGGAGGGCCACCTCCTTTACTCAGTCCACCAATTCAAATGCTAATTTCTTCTGGAAACACCCTCACAGACACAGCCAGAAATAGTGTTTAACCAGCTATTTGGGCATCTTGTGGCCCAGTCAAGTTTACACATAAAATTAACCATCACACCCGCTGTTAGAGCCATTCAGAATCCTCTGTGCATACCCAGTGCATATATATATATATATATATATATATATATATATATATATATAATGTATATGGAGGGGTGTGTGTGTGTGTGTATATTATATATAATATATATATGAACAGCTGAAACATTTTGGGGAAAGACTGTATTTCCAAACTAATGCAGGTATCTGCTGCTCAGCAAATTTAATATGTTCAGCATCTTTCAGTTGGGCTCCTTATCTTATTAACAGTTTGGAAGTTTCACCAAAATGAAAGCCCCACATAGTGACAACTGCAAGGGACCCTCAATTCTTGAGTACTCAGCTCTGTCCTGTCGTATGCTCTTCACTGATAGTCTTCTAGTTCTGCTGCTGGGATAGTATGTGTCAAGGACAATAGCAAGCTTCAAATATTTCCATTGACTTCTCATTGCTTTCTCTCTCTCTCTATCTCTCTCTCTATATATAATATATATATACACATATATAATATATATTATATATACACATATATAATATATATTATATATACACATATATAATATATATTATATATACACATATATAATATATATTATATATACACATATATAATATATATTATATATACACATATATAATATATATTATATATACACATATATAATATATACACATATATAATATATATAATATATACACATATATAATATATATAATATATACACATATATAATATATATAATATATACACATATATTATATATATTATATATACACATATATTATATATATTATATATACACATATATTATATATATTATATATACACATATATAATATATACACATATATACACATATATAATATATACACATATATAATATACATAATATTTACACATATATAATATACATTATATATACACATATATAATATACATTATATATACACATATATAATATACATTATATATACACATATATAATATACATTATATATACACATATATTATATATGTAATATATACACATATATATGTAATATATACACACATATGTATATATTATATACATACACATATATAATATATATTATATACATACACATATATAATATATATTATATACATACACATATATAATATATATTATATACATACACATATATAATATATATTATATACATACACATATATAATATATATTATATACATACACATATATAATATATATTATATACATACACATATATAATATATATTATATACATACACATATATAATATATATTATATACATACACATATATAATATATATTATATACATACACATATATAATATATACATACACATATATTATATATATTATATACACATATATAATATATATTATATATACACATATATAATATATATTATATATACACGTATAATATATATATTATATACACACGTATATAATATATATTATATACACACGTATATAATATATATTATATACACACGTATATAATATATTATATACACACGTATATAATATATTATATACACACACATAATATATATTATATACACACACATAGAATATACATTATATATACACACATAGAATATACATTATATATACACACATAGAATATACATTATATATACACACAGAATATACATTATATATACACACAGAATATACATTATATATACACACATATAATATATATTATATATACACACATATAATATATACATTATATATACACATATATAATGTATATATTTTATATACACACATATATACACATATATATAATATATATTATATATATACACATATATATAATATATATTATATATATACACATATATATAATATATATTATATATATACACATATATATAATATATATTATATATATACACATATATATAATATATATTATATATATACACACATATATAATATATATTATATATATACACATATATATAATATATATATATTTTTTTTTTTTTTCTGAGAGGGAGTCTTGCTCTGTCACCCAGGCTCGAGCGCAGTGGCGCGATCTCAGCTCGCTGCAACCTCTGCCTCCCAGGTTCAAGCAATTCTCCTGCCTCAGCCTCTGGAGTAGCTGGGATTACAGGTGCCCACCACCACGCCTGGCTAATTTTTGTATTTTTAGTAGAGATGGAGTTTCACCATCTTGGCCAGACTGGTCTTGAACTCCAGACCTCATGATCCACCCGCCTCAGCCTCCCAAAGTGCTGAGATTACAGGCGTGAGCCACCACGCCTGGCCTATTTTTTTTTTTCTTGGAGGCAGAGTCATTATAAATCTTACAATACAATGTTATCATTTTCCCCCTTTCTTTTTGGTAGACAGAGTTTTAGTCTCCCAAGTACTATGCCATTTTTTGTTTACAGACTGCTGAACCTATAGATGGCATGAGCTACCACGCCCATCCTGATTTTAGCTCTTATATGTAGGTCTTTGATCAATTTTTAGTTAACTTTTGTATATGGTGTAAAGTAACGGTCCAAACTCATTCTTTTACATTTTACCAAGCACCATTTATTGAAGAGATCATTCTTTCCCCACTGAATGGTTTTGGCGTCCTTGTCAAAAATCAATTGGATATGGATGTATGAGTTTATTTCTGGACTCTCAATTGTCCTTATGCCAAGACCACACTATTTTGATTACTGTAACTTTGTAGTAAGTGTTGAAATCGGGAAGTGTGATTCCTCCAAATTAATTCCTCTTTTTCCCTGGTATGATTTTAAACAGCAGTTTTTTAGGGTCTTGTAATAAAAGAATAATATTTCTCAGCATTGTCCTTCATGTTTATATGATTTCAATAAACATGGTTCCTAATATTATGTCCTTGACACTCATTATCAGAAGCAATGGCCTGTTTGTCCTTTTTACAATTTTCCTTTTTTTATCTAAGATGAGACCTCAAAATTCTGATTCACGTCCCTAGATTTTCACAGTTGTATTTAGTCCTACTCTGTATCCAGTTGATCACCAGTTATTTAATTTTTTTTCTTTTTTTGAGATGGAGTCTTGGTCTGTTGCCCAGGTTGGAGCGCAGTGGCATGATCTCGGCTCACTGCAACCTCCTCCTCCCAGTTCAAGAGATTCTCCTGCCTCAACCTCCCGAGTAGCTGGGATTGCAGGCACCCGCCACCACACCCAGCTAATTTTTTTGTATTTTTAGTAGAGGCAGGGTTTTGCCATTTTGGCCAGGCTGGTCTCTACCTCCTGAGCTCAAGTGATCCACCTGCCTCGGCCTCCCAAAGTGCTAGGATTACAGGCATGAGCCACTGCGCCTGGTCTTTGCTTTTATCTTTTAATATCTTTTCACATAGTTAAGAACCATTTGTAGTTTCTTTTCTTGAAGTCTGTTCATATTCTTTGTCCTTTTTTTTTTTTTTGAGGCAGTCTTGCTCTGCCTCCTAGGCTGGAGTGCAGTGGCGCCATCTTGGCTCACTTCAACATCTGTCTCCTGGGTTCAAGCAATTCTCCTGCCTCAGCCTCCTAAGTAGCTGGGACTACAGGTGCACGCCACCATGCCTGGCTAATTTTTGTATTTTTAGTAGAGATGGGGTTTTGCCTTGTTGGCCAGGCTGGTCTCAAACTCCTGACCCCAGGTAATCCACCCGCCTCAGCCTCCCAAAGTGCTGAGATTACAGGCATGAGCCACTGTGCCCAGCCTCTGTCCATTTTTTTCTTTTCAGTTATTGGTCTTTTTCCTATTTATTACTTGGGACTCTTTATATATTCAGATTAGATATTTGTCTGTGATGTGAAAATATTTTTCCCTGTTTGTATTTTGACTTTTTGAATATGGTGGCTTTTAATATGGATAGGTTTTTTTTATGTAGTAGAATTTCTTAATCTTTTCTGTTATGGTTTTTGGATTTTTGAACGACAATTAAGGAGGTCTTCTCAATTCCAAGATTATATGGAATTTTTACAATCAGGTATTCTGTTTTAAAGTCCAGTACTCTGTTCATTCTATGGTATGATGCCTCTCATACCATAGAATTTTTACAGCAGATTTAATTCGGGGAAAAAATTAACAGTTATTTTGAATTATGTGGCTTATGGCAGGGTAAGTTCCTTACAAACCAACCCTCCTACAGATAACAAATGTAATTTTGGGGCAAAACACACACACACACAAAACTCCTTGAAGGTTTTGGAGAGTAAACAAAAGCCTGCTCCATCAGAATAAATCTGTATCCATTCCTAGCCAAATCATAGCCAAAGGATGACAGGAAGAAGAAGAGTCAATGTGAGATCAGGCTGCATAGGCTGCTATGGTTAATCCAGGAAGTCTGTAGGTCTCCACAGAGGAGAGAGTATCTAAGGGTTTCCTCAGTGACTCAAAAACGGTTTGGCAGCTTCCATACAGGGCCCCAATTTCATCTGGAAAATGGGGGGCCCAGGAGTGCCTATCTAGCTTGTTTAAGGAGCGAAGGACACAGAGAGTTCCAAAGGAGATGCTGGATCTCCCATTCCAAGCCTGGGAACCACCTCCAGCACCACCCACCTTTAAAAGCCTTCTTGAAACTGACACTGGCTGTCGGCCTACAACAAATGTTAACTATTTCCCAGAGGGACTGGGAGCAGTATGAGTGGTTTGCTACCCTGACTTATGACAAGAAGCCTGGCCTGGGTTCTAGCCCTGGGACCTGGTCAACTTCTTCCCAGCACAGAGTGGCCTTTAGCCACTTGCTGGTTTTTCTTGTTACTTCCTGTGTCATTGTGGCCCAATTTTATTTCCTTCCTGTATTTATTCCCTTTACAAAGTGACTTTACATATCCTCCTGTGAAAATGTATGGTCTGTTTTCCCCCTCCTTGAATCTGGGCTGGCCTGGTGACTTGCCTTGATCAGTCCAATGCATTGGAGGTGATGGCATGCTAGTTTTGAGGCCAGGTCTTAAGAGACCTCATCGACCTTTACCTTCTCTTGGAATCCTGCCACGACCACAACAACAAACCCAGGGAGCCTGCTGGAAGATAAAAGACCATATGAAACAGAGAGGAATTGCCCTGGTTGAGGCCACCATAGACCAGCCAGACTCTAGCCAACTTCCTTGAGTGAGTCCAGCCAAGATCAGCCAGTCCCACCCCAATCAGCAGTATACCCACCTAAACCACAGACTAGTGAGCTCAGTACATGGTTGTTATTTTAAGCCACTAAATTTTGGGTTAGTTGTTACAAAGCAATGGACAATTGATACCCTGTGTTAATTTGGTTTCCCTGGATGAGCCATAAGCTTCTTCAGGGCACGTCAGTTTTTTTTTAAATTTAATTTTTGAACCATGTATGGTTTGAATATGTATGGTTCATACAATTTTTGAACCATACATGACACTTAAATGGGGCAGGTCAATTTCTTTGTTGCCTCCATCCCAGCTCCTAGCACTGGGATTGAGCACATTTTGGGCATTACATAAAGACTTGTTGATTGCTGGGTGTGATGGCTAATGCTTGTAATCTCAGCACTTTGGGAGGCTGAGGCAGGAGAACTGCTTGAGCCCAGGAGTTTGAGACCAGCCTGGGCAACATAGTGAGACTCCTTGGGCAACATGGTGAGATTATCTCTACCAAAAAATACAAAAAAAAAAAAAAAAAAGAGGCAGGAAGATCGCTTGAGCTTGGGAGGTCAAGTCTGCAATAAGCCATGATCATGACAGCACTCCCACCTGGGCAACAGAGCAAAACCCTGTCTTAAAAAAGAAAGAAGGAAAAAGAAGGAGAAGGAGAAGAAGAAAAGATTTGTTGATGAATCAGGTCTTCACTAGAAACTGTCTTGGTTGATTGGGTGACTTTGAGAATACTGTTTTGCCTCCCTGGATAAATGTATTTGTCTCTTGTTCATATCTCTGTTTACTCTTTTCAAGAACTGGATTAGGAATGAATAAAGATGTCAATCTCCATGTCGAAACTTTTCCAGAGCATCTCCTGGTGGGATCTGTGAAGACTGAGTCTTATGAAGACTGAGTCATAAGAAGACTTGATCTACTTTATTATAAATGCAGAAAAATTGTGAAACAGGTCTTGTGAAACATTTTTGGGTTTAATCACCATTTGTTTAAATGCTTTTACCCAGCATGCAAAATAATTCATTCACTTTCCACTTTTCTCTGTACTTCTCTTGCAGGGGGAATGTCAGATGTCAGATATTTCAGGATGTAAGACTGAAGTGTGTGGTAGTGGAGGCAGACGGGTCCCTCAGAGAACAAGGCAGCAAATAAGTATACACCTTGCAATTTTCATCCATCTGGGTTGTGGGTAACACACAGAAGTGCCCTGGACTCCTAAATACCCTGCAGAGTGGTCTAACCCTTGTGATGCTTGGGGAGGACACCTGGCTTCTAGGTCCCCAGGAATACACGGAATCTAGAAGGGAGCCCATGTTCTGTGCTATTTCCCATGATGACCCTGGAAGCTTCCCCAACCCACCCCCTCTCCTCCACCATCTGGGCTTGTGTCTGGTCCAGTTCTGTGCCTGCACAGCAAGATCATCTCTCCTGAATACTTTAATAGTTGGCTTGCAGGTCCAGGTAAGGAAAACCAAGAGCCACTTGTCTTCACGCAGCCCCTCAGGCTTGCCTGTGAAGCTGAGAGGAGATGGGGAAGCTGGCACTCCTGAAACGGTTAAAAGCCCCAGCACAGGAGTAAGAAGTGGCAACTCACTGGCATTTCTGAAAAGGCTAATTGTTGCTGAGCCAGTTGTTCTCTAAATGTGTATCCCAGGAGGGGAATGGGAGAGGGCAGACAGCAGAGGTCAAGCGGCTGGAGCTGGGAGGGGCCACACACCTGAGGCAGGGCTGCTGCCACAGCAGTGACAGCTGTCTGTTCTCTTCTCAGATGTCTTTTTTTTTTGAGATGGAGTTTCGCTCTTGTTGCCCAGGTTGGAGTGCAATGGCGCGATCTCCGTTCACCGCAACCTTCGCCTGCTGGGTTCAAGCGATTCTTTTGCCTCAGCCTCCTGAGGTGCGTGCTATCATGCACGGCTGATTTTTGTATTTTTAGTAGAGATGGGTTTTCACCATGTTGGCCAGGCTGGTCTCAAACTCCTGACCTCAGGTGATCCACCTGCCTTGGCCTCCCAAAGTGCTGGGATTACAGGTATGAGCCACCATGCCCAGCCTCAGATGTCTTTTCAAATTGGCAACACACGTGCCTCTATTAGCTAGCATCGTTCTGGATTCCCCCTTGTTCTTTTTTTTCTTAATTTTTAATTTTTTTTTTTTGAGACAGGGTCTTGCTCTGTCACCCAGGTTGGAATGCAGTGGCATGATTTTGGTTCACTGCAACCTCGACCTCCTGGTCTCAAGCAACCCTCCCACCTCAGTCTCCCAAGTAGCTGGGACTACAGGCGCATGCCACCATGCCTGGCTAATTTTTGTATTTTTTGTAGAGATGGGGTCTTGCTGTGTTGCCCAGGCTGGTCTCAAACTCCTGAGCTCAAGTGATCTGCCTGCTTCGGCCTCCTGAAGTGCTGGGATTATAGGCGTGAGCCACCGCACCAGCCCACTCTCCCTCCCCATCCCGTTCTTTATGTTCAATATCCATCCCTGCTCCAGTTTTAATTAAGAGAATTCTCTCTAGTTTAGACATAGAGAATGGAGCATGAGAAAGCAGGCCAAGGAAGAAGCAAGGATTACAGGATGTTGTGGGAAGGGTGCAGCAGGAGGGAGGGCATAAGGGAGAGAGGCATGCTGTTGTGGATGGGTGGAGGAAACAAACAAGAATCCTTGAGGTCAGGTCCTCATCCAGCCTCATCTGCTGGGATTCAGGATCCCCACTTACTGCACCTGACTACTGTTTCATGCCTAAACTTATCTCAACAAAATGAGGTCGAAAGGGAAAGCTATTTTCAGATGATTGCAGCCAAAACACAAAGCTACCAGCTAGCAAATCTGGATTCATTTACTTGGGGAGTTCTTGATTAATAGAATGGGGAAATTACAACAAGTTTGATGGTGACACAAGTTTCTATGAGAAGAATCCCATTTCACCATTGTCTTCCATGACAAAAATTGATGAATGATGAAGAGAGTTTCCGGCCTTGCAAACAAAAATAATTGCAACAATAATGCTAACAATGAGATAACATTATTATTATTATTTAGAGACAGGGTCTTACTCTGTTGCCCAAGCTATAGTGCAGTGGCCATATCATAGCTCACAGTAACCTTGAACTCCTGGGCTCAAGCAATCCTCTCATCTTAGCCTCCCGAGTAGCTGGGACTGCGACCACATGTCATCATGTCTGGCTAATTAAAAAAATTTTTTTTTTTGTAGAGATGGGGTCTTGTTTTGTTGCCCAGGCTGGTCTCAAACTCCTGGCCTCAAGCAATCCTCCTGCCTCGGTCTCCCAAAGTGCTGGGATTAGAGATGTGAACCACTGCACCTGGCTGCAGAACTAACATTTTTAAAAAAAGAACTGAGTATTCGTTGTTCATTAAGTATATTCTTCTTTAAATTTTTCTTTATTGAAGTAAAATTCACATAACATAACATCCACCCTTTTAACCATTTGAAAGTGTACAATTCCATGATTTTTAGTATATTCACAATGTTATGCAGCCATCAGCACTATTTGATTCCAGAACGTTTTCATCATCATTCCCCCCTCCCTGGCAAAACAGGCTTGGCGAAGTGGCTCACACCTCTAATCCCAGCAATTTGGGAGGCCAAGGTAGGCAGATAGCTTGAGCCTAGGAGTTCAAGACCAACCTGGGCAACGTAACGAAACCCCATCTCTACAAAAACTACAAAAATTAGCCAGGCATGGTGACACCTGCCTGTAGTCCCAGCTACTCGGGAGGCTGAGGTGGGAGGATCTCTTGAGCCCCAAAGGTCAAGGCTGCAGTGAGCCGAGATCGAGCCATTGCACTCCAGCCTGGGGGACACAGCAAGACCTTGTTTCAAAAAACAAAACAAAAACCCAACTCAATAACAAGAAGACAAACAACCCAATTTAAAATGAGCAAAGAACTTGATAAACATGTCTCCAAAGAAGATACGGCCAAAGAGCACATGAAAAGATACTTGCCATTAATCATTAAGAAAATGAAGGCGGGGTGCGGTGGCTCACGCCTGTAATCCCAGCACTTTGGGAGGCCAAGGCAGGTGGATCATGAGGTAAGGAGTTCGAGACCAGCCTGGCCAAGATGGTGAAACCCCGTCTCTACTAAAAATACAAAAATTAGCTGGGTGTGGTGGTGGGCACCTGTAATCCCAGCTACTTGGGAGGCTGAGGCAGGAGAATCACTTGAACCTGGGAGATGGAGGTTGCAATGAGCTGAAATCTGGGTGACAGAGCAAGACTCTATCTCAAAAAAAGAAAAGAAAAAAGCAAATGAAAACCACAATGAGATACCACTTCACATCCCTTTGGATAGCTATAATTTAAAAAGATGAAAATAAATGCTGAATATGGAGAAAATTGAATCTTCATGCATTGCTGGTAGGAATGTAAAATGATGTAGCCATTGTGGAAAACACTGGGCGGTTCCTCAAAAAGTTAAACATAGAATTACCATATGACCCAGCAATTTCACTTCTAGGTATATACCAAGAGAATGGAAAGCACATGTTGAAAGAAAATTTTGTACACGATAGGCAAAGATGAAAACACATTAAATGTCCATCAACAGATGAATGGATAAACAGAGACAGAAAGTAAAGTAGTGGTTCCCAGGATCTAAGGGGAAGGGGGAACAGGGATCTCTATAGATTTGCCTATTCTGAATATCTTATATAAATGGAATCATACAATATGTGGCCTTTTGTGACTGGCTTCTTTGAGTTAGCATAATGTTTTCAAGGTTCATCCATGTTTTACCATGTAGCAGTACTTCATTCCCTTCTATTTTTTTATTTTATTTTGAGACAGAGTCTTGCTCTATCACCCAGGCTGGAGTGCAGTTGTGCGATCTTGGCTCACTGCAACCTCCACCTTGGGGGTTCAAGTGATTCTCCTGCCTCAGCCCCTGAGTAGCTGGGACTATGGGCATGTGCCACCATGCCTGGCTAATTTTTGTATTTTTAGTAGAGATGGGGTTTTGCCATGTTGACCAGGCTGGTCTCGAACTCCTGACCTCAGGCAATCTGCCCGCCTCAGCCTCTCGAAGTGCTGGGATTACAGGCATGAGCCACTGCGCCCAGCCTCATTCCTTTTCATGACTGAATAATTTCATTATATGGCGAGACCACATTTTGTATACACATTCATGTGTAAGTTTTTATTTGAACACTTGTTTTCAATTCTGTTAGATGTATGCTTAGAAGTGGAATCGCTGGGTCACATGATAATTCTACATTTAACTTATTGAGGAACTCTCAAACTGTTTTCTGTAGTGGCTGTCTCATTTTCCATTTCCACCAGCAATATTCAAGGGTTCCAATTTCTCCACATTTTTGCCAACATTTATTTTCCTTTTTAAAATTTATAGCCATCCTAATGGGTGTGAAGTAGTATCTCATTGTTTTGGGCCTTTTTTTTTTTTTTTGGCTGTGTTTCATTTTAGAGACTGGGTCTCCCTCTGTCACCCAGGCTGGAGTGCAGTGGCATAAACATAGCTCACTGCAACCTCGAACTCTTGGGTTCAAGGGATCTTCCTGCCTCAGCCTCCCAAGTAAGTGGGCCTATAGGTGCACATCACTGCACAGGATAAATTTTTTTTTTTTGAGACAGAGTCTCGCTCTGTTGCCCAGGCTGGAGGGCAGTGGCACGATCTTGGCTCACTGTAATCTCTGCCTTCCATGTTCAAGCGATTCTCGTGCCTCAGCCTCCCAAGTAGCTGGGAATACAGGCACGCGCCACCATGCCCAGCATATTTTTGTATTTTTAGTAGGGATGGGGTTTCACCATGTTGGCCAGGCTGGTCTTCAACTCCTGACCCCAAGTGATCCGCCTGCCTCAGCCTCCGAAAGTGCTGGGATTACAGGCGTGAGCCACCCCACCTGGCCCACAGGCCAATTTTTTGTTTTTGTAGAGACAGGGTCTCACTTTGTTGCCCAGGCTGGCCTTGAACTTCTGGCTTTAAGCCATCCTCCTGCCTCATCCTCCCTAAGTGATGGGATTACAGACATGAGCCACAGTGCCTGGCTTCATTGTGGTTTTCATTTTCATTTCCCTAATGACTACTGATGTTCAGTGTCATTTTATGTACTTGTTGGCCATTTGTGTATCTTCTTTGGAGACATGTCTATTAAGTACTTTGCTCATTTTAAGATTGAGTTGTTTATCTTTTTGTTGTTGAGAGTTCTTTTTTGTTATTTCTTGTTTTTATTTTTTAAACCCTTTATTGACCAAAAGAAAGTTCTTTACATACTCTGAATACCAGACCGTTATCAGATATATTATTTGTAAATATTTTCTACCATTCCGTAGGTTGTCTTTTCACTTTCTTGATATATCTCTTAATGCACAAAAGTTTTTAATTTTGATGAAGTACAGTTTATTTTTTTCTTGCTTTGCTTGTGCTTTTGGTGTTACATTTAAGAAACTGTTGCCTAAAAGGTTATTATTCTTTTTAATCCTAACCTTTGTTTAGCACTTTATAGTCTGGGGCCTGCTTTTATGTATGTGCATTACTTCATTTATAAAGTGACATTTGAGAATGTAAGAGACTTAAATCTTTGAGATAATATAAAAGAAAAATGATCTTAAGTAACCAAGAATGCTTGCCAGCCTCAAAGCCTATGCCATATAAGTAGGCTGACTATAGAAAGTTATCACCTTTAATCAAATTTTTCTCAATGTATTTGAGAATAAAAGCAGGTGGTATTAATAATTACAATAAGGTAACAGGCATGAACAGGGACTATTCCATCCAAACTGGAACATATGTTTCCCCTACATATATGTAATAAGAGACCTGAGTTCTAATGTCAGATTCAGCATTAACTTGCTAAGCTTTCAGCTATACACATGGGGTGAAGTAGATAATTACTTTTTTTTTTTTTTTGAGATGGAGTCTTGCTCTGTCGCCCAGGCTGGAGTGCAGTGGCATAATCTCGGTTCACTGCAACCTCTGCCTTCCAGGTTCAAGTGATTCTCCTGCCTCAGCCTCCCAAGTAGCTGGAACTACAGGTGCACGCCACCACGCCTAGCTAATTTTTGTATTTTTAGTAGATATGGGGTTTCACCATGTTGGCCAGGCTAGTCTCAAACTCCTGACCTCAGGTGATCCATCTGCCTTGGCCTCCCAAAATGCTGGGATTATAGGGGTGAGCCACTGCGCTCAGTGCTTCCACTTGCTTACCTCCCGTTCTCTCCTCAAACCACTGGCATTTGACTTCTGGGGCCTTTACTCCGATTTAAAACCTCTGTCAAAATCACCAAGGACCTCCTAGTTGCTAAATCTAATGTACATTTTCAGTCTTCCTCTGATTTGAGCTCTTTGGAATATTTAGCACTGTTGACTTCTCTTAAAGATCCTCTTGGTCTCTTTGGCATCACCCACTGCTGGATTTTCCTCTATGTTCCTAGCTGCTGCTTCTCAGTTGCCCTTGAATAGACCTCGTCCTGTGCGTATCCCTTAAATGTCGGTGTTCCTCAGGGTTCTGTCCTTAGCTGTTGACTCTTCTCATGCTATATGCTATCCCTGGACTATAGTGCCCATTATTGGGACTTTAATTATTGCCTGGTAATTGACTTCCAAACCTCATCTTTCTTTCCTGAGCTCCAGATCTATTCTTCCAGGTATACATTTCCATGAGTTTTGCAAATGCATATAATCAAGATTTAGTTCTACCACTCCTCCAACCCTCTCGCCAAATCCTTTACAGTCATACCCTCCCATTTTCTACCCCAGGCAAACACTGATGTTTTCTGTTCCTATAGTTTTGCCCTTTCCAGAATGTCATATAAATAGAATTACACAGGCCGTGCGAGGTGGCTCACGCCTGTAATCCCAGTGGATGGTGGATCGCTTGAGGTCAGGAGGTTGAGACCAGCCTGGCCAACATGGTGAAAGCCTGTCTCTACGAAAAAATACAAAAATTAGCAGGGTGTGATGGCGTGTGCCTGTAGTCCCAGCTACTTGGGAGGCTGAGGTGGGAGAATCACTTGAACCTGGGAGGCGGAGGTTACAGTGAGCTCTTGACAAAAATCTTGTAGTGTGATGGTTTATTTGCTGTCTTGTATGACAAGATGTTCCAGGCACATGATGTATATTTCTTGTCCCAACTTGTATTCAATGTTAACACACTATTGCTGGTGATTGTTGAAAAGACAGGTATCTGGAATATGTCATAGCATGACCCACGTGTCCCTAATTCTGTATGATGTTGATCTTTAATTTGAATTTGTTGTATAATTAACAAACACCCCAAGTTCTAGATTCTGTTGCGAAAACATCCTCTTGTGTAAAACTAGATATGCATTAGTGTGGGAGTGATAAGAGCCCAGGGAAAAAGGTGGGGAAGGAAAGAACCAAATTAGACATTGGAGCAATGAACCTCCAGATTTTTTTGCGTGAATGGGGCATGGGGTGGTATTGAGAGTCTTGAGGAGGGAATGGTGGTGATATGAGGCTTTCCCTTGTAATGTTAAGCAAAGAGCTTGGTGCAGCTCCAAAAGTGTGGTCTTCTGCTTCTGGCCATAAGCATCTGAATTCTGTGAGGAGCTCTTTTTTTTTTTTTTTTTAAGACAGGGTCTCACTCTGTCGCCCAGGCTGGAGTGCAGTGGCATGATTTCAGCTCACTGTAACTTCCGCCTTCTAGGCTAAAGCTATCTTCCTGCCTCAGTCCCCCAAGTAGCTGGGACTACAGGTGTGAGCCCCCACACCCAGCTAATCTGAGGAGCTTTTTAAAATACAGATCCCTGGCTTGTACCCCAGACTAGGCGAATCAGAGTCTCTGGGAGTAAGGCCTGAAGTGGTAGGAGCCTAACCTACTGGGGTTTTATTAAAGCCTAACCTTGCTGTGGAAAGAAAAATACCCAACTTTAGCCTCTTTAGCCATCCTGTCCCACCTAAGGTGAAAACTAAGAAATGCTGGTAAAGTTAATAATATATGCTTATGTATAAGTGGCATGAATGACAACAATGATAGCAGGGACAAGAGGGAAGAATTAGGAATATTTTGTTATTATAAGGTACCTGCACTGTTCATGAGGTAGTATAGTGTTATTTGAAAGTTGAATTGGATTATTTGAAAATGTAAATTGCATATTTGCAAATTCTTGGGCAACCACTAAAACAAAAAAAAAAAGAAAAGAATAATTGGTATGTTAATATAGGTGAGAAAAGAGAATCATAAAAATTCTTAATTAAAACCCCAAAAGGTGGCTGGGTGTGGTGGCTCACGCCTGTAATCCCAGCAATTTAGGAGGCTGAAGCGGGTGGATCACCTGAGGTCAGGAGTTTGAGATCAGCCTGGCCAACATGGCAAAACCCCATCTCTACTAAAAATACAAAAATTAGCCAGGTGTGGTGGCACATGCCTGTAGTCCCGGCTGCTTGGGAGGCTGAGGCAGGAGAATCGCTTGAACCTGGGAGGCAGAGGTTGCAGTGAGCTGAGATGGCACCACTGCACTCCAGCCTGGGGAACAAGAGCAAGACTCCATCTCAAACACACATAAACACACACACACACACACACACACACACACACACACACACACCCCAAAGGCAGAAAATGTGTAGAAGACAAATACAGATAAAAAATAAGGGTAACAAACAGAAAATAGTAACAAGGCCAGGTGCCATGGCTCACACCGCAATTTCAATACTTTTGGAGGCTGAGGCAGGAGGATCACTTAACACCAAGAATTGAAAAGCAGCCTGGGCAACATAGTGAGACTCTGTCTCTACAAAACAAACAAACAAATAAAAAAGCTTAGCAGGCTGGGCGCAGTGGCTCACGCCTGTAATCCCAGCACTTTGGGAGGCTGAGGTGGGCAGATCACGAGGTCAGGCGATCGAGACCATCCTGGCTAACACGGTGAAACCCCATCTCTACTAAAAATACAAAAAATTAGCCAGGCATGGTGGCGGGCACCTGTAGTTCCAGCTACTCGGGAGGCTGAGGCAGTAGAATGGCATGAACCCGGGAGGCGGAGCTTGCATTGAGACGGGGTTTCACTTCGTAGAGATGGCACCACTGCACTCCAGCCTGGGTGACAGAGCGAGACTCCATCTCAAAAAAAAAAAAAAAAAGCTTAGCCAGGTGTGATGGTGGGCACCTATAGTACCACCACTTGGGAAGTGGGAGGATTGCTTGAGCCCAGGATTTAAGGCTGCAGTGAGCCACAATCATACCACTGTACCCTAGCCTGGGTGACAGGGTGAAACTCCAACTCACACACACACAAAAAAAGGGCCTGGTGTGGTGGCTCACACCTATAATCCTAGCACTTTGGGAGGCCAAGACTGGTGGATCACTTGATGTCAGGAGTTCAAGACCACCCTGGCCAATATGGTGAAACCCTATTTCTACTAAAAATACAAAAATTAGCCAGTTGTGGTGGCATGTGCATGTAATCTCAGCTACTCGGGAGGCTGAGGCAGGAGAATCGCTTGAACTCAGGAGATGGAGGTTGTGGTGAGCTGAGATCATGCCACTGCACTCTAGCCTGGGTAACAGAGCGAGACGGTGTCTCAAAAAACAAACAACAACAACAAAAAATGAAAAAAAAAACAGTAACAAATATAGTAGACATTAATTCAACTATATCATTAATTAAGCATCAGTCATCTAAATACACCAATTAAAAGACAGAGGTTCTCAGTATGGATGAAAAACAAGACCCAACAATATGTTGTCTACAAGAAACACATTTTAAATATAAAGACATACATAGATTAAAAGTAAAGTGGTGGAGAAGGATATATCATTGATAACACTAATCAAAAGAAAGCAGGAGTAGGTATACTAACTTCAGAAAGAGCAGATTTAGAGAAACAAAAGGTAGGCTGGGTGGCTCACGCTTGTAATCCCAGCACTTTGGGGGGCTGAGGCGGGCAGGTCACCTGAGGTCGGGAGTTCAAGACCAGCCTGACCAACATGGAGAAGCCCCATCTCTACTAAAAATACAAAATTAGCTGGGCGTGGTGGTGCATACCTGTAATCCCAGGTACTCGGGAGGCTGAGGCAGGAGAATCACTTGAACCCAGGAGGCAGAGGTTGCGGTGAGCTGAGATCGTGCCACTGCACTCCAGCCTGGGCAACAAGAGTGAAACTTTGTCTCAAAAAAAAAAAAAGTCATCAGGTTATAAATCTATACAGCAAAACATATACAAGAGCTATATGAGTAAAACTACAAAACTCTGATCAAAGATATAAAAGAATTACATAAATTGAGAAATATTTCATGTTCACAGATAGAAAGAAAATATAGTCAAAATGTCTGTTCTTCCAAACCTGATCTATAGATTCGATGCAATCCCAATCCAAGTATCAGCATATTATTTTTGTGGATGTCGACAAACTGATTGTAAAATTGATATGGAGATACAAAAGACCTAGAAGAGCCAGCTCACTATTAAAGGAGAACAAAGTTGGAGGACTGATACTACCCAACTTCAAGACTTACTATAAACTACAGTAATAATGACAATGTGGTATTGGTGAAAGAATAAACAATCCAGAAGTAGACCCACATAAACGTAGTCAACTGATCTTTGACAGAGGAGTTAAAGCAATATAATGGAGCAAAGATAGGTTTTTCAACAAATTATGTTGGAACAACTGAATTTTCACACACATAAAAATGTATCAGGCCGGGTACGGTGGCTCACGCCTGTAATCTCAGCACTTTGAGAGGCCGAGGTGGGCAGATCAATTGAGATCAGGAGTTCGAGACCAGCCTGGCCAACATGGTGAAACCTTGCCTCTACTAAAAATACAAAAACTAGCCAGGTGTGGTGGCGGGTGCCTGTAATCCCAGCTACTTGGGAGGCTGAGACAGGAGAATCACTTGAACCCAGGAGGCAGACATTGCAGTGAGCTGAGATCGTGCCACTGCACTCCAGCCTGGGCAACAGAGTGAGACTCCGTCTCAAAAAAAAAAAAAAAATTATCTAGGCAAAGACCTTGCACCCTTCATAAAAATTAACTCAGAATGGATTGTAGACCTAAATGTAAAATGGAACACTATAAAACTCCTGGAAGACAACACAGGAGAAAACCTAACTGATCTTGGGAATGGCAATGACTTTAGGGCAATACCAATAGCATAATCTGTGAAAAATATAATTGATAAGCTGGACTTCATTAAAATTTAAAACTTCTGCTCTTCAAAAGAAGAATGAGAAGACAAGCCACAGACTAGGAGAAAATATTATAAAAGACGTATCTGATAGAGGACTGTTATCTACAATATACCCAGAACTCTTAAATCACAACAAGAAAATAACACAATGTAAAAATGGGCAAAATACCTGAATGAACACTTCATCAAAGAAGATATACACATGGCAAGTAAGTATATGAAAAGATGTTCAATATCATATGTCATTAGGGAATTGCATATTAAAACAATAAGATACTACTACACACTTACTTGAACGGCAAAATACTGACACCACAAAACGCTGACAAGGATGTGGAGCAACAGAAACCCTCATTCACTGCTGTGGGAATGCAAAATGATGCAGCCACTTTGAAAGGCAGTTTGGTAGTTTCTCCCAAAACTAAATATACCATCCAATCCAGCAGTTGCACTCCTTGGTATTTACCCAGATGAATTGAAAACTCATGTCTACACAAAAATCTGCACATGATGTATAGCGGCTTTATTCATAATTACCCAAACTTGGAGGCCACCAAGATGTCTTTCAGTAGGTGAATGGATAAACCGCAGCACATCCAGACGATGGAATATTATTATTCAGCACAAAAAAGAAATGAGCTATCAAGCCATGAAAAGACATGGAAGAACTTTAAGTGCATAAGTGAAAGAATCCGATGTGAAAAGGCTGCATACTGTATGATTCCAACTATATGGGATTCTGGAAAAGGCAAAACTATGGAGACAGTAAAAGGAGCAGTGGTTGCCAGTGGTTAGGGGACTGAGAAGGATAAATAGGCAGAGGACAGAGGATTTTCAGGGCAGTGAAACTATCGTGTATGATACCATAATGGTGGATACATGTCATTACATATATGTCAAAACCCACAGAATGTGCAACACCGAGAGTAAACTCTAATGTAAACTATGGACTCTGGGTGATAATGATGTGTCAAAGTTGGGTAATCAATTGTTACCAAATGTACCACTGTAGCACAAGATGTCCATGAGGGGACAAGTTGTGTATGTGCCTGTGTGTACAGGGGATATATGGGAACTCTGTACTTTCTGTTCAGTTTTGCCCTGAACCAAAAACTGCTCTATAAGTGTTCATTAATAACAGTAATTTTAAAAGACAAGGACCCCTTCTGACCTAGGGAATCTCTGGTGATGGAGGGGGAAGGGTGAAGCAGTCCCCTAGAAAGTGTAGATTTTACAAAGTTCTTCAACTGATTTTGTAGAGCTAGGTTTGGAACTGCTACCCTACTCTATGCTATTCGCCCAAGTAGTGGTTCCCAAACCAGGTGTCAGGCTTCAAGGCTGTGCAATATTCCTCATTACACGGTCTTGGCCCTAAACGCATGCTTTCCCGTCTCCCCACAAATCAAGACTCTAAAATGCCAGGGGTAGAAGAGCGGCACTTTCCTGTGTACTGAGTATGGGGGAAGGGAGAGCAGTCAAGCACGGACTGGCTGATTTTAACCCCCAAAAGGGCTGAAGCTGATACGCTTTGAAGATCGACCACGGCAGGAATATCTTGTTTTCTTTAATCCATCAGGGGGTTGTCGCACTTATTAAGTCCCACAGCTGCAGTTTAGCACGGAGGGGCTGTCACGTCACCAGGCCTCCCTGAAAGTCCTCCGCTCCAGCTCTGCGATTGGCGCTGGGGTAACAGGAGGGGAAGCGGGTGCTTTTCATCGAGCCTGCAAGAGGGGGGCCCAGGCATCGAGGCTGGGGAGTCGTGGGTAGAGCCCCGATTCCAGCCAAGACGCCACAGGACATAAGTAAGCGTGGAGGGCAAAATGACTACCCAAGCGCAATTCTGTAAGGCCGAAGGGACGTTCTTCCAACCTCTTAAATTTCCCGGGTGCCACGCCCCTCAATTGACGGCCCTGGATTCCAAGGTGTCGCGCCGGAAGTGACCTCACGGTGGTGGCGTGGAGACGTGGGGGCGCTTCCGGCAGCGGCGGCGGTGGTGAAGGCCGATGCTGTGGGGGTGGGCGTGGAGAGAATTCTTCTGTGGGTCCTCTGGTGTTGAGTGGTCGGCTTGGTGTGGTGTGCGGAGGAGCTCCAGGCCCGTCGGCGCGGAGGTGGGAGCGAAGGGAGGCTACTGGTTTGTGGACGGTCGTGGGAGGGGGCTGCCGGGGTTGCTTTAGGCTTCAGAGTTCCAGGCCTCGTAGACCTTTATAGAGGCAGGCAGGCAGGCAAGAGCTGGGGGCTTCATCGGATGAGCAGGGGACCACGTACTACGGGCGGCCCCAGGAGTTTGGTTTGAGGTGGAAGGCTGAGGACTGCAGGATTCTAAATAGTATGGGGATTGTGTGGGGAGTGAGGCATTAGCTGCTTGGGCCCTTAGTCCAGCCTTGTTGGTGGCTGCTGCAGTTCTTTGGCTCACTCACTCTGTTCTTCGTGCCTCAGTTTCCCTTTGCATAATGAGATACGGTGGCAGAGAAGAACGCCAGTGCCACATCCATGACTGATAGCTTGAGGACGGAGATGAACTGGAGGGTAGAAAAAGAGGATGCCTGAGAAATTTATACCTACCAGGTCACATCTTCGAATCCCAGGAAGTTATCCCTGGATTCATTTCTGCCTTTGATGCAAGTCTGTGGTTCTTTTCAGTACACTTTGTGTGATATTGATTGTATGTATCAATACTTGACTTGCTGAGTGGTTAAAGTGTTTTGGTTTGTGGGAGGCATAGTCCTTGTTGGCTTGGTCAGTTAATTTTCAGTTAATCTCCCAATAGCAATTGCTTCGCCTAACTCTTCAATTGGGAGATTAGTTGAAAATCAACTGACCAAGCCAACAGTCTTCTCCTGTGGTTACAGGTGAGGAACTCGCGACCCAGAATGGTTTTTCTTCTCTTCCTTCGCCACAGACCAAACCGATTTCAGTCTGCTGTCTCAAATACAGGTCTTCACCCCACCAAAACAGAAATGGCTGTCTCCAAGCAGTTTAGTATTTCAACTGGACACCCAGATGGATCCTAATCTTTTTTTTTTTTTTTAATGAATGGCAGATTACGTGTACTGAGCACAAAATCCTCTTAGCTAGTTTCTCTGTATGATGTAAAAACATGACATTTTGTTTATTACCAATTTCTTGGTAGAGCCTCCTTGGCATAGGGCTGTGGGGCTAGAAAAGTGTCTCAAAATTTTTTACCTGTGACCCACAGTTAGATATATTATACATCATGACTTATTGTGCCCCTGCACACTCAGTGTGTACACACACACACACACCAATGAAAAGTTTACTTACCCTTTCTACAGAAGATGCACTCTAAAAAAATATTGGTTGCAACTCACTAAATTGAGTCTGACCCCTAATAGGTCATGACGTATAGTTTGAAAAATATTAAGGCCGGGCACTGTGGCTCACGCCAGTAATCCCAGCACTTTGGGATGCTGAGGCGGGTGGATCACCTGAGGTCAGGAGTTGGAGACCAGTCTGGGCAACGTGGTGAAACCCCGTATGTACTAAAAATACAAAACTTAGCTGGGTGGTGGTGGGTGCCTATAATCCCAGCTATTTGGGAGGCTGAGGCAGGAGAAACGCTTGAACCTGGGAGGGAGAGGTTGCAGTGAGCCAAGATATGCTACTGCACTCCAGCCTGGGCAACAAGAACTAAACTTCTCAAAAAAAGAAAAGAAAAGAAAAATATTAGACTAGGGCCGAGTGCAGTGGTGGGAGGATTGCTTAAGGCCAGCCTGGGCAACATAGCAAGACTCTGTCTAAGAAAAACAACATTAGAAAATGTTTAAAATCCTTGCCATTTGTGAGATTCTGTAATTAATACAAAATGGAAGATGTATCATTTTTCTTTTCTTATCCAGAGAAGGGCTTACTAGAGTTCTCCTAAATTCAGCCAGAACAACAGGACAGGACATCCAAATTGTGGCTCAAAGGAGTGTAGTGACCATAATGATAGTGTGTCAGAATTTTAGCAAGGCATTTATGAAGTTTTTGTTTTTTTTTTTGAGATGGAGTCTCACTCCATTGCCCAGGTTGGACGGAGTGCAGTGGTGCAATTTCTGCTCACTGTAACCTCTGCCTCCTGGTTCAAGCGATTCTCCTGCCTCAGCCTCCCAAGTACCTGGGACTACAAGCATGCACCACCACGCCTGGCTAATTTTTGTATTTTCAGTAGAGATGGGGTTTCACCATGTTGGCCGGGCTGGTCTCGAACTCCCGACCTCAGGTGATCCACTCACCTCAGCCTCCCAAAGTGCTGGGATTACAGGTGTGAGCCACCGCGCCTGGTCTTACTGAGTCTTACTATAACTGAGTGGGCGAGATGGAGGAATTTGCCAGATTGTGGTAGTTAGATGGAGTCATGAGTTTGAAAATCTATGTATGGAGAGGTTTGATTTGTGGACACTACTTACAGCTGGAATTCCGGTGATCTAAACTGGGGTTTCATCACTTTCTTTATATACTTCATGTATTTGAGACCTTATCTAGAAGGTTTGCTTATTGGATTTGGTGCCTTTGTGAAGTAAAGAAAGAGTCATTTGGTTGGTGATTGCCAGAATGGGAAAAGATCTCAATATAATTTGCTCAGTGCTGTTTAATGAAATGAAGGAAGCATGTATAAATGTGAGAAATTGCGCTTGGGTCCAAACAAAATCAACTATACCTATTAGGGGAGGGTGGAGATGTGACCTCACAGGAGTTCTATAATAAAAAGATGTGATGTTTTAATCACCAATCAGTGGTGTGGTTAAGAAGGCTGTGAGAAGAACCGATGTGACCTGCATTAGTATATTGTATCAGGAAAATGCAAAATCTAGAATGAGAAAGGTTGCATCACTGGTAGGCTTGTACCTGGAATATTAGGTTTAGATCTAGATGTGCTAAGAGTAAATTTATGGGCAGAAGTCAAAAGTTTGAAGATATGGTGGTGTTGCTTTGGCATGAATGATTATTTTTCTCCTTGTCATTTCAGGCTTTCAGGTATAGGCTGGGTCACTAGTCTTAAAACATTTCTTCTTGAGAATGTCTAAAAGACTGTGGAATCTGTTAGATCTTATATACTTTTAAGTTGGCACCTGAAACTTTTCATCCTAGATTTACATAGTGTAAGTATTTAATTTTAAATAGTTTAGGATGTAATTTCTGACAAGTAAATATTGACTTCTTAAAAATAAATATAAAATTACCTAAATACAATATCAATTTGATGTTGTAAAAACATACAACTAAACTTTTGAAACAAAGACTGTAAGAAATACATAACATAGCTTATTACATTACTTGATTTTCAGATGTTAAACCCATCTTGCATTTGTGAAATGAACCCTGCTTAGTAATGTATCTACTACTTTTTACATATAGATGGATTCAATTTGCTAACATTTTGTTAATTTTTGTGACTGTGTTCATGATGGATATTGGTCTGAGGTTTCCTTTTTTTTATGTCATCTTTGGCCTTAGTAGCAGGGTAATTATGACCTCATAAAATGAATTGGGAAGTGTTCCTTCCTCCTCTGTTTTCTGAAATAGTTTGTGTAGGATTGGTATTATTTCTTACGTGTTTCATAGAATTTACCAGTGAAGTCCTATGGGCCTGGGTTTTTCTCTCTGGGAAGATTTTACTAATTCAATTTCTTAATATAGTTAGTTGAGTTAGTTTTGGTCATTTTTATCATTTTGGGAGTTTGTCCATTACATATTTTTCCTTTTTCTTTTTGAACTTGTATCCATTCCACTTTTCCCACAGAATTTTATCCTAAAGCAAAAGTCAACTTTCTGTCAAAGGCCAGATGAAAGGCTTTATGGGCCACATGGTTTCTGTGATTACTGCTTAATTCTCACTGTAGTGAGAAAACAGCCATAGACAATATGTGGCCGGGTGCGGTGGCTCACGCCTGTAATCCCATCACTTTGGGAGACTGAGGCAGGCGGATCACGAGGTCAGGAGATCGAGACCATCCTGGCTAACACAGTGAAACCCCGCCTCTACTAAAAAATACAAAAAAAATTAGCCGGGCGTGTTGGTGGGCGCCTGTAGTCCCAGCTACTTGGGAGGCTGAGGCAGGAGAATCGCTTGAACCCGGGAGGTGGAGGTTGCAGTGAGCCGAGATCGCTCCACTGCACTCCAGCCTGGACGACAGAGCAAGACTGTCTCAAAAAAACCCAAAAAAACCCAGAAAATAGCCGTAGATAATATGCAAGTATTTTTGTGTAGTTGTGTTCCAATAAAACTTTATTGGTAGCAGACCAGATCTGGTTTAGGGCTGTAGTTTTCCTACCCATCCTAAAGTAATAAATTTTATGCCTGAAAATTTAAAATTGATCATCTAGTTATCCACACAGATCAGGTTTATGAGAGTAGCATGGAAGTTGATTCCCTTGCTTGCATATCTTTGTGTACCCCCTACGGACATGTGTATTCCAGTGTAAAGACCAGGACTTGATTTCCAAGATGTTGTAGAGGGAATTCATGTATTTTTGTAATTTTGTTTGGGTGAGAAGTGAGGTGGCCCTCACAGCGCCATAACTTAAGTTCCCTATGTGATCGGTATTCTTTCTGGCAAAAGGAGACATTTGAACTAAAATTTTTTATGTTGTAGACACTATATGGATTATCTCATTTAATCTTAAAATAATCCATATAGTATCTTAAAATAATCCATATAGTATCTTAAAATAATTCATATAGTGGTTCTATGAGATAGGTGTATAATTGGCATAATTCCCTACAGATGAGGCAGTTGAGACTCAGATTAGGTAATTTGCCCAGGTCGTAGTGCTGGTTAGTAAGGAAGTTCAGAAGTGAACCAGGGGCTGTGATGTCTGATTTCATTTTTTTCTTTTTTTTTTTTTTTGAGACAGGGTCTTGCTCTGCCACCCAGGCTGGAGTGCAGTGGTGCAATCTTGGCTCACTGCAACCTCCGCCTCCCAACACTTCTGACTAATTTTTTGTATTTTTTCTAGAGACAGAGTTTTGCCATGTTGCCCAGGCTGGCTTTGAACTCCTAGGCTCAAGCGGTCAGCCCTCCTTGGCCTCCCACAGTGCTAGGATTGCAGACACTAGCCACCTGAGGCGTGAGCCACCACACCCAGTGTGATTTCAGAATTTTATTCTCTTTTCACCGTGCTGCCTTTTATGGAAGATATGGGTTTAGTACTGGATTTAGATAGGGGATTGTGCTGGATTTCTTTTTCTGAGGCGGGGTGGGGGTGGAAACAGTCTTGCTATGTTGTCCAGGCTGGTCTGAAACTCCTGGCCTCAAGTGATCCTCCTGCCTCAGCCTCCCAAAGTGCTGGGATGTAGGGCCTGAGCCATCATGCTGGGTTGCATATTTTCTTTTAAGATCTCTGCCTTTCCCAATATTTTGATTAAACAAACACCTTTCCTGTTGTGTGGAACAATTCCTAGTTTTTCAGAAATCTATAACTACTCACTCATCCACAGCTGTTAATTATAATTGTTTTTAGCAGGCCAAGGGTTGTTTATTGGATCTGAATGCTGTGAGTTGTCTGATGTGGCACAGAGATGGAGGTAGCTAGATTTGTAATTGGCAACTTGTTTATTTGTAATTTATGGATCATTTGGGCGCTGCCTTAGTAATATAATAGATGGAAGAGTGTTTAGCGCTACCTGACTTTGTTATCCAAAGGCTTATCAGAATAATGATAAAGTCCCATTACTTATCTGGCATTCAGTAGTCTGGAAATCCTGATAGTTCAGCATTTGAGCAAAATAGTCCCATAATTAAAAGTAATCTGGAAAATCTTGATTATGTCACATCTGTGGCTCCCTTCCTAGCTACACAGATTGTTAGGATAGATTTTAATAACAAGTTGGCAAAATAAGTGTTGGTTAGCTAGCTGCACAAACATTGCATTTTTTTGAAATATTTAACATTGTTGAATACTACACAGAAAAATTAGTTTTTTTTAGAAGTGGAATTGTTTGAAGGATTTATTGTCATGAATAGGCTTTACAGGGAAGATGTATTTTTTTTTATTGTACATCAAATCCTGTCAGCAAACTTACACTAGTAATGTATTAATGAGATGAAGGATATTCCAAAGTAGCTAGATTTGTAATTGGCAACTTGTTTATTTGTATAAGAACAAAGTGGTAAATGAATTAAAGTATTCTTACCTGGAGGTGTTTAAGAAATGGAGGCAGGGCCGGGCGCAGTGGCTCACGCCTGTAATCCCAGCACTTTGGGAGGCCGAGGCGGGCGGATCATGAGGTCAGGAGATCGAGACCATCCTGGCTAACACGGTGAAACCCCATCTCCACTAAAAATACAAAAAATTAGCCGGGCGCGGTGGCGGGCACCTGTAGTCCCAGCTACTCAGGAGGCTGAGGCGGGAGGATGGTGTGAACCCAGGAGGCGGAGCTTGCAGTGAGCTGAGATAGTGCCACTGCAGTCCGGCCTGGGCGAAAGAGCGAGACTCCGTCTCAAAAAAAGAAAAAAAAAAAAGAAATGGAGGGAGAAGGAAGACAAATAAGACTAAATGAACTTTGGTAGCAAGTTCTTGACTGAATAGTAATTCACAACATCTCTGAATTCAGTAGTCATTACAATTTTAGGAATAATTTATTGGGAGAATAACAGTATCAATGAAGCAAGAGTAAATAAGAAGTATGTTTAAGAAAATACCAAAACCATTGCACCCCACCAGAATGAGTAAGTTGAAGAGAACAATAGTACCAAGTTTTGGCAAGATGAGGAGCAGAAAGAACTCACGTATGGTGGGTTGTATAAATGTAGATGGTAATACAAAATGGTACAACCACTTTGGAAAACTGTTCAGTGGTTCCTAATAAAGTCATAAATATAACATGACTTCCTGTGTTATATGCCCAGTAGAAATGGATGTATTTGTCCATCGCAGAAATATACTGTATACAGTTTAAGAATATTATTTGTAATAAGTCAGAACTAGAAATAACCCAACTATGTATCAGCAGTAGAATGGATAAATACATTGAGGCATGCTTACAGAAAACAGCACAGCTATGAGAAAGAATAAACTTCTGATACATGCAACAATGGGGATGAATCTCACAAATGTACTTTTTTTTTTTTTTTTTTTGAGACAGCATCTCGCTCTGTCACCCATACTGGAGTGCAGTAGCAGGATCTTGGCTCACTGCAACCTCCGCCTCCCCAGTTCAAGCGATTCTTGTGCCTCAGCCTCCTGAGTAGCTGGGATTACAGGCATGTGCCACCACGCCCAGCTAATTTTTTGTATTTTTAGTAGAGACAGGGTTTTGCCATGTTGGCTAGATTGGTATTGAACTCTTGACCTCAAGTGATCCACCCGCCGTGGCCTCCCAAAGTGCTGGGATTACAGGCATGAGCCACCATGCCTGGCCTCACAGATGTACTTTTGAGCAAAAGAAGACAAACACTCTGAAAGAGAACCTTTATGATTCTGTTTATGTGAAGCTCAAAATCAGGCTCAAATAATCTTTCATGATAGATGTCAGAATAATAACTACCTGTAGGAGGACACAATGGAGCCTTTTGAGGTGTTGGAAATAGTCTGTCTTGTTTTGAGTGGTGGTCACATGGGTGAATTGATATGTAAAATTTCAGGGAGGTGTACACTTAAAATATGTAGACTGACTTACTGTATATGTTATACCTTGATAGAAAAGTAGAAAATAAAAGACAAGATTGGTTCCTTGTAGCTCCTGTATCTCCTGTACTTCTTTTGACGTGGAGGTGTTAGCTGTATAATTGATGGAGCCCCTTCCCTAGTCCGATTAGGAACCCAGTTGATGGGCACTGTACTTGTTTTAGATTTACTGTTTTCTGTAAATAGCATAATTTTCTTTATAGAATAAACCTGTTTGAGGAGTTTTGAATAATGCTATTTTACCAAGGGAAGTTTCTGAGGAAAGGGAAGTTTGTTACACATTCAGTGGTTATATTTTTAAAAGTTTCTATTAATATTAACTACATAGAAGAACACTTATAAACGAGTATCCACATTTTCAAAGTGTTAAAAATTCTATTCAGTTACTACTACCATAATATAAACTTGAATGCACAACATCAGTGTCTTAAAGATATATGTTAAATAAAACAGTAAAAGCCTTTTCATATCTGGTTAATTTCTGGTGCTTTTTATTCTGCATCTATCTAAGCATCTGAGTAGAATTATGATGGATTATAAATGATAGGAAAGGAAACTCATGCTTTTGTGACATTAGGCAAAGGTTGATCAGGAAGGGAAAAGAAGCCTAAAATGTGTGTATTTTGTGCTTTTTTACCATCATCATTATTGTTGAAATTGTGTTGCATTGAAAATTTACCCAAGGGCCAGGCACAGTGGCTCATGCCTGTAATCCTAGTGCAGAGGCTGAGGTGAGCAGATCACCAGAAGGCAGGAGTTCGAGATCAGTCTGGCCAACATGGTGAAACCCCATCTCTACTAAAAATACAAAAATTAGCTGGGTGTGGTGGCGGGCGCCTGTAGTCCCAGCTACTCAGGAGGCTGAGGAAGGAGAATTGCCTGATTGAACCTGGGAGGCAGAAGTTGCAGTGAGCCAAGATTGCGCCACTGCACTCTAGCCTGGGCGACAGAGCAAGGCTCTGTTTCATTCTATAATAAATGTAACAAAAAAAAGCCTGTATGAGCCTGCTAATTCATTGTTCTTTTAATCTTCGGTTCTGTCCGCATAGTTTTATGATACTGGCTCAGTTAGATCACTAGAGAACTATCTAGAGTTTGATTAATCCCTAGAGCTGGACTCTTTCAGACTTAGTGTTTCTAATGGGGCATACTGTTTTTTGTTTTTTTTTTTGAGACAGGGTCTTGCTGTGTTGCCCAGCCTGGTCTTGAATTCCTGGACTCAAGTGATGCTCCTGCCTTGGCTTCCCAAACTCCTGGAATTACAACTGTGAGCCACTGCACCCAGCCAGGAGTGCTTTATTTTTATTTATTTTTTATTTTTTTCTAGACGGAGTCTTGCTCTGTTGCCCAGGCTGGAGTGCAGTGGTGCGGTGTCGGCTCACTGCAGGCTCCGCCTCTTGGGTTCAAGCAGTTATCCTGTCAGCCTCCTGAGTAGCTGGGATTACAGGTGCATGCCACCATGCCGTCCACGTCGGCCTCCCAAAGTGCTGGGATTATAGGCGTGAGCCATTGCGGCTGGCCTGGAGGAGTGCTGTATATGCTTTTTTGCCCCTTTCCCTTCATTTATGTATTTATTTTGAGACAAAGTCTTGCTCTTGTTAGCAGGCTGGAGTGCAGTGGCGCAATTTCTGCTCACTGTATCCTCTGCGTCTTGGGTTCAAGTGGTTTTCCCACCTCAGCCTCCTAAATAGCTGGGATTACAGGCACCCACCACCACACCTGGCTAATTTTTGTATTTTTAGTAGAGATGGGGTTTCACCATGTTGGCCAGGCTGGTCTCAAACTCCTCAGGTGATCCACCTGCCTCGGCCTCTGAAAGTGCTGGGATTATAGGAGTGAGCCACCGTGGCTGGCCTATTTAATTTTTTTTGAGATGGAGTCTTGTTCTTGTTGCCCAGGCTGGAGTGCAATGGTGTGATCTCAGCTCACTGCAACCTTCGCCTCCCAATTTCAAGTGACTCCCCTGCCTCAGCCTCCCAAGTAGCTGGGATTACAGGCATGCACCACCATGCCCGGCTAATTTTTTTTTTTTGAGACCGAGTCTTGTTCTCGTTGCCCAGGCTGGAGTGCAATGGCACGATCTCAGCCCACTGCATCCTCCGCCTCCCGGGTTCAAGCGATTCTCCTGCTTCAGCCTCCTGAGTAACTGGGATTACAGGAACATGCCACCGCATTTGGCTAATTTTTGTATTTTTAGTAGAGATGGGGTTTCACCTTGTTGGTCAGGCTGGTCTCGAACTCCTGACCTTGTGATCCACCTGCCTCAGCCTTCCAAAGTGCTGGGATTACAGGCGTGAGCCACTGCGCCCGGCCAATTTTGTATTTTTAGTAGATATGGGGTTTCATCATGTTGGTCAGGCTGGTCTCGAACTCCTGACCTCATGTGATCCACCTGCCTTGGCATCCCAAACTGCTGGAATTATAAACGTGAGCCCCCACACTCAGTCAGGACATACTCTTTTACCAGAGGGGTGCTTTATATGCTTTTTTGCTCCTTTATGTCTGAAATTAGTATTTGAAAACAGTTTCAAGTGCTGGTTTCTTTTTTTAATGTAAAAACACTGAACCAGTGTTTCACTTTGTGCTTAACATGTGTATTTATATTCATCTGCTATCATCTGCTAGCTGTTTTCTGACTTCCTCGTGTGAGTGGGGAAGTGTTAGGTTTCATACCTTATATAGGATTTTGCATAGAGTATGCCCAAGGATACTGTATTTTTTAGAACCATTTTCAAAAAGAGCCAAGACATTTAGATATAAACATGTAGGTACTCTAGATTTTGAGTAACTTCTGTCACGTTTATTATTTCTAATTCATTCATCGATTGATTAAATATTTATTGACTTCTTCCACTCTAGGCACTCTTATTGACTGAACAAGACTATGTCATTTGTCCTATTCTAGTGGGGTGACACACACACTATCTATCTATCTATCTATATACTTTTTGTTTTGAGACAGGGTCTCACTCTGTCATCTAGGCTGGGGTGCAGTGGCCTGATCATGGCTCATTGCAGCCTTGACCTTCCGGGCTCAAGTGGTCCTCCTGTCTCAGCATTCTGAGTAGCTGTAGCTTGTATTACAGGCATGTGCCACCAAGCCTGGCTAGTTTTTTTAATTTTTTTGCAGAGATGGGGTCTCCCTATGTTGCCTAGGCTGGTCTCAAACTTCTGGACTCAAGCCATCTGCCCACCTTAGCCTCCCAGAATGCTGAGATTACAGGCATGAACCACCATGCCTGACCAACACACACAATATGAAGAAACAAGATAATTCATATAGTGATTGATTTTGAGATCATAACAGGATTTAAGGTGTTGGAGAATAACGATGAGTAGCCACGTTAGATTGGGTAGACAGGGAAGGCTTTTTTGAGATGGTCATGTTTTACCAGATGTCGGAAAGGCAGGATGGAACTAACCATTCATAGAGCTGGGGAAAGTGTTCTAGGAATAACTTGTGTAAAATTTGGGAAGCCTTGGCCTCCTAAAGTGCTGGGATTACAGGCATGAGCCACCATGCCTGGCCTAAAATTTCATTTTCAGTTGTTTGCTGCTGTTGTTGTTTTTTCTACATCGAGCATATATCCTGTGACCTTGCTAAATTTCCTTATTAGTTCTAGTAGGACTTTTTATGGATTGACTGTAAACAGCTAATTATGTCATTGCAAATAAAGACAGTTTTACTGTCTTATTTAACTTTATTATTTATTTAACTTTCTGGGTTTTTTTTTTTCTTTTTCTTGTCTTATTACACTGGCTAGGACCTACAGTTGTTGAATATAAGTACAAGTGGTGAGAGTGGACATCCTTGCCTCATCCTCAGTACTTGGGGAAAGCATTTATTTCAACCCCACCTTTTTTTTTTTTTTTTTTTTTGAGACAAAGTCTCAGCTGGGCATGGTAGCCCATGCCTGTAATCTTAGCACTTTGGGAGGCCGAGGTAGGCAGATAGCTTGAACTCAGGAGTTGGAAACCTGGGCAACATGGCAAAACCCTGTCTTACAAAAAATACAAAAATTAGCTGGGTGTGGTGGTGTGGGCCTGTAGTCCCAGCTACTCAGGAAGTTGAGGTGGGAGGATCAATTGAGCTGTGAGGTCAAGACTAGCTTGGGCAGCAAAGTGAGACCCTGTCTCTACAAAACAGAAAATATTAGCTGGCCATGGTAGCATACACCTATAGTCCCAGCTACTCAGGAGGCTGAGGCGGGAGGATCACCTGAGCCCAGGAGCCCAGGAGGCTGCAGTGAGCCAAAAAAAAAAAAAAAAAAAACAGAAACAAAAAACCAAAATATATAAAATAAAGACAGTGTCTGGCTCTGTTGCCCAGGCTGGAGTGCAGTGGTACAATCATAGCTCACTGTAACCTCAAACTCCTGAGCTCTGTGATCTTCTTGCCTCAGCCTCTGAAAGTGCTGAGATTACAGGTGTGAGCCACCATGCCTGGCCTATTTCACCATTAAGTATCATGTTAGCTGTAATTGTTTTGTAGATGCCAGCTTTCCCTCCCCTTTTTAAATATAGTGAATGATTGTTAAATTTTGTCCAATTATCTTTCTGCATTTATTGATATGATTATACATGATTTCATCACTTATTTTGTTAATGTGATGCAAGGCATTGATTTTTTTTTTAATTAAACTTCTGAGATAGTTGTAGATTCACATGCCATTGTAAGAAATAATACAGAGAGATTCCTTATGCCCTACCCAGTTTCCCCTGTTGGTAACATCTTGCAAAACTGTAATACAGTATCACTACTAGGATATTGACATTGATATGGTCAAGATGTAAAATATTTCCATTACTACAAGAGTCCCCCATGTTGCTACTCTGTTGCCCAGGCTGGAGTACACTGTCACGACCTTGACCTCAGCTCACTGCGACCTCCGCCTCCTGGGTTCAAGTGATTCTCCTGCCTCAGCCTCCCGAGTAGCTGGGACTATAGGCGCTTGCCACCACGCCGGGCTAATTTTTGTATTTTTGGTAGAGACGAGGCTTCGCCATGTTGGCCAGGCTGGTTTTGAACTCCTGACCTCAGGTGATCCACCCTCCTCAGCCTCCCAAAGTGCTGGGATTACAGGCATCAGCCACTGTGCCCGGCCCTGTTCTCCATTTCTATAGCTTTGTCATTTCAAGAATGTTACACAAATGGAATCATACAGAACACAACCTCTTGGGGTTGGCATTTTTACTTTTTGCCCTGTGGTATGAATGTACCACTGTTTGTTTATTCACTCATTGAGGTTATCTGAGTTGTTTCCAGTTTGTGGCTTTTTTGAGTAAATGTGATATAAACACTTGTGTACAGGGTATTTTATTTTATTTTTTTTCTGAGACAGAGTTTCGCTCTTGTTGCCCAGAATGGAGTGCAGTGGTGCGATCTGGGCTCACCACAACCTCTGCCTCCCAGGTTCAAGCGATTCTCCCGCCTCAGCCTCCCGAGTAGCTGGGATTACAGGCATGCGCCACCGCTCCCAGCTAGTTTTGTATTTTTAGTAGAGACAGGATTTCTCCATGCTGGTCAGGCTGGTCTCGAACTCCCGACCTCAGGTGATCCACCTGCCTCAGCCTCCCAAAGTGCTGGGATTACAGGCGTGAGCCACTGCGCCCAGCCCACGTACAGGTTTTTGTGTGAACCTAGGTCTTCCTTTCTCTGGGATAAATGACCAGAAGTGCAACTGCTGGGTCATATTGTAGTTGCATGTTTAGTTTTTTGGTTTTTTTTTTTTTTTTTTTTGAGATGGAGTCTTGCTCTGTTGCCCAGGCTGGAGTGCAGTGGCCCCATCTCGGCTCACTGCAAGCTCCACCTCTTCAGTTCACGCCATTCTCCTGCCTCAGCCTCCCGAGTAGCTGGGATTACAGGAGCCCACCACCATGCCCGGCTAATTTTTTGTATTTTTAGTAGAGACGGGGTTTCACCGTGTTAGCCAGGATGGTCTCGATCTCCTGACGTTGTGATCCACCCGCCTTGGCCTCTCAAAGTGCTGAGATTACAGGCGTGAGCCACCGTGCCCAGCCTTGGGTTTTTTCTTTTTTTGAGACAGAGTCTCTGTTGCTCAGGCTAGAGTGCAGTGGTGGGATCACGGCTCACTGCAACCTGCGCCTCCCAGGTTCAAGCGATTCTCATGCCTTAGCCACTCAAATAGCTGGGATTACAGGTGTGCGCCACCACACTTGGCTAATTATTGCATGTTTAGTTTTTTTAATAACCTGCCAGGATGTTTTCCAGAGTAGCTGTACTATTCAATATTTGGACTAGCAATGTATGAGTGATCCATTTTTTCCACATTCTTACTAGCACTTGGTGTTATCACTGTATTTTAGCCATTTTGAAAGGTGTATATTTCCTAGATACTACTCCTTTGTCTTTGTCAGATAGGTGGTTTGCAAGTATTTTCTCCCAGTCTGTGACTTGTTTTTTGTGGAATAAAAATTTTAATTTTCAAGAAGTCTAGTTGACCAGCTTTTCTTTTTATGGATTGTGCTTTTGGTGTCAAGTCTAAGAACTCTTTGCCTAGCCCTAGATCTTGAGGGTTTCTCTTATGTTTTTTCTAAAAGTTTTAGAGTTTGATGTTTTACATTTAAGTTCATGATACATTTTGAGTAAATTTTTGTATAAAGTGTGAACCTTAGTTTGAGGTTCATTTTTTTGCTGATGGATTTACATTTGCTCCAGCGCTATTTGTTGTAAAAACTATGCTGCCTGCATTGAATTGTTTTTGCACTTTGTCAAAAATCAGTTGGGCATATTTTTGTGAGTCTGTTTCTGGGTTCTGCCTTCTATTTTATCGATTTACATGTTTGTCCCTCTGCCAATACTATATAGTCTTGATTATCATAATTGTGTAAGTCTTGAAATCAGGTAGACTGATTGTTCCCACTTTCTTATAAAAAATTGATTTAGCAGCCAGGCGTGGTGGCTCACGCCTGTAATCCAGCACTTTGGGAGGCTGAGGTGGGTGGATCATGGGGTCAGGAGTTCAAGACCAGCCTGGCGAAGATGGTGAAACCCTGTCTCTACTAAAAATACAAAAATTAGCCAGGCGTGGTGGTGGGCACCTGTAATGCCAGCTACTCGGGAGGCTGAAGCAGAAAACTGCTTGCACCCGGGAGGTGGAGGTTGCAGTGAGCCGAGATTGCGCCACTGCACTCCAGCCTGGGCGACAAAGTGAGTCTCCGTCTCAAAAAAAATATTGATTTAGCTATTTTAGTTTCTTTGCCTTTCCTTGTAAATTTTAGAATAACCTTGTCTATATCTACAGATCTTGCTGGGATTTTGATAAGAATTGCATTGATCCTTTATACCAATTTGAGGAGGATTTATGTACTTTTTGTCGAGTCTTTTAATCCATGAACATGTTATATCTGTTATATTTAGCATTTTGATTTTTTCCTCAGTGTTGCATAGTTTTCAGTATACAAATCCTGTACCCTTTTTTTTTAGATTTACACCTAGTACTTTATTTTTTGAGCAATTGTAAATGGTATTGTATTTTAAATTTCATTGCCCATGTGTTCATTGCTAATATACTGAAATAAGATTGGCTTTTGTATGTTTATCTTGTATCCCACAATCTTGCTGAACTCACTTGTTCTAAGACTTTTTGTAGATTACGGGGAATTTCTACATAGACAGTTATGTCATCTGCAAATGGGGATAGTTTTGTTTTTTCCTTTACAAACTGTATACTTTTTTTATCTGTTTCTTGCTTTATTGCGAGAACTTCTAGAGCTGTGTTGAGTAATAGTGGATATCTTTGCCTTGTTCATGTTCTTATAGGGAAAGCATTCAGTCTTTCACCATTTAGTATAATGTTAGCTGTAGGGACTTTTTAGATCCCTTTACCAGATTGATGAAGTTCCTCTCTATTCCCATTTTTCTGAGAGGCTTTTTAAAAAAAGAATGAATGGGTGTTCGATTTTGTCAAATGCATTTCTGTGTCAGTTGCTATGAACATGTGTTTTTCTTATTTAGCCTGTTAATATGGTAGATTACATTGATTGGCTTTCTGATCTTGAGTCAGCATTGCATCCTTGGAATAAACTCCACCTGGGTGTGGTGTATAAATCTTTTTTTTTTTTTTTTTTTTTTTTGAGATGGAGTCTCGCTCTGTCACCCAGGCTGGAGTGCAGTGGTGTGATTGTGGCTCACTGCAAGTTCCTCCTCCTGGGTTCCCATCATTCTCCTGCCTCAGCCTCTCGAGTAGCTGGGACTCAGGAGCACGCCACCACGCCTGGCTAATTTTTTGTATTTTTAGTAGAGACAGGGTTTCACCATGTTAGCTAAGATGGTCTTGATCTCCTGACCTCGTGATCCGCCCACCTTGGCCTCCCAAAGTGCTGGGATTACAGGCGTGAGCCACCACACCTGGCTGGGTGTGGTGTATAATTCTTTATGTTTATTGTTTTGTTTTTTACTTTTATTTTAGAGATGGTGTCTTGCTTTGTTGCCCAGGCTGGAGTGCAGTGGTGTGATCATAGCTCACTCCATCCACTGACTCATGGGCCCAAGCTCCCTTCCTGCCTCAGGCTCCCAAGTAGCTGAGATTACTGGTATGCACCACTACACCTGTTTTTTTTTTTTTTTTTTTTTTTTTGGTAGAAATAAGGTCTCACTGTGTTGCCCAGGCTGGTTTCAAACTCCTGGCCTCAAGCTATCCTCCCACCTTGGCCTCTCAAAGTGCTGGGATTACAGGTGTGAGCCACTGAGCCTGGATCATTATTGTTGAATTGTTGGGTGATATTTTGATAAGGAATTTTATGTTTACATTCATGGGGGATAGTATTCTGTAGTTTTGTTTTTGTCTTATTGTTGTCAGGTCTTGGTATCAAGATAATATTTCTGTATTTACTGATGTGATAACGTTTATGATTTTCTCATTCTGTTAAAATGATTTAAAATTGATCGATTTTTAAAATATCAAACCAATTTTGCATTCTAGGAGTAGGGACCTAAATATATGTGATATATTAGACTTTTAAAATTTATTGCTGGATTTGATTTGTTAATATCTTGTTGAGGATTTTTGGTCTATATTTGTGCAGGATGTTGATCTTTTTCTTATAAAGCCTTTGTGGGGAGGCTTTCACGTCAGAGTTATACTAGCTACATTGAACAAATTGGGAAATGCTTCTTTCTTTTTTTTAATTTTTATTTTTGAGACAGAGTCTTGCTTTGTCACCTGGGCTGGAGTGCAGTGGCGCGATCTTGGCTAACTGCAACCTCCCCTCCTGGGTTCAAGCCATTCTCCTGCCTCTGCCTCTCGAGTAGCTGGGATTACAGGTGTGTACCACCACACCTGGCTAATTTTTTTTTTTGTATTTTTAGTAGAGATGGGGTTTCACCATGTTGGCCAGGCTGGTCTTGAACTCCTGAACTCAAGTGATCTACCCTCCTCAGCCTCCCAAAGTGCTGGGATTACAGGTGTGAACCACTGTGCCCAGCCTTTTTTTTTTTTTTTTTCTGAGACGGAGTCTCGCTCTGTCGCCCAAGCTGTAGTGCAATGGTGTGATCTCAGCTCACTGCAACCTCCACCTCCCCATTTCAAGCGATTCTTCTGCCTCAGCCTCTTGAGTAGCTGGGATTACAGGCACGTGCCACCATGCCTGGCTAATTTTTGTATTTTTAGTAGAGGCAGGGTTTCACCATGTTGGCCAGGCTGGTCACAAACTGCTGATCTCAAGTGATCCACCTGCCTCAGTCTCCCAAAGTGCTGGGATTACAGGCATGAGCCATTGCATCCAGCCTCATTCCCCTGTGTTTTCTAAAAGTTTGTATGAGATTGACATTATTTTTTTCCTAAAATGTTGGATAAAATTAACGAGTAAAGCTGTCTAGTTCAGACTTAGTTAAAAAGAAAAAGCCAGTAAAGCCATCTAGGCCTGGATTTTTCTTTGTAGGAAGGTTTTAAATTACATAATCAATTTGGTTTTTTCTATTAAATAGACTTTATTTTTTAGAGCAGTTTTAGTTTCAGGGAAAAATTGAGCCGAAAATACAGAGGGTTCCCATATATCTCACTGTTGTCCCCCAGTAAGCCCTCTCTGCTGTCAACATTCCACACCACGGTCGTGTTTGTTACAATTGATGAACCTACACTGACACTTCGTTGTCATCCAGAGTCCATAGTTAACATTAGGGTTCACTCTTGGTGTTGTACATTCTATGGGTTTTGAAGTGACACATATCTACCATTATAGTATCAAACAGAATAGTTTCACTGCCCTAAAAATTCTCTTGTTCACCTCCCACCCCCACCCCACTAACCACTGGCACCCACTGCTCCTTTTACTGTCTCCATAGTTTTGCCTTTTCCAGAAAACCTTGTAGCTGGAATCATATAGTATGTATGTATCCTTTTCACATTGGCTTCTTTCACTTAGTAATGTGCTTTTCAGTTTCCTCCATGTCTTTTCATGGCTTGATAGCTCATTTCTTTTTTGTGCTGAATAGTATTCCACTGTCTGGGTGTGCCATAGTTCATTCATCCATTCACCTACTGAAGGATGTCTTGATTGCTTCCGAATTTGAGCAATTTTGAATAAAGCTGCTGTAAACATCCACGTGCAGATTTATGGTGGATGTAAGTTTTCAGTTCATCTGGGTAAATACCAAGGAGAGTGATTGCTGGATCAGATGGTATATTTAGTTTTGTGAGAAACTACCTTATTAATATGCATATGCAAGCTAGGCACAGTGGCTCATGCCTATAAACCTAGCACTTAGGAGGCCGAGGCAGACAGATCACCTGAGGTCAGGAGTTCGAGACCAGCCTGGGCAACATGGTGAAACCCCTCTACTGAGAAAAAAAACAACAACAAAAATTAGCTGGGTGTGGTGGCACGTGTCTGTAGTCCCAACTACTTGGAAGGCTGAGGCAGGAGAATTGATTGAAGAGGCAGAGGCTGCAATGAGCTGAGATTGTACCACTGCACTCTAGCCTGGGCGATAAAGATAGAGTGAGACTCAGTCTCCAAAAAAAAAAAAAAAAAAAAGGCTGGGCATGGTGGCTCACGCCTGTAATCCCAGCACTTTGGGAGGTGAGGCGGGTGGATCATGAGGTCAGGAGTTCAAGACTAGCCTGACCAACATGGTGAAACCCCGTCTCTACTAAAAATACAAAAATTAGCCAGGTGTGGTGGTGCATGCCTGTAATCCCAGCTACTCAGGAGGCTGAGGCAGGAGAATTGCTTGAACCCGGGAGGTGGAGGTTGCAGTGAGCTGAGATTGTGCCACCGCACTCCAGCCTGGGCGGCAGAGTAAGACTCCATCTCAAAAAAAAAAAGAAAAATGCATACTCAAAGTGGCTGCATCATTTTGCATTCCTGTCAGCAATGAATGACGGTTTTTGTTGCTCCACATCCTCGTCAGCATTTGGTGTTGTCAGTGTTTTGGATTTCGGCCATTCTGACAGGTGTGTAGTGGCATCTTATTGTTGTTTTAATTTCCATTAATTCCCTGATGATATGATGTAGAGCATCTTTTCATATGCTTGCCTGCCGTGTCCATGTCTTCTTTGGTGAAGTATCCTTTTGGGTCTCTTGCTCATTGTTTCATCAGGTTGTTCATTTTCTTATTGTTGAGTTTTAAGAGTTCTTGGTATGTTATGGATAACAGACCTTTATCAAATATGTCTTTCACAAATATTTTCTCCTAATTTGTGTCTTGTCTTATTCTCTTGATAAATTCAGTTTTTAAAATAGACATGCAGCTACTCAGATTTTTAATTTCTTGTGTCAGTTTTGATAACTTTTGTCTAAGAAGTTCCCCATTTTGTCTAGTTGTCAAATTTGCTGGCATAAGGTTATTTTTTAATGTCTATGATGTCTCTTTGTTCATTTCTGATATTAATAATATGTGTTTTATCTTTTTTCTTTATTAGGTGTTTACCAACTTTATTAATATTTTCAAAGAGCTAATTTTTGTTTTATTTTTCTTAGTTGTTTCTTGTTTCATTGGTTTCTGCTCTTGATTTCCTTTCTATTAACATCAGGTTAATCTGTTCTTTTTTTACTAATACTTAAGATGGAAGCTTAGACAATTGATTTTAGACCTTTCTTTCCTAACAAGCACTTAAAGTTATAAATTCCCCCTTTTACGCACTATATTAAGCATGTCATACAAAAGTTGATGTTGTGTTTTCATTATCGTTGAGTTAGAACTATTTTCTGACTGCCCTTTTGATTTCTTCTTTTACCCATAGGTTATTTGGAAATGTCTTGCTTAATTTCCAAATATTTGGGAATATTCTAAATATCTATTTTTATCAATTTCAAATTTAATTCTGTTGTGGGTAGAGAATATATTTTATGTGATCTCAGTCTTTTTAAATTTATTCATACTTGTTTAAGGCCCAGCATATATGCGTGAACATTCTATGTAGACTTGAAAAGGATATATATTCTGTAGTCGTTAGGTTTAGTGTTCTATAGTACCTTCAATTGGCTTTAAAAAAATTTCTTTTTTTTTTTTTTGAGGCAGAGTCTCTCTCTGTCGCCCAGGCTGGAGTGCAGTGGTGTGATCTCGGCTCACTGCAACCTCCGCCTCCTGGGTTGACGCCATTCTCCTGCCTCAGCTTCCCGGGTAGCTGGGACTACAGGCACCCGCCACCACGCCTGGCTAATTTTTTGTATATTTTAGTAGAGACGGGGTTTCACCGTGTTAGCCAGGATGGTCTTGATCTCGTGACCTCGTGATCTGCCCGCCTCGCACCATTGCACTCCAGCCTGGGCAACAATAGTGAAACTCCGTCTCAAAAAAAAAAAAAACAACTATCCAGAATTTACTATTATTATTAATTATTATTATTATTATCATCATCAGCAAGAGTGGCATTATCAGTAATTTGTTTTTTTAATATATTATTTCTCAGCAACATACTCTCTTTGAAAACATTTTGACAGCAGATTTATTAAAATACAATATAAACAGATTATAGTTTGTGTGATTTGATGTGTAATAAATATCTTTATCCAATGTATGCGCTTTAAAGCAATTATAAGATCTTTATATGTATTAAATAATATTATTTTTTAATATTCATACTCCTGAAAAAAAATTTTAATTTTTTTAAGATTTATTACCTCAGTTAACAATGTGATAGAATATGTTTTATTAACCAACACTTGGTACAGAGCCTGATATATTTGCTGAATTTAATTAAAAGTTTGTCTTTTCACCAAGGCACACTGAATAGTTCCTTCTCTTCACAGTGGTCTCACGTGTGAAACATGGCTACAGATTGGCTGGGAAGTATTGTGTCCATCAATTGTGGAGATAGCTTGGGTGTCTATCAGGGAAGAGTGTCAGCTGTGGATCAGGTCAGCCAGACCATTTCTCTCACCCGGCCTTTCCATAATGGAGTGAAGTGTCTTGTTCCAGAAGTCACCTTCAGGTGAGTGTCCTGACTGACTCTTCTGAATCCAACCTGGTGGTCTGTGGAGCTTGAACCTAGGTCTGATTGCTAGTATTCTCTTGGCATATGGCCGCTTTTTGTATTTTTAGTAGAGATGGGGTTTCACTGTGTTGGCCAGGCTGGTCTCGAACTACTGGCCTCAAGTAATCTGCCCGTTGTGGCCTCCCGAAGTGCTGGGATTTCAGGTGTGAACCACCATGCCCGGCCTATACTGTTTATTTCCTCTTTGCATTCCGATATTCATTCCTTGGCCTCCCCTTTATTAAAAACAACCCTCTCCCTTAGATCTTGCATTTGCCACTAGGTATTGTTGTGTCATTTCCCTTCCCTTTAACCCATAATCCTTGTCAGAGCCAAATAATCTGCTTTCTCTATCTTTTGTGGCTTCATTCTCTAGAACCTCCGTACCCTACCATTATCTTTTTTTCTAACTTTGTCATCTTGCTGAATTAGTTTTTGCCAAGGTTACAAATAACCTAATGGCCAAATTCACTGACAGTATCTCAATCCCAATCTCATTTGAATGCTCCCTGATGGGTGCAGTGGCTTATACCTGTAATTCCAGCACTTTGGGAGGCCAAGGCAGCAGTATCACTTGAGGCTAGGATTTCAAAACTGGCTAGTCAACATAGTGAGACCTCGTCTTTACAAAAGAAAAATTTTAAAAATTAGCTGGGTGTGGTGGCATGTGCCTGTAATCGCAGCTACTCCTGGGGCTCAGACAGGAAGATCACTTGAGCCTAGGAGTTGGAGACTGCAGTGAGCTATGATAGCACCACTGCACTCCAGCCTGGGTAATAGAGCAAGACCCTGTCTGTAAAAAAATAAATAAAAATAAAATGCTCCCTATCTTTTAAAGTACAGTACTGTCCTTTAGTTTCCCTGTCACCTCTTTGGTTTTTCTTTGCATGTATTCCACATATTCCTCCATTCCTTTACTTTTTTTGTTGTTTTTTATGTTCCTTTTCTTCTACTCACCTGTTAAGATTGAATTACTCAGGGTTCTATCTTTGGTTCTTTTCTCAGCTTTTATTCTCTAGACAAACTCTTGTGTACTCTATATGTTAATGAGACCTCAAATCTTTTTTTTTTTTTTTTTTTTGATGGAGTCTCACTCTGTCACCCAGGCCGGAGTGCAGTGGCACGATCTTGGCTCACTGCAAACTCCATCTCCCGGGTTCATGCCATTCTCCTGCCTCAGCCTCCCGAGTAGCTGGGACTGCAGGTGCCCGCCACCATGCCCGACTAATTTTGTTTTTATATTTTTAGTAGAGACGGGGTTTCACCGTGTTAGCCAGGATGGTCTCGATCTCCTGACCTTGTAATCTGCCCTTCTCGGCCTCCCAAAGTGCTGGGATTACAGGTGTGAGCCACCATGCCCCAGCCAAGACCTCAAATCTTTAATTTAGTCCCATTATGAGACAGACACCTTGTCTGCTGGTCATTTCCATTGGACATCCCACAAGATATCTTAAATGCAAGATTTTCGGAGCTAATCTCGTTATGTTTTCCTGTAGATTTGTTTTTCCAAGGGCATACCCATTATTTATGACTAATAACACCTTTCCCCTATGTTAGAAACTTAGGAGTCATAATAAACTCTTCTTTCTCTTTAATCCTCGTGTTCAGTTAGTTGCCAAAATCGTATGGATTCGAAATGTCTCTTGATCCCTTCTCCCTTTGTATTACCGCTTGCTTGGTTCATCCCCTCTTATTTCTTGCTTGGTCTTCTAACTGGTACCACTGCCTCTTTTTTCTTCTCCTTCCCTATAGCCACCAGGAAAATCCATTGTGATCATGATGTGGTCCTTGGTTACCTCTGCAACCTTACTTCCTGATGGCCTTCCACAACATCCGTCCCTTTAGTATCACCATAACACTTGCAGTTCCTCACGTGGGCCATATTTTCTACATTTCCTCAGTCTCTGAGCCCCTACCTGAGATGCCTTTCTCCCTGCTGTTCTTTGCTTAGCCACTCATTCCCCCTGCCCTGGCCAGATTTAGCTTAAGTATTGCATTCATCTCCACCAGACTGACTTAAATATTTTGCTTTTAGGCTCTCTAGTCTCCTATGCACACCTCTGTCATAACATTTAACACTTAAAAAAAAAAATTTTTTTTTTTTGAGACAGAGTCTCACTTTGTTGCCCAGGCTGGAGTGCAGTGGTGCGATCTCTGCTCACTGTAACCTTTGCCTCCCAGGGTGAAACGATTCTCATGCCTCAGCCTCCTGGGTAGCTAGGATTGCAGGTGCGTACCACCACACCCGACTAATCATTTCTATTTAGTTGAGACAGGGTTTTGCCATGTTGACCAGGCTGGTCTCGAACTCCTGGCCTCAAGTGATTCGCCTGCCTCGGCCTCCCAAAATGCTGGGATTATAGGCATGAGCCATGGTGCCCAGTCCATTTAACACTTTTGATTGAATATGTACTTGTCTTTTCCACTGACCAGACTGAGTTCCTGTGGGCACGTAGTGGTTTTCATCTCTATATACCAGATCAAAATAGTTCATAGTGCAGGGCTTACCACATAGTAAGTATTTTATATACTCCTGTTGAATGAGCGAGGGAGTGAATGAATGAACAAAAGCCATTAAACATTGTGGGAATGTAAGATTAATACAGTTTTGTTGTTAGCAATAGCCTCTCTTTTTTTTTTTTTTTTTTTTGAGACAGAGTCTCGCTCTGTCGCCCAGGCTGGAGTGCAGTGGCGGGATCTCGGCTCACTGCAAGCTCCGCCTCCCGGGTTCACGCCATTCTCCTGCCTCAGCCTCCCAAGTAGCTGGGACTACAGGTGCCCGCCACTATGCCCGGCTAATTTTTTTTTTTTTTGTATTTTTAGTAGAGACGGGGTTTCACCGTTTTAGCCGGGATGGTCTCGATCTCCTGACCTCGTGATCCGCCCGCCTCGGCCTCCCAAAGTGCTGGGATTACAGGCGTGAGCCACCGTGCCCGGCCAATAGCCTCTTTTTAAAGGCTAGCATTGTGTCAGTTGGATAGTTGGTGGCTGACCCCTGTCCTTAAGCACACAGCCCCCTTTCCTAGCCTCTGATAACTCAATAAAATGCAGTCCTGCAAAGGGGTAGCTGTTTGCTAATGATCTCAGTTTCATCATTCTTACCACTATTATAATTTTGAGACTTGGCTTTTTTGTGTATTTCAGGGCAGGTGACATTACGGAGTTAAAAATTCTGGAGATACCAGGACCTGGAGACAACCAACATTTTGGAGACCTTCATCAAACAGAATTAGGCCCCTCTGGTGCTGGCTGCCAAGTGGGCATCAATCAGAATGGCACAGGCAAGTTTGTCAAGAAGCCAGCCTCTTCCAGCAGTGCCCCTCAGAATATCCCTAAGAGGACAGATGTGAAGAGCCAGGATGTTGCCGTTTCCCCGCAGCAGCAACAGTGCTCAAAGAGCTATGTCGACAGGCACATGGAATCCTTGAGTCAGTCCAAAAGTTTCCGTCGTCGGCACAACTCCTGTAAGTAGGGTCAAGTTGATATTTCTTCTCAATCTGGTGTTTCAGGGCTATAAGCCATAAGCACTGCTGCTCTTTAAACAAATCCTTTGTTATTCCAATAAAATGGATGCTGGCTGAGCGTCACAGAAATACAACATGGTTCTCTTCCTCCAGGCCTCATTCCTCAAGATGTTAAGGGAAAGGAAATAAGCTGTTAGGGATGCCTGTGAGCTTCCTGCCCTCTCTTACCACTTCCTTCAGGAAAAGTCTGCCCAGAGTTTACTAACAGTGATGTTTTAAATCCAGGAACTACTGGGCGTGGTGGCACGCATCTATAGTCCCAGCTACTTGAGAGGTTGAGGCAGGAGGATTGTTTGAGCCCAGGAGTTCAAGGCTAGTCTGGGCAAAATAGTGAGATTCTGTTTCTGAAAAAGAAAAAAAAAAAAACTTAAATCCTGTTACTGATGTTGGTAGTAGTGTTTGAGTTGAACCTGCACTTGGGCTGTTCCAGAGGATTCTTGAGTAACTTTTCTTCCTGTGATTTGAGTCTCATCCTCAGAAGAGAGGAGGGGACTGATCCAAACATCTCTGTGATCTTTGATTTTCTAGCAGACAATTTTTAATTTGCTGTATTTGTTCCTACTGACACACCAAGAAGAATGTGCATTGGTCTCTGTTGCTGCCCAGTTTTGTTTGATACTAACACATTATTAAATGCCATTTGCTGATTATAAAACCATAGTTGTGACCAGGCACGGTGGCTCACACCTGTAATCCTAGCACTTTGGGAGGCTGAGGCGGGCAGATCACCTGAGGTCAGGCGTTTGAGGCCAGCCTGGCCAACATGTTGAAACCTCGTCTCTGCTAAAAATACAAAAATTATCCGGACGTGGAGGTGCATGCCTGTAATCCCAGCTACTTTGGAGGCTGAGGCAGGAGAATCCCTTGAACCCAGGAGGCAGAGGTTGCAGTGAGCTGATATTGTGCCACTCCAGCCTGGGCGATAGAGCGAGACTCTGTCTCAAAAATAAAATAAATAATATAAAATAAAACCATAGTTGTGTTGGTGGTATGATGGTGAGCATAGCTGCCTTCCAAAACCATAGTTAATTCACTAGAACTGTTCTTCTCCAACATATTTACTAGAATAATGTTACAATAGCGAATCATAACATTCACTGGAATCTGTTATGCTCCTTAAATTAATATGAATGTTGTTTTAAAAAATTACTTCCAAATGCCAAACTATTCTTATTTTACTTAGATGGTTTTGTACTCACAGATGGTAGCAGAATGTATTAGAAATTTTAAGTGAGAGGCTGGGTGCAAGTGGCTCACACCTGTAATCTCACTACTTCAGGAGGCTGGGGCAGGTGGATCGCTTGAGCCCAGGAGTTCGAGACCAGCCTGAGCAACATGGCAAAACCCCATCCCTACAAAAAAAAAAAAAAAAAAAAAAAAAAAATTAGCTGGGCGTGGCAGCGTGCACCTGTGGTCCCAGCTACTCAGGAGGCTGAGGTGGAAGGATGGCTTGAGCCAGGGAGGCGGAGGTTGTGATTAGCCAAGATCATGCCACTGCACTTCAGCCTGGGTGACAGTGTGAGACTGTCTCAAAATGAACAACCAAAAGAAATTTTAAATGAGTATTCATTAACTCATTTAAAATTATAAGCTAGAGTCATGCTATGGCAATACCTTCTAAAAGGCACAATTTAGAGTGAGCTAGGTCTCTCTAGACCCCACTCAGAAAGTTTATTACATAAAATTCCGGATACTTCTTGCTACCATTGTTGCTCCTCACACTGTGGTCCTGGTGGCAATGTAGTAAGGTTTTAGTGTGCTGGGTGAATTCTATTAGTAGCTTGTGGTGTGACACCTGTGTCAGGGGCCAACATTTTAAGTTTTGGAGATGCCTGATTCAAGTGAATAAACAACTAAATTAAAACTAATTTTTTTTTTTTTTTGAGATGGAGCCTTGCTCTGTTGCCCGGGCTGGAGTGCAGTGGTGTGATCTTGGCTCACTGCAACCTCCACCTCCCATGTTCAGGTGATTCTCCTGCCTCAGCCTCCCTAGAAGCTGGTACTACAGGCACTTGCTGCCATGCCCGGCTAATTTTTTTTTTTTTTTTTTTGAGACAGAGTTTCGCTCTTATTGCCCAGGCTGGAGTGCAATGGCGTGATCTTGGCTCACCGCAACTTCCGCCTCCTGGGTTCAAAAGATTCTCCTGCCTCAGCCTCCCGAGTAGCTGGGATTACAGGCATGTGCCACCACGTCTGGCTAATTTTGTATTTTTAGTAGAAACGGGGCTCCATGTTGGTCAGGCTGGTCTCAAACTCTCGGCCTCCCAAAGTGCTGAGATTACAGGCATAAGCCACTGCGCCCGGCTAATTTTTGTATTTTTAGTAGAGATGGGATAATGCCATGTTGCCCAAGCTGATTTCGAACTCATGACCTCAGTTGATCTGCCTGCCTCGGCCTCCCCAAGTGCTGGGATTACAGACGTGAGCCACTGCACCTGGCCTAAAAAAATGTTTTAATGTATGTAATATACAGTTTCAAGGTAGTTTCCTTTGGTGCATATGAAACAACTATCTGAAATGACGATGTTTGCAAATATGAGACTGAAATTCAGTTGTGACTTCTGTATCCTTAGAAAAACTGTAGAATGCTTGGATAGAAAATGATTCTTTCCATTTAGACTTTAACCTTTTTCTTTCTTTCTTTCTTTCTTTCTTTCTTTCTTTCATTCATTTTTGAGACAGGGTCTTGCTTTGTCACTCAGGTTGGAATGCAGTGATACGATCACAGCTCACTACAGCCTTGAACTCCCAGGCTCAAATGATCCTCCCACCTCAGCCTCCTGAGTAGCTGGGACTACAGGTGTGTGCCACCATACCTGGCTAGTCTTTTTACTTTTAGTAGAGACAAGGTCTCACTATGTTGCCCTGTCTGAAAATCTTTTTTCTTTTAGCAGAAATTGTTGATTTGTTAGAAGTTCAAATAGGCAGTTTATAATCTTCCGTGCACTTGAAGATGACCCTTATTAGCAATTCATATTATTTTTTTCTACACATTTTTCCCCGTTATTAACGTCTTACATTTGTATGGTATACTTGTTATAATTATTGAACCAATGTTGATGCATTATCATTAAACAAAGTCCATATTTTATTCAGATTGCCTTAGTTTTTACCCGGATGCCCTTGTTTCAGGATCCTGTCCAGCATATCACATCATATTTGGTAGTCATTTCTCTGCTTGGCTCTTACAGTTTCTCAGACCTTCCTTGTTTTTGATGACCTAGACATTTTGATGAATACTGGTCAGGTATTTTGTAGAATGTCTCTCAGTTGGTACTTGATGTTTAAATCATGATTAGACTGGGGTTATATGTTTGGGGGTGGAAGACAACAGAGGTAAAGTACCATTTTCATCACCTTGTGTCAAGTGTATATATTATCACCATGGTTTATAACTTTTGATGTTCACCTTGATCACCTGGCTAAAGTAGGATATATCTAGTTTCTCCTCTGTAAAGTGACTCTTTCTTCCCCTTTACATATGTACTCTTTGGAAGGAAATCACTATGTGCAGCCCACACCCAGGGAGTGAGAAGTTATGTCCCCTCTCCTTGAGGACACAGCATCTTCAGACATTACTTGGAATTCTTTTATGCCAGAGATTCCTCTCTTCTCCCCCATTTGTTTATTTATTCAGTCATTTATTTATATCAGCATGTACTCATGGGTATTTATTTTATACTTTGGCTTATAATTCAATATTACTTTATTTTGGTACTCAAATTATTTCAGTTTTGGCTAGTCTCCAATCTTTCACTTGGATCTCATGTCCCTTTGACATACTCCAATCATTGTGGATTTTATTTTTTTTTTTTTTTAGTACTTAGGTACTTTCTCACACTGAAAGATGCTTACTACTACCACTACTACTACTACTACTGCTGCTGCTGCTGCTTCTCCTCCTCCTCCTCCTCCCTCCTCCTCCCTCCACCCCCTCCCTCTCCCCCTCCCTCCTCCCCCCTTCTCCTTTCTTTCTTCTTCACTAGGGATGCTCATTGCTCCTGGGTGTCACCCTTATAGCTGACAGCAAGAAAATGTGTATACTTCTCTGCAGAGTTCACAGAAAAGAAAATATATGTGTGTATATTTAACCAGCATATATATACATATTTAAATATTTCTATATGTAACTATGTATATTGTACTATACTAAGTATGAGTTCATACTGATGTCTCCAACTTTAATCCATTACCACATGGATCCTTCTAGCCTTCTCCTTTTGCTTGTCTGTTACTTCTCACTCCAACAGTGAGAAACCTGTCTCCTATTGTCATTCATTCTTTACATAATTATTCAATTCCAGTATACATGTATAGTGGTATCAGAATTATTAACTTGTATCGCCATTCCTGTGGGAGACTATCAAACAGAATGTGGTGCTTACGTACTGTTTCTTTTGCCTTTCATCTGACTCCATTCATTTCTAGAGTTATTTAGGTCTCCCATTTCCTTCATTGACTTGTTTCATATATTCATAATACAATTAATTTGTTTTATCACATTCTGCATTCCATCCTGGGATCTTCTAACCTCCTAAATGATTTTTAAAAATTTGCAAACACTAAGGCTCACTCTTTGTGCTGTAAAATTCTGTGGGTTTTGACAAATACATAGCATCATGTATCTGTCATTACAGTATTAAACAGAATAGTTTCATTGTCCTAAACAATCTCTTGTGCCTTACCTGTTCAACTTCCCCCACTTCCCCCTGGCAACTACTGATCTTTTTATTATACCATCCCTGCAGTTTTGCATTTTTCCAGAATATCACATAATTAAAATCATACAGTATGTAGCCCTTTTCAGACTGGCTTCTTTCACTTAGCAAGATGCATTTAAGATTCATTCATGTCGTTTTGTGACTTGATAGGTCATTTCTTTAATTGACGGATAATGTTCCATTGTGTGGATATATCAATTTGTTTACCCATTCACCTATTGCAGGACATCTTGGTGGCTTCCAGGTTTTGGTTATTCTGCTTTTGCTGTTTTGTCAGTTTCCTTTTTCTAGATTGTTAACTGTACATAAATGAGGTAAAGAGATCATAGGGCAGTAAAATGTTACTATTTTTCAAGAAACTTATGTAGAATCCAGATTAGTTTGGAAAATGTTTGTGGCCTGGGAATGGCAATAAGACGTGGCTCAGAATAGGTTTCTGATAGAAGGTAGAGTTATAATTATTTTTCCACTCATTGAGCCCTGTAAGTAAAAAGGTCTGCCTTAGAATTTTCTCCAGTTTATGTACATTGATATTGAGACTAGTAGATTGATGAAGCTATAGAAATATAATCTGTCGGCCGGGTGTGGTGGCTTATGCCTGTAATCTTAACACTTTCGGAGGCTGGGACGGGCAGGTTGCCTGAGCTCAGGAGTTTGAGACCAGCCTAGGCAACATGGTGAAACCCCGTCTGTACACAAATACAAAAAATCAGCTGGGTGTGGTGGTGGGTGCCTGTAATGCCAGCTACTCAGGAGACTGAGGCACAAGAATTGCCTGAACCTGGGAGTCGGAGGTTGCAGTGAGCTGAGATTGTGCCACTGCCCTCCAGCCTGGGCAACAAAGCAAAACTCTGTCTCAAAAAAAAAAAAAAAAAGGAAAGAAAGAAATATAATCTGTCTTCAGTTCTGGCTTTTAAGTGTTCTTTCAGGATTGCAATAAGGAGTTGAGGAATTTGTTGGTTTATAATAGTTAGCTAATCCAACACTGATGATTTAGCACAAGCAGATTTTAATCTCTTTTCGGGTGGGAGTGGGTTTAAAGAATCATGTAAAGAATAGTTTTTCTGTGACCATTCAGAATGTTTGTCAAATAGACATAACATCAGTCCCAGGGAGCAGAGGGAAACCAAGCCTTGTTTAGGGTGCAGCTCTGTGTATGGGTATAATTCATATTTATCAAATCCCATGTCACAGCTGAAAATGGTGACCATGAGGGGCAGATGAAAGGCATCCCTCTCTGAAATCTTAGTCTATGAGCTTGAATAGTCATTGTAACATGCAGTTGAATAAAAATTTAACAGTTAAGTTAAGGCTCTTTTGCCTGTAGAACATGAAAGTAGATAGCTGAGGCTGGGCATGATGGCTGATGTCTCTAATCCCAGCACTTTGGGAGACTGAGGTGGGCAGATCACCTGAGGCCAGGAGTTCGAGACCAGACTGGCCAACATGACGAAACCCTGTCTCTACTAAAAATACAAAAAATTAGCTGGGCCTGGTGGTGCATGCCTGTAATCCCAACTACTTGGGAGGCTGAGGCAGGGAGAATTGCTTGAACCCGGGAGGTGGAGGCTGCAGTGAGCCGAGATCGTGCCATTGCACTCCAGCTTGGGCAACAAGAGTGAAACTGCATCTCAAAACAAACAAAGTAGATAGCTGGCCTTTAACTCATTTATATTTAGAGAGAGGTGGTCCTATAGGCATGACAGTGCCTCTGTTTAGTGCTGATTTCCCTTTTTCTCTTTGTTACTGGAGGTGGAGAGAAATGAGGGATGGAATTGAACCTTTTAAATGGAAAGATGGTCGATATTATCTTGTTGCAGTATGGTTGGGCTTTAACGGTCTGTTCATTTTAACAGTCATCCCACCACCTGAGGCAGGAAGTGAATTTTGCCAGGTTTTCATGGTTCTACTGAGGTTTTCTTGACTTTTAAACTTCCTTGGATGTGCTTCATATATCTAATAGGCTTGAAAACCCAGGGCCTAGAATTTGAGAGTTGAGAAGAAGGTCCCATATATTCTCAGGCACCTTCTCATGATGCCTGTTTAATCTGGCAGTAAAACATTTGTAGTTTAACATTCAGGTACCCTTTAGTGTGATAAGTGCAGGACAAAGTTCCCACTTACAGTGTGTGTGTGACAAAAACCAATAAATAAGTGGCACTGAGGGTTACACAACAATGGGTTTGTTACAAGTTGTCCTGGCCAAAGGGCCTCTGTGCCAAAGGGTGGCAGAAAAACGGCACAGGAAGGCAGCCAGCCTGCAGTACTTGCATGGCCCTTGTAATTGAAAGGTAAAGAAATCTGGGAAGACTGTTTGTCTTTTCCAAGGGAAGTGCTTTTCTCTCGCAGTGGCCAAAGGCCAGTTTAATGCAGAGCCAGGCCCTTTGGGATGAGTAAGCCAAGTACTGAGACAGCTTGTTCACTCAGGACTTCCTAATATTTGTATTAAAGTATGAGGAAAGGGAAGAATAAGAGACAACTGAGCACATTAGCCTGCCTTGCATTTATTTTATGTTCTCTTATCTTTCTCTTACTGACCTGTGATGTCAGTATTTCCTCTTGGGAAATATTTTTCACACTCTGCTTTCCTGACAGTGTTTAGAACATAGCTAGTCCTTAGTGTCTATGTCTCAAATGAATGAATCAACTCTGCATTTAGAGGAGTACAGGAAAACACCTGAAACCTTCTTCATACAACATCTCTGGGTTTTGTTGTAAGTTATGTTTGTAGAGTCCTACAGTTGAGCCAGAAAATGATGACCAGTGCCCAGCATCATTAAGGCAGAATTAAGGCGTCTCCCACTGTGGACCCTGTTAGTCTTTATAGTGGGGCACTTTGTCAACATGCTGTGAACGAACTTTACAGCTAGTCATGTTTGTTTTCTTTACTTTTCTACTTTGCATTTCAATAGCTCCTCATCATGTGGCATGATATGAAGTGGGTACTATTTATTAGCTTTTTTTTTTTTTTTTTTGAAACTGAACAAAAGTTTTCTTTCTATGCTGCACTCTCTCCTCCCAAATAAAAGTTGCGTATCTCTTAACGCAAAACGCTTGGGACCAGAAGTGTTTCAGATTTTGGATTTTTTAAAAAGGATTTTGGAGTATTTCTGGAATACATACCAGTTGAGCATCCCTAATCCAGAAATCCAAAATGCTCCAATCAGCATTTTCTTTGAACATCACGTTGGCGCTCAGAAATTTTTGGATTTTGGATGTTTGGATTAGGGATGCTCAGCTTGTGCTTTTGAACATTCATATTGGTGTTCAGTGGTTAGCGCACTGCTTAGGGCTAACAAATACTGGGCTAGTGGTTAGAGAAGCAACTTATGCTTTTCTTTTTCTTTTTCTTTACATTTTATTTTTTATTTATTTATTTATTTTTTGAGACGGAGTCTTGCTCTGTCACCCAGGCTGGAGTGCAGTGGCGCCATCTCGGCTCACTGCAACCTCCACCTCCTGGCTTCAAGCGAATTCTCCTGCCTCAGCCTCTGGAGTAGCTGGGATTACAGGTGCCTGCCACCACACCTGGCTAATTTTTGTATTTTTAGCAGAGACAGGGTTTCACCATGTTGGCCAGGTTGGTCTCGAACTCCTGAGCTCAGGTGATCCACCCGCCTTGGCCTCCCACAGTGCTGGGATTACAGGTGTTGAGCCACTGCGCCAGGCCAGCTCATGCTTTTCAAACTTTAGTTCCAGGATAACTGGCCTTCTACCAGTGTCATTTGGCAAGTCTGACCTGCCTTCAGAGTATTTGGGTCTTTGGATTCTAGATTCTTTCCTGTTTTCTCCTATAACTGTTTTTGTGCCTCTACCTGTTCCTCTTTAGCAGTGTCTGTATCCTGTTTCCTCTGAGCTTTATTCTTGGTCACCTGGTTTCAGGAGCTTTGGGTTTTATCTGAATGGGAGTGATTTCCCATTTTGCTTCCTTAACCCTGTCTTCTCCTTCACTGATCAACTGCTTATTTTCATCAGTCATTGTAATAGTTCCAGGATAGTTCATTTTCAGTTCATATTGGACATGACTGAAGTTTTTCCACTGAAGCCCTTGCTTCGTAACTCTTTTATATTATATTATTGTCAACAACTTTATCTTCCTGGCCTTTTCAGTCATGTAACAAAGTTGGCATGATTTTTATTGCTTTTTCTTGTAGTTAATCTCAAGTTGCCCTTTTTTTATAACCTCTTTTTAGACTTCTAACTTTTGATTGGCTAGTGTTTGCTTTTTAAAAAAAAAATATATATATATATATATTGCTGTTTTTATTTCTTAATTCAGCAGAGTTTTGTGTACTTACGCTGAACTGGGCATAGTGTTGGGTGACAGGTATGAATGACATCATTCCTGCCCTCTGTTGGCTTATAAACTCCTTGGGAAGTTAGAGCAAGAACACAGATTAACTACAGAACAAAGTAGGTAATGTAGCATAAGTGCTAGGTCAGTGGTAACGCACACTGTTGTAAGTGGTCAGATGGGAGTGATTTTTTTAGCAAGGGTAGTCAAAGATAGTGTGTTTGGGCCGAGTCTGTAATAGCAAAAATGAGAAATAACTTAAAAGTTAATCAGTAGGTATGATCCATGTGCTGTATATCAATATGGTATGATCTATGATTTATGTGGCCATAAAAAGTAAGATACAGTATTTGAAGAATTTTTTCATGAAACTCGAGGATGCTCCTAAGCGAGAAAGCAGGATACAAAACTTTATAAGATGGATGCAAATTTTTTACTAAAAGAAAATCAAAATATTATGTGAATATTTAGAATTTTCTGCATATTTGGTATGAACATCTGTTAACAAACATTATTTTTAAAAAGGAATACTCCTTTCCTATTACCTTTGAATTATTTATTTGACCATTGTGCTGTACTGAATTGTTTTTCATTTTTGCATTGTGTGTACATTTTTTCTTTTTCTTTTTCTTTTTCTTTTTTTTTTTTTGAGACAGAGTCTCGCCCTGTCGCCCAGGCTGGAGTGCAGTGGCGCGATCTTGGCTCACTGCAAGCTCCACCTCCCGGGTTCAAGCGATTCTCGTGCCTCAGCCTCCTGAGTAGCTGGGATTACAGGTGTATTCCACCACGCCCAGTGCTGGTCTCGAACTTCTGACCTCAGGTAATCTGCCCACCTCGGCCTCCCAAAGTATTGGGATTACAGGTGTGAGTCACCACCCCTGGCCGTGTGTACATTTTCTAGACATTATCCTCTGTGTTCTTTTCACTTTGCCTAGACCATGACTGTGCGCCAATAAAACTTTATTTACAGAAACAGGCAGTGGGTTGGATTTGGCCCATGAGCTATAGTTTGCAGAGTTTTGATGTAGAGTATATACTTAGGGTGAAGTTAATTCATAATAGTTAATGTGGATTCATGTTTGGAATGACCTTCTTGATACTTTATAATTTGGGAGACCATCTTCATAGATTTAATTAATTTTTGACAACCTCATTCTAGCTAAAGAAGGCCTGTAAGAGGAATAGGGAAAGTGTTCTGCCATTTTCTTGTTTACTTATGATTACATTAGTATTATCGTTATTTAACATATAGTTTCTTTACAAGTATCTTTTTAAGCCACATACTCATTTTCGTATGCTTTAGTTAAAAATTGGCATGGTTGTATAGTGTGAATGCACTTAATGCCACTGAACTGTACACTTAAAAATGGTTAAAATGGTAAATTTTATGTAATGTATATTTTACTGCAATTTTAAAAAATTGATGTATAACCACTTGCATGGATAGACTTCTTGTTATGGAATGTCACATTTTCCTCAGATATCTCAAATATGGGCAGCAATTGGCTGGCATGGAACTTCATAAGGGTCCTGGTTTTCATCAATACATTAAAATTCATAAAGTTTAATTTCTACTGTTTTTAGTTAAAATAAAAATAAATAGAATATTCCGTATCTTCTTCCTACATCCTGGTGAATCGTTCTGTCCACCCCTGGGGAAACACATACCCACTGAAGAGTGACCACTGGGCAAGAGACCTATTTCTAATAGGATGTTTTGATTTAATATTGAGGCAGTACGTTGATAATCCTTATTCTTTTGTTCTTCCCTTGTCTGTGTATATTGCTAATGGTGTTATCCTGACCTTGTATTTTCATACCCATTCTGTCTTCCTGATCCAGCTCTGCTTTTTCACCCACATATGTAAAATATATGTATATATTTTCATATATATAAATATCATTATATATGCATATATTTTCATATACACACACACACACACACATATATATATATATATATATTTTTGGAGACGGAGTCTCACTCTGTCCCCAAGGCTGGAGTGCAGTGGCGCAATCTTGATCTCAGCTCACTGCAACCTCCACCTCCTGGGTTCCAGCGATTCTCCTACCTCAGCCTCCCAAGTAGCTGGGATTACAGGTGCACACCACCATGCCTGGCTAGTTTTTGTATTTTTAGTAGAGACGGGGTTTTGCCATGTTGGTCAGGCTGGTCATATACATATATATATTGCTCAGGCCGGAGTGCAAGTGGTGTGGACTGTGGCTCACTGCAGCCATGACCTCCTGGGCTCAAGTGATCCTCCCATCTCAGCCTCCTGAGTAGTCTCATCCATATTTCTTTCTCTTTATTTTATTTTATTTTTTTTTCTTTTGAGACAGAGTCTCGCTCTGTCACCAGGCTGGAGTGCAGTGGCGTGATCTCGGCTCACTGCAATCTCTGCCTCCTGGGTTCAAGCGATTCTCCTGCTTCAGCTTTCCAAGTAGCTGGGACTACATGTGCGCGCCACCATGCCCAGCTAATTTTTGTATTTTTAGTAGAGACGGGGTTTCACCATGTTGGCCAGGATGGTCTCGATCTCCTGACCTCATGATCCGCCCACCTCAGCCTCCCAAAGTGCTGGGATTACAGGCATGAGCCACCGCTCCCAGCCCTCTTTTATTTTATTTTTTAGCCAGGATGTGTTCTCATGTGGTTTTTTATTTTTTTATAAAGACAGGGGTCCCACTATGTTGCCCAAGCTGGTCTCAAACTCCTGGGCTCAAGTGATCTGCCCACCTTGGCCTCCCAAAGTGCTGAGATTTGGGCATGAGCCACTGTACCCAGCCCATCTCATCCATATTTCTATGGCACTTTATATAAACTTCTTTCTAACTCTAATCACATCATATTTTCATTATTTGCCTATATATATATATATATATATATATTTCTATTTTTTATTTATTTATTTTTTTGAGTCGAAGTTTTGCTCTTGTTGCCCAGGCTGGAGTGGAATGGCACAATCTTGGCTCACTGTAACCTCCGTTTCCTGGGTTCAAGCAATTCTTTCCCCAGCCTCCCGTGTAGCTGGGATTACAGGCATGCGCCACCACACCTGGCTAATTTTTTGTATTTAGTAGAGATGGCATTTCACCATGTTGATCAGGCTGGTCTTGAACTCCTGACCTCAGGTGATACACCCACCTCGGCCTCCCAAAGTGCTGGGATTACAGGCCTGAGCCACTGTGCCCAACATATTTCTTCTCTCTCCTTGTTGAGCAGCATGTCTTGGTTGTATTTTATCATCCTAGCACCTAGCTATGGCATAAGTGTGCTCTCACAGAGTGCTTCATCAAATTATTGGAACTAGAACTTAACCCAAACTGTGGCTAGCTTCATAGTGGTTCATCATCTAGCTGGCTGTGGTGTCTCAACCACTCTGCCTTACCTTCATAATTTTGGTCAGCCTTAGTGTTTTGTTTTTGTTTTGTTTTTTAGGGACAGAGTCTCACTCTGTCACCCAGGCTGGAGTGCAGTGGTGCATCTCAGCTCACTGCAACCTCCGCCTCCTGGGTTCAAGCAATTCTCCTGCCTCAGCCTCCTGAGTAGCTGGGACTACAGGCGCATGCCACCATGCCTGGCTAATTTTTTGTATTTTTAGTAGAGACAAGGTTTCACCGTGTTAGCCAGGATGGTCTCGATCTCCTGACCTCATGATCTGCCTGCCTCGGCCTCCCAAAGTGCTGGGATTACAGGCATGAGCCCCCGCGCCTGGCCTTGGTTTTTTTTTTTTTTTTTTTTTTTTTTTTTTCAGAGACGTAAATTGCATCTTCACTGCCATCACCACTTTTTCCACACCAGTACAAGGCATTAGGAATACTTGGGCATAAATTGTATTTGCATAGTGTATACCTTTCAGAATAATTATTGTAATTGATCTTGCTGATATTAATTTGTTAATGCTAGAAACTCTACTGGAGATAACCACAGTGAGCATTCTATATACAGGAAGTTAAGACCCTGAGAAGTTAGATGATGGTATAAGATTATATAATATTTTGGTGAGAGAACTAGATCCTAGCTCTCCAAACTCTTGGTCCTTTGGGTTGAAGGAGGTTGCAATGAGAAGAGTTAGGGCAGCATAGTTGGTTTAGTATATGTGAGGGGCTTTGCTTGGGATCATTCTAACCGTGACTTGAGTGTTTTCAGTAATTGAAGAGCCCAGTCTTTCAGAAGGAAGTACATTCCATTTATTTAGACTGTGATAGAGGTTCAGTCTGGCATACCAGTCACCTGATTCACGTTTTCAGGGTAGTCAGATGGAGACCAGAGCTTGATTCTCTGGGGGTGGGTGGTTTGGAGAATTCTGTGAGACCTTCTGCCTTGGCTGCTAGAGTAGTTGTTGACTGATGTGTAGTAGCCAAATAAGGTGTCAGAGACAGGGTGTGGCTGGCTACTCTGTTGTGGATGTGCATTAGTGTGGCCTCTACAGGATCAGTTCAGTATGGACCCTGTCATTATTTGGTGTTTCAGAAACTGCTTACCCACAAGAGATAAAATTCTGAGAAAAGAGATCACGTTAACCGAAAGGTCTAAAGAAAGGTTTGTAAGTCAGAATAGCAATTTGTAGTGGTAGGTGTATACCTGGCTCAGAATGTAGAATTTTTTGAGCAAACCAGGGATTCCCTGCTGCTGGGATCTAGCCTAAGACCAAATTAAAAATCAGAAGATTGCTTGCTGGGTAAGCATAGATTTAAGGACTAGCTGAATAGTATTTTCCTACAAGCTTCAGGCTATAAGACCAGGCCTTCTTTTACTCTGGGGGTATTTCTCTCTTAAACAACTGCCAGACACTCAGACTCAAACTGAAGCAGGATATTTCCCTTCCCTGACCTATTCACAGGACTCATGACAGGGGTGCCCCGTTTACTCCACGCACTGCTCTCAACTCCTTGCAGAAGGGAGTGTGCGAGAGAACAAGGCAGGAACTGGAGTGCACAAGCACTGGAACCTGGCTGTCTGTTTCAGTGCCAGTGGGATCAAACTCCACTCACTCAGACCCACTGTGTTCTACCCATTGTGGGAGGGAGTGCACATGTGAGCCGGTGCAGGAGCCAGAATGAGCGCTTCTGGGCACCAGCAGGAGCGAACTCTGTGCAGGCCATATGGCAGCATCTAGGTGGGGTGTCTACAACTCCTGAAGCCCCAGAGGATGTGTTATGGTGCTCTTTTAGCTCTGCCATCCACAGATGGCTTAAGTGTTAACAGCTCAGTGGGCCTGCAGCTGCCCTCTGCCAGTGAGGGCAAAGGATCAGTGTGACAGTCTTTTGTATCTGCACTCATGGCTTCTGAGCTTTTGTCCAGTGTCCAGGAAAAATGAGGTCACATGAATGAATTAAAGGATGGTAAATGTGGGTGATTTTATTTTTATTTATGTGGGAAGGGGAGCTGAAAAGGGGACAGTCAGTGGTGGGTAGGTAATTTTCCCCTTAAGTCTGGCTGTCTCCAGCCAAATTCTTCTCCATAGTTACACAGTCAAGCTATCCCTCTGAAGTCAAGCCACTTCTCTCTGACATCCAGCCATAGTCTCCAACATCCAGCTGTTTCTCATCTCTGCTGACTGAGTCTGGGGTCTTTATAGGCACAGGATAGGGTGGGGGCAGAGCCATGGGTGGTTTAAGAAAAGACAACATTCTAGTGGGAAAACAGGGATATAAGTTCTCACTTTGGGCCACAGTCTCAGCCTTTTCAGCTTCAAAGGTGGGGCTTCGCCAGGGACCCGCCTCTAGAATTTCTCTGCCTCCTGCCTCTGTCATTATGTCAAAACCACCATGCTATATTCTTACTCTTCCTCTTGTTTGCTAATAGTAAGTTGTCAGAAAAACTTTTGTCATTACCAGTTTCCTTATGAAGGGGATAACTGGTTAAGATTTCCAGGAGTACTGCTTATTTCATATTCATTAACAAGTTACTTGGGTAATATTTGTTGTTGTTTGTGTGTGTGTGTGTGTGTGTGTGTGTGTGTGTGTTTTGAGACAGATTCTTGCTCTTTGCCCAGGCTGGGGTGCAGTGTCGTGATCATCACTCACTGCAGCCTTGAACTCCTAGGCACAAGCGATCCTCCTGCCTCAGCCTCCCAATGTGGGATTATAGGCGTGAGCCACTGTGCCCAGATTGGGTGATGTTTGAAACCTATTATTGCACATGAGATTTGTTGTTTGTGCTACTTAATATGAGTTTGCAATAGTTACCTTTACCATTTTCACATTGGTTCCTGTAACACTCTCCACAAAAGACTAATGTATTTTCCACGTTCACTGAGCGCTTTCTGTGGATACACTGACTTTAGTCCCTATTTTTTCTCCAGGGTCATCTAGTAGCAGGCACCCAAATCAGGCAACTCCCAAGAAAAGTGGTTTAAAGAATGGCCAGATGAAGAATAAAGATGACGAGTGCTTCGGGGATGATATTGAGGAGATCCCAGACACAGATTTTGATTTTGAAGGGAACCTGGCTCTTTTTGACAAGGCAGCTGTGTTTGAGGAGATTGATACCTATGAAAGGAGAAGTGGTACCCGTTCCCGGGGCATCCCAAATGAAAGGCCCACTCGGTACCGCCATGATGAGAACATCTTGGAGTCCGAGCCCATTGTCTATCGACGGATCATAGTGCCCCACAACGTGAGCAAGGAGTTCTGCACGGGTGAGTTGCATCAGGTCCCACATCCTGCTGGTTGCTGTTGCCTTTCTATTATGCTTGAAACAGAAAGACCTGGCTTCTGAGTCAGAATCTCACACTAGGAATTAATTTAAGTGGCTTGGTGGCTGGCCCGGTATTATTGTCTCTTGGGGATTGCAGCCAATAACAGCATTCTGCCATGGTGGAGGGGTAATTTCTGTAGATGTCTGTGTATATCCTGTATCTGGTAGGATATGGCCTGCCACTTATTTAGTATGCTGTGAGTAACAACTAAAGGCAAAGGGCCTGCTATGTAGATTCAAATATTCAGATCTATTTTCACTTTGGCTTCTCTATTACTGCCCATACATTTCACCAGACTTCAACTCTGTTTTACTAATTATTTGTTGTTGCAAAAAAACAGTTGAAGATGGATGATTGGAATCATTGGCTAAAAATAGAGTTTTAATAAATTACATTTCTTTACTATGCTGTTCTTATCTCCTGTTAGCCCAGGACATTGAAAGTTGGCTAATTTCATGTAACAGTGTAGTGCCTTATGTAGGTCATTGTAGATGATAATCTAGTTCTATTACCTCAGTGATTATTGTTTCTTTTTTTAGCATTAGAACCTTTTCTTCAAACCTATGGCATATAAAACAGATTAAAGCAGTGTGAGAGAGGTAATTCATCACATCCGTGTCCCATCCCTTCCCCTCAAACCACATTACTAACTGGGCCTCTTGGAATATGGTTTGAAAACCATTGTTATTGAATGATCCTAAGAGCTAAAGGGGAAGTCATAATCATTTTAGTAAGTAGAGAAGGAATTGAGTATAATATTTTTATTTTGGTTTGAAGTTTGGAATATAAGGAATATAAATCTTGAATGCTGGTAGCTGCTATAAGGAGAACTGTGGACGCAGCTAATTGCATTTGGAGGAAAGCCAGACATGGCTTTTTTTTTATAGATAATAGTAGGACTCTGTTGTATTTGGTTTCGCTGAGTATAGTAGCTTGCATGTGCTTTCCATGTGAAAAAAAAAAATAGGCCAACTGTCAGGCTAAGAAAGACTGCTAAAAAAAAAACAAGCTGCTGAACTGTGTCAGTCTTTTGCTGGCAGATTCTGGTAGGCATGCCTGTTTATTAAGGTGGTTTCCTTAAGTGGCAGTGACAGTGACACTGTAACTTGCCGAAGTCCTTCGATTTTTAACACCTGTGTAAAGGCAAACAGCCTAGCTCAGAATCGGGTTTAATTTAAATTGCTAGGTTTTAAGCCTTTCAAAGGCAGTTATCATCTGTTAAGTCTGGTACTCCTCCAGATCAGCCAACTATCTACCTCTGACTGCTTCCTTTTTTACTGCCCTCTTTGTAAAAGAAGCTGCTCCTGCTGCTAGCTCTCTATATCTGTAGTCCAAGTGCTGCTGCTGAGGCTGTTGGTTTATGCAGCGTGTGATTTCCCTGGAACTATTTACACTGCAGGATTTTTTTTTTTTTTTTTTGAGACGAAGTCTCACTCTGTTGCCCAAGCTGGAGTGCAATGGCGCAATCTCTGCTCACTGCCAACCTCCACCTCCTGGGTTCAAGCGATTCTCCTGCCTCAGCCTCCTGAGTAGCTGGGACTACAGGTACACACCACCATGCCTGGCTAATTTTTTTGTATTTTTAGTAGAGATGGGGTTTCACTATGTTGGCCAGGCTGGTCTTGAACTCCTGACCTCGTGATCCACCTGCTTTGGCCTCCCAAAGCGCTGGGATTACAGGTGTGAGCCACCGCGCCCAGCCCTACACTGCAGGATTTTTTTAACTTGGGAAGATTATGATCTGCCCTGGAGTCAAGTGGCTAAGAGTGAGAATAACAGTGAGAATCAGGGAGAATTCTCAGAACTAACAGAGCATGAGAAAATATTTACTAACATGGACAAAAGCAGAGGTAGAAATTTTTTTCTGCTACACACTCTGGCTCCCCAACTTGATCTTCACACTTCTTTTGTTTTTAATGACTGAAGTGAAAAGTTCTGTCATATAAAATTATTTTCCTATCAATAAACATACCACAAACCACATGTGCTGGTCCTTAGCCAGAAACTTGGGTGTGGCGTCTTGTGGTATGTAGTGACCAGTTGCACTCCACTGGTTCATGACAATGAGGGGGAAAGAAGCCCAGCAGCTTCATGCCATCTGGTTTTTCTCTTTGTTCTTAACAGTGACAAGGAGTGGAAAGGAAGCCCTTTTGCCAAGCAGCGTCTGTGCTGGAAATAGAGCAAGCAGGCAGTTATCTTACTGAGCAACTTCTTCTACAGGGGGGTTTTCTCTGTGTTCGAGTTCCAAGGCACAATCCTCAAGCAGGTTTTCACTGAGGGGCAGTCAGTGCAGAGCTGGGGACACTTTCTCCATTGGATCTGCTATCCAAATGTTTGGATCAAAAAAGGCAAACTAGAATATATAGGGAAACAGTCTAAAAGCATAAAATGTTAGTGTTAGGTTAGTTGATCACCTAGTATGATTTTTTCATTTTACAGATGAGGACATGAGGCCCAGAGAGGTAAAGGTTTTTTTTTTTTTTTTGGAGACAGAGTCTTGTTTTGTCATCCAGGCTGCAGTGCAGTGGCGTGATCTCAGCTCTCAGCGCACCGCAACCTCTACCTCCCAGGTTCAAGCGATTCTCCTGCCTCAGCCTCCTGAGTAGCTGGGATTACAGGCACCTGCCACCATGCCTGGCTAATTTTTGTATGTTTAGTAGAGACGAGGTTTCACCGTGTTGGCCAGGCTGGTCTCAAACTCCTGGCCTCAAGTGATCTGCCTGCCTTGGCCTCCCAAAGTGCTGGGATTACAGGCGTCAGCCACCACGCCCAGCTGGTAAAGGGTTTTCCATTGGCCAGGTGCAGTGACTCATGCCTGTAATCCCAGCACTTCGGGAGGCCAAGGTGGGAGGATTGCTTGAACTCAGGAGTTCAAGACCAGCCTGGGCAACAAAGTGAGACCCTGTCTCTACAAACAATAGAAAACATTAGCTGGGCACGGTGGCATGTGCCTGTAGTCCCAGCTACTCAGGAGGCTGAAGTAGGAGCGTCTGAGCCCATGAGGTTGCGGCTGCAATGAGCCAAAGTCATGCCACTGTACTCCAGCCTGGGTGACAGAGTCAGACCCTGTCTCAAAAAAAAAACACAAAAACCTTACCCATCACATCTCCTTTTCTCTTCTAAATGTGAATAAAAATGAGGAAAAGGCCAGGCGCAGTGGCTCATGCCTGTAATCCCAGCACTTTGGGGGGCTGAGGCGTGTGGATCACGAGGTCAGGAGATGGAGACCATCCTGGCTAACACGGTGAAACCCCGTCTCTACTAAAAATACAAAAAAATGAGCCGGGCATGGTGGTGGGCGCCTGTAGTCCCAGCTACTTGGGAGGCTGAGGCGGGAGAATGGCGTGAACCTGGGAGGCGGAGCTTGCAGTGAGCGGAGATCGCAGCACTGCACTCCAGCCTGGGTGACAGAGCGAGACTCTGTCTCAAAAAAAAAAAAAAGGAAAAATATAAGAAGAGAAGGGCAGTTTAATGGCAAATAGACTACAGATGATCCTCCAACTTACAATGGTTAGACTTATCATTTTTTGATTCTAGGATGATGTGAAAGCAATAGTCAGTAGAAACTGTAGTTGAAATTATTAATTTAGATCTTTTCCTGAGCTAGCGATATGCAGGTATGATATTCTCTAATGCTGGGCAGCAGCAGGAGTCAAAGCAGTCAGCCGTGCAGTCATGAGAGTAAACAACCAGTATTCTACAGTGTACTGTTTTGCCAGATGATTTTGCCCAACTGTAGGCTAGTGTAAGTGTTCTGAGCAGGTTTAAGGTAGGCTAGGCTGAACTATGATGTTTGTTTGGTAGGTTAGGTGTATTAAATGCATTTTCAACTTAGATATTTTCAATTTATGATGGGTTTATTGGGATAACACTCATTGTAAGTTGAGGGACATCTCTGTAGTCTTTTCTTTAGTACTGCAGTCTCTCAGGAATGGACCAGCAGTTTACAGAAGTAACTTGGAGAGCTCCCGCAGTCTGGCCTTGTGGCATTCATGTCCTAGAATACCAAGTACTTTTGTACTAATCCCCATGGTAGCAAAAGAACAACATATTTATTACCCATTTGGTGATGGCTTGGGATTTAGGATTCTGACAGCTTGCTGCTGGTGCCCTATATATTGACTTCATGCTAAGTGGTGTCAACCAACAGTACATAAGCTATTATTCACTAATTGCTCATACTCCTCTTGGCAGTACTCTTTGCCAGCTGTGTGTGTTGTGATGGGGAACAGTGTTGTTTTAGGTCTATTGATTGGGAAAACACATTCAGGAAGCAACTAAATTTAGCTCTTTGTTTAACCCCAATTTTTTCTCTCTGGAAATTCCTTTCAGGTTCTTTGGCAGGGCTTCTGTCTCCCGCAGTCACGGATCATCAGACATTTCTCTAGCTTGGGCCTGCCCTGCTAAATAATGGTGTCCAGTGATCACACTCTGGATTGGCCAGGGTCTTTCTGGATCCAGACTTGTAATTTGAAATTCTTTGAAGACTGATTCTACGTGCATGTGTTAAGTTTAAATATAAAACACTAGATGTGTGTGAGCACTCTGTGTTCAGTGGTGAGAACTCCCCAAAGAATACTGCTTAGTAAAGTGGTAAGGCTTCAGAGAAGAATCTTTATTCAACACTCATAAGATTCTTTTTTTAATTTTTTTTTAAATTTTATTATTATTTTTTGAGACAGAGTCTTACTCTGGCACCCAGGCTGGAGTGCAGTAGTGCAGTATCAGCTCACTGCAACCTCCACCTACTGAGTTCAAGTGATTCTCCTGCCTTAGCCTCCCATGTAGCTGGGATTACAGGCACACACCACCACACCTGGCAAATTTTTGTATTTTTAGTAGAGATGGGGTTTCACCATATTGGCCAGGCTGGTCTCGAATTCCTGATCTCAGGTGATCTGCCCACCTTGTCCTTCCAAAGTGCTGGGATTACAGGCATGAGCCACCGCGCCTGGCCTAACACTCATGGTATTCTAAAGGAAATACTTTAAGACAGTTTGGGTCAGTCAAAACACTGTGTTTATTATGTTTATTATGTGTAACTGACTCTAAGATAGTCCTTGCCTTTAAGTTATGAAAATGTAATAGGAGATGGAAAGATTCCATATATGCCCAGAGTCCAGTGAAAGTGTGGACATTAAGTGCACTAGGTGTTGAGAGGCAGGAGAGGTCCTGTAGGCTGCATCAAGGAAGGCTTCATGATGGAAGCCTTGAAACATGGGCAGGATTTCACCAGGCAGAGAGAAAGAGGAAGATATTCATGGGTAGGCTAGGCAGGTGCAGGTGAATAGTATGAGTAAAGGGCTGTGTGGGAGACTGGTCATTAGCTGGCTTGGCCAGGGCAGAGAGTTTGTGCTGGGGAGTAGAAGGAACTAAAATATAGCTTTGGACCAGAGCATAGAGGGCCTTGTGTGCCAGTGCTATCCTTGTCCTGTAGTCATAGGGAACAACTGAAGGCTTTTGGATAGGAAAATGACATGATCCAAATCTCTTTTAGGAAGACTGGTCTTGTGGTAGGATTCCAGGTGGAACGAGAGGGGAGAGAAGAGACCAGAGCAGGACCAGTCATGCTCATGATGTAGTTTACATACTAGGGATTTAGACCATTGAATGGAAAGGAACACAAAGATATGAGGGAAGCAACAGAGGGCAATTTGATAGGCTATGATGATTGAAAACAGGGTTGAGTGAACAGGAGGATTTGGAGGTATTGAACCTGTGAGGCAGGAAGAATGGCAGCAAGTCAAGTTATCATGAGATTGCACGAATTTATAGTGGGCCAAGCCTACATGGTTTTGTGACCCCCCCCCCCTTTTTTTCCCTCCTGCAATGCTTTGTGCCTGAGCCCAGAGAAAGCAAAGGCAAGAGTTGCTACAATGAGGGATAGGGAGATGTGGGAGTTATTGGTTATTAAGAGCTTTAATGAGGAGTTAAAAGTTATATAGCCAAAGAGAGGCTACTAAGCTGGTTTCCTTATCTATAAAGTGGGCTAATACTGTGGATTAAATGAGATTATGTGGAAAAGTAGCTAGCACAATACCCAATCTGTAATTATTATTCAGTAAATATTTGACTTCAAATGTGAATTTGCAAAGGCCACCTCAGTAAGATTATTTCAAAGCATCAGCATTTATAGAATACCTACTATGTGCCAGACACTGTTTTAAATACTCTGGGTAAGTCATAGTTCATCACCTTAGGGGCCTCTGAGTATAACTGAACCAAATATGTAAATATACTAATAACAGAAGTGTAGTTGGCTGCAGTGGCTCACACCTGTAATCCCACCACTTTGGGAGGCTGAGGCAGGAGGCTGGCTCGCTTGAGCCTGGCCTAAGCAACATAATGAGACCCCATCTCTACAAAAAAATAAAAATAAAAAATTAGCCAGGGTGCTAACACGGTGAAACCCCGTCTCTACTAAAAATAACAAAAAAAAAATTAGCCGGGCGTGGTGGCAGGTGCCTGTAGTCCCAGCTACTTGGGAGGCTGAGGCAGGAGAATGGCGTGAACCTGGGAGGCGGAGCTTGCAGTGAGCTGAGATTGTGCCACTGCACTCCAGCCTGGGCGACAGAGTGAGACTCTGTCTCAAAAAAAAAAAAAAAAAAAAAATTAGCCAGGGTGTGATGGTATGTGCCTGTGGTCCCAGCTACTCGGGAGGCACAGGTTGGGGGATTGCTTGAGGCCAGGAATTCAAGACCAGCCTGGGCAACATAGCAAGATCCTATCTCAACGTTTAAAAAAAATGACTAGAATTCTTCCTTCCCTCTGTTGTAATAAATTCTCTATTCATGAGCCTTTCCTTCTGGGTAGACTTCTTTAACCTCCACCATTTGTTTTCTACTGTGCAGCCCTCTTCTGTCCTCAAGTATGTAAAAGCCCAGATGGGAGGCAGTAGGGTGCTCTTGGTGCAGGCATCTCTGCAGCTTTGCCTGAAGGATGATCCACTTCCACACTGTGCGCTGAGATTTAGGGAACAGGAAGTGTGTGAGGATGACCCGAACTAGAGTTCCTATTTATTTCCTTAAAAAGGATCCAGTTAAGCTTGAGTGAGGTGCTCTGGTCTGAGCTCCAGCACCTTTTACCAATACTCATTTCTTTTGGAAAAGGCAGTTCTGGTTTCTGCTAGGAAGGGAGGCAGCTGGTGAAGCCACAAATGATTTGTTCCTGTGGCTTTGTGACTCTACTCTTCTCACGCTGGCCGGCTAAGTCTTTGAGCCTTGGTGGGGATGTATCTAGCTCTTAGGACAAGTTTGGCTTTCAGAAAATTCCAGGCTAGCAGTTGTCTCTTTCACAGCTGGCATTCCATTCCTGCCTCTGAGCCGTAGCTGCCTTCCTCTGCTTCTTGTCACCAAGAGTCCCTCTAGAAGTAATCTAAGGCTTTCAAGACCAGCAGTGTTTTTATCTCCTCAAAAATAGGTAGTCAAGAAATCTGTTTTGATTTTTTTGCATGTGTGTTCAAAAGGAATTCAGGAAGAAATAAATCTTGGAGTTTAGAAGTGCCACTGAAGAATTTTACCTGGAGGTAGTGAGGTCTCCTTTGGCAGCTGTTGTACTCTTGCAGATAATTCTTCCCATTGAGAGAATCAAGTGTCTACCACCATGGAGCTGGTCAGCATCTCATTGCCTTCTCACCCATAGACCCAACCCATGCAGGGTCCTGCCTTGTCTCCCCATAACCCCCTCCCCAACTTCATTCCCCAACGGTATGTGTATGGATTAGATCAGGTGCCACAAGGATGTTATTCTGGGAGACATCAGGAAATAAATTCTGGGTGGTGTTCTGGACAGAACACCTGCACTGGATAAACCTGTGCTCCTCTGCGAAGTGTCACAACTTTTCACTGAACACAGCTAATGAGCCTAGTTTCTAAATTTGTGTCTCCAGCAGGCAGACTTCCCTGCCAGTGACTTGGTTGAGTTGGGGAACCTCAGGCTCTAGCAGATCCTTCAGTGCCAGGTGTGGAAGAATGTATCAGTCCCTTTCTTTACCTTGGAATCCTTCAGAGTTCCTGGGCCTGGATAATCGGGTGGATGGTTGTCATAGGCCTGAAGGGCTTGGTTATGATCATTGGTGATCTCATGAGGTTTTAGAGCAGTACTGTTAAGATAGGTGTCTTGGCTGGACTCCTACCCCAGTAATGAACCATTGTGCTTCTTACATGTTTTCCAAGAGTTTAAGCTCAAACCAAGGGCTAGAGGATCTGGAGCCTAGTGCATTAAAGCCTGACACCTGAGTTTTTATGAAACTGCCCATTGGTCATTCCAGAAATGCACTGGTCCCTGCTAATGTGACTGCTTTGCTAATATGTGCCCTCTTGCCATTCCAGAGCCACAAGTGCCTAGACAGAGTGAGAAAGGAGTTTGATTTCTATGTATATACCATTCTCTTGAAATTTAGCAATCAGGCTGAGGCAGATGGATCACTTGAGGTCAGGAGTTTGAGACCAGCCTGACCAACATGTTGAAACCCTGTCTCTACTAAAAATATAAAAATTAGCTATCCGTGGTGGCACATGCCTGTAGTTCCAGCTACTTAGGAGGCTGAGGCAGGAGAATCACTTGAACCCAGGAGGTGGAGTTTGCAGTAAGCCGAGATCGCACCACTGCACTCCAGCCTGGGCGACAGAACGAGACTCCTTTCTTAAAAAAAAAAAAAAAAAAAGGTCTGGAAAGGACTAGGGAGGTCATTTTTTCTAATTTAATATGCAGACACTGTGTTCTGTAGCAGCCTTGGCAACAGATTTTTCTTTATCCTCAGTAGTATTCATTCTGGCCCCAGAGTCTCTCCTTCCTTCAAAATTTCATTTGAAATTTTCATGACCTTTTAGTTCCTTATGCTATCCTATAGCTTCCCTATGTCCCTTGAAATCAATTCTCCTTGGTCTTTCTGTTCTTACTTTCTACCCCTGTCAACTTTATCCTGCATAAAACAGCTCAGCTTTTAAAACCTTCTGACCTTGGCCCTGCCCACTGCTCTACACTGAGCCTTCATACCACCCTCTGGGCTTCAGGCAGGGACATATTCATCTGCACATGTCACATGCATTCTGGCCTCTGAGAAGTTCATGGTTCTCCACTCCTACCTGGAGTCCCTCTTCTATTCATTGTGACTACAGTCCTGCCTGTCTTTCAAGGCATAGTTCAAATTGAGACCTGACATCTCCTACCTGTAGCTCCTGATTTGAAATTGATACTTTGCACTCGTGCTCAGGATAACACAGTTTAAGGCTGTTGTGTTATTTTCTGAAGTTTGCACCTATGTATTTTTTTGTTTCTAGTTAGATTATAAGACTGGGGGGCCGGACACAGTGGCTCACGCCCGTAATCCCAACACTTTGGGAGGTCGAGGCGGGTGGATCACCTGGGGTCAGGAGTTCAAGCCCAGCCTGGCCAATATGGTGAAATCCTGTCTCTACTAATAATACAAAAATTAGCTGGGCGTGGTGGTGCACGTCTGTAATTCCAGCTACTGGGGAGGCTGAGGCAGGAGAATCACTTGAACCCGGGAGGCGGAGGTTGCAGTGAGCCGAGATCATACCATTGCACTCCAGCCTGGATAACAAGAGTGAAACTCTGAACTCTGTCTCAAAAAAAAAAAAAAAAAACAAAACAACAACAACAACAAAAAGACTGGGAACGGTCTCTGTATTTCTACTCGTTTTATTTTCTCTGTTTCCCCGGCTGTTCCCCACTTCACCACTGACTTGCTTGATGTACTGTTACTCTATAAACATTTTTAAATCATATTTGGAAGCACTTAACTTTGTTTCCCTTTTTCCTTCCCAACTCTTTTTTGAGACAGGTCTCTCTCTATCGCCCAGGCTAGATAGAGTGCAGTGGCACAATCTCAGCTCACTGCAGCCTCTGCCTCCTGGGCTCCCCTGACCTCAGCCTCCCTAGTAGCTGGTACCACAGATATGCGCTGCCACCCACAGCTAATTTTTTTTTTTTTTTTGTATTTTTAGTAGAGATAGGGTTTCACCATGTTGCCCAGGATGATCTCGAACTCCTGAGCTCAAGTAATCTGCCCACCCTTGGCTTCCCAAAGTGCTGGGATTACTCTTTGGCCGGGCATGAGCCACCTGCCTGGCACCCCCCCCCCCCCAACTTTTTTTATTGAAAAAAATTTCAAACTTACAGAAAAATTGCTAGAATAGTATAATGAACAACCATATACCCTTCATTTAGATTCACCAGTTAACATTGTGACATATTTGTTTTATGTAAAATACATACGAGCACACACACATATTTCTGAACCATTTGAGATTTAGTTGTACTCATCATTAGATTTCATCCCTAAATACTTCCACAGCACATAAATTCAGTGTGATATATATTGCTCTACACAACCACACTACAAGATTGCTCTCAGCAAAATTTAAATTATTACAAAAATACTATCTAATATACTCCGTATGCAAAACTTCCCAATTATCCCAGTAATATCCTTTATAGCTGTATTTTTAATCATCCATTGCACATTACATTCAGCTGTCATATCTCTTCTGTTTCCTTTAAACTAGAACAGTTCCTACAACTTTTGTTGTCCTTTGTGATACTGATATTAGTGAAGAATCTAGGCCAATTGATTTGCAGAATGTCTTAGTTTTGATGTATTGTTTGTTTCCTTTTGATCTGATTCATGTTAAACATGTTTTCTAGGATTTTGGTAGGGCTGTGTCTTTCTCAAGGCGTCACATCAGGGAGTACGTCACATCAGGGAGTACGTCACATCAGGGAGTACATTGTATCCCCTTGTCCCATCACTGGGGCTGTTTGACCACTTGGTAAGGTGTTGACCACCAGATTTCTTCCTCGTAAAGATAATTTTTCCCTTCATAATTAGTAGGTTTTTGTTGAGCAGTTCTTTGCCTCTTAAAGTTCAAAGCTTGTTCCAGTGGAGCTTTAGTATGAAGGAATGAGGTCCACTGTGGACATGGGGCTGGTCTAGTTGTAAGTGGGGAAGGGAAGAGGTGGGGAGTCAGATTTATTTATATATATATATATATATATGTACACTTTAAGTTCTGAGATACATGTGCAGAATGTGCAGGTTTGTTACATAGGTATACACACGTGCCATGGTGGTTTGCTGCACCCAACAACCCGTCATCTACATTAGGTATTTCTCCTAATGCTATCCCTCCCCCACACCCTGACAGGCCCCGGTGTGTGATGTTCCCCTCCCTGTGTCCATGTGTTCTCATTGTTCAACTACCACTTAAGAGTGGAGTCAGATGTATTGAATGCAATGAAGGGAAGTAAGCAGCGTGCTGACACCTGACAGATGAGGAGCCCGCTGTGTAGGGGTAGCATTGGAAGAGAGAATAGAGCCCCAGAAGAGAGAATAAAGTGTTGGGATGGAGAAAGCATGTGAAGCGAACTGTCTCTTGAGGCCAGAAGGAACTTGGAGAATTTAGGAACCAGAAGGTGGCCAAGGGGTCTGGGGTACATGTTGGGTACCAGGTAAAGGTAGTGAGGTAGACAGGCCAGATCACAGCAGGTCTTGTGGGTCATAATAAAGAGTATCGTGAATGTGTAGTTAGGTTTCTTATAACAAATCCTTCCTTCAGAGAACACTTGACACTAAATTGCATTACTACCAGTTTGTGGTAGCTTTAGTGTAGATCTCCAGGGACTCTGTACATTGCTGGTCAGGGGGTATAAATTTACCAGTGGATTTATATCCCTAAAGGAACCAGTGTGACATCAGCACTCAGTTTTGTTGACTGCCACAGAAGAGAATCAGAAGTCATAGTCCTGGAGAAATCCCATGCCTGTAAATGAGCTGTGCTCCTTATTGATAAGACTTGGGACACATGCAGCCTTTCCAATTAAAGGGCCAATCAGTGAGAGGATTGAGTTAGATCTGAGATAACACTTTGTTGTGGGATCTTTGTTACACAACAGAAAGACTGGGCAGGTCTGAAGGAGAGAGGAACCTTGGACATGGTACTACTGAAGGGTGTCTGTGTCAGGGGGAGTGGGGACGCATATATGTGTCCATAAGGGAGGGAAAGGCCTGAAATGCTGTGTGCTGGAATGAGCAGTGCCAAAGTGATGACCTGACAAGGGGCAGACTGCAGCCGGCACGGGCACTGCTGGACCACTGCGTCCCATGGTCCGAAGAGACAGCCTCAGCCTCATGCAGTGGAAATCAGGTGTGCAAGGAGGAGTTTTCTTTCCTGGCCTGTACTGAGTGTACTTGTTGTCTTCCTTGATACCCTAAGGTCAATCAGATCCTAAGAAGTTCTCTGCTTGTCACGATCTGGTTATAATTATCTCTCCCTTTCTTGTTTCACCAGCAGCTGTAAAATACATATTAATGCTCAAAGAAACCCTACCAACTGATTTTACTGCCTTGATTCCCGAACAATAAAGATCTACCTTCCAACTCAAACATAATTAGACTTGGCCCATGTTCAGGCTTTGGCAGTGGCAGTGTTGTTGTTTGCAATTTACACGCTATGTTCTTGGTTCCTTTCCTTTGGAATTTATTTTATTCCCTTGGTCTGTTTCTGATAAGCCAGTCCAACTTGTTGGACTTACGTGTATAAATGTTTAAAAGGAACATTTTGTGGTGTTTGTACGTTCCTTTCAGAGGAACAGTCAGAGTAGAGTTCTAGACCCCATAACTGCCAGACTCTGAGCAGAAAGGCTCTTGGCTTTGTCTTTCTCTAGGCTGCAAAAATATGCTGATTCACCAACAGTGCCCCTTCCCCCAACAAAGATCAGTGAGGAGGTGGTAAGAGACTCACAGCTTCCAGCAGCAGCATCTAGCCAGCCGGTGGGGGGTGATGTCTCCTCTCCTGTACCATTAAGTTTTGTACTCTTAAGGACTGTGAGGGCACAGCTAGCAGAAAATGCTTCTGCCTGCTCCCAGAGAGCCCTCAGAATGAGGGGGCAGGGGAGGGGCTGCCTGCCTGTACACGTAGCACAAGAGCCAGACCTAGAAAGAATGCTTGATTTGTGGAGTAGCAGGCCCAAGACTCACTGCCCTGACCCATTTCAAATCTAACAGAAAGAGTCCTGATAAATAGGTGAAGAAATGCATAGACGAGTGAAAGCTCTGCCTTGCGTGACTCTGCAGGTAAAGAGGGTGTTTGAAGTAGTCAGGTGCATGACTTGTCTGACAGGTTTGAGTTGTTCGTGGCTTAGGACTTTTGAAAATTGTTCAGCCTAATTAGTTCTGATAATATGTGCGTGTCTGAAGCAGGCCATAAAAATGGCTGTTTTAATCAGCTGTTGACATGCAAGGTCAGTCTGCAGCCTCCAGCACTGGCACCTGAGATACCAATGACTGACATTTCAGAAAGAGGTGGGAGGAGAGACTCAGTGCTCCTAATGGCACTGTTTGTTGCCTCTCCCCAGCCCAGGAATAGGACTTGGGCAGGTAGAGGGGCTCAGTTAGCCAACAGGATAGTGTTAGTGTTTATTTGATACGTTAGACCTTTTTTATCATCATCATTACATGACATTGTTATTCTGCCTTCCCTGAGAGGATACAGACCTGGGTCCTATAGTTTCAGTCTTTGTGCTTGGTTTCCTGTTGTTAAAACATGAAGCTATAGCCTCATTCTCTGTGGCTTTAGGAATATGCAGGTAGGACTGGACCTGATAGATAACCTCAAGAGATTTCTCCCGACAGGACCAGTGAAGAAAACAGATTTTTCTAGACAAGGCTCTGGAACAATGGAAGGAGATAAATGTACTGAAAACTTTTATTAACTTTTATTCCCTAACTCTTCTACCTTAGAGTTAGGCCAGACCAGAAATGGCACTAGGTTTGCATCATTTATATGTCTGAGGACCTGATAAGAACTCAACTCCGTTGATAAGTGTAGCTGGAACAAGTTGAGAAGGCGAAGGCTGAAGAAGTAAAAGATTAATTTCCTTACCTCAGGCAGTTGACAGTCCAGTATAATTGAGGACACAGGATCTAAAAAGGTACCTGATCTAGCTGGACAAAGTGAGTGACGTGCAGTCCCACAGTGGCTTGCTGATTGGAATCTGCGTTGGTTGGTCCACTGGCCGGTGAAGCCAAGTGGGGCTCTTTGGGAAAGGGTCTGCTGGTTAGCCCAGTGGCTTTGGCATTTGTAAGATGGCATTGGCTTCTTGGAGGGAGCAATACCTTGGTTGTCAAGGTAAGAGCTGTCCATTGCAGATCCAAATTTTTGGGTTTGCTGTTTCTTTCCTGGTATGTTGACACTGGTGCATATAATAATACTATAGACTTCTTCACATACACCAGCTGCTGTAGATGTTGGCTTTGAGCCTTGAAAAACCAAGTATTTTCCACAGTGTACTTTCAGTGACTAATTCTCCCCAACTTTTATAAAAGTTACCCTTTTTTAAAGCCAGCCATAGCTTACTTAACTTGTACTGCTTCCCTGTTTCGTGAGTACTGGGTTACACCCAACTCAGATGGGGAGAAAATGATAAATTATTTGAGAAAACAACTTTGCTAGCTAAGTTTCTTAATCAAAAAGGAAGGGGTAAATAGAAGAGAGAAGGAAGAGGAAGAGGGAAGCAGATGGAACAAGTCCTCCTGCCCTACAGTTGAGGAGAACAGCAGGGACCAGAGGGCCATTAGGGTTAGCTAGTGTCTGTTCCACTTCTCAGGAAGGACAAGGGGCCTGCTTGTGAGGAAGCCCCGCTGCCCAAGATGGCATTTCCCCCACTTTGGGAAAATCATGTTCTCTTCTCATGTGCCTGATAGGTTGCTGTTACAGGCTGTGTGCTGGTCTCGATAGCACTAAATATATCCTGGTAGATTTGGCCTTTGTGGTCTAAAGCTAAATTGCTAAGGGAGCTTAAGTTTGTCCCCACTCTGTGGTGACCTGGAACAAGTTGTTACTTGGTTCACCAGTCACTACTTGAGCTCTGCAGAGCTGCAGAGCGTGCCTTAGTCCCGGAAGATGAAGAGGATGGGCCAGGGGTGATCCATGGTAAAATGTTGGCATTTGCAGAATCTTGGATAGAGTATACCCGGTTTGGACTTGGTTTCTGTAGTCACTTTCCCTTTCTCTTCTCCTTTTGAACTGCAGACTCTGGCCTGGTTGTCCCAAGTATTTCCTATGAGCTGCATAAAAAGCTGTTGTCCGTGGCTGAGAAGCATGGGCTGACCCTTGAGCGGAGACTGGAGATGACAGGTGTGTGTGCCAGTCAGATGGCACTGACCCTCCTCGGAGGACCTAACAGGTAAATGTCTATAAACTGGCAGGGACTCAATGTGGAGTAAGGATGCTCTGCCTGGCCACCACCACAGTGCCTCCCATACACACATACGAGTTCATTAGGCAGTTTCTGCTCATCTGATGGGAGTGTCTCTCTGAAGTCACTTTCCTGGATGCTGTGAGGTTTCTTTGCCCCTCCTCAGACCCATCTCCTAGATGTCCTCATTATTCTTCTGGCAAGCTGCCTTTTGACTCTCTCCTGATAGCAGCCATCGGGCCTGAGACTCCTGCTAACTATCAGAAGCCTTCCTTCTAGGAACCTTCGGAGACCTGGCCTTTGGCACTCATCATTTACTTTACGTGGCTGGGATGCAAATCAGTCTCCATACCTGAGAGCTTCCAGAACCACACTGACAACTGAGTAGGGGAGCTGGAGTTTGGCACCTTCCCACCTGCCCCTTATGCTCATATATCAAGGGCAGTGCCTTATTTTATTTGTAGACAGACTGATACCAGGTGCCAGACCTTCTGCTAGACACCGGGGACACGAAGAATAAAATACTGTGCCTTTCCTCTAGTAGCCCAATGAGGTCTCTAGAAAGTATAGTGCTGTAGTAGAGGAAACAAAATTCTCCAGTAAGCCATATTATTGCCCCAGGCTGGAGAAACCAGTCACCCTTCTGGAGCAGTGGCATCCAAGCTGAGCCCTGACGAACAAGTGGTGATTAACAGGGGCAAGCAAGAAAGAAGAAGGCATTCTTTTTTTTTTTTTTTTTGAGACAGGTTCTCACTCTGTCACCCAGGCTGGAGCACAGTGGCACAATCTCAGCTCACTGCAACTTCCACCTCCTGAGCTTGAGCAATTCTCCCACCTCAGCCTCATGAAGTAGCTGAGACTGCAGGCATGTGCCACCATGCACAGCTAATTTTTTGTGTTTCTGGTAGAGACAGGGTTTCGCCATGTTGTCCAGGCTGGTCCCAAACTCTTGGCCTCAGGTAATCTGCGTGCCTCTGCCTCCCAAAGTGCTGGGATTACAGGTGTGAGCCATTGCACCTGGCCAAGAAGAAGGTATTCTAAGTACAGGGAGTAGCATGTGCCAAGGGCAGAGAGAATCGAGAGACCATGGCACATGGTTGTTGGCAATCCGTAAGTCACTATGTGGCTGGAAAGTAGGGCCTCAGTACAGCTGAGTGGTAGGGAGCTGCTGAAGACATTTCAGTAGAGCTATGACATAGTTAGTCTTGTGTTTTAAAAAGATGATTTTTAGCTACAATGAGGACAGTCAATTCAATGGAGGCAAGACTGAAGGCAGTGAGATCAGGTAGAAAACTGCAAAACTTAGAAAACTGAGCCAGGGCCCAAGTGATGGTGGCCCAACTAGGGAAGCAGGGATCAGAAAAGTGGACAAACCAGGTTTGGTGAGGCATGCCTATAATCCCAGTTACTCCAGAGGCTGCAGTGGGAGGACTGCTTGAGCCCAGGAGTTCGAGGCCAGCCTGGGCAACGTAGTGAGACTTTGTCTGTCTCTTTTTTTTTTTTTTGTCTCTTAGAAAGAGAAGTGGACAGATGGGTGTTGTTGTTGTTGTTGTTGTTGTTGTTGTTTTTAAGGTAAATTCAGCAGGGCAAGGTAATTGAATGGATTTTAGAGGTAATGGAAAGTATAATGTCAGAAATCAGTGAACTTCAAGTTTTCTAGCCTGGACATCTGATTGGATGGTGGTTACATTCACTGTGATAGGAAACATGGGAAGAAGAGCAGGTTTGGGAGAGATGGTGGGTTTTGTTTTGGATGTGTTGAGTTTGGAATACCTGTGAGATATCCAAATAGTCTCTTAGCTATAAGGATCTGAAACTTAGGCCAGGCGCAGTGACTCACACCTGTAATCCCTATACTTCGGGAGGCCAAGGCGGGCAGATCACTTGAGGTCAGGAGGTCAAAACCAGCCTGGCCAACATGGCGAAACCCTGTCTCTACTAAAAATATAAAAATTAGCCAGGCATGGTGGCAGGTGCCTGTAGTCCCAGCTACTCAGGAGGCTGAGGCAAGAGAAATGCTTGAATCTGGGAGGAGGAGGTTGCAGTGAGCTGAGATCACACCACTGCACTCCAGCCTGGGCAACAAGAGCAAGACTCCATCTCAAAAAAAAAAAAAAAAAAAAAAAAGATCTGAAGTTCAGAAAAGGGTCTTAGCTGATGCTAGAGATTTAGGAGTTGTCAGCTTGTAGATGGTGTAAGAGTAGATGAGATCATATAAGGAGAAGGTGTGAACAGAAAGGGCCTAGGGTGGGATTCTGGGGAACGTCGGCATGTAAGGCACAGTTAGAAGGATGAAGAAGAAGGCAGGAGAGGTAAGAAACCAAGAGGGTAGCGTGTAAGAACCAAGGAAATAGTCTTTGAAGAAAAAAGGAACGGCCGGCAATGGTAGTGCTGAGAGATCAATCAAAATTAGAGTTGACAAGTGCCTGTTGGATTTTTCGGTAAAGAGGAGGATGTAGGCAACCTTGTGGGAGAGTGGTGTCTGGAGTGGGGAGGCCACTTCCAAAGAGCAGGGCAGATCTGGGTTCACTGGGGCAAGGAAAGCCTCCTTTCCCTGAGCAGCACTCACAGATCCAAAGCCTCACATGATAGGATGTTGCTTCCCACAGGGCCCCTTCCCTATTTGCAAAATGGAACCTGGTCCTTGGCTTGTGCTTCCAGCCATGGTGTTTGGGAGTGCTTGCCAGAAAACTGATATTGCAGATAAATCCTGTAGCTCCTCACTCCAGCCTATTTTCATTCTCTGGGCCTGATAATGTGTTTGGATGGAAGGCATCTCCTGATTCTGAAGTGATCTTAATTCAAGCAGGCTTACTCCAAGCCAGATGTAAGATTTCCACCTCCCTCATCCTATTTGAGTTGGGGGTTGGAGTGTTAGTTTTTCCTTTTTCTTTGATTTAGGCCTGCTTCCTAGCTGTTAGATCCTTGGGCTCTCCTGTGCCAGGGAAGAGCCAGGGAAATGCCTACAGGAGGGGGTAGTGTGAGGTGCCCTCTGAAAGAGCATCAGGCCCGTGTGTCTGGTGTCTCCTGCACCTCCTCCCAGAGCCACTGTTGGGGGCACTTTGAGACCATTAAGTGGCTTCCCAGAAACATTAGTTTTGGAGCAGGAGCTGAATGTCCTTACCAAATCACACTCCTCTCTAGCCAGCTTCTTGGGGCTGGCTGTCCTTGTGCCAGTCTTTTCTCTTAGTGTCTGAACTATCCAAAGGTCCATCTCCTGTCCTTTGTAGCAGTTGCTGATGTTGAGAAATCAGACCCGTGGTTAGTAATCTTGAAGTTTAATGTATGTCAGGTGCCATGCAGTGTTCCACAGTGCTTTCACAACATAATTTAATGTGGTCCTCATAACTTCACCTCAAAGCTAAATAATAGCCCTGTGTTTTTGGATAAGCACACTGTGGCTCAGAGAGCTGAGGGACTTGCCCACATGATACTGCTGGTACACAGTCCAGCCAGGCCTCTAATCCACATAGGTCCATTTCCAGTGCCCATATACTCTACACCTTGCCGCTGGGTGTGTGAATGCCATGCTCTGCTTCTTTTGATTGGGGGTGGGAGAGGTTCTCCCTGAGAGGAAGAACCCTTTTAGAGAACAAAGTGAGTCAGATTCCACAACTCTGCAGCATCCTCTGAAGGGAGCAATTCTCATCATATTTCCTCTAAATGCAGAAATGGGAAGGCGAATGGTTTGGTGTCTGGAATATAGAGTAGATTGTTAAATTCTCCAAAATGTGTTTGGGAATGGGGGCAGTTATGAAGCTCCTCTTAGCTTGACAACATCTTGTCATCTTCCTCCCTTTGGGAAACCGGTAAGTGACTATCATTGCTCTGCCACTAGGCAGGGACCTATGGCCTTGCCGTCCATCTCCTCCCTACATTGCTGCCCCGTGAGCCAACTGTGCTGCCTATGAGTTGGGCACAGCTCTGGGGCTAATCCTCTTTATCTCCTTATTTGTGGCTTCTCTGAGTCTAGAGGAGTCTCAGCTTTGAATAGCAGAAAACTGGAAGTGACAACTTCATCCAAGGCAGCTGCTAGCCTAGGAGGCCAGGTAACCCTTGGCCTGCTGCCTCCGCCATGGTCAGCACTGACTGAGTACCTTACCTTCTTTGTGTTAGGCACTGCTAAGTGCTGGGCATCCGATAATCTGCACAGCATCCTATGAAATAGATACTGTTAATGCCTGCAGCATTGCTTTCATTAACTTCAGTAAGCTACTAAGCTCAGTAAAGAGAACCATTGGCAACTGACTGAGGAGAATGGAGAGCTATGGTACTTGCTGTGAGCTTATTAGGAGTTGAGGAGAGGTAAAGGCATGAGCCAGAGTAATCCCAGCAGAGGTAAGTCTTGAACTGGATCTCCAAGAAAAGGCGGTTCAGAGTTTGGAAAGTGAAAGGCTTTCTGGGCAGGGGATGTAGTTTGAGCATAAGCAGGAAAGAGCCTTACAAGTGCAGGAGAGGATGAGACCAGCCCTGCTGGAGTGAAGCAGACACGTTGGGGAAGAAGAGCAGACAAGGCTGCAGAGGAACTATTAAGTGTTCATGGGTCAGCAAAGCGGTGTTGTGGCAACAGTGTTGTGTGGAGCAAGATCTGGGTGAACCACTTAGTGGGAGGACCCAGCAATGATGTGAGGTTGGGGTTTGGGACAACAGGAGTGCCACCCTATAGACCTGGCCTGCAGTGGATTTTGTCCCCCTCTGGAGCCTGGGACTTGGTGAGCAGTGGGTAAGAGATCTGAGACCAATAGGTGCTACAGGCAATTGTCTGGTATAGGGTGCAAGGGATTGGCAAGTATGTAGCTGATACTGCTTCTTCACCTTCTTTTCCAGGTTGAATCCCAAAAATGTTCACCAGAGGCCTACAGTGGCTCTACTGTGTGGACCTCATGTGAAGGGGGCTCAGGGTATCAGCTGTGGAAGGCACCTAGCCAACCATGATGTCCAGGTCATCCTTTTCCTGCCCAATTTTGTCAAGATGTTGGAATCTATCACCAATGAGCTGTCGCTCTTCAGCAAGACCCAAGGCCAACAAGTGTCTAGCCTCAAAGGTGAGCACTTAGGCAGGGCTGGGCTGAAGGCCTCCTCCCTCCTTAGCAGTTTGATGGTCTCGTCATGCCACCCAGTGGCGACAGGTGGAAAGGCACTACGTGTGTAAGGATGGTGCTTCGCCTCTAAGGAGTCTTAGAACAGTAATATACTACTTCCCATCCCCTTATGCTTCTCCCTCTCCAACTACTCACATGAAGAGCTGGGGACCCATTGGTCCATTCCACAAATATTCGTTGAACAGGCACTCTTCCTGATGCTAGGGATATGGCAACAGATTTTTTTAAATCCATTCTTCTGTGGAGCTTATATTCTGGTTAGGAGGAACAAAAAGACATGTAACATACTTGTGTAGTTGTAGTAAGTGATGTGGATAAAAACAAAGCAGGGAAAGGAGGCATGTTGGAGGACTGGGTGGAGAGTAGGAGACTTGGACATTTCAGGGTCAGGTCATGATGGGCCTTGGGGATGACCACAAGGATTTGGGCTTTTACTCTGGTGAGATGGGCAGTCATTGAAGGAATAAGTAGAGAAATGATATAATCAAATTTAGGTTCCAGATGATCATTCTGGGTGCTGTTTGAGAGTAGACTACACAGAGGAGTACAGAGAAGTGTCAAGATGCTGTTGTGATCATGGGAGAGAGAGATTATGGTGGCTAAGACAAGAGTGGTAGTGCCAGAGGTGGTGAAGGTAGTTAGTTTCTAAATCAGTTTTGGAGATAGAATCCACAGACTGGATGTATGGGGGGTGGGAGAAAGAGAAGAGTTGGCAATGGCTCCAAAGTTTTTGGCCTCAGTAACTGAGGTGCGATCACTGAGATGGGAAAACTTGATAGAGAAGGTTTGGGGAGGAACAGCAGAAGCTCAGCTTGAGACACCTATTGGATATGCAGGTGGAAATGTTGATAGGGAACGAGTTATATGAATCTGAAGTGAAAGGATTCAGCCTAGAGTTACAAGCCATAGGGAATATTTAAGCCATGAGGAGCCTGGATATGCTGTCACATAGGAAGAGAGTAGATACAGAAGTTGGAAAACTGAGCTCTTTATTTAGAAGTCAGGGAGTAAAGAGCCTAACCAAGGAGATGGGACAGGAATGGTCAGTGAGGGAGGAAGAAAACCAGGAGAGTATGGTAGCTGAAAGCCAAGTGAAGAAAGGAGCATGTGGTCAGTGTGTCAGCAAGCCCCGTTCTAGGTTAAGGTCAAAGGAAGACAGAATCGACCACTGGATTTAGCATCTCTGTGGAGGCTCCTGGTGAGCTTGATGAGTGGTCTTAAGTGGAGTGGTAGGGACAGAGTCTGACTGGAATGGGTTTAAATGAGAACAGCAGGGAGAAGAATTGGAGAGAGCAAATATGGCCCAGAGAAGGGACTCCACCAGAGGTCACATAGTGAGTCAAGGGCAAAGCCTGGACCAGAAACTTCACCTGCTAAGTCTCGGGCCAGGCTCCTGTGGGCACACAGAAGATAGGATGCCACTCTCACTCTTGAGAGCCTCATCACCCACAGGGACTCCCCCCGGTGGCACATTCTAAGCAAGGAAGTTGTGAGTCTCTAGCTGAGAAATGCTAATACTCTAGGCTGAGAGCTGGGAAGGGGGCCTGGTGTGGGTTCCCCTTGTAATTTTTAACATGATGCCCCCTTCCAGGCAGTTCTTCCTCTTGCTGCCCAAAAGTTTTCCTATCCCAGCTGCTCCAGGACACAAGTCTCAACGACCATTAAGTTTGGTCTGATTTATGCTATTCTCAGTTTAACTTCTTAGGCCAGTACAGGATCTACATACTTGTTGAGACATCCTTTTCTAATACTGTCCCAGAAGCCTGGTTAGAGCAGAGGAGCCTGGGAGAATAGTAATAGGTTCCCTCTTAATTCTTAATTAAGGTTGGGCTGAGTGGAGGACCCATTCCTGTGAGATAATGAGTACGAGAGGGGACAGGCTTGCTAGAGTAGAATGAGTAGGCCAGCTGGAATAGAATAAGCATGCTCTCACCTGCTCACCCTTCTTGGGTCAGCAGATAGCAGTCAGCTCCTGTTTTTGCTGGACCTGAGTGGGGTTTCCCTGTGATGGCCACCTTGACAGTGGACTCTGCCTTCCCAGAGGTCATAAGGTGCCCAGGGCATTAGTTGGATATACAGAGGCATGCCTGAGAAGGCAGAGGAGGTGAGGGCTTTGTGCCCTGAGAAGCTCTGCACACTCAGGACGACAATGGTTCATCCTGAGAACTCCAGGAGGGCAGTGGTCTGCTGGGCTGACATGCACTTGGTCTCTAGCACTCAGCCCAGCCAGCTTGCAACTCCTAGGGCCTGTGCCCTGGCCCAGCTTTAAGAAGGCCAGCCTTTGGAGAGGCATTCGAGTGGTGTCTGGAAAACAAAGACACCCTTGGGGTGACCTGGGCCCTAGTCCCAGCCTGGGCTGCTCTCTGCTCATAGGGACTTTCAGATGGCACTCTTTCCACCTGCAGATCTGCCCACTAGCCCTGTGGACCTGGTCATCAACTGCCTGGATTGCCCTGAGAACGTCTTCCTGCGCGATCAACCCTGGTACAAGGCAGCTGTGGCCTGGGCCAACCAGAACCGGGCACCAGTACTCAGCATAGACCCTCCTGTGCATGAAGTCGAACAGGGCATTGATGCCAAATGGTCACTGGCACTGGGCCTGCCTCTGCCACTGGGGGAGCACGCAGGCCGTATCTATTTGTGCGACATTGGCATTCCCCAGCAGGTCTTCCAGGAGGTGGGCATCAACTACCACTCGCCCTTTGGCTGCAAGTTTGTTATCCCACTGCACTCTGCTTAGAGGGTTCCTGCGCAGGCAGGACTCTGCTGTCCCCTGCTGCTCCTGATAACAAACGCCTTAAGGATATGAAGCTTCATGGACCTTGTTAAAGTTTTTTCTCTTTTGGGTTTGTTTCTTCTGTGAGAGAACAGAACTTACTTAAAACTGACCTGTCACTTGCTCTTAGCCAGGGAAGTCTTTCCCACTGGGTTCCGGGCTGGGTGGCAGGCTGAGCGTGCAGCAACTCCAGGCATCTCTACCCTCAGCCCCCTGCACGGCCAGGTGGGCCTTTGTTTACAGCCGTAGGCAGCTCTCAAGACTGTGTTTCAGGTTTACAGCCACTGGGCCTGGGCACACACATTGAAGAGTGGGCCAGGTCCTGTCTGGGGGCCTGTACCTGCTCTATTTCAGAGCTTGTGGCTTTGTGTCTCCCCTGCTTTCCCCACGCAGACAGCCCTTCCTCTGTAGAACCAGCTGCACGGCAGCTGTCCACCAGAGGGCAGACCTGCACTCTCCATTCATGTCCAGGGCTGTGACAGACCAGGCCTTCCCCTAGCCCCACAAGTTGATTTGGGGGGTTTTGACCCTTACTCCTGAGCTGATCCAAGTTTTATGCTGATTTTTCCAAGGATCTCTCCCTCCTTTTCCCTCCATCACTCAGAGGTAGGGAAGGGGGCGGCATTAGGATGGTGTTACTGTATTGGGATTTTATGTTGTTCTGTCGTCTTCAGCACAGGTAGTATAAGGTTATATTACTGTAGAACCACAGTGCCCATCTTGCCAGCAGTGCCCGCCCCCACCCTCAAAGCTGAGCAGGTTGAGCCTTTGCCTAGTCTGGGGCCAGACCCCTCAGATGGGGATATCCCTGGGGGAGCCTGGTGCTGAACCAGAAGAGGCTTCCTGGTGCTTCTGTCCTAGGCCACCACTCCTCCAGCCCTTTGCCCGCACATACATGCCCCACCTACTCTTTCATCCCCTCTGCCCTTCCCCTGAAACGGTCCTTTGCAGCTGTCATCCCAGAGCAGGCAGATGGGCTCCCGTGCTTGAGCTCCACCCCAGCTCTTACATCATCTGGGCTTTGAACCTTTTACATTTGTCCAGTCTAGATGAGTAGGCTTGGGGCCAGCACCCTGTCTCAAAGATGGCAAAATGAGGCTAGTTCTGGATGAGCTAGCTGGTGTGGGTTCCAACCATAGGAACACACTGATGCTCAAATCCTAAGGTGCCAAGCTCTAGGCCCTGGAGGCTGGTAGAACAGGATCTATGCCTGGAATCCTGGCAGGGATTCCTGTCAAGGACTTGTGTTTAAGCCTGCTTCAGGGCTTCAGGCTGCTTCTGCTCTGTGTCTGCCCAGGCTGGCTGAGCGGGTGGATGGGTGGACAGAAGGGCTCACCAAGGATTGTGGACATAGGGTAGGCCCTGGTACCACGGGTTTCAGGCTGTTATCACTTCCCTTGTAGGAACATAGCCAGAAGCAGATGAGCCAGGGTAGAGGGCTGGCCCCTCCTCTCATCTTCCCTTCAGTCTTAAATTGTCTCCAGCGATGGGAAGAGGCCAGGGACTGTAACCCTTGTGCTGTGTATTCTCTGAGCCTCTGCTCACTCTCAGGGCCAAGCAGCTCCCAAGCCGGGGCCCTCTCTTGGCCAAAATCTGAGGAGCAGTCTAGGTTACAGGCTTTTTGGTAGGTAGGTTCTGGCTGCCTGTTAATGCAGTTAGGCCCCCTGATTAGGTACAGTGAGAAACAAGCTAGAACAACCCTGGCCCAGAAGACTGTCCACTCCAGCAAGATCCAGGGATGATAGCCTTGCAGGGCCACTGGGAGTTTGTGCCCAAGCTTCTCCCTCTTCTCTCCCCAGGGGGCACTGGGACTGGTCCCTGCCCTCATCCTTAGCCTGGGCCTTCCCCAGAGGTATTAAAGAGAAGTATGATTCCTCTGTCTTCAGTTCTTTTCAGGGGCATCCTGCCCATAGTACCCAGTTCCCAAGGGGCCCCCAGTCACGTGGTGAAGCCTAGCACTCATGCAGCTCTTAGGGAACCAAAAACCAGCACTGAAATAAAGCTGAATGACTGACTGAGTCCTGTGCCGTGTGACTTGCTCTGTAGGCTGTCATGAGGTGCTGTCTGTCCCAGCCTAGGAACCCGCCCCACTCGTCTCCTGCCCTCAGCAGGCCATAGTTGTTGGGCACATACAGCCTAAAGTCCTGGCCAGTAATGGGACTGGCAGGCTGTGGAAAACCAGACCCCACCTGGCTAGCCACGGTGGGCTGATTCCCTTAGGTTCTCTGGGGCTGAGAGGTACAGAAGCCAGCAGGGCAGAGGTGCCATCTAGGACTGCTCAGCAGCCTGGGCCCAGAGGATGTCCCCAATTCTGGTCTTACCCCTGCCTAGCTCTTCTGTGCCTGGCCCAGTTCACACTTAGCTCTCCACAAGCTGAACTGCTAAGAAAGACTTTATTAATAAGGTCAGGTAAGGGGAAGGCAAGGAGCCTGGAGATGGACACACTGGTACCAGGGGTTACAAACAGTAAGAAACACTTTATTATAACTTTATAACATATAAATAGCTTGGGTCAAATCTGTGCTTTCTGGCAGCTGGGCACCAAGTCTGCTCCCCTGCAGGCTCCTGCCTTCCTTCACATTGCACTGTTCATTGGGTGGCTCTGGCCTGGGGCCTGGCGGTCGAGGCTGGAGTCAAGGGGCTGGGCGGCCCAGTCCCGCCCTCCATCTCCTCATGCGGTGGCCTGTGCCTGTCATCTGCTTGGGTTGCGGCTGGTGTGGAAGGACCGCTCCTCAGGGGTCAGGCCAGCAAAGAAGGGGTGCAGCAGGGCCTCGGCCAGTGTGATGCGCTGGGCAGGGTCAAATTCTAACATCCTCCTCATCAGGTCAAACAGCTGCACGTGCTCCAGGGAGTCTTGGAGCATGTAACTCTGCTCAGGGACACAAGGTGCCTCAGTGTGACGGCAGGGTCGTGGGAAGCCACAGCAGGTCCCCTTGCCTCTGGGACGCCTTGCTGGACTGGATCGAGGAGGCAGTGATGCCTCCTTGGAGGACTCTACTTCCGCCCTCCTGGACAATGAGCAGCTCCTTTCCTTTCATGCCTGTTTAACGTTTTGCTCGGAACTTGCCAGGCTACTAGGTGTCTTGCTGGGTTGATGCCTCTGCCCCCACATGCAAAGTCCTGACAGGTGGGTAGAGATCACCTCTGCGAAATTCACTTGTCCGAGCACCAAATGCAGTTGACAGAGGCTTCCTGGCCATGTCTAGGTCTTCCCTCCCCCTCACCTCAGTCCTGCCTAGTTCTTCCCAAAATTTCGAGGAGAGAGAGGGACAGGAAGCAGCAGGGCTTCTGACATCTGGCTCTTCTGGTGTTCCCCAATTACATTCATAGCCACCCTATGGGGAAGGGGTAGGGCTAAGGGCCCCTCTGGGGCAGTTTGCAAGAAGCCCCATTGCCAGCACCCAGCAGTCTTGGGTGCCGCCTCCCATAGAGCTGGATCAAGGAGGCAGCCTTTAGCGGCCTGGCCTGTCTCTGCTGTATGTCTGCCCAGTGCCTGGGGTCTCTCCTTGGCATGAGTTCAGCTGGGGGTAGCCAGAAACTGACCTTCAGAGGTTTGCAGTTCTCCTTCACATACCGGCCGTCAGAGCTGTTCTCATCCCAAACTAGGCCCCCTTTGTAGAAATATTTCTGCTTCCTGAAAATTAAGGGGGTGGAGTCAAGTGTGGGAGTAGTAAGGGGACAAGCCTCTGGTGGGAGGTGGGGAAGAGCAGCTCCCAAGACAGCAGCAGAACCAGGGCAACAGGTCTGCAGGGGCACACAGGGAAGGCTTTTAGGAGCCTGCGGAACCATGGACTGTCCAGCAAAGACTCACCACATCCAGTACCCTGCTGACCCACAGCCAAGAAGAGAAAGGCCTCTATACCAACCCTGAGGGGGCTACTGGGGTCCTTACCTGGTACGGTGGATCATGTGTGATGGGATGGGCCCTAGGATCTTCTCCATCATCACCAGGTGCTCTCGGTTTTCGTGGGTCTGTGGAAGATTAGGGACAGTGCAAGGGGGTCAGTACTAGCTCTGGCCCCTTCAAGGAGAAAAAGGAACAAGAAAGATGGGCAAGTGCCCTCACTGCCCCAGGACATGCAAACCTACCAATGAAGCGGCAGCCCCAGCTTCTCCTGCCAGCCTGTGCCTAGGCTCCTCAGCCCTTGTGGGTGGAGGTGGACTGGGCTGTGACTACATTTCTCTCTGGTTAGCTCTTCACTCCCTGCCCAGAACATGCCCTGTCCCAGCCCATCCCGATGCCTTTAGTCATCTGTGCCCCTTATCTAGAAGGTCAGGTCACCTCCTACCCCATCCTCCATCCTCGATGGCCTAGCATAAGACTCCTCTGAGTGTTCCAGCTACCCTGACCTCTGCCTTCCCTTTAGCATCTACATCCTTAAAGGGTCTGAATCTCACATGATGATTAGTGGGAGGAGGAAGACACCTGTCTTCTCATCCATGTGGGGCTTCCCACCCCAGTGGCCTGCAGCCTATCACAGTAGCAGTACTCAGGGTAGGGGACCAATGCAGGGTGGCTGTACCTGGAAGAGTGTGAAGCCCCGGTAGTACTCAAAGAGAATGCAGCCAATGCTCCAGACGTCACAGGGCTGTGCCCAGCCCAGCTCTGCAAGCCAAGATGGGGAGAGGCTGTGAGATCCGGCCTTATGCTTCCAGCCTGGAAGTCACAAGGCAGCCACCACACCGGCTGGCAGGACTCTTGCCCAAATCCCAGTACGAGGCCCTCTCTCAGTAAGGCTGACAGATAAAGCCAGGTCAGTCACCTGTGTCTCATGACACTGGCCCCTTGGTCTGAGAAACTCTGCCTGCCCTGGGTGGCAGAGAATGACAGGCATGCCACTGCCTCTGCTCATACCCTCCCAACAACAGTCCAGTATGACAAGGTCACAGGCCATACAGTCACTCACCAAGGATCACCTCAGGCGGGCGATAGTGACGGGTGGCCACAATGGTGGTGTGGTGCTCATGGTCAAATGTGGCACTGCCAAAGTCAGCCACTCGGATGCTGGTGTTCTTCACTGACTTCTCCTCACAGCTCTGAAAGGCAAGGCAGGCCTGCCAGGTCAGGAGTCTGCACCAGCGGGTAACCCACCCCTGAAACAGGGCCTCACCCTTACCCCCACCAATACCTTGTGCTCATTGTAGAGGGTTTCAAACTCAGAATTCACAAACAGGATGTTCTCTGGTTTCAAGTCTGTATGGGTCAGCTGATTCTCATGCAGAACTAAGGTAGCAGGGAAAGAAGGGGAAGTAGGCACTGAGAAGCTGGCTCTCCTGCCAGCTCTAGGCCAGACCCCTCTTCCAATGCCAGCAACTGCCAGAGGTCCTCACACCCCCACCTCAGCAGGGAGCTGGACTACAGCCTGCCTCTGTGCTGGCCTCCCTCTCAAGGGTTCTCTGTACTTGAGGCCTTGGAGGGTTCTGATACTTTAGCAGGGGGGTAGGAAAGAAATTTGCCATTCGAAAAACCTCCCTCCACCTCTCCTCTGCAGAGACCAGGCCTCCTCACCTGTCTCTCAGCAGAGCTACAGCAACAGCCTCGAGGTGGTTCCCTCTTCCCTGCACCAGCTACATAATTTGCAGGGCCCTTTGCAAAATGAAAATGCAGGTCCCCTGTTCAAGTTACTAAGAATATTAAGGTGGTGGCAAAAGGACATTAAATCAAGCACAGGGTCCTGTGCGACTGAGTGCACAGGTCGCATACCCAGGAAGACAGCCCCGCCTCTCATTGCTAGTCATAAGCAGGCAAGCCTTTCCCCTCCAGCCCCTTCTGACAGTGGCTTCTTGCTAGTAGTCACTTTTCAGCTCAAGGATCCCATCTGGCACTCAAGACCCTCACAACTATGTGGCCCACCACTCCCCAGTGGCAGTCTACTCCACTGGAGCCAATTCTCAGCCCGTTAACAGGCTCCAGGCCTCACCAAGCTGTTCCCCTTGCTTGGAATCCTTGTCCCTGTCCCATCTTGCAGATCCTGTGGGAGGAGGAAGACACCTGTCTTCTCATCCATGTGGGGCTTCCCACCCCAGTGGCCTGCAGCCTATCACAGTAGCAGTGCTCAGGGTAGGGGAGCGATGCGGGGTGACCTTGAGCGATTCTAGCTCAACGCCTACCAACTTCACCAAGGAGCCTTTCTGTACTGCTGCAACCATTGCAAATCCTACTGCGCTGAGCCCTGGCACTGCCAAATAATGCTTTTCCAGGCTGGCAGGGAGATGACAAGTCAGGGTTAGACCGAGGGTCTCCATGTGGGCAGGACCTGTGGTGCTATCTGTCAGGTCAGGCTTCTACCTTTTTATCCCATGCATGAAGCAGGGAGGCAGGGTTGGTGGTTAGGCCAATTCCAGAGCAGTTCGTTTCTGTTTTCTTCCTGAGTGCCTGGGGGTAGAGAGGCTGGTCCAGGAGGTCCCTGGAGGGAGCCCTAGCCTTTCCATCCTCACACTGAGATTCCCACCCAAAGACAGGCCTTTCCGCCAAAGGGGATCTGGTGTCCCTCAGGCCCAGGAGAATGGTTAGTAACGTGCTGGAATGAATGGGGACAACAAGTAACCAGATGACTTGGCTGCAGGCATGTGGCTGCCCATGCTTCTTTTGAGGGTGGACACTTACATCTAAGGGCGTGGCAGAGCTGGTAGGCCATGTGCCGGACATGTGGTAGGGGGTAAGGCTGGAAGTTATTCTCCTTCAGGAACTCAAAGGTGTTCTTGCCCAGGAGCTCAAAGGCGATGCACATGTGACCGTGGAAGTTGAACCAGTCAGACATCAAGACACACAGGCTGGAGGAGGAGGATGGGCAGGGCTCAGGCTGTGTGCTGGGGGCCTGCCTCACCCCCTCTCTCAGATGAAGACAGTTCCCAACTCTCTCCTAGGCCACCGGGTCACACACCAGAATGCAGATACACACAGTGCAAGAGAAATCAGAGCAAGAGCACCTCTCCCCACCAGCCATCACCCAATACCCAGATGAGCTCTGGGCAAGGACTAAGCTTCCTGCGGGGGGTAGGGGAGATGTCCACGGTTCTGGTCCAAGCCCTCCGAGCTTCCCTACTTATGATATGGAAGCAGCCCTGCCTCAGAGTTGCTGAGGGAGAGATGGAAAGTGCTAGTGCACTCCGCAGGACTGGTGCTGCTTTTCTCCACTTGCTCACTCTGCTGAGCTTCGTGAGGGTCTGTGCTGGATTCACCCATCTGCCCAGGCTCAGCACAGTGCGTGGAGGAGAGTGCTCAGTGTGTCTGCCACAGAAAGGCCCTCCTTTGGGTATCTCCTACTATGTGAGAGCCCCAACTTCATGTTTTTATCTTGTTTTATGCCCAGCATAACCCAGTGAGCTCCCCAATTCACAAAACGCAGGGCTGGGAGGCCTTCCTCAGGACACAGAGACAGCTGGGGTGAAGACTGGACTGCAGTCTAAAGGCTTCCAGCAAGACCTTTGCCACACTCCCCTGGTTCTGAGTGTGGGGAGAAGGCACAGTGCGGATGGGTGAAGGCACACTACTAAGCCCCTGGGGGTCCAGCAGCCCCACTGAAGGCTTCCCTCCCACTCCTTGCAGATACTCACAACTTGTTTTCTTTGTCCTTCTCCTTGATTTTTTTGAGCACGTTGATTTCTAGCCGGGCAGCCTCCCGGTACTTGCCCACGTTGCGGATGATCTTCAGGGCAACCTGAGACTTCCCTCTGGTACCCGGGAAGGAAACAGAGGTTCTCATCAGCAGCTGCCCAGTCCTTCCCCAACCCTCCACCCCAACCCAGCAACTCCCAACAAACACCACTCCAGGAGCAGCCGGCACTGAAGAGAGCAGATACTGGATGCCCAGCCTGCCCCATGCAACACCAGACCTTTGCCCACCCAACAGCAAGCTCCCTGAGATCTGTGAGTTAATGCTCTTAGCATCCTTGCCATCCTTAGGCTTTTATGTTCTCAGCCACTGCCAGCTCCCAAAGGAGTGTGGGAGAGTAGAGGCCAATCCTGCTTAACCAGTGCCAGTCCAAGAGCTCACACAGTGACCTAACCTATAGGCCAGGCAGCCCCAACCCTGGCCAGGCTGTCCCACCGAGAACCCTCCTGCGGCGCCTCTTGACCTTCCTGAGCTTGTCTGCAAGTCTGAGCAAACAGGGATGGGGGTTCCAGGATCGAGTAAAGATCTGGCAAGAGGTAGGGGTACCAGCAAGGGTACCTCTCACTGTGAGGCCCAGGGCCACTCCCTTTACCACACCCCTCTCCAGCCGCACCTACCTGCCACAGTGTTTATCAGTGACCACAAAATGCCAGGAACCCTTCTTAAGTGTCCAAAGAAGGTTTTAACAGTCCCTGCTCTGTGCCTCCCACCCCCAACCTCACCCCAGGAGGCCATCTGCAGGGAGCCAGCAGAGAAGGAAACCTGCTGAGGCTCAACTGCCAGGCCCTGTCAGGAAAGGACAGCTAGAATTCAGATGCCCAGTGGGGAACGAGACAGTCCTAGCCTGGAAGGGCGTGTCCTCTGAGGCCTCAGGGAGGCTGACTGTGGTGCCTAAGGCTCACAGGCCCAGGATAAAGGGACCTTCTAGAGAATCCCCTGCTTTTTTCTCCCTACCTATTTTCCCAGATTCTCAGGGCAGGAAGGGACCTCAGGGGAAAGGCCATGCACTCCGGCCTCCTCCTAAAACAGGGTCCCTCCGTGGCATTCCAGTCCTCAGCACAGGGAGCTCATCACTTCCAAGGCAGCCCCTGTCAGAGTTGCACTGCTCTTAGAATAAGACCCTGCCTTTCGCTGAGCTGAATTCTGCCTCTGCATGACAACCCCCACTGGCCCTGGCTCCCTTTGAGTCCCGTAAAGTTTCCCTGGACCCTCCACCTGCCCCCTAGTGACTCCAGAGGCTCATTTTCCCTCCAGCTCCTGAGAGAGGAGCAGCCCAGAATGCCTACATGCATCCCGGCTGTTGAGTCTGCCATGTCTCCACCTGGCCACGGTGTGGTTGTGCATGTCCCTCCACCCACTGGTCCCAACCCTAACCTCTTGGGCCACGCTGAGTCGTACAGGCATTTACATAGGAACTTGGAGCAAATGGACACTTCCTCTCAGTCTATCTCGTGGCCACAGGAAAGGCTGGACGCCTGGGTCTGAATGACCTGAACACCCCATTTAATGTAGGAGCACTACAGCGCAGTGGTGGCCAGCTCTGCTGTTAACTGGAGTATGATGCAGGCAAACCCTGAGCATGTTTATTCATCTCTGAAATAGCGAGAGGGCCACATATGGGTGGCATGTGGCTCCAATGAGGACACAAGCACTTTGTAGCTGAAGTGCCAAACCAACTAGAGAGCCTATGGCAGGGTGGCAACTGGCTCCCTGGAGGTGGCCTCCCCAACCCAGACCTATAGGAGAGGAAGCAAATGTTCTAGTCTTGTGGAATGGTAAGGGGAAAAAACTATTGTACTGTTGGGCTTGGGAGAGAGTGAGGTGCAGCATGACACACACAGGTATACCCCACTCTCCCAGGCACACTCAGCGGAGACCACACACTACCCTAGTCACACTGAAGAAGGCAGCAGCCTGCTTGGTGAGAAAGCCCAGGGTCATGTTTCTCTCGACTGAGATCTGCACAGCCTCTCAGGCAGACCCTCAGGGAATGGGACTTATGCTTGGGCTGGGCTTATTGGTACTCCTAGCCCCTTGCTAAGCCAAGAACCTAAAAGTTATCACAGGAAGCAGCTCCAAGCCACAGGGGAGCCGGGGCCTTGGCCCTGTTCTGATATCCACCACCACAGCCCTGGAGAAGTGAAGAGATTGGAGCAGAACCTTTCACTGACCAACAATTCTTGGGTAGGGATGCCACATAACTGCAGGACCCAAGAATTTCTCCCTTATTACAGGGGGTCAGCAAAACCCCAACATGGACAGGTCGGAACCCTACTTTGATGCCACCCTTCAAAAAGAAAAAAGTTAAGCTCTGATAGCTGCCACCCTCAAGAACCTCAGGCCAGCTCTTCCCAGGAAGATCACATCCGGAGCCAGCTGTACTGCCGCAGCTCGCTCACCTGGCATGGTCCAAGCACTCCACCACCTTGCCAAAGGTGCCTTCACCCAGGTTCCCCACAATCTCATCTAGGAGAGAAAAGAAATTGGGCATGAGAATCTGGAGGGCAGGGGGTTGGCAGCTCCTGCAAGTTCACAGCATTCAAATTCTCAAAAACAAAAAAGGTTTCTCTCTCACTGCTACACTCTTAAAAATGGAAGTTGCTAGTGTCTGTGTCATTCAGGCAATTACTGGTGGCCCCGCTAAGGCACCACGCGCACTAGAGGCCCCTCCAGGCAGGAGAGGTCTCGTCTAACAAGGGGGGTAGAAAGTAGAGAGGTAAAGTTTTACGAAAGGTGGCTGTACATCGCTCTTGGAGCCAATCGCCGATCCGGCACACCAGGTGACCCTCCTTGTCATCTTCCACACTCCGGCTGCTGCGCTTACTGCTCTGTTGGCTTCTCTGCATGCACCGCCCCCCGAAACGCCATCCGACCAATCGCATGGTAGGCGGTTCCGATTGACAGATTGAGGTGTCAGTCAAAGGCAGAGGTGGAGACGGTGAGGAGCCGGTGGGTTGGTTGGTTGGATTTTCCAGATCCCAGCATTTCATAAGGCACACAGCATATATAACGATAGGGATATTGCAAGGGACACGTCAAGACACAAACTGACTTCAAAAACAGAAAAGTAAAAACAGCTACAGGTATGTAAAGAAAACTCGGACATTATCTTTAAGAGGAGCGCCACAAACGCTCAGGAAGATGACCTGCCTCTGCTGCTGAGGGCCACGCTGTGAGGAGAGCCATCGCCCCGACTCCCTCCTCCTCCTCCTCCGAGTCTCTCCCTCCCAGACCCTCCCATGTGGCTTTGGGCCAGAGCGGAAGATGCAGTGAGAACGGCGGCGCAAGAAGGCAGCTGGCCCCGCCTGGGTCCAACCATCCAGACTGGTCAGCGGCTGCTCCGGCTTCAGCTGCAGAATGCCCAGCCTGTCCTTGCCTGCCTCTGTTCGCCCACGCAGACTTGCACATGCCTGACAGCTGCCACTCACAGCCAAGCTGCTACCTGCCTCCAGACGGCATCCTTGGCCAGATTTCACCATCACTACCAGAAACAGCCTTCCGTCAGCAGCCCTCCTGCCACCAGCCTCAAGAAGGAAAGCAGCCTGGGATCCTCTGGGCCAGTCGACTGCCAGGCTTCCTACCACAATGGCCCACACAGGCCCCATGCCAGCTCCTGCCCTGGCCTTGGCACCCATGCTGCTCACAATCTAGGCCCATCCCAAGCCTCACGACGATCGATAGAGGGCACCAAACAGAGAAACAGAGCCAGACCTGCACTGCCATCCTGTGGCAGCATGTGGCAGTGTGCAAAGAGGTGAAAGGGCCACGCTGCAATCGCCCGCACAGTCAACCCTCAACCTGTAGCCACTCAAAGAAGTCACAGAAAGCGCTGGGCAGAGAAGACACCTGGCCTCTCCACTGCTCCTCAGGGGCCTCAAGGCCGGCAGGAGGGAGGCAGGGAAGAGGGATGGGGGAGAAGAGAAGACCGCACGTAACCTCGGAAATACACAACTGGCTTTGCTTCCCCAGGGGACTGAGCGCAATGTGGGCTCCAGAGACCTTACAACCCTCCATGCTAGGAATACTGGCCAGGCCCTGCTCTGGGCATGTGGCCTGCAACTGGACGAGGCCTGGGGCGGCAGCCTTTCTGCCATTTCTTCACATGCCCCATCACACAGGCACCTGCCCCTCCTCACCGCGACTGCCCCTCGTAAAGAGGCTCGGCTGGAGAGGGCCTGGCTGGAGATCAGAAGGGAAGTTCCCAGTCTGAGCTGGCTGACAGGCAAATCCTCCGGTCCTGTGAGGCACTCCAGACTGGGGGCCTTTGGGAAGGGGTGTGCAGATGAGACGCAGAGGTGGGTGCAGTCCACATCAGAGCACTCAGTTACACGAGGAGGCAGTCTCTGGGTGGGAAGGACCAGGCCATATAGCTGCAGACCACCATACCAGCCACTCTACTAGGATCCCTAAGAAGTGTCCTAAGAAGTGTCCCCAGCCACTTGCACCACGTGGCCTTTGTCTGGAGCACTGTGTAGACATAGACAGGCCAGGGGCCAGCCAGCATCGGAGCCAGAGTTCCTACAGTTGCCACTGGAAAGAGCCAGAAGACACAGAGGCCAGGACCCTGTGATCAGCCCTACACCTGGACCAGACAACACATACACACACACATGCACGCACACCAGTGCACGTGCACAGGGCTGGCAGTACTCACCCGGACCAGCCAGCCTGAGAGAAGGCTAGGAAGAGATGAGGCCTTTAAGCCCCAGCCAGCACACTCTGGCTACCACTCACCGAGGAGGCGCTGCTACAAGACCTGGTGCGGCGTTTGTGGCAGTGGTGGGCATGCTTGCGGGTCCGGTATGGCCCCCTCTCCCGCGATCGCCGACGATGACGAGAACGTGAAGGTCCATAGTAGTCCTCTCCAAAGGATGGGCTCCGCTCTTCACACCGGTATGTATCGCTGTCACGGCGCTCCCGGTACCTCCTCTGGTAGGGCAGGCGGTCATGGCTGCCAAAAGGGGGATGGGGACGCTGGTCAGCTGGGTCCTTGCTGTTAGCAAGCAAGAGACCTGTGGTAAGGCCACTGTAAAGGGCTAAAGGGGGACAGCCTGTGCTAAAAGCATCCACACTGGTGGGAAGTGGGCAGAGAGGGGAGGGTGCAAAGGTACTAAGCCCGCCCTCCAGAGCCCTGTCCAACGACAGCATCCTCCAGCTGTAGGAGGAGGGGTACAGGGGAAGGGGAGTATGGTAGAGTGCCTCCAAGGGTTCTATACCCTTCCAGAGTTCCCTGTGGCCTGCTGCAACTCTAAGTTTGACCTGGGAGCTAAGATAGGCCCAGGGAGCAAACTTTCCAGGGGTGAGGTTATGTTCCTAATCCTCACCAAGGAAGGCTTAGGAGGTTAAGCGGAAAGATGCTGGCCTAGAAAATGGGGGAATGTGTGGGGAGAAGAAAAGGCACTCCAAGACAGAGAAAGAGTGGGCGGCAAGGATGGTAGCTACTGCTGAGGCCAAGGCATGCAGGTGAGGTTAGTGGAGGAGCCCAAAGAGGACAGGGCAGGGATCCAGGGACAGCTGGGCAGGGATGGAGTCATCTCAAGGAGTCTGGAGCTGCCACAGCTGAGCCCAGCTGACAGAAGGAGTCTTTCCCTCCTATCTAGTTCCCTCTCACCTTCTGGACCGAGATCTTCGTGGGGGAGGCTCCCTTCGGGACGGGTATCGCAGTCTCCCTTCATGTTCCCGACTGTAGGACCTCCTCCTCTTCCATCGGTAGCTCAGGTACGGGTCTGGTTCAGGGGAGCGGTATCGCTTACAGTGATGCATCTAGGCCACGAGGAACAGAGAGCCCTGCTAAACACACAGCCAGCCACCTCCAGCCATGGGGCTGCTGGGGCTTCCCGGTTGCTCCTGAAGAGGCCCATTGTTCTGTTTGAAGGCGGCCCCTCCCAGAGGTTTATGAAGTGAAGAAGAACTCTGAGGTCACACTGGTCAAACAGCAGACAATAGGAAACAACTTTCTCTGCCAGTGAACAAACAAACAGCTCCCAGCAGAGCATCACTAGCCTGGTGGCCTGGGTGCTCAGGGAACTGGGTGAGCCAGGGCCAGGGGCTGAGGCAGTAACCCTGGGTGGGGACGGTGAACACTACCACAGGGAGATCAAAGGCAGGAGAAAGGGGAGCCTCCTGCACTCTATTCCCTCCCGCCCGGGGGGGCGGTCCCGTGAAGTGAATGCTCTGTAAAGCCAAAGGCCAGGCAAAGGGCTGTACACAGGAGGCGAGGGCTCAAAGCCCTCAAGTTTGAGAAGCTGAACGCTGTCTGGCTAGGGCCCTGAACTGGACCCCACTCAAGGGAGTAAGGACCACAAGTGAGCATGAGGAGCCACAAGAGACTAGAAGAGCAGCCCTTGGAGAAAGAGGCACACAGGCCTCACAAACATTCCATAGCCCTCCTGAGGGTCAACCCAAGGGGACGTGGACCCAGCGCATCTAACTTTCTTTCCAGAGGCCCATTTAGCACCCTTTTAGACCCCCACAGTGCCCTGCCAGGTGCCTTGCCTTTATCCAACAGTACCGTTACTGTCCCTTCTTCTAGCTCTCTGGCTCTAGTATCCTACCCTCCGCCTATCCCAGGATAGCCAGAGGGTTAGCCATCTGGCAGGTAAAAGAGCCCCACCTCACTATCCCTGTTCAGTGAGGACTTATATCCACCAAATGAAATTGCCAGGCTGGATCTGCCACCAGCGGAGAAAGCTGGCCATGTGAGGCCAGCAACCTGCTCCACCCATACGTCAATCCCTGACTGCCTCCATGGAGCCAGCCTTCTTCCCAACACTCACACTTGGCCACAGCCAACCTCCAGTCATGGTCAGTCCTGAGCTTGCCTGGCCAAGCACATTTTGTACAAACCCACTGAGGCTGCCCCATCTCACCAGCAGGGTCTGTCAGGAGAAAAGCAGCATAGAACAGCTCCCCATGCTTGAGCAGGACAGTGAGGCCTATGTGACCAAACCCCTGGGAGCCTCTCCGTGTCCCTAAGAAAGCCCTCCATCTCCCCACTAACTTGTCTTCCCCCGTGTACCTGGGAAGTCTTTGGAGATAAATATTTTGTGAAATCACCTCCCCAAAAGCTTAGATTTGTTGTTTTGGTAATCAGCTGACTAATATTTCACTGTTTTCCTGCAATTACTCTGGGTCAGGTGCCCAAGCTATGGAATGAAAGCAGGAACTCACACCCCACTAATTGACCCAGAAGATGCTCTATTGGCCAGGGCACATGTCGTGCCACAAGGCAAGTATGGTCCTGCCCATCCTCACTGGGCAGACAAACACCAGAGCTGGAGGACACAGTCACAGTCACACCACGCCAAAGACTACCTCCTGGGACCTAGAAGATTCTTATGTCCATACATATTCACATCAATGGAAAACAAAATTTCAGAGTCATATAGATGTCAATCTGAATCATGGCTTGCCACTTCTAGCTGTGTGCCTTTGAACAAATTATTACACTACTCTGACCGTCAGCTTCATCTTGCAACAAGGGAATAGTAATCTCTTACAAGGTTCTGTGAGGATTAAATATCTCTCTCCTATAAGTGAAATGCCTAGCACAGCTTTGTGCCCACAGAGGTACTAGTGGCAGCTTTTCATGAACATCTGAAAGTTCCAGGTAACACTTCAGGGCTGTGTTAAATGCCTTACAGACATTTTATAAGTCCCTTCCAAGGAAACTGGGAGGCAAGAGCTCTGGCAGAAAACTAAACTAAATCCTAGTGCTGTCACATACCAGCCTCATGACCTTAGACAAGTCACTCTAGGCCTTGGTTAGCATGCCTGGAAAATGGAGATAACATCTCTCAGCCTGGCAAAAGAGATGACAAGCATGAGAGTTATAAGGTACCACACACAAAGCAATAACAGAGAAGAGTATCCTTCCTTTAACACATTCTAGGCAAGTAAAATATTGGAAATAGCAGATATCATCCTCCCAGCCAGGGCTCTAGGGCCCATTTCTCAATTATCTCTGATTCTCGAAAACCTCAGCAAACAGCTTGTTTAAAAAGCAGCTAAAGGCCACAATTATGCTTTGGGAAGCTCTGCTCTGCACAATGAGGAAAAAGGTGATATGAAGAAAACCAAGCCAAGGATGTCAACTTTGAGCACAGGCCTTGTCGGCTTCTCATTTGCTGTTCCTGGCCAGAGAACTGGGCTGACTAGAAGTGCAGCCAGCCAGGTCAGCGGCTGCCCTCCCGGATTCCAGCCACCCCAGCACCCATGGTTATTTTTGGCTGGACTGCCCTACCACTGCAACCTCAAACCTGCCACCTCGCAAGCCTCCACCACCAACGGTGAAACGCTCCTCCTTTTCAAGGGCATCAAGAAGGGAAGCTGGAAGGCCGCCAACTCCGCCTCTGATGGGGGCCTGGTTCAGGCAATTTCCACCCCAGCTCCACATCAGGGCACCCACACCCGGAACTAAAGCTAGAGACTCCCGGGCGGGACGGAGGAGCAGCCAGGGGATTTGAACTGTCAGCTTGGCCTAGCCCATCCTCCGGGCTGGAGTGGCTCTACCACCACAACAAAACACACAGGGGAGCCTGCGCCCTCGTTCGCGTCCCTTCCTGCCGCCCCAGGTCCCAGGGGGTCTCAGAGTCCCATCCCCTGTAACCGCCACCAGTGGCGCCGAGGGGAGACCCGGGGACAGAGGGAAAGCCGGACTGGGCCAGAATCAAACTCCAGGCCGCCAAGGGAGGAGTCATCTGCGGACTAAGCCTGAAGCCAGGGGTAGGGGAGGGGTCTGAAGGGCTTCTCTGGCTCTTCTACGTCGGACCCCGACCCCATTCCGCGGGCAGGCACAGAGCCCAAACTGGACCCTTGAGCGGCCCCAGAGGCCGTTCAGGCTCCGCCTTCAACACCGTGGGGTCGAGGTCAGGGTCTGCAGTGACCGCCCTCCGGGGCAGAAGCAGCGGGTCAGGGGTGAGAGGTCGCGGCCCGATATGGGCCGAAGAGGAGAAAGAAAGGGAGTAGGCCGAGACCGAATGGCACCAGCGCGCCTGCCCCGCCGACTCACCCCCGGCCGCCGCCGCCGCTGTCGCCGCCGCGGACCCCAGCCCACACTTACCGTCTCCCAGGCTCCGGCTGCAGCTAGGCCCCACTCCCCGCTCCGAGCGCCTCTTCCGCTTCCGGCTGCGACCTCCGCCCGTGGCAGCCCCGCCCCCTCGCGTGACGCAGCCGTCGCCAGCCTCGGCTCGACCCGGCTCGGAGGCCTGGCCGCTCTAGCCCCCGACTCGAAGGCTCCGGGGCACCAGCCCTCTCCGCTCCGGCGGGCGCCGCGGCCTAGGAGACTAGTTCCGGGAGGGCCGAGGGGACGAGCCTGGCCCGGCCCGCCTCCCGCCGTGTCGCGGCGCACGTAGGTCCCCCGACCTGACAGGTGCGCGGCCCGGGCCGGCTGGGCTCTCAGAGCCGAGAGGTGGGGCCCCGACCTGGCCGTGGGGCTGGGCCCGCTCCGTCGCCCCGACCCCGCGTGGTCCGCCAACTCCCTCCTGCGCGCGGAGAGGACGGGCATTGTTCTCGGGGCCCCGGAGAGCGCGAGAGCGGCCTGAGGTCTGTGTGCCGGAGCTCGGGAAGGCGGACGCGACTCCGCTTGCGCGAAACGAGCGAACGACACATTATTATCTTGGTGTGTGCGGGTTTTTTGAAAGCCGTGGTGGCGCTCCCAGCTCGCCAGTGCGTGCGGGGCAGTTTCTGGGAAGATACCCTAGAGCTACTCTGGCGGGGCCGGAGTCTGGAGGGAGGAGATCCCCTCTCCTTGAGCCCCCTCCTGTGGAGCGGCTTCCTGCCGGCCTGCGTGGCCTCTCAGTTAAGACTCCCCCGCTAGACAAAAGCCCCGCCGGCTGCGTCTCTGGGCCACTGGACAGCCCCCTTTTGCAGAGGCCTCGAGCGTGGGGTCACCAAAATCCCTGACACCTACTGTCCCGCGCCGGGTCGGACAGGATTACGAGGCCCCACTTTCCAGATGAGAAAACTGAGGTGGGGATCTTTTGAGACCTCACTGTGAGCGTGCGCGTCCCGCCCGGTCTGGGAGTGGCGTCCCCGGCCTCGCGAGCGTCGCGCAGTGAAGCGACAGGGCGTGGCGCCTAATTGTCCCCACGCCACGCGAGGGCTAGAAACCCGCAGTCGGGGCGGACCATCCCTCCAGGCACCGCCCCCTCCTTGGGACCGCTCCGCGGGGGCGCCAAGGGTTTCCCCAGCACCGCCCCGGCGGCCGCCAGCCAGCCGCGGCCCCGCCCATGCCCCTCCCCGCGGGTCTGGGCCCGCCCCTGAAGCGGGGAGGTGTCGCAGGGGAGCCCCCCGCTTCCGAGCTGCGGCTGCGCATCAAGTCCTTCGCCAGCGGCTCTCCCTGAAACGGGGGGTTTCAAGGCGTGATTTGTAGGGGTGTTTAGTATCCCCTAAATCTCTGCCAGCTCCACCATGGCTATCCGAAGTAAACAACAGAAGCTAATTCAAAACTGGGTCCCCTTCCAAAAAATTACAAAAATTAGCCGGACTGGGTGGCGCATGCCTGTAGTTCCAGCTCCTTGCAGGGGACTGAGGCAGGAGGATCGCTTGATCCCAGGAGGTTGAGATTGCAGTGAGCTATGATCACACCACTGCACTCCAGCCTGGTCGACAGAAGGAGACCCTGTCTCAAAAAATAAACAAAAAATCGGCCAAGCGCGGTGGTTCACCCCTCTAATCCCAGTACTTTGGGAGGCTGAGGTGGATGATCACCTGAGGTCAGGAATTCGAGACCAGTCTGGCCAACATGGCGAAACCCCGTCTCTACTAAAAATACAAAAATTAGCTAGACGTGGTGGCACGCGCCTGTAGTCCCAGATGCTCGGGAGGCTGAGGTGGGAGAATCACTTAAACCCGGGAGGCAGAGATTGCAGTGAGCCGAGATCGCGCCACTTCACTGCAGCCTGCGCAAGAGAGCAAAACTCCGTCTCAAAAAAGAAAGTTAGGAGCCGCTTCAGTGTACAGTGGGTGACCCAGATTGGCTGCTGAGGTCCTGCCCCCTAAGGTCCTATCTCAAAAGCTGAAGATTTTGAAAAATCCCAGGCCATCTGAGATGCCATTCCTGCCTGGTACCCATGGCCTCGACCACACTAGCCAGGTTCCATCTCGGGGTTTCATCAGCTCAGATGAGGTGGAGTAGGAGGCCTCTCTGGTGTCTCCTCCTCCCACCACTTAGTGTTGCCTGAGTTTCCATGGCTCCAGGATACTAGCCCTGAGGGATGGATGTTCTCAGAGAAGCTTCTGTCCCCGGGATGGATGTTCTCAGAGAAGCTTCTGTCCCCAGCCCTGCCCTGAGCTATAGGCTCTGATGGGGTAAGTTAGTCACCTTCCCACAAAACTGCCCACCACTGAGAATCCAGGAGTCCCTACCTCCCAGCCACGAAGCAACTCTCTTTTTCTGAGGTGGAACAGAAGCCATCTCCCAGCTGTCTCCCTCTCCACACTTTGCAGCCTGGAGGCCATCCTGCCTGAGATTCTACCCTTAGAGCTTCATTCTTTTGTGACTTTCACACCTTTCAGAAACTTGGAGAAAGATCTGCCCCCAGGTGAGGTTTGGGTAACTCCTCCACTCCCATCCCCACCTCAGAGGAGGCTTGCTCCACCTCCACTGCCCCTCAGGCCCAAGCTCCTGTCTGGGTCCTCAGCCTCTGTGGAGTTGAGGTCTGTAGCATATCTCAAGGGCACTGGGGAGGTGCCGCTGCCCTGCATCCTCCCAAACCCCACAGCTCCTCTCACCCCTTTTGGTCTCCCTTTTGCCCCCCACCTCCACTTCCACCAAGCTTAGGGCTCAGTTCACTGCCCGCCAGGCCCAGCTGCTCTGATGCCCTCCTTGTTCTATTGTCCTTACTGTCTCCTCTGTCTGCCTCATCTGACTTTGCCTTCTCTGGAGGCAGTTAATTCACCTCTGAGCCTTGGCCCCAGGGTCACCTCCCTGGAAAGCCTTCCTGGGGCTGCCCTGGCCTGCCCCCCTGCTCAGGACAATCTGGCCTGCATGTGCACTCCATTCTGTGGACCATGAGCCCCTCCCGGACCAAGCTGGGCACAGCTCAGCTTCTCACTAAGGGCAGGGGGCTGCCATGGAAAGCCTGTCACTTCTAACTGGCAAGACAGAGCACCCAGGTAGAGTGGCATTGTGGGAGCTGTACCCAGTATGGGAGGTGGGGGCAGCGGCCAGTCCTCATGGTCTGTCTTAGAGAAGCCTTGTGTGGCAGTGACATTTTGGAGGGGAGACAATTTTGGAGGGGGCTGCAGGAGCCTGGGCCTGGAGTAAGGGGAGAGGAGAGTCAAGCTGTCCAGTGGGGAGAAGGCCTGGTGGGCGATGGTGCCATCCTGAGTGGAGAAGGCCTGGGAATGTGAGGAGTGGGGAGGTCAGGGTGGGGGTGGTAGAGGTGCTAGGTGTAACCACTGCTTAGGTGAAGACAACTCCTGTGCCCTTTCAGAGCCAGGGCAGGGTGCCTCGTGCCCAGGGTTGGGAGTTGGGAGGCAGTGGACTTGGGCCCAGACCCTAGAGGTGAGGAGGGTGATGGTGAGGGGTGTAGGGATGGCAACACTGGCAGAATAGCCCCTGTCTACCCTCTGACCTTCCTCACCAAGCTGGTGGGTGAGAGGTCCGTCAGGGCCTCCATATTACAGCTGAAGCTATGGAAGCCAGAGAGGTACCTGAGCAGTGACTTGACTTAAGGGCTCTGACCCCCACATCATAGCTAAACTGTGGTGGCCCCCAAATGCTCCCCTGCCATTTCCAGACTTCCACACTGGAAGGGGGAACGTGGCTCTGGTGCAGACAGTGTTGGGTGGGGATTGCAGCTCCTCACGGGACTCCCTGCCGGACTTGGGCACCAATTTCCCCTCAGGAGTGCCTGCTGCGCCTCCCCAGACCAGCTGCTGTGAGGATAATGGGGTTTGTGTTCAGCAAGTGGCCACCCCTGGCAGCACCCACAGCTCATGGAAACCACTGGGAACTGAGAACTGTTTAGTGGAGTTGAGGCTGGTGTTTAGTGAAGTTCCAATCACCAGGAGACTTTCGGGCCAGAGGATCAGGGTTGAAGGGTTTTAGTGCGTGCTCAGCCAAAGGGCCTCAATTCTGAGTCTGAGAAGAGGCCTCAGAGCCTGGTGCTTTGGGAAGCCAAGACTACCCCAGCTCCAGGATCTGTCCTGTTCTCAGGTCCCACTGAGGCAGAGCCCATGGACTTGATGCCCAGCCCTGCCCGCTGTCTCTGGAACTCCTATTTCCTCGGGGCATTGGACCGTGTCTGCCCACCAAGCCCCACTGAAGGGTGCAGGTGAGCATAGGAAAGTTGGGCATGGCAGCCCCCTGGGGCCTGGGCTGAAGTCTGGCTCCTCTTTCCCTGGCATGTGCTCCAACAGGGCCCCCGAGCGGGACTGGAGGCGGGCAGAGAAGGACCTGTGGGAGCAGCTGGCAGAAAGCAGGCAGCAGAGGGCCGAGCTGGCAAGCCGTCTTCGGGCAGTGCCGGAGGCCCTGTCGGAGCAAGCCCTGGTGCTGCAGAGGCGGGAGCACAAGCTGGGACTTGGCTGGTCCCTAAAGCAGAAAGTGAGGCCCTGTCCTCCCCCATTCCTTCTTCCTGGGCTTTCTGTAGCTGAAAGGAGGTCCCCTGAGCTAGCAAGATCCCCTTAGCAGGCTGAAGCTCCAGAATGCCCAGAGCTGGTGTCCACATCTGGTGCCATATTCTCAGGGAGGCTTTCCGGGGTCTGGGGCACCCAGAGGAGAAAGGGAAATGGAGTCCCCAGCAAGGCTGCGGTGTTGAACAGAGATGTCTCTGAATGGTGCCCCTGGAAGGGTGCAGGGTGTTGCCTGAGAGGCATATGCTGGGGGTGGCTAGGGACACTGCTGGAGGTGAAGGAAGGGCCAGGGTCCCTGTGGCCCCCCAGGGAGAATCTGAGGGAGGGAGGGGCTGGTTTTAGCTCCATAGACTGAAGAGCTTCCTTAGAAGCCCAATCTCCCCGAGTGAAACAGGCGAGCCCCAGAGAGGGGGAGATGGCTGTGCAAGCTGAGGGTTCTTGGGAAGGTTACCAGGATCTCTGCCTCATGTGAGGGTAGGAAAGGGACACCGTGTGATGGCCCAGTTACGCAAGCCTTCAGTGACTCTGTGTCTTAGCTCACAGCTGGCCCACCTGGAGCCACTGCTCCCTACCAGGCCTGGGGGACCCTTGGGACCCAGTTGACAACCTCATGTCTGCCTGCCCTTTAGCATGCCACAGCAGTCCTGCTGGCCTCCACCCTGAAGCTGTCAGCAGCTGGAGAGCAGCTGGAGAGGCGGTGTATCTCGGGCCCAGCTGGAGGTAGAGATGCACAGCTGGAGCCTGTCGTGATAGATAACAGCCAAAAGCAGCCCCTCAGGGCCCCAGGGCACAGTCCCTTGTATATAAGCCAGGGCATGGGTCCATGTTGGGCTGTCAGCTGGGCTGCTGGCTGCCAGTCCGCCTGCGTTATCAAAGGCTGCAGACACTGCCCTGCCTGGTGGGAGGCAGGGAAGCTAGCCCTACCTATCTGAGGCTCTGTGCTGCCTTCAGCCCTCCCACTCAGCCTCCTCCTAGCAGGTGGAGTGCTCCCTGGCCTGCCTGGAGCAGGAGAGGCACCAGATGCAGGGATCCCAGGGACAGGCTGAGTGGAGGAGGCCAGACCAGAACATAGAAGACAAGTGAGTGGGGCTGGGCTGTGGGGGAGGGGTGGGGTGGCAGGGAACAGGCAGACCATCCCTTCTACCCACAGGATCCTGCTGCTGCAGACAGAAGTGGAAAAGGCCTAGCGGCATTTGGACCAAATGACCCAACAGCCTGTTGGCCCAGAGCCCAGCCTGGGGATCCCCCAAGTGGGTGCATGGCAGGCCCTGCGCACTGGCCCTGCTGTACCTTTGACTCTGCCCCACACTTTATTCTCTGGTCCTCATTATTGAAGCATTATCTAGAGAAGGAAGGCAGCGCAGGGGCTTAGTCCAGCCAAGAGAGGGATCCTCTTCCAACATTTGGGAATACCCTGGGATCATTCAGTGACTTCCCTCCTGGTTCAGATGGGAAAACTGAGACCAGAGAGCAGAGGAGAGCTTGTTCAGAGTCATAACTTGAGTTGGGGCCAGGACCCTGCCACAACATGCCCTGAGGCATCAACGGTCTGCCAAGACCACCCCAGTGTGGTCTGGAAGCTGGAAGGAGACCCCAGGATTCTGGACCAAGTGTATCTACAGGAGATGCTGGTGCCAGGCCTGCAGATCCAAGAGCAGAGCTGGGATGGAGGCAGGGCCCAGGAGCTTCGGGACCCAGAGTCTCCATGCCAGCAGCTGAGACCCCTGCCCAGGCTCAGGACACAGTCCGTCTGCAGGAGCAGTTGCTGATACTCACTGAGGTTGGTCAAGACAGCTGGCAGGGGCAGCCCCACAGGAAAGGGAATCTGGGCATTAGCTGATCCAGGCCATGCCCATCTGTACCAGGGGGCAGAGGCAAGGGAGCCTGGGCCCCATTCCTGGGGGATTCCAATGTAGGGCAAGGGGCTCTAGGGGCACAGAGGAAAGGAGAATGACCAGGAGAGAGAGATTCTAGCAGGGCGTCCACACAGTGACACTCCAGAGAGCACCATCCTCATCTTCACATAACTGGCCCCCCTGCTAGTGTGCAGCCAGGCACTGGTCCAGAGTCGTAGCCTGGAGTGTAGAGAAGCCTCTGCGGGCTGGGGTGGTCAGAGAGGCCTCCTGGAAGGGCTGAGACCCAGAGGAAGTGGAGTTCGGGGCCTCTGAGGAGGGGCTGCATGGGTAAAGGCTGGAGCTCCACAACCCTGGTGGAGGCTGAGCCACAACTCGGTGGGGTGGGGATCTCCCCAGGTGAACAAGAGACTCAGAAGAGCTGGGCCAGAGCCACCAGCAACTAGGGGCCTGCTTGGAGCAGCTGCAGCATCTGCAGGGAGAGCAGATGGTGTTGGGGGGCCATTGCAGGCCCTGGAGGCAGAGCACACCTGGCTACTTCAGGAGAAGGTGGGGCTGCTAGCAGCACTGGGTGTGGCCCCGGGCCAAGAGTCCTGGTAGGTGGCTGCTTGGGCCCATCCTCAGAGTGTCCAAGCCAGGCTGGGGTGGGGGCTCTGTTCTCACTGTAGGTGAGATGGCCCTCTCAGCAGGCGGTGGGCCAGTCTCTGTCACCAGCTGGCTGAGGGGGAATGGCCCAGAGCCCTAAACCCGGAATCACACGACCAGAGCCAGTCTCCCTTCCCCAGGTATCAGCGCTCCTGGTTGTCACATTCTGGCTCTTTTATGGGGTGGGAAATCTTTCAGCTTCAAGAAGTCCTGTCTCGCCTACATATGGCCAAGCCCCTCCTGCTGGCCCAGGGGCAGGTGGGAGGTGGGGGTGAGATGACCTTAGCTGCTGGGTGCAAGTCAGGGTCCTTGGGAGTAGAAGTGCCCAGTACAAAGGGGTTCTGTGTGTGCAGGGAGCCATGAAAGAGGCATCTCTGCCCCACTCCCCCTCCTAGTTCATAAGACAATAATCACTGAAAGGGAGTGGGGTGGGGGTGATCTGGGGTCCATGCTGTACCTGGACTGCACCATTTCTTCCAGTACACTCCAGGTCCTGGAGGTACCAGTGCCCCTCAGGAAAGAGCTAGAGGCACAAGAATCACATCCCAGGCTTCATGAGGAGATGGCTGAATATTGGAAGGCACGCTGGCACCGGCTGGCAGTTGCCCTGAAATTTAAAGAGGAGGAACTGCAGAGACTCCAGAGGCAGAGTGGGACCTGGCCTCCCCAGGTGGGCACTGTCTCCCACCTTCTTCTCCACCCCCTCAACCCCGTTCTCCCCATTGTCTTCCCCACTGCCCAGTCTTTCCCATACAAACCAATTAGTCTCTTACCCCTCCTTAGGATGCCCCCATCTTGATCCTATACTTCCTTCCCATTTTCTGCCTCTTCCTCATCATGCCCCATCATTCTCCATCCATGTTTTCAGCATGCATTTATTGAGCATCTGCTACATGCCTGGCCCTCTTCTGTGTGCAGAAGCAATGTCAAATCAGATCACTCCTTGTCCTCAACAGCTTATGGTTTGGGGGCACCCGGTAATTGAGTAAGCAATTATTTATTTATTATTGATTGATTTATAATCGATTGATTGATTGCATCAGGGTCTCTGTCACCCAGACTGAGGTGCAGTGGTGCAATCATAACTCACTGCAGCTTCAAACTCCTGGACTCAAGCGATCCTCCTGCCTCAGGTAGCTGGGACTGCAGGCACGCATCACCATGCCTGGCTAAGTTTTTTTTTTTTTTTTTTTTTTTGTAGAGATGGGGGTCTCACTACATTGCCCAGGGTGGTCTTGAACTTCTGACCCTCAAGCAGTTCTCCCACCTTGGCCTCCCAAAGTTCTGAGACTACAGGCATGAACCACTGTGCCTATTTTGCAAGTAATAATTTAATGTGCCAGATGAGGGAAGAGGCACAGTGGGAGCTGGTTAAGGGGTGGCAGATAGGAGAGTCCCTCCCAGAGAAGGGGTTTCTGAGCCTCTGAACCCTCACACAAGGATAGACAGGCATTTTCCAGGAGGAGAGAGGAAATGAAGGGCATTTCAGCAAGAGGAAACTGCACATACATATACCCAGAGAGACAGGGGAGGAGTGTTGTAAATAGCCCCTGATCCACTTGAGAAGGAGAGTGGGTGAGGGGGTTACTATGGACATGGGACAGGGGCCAGATCTAGGGTTTAGATGTCCCAGCTCCTGTCCACCTGACTTCACCTCCAGCTTGGTGGCTGCCTTCTCCTGGTCAGCATCCCTTAGTCTCCTGGGCAAGTGTATGTGTGCATGGACAGACAGACACACAGACATGCATGCACACACACACCCCCAGGATACACATCAGACATCTGCAGACACCCCCAGATATGCACACACACAGACACAGAGAGAGATACAGACACCAACGAGGTGCCTGGGAGCCATAGGGAAGTAGTATTCTAAGGACCCCATGTGGGATCCACGCTCTGCCACAAGGCACCTGACTGAAGCTGATCTGCTGATCTCGATGGAAGGAAAAGGAGAGAAAGCTTAGCTGGCTTTGGGCCTCATAAAGGTTGAGTTGGTCTAAATCAGTGTATCTCAAATGGGTACACAACTGTGCTCATAGGGGGCTGTTCCTTAAGTCTGCAGTGTAGTCTGCCACTATATATTTGTACAGAGGAAAATCTCAGTTTTTTGTTTTGTTGTTTTTTTTTTTTGTTTGTTTGTTTTTGTCTATTTCTCAAACCAGACCCTTGAGGGTCAGAAGATATATCCTCAGCGCCTGGATGGGCTATATTCTTTGGTCAAGTCTGAGGACTTGCAGTGGGCAATGTCAGTGAGAAGGTAGTGGAGTGACAGAGGGCTGGGCCCTCGGCAGATTTGTCTCCTAGCAGGAAGAGGTGCTAGGTGAGCCGGATGCACTTAACCTGCACGTGATGCATAAGCCAGTGCCACTTTGGGCCCCACATGCAGGGCCTTCCAGCCCCTCAGAGACTGTCCAGGCCATTTTTACTCCCTCCCTGGACCCCTAGAAGGCCAACCCAGGACTCACCTTCTACAGGCAGGTGGGGACCCTGGGCTCTGGGCCTATCCAGCAAGGATGGCCTAAAATGCAGACCCTGGGTCCTGGGCAGGGGTCCTGTGCAGAGTGGCTGATGAACCAGACTAGCAGTGCACTTCCAGCAGGGCGAGGCTCTTGGAGATGGGGCAGCAGCTGGATAGGGTCTGGACAAAGCCATATTGCATCAACGTCCGGCTGGCCAGGGGGTTCACGGGCTCAGCACCCAGCGCTCCCAGGGCCTCTGGCATGCTCCACCTCCAGTCCCATCCCCAGCCTCAAGCTCCTCCACCCAACCCTCTCTGGGTGTCTACCTCAGTCTGTCTTCCATCCAAGGATTCAGTAGTCTGCACTGTCCCCAGATTAGTGGCTAAGATTGTGGGTTTAAATCTTGGCTCCACAATATACTAGCTGTGTGACCTTGGGCAGTTCCTCTGCCTCTCTGGGCCTTATCTGTAAAAGTGAAAATAACAGTTATCCTCCCTGAATGAGTGCCTAAGAGGATGACATTTGACAAGCACGTGAAAACACATGGCATTCAGTCATGAAGCATTAGCCACTATGATTGCACAGTTCCTGCTGCTGCAGGTGTGGTCACTTTGAGGAGAAAGTTCTCCTCGAAGTCAGGGTCCTTTTGGGGCCAGAGAGCTGCCACATGGGGCTGGATCCCACTTACCCTCTGTGAGTTTGCTAGGGCTGTGATAACAAAGTGCTGAAGACGGTAGCTTCAATGGCAGGCATTCATTGTCTCTTGGTTCTGAAGGCTGAAGTTCAGGTCAGGGTGTCGGCAGGGTTGGTTCCTCCTGAGGCCTGTGAGGGAGGGTCTGTTCTAGGCCTTGTCCCCAGCTTCTGGTGCTTTGCCAGCAGGCTTTGACATTCCTCCAGGATGTCCGCGTGGTGTCTCCCTCTGTGTGTGCCCGTGTCCACATTTCCCCTTTGTATAGTCACCTTGGATGAAAGCCCAGCCTATTGACTTCATTTTAGTCTGATTACCTCTGTAATGATTCTGTCTCATTAGGAGGTACTGGGGATGTCAATATATCTTTTTGTTGTTGTTGCTGGGGATACAGTTCAACCCAGAACGCCTCCAATTTGCTTCCTGCTATCTTCCTGGCTGGGTGGTTTGGTTTGGGTGTGACTTGGGACTTCAGGGCCCCAGATGCTCCCTCTTGCTTTTCCCATCATGTAACCGCAGGACCCTTACACAGCTGCACAGGCCAGAGTGCACGCAGGAGGAGCTGCCGTGAGTCTGGGCGGGCACCATCCAGTGAGCCCCCAGGCCCCTAGTCCACATGCCAGCCAGGGAGGGCAGGCCAGGGCCCAGGAGGAGATCCGCTCCCCTCTGCAGGCTGGACCTGCCCAAACCCAAGAGCCAGGGTGAAGGTTTCTGCAGGCATGAGAGGATGGGGGAGCAGGGCCCCTAGATGGGGATGCAGCTGGCCCCTCCCCAGTCAGCCACAGGAGCAGGATGCAGGCTCTGGAGAGGGAGAATGACCAGATGGCTGCTGGGATCCAGAGGCAAAAGGTGGGCAGGAGCTGGGCTGCCTGGGGTGGTGTGAGGTGGCCCCACCTACAGTCAGGGCCCCCAAAGAACCCCTCCTAAGTACCCTAGAGCCCTCCCCAAGCCTGAAGTCAGGGGCCTTGTGCAATAAAGTGGAGGCCCGGGCTGTGCCACAGCCACAGCTCTTCTCATGGGGCCTCAGCTTCCTGATTGTTTAATGGGTCCCAAGCTCCCCACCCTGGCCCTGAGTACCGGGGAGCTCAGGCCCAGGGGTGTGGGGCCTCCAGGGCTACTATGGCCCATCTGTCCGTGAACAGAAAGGGCCTTGCCCTCCAGCTTGAGCTGGGTGCCTGTGGACAGAAGCAGGACTTTGGCCACCACTGGCACCAGAACCCTCAGCACCAGCTGCTAGGGGTGAGGGTCGGGTGCCCCCAGGTCAAGGTGGCCTGAGCCTGCCCACCCAAGGACAGGGACATAAGAATCTGGACAATCCTGCCAGCCTGAAGGGAGGGCAGCCACCCTGGAGCAGCCCAAGTGCTCCTGAGTCCTTGCCACCTCCCCTCTGCCCACAGGGCAGACCGCAGCAGAGACCCCAGGCCAGCCCCCGGAGTCTGCAAATGAAAGGTGGGTCCCACCTCACCCCTGCCCCACCCAGCCCACTGTGGCTTCTCCTGGGTACTACACAGGCATTTACCTGAGTGGGCACCAGCCAAGACCCACCCACACACCTCCAGCCCCACAGCCTGTGGGTGGGGCCGCTGGGAATCCTCACTGGCCAGTAAAGCGACGGGTTCCACAAACACTGATGGGACTGTGGCAGTCCCAGCTCTGCCACAAACTGGCCAGTGGCCTTGGCCAAGCCCCTCACTACTCTGGGGCTCAGGTTCCATCTGTACATTGGGTGTGGTGCTGGGGGGACTCTGGGGAGCTCTGACACTCAGTGATCCTATGACCCTGTTCAGTTTACTCACTGGGTCACTGTCCCTGCGTCGGTCTCCCCAGCTGTATAGAACTGGGCCTGTGCCACATTTGAGTTACCCAGTGGCCTTGGTGGAGCTAATGATGCACAGAACACAGAACGGGGTGGGGGCAAGGGGACAGGGTCCTGCTGTCCCTGCCACACCCCAGCAGCGTTTCTGCCTCCCATCCCCCAGGAGCTGTGGGAGCCCAGGTCTGCCAAGGAGCTGGAGTCTGCAGTGTGGACTCCACCAGAGGCCAATGGGTGAGCTCAAGGGCAGACTGGGGTGGAGCTGGGACAGCCCCATCCAGGGGTGAGAGCTGGTGTGGGGCAGCCCTGGTTGCCCTCCCTGAGATCAGGCTGGATGGAGGTGGGACCTCCCAGGCAGAGAACTTGGCTCTGGTCTCCCATTGCCATGTGGACTGGGCCCTCTGGGACCACACTGGGCCCTTGTTTCCAGGAGCTGGAGGAGCTGAGACAGGGACCATGTGAAGTGAAGGCAGGGCCTGGGCCGGGGGGCAGGGGTTGGAGTAGGAAGCCTGGCTTGTTGGAACCAATGAATTGGGATGGGGGTTCTCCATTGAGCACCAAGGACTCAGCCTAGACTCATCCCAGGCCCGTAACCCCGGCTGCCCTGTCCTCGTACAACCTCAGCGTGGCCCTGAGAGGGGACTAGGCCTCACTCCTTGGCAGGGTGGACTCACCAATTGAAGTGATGAAACAAGTGCGTTGGGGAGCGAGGCTTTGCGGGCCCAGCCCTGTGCAGGCAAACTGTGCAGGGACCCTGGAAAGGATGTGGAGATGGAGGGCGATGTGAGGCCTGCCCTCAGGGGCTCCTGGGCTAGGCAGTACTACCCGTATGGGGAGCGCTGCGGGACTCAGGGTAAAAGAGGGAGTGAAGGATCAGGGGTTCAGGGCAAGTGTTCTGGACTTCAGTCACCTGCACAGCTTGGAGGGGAAGGTGAGCCCTCTTGCCCCCTCCCCTGGTGCTGTTCCGTCAGCACTGCACCTGATGCCGCCATGGTGGCCTCTTTGGGGCGAAGAACAGTCCCTAGGAAGGCCCCTGTGAGGCTGGAGCTCTGAATCCAAGGGGGAGCGAAGTTCTTGGGGAGCCTGCAGATCAAGATACGCGCCAGCCCCACCCTCCTCCATCACAGACTTCTTTGCAGGAGGTGGGTTCAGAGCTGGCTGAGATGCAGACTGAGCTCGAGAAGGTCTGCAATGTGCTGGAAGCTTGAGACTCAGAGCTGAGAGCTGAGCAGTGGGCCCTGGAGGCTGCCCAGGACCAGGTGCTCAGCAGCTGCCCCCCTGCACTGTGCTTCCGACTGGCCTGCATGGCTCCCACAGGCTCCCCCATGCCCGATCCCTGCTGCCTGCCGCATGGTGCCCATGCAGGCCTTGACCTTTCCTTCCCCACACTCCGTCACTCAAGTTCCTCCCAAGCCCTTGCTGCCCACTGGGAGGGCTCAGCCTGGAACGTGTTCACTGCTTCCCCCCGCCCACCTCTAAGCTGGTGGAGAGCCTCCCTGAGAAACTGAGGCTGCAGCAGCAGCTGAAAAGGAGCTGGTAGAGAAGCAGTGACTGCGGGGTGAGGGGTGCCTGCATCTGAGGGGCTCTTTGGGGAGAAACCCCACCCTCCCTCCCAGAGATGCTCCTCAGCCCCCACAGCTCTTCCTCTTCTCTGAGAACCTGGGGCAGGGGGCAGGGGGGCAGGGGCATTTAGGGACACGTTGTGGAGGCTGCCCTCTCATCCCCTCAGGGGTTAGGATGGGTGGGGCTGAGCAGCGGCCTGAGGCCTGACCTATCTCCTGGTCTGCCTTCTTCTCTCTGAAGAGGGGAAGCCAGGGAAAGCAGCAGCAGGAGGGTGGGCTGTGGGGCACAGGGAATCAGACCATCTGGGCCCCTGGGCCTGGAGCAATGGATGGAAGGAGAATGGCAGTAGAACCGAGAAGTCTTACACTTCACTCTCCACCACTCCCCAGCTTGGCGAGCATGAGCAAGTCCTGCCTTCACTAAGCCTCACTATCCTCTGTAAAATGGAAACACGGACAGTACCTATGACACAGGATTGATGTGAGGATGACATGGGACACAGTGCACCGGGGACAGTGCTTATGTTCTCCGTCCTTCTCAGTTTCTCCTGTATCTGGGGTCCAGTTAGGCTGAGTCAGTACCAAAGTCATAAAACCACGTATATGTGCCCAGGGGCGGCTGCATACGGGCTTTAGTCCCAAAGCCTTTTTTTTTTTTTTTTTTGAGATGGAGTTTTGCTCTTGTTGCCCAGGCTGGAGTGCAATGGCGTGATCTCGGCTCACCACAACCTCTGCCTCCTGGGTTCAAGCGACTCTCCTGCCTCAGCCTCCCAAGTAGCTGGGATTACAGGCATGCGCCACCATACCTGGCTAATTTTGTATTTTTAATAGAGATGGGGTTTCTCCTTGTTGGCCAGGCTGGTCTTGAACTCCTGACCTCAGGTGGTCCACCCACCTGGGCCTCCCAAAGTGCTGGGATTACAGGCGTGAGCCACTGCGCCACACACAAGGCCTATTTTATGCAATGTTCAATCCATAAGGCTTTGTTTGCACTTCTTGTGATATTCAGGCAATAGTTTGATGTAATGCAATGCTGCCAGTGACAGACAATACAGCACATTCCCCAGGATGGCAACAGCTACTGGCTTGTGCTTAAATACCATTTCATTCTGACTGAGGTCATCATCTTTGAGCTCCTGCAATGAGGAGCTCAATAGGGTGGGGGATGCTGTCCTTTGCCTCAGGTGCTCTTTGGGTGCTTTCATAAAAGAGGGTCAGAGCCGCCGATGGGGTCTAGGAGACCCTAAGAGTTCTGATGGTCAGGCTGAGAATTGTGTCCTCAGGGAGTGGGAGCTGCTGCAGGTCTGAGCACCAAGGGCTCCAGCACCAGGACAGGAGCCTCCAGCCACCTCCACCTTGCAGCCCCTGAAGGTAGCATATGTGGACCCTCTAGATGGGGTGGGGAGTGACCTCTGCCCAGTTCCTTTCTGTCCCGTGGCCTTCCCATCTGCAGGTTGTAGAGGGGAAACAGAAGGCTAGAAAGGCCCTTCCAGCTCAGGCTTTTACTGGTTCTAAATGGATTCCTGAGCTGGCCTCCCCATCCCTGGACAGAGCGGAAGCTACCCCCTGCCCTGCCTCTCTGACCCCCATGGTATCAGCCTCTGTCTCATCTGCCCCCAGATCCCAGCCATGGCCCTGGAGCCCAAAGAAGGGCATCTGAGAAAAGTTGGAAGCCAGGGGCAGTGCCCAGGCAGTGTAGAGACTGTGCCCAGAGCCAGCAGGAGGCAGATTCACAGCCTCACTCTGCAGCACAAGAGATTGAGGTCAGGCCCTGCACCCCCGCCCAGTGAGCTGAAGGGTCCTGGCATAGAAAAGCTGAATTGAGAGGCCTCAGTGAGTTGGGCATGGTGGCTCACACCTGCAATCCCAGCACTTTAGGAGGCTGAGGCAGGTGGATCACTTGAGGCCAGGAGTTCAAGAACAGCCTGGTTAACATGGGGAAACTCTGTTTCCACTAAAAAATTCAAAATTAGCTGGGCGTGGTGGCACATGCCTGTAATCCCAACTACTCAGGAGGCTGAGGCAGGAGAATCGCTTGAACCCAGGAGGTGGAGGTTGCAGTGAGTCGAGATCGCACCACTGCACTTCAGCCTGGGTGAGAGTGAGACTCTGTCTCAAAAAAAAAAAAAAAAAAAAAAAAAAGGCCTTAGGCAACCGCGGCTGGGCAAGGACTTGGGAAGAGGGGAGGCCCGTTTGGCTGGCCTTCAGCCCCCAAGGCCAGGGTTTCTATGAGGCCTGAAGCCTGGAGCCTGTCATAGGCAACTGCAGTCTGAGGCCTCCCTGGCAGAAACCACTCCTTGTCCCCTCCCTGACACAGGCCTGAAATGCCCATGTTGGCACAATGTTGCCAATATGGCTCTTGGTGGATGAGACCACCTGGCACTTTCCCAGGGGACCCTGTGGCTAAGAGTAGAGCTAGGCAGGCACTGCCCAACACCATAGGGGGTGCTGCGGGCCTGTAGGCTTGGTTGGCCCAATTACTGCCCTAATGCCATCGGACAGTGCCCACCAGGGACTCTCTGTCTTGCCAAGGAAGGCCTTAGGCACTGGGCTTTAGACATTTCAAAGTGAGTTCTCATTCACTTGTGTCTCCGATCACACTAGAGTCCCCATTTCACAGACAAACTGCCCAGAGTTTGTCATAGGTCACACAGCAAACCAGCAACTAAGCCCCCTGGTCCCCTAATCTGCCCCAGAAAGGTAGTTTCTCAGCTGTTCTGAGCTTGACAGCATGAACATCCTCAGGAGCCACAGGCAAAGTGGGCTGAGGCTTGGCATTCCCCTCGAGGTCATCTGGCCATTCTGAACGCCCCTCCTCAGCCTGCTTCCTCCGGCTGAGCCATGTGCCCCCGGAACCCCTCTGAACTCTGTTGCCGATCCCTCCCTCCATCTGCGCCTTCAGTGAAGCAGTTTCTTAAAGGAGGGGTCCTTGGTACCGTGGAGGGACAGGACATCTCTGGGAATTCGTACCCAGCTGCGTTCGTGCTGAGTTCTTCATGACCCACTCCTTCCAGCGTCAGCTGGTGGATCCAGGGCTGGGTACTGAGCCGTACTGGACCAGTGGGCCCCCTCCCGGGATCGCTGGACTTGGAGCAGAAGAGTCCCTCCAGGGCTGAAGATTGGACACAGAAAACTTGGGAACTGTCAACTGCCCTGTTATTCACCTCGTGAAAAAAGCTGGATTTCTAATGAGAGCGAATGGAGGTGACAATTCCCAGAAACTGGAATTGGGATGGTGAGATTTTAGTTCAGCCGCCGGCGGTCTCATGCGTGGAGGTGATAAAGTTGAGCTTTGAGGTGGTCTTCAGAGGGAGAGGAATACCCTCTGCGGGCAGAGCTTCCTGGGTTCCGGGCCCTTCCGGACGTCAACACAGGTCCAAATGCCCTTGGGCTCCTCCGCACACCCTGGGTGCAAGAATAAATCCTTCTCTCTGCCGCCATTAGCCTGACTGGCTTCGGTTACTTCGCACAAAAAGCCCTTGCCGAGCAAACGTCCCCGGTGCTGCTCCAAAGGAGACCCCTGCCCTCCTGGAAGCTCCTCCCTGAGGCCGGGTATCCACTCGCCGCTCGCAGCCCTCGCTCTAGCTCCAGCTCCTGTTCCTTTTCCTGCCCACCCCGCCCAGTGAGGAGATCAGCACCCCTTGTCTGTCTCTGTGTCTGTCGGGGTTCGTGCCTCACTGTGTCCAAGCCCGGCTTCTATCCCTAGTCCCTTCCTGTTCGCGCCACTCCTGCTTGCTTTCTTCTCCCCTTCCCTCCAGCGGTGGTTCCAAACCTTCTCTTCCATAAGACCCTCCATTCCGTTTCCCAGAGACCCAGGGGTGCCCCTCGCAGGGGCAGAGGCGCAGCCTGTAGTGGATCTCCCTCCGCGCAGGGCGGGCAGTCTAAGGTCATTCCCGGTCACCCTGCCCCCTCGCTCCCATTGGCTCTGGGGAGGGCACGTGACTCAATCCTGGCCAATGGCGTGGCGGGGCCTGTGGCTTGCTGCCGGGCAGGCTTTTCTAGGAGCTTCTGGGGTAACGCCAGAGAAACCTGCTAACACACAAGGTTAGCTGAGAGTGAGCTCAGTGAGCTTTCCCTTTGAAGAAGGCGTGGGTGAAGGGGAGAAGGTTCAGGAGAAATCAAGGGGTCAGGAGTAGTTCACTCAGTCCCCTTTCACTCTGAAGGAGCTCACCTCTCCCCAGTACTGTCCAGTGGAAAGGCCACTCAAAGCAACTGAGAGAGACCTGCTTGTGTGAAGAGGTAGAGGTTTATTGAAATATAAACATTCGAGAACATGTAAGATAGAAAATAACCACAACATATAGACACTTGCTGCAGGAGGACATCTGAGGTATTTACTCACTGCCTAGGCTACCCATGTGCTATCACATTTTTCCTGGTTAGAATACATATAAGATGGAGAGCAGGAGGGGACAGAGCTGCCCTGGCTGATGGCACCTTCAGGGGAAGCTCTGCTTGGGCCAAGGCCCCACTCGTGGGGGCACCTGCTGGCACCCCTCATCGGGCTCTGGGTGACACCCTGCTGTTGTCCTTGAGGGCAGTGAGGGTTCACTCCAACGGTGTGGCCAGGCGAGCTGCCTGGGGAAAGGGAGAGGATCCAATGACCGGAAAGACACAGTGTGCTTTCCCTGCATCCTCTGGGTGGGAAGAGTCCATCCTTTGTGACCAAACCCCTGAGAAAGACATACTGGCCAAATGTCTGAGACACCTTCAAATGGGCCCAGTGCCAGCCAACTGGGCTCCTCACTGGCACCACGTCCCAGATGCCCTTCTCTGCCCACACCCTGCAGGCTGAGGCCAGAGGAGGTCAGCCCTCGGGAGATGGGGTATGTGTGTGTGTGTGTGTATGTGTGTGGGAGTGGGGGTGAGTGTGTGTGGAGGGCTGAGAGAAGACGCAGTTGAGCAGAGCTGCAGCTTACCGGGCTGAGGTATCTGTTTGTGCTCAAGCTTTTGATTCCCTTTCCTCTCCTACACAGGACTGAATGCGAGCCACGCTGCCACACACACCCACGCCACGCGCGGTGTCTCCCACTGCCACAGCCCCATGTCACAGTGGTGGTGTTCTGCTGAACATTCCAGGGCTTCCTCGACTGAGGTGAGCCGCAAGCGAATCAATTTTCTTTACAGCACAGGAGCTGCCTGCTCCCGCGCAGGGTCCAGGAGGAGCTGTGGAGTTATTCATCTCCTCATACCCTGGGGCGGCTCAACCTCTGGCAAGGCCAGCGAGGACCCCAGCCTGCCTGTGCCCTGAGCTGGGAATGCTGAGTGATGGGGAGGTGTCCTCTGCCTCCCTGGTCAGCTGGGGGTGGGGGTGTGGCAGAAAACGGTCTTCAGAACTGGTACAGTTTCAGGGCCCGACCCGGTGTGAGAGCGGGCCTCTCCACTCCACCTCCCCGCCCCCGCGATCCCTGAGTCGTCTCCCCTGCATGCCTCCACCCACCTCCTCACTGGGCTTGAGGGAAGGGCCAGAGGGGCCGGGTTACCCAATCACTTGCTTGGCTTTGGGGGTGATCTGTTTTCATTTCTTTGGTGCTACGATAAAAATTTTAAAATAAAAAAAAAACAAAAGTCAGCAAAACACATATAAAAAAGATTTCAGAGATGCAAATACTTCCTGAAGACTCAAACATCAACAATTACAAATCTGAGGTATTTCAATGAACCTGACATCGGCACGTGTGGGGATGGTGAGGCCAAGATGGCCCCATAAGAAATAGAAGAGGGCTGAGCTGAAGAAGGCTGAAGAAGGCTGGGGAGGACTGGGGAGGGCTGAAGAGGGCTGGGGAAAGGATGAGTGGGCTGTTTTTGGGAAAGCAGGCCAATAAGGGCAAGTGGGGAGCATGAGGTTTGGCGGGGGCGGTCAGAGAATGGTCCGTGTGAAGCAGGTGCCAGGGCTGGGCAGCCCCGAGGCTCTGCCTTCCCATCAGCAGATGCCCTGTGGGCCCTGGCCCTGAACTGCCCTCACAGCCTCTTCCTTCAGACTATTAGAAGGGGGATCTGGGGCCCTGAGGACTGATTCAAGACTTGTGTTTGAGGGACCCGTACCCCAGGAACCTAACAGTAGGCAAAGTGGGCTGGAAGGGCCCCATCCCATGCTCTGCAGAGAAGGGCATGAAGGCATGCTCTTGGCTCCTGGCAGCCCCACATGGGACTTAAAAACAGGGGAAGAGACTAGTGGCCCTGGGGTCATGGCAGAAGGCAGGGTCAGGGAAATAAATTAAAAGGGGAGGGAAATGGAGGGCCTCCAGCCCTGCGTCGGCTGACAGATTGTCGATACACTGTGCCCTGAGCTGGGAGGTGGCTGGGGAACCCTGGAGGAAGCTGGACACCCACAGACCCCCACCCAGTTCTCCAGGACAATCCCTGATTGGACAACGCTGTCTGTCCTGCCCCTCTAGCCTCTCCCTGCCCCCAGAGTACAGCAGGACCTGAATGGAGCCTGGACAGACGGACACGTCCAAACTCTCAATGTCTGGCCAAATGGTGCTCGTCGACGTGGGCTCTGTGAGATGAGGTAAATTCTGTGCATCAACTTCCTTCACTCTCGACAGGAGAGTGGCAAGTGGGAAGCTGGGTCCTGCCCATCAGAGGGACCAGCTGGTGGAGGGCTCTGCGCTGGGGGTGCCCCGGGATGAGGTAGGACTTGGTGAACAGTGAGAGCTGCTGCTGCTGCTGGCGCTGCTGCCGAGGCTCTGGGGAGCAGACCCCGTGATGAGGTGGACCACAGGCTTCTGGGCAAACAGCACACCTTGGTGGGTGGAAGAGAAGCAAGTGTGGGCAGAGGAAGAGCGAAGGGGAGGGCCAGCTCCTTTCAGTAAGTATTCACCGCTGGCCTAGCCTGTGCCTGACTCCGCTGTAGACACTGTGCTAGGGGGTGATGGGAGAAGATCCAAATGCTGTCCTGCCTTGAAGTGCTGATGGGCTGGGGAGGGGGACAGATAGGTCGACAGAGTAATTTTGCTAAAATGTCATAAATGCTCTGAGACAAGGTGTACCCAGGGTACACAAAGAGGAACACCAAGGCCAGGTGTGGTGGCTCACAACTATAATCCCAGCACTTTGGGAGGGTGAGGCAGGAGAATAGCTCAAGGCCAGGAGTTTGAGACCAGACTGGGCAATACAGCAAGAGCCTTGTCTCTATAAAAATTTTTTTTAAAATTAGCTGGGCATGGGTAGTCCCAGCTACTCAGGGGGCTGAGGCAGGAGGATCACTTGAGCCCAGGAGGTTGAAGCTGCAGTGAGCTATGACCGCACCAATGCACTCCAGCCTGGGTGACAGAGCCAGGTGGGGTGGGTGACTGGCTCCCTTCTTGTCAGGGGTTTGAGGAGCCTTCAACTTCTGACCCTTCCTCATTCTGAGAGGGAAGGAGTTACCTTCTCCTTTCTCCTTGACAGAGGACAAAAGGATATCAAGATCCAGGCCTTGAATTCCTACTTCCCTGCTTTCTCCATGGACCTAATTCCAACCCCCAACCCTCCCAAACCACAGCACAATGAAGAGGCAAAGGGCACCAGGCCCCACCTCCTCCAGGGGCCTCCTGTGACAGGTAGAGACCTCTGAGCAGAGTCTGCAGACATAGCATGACTGGTGAGCCCACTTGGCACCACTGCTCCTCTACACTCTGTCCTCTCTCTGAAGTGAGTGGCCCAGCAGAGATCCAGAGCATGCTCCCAGGAGGCCTGCAGGGCGGTGCTCTGAGGGAGTGTGGCCCTTAGAATGGGAGTAGGCCCTGAGGAAACACTCCCAGTTGTGATAGAAGGTGCAGTTGTAGGGCTTTCGCCTGTCTCCACGAGACACCTTGCCAGGCTGGCTGACACTCCGCATGCCCTTGGGCCCTTGGTAAAACAGGTGGGTGATGCCCTGGGCCAGGCCTGGTGGCCCCCACTCATAATACTGTGCTTTTTTTTTTTGAGACGGAGTCTCACTCTGTCGCCCAGGCTGGAGTGCAGTGGCGCGATCTCAGCTCACTGCAAGCTCTGCCTCCCAGGTTCACGCCATTCTCCTGCCTCAGCCTCCCGAGTAGCTGGGACTACAGGCACCCGCCCCCACGCCTGGCTAACTTTTTGTATTTTTAGTAGAGACGGGGTTTCACTGTGTTAGCCAGGATGGTCTCGATATCCTGACTTCGTGATCCACCCGCCTTGGCCTCCCAAAATGCTGGGATTACAGGCGTGAGCCACCGCGCCCAGCAATGCTGTGCTTAACAAGAGTCAGGTGGGCTTGTTCCCAAGCTCGTCCGTAAACCAATGAAATGGGAATGGGAAAAGGACTGCTGTTTTTATGAATATTAAGTTTTGTTTTTTTTTTTTTTAATTGAGACAAGGTCTTGCTTTGTCACTCAGGCTGGAATGCAGTGGTACAATCACGGCTTACTGCAGCCTCGACCTCCTGGGCTCAAGTGATCCTCCTGGCCTCAGCCTCCCAAGTAGCTGGGACCACAGGTGTGCACCACCATGCCTGGCTATTTTTTTTTGTATTTTGTAGATTTGGGATTTTGCTATGTTGCTCAGGCTGGTCTCAAACTCCTGGGCTCAAGTGGTCCTCTTGCCTCAGCCTCCCAAAGTGCAAGGATTACAGGCATCAGCCACCGTGCCCAGTCATGAATACTAAGTTAAACCCTTAGAAAGACTCTGTAAAGGTGCGAAATCAACCAACCAACAAAACACTGTTGCCAAATTAGGTTTAGGAAAAGATAACTGTAAAAGACTGGGGGGCAGGGAGCTTAACAATGTAAGCTGATTCTCCTATACTGGGGTTCCTTTGCCTGTGTCTCAGTCTGCAAAAGGAAGAGAAGAGCTGAATTACAGTCAGAGAAAGGCTGTGCATGAGAAGACCTGGGGATTGTGGGACACTGACTGACTTCTTCAATTAACGAGCCAACCACTGGTCTAAAAGGGTTAGGTGAAGGGTTTCTGCCAAAGTGGGAGGGACCTATCATCCTGTTAACAATCCACAGTCTACTAGTCCAGAGGACCACTTGACCTTTGCAACTCTGAGACCAGGAAAAAGGAAGCCACTGTGGGAGGTGTTCAGACAGAGGGTAAGAGGCAGGGCCAGCCGCAGAGCTGCCCTGTGGCTAGCTGCGGCCACGTGGGCCTCCCCCAGAGCTCCAGGGCCTCACCTGCATAGGTGGTGCCATCGATGTCCACAGACATGTTAATGCTCCCAATGCTACTCGTGGTCAGGTTCAGTGCTGCAGCCGAGGCCTCTGCTCTGTCTTCTGCTGGGGACAGGGAGACAGTGGGCCTGGTCAAGCCTTCCACAGCACTCCTGTTGTCCTCTCTGATGCTGCCTGGCCACCCCTGGTCAAAGCCTCACGCTGTTAAAAGGCATCTATGTAACCTTCTCCTGAGTGTAGGGTATGGCAGGAGATCCCAGGCTCGCCAATCTCCTGTTGCTGGCTTTTTCCACTGACCCAGTTCATCCCCTCAACTACCTCTGCTCCCAGAGAAAAGGAATCACAGTAGGCAAGGAGGCCGGCTCCGGCCCCACCACTCTGCACTGGCACTTTCCAAGTGACGGGCAAACCCTGAACTACACTATACACCAGGCCCAGGAAATCAGAGATCAATGAGACCCAGCCCCAACTTTGAGGACCCACCTGCCCTTTCTTTCCTTTGACTCTGAGTCCCTCAGAGAGAGGAGTCTACGCCCTCAGCCCCTCCCCTCCATGACCACCCAGGCAGCTGGCGTTTGTGGAAGCCTGCAAGTGCTGGCACACACGGCCTTTGGCTGGCTCACCCCAGACTCAGAATTCTTCCCGGTGAGCTGTCTTTTCTAACAGCCCTTTGCTTTGTGCAGGAGCAGGGTACCTGGCCCTGGATGAGCTGTTACCTCCCAGTTTCCTTCTGGTCCCCAAGGGCAATGGGGTAGGAGGGGCAGCCTGGGAATATGTATAGCTCCCTTCACACCTGGCTCCTTCCCACACATCTCATTCATGTTTGCTTTGAGATAGCATCAGGACCAGAATGGGAAAGAATGTGTGTGAATGGGAAAAGGGGCGTGTGGCTTGAGGAAGAGAATGTGGGGCACCAGAACAATGTGAAGAGGAAGGGAAAGGATGTCAATTATGCTGCCAAACTTGTGTTTCCTCCTTCTGTCTATATTCCTGAGTCCCACTGTCCAGCCCGGGGCAACTTGGCCCCTCGCTGAGCCTCAGGAACATGGGGTGTCTTCCTCCCAGACCTGCAGACGGTGCCCTGCTCTTGCCTACATCCAGTGAGGTGCTGGGGTAATGGCTGGTGGGGAAACGCAGCAGCTCTCTGAAGGCCTCTGGCTCCTCCTCTGTGAATAACTGCTTTTCCCTCTTACTAGAGAACAGGGCACTGCCTGAGGCAACATGTGGTCCCCTCTACCAAACAACCTCAGCTTGGTGAACTAAGATCTCAGTGCCTCTCTTCTAGGGGCCTGGAAGGCAGAACCTGGAGGGGCCTCTTCCAGGTCAGGAGTATGTGCCTCACCACCCCTGCCCCACCAGTCCCAGGAGGCGTGAATGGGCTTGGGGTTTCCAGGAAGGGAAGGCCCGGCCCTGAGCCTGGCTCACCCCTGCCGTTGATCCTGATCTTCATGGGGAGCTGCCGTGCCATGCTGAAAAAGTTGCGCTGGAAGGCCTGCTGCACCAGGCGCTGCTCCTCCTCAGACAGCCTCGATGCCTTCTTCTCAGCAGGCTCCCCTGACTCCAGCCGCTCCCGCAGCTGCTCCAGTGCGGCGGTCCGAGTACCAGCCTGCTGGCTTGCCAAGGTCACGGGCACAGCCAGACGATTTGGCACAGGCACTGTTGTCACTGGGGCTCCATCACCTGCAAAGGAACTGGAGCTGGACCAATCCACAATTGACCCTCTTGCCCCAAAACCCCAGTCTTGAACACAGGGAACTGGCATCCCTTCCTCCCTTTCTTCCTTCTCCCCCAGGAGCCCTGCTGACCTTTCCTGAGAGTGGTTGCTGGGGATATCCGAGGGCTACTGGTATTGGTACCACTGCTGGAGCCAAGCCCAAGGATGGGAAAGCGGATCTTGGGTGGGGAGAGAAGGGCAGGGGCCCCGGCAGCGGCAGCAGCAGTAGCCGCAGCAGGTGAGTAGCCAAAGAGGGAGGAGCTGTAGCTGGGCCGCCGGCCCTCCCTGCGGTTGCCATCAATTGCTGCCTGGAGCTCGGCTGGGGAACTCAAGGCTTTCTTCTCACACTCATAGGCATACAGATACTTCATGTACCTGGAGGAAAGGAAGCAAGCAGGGAGAATAATCCAAAACAGCACCAGAGACCACCCAGTTGAGGTTGGTGGGTCTCTGGAAGCAGTCTCTGTTGGGCAGGACTCTAGGGCAAAGGATTGCAACCTTGGTATACTTGGCAGAAAAGTCTGGGATGGCCGGACACTCTGCCCCAGCCTCCTCTGACTGCCACTCAATCCTAAATAGGCTCTACTTTGAAGCACCATTCATTAGGGGAAATAAATAACATCTTAGTTGGCGTTTTCACATTTGTTTTGAAGCCCTGGGAAAAATTAGGCCCATGTTTTACAAGGGCTTTCTGACTTCTTGATCTTATAACCATTCAGAGCTGGGCTAGTCAGATAGGAGCAATTCTTCCCATTGTGCATGGGACCTAGACACTGTCATTCTTTGTGTCTTAGGTCCCAAGAAGCAGTTCTCTACCCAAGAACCTTGCCATTCTGGTTGTAGCTACAACATGCTACCTAACTGATGTCAGTTGTTCATTGCATACTCTTCACAGAACAACTTCCAGAGTGTTCCAGAAGAAAAGATTCCTCTCTGGCCCTCATTCTTCAGTGCTACTATTGGTTTCACCGCTTCCATCACCCATGTAATTAACTCAAATGCTGACAAAACCAGGTCACCAATCCAAGGGGGCCTTCCTGCCTGCCTTTCTCTGGGTCCTCTGCCGCTGGGTAAGCTGAATATCAGGTAAGAGGGGCCACTTGGGGTGGAGATGCTGTTTGGAAGACAATGTCCTGGAAGGGGCACAGGTCTTAGAGACAGAAGCCCAGGTCTGAATCTCAGCTCTACCACTTACTGGCTGGTATATGACCTTAGCCAAATTATTTAACCATGGAGACTTCATTTTTGTAATGTGGGAAATGGGGGCATACCTACTTTACAGGGTTGACTGTGAGGTTTAAATGAAATAGTAAAGTACCAGCACAGAGTAGACACTTGGTAAATGGTGGTTCTCATCACTACTTGGTTTAGTGAGGGATTCATCTCAGAAAGCTCCCCACTGTTTCGGGAATCCACTCATCTTGCTAACCATACAAAGGAATTTCCTTCCTTCCTCTCCTCTAGGTTACAACATCCCCTTTCTCCAGCCTCAGCTTCCTTCTCCCAGGCCCTGGCCACTCACTGCGTCCTGAGGGTGAAGGCGGCGCTGGTGATGGATGTGGGCAGGTTTAGGCCTTTGGTGATCTCCCTCCAGATCTTCTTGTTGATGATCTCCACCAGGCCTCCCTTCTCGGTCACCAGCTTATACAGCATGTACAGGTCCAGGATCTGTTTGGCCATGATGGGGATTCGGTTGATGGGGGTCCCTGTGGTTGTCCAACGAGAGAAAGAGACAGCGGGATCATCATCAGGCTGAGAAGAAAGATTCCGTGTATGCCCACCTTTAGCCGAGCTGGAAACAATGCTCATCAACCTGGAAGTGTAATTTAACTCAAACTCCCCAAGCCTGAACACTCAGACTAGCTGTCAGGACAGGTCCAACGCACAGGCTGTGTGGGCCTTTGGCAAAGCACTTAGCCTCTCTGGTTCTGTTTTGCCGTCTGTAAATAAGAGGGCCAGACTAGATGATTTCAAAGGTGCTTGTTTTTTAGTTCGTGTGTGTGTGTTTTTGTTTTTGTTTTGCTGGCAGTATGATTCCAGACTATTCCTAGTGATCTGGCGACTTATCTCTGCAGCTTTCAGACTCCATTCAGCGGCAGCTTCCTCTGGGATGCCTTTCTCTGACTTCCTAGAAGGGGAGCCCTGCCTAGTCACCCTCCTGGCAGCGCTCAGTGCTGCTTATAAGAGTGTGCTCGCTGGCTGGGTGCGGTGGCTCACGCCTGTAATCCTAGCACTTTGGGAGGCCGAAGCGGGCAGATCACGAGGTCAGGAGATCGAGACCATCCTGGCTAACATGGCGAAACCCCGTCTCTACTAAAAATACAAAAAAAATTAGCCTGGCATGGTGGCAGGCGCCTGTAGTCCCAGCTACTCGGAAGGCTGAGACAGGAGAATGGCATGAACCCGGGAGGCGGAGCTTGCAGTGAGCCGAGATCACACCACTGCACTCCAGCCTGGGCGACAGTGAGACTGTCTTAAAAAAAAAAAAAAAAAAAAAAAAAAAAGAGTGTGCTTGTTTGCACATGCCTGCTTTCTCCTCTCCTGCTTGATGGAGAAATGGTTTATTTCTCTCTCGTGTGCCCCGCCATGTCAAAGGAGCTGCTGGACACACAGGTCTCCAGAGGAATGAAAAGCCACTCAATTCTCTCCCCACACCAATCACTCCACCCACTCCCTGGCCTCTGAAAGGGGGAGGGTCAGAGCAGCTTCCACCCAATGGCCCCGAGGGGAAGTGAGAGGAGCCAGGGACTTGATTAGGAAACCTGGCACCGAGGAGGAAGGGCTACTAATGAGCACCAGGGGATATGGTGAGGGCGGGGCAAGTCCTTTCACAGCCGGCTGGGATGCTCATCAGGAGGCGTGATGGATGACTGTCATTTGGCAGCCTCGGGATTAATGATCTGGAGGTCAGAGGGGAGAATTCCACAGGGAAGGGTCACCGTCCAGGGCAGGGTATGAGACTTGTTGCCTTTTGATGGCAAACTCCTTTTACTGTACACAGACTACTGCTCCTCTGCCTTGCCCCCTCCCATTGCCCCAGTCTCGCTGAGGTCTCACTGGGCTGCCTGGTGGACCTTAAACCAACCTGAGCAGGGAAGAGCTGTTTGTTTCTGCTCCATCCGCCTTCTTTCCCTAAAGGCACAGCAGTTTTCTCAGCTCTGAATGGCAGCCTCACCAACTCTTTTACAGGATGGTTCAAGCCAGAGAATGAAAAGGAAGCACTGTGGGCATGGATATGTGGGGCTGCTGCGGCAGGACCAGGCCTCTTCTTCTTCTTTTTTTTTTTTTTTAAAAGATAGGGTCTCACTCTGTTGCCCAGACTGGAGTGCAGCGGTGCAATCATGACTTATTGCAGACTTAACCTCCAGCCATCCTCCCACTCAGCCTCTTAAGTAGCTGGGAATACAGGCACACACCACCACACTCAGGGAATTTAAAAACATTTTCTGTAGAGACAGGATCTTCCTATGTTGCCCAGGCTGGTCTCAAACTCCTAAGCTCAAGCAATCCTCCTGCCTCAGCCTCCCAAAGCACATGGACTGCAGCGTGAGCCACAGCACCTGGCTTAGGCCTCTTTCCTAAGTGTGGGGAGGGGGTTAGTGACCTTGAAGACCTTTATCTTGACCTGCTGGTCCTTGGAGGGTCAAGGACAAAGGGGTCATGGAATTAGATCCACAAATTCATAGGTAAAATAACAGAGGATTACGGGCATACTCCTAAGACACACAGCTCATGTGCTGGTTGACTTCTCCCAGTGCTGTTCTGGACAGTAAACCTTCCCCCTACCAGAAAGACAAAAGCCCCCAGCAGGACAGGGCTAACGTCGACCTCCTTTTGGAGGCCTATCTGCCCAAACACACCCATGGCCTTGAGTCCACACCTTCCAAGGCATTACCTGGAGTGTCTGAGAGGACCACTCCCCAGGTCCCCTCACACAGGGCTCCTAAGCTCACATTTCCGGAAGCTCCTAGGGCATCTTCACACGTGTGACCCGTTTACTTCCAAGTCAGAATGTTTGTGCTGGGCTCATCTTCATTCCCCTAAACTAGCTCCCTTTCCCCACACCTCATTTTTTCCCAGCAACACTACCACCCTTGGAAGTTAGGCAGGAAGGCAGGAACCTCGTGTCAGCACTGGCTCCTCTCCTCTCCCTATCACCCACTTTCAGGGTGTTAGAAGGCTTCATGATTCGTCCTTGGAGGTACCTCTCAAAGGCATCTTCCTTTTTGGCCTGCAGCCACCATCCTGGTCCAGGCCCTCTCTGGCCCACAGTTAGATGCCTGCAGCAGCCTCTTAGCCATACGATCAACTTGAACACTGCAGCCAATCTTATTAAAATACTACTTTTACCATATTACTCACCTCCTTGTTTAAAAACCTATGAAAACTCTTATTGCTTACCTAGCCCATCTCACATGTCCAATCGCATGACCCATGTTCCTCAACACTCCCTTAGAAGATCACATGTGAAGTATTCCTGGCATATCCAAGCAACTCTCTTGTACTCCAACTCACTGGGCCTTCTCCCTATTGCCCCCAAAACACGCTCTTTTGTGCCTCCCCTCAAATCCTTCACAGTGTTCTTCCATATCCACTCCTTCCAGGAAGCATGTTCTCACTACCCCAGTTCATGTGGGTTTCTTCCCTCTCAGAATTTCTATCATGCCCCTATAAGTTTAGCAAATTGTCCTTCTCTAATTGTTTCACATCTGTCCATCCGATATCCCAGGAGGACTGTCAGCTCTATGAAGGCAGGGGTTGTCTTTCCTTTACCATGCCTACCATGCCTTATAGTGTTAATAAATTAACCTACCCAGAAATGTTTCTCGAGGTCTCACTATGTTGCCCAGGCTGGTCTCAAACTCCTGGACTCAAGCAATCCTCCCACTTCAGCCTCCCAAAGTGTTGGGATGACAGGCGTGAGCCACGCACCCGGCTGAGATTTTCTAGTGTGGTTCAAACTGCCTCTGAAGGCAACTCCCCAGAGAGGAATTACAAATTCATTTTGAGTAGTCATTGGACTAATTGCCTGGCTGTTTGAGATGGCATCTTTGAAGGACAACATTGTTATAGATGTAGAAATTTCATTAAAAATTAGCCTCTTTATAGTCACACACAACGTGACTGTATTATATTAGACTGAGAACTGCTTAGGGCCAGGGGAACAATGGCAGATACAGAACCTGAGGAGACAAGGAAGGGTCACAGTGGTGTCTGAAGTCAAGGTTGTAACCTAACTAATAAGTGATCTCTTCCCAGAGGGGAAAGTGTACTCTTCTGGGAACTGTCATCACACTACAGAGAAACCGCAGGTAAGAGGTGCACTGGAAACCGTGGTGGTGGCCCCTGCACCCTGCTGTGTGGCCCAGCTCCACCCAGGGCATACTTGGGAAGCTGTTTTCCTCACTCCACAGTGAACTCTCCTCACACGAGCCCCCATGCCCTGATCAGGCACCCTGGTTCTGGAGATCAAGCTGATAAGGAGATTGGGCGCATTATTCCCTGTGGCTGGCCCTCTGTGAAACTGTCAGTGGCTCCCAGTGCAGGCTGGCCCTTGGTGCCATCAGAAACAGAGCGGAGGCTATGCCGAGGGCTCTCTAGATGACAGTGGCGCTTTCTCCCATCAGATAATCCAGACACAAAAGCCTGCCGCGTCTTTGATTCTTCTAACAACTGAGAGAAGCAGAATCTGCAGGTTGGTCTCAGCAGTTTGCTTTGTGCTTAATGGACCTGGTAGCCATTTCTCTTGTCCAAAGTAGATTCTACTATGAAGAAAGAGAGAAGGCCTTTAAGCTAAGTTTACCTGCTGAACAAGAACCAATAGGCAATCGACAGACTCAGGCCTCAGTTTCCGCAAATGTGAAGTGAGGAATTTGGACTAGATGATTTTCAGTTCTAAAGTCTATGAATAAAAAATTAAAACAAAAATTCTGCTGATGTACCTTCAAACCAGCAAGATATAAATCGATAAACAAAAATTGACAGTTGTGATTATTACCAAAGGGAGAATCACATGGTTTTAGGAACTTGCCTGAATTAGAGAGTAATATTGTCAAGTGGCCTTGATACAGATAGTTTGAGATTTTCTCTGTGAAGGGCCCCTGGCTTAAGGCCAGATTTGTGAAGTTCACGTCCACAAGCAATGGCTCCTTTCCCAGTCTTTGCGGGAGGGAGCAAGGGGTCTCTGGCCTGCTCTCTGGGCTGTATTCTATCTTCCTCTAAGGAAGCTCTTCACCTGAGAGAGAGAGGCCTCTGTCCACAAGAAATGCAAAAGCAACCCACAGAGCACCAGGAAGGAGGCAAACACCCACTGAAGAGAGATCTTTGTGGGTCACTGGTGTTGGCCCTACAGGAGACCAAATCTCCACCCCCATCATGCCTCCCAGAAGGGGGTGAGCACCTGATGGGGAAGCCTGTGGACTGTCAGTCACTGCTATCAAAGCAGGAGCTGGGATTGAGGGTAATTAATCATGCTCTCTCTGACAGGAATCCAGGGCCTTATCTGCACCCCAAGAAGTGCCACTGGTCTCCAGTTCCCTCCTCAATAAAGGAGACTGACAGTTGCAACAAAGAGGCCCCTTATCAGATTTCAGCCAGGGAGCCTGCAGCCTGAGGGACGGATGTAAAAGGCTTTTATGAGGGCCATGGACCCAGTGAAGCTGGCGGGACTCCTGGGGCTTTAACCCTTGTTGGTGGGAATGCCGCTGGGCGCTGGCACTAGCAGGCCACAGCTGTGATCAGGAGCTTCCAGTGCAGATGTGGCCAAACAAAAGCTGCTCCCTGGTACTTTGTTTTCCTTCCTGCCACTCAGACAACCAAGATGTAGCTGGGGATAGGGGTGAGGGCAGAAGAGATGGCCTCTTCTGGCTTTGGAGACAAAGATGAGAGATGGTAAGAGTGTTGAAGGGAAAGCCACTTCCTCCCCATTGCAGAGAATGGGCCGGTTCCAGGGAAGTCCAGAAGCAAACAGGGGCAGGGACCCCAGACAGACTCATATGGCTGCCTTCCTGCCCACTGGGCAGGGGTGAGGGCCCAGGACCCAGGGTGTGGCCCTGCCAGGGACCCTTGCTGCTTTTTCCAGGCTTTGAGAAAGATCATTAATCATTTCCATAGCCTGACTGTCAAGAGAGCTGACCAGAGAGCCTGGAAGAGTTAAGACCTGTGTTAAGCAGGGAATGTGCGCAGGCAGGCAGGCTTCCTGAACATTCCTCTGCATCTTCATTCTTGCCCTGCTCTAGAACTGCTCCCCAGAAGCCAGCAGAGAAATGACTGCTGATTTCCCCCCATGACTTGTTCATATAGAGAATATCACAACAGATACTGGCAACTACTACAGGGGACAAGGGCTGAAAAACTACCTATTGGGTACTATGCATACAACCTGGGCGACAGGATCAATCGTACCCCAAACCTCAGTGCCCTGCAGTATATCCATGTAAAAAACCTGCACATGTACCACCTGAACCTCTAACAAAAGTTTTAATAGGAAAGGGAAAGGAAAAAGAAACGGGAAAGGAAAAGGAAAAAGGTCTCCCACTGGGAAATCAGGCAGCAGTGTCTGGTAGTCTGCCGTGCAGCTTGTAGTTGCACTGTTCCACAAGACAGGCCAGAGGCAAGCATGTGCCAATATGCTAGTATAGACTGACAAGAATCCTTAAGCCTTCCACCTCCAACTGCCCACTGAGTGGGTCTAACTTACATATGGTATAGTGCATTAACCTTAACCATACAGCTCACTAGATGTGTACTTCCAAATACACCTCCACAACCATCCCTCAGATCAAAATAAAGAACTTTTTTTTTTTTTTTGAGACAGAGTCTCGCTCTGTTGCCCAGGTTGGAGTGCAGTAGTGTGATCTTGGCTCGCTGCAAACTCCACCTCCCAGGTTCAAGCGATTCTCCTGCCTCCGGCTCCCAAGTGGCTGGGATTACAGGCGCTTGCCACCATGCCTGGCTAATTTTTGCATTTTTAGTGGAGACAGGGTTTCACCATTTGGCCAGGCTGGTCTCAAACTCCTCACCACAGATGATCCGCCTGCCTCAGCCTCCCAAAGTGCTGGGATGACTGCCGTGAGCCACCATGTCTGGCCAAAACACAGAACATTTACAGCACCCCTAGAAAACTCTCTCATGCCTCTTTCCAATCAATATCCATCCCTCCACCCTACCCACTCTGGAAATAAAATGCTATTCTGACATATATTTTTTTGAACTTTATATAAATGGACTCACATAGTATATATTCTGTGTCTGGCTTCTTTTGCTCAATATCAGGTCTGAGAGTCATCCCAGCTGCGTAAAGCAGTAGTTCACAACTTTTTTTTTTTAGGTGGAGTCTCACTCTGTAGCCCAGGCTAGAGTGCAGTGACATGATCTCGCCTTACTGCAGCCTCTGCCTCCCAGGCTCAAGCACTTCTCTCACCTCAGCCTCCCAAGTAGCTGGGACTACAGGCAGGTGCCACCACATCCAGCTAATTTTTTTTTTTTTTTTTTTGGTAGAGATGGGGTTTCACCATGTTGCCCAGGCTGCTCTTGAACTTCTGAGCTCAAGTGATCCACCTGCCTCACCCTCCCAAAGTGCTGGGATTACAGGTGTGAGCCACCGTACCCGGCTAGTTCATAACTTTCTACGGCTGTGTAGTGTTCCGATATGTGACTATGCTACATTTATTTATCCATTCTACTACTGATGGACATTGGAATTCTTTCCAGTTTTTGGCTATAATGAATGGAGCTGCTATGAATATGCTTACCTGTATCTTTCAGTGAACACAAGCACTCATTTCTGTTGGGAATACACCCAGGAGTGCAACTGCTGGGTAACAAGGTCCAGGTATGTTTAGCTTTAGCGAACACTGCCAAACAGACTTCCAAAGTAGTTGTATCCCTTTACACTCCCAGCTGTAATGCATGGGAGAGCTGGTGGTTCTACAACCTTGGAGGCTAATTTTAAACTCATTACCTTTTTTGCTACTCCAGCTTGGACTAATCTCTTTAGGTGAAGTTCAACGGTAAATGTAATATTGTATTCTGCTATGCCTAACAATAAGATTATGGTGGCTGGGCGCGGTGGCTCACGCCTGTAATTCCAACATTTTGGGAGGCCAAGGTGGGCAGATCACCTGAGGTCGGGAGTTTGAGACCAGCCTGTCCAGCATGGTGACACCCCATCTATATTAAAAATATAAAAATTAGCCAGACGTGGTGGCAGGCGCCTATAATCCCAGCTACTCGGGAGGCTGAGGCAGGAGAATGGCGTGAACCCGGGCGGCGGAGGTTGCAGTGAGCCGAAATCGCGCCACTGCACTCCAGCCTGGGCGACAGAGTGAGACTCTGTCTCAAAAAAAAAAAAAAAGATTATGGCTATGACAACTGCATTCGGAGAAACTGGCCAATGAGTCAGAAGGAGGTGGACTGCAGGGTCTTCCCTGCTTTGCCTGCCACTGGGCAGATCTGCCTGGCATCTCCAGGAGAGGAGTGGAAGGCTGGCTGGGCTGGGGCACACCTCATGGGCCTTCTGGCCTGAGCAGTGCACGGCTGTCTGAGTTTCCAATGCTGTTGTGCCACTAGACTCTCAAAACCCAGCAGAACTTCCCCATGGTGTAAGCAGGCCAAACACTCACTGCAACTTTTCACCATACCAACTCTTAGATGATTTACTGAATATTGGTTCACTTTGGGACAAAAGAGGCAAAACTATCAAATAACTCAATTTTCCCATGTGTTAGAAATACCAATAAAAGATTTTGAAGGGGAAGAGGCTGAATTTAACGACAAAAGCAGGCTATTCAAATTAATTGTGACTTTCAAAAACCAGACTCCCTTCCTATGATCGTGGATAACTGGGTATTTATAGAGTATTATAATGACTATTAAAAATGGGGGAAAAACCAGTATATTTTTTTAACAGCAGCTGGGTCACCTAGAGAGAGAAAAGGATCTGGCCTGAGACAAAGGGCTAATCCAGACACTAAAAGATTTGCATTTTAGACTTTCATTTCGGGATAAAGTTAGAAAATGAAGCCCCAAAGCCTATATCGTCTGAAAAAGACAACATATTTTCGTCTGCCAGGAAGGGTGTCCAGGGCACAGACCATTTATGGTAAGATACAAAGAATATACAAGAAATTGCCTCCACCAAAAGGCAAAGCAATATATGTCATGAACATTTCCTTGCCTGAGATGGATAGATAAGCACACAACAGAAGGAAAAACACTCAAGTTGCACTTTGAAGCAGACCAAGCCCTTTTCCCACAGTAAATTCTTTGTATATACACATCAAAAAAGATCCAGCAATCCATTTGGGAAAACCAAGGTCAGTTTGCAGCCTTGAAGAGAACTGATGGGGGCGGGAGGGCAGGTCTACAAGTGAGGGCTTGACAAAACTTGTCTTCCATGTGACCAGGCAGTTCCTTAGCCTGGTGTGCCCAGATGGGGCAGGGGCAGGAAAAGAGAGCCTTGCTTGTGGGCATTCTGGGTGCCTCCTGTGTCTCCCAAGCCCTACCCCATCCTGCCTTGACAGATGGCAGCCTCTGTGCCACTCTGAGTTGTCACATCTGCCCTTCCCTATTTCTCTGAGAAACAGCCCTGACCCTGAGATGAAGACCCATCTTGCACATCAGGTTCTACCCTGTGTTCATCAGCTAGATGCTCAGAAGCGCTACTGAACGGTGGCCTGTGGAGGCAGGCCACCACCCTCTTGGAGGCGGTGAATGCTGCCGAAGACATGAGGTTTGCCTGCTTCTCCAAAGGGGAGTGATGGGGTTGCTAGCTCTAGGGAACAAGTTTCTCAAAGATAAGGCAGGAGAAGCAAAGCACACTGGCCTGGGAGTTAGGAGACCGCGTGCTAAGTCTGCTCTGTGGCCTTAGGTGAGTCACTTAACCTTGGGGCTGCTTCTTCAGGGTTACAGGTGATAACCTTTGCTCTCTCTACTCTACAGAGCTGGAGCTGAGGGGAGCAGCAGATCAGATAATGGGTTGCAAGGGTTCTGTAATGTGTATGGTATAATAAAAATGCAAGTAACAGTAAAATCACCATTATCGTCATCATCATCCTGACTCTTTAATGAAACCACACTTCTGTTTCACCTCCTAGGGAACAAAAAACAAGCTTTTCTTCCTCACTGATGAAGGAAAAATGAAATTGTTTATAATAGCCTTTGCTTATTAGACTTAGAAATTAGTCCCTCCCCTTGGGCACTGAAAGACTAAATGGAAAATCTATGAGGGAATGGTATTTCAGAAACCACCCACAGGGAGTTAAATTAGCCAGACAATTTTATTTACAACTGTTTTGGCTTTATGTTTGCCAAAGAAACACGTTTTTTGTTTTTTATTTGTTTTTTTGACAGTCTCATTCTGTTGCTCAGGCTGTGGTGCAATCCTGGCTCACTGCAACCTCTGCCTCCCAGGTTCAGGCGATTCTCCTGCCTCAGCCTCCCGAGTAGCTGGGATTGCCAGCATGTGCCACCATGCCTGGTTAATTCTTGTATTTTTAGTAGAGATGGGGTTTCACCATGGTGGCCAGGCTGGTCTCAAACCCCTGGCCTCAAGTGATCCACCTGCCTTGGCCTCCCAAAGTGCTGGGATTACAGGCATGAGCCAATGCGTCCAGCTGAAACGTGTGTATTTTTTGCGTGTGCGCGCGCGCGCACACACACACACACACACACACACACACACACACACACACACACGGCAACAGGTGAGCCCAAAGGGGCATCAGAGTTCTAAACCTAACCAGTCTTTTCTAGAGAAATATTCTGGCGGGAATAGGGTGGTGGGGGACAATCGAGGGCAACTTGCTTAGTTGAATTTGGCTTCAGTCAGCAAAAGAGGAAATATATTACACAGCAAGGACAGGAGAGAAGCATTTGGTCTCGGAGATTCCTGGTGATGTTTCATACAATTACTTTGATAGAAAACTGCTAAAGGGGCTTTTCTTCTTTTATTTTTTGTTCATCAAGGGTAGCTCGATAGACACAATCATGGACACACAATACAGACAATAGAAACTTCCAAGATGACACTAATTGAACCCTCTCATTCAATAGATAAGGAAACTGTGGCCACCAGAGTGGGGAGGATGTGCTCAAGATCAGGAGAACGAAGGGATGTTAGCCCTGGCTTTGCACTGCCAGTCCAGAGCTCTTTCCACCCCCACAGGGCACTGCGCCTCGTCCCACTCCAATCTTCTCAGGCTTCTTTATGCGCAGGTTGCTCTGCTGCTCAGGGAGGGGAGGGGGTCGCCAAGGTGCAAGTCACCCCGGTCTTGCCTAGAAACCAAGGTGCTGAGGGCTGAAAGGCCCATCTGTTGCAGTCAATTCACCCAAACATGTTAACAAGCAAGAGATACAGCACAAAGCAGCAGTTATGGCCCGTCCCTGTCTCCCACTGGACAGCCATTTTATCACCTGCAGCTGCGGTCATTCGGGGCGGCCTGCTGTGTGCTGCATCCCTCAGAGCTGTCTGCTTCCTCTGTGGGCACAGCCTGCTGTGTCAAAGCTGCTGGCCCCTCTCACAGCCCACCTGGGTGTCTCCGGGCCTTTCAAACTCAGGCTATTTTCTTTCGTTTCTTTCTTTCTTTCTTCCTTGCATTTCCCTTTCCCTTTCCTTCTTTCTTTTGTTTTTTGAGACAAGGTCTCACTCTGTTGCCCAGGTTGTAGTGCAATGGCATGAACTCAGCTCACTGTAGCCTTGACCTTCCAAGCTCAAGTGATCCTCCCACCTCAGCCTCCAAAGTAGCTGAGACCACAGGCGCATGCCACCACACTCAGCTAATTAAAAAAAAATGTTTTTTTTGTAGAGACAGGGTCTCACTATGTTGTCCAGGCTAACTCAGGCTATTTCCAGTGACTCCTGTGATATCTACTGCTTACCTTTCATATTAGCTATGGAGGCCAAGTCCCTGACCTGCTGCTGAGGTCTATGAGGCTTTTCCTTGGTCCCAACTAGCAAGATCTGCCTCCTGTGTCCCCCAGACACTCCACAAGTGACAAGTCACAAATGTCTAAGGGCCCTTGTTCTCACCATTCTGTTAAGAACAAAGACAGCCGGGCTCGGTGGCTCATGCCTGTAATCCTAACACTTTAGGAGGCCGACGCGGGCGGATTACCTGAGGTTGGGAGCTCAAAACCAGCCTGGCCAACATGGTGAAATCCTGTCTCTACTAAAAATACAAAAAATTAGCCAGGTGCAATGGTACATGCCTGTAATCCCAGCTACTTGGGAGGCTGAGGCAGGAGAATAGCTTGAACCCAGGAGGTGGAGGTTGCAGTGAGCCGAGATGGTGCCACTACACTCCAGCCTGGGCTACAGAGGGAGACTTTGCTTAAAACAAAAAAAACAAAAAAAAACAAAAAAAAGACAGGCCAGGTGCGGTGGCTCATGTCTGTAATTCCAGTACTTTGGGAGTCGGAGGCAGGCGGATCACTCGAGGCCAGGAGTTTGAGACCAGCCTGGCCAACATGGTGAAACTGTTTTTACTAAAAAATATAAAAATTAGCCAGGCATGGTGGTGCATGGCTGTAATCTCAGCTACTTGGGAGGCTGAGGCACGAGAATCACTTGAACCCGGGATGGGAAGGTTGCGGTAAGCTGAGATCGACCACTGAACTCCAGACTGGGACTCTGTCTCAAAAAAAGGAACAAAGACAGCAAGCCTCACATGATTAAAACTGTAATCTGAGGCCCAGCACGGTGTGGTGGTTCATGCCTGTAATCCCAGCACTTTGGGAGGCTCAGGCAGTTGGATCACTTGAGCCCAGGAATTTGCTACCAGCCTGGGCAACATAAGGGCCTCGTCTCCACACACACACACACAAAAAAACAGAAAAATTAGCTGAGTGTGGTGGTGCACACCTGTAGGCCCAGATTCTCAGGAGGCTGAGGTGGGAGGATCACCTGAGCCTGGGGAGGTCAAGGGTGCGATGAGCCATGATTGCGCCACTACACTCCAGCTTGGGCAATAGAGTGAGACCCTGTCTCAAAAATAAATAAAATAATTAATTAAAATAAAAGTGCAATCTGCTCCCACCCCTCTTTTAAAATTTTCTTCTTCTTTTTTATTTCTGAGATGGAGTTTCGCTCGTCACCCAGGCTGGAGTGCAATGGTGCGATCTTGGCTCACTGCAACCTCCGCCTCCCGGGTTCAAGTGATTCTCCTGACTCAGCCTCCTGGGTAGCTGGGATTACATCTTCTTTTTTTTTTTTTTAAATTACAGGGATGGGGTCTTGTTACGTTGCCCAGGCTGATCTCAAACTCATGGTCTCAAGTGATCCTCCCACCTAGGCCTCCCAAAGTGCTGGAATTATAGGCATGAGCCACCATGCCCCACTCCCAACCCTCCTGAACCACTCACTCTAGTTCGGACTACCAGATAAGAGTTTTCTAGAAAGGAGATCGCTGGGAATAACAACCTCTACACTATCTTCCTGCCTCAGTCTCTCCTCTCTAGCCCAACTATACACTGCCACGGCAAGTTTCCTGAAAGCCAATATTTTGCCTTCAATAACTCAGCTATATCTACAGACTGAAGCGCTTTTTGGGCAAACATGGCTCTTCAGAGTCTCATGCCAGCTGACCCATCCAGGATGGCCCCTGGCTCTGGGCCATCAACAAGGGTTCTTCCAGCTACACCAGGGCCACATGTGTCACAGCATTTTTTCCTCCACCTCCATGGTTGGGTCTGATACACTAGAGCCACAGCTCTTCTCAGAGCCTTTCTCTGCACTGCAGGCCAGGGTGAGGCCCCAGCACTCACTCCTTTGGCACTCAGTCACAGGAAACAATGCTACCTAACACGGCTTGCTCTCATGTACCTGACTGGAGGTAAGATGATTTTCATAAAAAGTTTTTTTTTTTTTGAGACAGGGTCTCACTTTTTGGCCAGGCTGGAGGGCAGTGGCGCAATGTTGGCCTCCATGACGGCCCCCAAGTCCCCGGCTCGAGCAATTTGCCCACCTCAGCCTCCCAAGTAGCTTGGGACTACAGGCATGCATCACTATGCCTGGCTAATTTTGTTTTCATTTTTTGTAGAGAGAAGGTCTCACTATGTTACTGAGACTCACCTGAGCCTCCCACCTCAGCCTCCCACAGTGGTGGGATTACAGGCGTGAGCCACCACACTCAGCTAAGAGTTTTTCTTGCAGAGGATATTTTACATCTTTATTCTCTTTCTCATCTTTCCATGCCAGAGGGTCTCAACGGGACAATTTTGCCCTCCAGGGGACATTTATGACATCTAGAGACATTTTTGGTTGTTGTGACTGAGGGGCTGATATTGGTATCTAGTGGATAGAGGCCATGGATACTGCTAAACGTCCTACAGTAACCAGGTGCGGTGGCTCATACCTGTAATCCCAGCACTCTGAAAAGCCGAGGTGGGAGGATCACTTGAGGTCAGGAGTTCAATACCAGCCTGGGCAACATAGTGAGACCTCATTTCTACAGAACAAAAAAGTTAGCCAGGCATGGTGGTGCCTACCTATAGTCCCAGCTACTCAGGAGGCTGAAACAGGAGAAAGGCTTCAGCTCAGCACTTTGAGGCTGTAGTGAGCTATGATCGCACCACTGCACTCCAGCTGAGGCAACAGAGTGAGACCCTGTCTCAAAATTAAAAACAAAATCCTACAGTGCACAGGACAGTCTCCACAACAAGGACTACCCATCCCAAAGTCAACAGTGCTGAGGCTGAGAAACCTTTTATTAAAGTAACAAGTGGCAGACAGAACCGTTTCCCTTCTGTTGGTAATGCCAGCAAACAGTGAAATACCTGACGTAAGTGCTGAAGACAGGACAAAGATTTACTCAGGACCTGAAGAATCATAAAGTGACATTATCAAAGGGAGTCACTCACTCCTGCTTTGGGTTCACTCAGAAATATACTAGATGGCAATCTGGCAGTCCCAGTTGCCACAGAACAGCAGGATATGCAGCAAAGACTGTTCTCTACTGCTGACTCTCAATTACGGGGCAGCTGGCTGAAGGACACAGATGCACCCAAACCTCAAGGCAGCTTGAATACCCTGCATGTTGCAATCTGAGCCAGGAAAACCAACAAGACTGCTCACACAGCAAACATGTCCTGAGCACCTTCCTGCCTGGCCCTGTGCTAGCACTGGGGACATGAAAGAATGACAAAGTGGCCCTCCTTGAGGAGCTCCTAGTCTAGTGGGGACATATAGTAGTAAACAATTACTGATCTTCACAATCGGCTTGGCTGATCTCACTTCCATTTTCCTTTAAAAATCCTTCAGGGAAGGGAGAAAAACAATAAAGTGGAAAATAAAGCAGTGGAGCTCCACTGCTGATTAAAATCTATATTGCTATGGCAGCCCCTTTGAGACAGGATCAGCTCCTGGGTTTGCACCAGCTGGGCTTGTGGAGCTTGTAAATAATTAAAAGGTAATTGGAAGGGGAGACCAAAGTATTAAGTGGATTTCTCTCTCAGGGCAAACGGGGAGGTTCATTGCTGCCAGTCACATTATCTTTCAGGATTATATTCTTTTTTTTTTTTTTTTTTTGAGATGGAGTCTCGCTCTGTCGCCAGGATGGAGGGCAGTGGTGAAATCTTGGCTCACTGCAACCTCCATCTCCCGAGTTCAAGCAATTCTCCTGCCTCAGCCTCCTGAGTAGCTGGAACTACAGGCACGCGCTACCATGCCCAGCTAATTTTTGTATTTTTAGTAGAGACGGGTTTCACCATGTTGGCCAGGATGGTCTCGACCTCTTGACATCCTGATCCACCCACCTTGGCCTCCCAAAGTGCTGGGATTACAGGCAGGAGCCACCGCGCCCAGCCTCAGGATTATATTGTTTTTTACTGACACATGCAGTTCCAGGTAACAGCTGGAGGAGCAAACTAATTAAGGCTGCTCAGATTGCTTTGATGGGCTTAGAGACTGGGGAAAACCAAGATTCAAAACTTTCGATTGCCTTTTTTACGCAAACCAACAGTAACAGGCAGGCTACACCAAGAAGGCAATAAGGCTGCCAAAGGTAAAGGAGTAGGGAGGAAGGAGGGAAATAGAGAGAGAGAGAAGTTAACTTAGAATATTTAGCTGCTGGGGGCTGCCATTACAGCTTGGCCCAGGATAAAGAGGAAGATTTCATTCTTAGGTCTCAATAAAGTTGTTGACACAGGCACCAAGGGATGCATGATCAGCTATAACAGGATGCTGGGAGCAGGCTACTGGGAGTAGCTCTCTCCTATGGTTTTGTCCTGAGGGTGACGAAGGTGGAGCCACACAGGTTGCTGAAGGCCTTCTCCTAGAGAGGCTGGGGTGCTGGCCATGTGTTCTGAGGGCTGACCTGGCTGGTGAACCCATTGCTATGACTGAATACAAAGCCAGGAAGTTGAGTCACTCAGCTCTAAACTCAGTCACACCATAGTCTACAGTGAAGATGGCTCTTGGGGATGTGCAGAGTGAGGAGAGAAGGAAAGAGAATTGGGAGGGTGCATTATAAAGCAGATGCCGGCTGGGCGCGGTGGCTCATGCCTGTAATCCCAGTACTTTGGGAGGTCAAGGCAGGTGGATCACTTGAGGTCTGGATTTTGAGACCAGCCTGGCCAACATGGTGAAACCCCAACTCTACTGAAAAAAGAAATACAAAAATTAGCCAGGTGTGGTGGTACGCGCCTGTAGTCCCAGCTACTTGGGAGGCTGAGGCATGAGAATTGCCTGAACACGGGAGGCAGAGGTTGCAGTGAGCTGAGATCACACCATGGCACTCCAGCCTGGGCAACAGAGCGAGACTCCATCTCAAAAAAAAAAAAAGGCAGATGCCTATGTACCTGACTATTAAACTGCAGGAATGTTCTAACCAAGCCAGCAAATACAAACATCGAAAGCCAATGGGTAAGAAGAAAGTGTTGGCCTTTTCTTTCCATGGATCATTTCAGACCCTTCCAAAATATCCTGAGGGGCCTCTTTTCTTTCACTTACCTTTCTCCATGAGACTAGATATGCCAACAAGAAGGCCCACATGCTAGATTAAGTGAAGTCCAGGGTAGCTTTAAGGCTTAAAAAAGGCATATTTGAATTTGAAGTGACTCCAGAGACCAGTCAATTGGAAGAAGAGACAAAATCAGGCAGGGCCAAAAGTGGACGATCATTCCATCTACTTTGTGCCAACACCTTCTCTGTCCTCTTCAATCTGGCTATCGGTTAATTGGCTAAATCCAGAACCAACTGGCAGTAAATGCCTCTTCTCCTCCTGGATGAGGATTAGTGGGCCAGGATGTCTAACAGTGACTAGCACACAGTAGGCACTCTATCAGTATTCCCTGAATTGGAATGATGAGTAGATGCACACTCACCCCTCTTCTGCATAAAGACGAAGAGGTCATCCAGGAACTCTTTCCTTTCAGGATCACCGTCCAGTTCATACAGCTGCAATCCCAATCCCCCAAGAAAAACACACAGTGAAAAATTCCATCTTGCTGAAGTCTTATACCAGATATACTATGACCATCTGAATCACTACAAATGCAACTCACTGGCTACCTTGGTCCTTATTTCTTGGGAATCAGCTGTAACAAGCCACTGCAGAACTGCCCCTATCTGTATCACAAAGGAAGTATTACAGACCTTGGCAAAATCTCGAGAGATCTCTCTTCCCCGGCCTCCATCTGCATCATCACTCCAGGCCAAACCACCATTCTAAAAGGGAACAAAACACAAAGTTGAGAGGGGCAAAGGAAGAGAAAGAGTTAGGACAGAGGGCAAGGCAATCATTTAGGGCAAAGATGAAGATGCTTAGCAATTGTGCTATCCTCACTCATACTATAAAAGACAACTCAGAAGACTAATTCTGCCACCCTTACAGGGACATCTTTTTTTTTTTTGGCTTTTGATTTGGTTCCAAAATAAAGAGGGAATCGGGTGGAAGAATCATCTCCATTTGTTGGAGAAGGGTAGGTGTCGTGGGTGTCATTTATACTTGATAATCCTGGAAGAGGAGGACACAAAGGCCCACGTTGCTTAGAAGGGGCTCATTCCCGGCTGATCGCCAGAAGCCATCACTCTGAGATGCACCACTTTCCTGCAGACTGGGAAGACACCTTGCCTGGTTTCCTATACAACACTGTAAGTGATAAGGGTCAAAGCGAGCAGGACATACATCCTGAAGTTGGTCTCTTAGTCAAGCCTCACCATTCAAAACCCTAAGCCGCATGGCAAGAACTCATGGTGATATGAGGGCCACCATGGCCTGAGATTGTTTCCAAGGTACAGACTCTGTGCCACTAGGGCGAGAGTTCATTTTTATTAGAGAAACAGTGAAAATCTAAGCCCAACTTAATTGATTGGGTTGAAGCAACACCATTCAACTAAATAGGAAGGGATGGCAAATATTCTTTAAACTTGCTTCCTATCTTTAATCAGTCCAGTAACTTTTTTTTTTTTCTTTTTCTGAGATGGAGTTTCGCTCTTGTTGCCCAAGCTGGAATGCAATGGCACGATCTCGGCTCACTGCAACCTCTGCCTCCCAGGTTCAAGTGATTCTCCTGCCTCAACCTCCTGAGTAGCTGGGATTACACGTGTGCGCAACCACGCCCGGCTAATTTTTGTTTGGTATTTTTAGTAGAGATGGGGTTTCACCATGCTGGCCAGGCTGGTCTCGAACTCCTGACCTCAGGTGATCCGCCCACCTTGGCCTCCCAAAGTGCTGGGATTACAGGCATGAGCCACTGCGCCCAGCCAAGTCCAGTAACTCTTATTCCTCCAATCAGTTATCTCTTCAGCAGGAAGCCTTCCCTTCAACCCTCTAAAAGCAATCTCTGTTCACTTCTAGCTTAGATTTTAACATATTACTTGGGAAGTATCTGTCATCCTCACCATATGGTAAGCTCCTTGAAAGGAAAGGTATCTTATTTATCTTTGTCATCAGGCACATAGCACATTGCCTGGCACACCAATTAAGCACCTCTTCAAAAAACATACACATACCTTACAGGGGGGTCAAAAAGTCTTTGTGCTAGTGAGGGTATGAACTCTCACAGTATAACTCTCTTGTTCACCCCGACCCACTGGTCAGTGGAGGTCCCAGTGGCCTGGACACACTGAACCTGTCATATTCATTTCTCCCACAGGACCACAGGTGCATGCGTACCATGCCACCCAGCTGGCTGGGGTGTGTATGTGGTGAGGAAAGGACATGTGGGGCTGGGGAGCAGTGGTTTCTTGGGAGAACATTCTTTGGACTACTCAGGAATCTTCTTCTAAAACCATGTCAACGAAATAAAAGCTTGGTTGAATTCCACTCTCTTCCACCTGCCCCTTTAATAAAGCTTGTCTGAAAGCAGAAGGCATTATGCAGTTATATTTTGGGGCCAACTTTGCTTCCCCTATTCACAGTGGGCTCTGAGATGAAGACCCACTTTCCGATAGCAGCAATCTGGCACACAGTGACATAAGTATAACTAAGAAGTGACACTCTGTCAGTTAAAATGAAACAGACTACATCAAATTGTTTCCCTGCTTATCTAGTAAAAGATGTGTGTATGGAAGTGCTTGGTAAATGCTATCTGACCATGCACTCATCATCTCTCAAGGCAGACATTGTTGGATCCCTTCCTACAGCACCTTCAGCACAGGGGAGCCAATAGCCAAGTGGGAGGAACATTGTTTAAAAAGAAAAAAAAGTTAAAGCTCATCCCACATTGTAATTACAGTCACCAGAAATCTGGTGTCATCTGGTGGCAACTAGCACAATGAATAATCAAGATGAATTATGCCTGTCAGGTCAGCAAAACCAGACAGAGTTACATTCCCCCTTTCAAAGGATGCAGTAGGTTGCCCTAATGCCCAGTGATTTTGTTTGAGCCAGTAATTCCTGCTGGAAAGTCAATTATCCCAGGAGCCCCTATCAGTTGAAAGACATTTAATGGGGGATCATTGCCGCTTCTGTTATGTCAGCTGTTTACTGCGGCAGCTCAATTCCCAATTCTCTGGCGAGAGCTCTGAAGCTGATCTCATTCACAGAAGGACTCTTTCTCTATCAGTCACCAAGAGAGATGAAAACACTTTTTTTTTTTTTTTTTTTTTTTTTTTTTTTTTTTGCTAATTATAGTAACTTCCAAGCACTCTGAATGCTCACTCAAAAACTATTTAACACTCAGTTGGGTGGAAAGGGTGGAATCCACAACCTAAAAAGTCAGACAGGGCTTTCCACAGAAGGACAGCAGTGTGAAAACAAGCACGCTAGTGTGACCACTATGTGACTATGTGTGAAAATAAACACCCAAGTGTGAGCGCTCGGCTCCACACATGGAGAATGCCTTGGCAGGATGGGGGCTGGGGCTGGTAGGGTCCTCTTGGCTTCTCCAGCTTTGTCCAACCTGCAAGAGAATCTGACAGTCAGATGGTGAGGCCTTGCACAGAGCCCACTAAGTGTGACCCACTTAGCTTAAAATGCCTCCAGCTTGGTGACCACAGAGGTCAGGAAGACTTGCCAGAGCAGGAAAGAAATGAGACACCGAACTCTTTGAGTAATCCCACTGTTGGACCCATTCCACAGATAGGAACTGTCAGTTACTCTATTTAAAGAAAATGTGGGGAAAATAGTTGCCCAGAGAGGAGGTATTTTCTTTCGTCCAGCTCCAAGGCAAGGATGGTCAATTCAGCTGGGGCTGATGTAAAAATGTCCAACGTGCATTCCATTCTTTGTCTTAAGGCAGTTAAACTTTGGTCCCACTTCACAGGATCTTCTGGCTGAGGTGAGAGTAATTCCTGAGCCCTGCCTGCCTTTCGCAGTCTAGCAGAGCCTCCTGCCTCTGCCCACCAGGCAGATTCAACACCTTTCTCCTCTGGGCTCTACCACCTGTGTTCAGTTACTCGTCTGGGTATCTCCAGCCCTGAGCACATAGAAAGCACTGACCAGCTGGGCATGGTGGCTCTTGCCTGTAATTCCAGCACTTTAAGACCAACCTGAGCAATATAGGAAGACTGTCTCTTTCTTGTAGGCTGGAGTGCAGTGGCATGATCTCAGGTCACTGCGACCTCTGCCTCTTAGGTTCAGGCGATTCTCCTGCGTCAGCCTCCTGAGTAGCTGGGACTACAGGTACATGCCAGTACGCCCGGCTAATTTTTGTATTTTTGGTAGAGATGGGGTTTTGCCATGTTGGCCAGGTTGGTCAGGGAGACTCCATCTCTACCAAAAATAATAATAATAATAATAATAATGAAGAGGGAGCACCGATATATCTGCTAAAAGACAGAGATGGGCTCCCCTGTGGGACCTCCAACCCCACAGCTCCTCCGTCTTCCCCTCCCCCTTTCATTGGGTGGGTTACAGGCTTAACCAGTTATTTTCTTGGTTCTTAACTCTGATCAACTGCTGTAAAACATGGCTCACTTATGCAATTCAAGTTTGTGTGCAGCAGGTTTCTTGGCCTATCAATAGAGTATGGGTGTGACTACTAGAAAATTATCAGCCCAGAAATAATTTTTTCTCGGATGCTGACTGTGGCTGACTGAGACTGTAATGGTGGAAGAAAGCAGGGAACAGCAGAGGCAGATGGAGGGTGGGGAAAACAAACCCAAAAAGAGACAGCTCAACATTTTAGGGATCAAAAGAGGTTGATGAGGAAAGCATTTCAGTTGAAGGGTTGCTGCATGCAAGTTTAACCTGCCCAGGGAACAGGCTTTGTTACACCATCAGCAGCAGGCAGCAGTATTATATAGCCCAGAAACGTGTGTGGGAAGTCAACAGTAGCCAGAGTGGCCACTTACTGCCATTTACAGCCTTCTCAGCCTCTCCTACTTGAGAACTGTCTTTTAACATCTTTGATCTCTCCAGGAGCTCACAGGAAACTGATAGTTTGCTCCCAAATACACACCCAAGACTAGCTTTGGCTACTATACCTACATTCAGCTAATTTTCCCCAGGAAAAGAAGGTTGGGGGAAAGAGAAAAGGTAGCAGGAAGCTAGTGTTTGTGTGCCTTCTGCATACTAAGGATTGTACCAGGAGCCTTACAAGCATTTTCTCACTTAATTCTATAATGTAGAAGTGGTTATTTTAGAAATGGGAAAACAATGGCTCAAAGAGCTCAAATAACCTGCTCAGGGTCTCAGAGCTTCTTAGTGACAGTGCCAGGATGTAAACCTAGGTCTGTCTGGCTCTCGCTGTTACACCATACTGACTTGTAGTTTGAAAGAATAACACGAAGTGTTCTGGATAAGGAGATCAGGAAGGGAGAAAAGAAGAAAAGGAAGTGAGAATAAAATCCTCTGTCCAGAGATGCCTGAAATGCCCATGTCATGGCACTGGGCAGCTCCTATCAATGGGAGACTCTTTTATCTTTGCTTTATCTCATGGCTTCACCTGGGCACTTTAGCCAAACGAAAAGCAGCCCTCACACAATGCTTGCCCAGGAGAGTTATCTGGCGGTACTGAAATAAGAATTGCTAACTTTTTACCCCTCCCTCCAAAATAGACCATTCCAGTAGAATGGGCCCATCTTCCCCCAGAAGACAGAGGATCAGGGGAGAGGAGAAAAAGAGAAGAGGGCTACACCTCTGAATGGACCAGAGGAAGATGGCAGCTTACACTGTGACATGCACACACAGGCCTTCAAAAATAATGAATCAAGGTCTGACCTGACTGCTACTCAAAATTAGAATAGTGCTTCTCCAGCATCTCAACCCTGGAACCCATTTCAACAGCACACAGGGGAAATAAACAGACTATCTTTGAAAATCTAAAGGTAGTGAGTGAAGAGAAACTAGGCTTTTTCCTCCTTTCTTCTAAAGCTCCAGAGGGCACAACTAGTGTGATAGGCAGAAGTTACCCTGAGGAAGATTTCAGGTCTACAGAAGGACTTTTTAAAACAAGTAGAACTGCCTGGTAATGGAGTGAGCTTCCCAGGAGGTGGGCAACTTCCTGTCTCTGGATGACTATCTGTATGGCATGTCATGGCGTGGAATCCAACATGAGACAGGGTGGATGAGATGGTCTCTAGGGGCCCTTTCTGTCCTGAGAAGCAAAGACCTGATGACAAGTTTATTCAACACAGATTTCCTGAGAACCTACCCCAGGTAGAGCATTGTGCAAGCTGCTGAGAATACCACTAAAAAAAAAAAAAATTGTTCCCACCACTGGGAGTCTTACCATGAAGTTGGAAAAACAAACTGAACACATATAGCATATAATAGCAAGACAACAAATAGGAAAACCCAAGGTACTCAGGAGGTAGAAGAAAAGGCTGGATGGCTTAGAGGTGGAGGTTAAGCTGGCCTTGAAGAATGGGTTGAAGGGAGATTTGCAGTCTAAATGAGCATGGAGTGGGGTATAAACAAGGCATGTTTTGACAGGGAGGATATAAGGACAGAAAGTCTGAATAGTTAAAGTTGAAAGGGGCTGTGAGATGCCTTGAATACCAGAAGGAAATTTAAACTCTGAACTGTGAACAGTGGGGAGGCAGTGGATGTTTTCTGGACAGGAAAGCACATGATTAAATCAATGTTTTAGACTGCTTTAGTGGCCCATTTTTGTTGAAAAAAAAAATAACAGAAACATACAAATGTACATAGACACCTAATCGGATTGGAACTGGGGGATTTTCACTTTTCCTTTTTTTTCCATTATATTCATTCATGTACAAACACTTGATCACCTAGAATTTACCAGTTATGGTAAAAGGTTCTGAAGGAAAAGGAACAAGACAGATGATCACCTCATGGAGCTTACTGTCTAATGGAGAGAGAGAGAGACAAACAATTACAAAATGCAATTATGCTCTTTTTTTATTTTAAAAATTATATTATTTTCTAGATTAATCTGAACCATTTGTCACGACTTATCATTTGCTTTCCACCCTACAATGAAGATTTGGAACCAGGCTGCACTGAAATCATAGAGAATTTCTCATAGAACGGACACCTTCACAAAATTTATTTAGTCTCTTTTTTTTTTTTTTTGAGACAGAGTCTCACTCTGTCACCCGGGCTGGAGTGCAGTGGTGTAATCTGGGCTCACTACAACCTCCGCCTCCCTGGTTTAAGTGATTCTGGTGCCTCAGCCTCCTGAGCAGCTGGGATTACAGGCACGCGCCACCATGCCCAGCTAATTTTTGTATTTTTTTTTAGTAGAGACGGGTTTTACCATGTTGGCCAGGCTGGTCTCAAACTCCTGACCTCAGGTGATCTGCCCGTCTCAGCCTCCCCAAGTGATGGGATTACAGGTGTGAGCCACTGCGCCTGGCCTATTTAGTCTTTCAATTACAAGTAAGAGAGTAGTATGATTTTTCATTTAATCAAAAATATTTTTAATGCCCCTCAGTAATGACTTGTAATGCTGACAGATTTTGTAAATGGTATTGAAAATCTGAGAGGGAAAGCCTGCACTGGGGGTAGGTGGCTGTGCAGTAGCCCAAGCTGAGAATGTGGGACTGGGGGAGACGGAGAGTAGCAGAATGAGGGAGAAATCAGTGCCATAAATGGAGAATCAACTGGATCTGGATTGAGGGGATGAAAGAGAAAGAGAAGGATTAATCTGAATTCTTATAGTGAGAAAGGTATGTTCTGATGCAAACAGAGGCTGGACAGGGGATCAAGCAGGAAGCCTTTAAGCACTAATGAAAACAGACCACTGCCTAGTGAGGTGGGGTGACAACACCAATCTCACAGCCCTGGAAGAAGCCAGGTTATGGCACCTGGCAGCAGGAGAAGCCAATGGCTTACTGCCAATCTTCCAATGAGAAGAAAGAGGTAGATTTAACAAAGGTCTCCTGATCCAAGAAGGCTACCTTGGGCCTTTTCTTTTTACTGGGATTAAAAAAAAAAAAAACAAAAAAAACAACGAGACCATGCTTCTAAGATCTTAGGAGCCAGCTCTGCATTCCTTAGAGCTGCACTTCCCCAGAGACAGAAGCGCCTGACTTTAAAAGCAATTAAGTATCTAGGCTATTTTAGGATTACTCCTTGACCACCTGGAATATCTTATTAAAGCACAGCTCAGATGTCCAAAGCAATTTTAGTTCCCATACCTCATTCCTCCCCAAGGCAAGGGTTAACCCTTCCTTGGGGTTTAAAGCCCAGGGGCTGAGCTAACAAGTCTTCACTTGGGTTCCTGATATTTTGGAACCTCTCAGAAACTGCCCTGTCCTTAAATTGCCATTGTGCATACTGACAACTTTTATAGAGATTCTTGAGAGTTCTCTGAAGACACAGAACAGGGTGCGGTGGCTCACACCTGTAATCCCAGCACTTTAGGAGGCTGAGGTGGAAGGACTGCTTAAGCCCGGGAGTTTGAGACCAGCCTAGGAAACATATGGAGACTCCATCTCTACAAAATTAAAAAAATAAAAAAATTAGCTGGGCATGGTGGCACATGCCTATAGTCCCAGCTACTTGGGAGGATGAGGTGGGAGGAGCGCTTGAGCCTGGGAGGCTGAGGTTGCAGTGAGATACAATTGTACCACTACACTCCAGCCTGGGTAACAGGGCAAGACCCTATTTCAAAAAAATAAAAAATAATAATTAATTTAAAAAAAAAAGACACAGAACAGTAATGTGTCTATTCTCTATAAATCAAATAGATTATGAATCCCAAGGTCAAGGATTTAAGCAAACTCCTAGGACCTGAACCTCAAAGTAATCATTAGAAAATCACTAGACTTCAGGCCAGACATGGTGGCTCATGACTGTAATCTCAGCACTTTGGGAGGCTGAGGCAGGTGGATCACTTGAGCCCAGGAGTTTGAGACCAGCCTGGCAACATGGTGAAACCCCATCTCTACCAAAAAATTAAAAAATTAGCTGGGTGTGGTGGCATGTGCCTGTAGTCCAAGCTACTTGGGAGGCTGAGATAGGAGGATTGCTTGAGCCTGAAAGATGGAGGCTGCAATGAGTCATGATTGAACCACTGCACTCCAGCCCAGGTGACAGAGTGATACCCTGTCTCAAAAAGAAAAAGAAAAAGAAAATCGTTAGACTTCAAAGGGGCTGATCCCAAGCTCATGGATGGCAACTAACTGCTCCAAAATACAAAATGTAACTAAAGCATTTGGGCTGACTGTGGCTGTTGTTGTTTTTAATAAGCAACAAATAAACTATCTTATCATTGGCCAGATCCATGGCTCTGCAGGCATTACGTATACCACATTTGTGACTACTCTACTGCTGGCCTGATTAATGATGTAATGTTAAAAATCCAATTCTCAGATCTTGGTATGAAGAAAAGAAAAAATGCTCTTTGCCCTCATACCAGTTTTAACTGATTTCAGGAGGTAATGAGACATGCACAAGGCATAATGGGCAGGATTACAGGAGAATCCTAAGAGGGGAGGGGAGCCCCAGGAAGTAAAACAGATACTGTTATAAGCAACACTGTTGGACTACAAAACCCTCTTGATAAGATCAGGATTAGTGCTCTTAACTAAATCGCTCAGGCCTTGGAAACACTAGAGTTATAATTATCAGATGCACACCTTCCGCTGTCAGGTAACTTTAGCAGGAACCAGAAAGAGCCTTCCCACCTCTTGCTAGCAGCGGAGATCAATTCAAACTCAGTGGCTTGGAAAAGAGCTAAAGGACACTTCTCTGATTAAGCTGTAGAAAGCGGGCAGAGCAGGGGAGGAAGAGAGGGCAGCGGTCCCACCTTTCCACTAAGCACAGAATCACTCCATGCAATGATCAAGAAGACTTCCCAGAAATAGATGTTCCTACCAAAGGTGGCAGAAAAACTAAAATACATTGTTGGTGATGAGGACACCCTGATACCAAGGCATGAACTGGCCCAGCCAAGTCCAAGTCCGAGAGCCACAGAGGTAAGTAAGTCCTAGCTCCTTTTCTCTGCAGAATCTGACTTGGCAGCACTACGGCTTACTCCAACCCTTGAGCTACCACCTGAACTTCCACAATGGTTGCTGACATCCATCCACACCACAGAGGCTCCACACAGAGTTGCACAAAGTCAGAGTTGGAGAGCCCAGCACAAGAACACTTCAATGGACCCGCTGGTGACAGAAAGGAAACAGACCTAAGAGGTTGGAAACTTGCCCAAAAGTTTCATAAAACTTTTTTTTCCCCCCAAACAACACATTTTAAATGTATAGGAAGAACAACATTTTTAAAAATTACTATCATAAGTTACTTTACAAAGTTAAAAAATCCCTCCTTTATTTTCAAATTTGGGATTCCACAAGTTTGGGTGTCCTCAGGCAGAACACAGTCACAGTTTGTGTTTAAAAGTCAGCTGCATTCACAGATTTCTCAGAGCTTCTCCTAAGGCTTCCTCCAGGTCCACACCCCCATCCTGGGGTGCTACTATGATATACACATTCCTTCTCTGATGACAACTGTCCCTATGCCACCGGCCACCTCTACCAGGCTGAGGCTCTCTCACATGGGGATAGTGATTGACTCCTCTGTGAGGCTGGTGCATCAAGCACAGGGCCTGACAGGTGGTCGAGGCTCAAATGAATGTTGATACCTGAAGAACAAGCCAACGGGAATAAACTTAGGAGACTCAGCACAAGCTAAGTGAATAATCTGGGGGGAAAATCAGAACACACTTAAAAGAAGGTGGGCTGCTAGTTCTAAACGACAACTCTAGAAAAGGGGTCTAGAAGGCAATATAAGTCATTTCCTAAAGATAGCAGGTAAATTTTAAGGCCCAAGAGCTAAACATAAGAATTTGTATTTTTAAAAAAGGGGCCCATGATTCATATGTAAAATTAGCAAAGCTTCAAAAAATAATTTTCAGTGACAACAAGGGTTGGTACAATGGGATCTCCCATATTCCCATACTGGAAATATAAAATAGTATGACTTTCTGGAAAGTCACTTGCCTTAAAATGCCTATCACAATAAAAACAGCAGCAGCAACAACTAATAATTGAGTACACGTGCTCTTCAACTTATGATGGGGACCAGGTGAGGTGGCTCGTGCCTGTAATCCCAGCACTTTGGGAGGCTGTGGTGAGAGGATTGGTTGAGACTGGGAGTTCCAGGCTGCAGTGAGCAGCAATCACACCACTGCATTCCCCCCGGGAGACAGTGAGACCCTGTCTCAGAAAACAGAAAAATACTTATGATGGCGTTAACAACCCAATATACTCACCAGAAGTTGAAAATATTGGACTGGGCATGGTGGCTCATGCCTGTAATCCCAGCAGTTTGGGAGGCCGAGGTGGGCGGATCACCTGAGGACAGGAGTTCGAGACTAGCCTGGCCAACATGGTGAAACCCAGTCTCTACTAAAAATACAAAATTAGCTGGGTGTGGTGGTGGATGCCTGTAATCCCAGCTACTCGGGAGGTGGAGGCAGGAGAATTGCTTGAACCTGGGAGGTGGAGGTTGCAGTGAGCCAAGATCGTGCTATTGCACTCCAGCCTGGGCGACAGGGCAAGACTTCAACTCACAAAAAAAAGAAAAGAAAAGAAAAGAAAAGAAAATACCGTTGTCGGAAATGCATTTAATACACCTAGCCTACTAAACATCATAGCTTAACCTAGCCTGCTTTTTTTTTTTTTTTTTTTAAGACAGAGTCTTGCTCTGTCGCCAGGGCTGGAGTGCAACCTAGCCTACCTTAAACGTGCTCAGAACACATATATTAGCCTACAATTAGGCAAAATCATTTAATACAAAGCCTATTTTATAATAACATGTTGAGTATCTTGTAATTTACTGAATACTACAATGGAAGAGGATAAACAGAATAGTTGTATGGGTACTTGAAGTAGTTTCTACTGAGTGTGCATGGCTTTTGTACCACCATAAGGTTGAAAAATAGTTGAGTTGAACCATCTTAAGTCAGGGACTATCTGTGCTAACTACCTGCCAGGCACTATTCCAGCATTTTATATGTATTGACATTTAATCCTCAGCACAGTGCTCTGAAGTGGGTACTATTATTATCCCTACTCTTCAGATGAGAAAACCAAAGCAAAAGGAAGTCCAGTGACTTGGTTACAAAGTGACCAAATGGTGGAGTTGGGAATCAATTGCAGGCAGGGCAGCTTTAAGTCCCTGCTTATAACTGCCTCACTTTCTTAGTCTCCTCCTGATCTTGTAATTCTGGTCTATGACTCTATCCTAAGGAAATAACTAGAAATACAGTATAATTTTATTTATAAGAGTAAAAAATTTAAAGCAGTCTAAATGTCTGACATTAAGGGAATGGGCAACACATGAAGGTGCTATCCATGTGATAAAACATTATGCAGCCATCAAAAATAGCAATACTCTTTAAACACACTTGATTCCTATTCATTCTATTCATCCTTCTCATTCATTCTAGATGTAGTAAAGAGCTACGATTAAAAACACAACCATAAAGTATTAAGAATAGAGAATATTTTTTGTAATCTTAGGGAAAGGCCTTCTCAAGTATGACAGAAACCATAAAGAGAAAAATCAATAAATTTAGCTATATCAAAATTTTAAACCCCTACTTGATTAAAGAACCACACATCAAGTTGAAAGACAAACTACGGGCTGGGCACGGTGGGTCACACCTATAATCCCAGCACTTTGGGAGGCTGAAGCACAAGGATTGCTTGAGCCCAGGAGTTTCATAAACATATGAAAAGACAGCAAAAATAAAAGGACTGATAATAACCAATGTTGACAAGGGTTTGGGAAAATATATCACCGGTAGCAAAGCGGAGTAATATCTTTGAGGGTAATTAACAGTATATATTGAAAAGCTAACATATACATAGACACCTAATCAACATCTATAATAATCTATCCCACCACAGAAATACATATACCAGGGCATAGGGTTACACATACTACACACACATACACAAGTACATTCACACTCACATGTTCTGTGACTGCACACTTCAGTCAGTAAATACACAGAAACAGTCCTAGAAGCTGATTCACTCCTACTTGTGAGGTGTAAGGACACAGGACAGGCAACAGGACACCATGGTATTTTTTTAACTACGAATTTTTACTCTGTATTTTTCCATATTGTTTTAATTTTCATGAGCACCTATTCATACCGCTTATGTGATTTTAAATAAATAATTATAAAAACACGAAAAATAGATCTTCATGAACACTCATGGAGGACTGCCAGAGCAGAGTACAAAAGCAAGTGGTAGAACAATATGTAGAACAGACAAAATATATTTGTGAAAAGAAAAAGCTCCAAGAAGGTGTAGACCAAACTGTTAACAATTACACCTGAAGAGTCAGACTTTTATTTCATACATTTCCAAATTTCTAAAATTATTTGAGTTATTATTACTTCTGTAATATACTTTGAAAACTAAAATATTTTAAAGTAATACTTTAAATTGCTCAAGGCCTGTTAGGTGATAAAAGTTAAGCACAAAATTGTATATAAATTTTTTTTTTTTTTGAGACAGTCTTGCTCTGTTGCCCAGGCTGGAGTGCAGTGGTGCAATCGTGGCTCACTGCAATCTCCATCTCCCAGATTCAAGTGATTCTTCTGCCTCAGCTTCCTGAGTAGCTGGGATTACAGGTGTGTGCCACCACTCCGGCTAATTTTTGTGTGTGTGGTTTTTTTTTTAGTAGAGACAGGGTTTCGCCATGTTGCCTAGGCTGGTCTCAAACTCCTGGGCTCAAGCGATCCACCTGCCTTGGCCTTCCAAAGTACTGGAGTTACAGGTGTGAGCCACGGCACCCAGCCTGTATATAAAATTTAAAACTGTATCTATAGTAGGCATTTTTCTTCAAAACGCAAGTACAACAAATGTTTATAGTTATATTAAATCTAAGTTATGTGGCTGTAGTGATTGTATTTTCTTCTTTACAAATTTTTACATTTTCCATGTTTTCTAAAATGAGCCTGCATTACCTTGACAATCAGAAAAAATAAGTAAAAGTCATTTGCAGAGTAATAAAACCACTAAGGAAAGATTATTTTTCTCCTGTTCTATCTGGAAGGGAGCAAGAGGGAATATGGAGCTAGAAGTCAGACCACCTGGGTTCACTAGCCAGCTTCCCAACTGTGAGACCACAAGCTTCCCACTTGACCTTTTCCCTCATCTGTAAATAAAACAAACACATAAAGGGGATAATATTAGGACCTGCCTCACACAATGAAATGAAATAAGGTACTTGGCACATAAGAGGTCAAAAAGTCTTAGTTATTAAAAAACAAAAACAAGAAAACAAGCAAACAAAACTGTGAGTGAGGATAGTCTGATGTGAAGGAACTCCACCATCTCCCTCGCTTCTTCCCCAAAGAAAACCTCACATAGAAAAGCTGGATAACATTTAACACTCTACCCGTTGCATACATAGCTGAGCTTGAAACCCAGAAAGAAAGCAGAGTCCACAGCAGCAGAAACAAAATGGTAGCAATCAGTGAGCAAGTGGCAAAGCTGAAGGGCTCAAGGGAGAACATGACCCGAATAGGGTTCTTAAGAGCCGAGTGCTGAACTGAGAGCTGGAGACTGAATCAACCCCAAGAGAAGGGAGTCCAGGCTGTAGGCCCCTGCATGCCAGGAACCAGAACAGAAACAACTGCATAAAGCCAGAGGCCATGAGAGACTACATGGCCCGCCATAAACTGGGCCTAAAAACACTGCCCACCAGCCCGGCGAAGCTGCAAGGAACCGTGCCATCTGGCAGGGGACTCATATTGAGGGGCTCTCACTAGGCACAGATGTAGGCTTCAAATTCACACTACCCAAACCAATGCAACGAGCTAAACTTGTGCAGCCCCAGCAGAGGGAAAAACAAAACTCCCCTTAGGAATGCTTCCACCATCCAAGGCACATGGGATTCCTACAGAAACAAATCCCCACTCAAAATGAATTTACACTGGAAAAAAAACAAAAACAAACCAAGAGGAAATAAACCATCTTAAGGGACAGTAACATGACACAGGAAGAACTTGCACCCCAAGAATTAGAGATAATAATAGACTCTAAAAGCATCTTTAAAATAAGCATGTTTAAAAAGAATGGCAGACTGTTGATACTTGTTGAAAGCTGATTAAAGAACACAGATGGTTCATTACTATTCTTTTTTTTTTGTATGTATGAAATTTCCATAAATGAGTTTTAGCAATTCCAATATAAAGTTTTAAAAAGTCAAAGATGTTCAAAGAGCTGAAGGAATAGAAACCATAAAGTAAAAACAGGCAGATTTTTAAATGCCAAAAAATTTATAAACAAACACAATAATTACGACAAACCATTTTTTAAAGAGCCATAAAGTAGAACAGATAGAGCTGAAGACAGAATTAGAAATTAGAAAATTAAATGTGAAAATAATCCAGAATGCAGGAGAATGATATAAATACATAAGATTTTAAAAGAAAAGACGCACAGGAGACTGAATGAGGAGGTTCAAATACTTCTATTAGAATACTGGTTAAGAAAAAATAGTACCCAAAAAAAAAAAAAAAAAAAAGACACAAACCAGATTGAAGGAGCAGACAGAGACCCAAGTGGAATAAAAGTAAGTTGAAAGGCCGGGCGCGTGGCTCACGCCTGTAATCCCAGCACTTTGGGAGGCCGAGGTGGGCGGATCATGAGGTCAGGAGATCGAGACCATCCAGGCTAACACAGTGAAACCCTGTCTCTACTAAAAATACAAAAAATTAGCTAGGCGTGGTGGCGGGCGCCTGTAGTCCCAGCTACTCAGGAAGCTGAGGCGGGAGAATGGCATGAACCCTGAAGGCAGTGCTTGCAGTGAGCTGAGATCATGCCACTGCACTCCAGCCTGGGCGACAGAGTGAGACTCCGTCTCAAAAAAAAAAAAAAAAAAAAAAGTAAGTCGAAACCTAGAATACTGTAATTAAAGTGCAGAATAGCAGAGTCAAAAAGAAAAAATCTTAAAAGCTACAAGAGAGAAAAAGATCCTCCCTACTCCCTTGGACACAACCATATTGAAATTAGGCCAATAATAACCTTGCAATGGCCTCTAAGTATTCAAGCGAAAGGAAGAGTTGTATGTCTCTCACTTTAAATAAAAAGCTAGAAAAAGATTAACAGACTGACACTAGATTTCTCAACAGCAAAAACAGTTGTTAGGAAACAATGAAATCTTATCATTAAGGGTGAAGAAAAAAATAATGGTCAATGTAGAATCTAAAGCTATGAACAACTGTACAAAAGTGAGGGCAAAATAAAAAGATTTTTTGAAAGTTTCAAACATACCACAATTTTTTTTTTTTGAGACAGGGTCTCACTCTCATCCAGGCTGGAGTGCATGGCACCATCATAGCTCACTGCAGCCTCCATCTCTTGGGCTCAAGAGATCCTCCCACCTCAGCCTCCCAAGTAGCTGGGACTACAGGCAGGTACCAACCTATCTGGCTAATTTTTTTTTTTTTCGGTAGAGACAGGGTTTCATCATGTTGCTCAGGCTGGTCTTGATCTCCTGGGCTCAAGCAATCCGCCTGCGTTGGCCTCCGAAAGTGCTGGAATTATAGGTATGAGCCATCATGCCTGGCCAAGACTTTTATTACATATAAGTCTCTGCTAAAAAAAGTTAGTAAATAAAGAAAAAGGAGGCTGTGCATGCTGGCTCACGTCTGTAATCCTAGCACTTTGGGAGGCCGAAGCGGGTGGATCACGAGGTCAGGAGTTCGAGACCAGCCTGGCCAATATGGTGAAACCCTGTCTCTACTAAAAAAATACAAAAATTAGCTGGGCATGGTGGCACACGCCTGTAGTCCCAGCTACTCAGGAGGCTGAGGCAGAAGAATCGCTTGAACCTGGCAGGCAGAGGTTGCAGTGAGCCGAGATTGCACCTCTGCACTCCAGCCTGGGCAACAGAGTGAGACTCCGTCTCAAAAAAAAAAAAAAAACAAAAAACAAAAAAAAGAAAAAAGGAAAAGGAAAGTGAGCCCAGAGGGAATGAGTAGGATCAAGTAATGGTGAGAAAAGAAATGGATAAACTTCGTAAGTCTAAATAAATAATAACTGTGAGGGGAAAAAAACTAATTTGGGGACGGGTTAAAACAAATTAGAACTAAAATACTGGCCACTATAAACTGGTAAATAGGATTGGAGAGGTAGATGTTAAAACTAGAATTTCTAAGGTACCAATGTTTGAAAGCACAGCACACCTAATTTCTAACAGCACGTGCTCACTTTGTGTCTCTGTCACATACTGGTAATTCTCGTAGTATTTCACACTTAAAAAAATTATTACATCTGTTATGGTGATCTGTGATCAGTCATCTTTGATGTTACCATTGTAATTGCTTTGGAGAGCCTAGAATCACACCCATATAAGATATCAAACTTCACTGATAAATGTTGTATGTATTCTGACTGCTCCACCAACCACCCTAGCTGTTCCTCCATCTTTCTCCCTCTTCTTGGGCCTCCCTACTCTCTTGGACACAACCATACTGAAATTAGGCCAATTAGTAACCTTGCAATGACCTCTAAGTATTCAAATGAAAGGAAGAGTTGTATGTCTCTCACTTTAAATCAAAAGCTAGAAATTATTAAGCTTAGTGAGGAAGGCATGTTGAAAGCCCAGATAGCCGGGCTCGGTGGCTCAAGCCTGTAATCCCAGCACCTTCGGAGGCTGAGGCGGGCGGATCACAAGGTCAGGAGATCGAGACCATCCCGGCTAACACGGTGAAACCCCGTCTCTACTAAAAATACCAAAAAATTAGCCGGGCATGCTGGTGGGCGCCTGTAGTCTCAGCTACTCGGGAGGCTGAGGCAGGAGAATGGCATGAACCTGGGAGGCGGAGCTTGCAGTGAGCGGAGATTGTGCCACTGCACTCCAGCCTGGGCAACAAGGTGAGATTCCGTCTCAAAAAAAAAAAAAAAAAAAAAAAGAAATACAGCTCGTAAGGCTACAGCTGCCATAGACAGGGATTCCTCTTATGGATCCGGGCAAAGCAAATTGGAAACCTTCTGGAAAGGATTCACTGTTCTAGGTGTCATCAAGAATATTTCATGATTCATGGGAGGAGGTCAAAATAGCAACTGGGGCCAGGCATGGTGGCTCATGCCTGTAATCCCAGCACTTTGGGAAGCTGAGGCAGGAGGATTGCTTGAACCAGGAGTTTTGAGACCAGCTTAGGCAACACAGTGAGACCCTGTTTCTACAAAAGATTTTTAAAAATTAGTTGGGCATGGTGACACATGCCCGTGGCCCCAGCTACTCAAAAGGCTGAGGTGGGAGAATCACATGAGCCCAACAGGTCGAGGCTGCAGTGAGCTGTGATTGCGTCACTGCACTCCACCCTGGGTGAAAGAGTGAGACCCTGCTTCAAAAAAGAAAAAAAAAAGAGTCAATCGTAGCAAACTTCACTGTTGTCTTATTCTATGAAATTGCCACAGCCACTCCAAGCTTCAGTACCCAGCACCTAGATCAGTCAGAAGCCATCAACATCAAGGCAGGACCTTCTATCAACAAAAAGATTACAACTCGCTGAAGGCTCAGATACTTGTTATTGTTTTTCTTGTAATAAAGTATTACTTTAATTTTAATTGACAAATAATAATTATATATATTAATGAGGTACACAGAGTTGTTTTCATACATATTATGTATAGTGATCAGATCAGGGTAATTAGCATCTCCATCACCACAAACATCTACCATTTCTTTGTGCTGGGAACATTCAAGAGCAATAAAACATTTTAGTTAAGGTATGTACATTGTTGTTTTTTTTTAGGTATAATGAAAGCTACTGTATACTTAATAGACCAGAGAATAAACATAATTTTTATACAGGAAACAAAAAATGTATGACTTATTTTATTGCAATATTGCTTTATTGTGGTGGTCTGGAACTGAACCTGCAATATCTCTGAGATATGCCTTTAGTGTAAAAAGAATATAAATTACAATCTAAAAGTAACCAATAGAAGAATAAAAACAGAAAAGTATAATTTCTAGACCAGCAAAGGACATAAAGGCTAAATAAATAAAACTCGATCAAATCAATACAAGACAGAAAAAGAGAAAACAAGAAAAGTATAGTTAAATTGAAAATCCAAAATAAGAGGGCATGACCAGGCACTGTGGCTCACACTTGTAATCCTAGCACTTTGGGAGGCTGAGGCGGGTAGATCACTTGAAGTCAGGAGTTCAAGACCAGCCTTGCCAACATGGTGAAATCCTGTCTCTACTAAAAATACAAAAATTAGCCGAGTGTGGTAGCGCATGCTTGTAATCCCAGGTACTTGGGAGGCTGAGGCGGGAGGGCTGCTTGAGCCCGGGAGGCAGAGGTTACAGTGAGCAGAAATCATGCCACTGCACTCCAGCCTGGGTGACAGAGAGAGGCTCCATCTCAAAAACAAACAGGGCTGGGCATGGTGGCTCATGCCTGTAATCTCAGCACTTTGGGAGGCCGAGTTGGGTGGATCACCTGAGGTCAGGAGATCGAGACCAGCCTGACCAACATGGAGAAACCCCGTTCTCTACTAAAAATACAAAAAATTAGCCAGGCGTTGTGGCAGGCGCCTGTAGTCCCAGCTACTTGGGAGGCTGAGGCAGGAGAATGGCATGAACCCAGGAGGCGGAGCTCGTAATGAGCCAAGATCGTGCCACTGCACTCTAGCCTGAGCGACAGAGCGAGACTCTGTCTCAAAAAAAATAAACAACAACAAAAAAAATACAAAATTAGCTGGGTGTGGCGGTGCATGCCTGTAATCCCAGCTACTCAGGAGGCTGAGGCAGGAGAATCTCTTGAACCCGGGAGGCGGAGGTTGCAGTGCGCCGAGATTGTGCCATTGCACTCCAGCCTGGGCAACAAGAGCGAAACTCTGTCTCAAAAAATAATAAATAAATAAATAAATAAATAAATAAAAATTAAAAAACAAAACAAAAAAAAGAGGGCAGAAATAGATCCAAATGTATCACTAATCCTTATAATGAAATGGATTAACATACATTCTCTCCAAGCACACATGGAACATTTATAGAAACTAATCACACATAAGGCCAACATAAAGAATATCTTAAATTTCAGAGAATTGATACCATGCTCGTTTCCCAACTACAATGTAATCAAGCTATAAAATAATACTGGAAAAGAGATAAAACCCACATATTTGGGAACCAAAAAATACTTTTAACAACCCATGAGTTGAAGAAGCAATTAAAACTGAAATTATAAAATGTTTAGTACTAGCCAACAATGAAACCACTACACATCAGAACTTGTGGGGTACAGCAAAAGTGAGATCCAGGGAAAACTCTATAGCCTTGAATGCATTTATTAAGTAACAAGAATTTCAAAAAATGTGTTCAACGTAAAACTAAAATGGCTTAAAAACAGAACACACACAAATGAGTACATGTAAAACTGAAGAAGAAATCTAAGTAGGATCAGTGGATGATGTCAACATCAATATCCAGGTATGACAGCATACTATACCTGTATATGCTGTTACCATAGGGAAACTGGACAAAGTGTACATGACATTGCTTTCTTTCAACTCCCTGTGAATCTATAATTAGCTAAATAAAAATTTCAGTTAAAGGAACATGGCCAAAATCCAAAGCACTAACGATACCAAATGCTGGTGAGGATGTGGAGCAACAGAAGCTCATTCACTGCTGACGGGAATGCAAAATGGTACACCCACTTTGAGACACAGTTGGGCAGTTTCTTAGAAAGCTAAAAATACTCTTACCACACAATCCAGCAATCACGCTTCTTGGTATTTACCCAGATAAACTGAAACTTATATCTACACAAAAACCTGTATACAGATGTGTATGATAGCTTTATTCATAATTGCCAAAACTTTGAAGCAACCAAGACGTCCTTCAGGAGGTGAATGGATAAACTGTGGTATGTCCAGAAAACAAAATATTATTCAGCACAAAAAGAAATAAGCTACTAAGCCATAAAAAGATATAGAGGAAGCTTAAATGCACATTACTAAGTGGAGAAAGCCAATCTAAAAAGGCTACATTAATGATCCCACCATATAACATTCTGGAGGAGACAAAACCATAGACAGGAAAAGAATCAGGGGCTGCCAGGGGTTAAGGGGGAGGGAAAGATGAATAGGTGAAGCACAGAGAATTTTTAGGACAGTGAAACTACTCTGTGTGATACTACAATGGCGGATACATGTCATTACACATTTGTCAAAATCCATAGAATAGGCTGGGCGTGGTGGCTCATGCCTGTAATCCCAGCACTTTGGGAGGCCAAGGTGTGTGGATTACCTGAGGTCGGGAGTTCGAGACCAGCCTGACCAACGTGGAGAAACCCCGTTTCTACCAAAAATACAAAATTAGCCGGGTGTGGTGGTGTATGCCTGTAATCCCAGCACTTTGGGAGGCCAAGGCGGGTGGATCACGAGGTCAGGAGATTGAGACCATCCTGGCTAACATAATGAAACCCCATCTCTATTAAAAATACAAAAAATTAGCTGGGCGTGGTGGCATGCGCCTGTTGTCCCAGCTACTTGAGAGGCTGAGGCAGGAGAATCGCTTGAACCCGGGAGGCGGAGATTGCAGTGAGCCAAGATCACGCCACAGCACTCTAGCCTGGGCGGCAGAGCGAGACTCCGTCTCAGAAAAAAAAAAAAAAAAAAAAAGGAAAGAAAGAAAAAAGAAAAGGAAAAGAAAATAAGCATAAGCAGAATGAAGGACTATAGAAAGCAAAAGAAGAGAATATTCAAGGAGGGAGTGCTCTGTATTCAATAATGCTGAGAAATCAATGAGGTCAGGGAAGGCTGGGCTTAGCAACATGGAACTTCAGGGACATGGAAGAAACAGAGATCAGACTGGAGTATGCTGAGGAGTGAGTAGGAGGTGACAAATGGAAATAAAGAGTAAAACCAATTCCTTTGAGAAGCTTTGTTGCAAGGATGTGGGGGATAGTTAGGAATAGAAAAAAAGCTGGCAATAATGTGCAATCAAGAGGAAATTTTTTAAAAGTGGTCTCTCATTTCCTTGTTAACAACTGACTCAGGTAAAATTTAAGATTAAAGGTTTTTGTTGTTGTTTGCTTGTTTTTAAGTCTGACAGAGAGAAGATGCGTAAACGTGGAAAAGGCCTGGAAGAGAATGAGCCCAAAGAGTCAGGAAATGGAGGGTTCACTGATGGAGCAAGTCCCTGGAAACCTGGAAGGGGATGGGATCTGGGACACATGTAGAGAAATTAGCCTCTGGTGAGAGGGTAAGGACCCAAGTCAAGTCAGTGATTGTGTATTTATAAGGACTTAGTATCTATAAAGCTTACTTCTACCTAAAGAACAATACACACATATCCCTATGCTAATACGGAAAGATACAGCTTCAGAAGCGCCATGGTTTAAGCTCACATAATCCTGAAAGGTTTCAGAGAACTTCAGAACACCAGAGTGTGGTCAGGGCTCTAGAAAACCTGAAAAGGAGTTGTTTTAGAGTAGTGGGTAGGATTTATGGAGCATCTTATCTACAAAGGTCATAAAGACTGAAAAATTATGATTGACCCTTCAACGTGGATTTGAACTGCCTGGGTCCACTTATATGTAAACTATTTTCAACCCAACTTGGATCAAAGACAAAATTTACGAGATGTGAAACCCATGTATATGGAAGACTGACTTTTAATATATGTGGGTTCCACAGAGCTGACTGCAGGACTTGAGTATGCTCAAATTTTGGTATATGTGGGGGTCTTGGAACCAATCCCCTGCATGTGAGGGACGACGGTAGCTTCAAAAAGGACTTAGGTGTTGATGACAATTCGCCCTAACCCTGCAAAGCTCTTTCACACTCATATTTTTCTTCTACCTTTGTAATATCCTTAAAATCACTTCCTGAGGATAGCGGGAGAGGATTATCATCCTCTGGAATAGATTGATGCATGGGTTCAGAGAGGCAGATTAGAACGCTTGTCCAAAGTACTAGAGCAAGCAAGCAGTGGAAGCAGGGTCTTTTTTCTTTTCCTTTTTTTTTTTTGAGATGGACACTCACTCTGTCACCCAGGCTGGAGTGCAGTGGTGTGATCTCAGCTTACTGCAAGTTCTGCCTCCCGGGTTCATGCCACTCTCCTGCCTCAGCCTCCGGAGTAGCTTGGGACCGCAGGCGCCTGCCACCACGCCCAGCTAACTTTTTTTTTTTTTGTATTTTTAGTAGAGACGGAGATGATGTTTCACTGTGTTAGTCAAGATGGTCTTGATCTCCTGACCTCGTGATCCGCCTGCCTCCGCCTCCCAAAGTGCTGGGATTACAGGTGTGAGCCACTGCGCCTGGCGGGAAGTAGGGTCTTAATCCACATCCTCTGGCTCCAAAACCAATGCTGATTTAATAATTAAATCTGTTACTAGGTAACAAGTCTGCCAAGTATTTACACTTTAACCTTTTGGGGTTAATGTCTACAAGGGCAACCAAGCTCTCTCATATATCACCAAAGATATCAAAGATATCATGGAGTGCTGGGCTGAAAGAATCACTGATAGAGTCAAGTAAGAGATCTCAAGTTCTAGGCCCCAAACCTTTCCCAAGTGACAGTCTGTTCACCTAGATGACTAGAGGAAAGACATGAGCTCGGTACAGATATTGAAAGCAGAAGTCAAGAAAATTCAAGGCTGCCAAACTCCTCAGTTACTGAGACTGAAACACAAAGGAAAAGAGTCTCTGGTGCTGTCTGATGATAGCGAAGCTTATGTTCTTTCTGGTTGCACAATCTAGAGCACGGTTTCTCAACCTTGGCACTACTGTTATTTTGGACCAGATAACTCTTTGCTGTTGGGGGGCTGTCCAGTGCGTTATAGGATGTTTAGCAGCATCCCTGGTCTACCCACTAGACGCCCATAGCACACTGCCCCCTACTCCAGTCATGGCAATCAAAAATGTCTCCTGACACTGCCAAATGTCCCCTGGGAAGGGGCAGGGGTCACCTCTAATTGAGAACCACTCAACTAGATGGATTCCATTGTGACTGCAGAAGGCAAGGGCATGCAAGGTAGCTCTATAAAGAACATGAGGAAAGCCTACGAACATTTTCTTTTTTGGGCAATACTTTGCACAGTTTTTTAAAAAAGCCTCAAATGTTCCATAGTCATGCTGTATCTTTTCTTTTTCCCTTTTTTTTTTTTTTTACACCATCTCACTCTGTCATCCAAACTGGAGTGCAAGTGGCATGATATCGACTCACTGCAACCTTCGCCTCCCAGGTTCAAGTGATTTTCCTGCCTCAGCCTGCCGAAGTAGTTGGGACTACAGGCGTGTGCCACCACACCCAGCTAATGATAGTCATGCAGTATCTACCAAGAAAAGTAGGCCTATCCCGGCCGGGCGCAGTGGCTCACGCCTGTAATCCCAGCACTTTGGGAGGCCGAGGCGGACGGATCACGAGGTCAGGAGATCGAGACCATCCTGGCTAACACGGTGAAACCCCGTCTCTACTAAAAATACAAAAAAATTAGCCGGGCGTGGTGGCGGGCACCTGTAGTCCCAGCTACTCAGGAGGCTGAGGCAGGAGAATGGCGTGAACCCCGGGGGGTGGAGCCTGCAGTGAGCCGAGATCATGCCACTGCACTCTAGCCTGAGTGACAGCGAGACACCGTCTAAAAAAAAAGAAAAAAAAAGAAAGAAAAGTAGGCCTATCCCAAGGGACTACACCTTAATTAGAGGGATGGCTTCTGGACACCAGTCAGTCAGTCATGGCATTAGAAGAAATGGACAGTAGTCTCCACTAATTGCCCAGCAGGAAGTCGACTCTCACGGTAAGATGAGATTGATTTTGCTCATGGTTAAGAATAGGCAAAAAAAACCCCAAAAAAACAAAAACAAACACGAAACTCCCTCTTCTCAAATCACATTCCCTTTGTCTCTCCCAGTGCCCATCTAACATGGCAATTCTTCCCATTTGTCATGGAGCTTCCTTTGCTTCTGTACTGCAGAAGTGCTTCTCCAACAAATTCAGAGAGAACCCACGCTGTCATGAGCTGAGGGTGCCCCAAGCGGCTTGGAGGTGTTTGAAATTGGTAATACCCTGTCCTTGTTAACACATGTGATTAGCAAGCTTTAGGACGTTAGGAATTCTTTAATTGCAAATATTCTGAAATTAAACCCTTCCATCCTAGAAGGCAGTCACAAAACAAAATCTTGTAAAACATGCTAGAAGGGGAAGGGTAGAGGAGGGGGCCAACATTTATTGTGCAATGGCTCCCAGTGCTTTCAACTGAATTGGCTGTGAAAGTATGTTAAGCCCGTGGTTGGATCACAGCCACATGCAGTAACCAAAGCGACTGCCAAAGTATGCAGAAAATCGGACACATGCACCCTGGCCCCACATGCCTGCCAAGCCATCTTTCTTCTTTCTATTCTATCGAAGGGGGTCTACACCCTTCTAGTAACCTAGCTCTACCAATGGGCTCAAGACAGACCCAGCCTGTACTGCTTGAACCACCTTCTACCAGAGGGGGAGAACACCACCCCCAAAAGGCCAGCAACATCCCCTAGTTGGCTGTATGATCTCCTTTGAGAAAAGGAACACTCAGTTCTTTGTCTGTTTTCTTGTTTTACAATTATTTACTCTGCCCATAGGAATCTGATGGGTTTTAGAACACTTGGCTCAATGGCGTTATCCATCTTCCCATCACTGTGGTGTCAGAGAATAATACCACACCTTAACAATCCAGGCCTTGAGAAGCAAATATTTTCTAAGAGTTTCTTCAAAGAGAATCCACGAAATAATTTTGACTTTACATGTTCTAAGTAAGGGATTTCAGATGCAAAGAATAATCTCTGGAACCCTTAAGCTTTCCCAGTTTCACTTTTCAGTTAGCAGATGCCTGTCCTCCCTTACCCCAAAATCTTGCAAAATACTTCTGAGTATTCCTGTTGGTTTGCCAAGCTATGCTATGCTGTAGACAAAATTAACTTTTTAAACTTTGGCATGTGAATGTTTGAAACAAAACTCTGTTTTAAAATATCTCTGCCATAGCAGACTGGGTGGCTGGGCTCCAGTAGACTCAGGACAGAATCAAATTATTGTAACCCAAGTTCGAATCCCCCTTGAGGTTCCCACACTGCCACCGCTAGACCTGAACTCCCTGAGAGAGAAACATGCCTTGTTTCATACAGCACAGGTCTGGCACAAAGAAGCCTCTGTAAAAGTTTGTTGTTCAAAAGAACAAGATGGACACTGTATCACATTAACAATAAGATCTGTGTCAGGGTAGGCGCGGTGGCTCACGCCTGTAATCCCAGCACTTTGGGAGGCCAGGACGGGCGGATCACTTGAGGTCAGGAGTTTGAGACCAGCCTGGCCAACATGACGAAACCCTGTCTCTACTAAAAATACAAAAAAATAAATAAAAATAAAAAAATAAATTAGCCAGGCATGGTAGCATATGCCTGTAATCTCAGCTGCTAGGGAGGGTGAGGCACGAAAATCACTTGAACTCAGGAGGCGGAGGTTGCAGGAAGCCGAGATCGCGCCACTGCACTCCAGCCTGGGCAACAGAGTGCGCTCTGTGTCGGCGGGGGAGGGGGAAGGCGGGGGGGAAAGATCTGTGTCAATTGTAAAGGTCTTTGTAATTGTTGCTGGAGCAAGGGATATTCTATTTTTGCACTCCATTAAGTTTCATAAAGTAAAGATTTTGAACAACAAAACAAGCTAGTCTAATGATCTGTAATGGTTTCTATAGGCTCTCCCCAAGAATATTATTATTTTTGGCCCTTCTAAAATATACTAAAAAAAAAGTTTTAAAATCCCCAAGCATATGATTTACTCCTTTAAAATCAGGATTTATAGAAAAGGAGAGCACAGATCAAATCAATGTTAAAAATTAAAGGGGAAAAGGACGTGCACATCTGACGGTTTAAGTCATTGCTACCCAAAGCCCCCCAGTTCAGTTCTTGATCTCCAAATCCTGGGGGAAGGTAAATTTTGGGTGAGGGATTATACCTCAGCTACTGTGGTATTTATAAAACATTTTGGCAGGTGCTCTGCCAAGCAGTCTATAATTAGTGAATATGCCTCAGAAACATAAAGTGAACGCAAAGAGTTTCAAATGCCAACAGCCAGCCCCCTGAATACTGAGCTACGTAGTCATAGGGCTGCCACCATCTAGATAACATGATGCTGGGTGCCCTGCCACGGTGCACACGTGTGCACATGCACACGCCAGTTCTGAAGAGTCTTTTTTTAAACCTCTAATGGCTTGACCTCAACACCTGCTACACTTCCTGAAGACAGACAGGCTCTGGAGCTCCACTTGTTCCTCGCATGCGGCTGCACTTTCTAGGAACGACCGCACACACGCAGACGCTGGCCAGCTGCCAAGGCGGGGGCAGCCCAGCCGCCTCGGGCCTGAACTTTCCCAGCGCTGTCAGGGCAGGATCCTGCTATGAGCTGACTCAGCGGCCGGTATGGAACTCTGCCAACCACACAGCAGTGCGGGGGCAGCCGGCAACTCACAGATGTTTTGCTAAACCAAAGCAATCAGTGGGAGGCGGGTCTGGGCTGGCGGCCAGGGTGCTGCTGTCGTGGAAGTTGGGATTCTCTGATTCTAGTCCTAGCTCTGCCACTATCTCCCTGGGTGATGAGTGAAAACCTCTGTGTATCTCAGTACATCTCCCACTTCAGAGGCATGTCTATGTGATGCAGGAGAGGATGGCACTGTTTACATAAAAGAGCTCCCCCGGGCACTATTACCTACCATGTGCCTGGCACTGGACAAGCTTTCACATGTGCTAGCTCGGTTAATCCTTACAACATCCATGGGAGGCAGTGGCACTCTTTTTATTTCACAGATGAGAAGACACAGGCTCAGAGCAAATCAGAGCCCTACTAAAAGATCACAAGGGCAATATTTGGAAGTGATGGGATTTGAATCCCACTGCTGGCTGCAAACACTATTGTTGTAAAACTCAGATCTACTGTACAGACCTCCTGATCCAAGATGTTTGATTTTTTGGGTTCCAAAGGACCTTTCTTATATGACTTCTCAGTTGCCCTGTGAAAACCCACAGCTTTTCACAAATGATTTCTAAACAGTACCACTGGATCACAAGAAGTGTGTGTGCTTCTGCAGGGTACCCATGAACTCCCTTACTAAGCACCAACAAGTCACTTAAGCTGGAACAACTTATCATCACTCCCATCCTTTGGGCGAGGAAAAACTATATTATGGGTCACAAAGAGAAGAGGCTTGGTTGAAAACAAAGATTCCCTAGGCTCCACCCTCCAAGATAATTCATTAGGACTCAGCAATCTGTATTTTTTAAAAAGCTCCCTAACTGACTCTGATACTCAGCCATTTGGAAGTCACTTCAGCTTTCCTTGACTAAAAAGGAAATTTTGAGGTCTACCCTTCCCTGTTGTCAAGGGGATGATGTAAGAGTGAAATGAAATCATGTCTACAAGGCTCTTTGTTGGAAAATATATACAATGCAAGTGCTTCTTGTCAGCTGTGTTTAGCTCCAAAACAACCAACTGTCCTTAAAGAGGGTTAGCCTGGAGCTAAGAAACTGTCTTAGGCAAGAACTTTCTTTTACATTACTGTTAGAAACATTATTATTAGAAAAGCTGTAATTAGTCACACATCTCATTTTAGATATTCCTCACAACACTGTTGCAACTTCATCCTTCCTTTAAAAAAGAAGATTGTATTGACATTCTTTCACATCAAACTTGGCAAAACCTATATTAAGAGTAACATACAGGCCAGGGGCGGTGGCTCATGCCTGTAATCCCAACATTTTGGGAGGCCGAGGCAGGCAGATCACGGGGTCAGGAGATCGAGACCATCTTGGCTAACACGGTGAAACCCCGTCTCTGCTAAAAATGCAAAAAATAAGCCAGGCATAGTGGCACGCGCCTATAGTCCCAGCTACTCAGGAGACTGAGGCAGGAGAATCGCTTGAACCTGGGAGATGGAGGTTGCAGTGAGCCGAGATCATGCCACTGCACTCCAGCTTGGGTGACAGAGTGAGACTCCATGTCAAAAAAAAAAAAAAAAAAAGAGTAACATATATTTCATTGCTTTAATGAAGAAAATAAATATTAAATAAGAAAAAAATCCAAAGTCTATTCATGTCTAGGCTGTTGGTCACCGAAGTGGGGTGAGAAGGCACAGACTGGCACAGCCCCTGACCCTGTCAGTCCATGACCCCTCTCTGGCCTTCAGGAAGACCAAATGACCTACAATACCAGAAAGACTGACCTGCTTGAGCTGCTCATCCAGATTCCAGTTCGGCTGTCCTGCTGTGGAGACAGAAGGTGAGGCCTTGGAAGCATCTTTGGTATGGTCTTCTTTAGCTTGTTGTCCATGTGGTGGGAGCCCTGGTGCTGGAAGTAGATTGGACATGGGTGCCACTCTGGGATCTTGGCGAGCTACTTTCTGCACATGAAAATATTTTGAAGCAGCCTGGGTTTCTTTCTCAGCCACCTCTGCAACTTCATCATCCCCATCCTCATCTTCCAAACCTCCGTCCTCTTCCTCAGGCTCTGAGTTCATGTTGCCCCGTTCAAACACTTGGGCCACTGCTGCGGTGGGTGGAACTCTGGCTAAGGGACCTAAGGGAGTGCTGCCAGAAGGTCTCCCAGCTGTGGCGGAAAGGAGAGTCGGCTGTGTGACCAGCTTTTGGGCATACAAGAACTGGGCTTCTCTCATCTGCTGGCCCTGCTTCTCTCTGGCATCCATCTGCAGAGGAGCCAGGTGTGGCTGCTTCTGTTGTTGCTGCTGCTGCTGCTGCTGCTGCTGAAGTGGCTCCATTTTTGCCTCAAGCTTCACCCACAGAGTGGCATGACTCTGAACCTGGGCACAGCCCACCAGGCACACTGGGTCTAAACCTTAGTGATTAACAGAAACCACAAAGAAGGAGGGGGAAAAAACAACCATGTTAAGCAGGTATAAAAAGGTTTCCTTTTCTCCAGTAGAGGGCCATGAGTTCCGAACGCTAAACATATGCTCCTAAACCTGAGTTTTAAGATGAGTGAGTGGTGGGGGTTTCGTGGGTGGGTAGGAAAAGGTGTGAAGAAGAGAAACAGGATCTAAGAGGGGAAATAGGGAATGAATTTCAGTAGTAGTAGCAGGCTTTAAAAGAAGTACATCCAGCCAATATCTAGTCTGCTAACGTGTTCTGATCTCTCTTCCTCTACATTATCAAACATTAATCTGTTACTGAACTAATGTTACTGAACATTAATTACTGAAAAGGTAACTGGGTTTGCACTGTAGCAGAAGCATAATTATGCAAACAACAATAATAAAGGAAAAGAAGGACCTGCCTGCAAAGGAGAGAGTATGTTCCCAAGCCCACAGGAGAAAGATATCACCTCTAAGCTAGACACAGAACTATCAGGCAGACAGTTTTACTCTCATAGAAAAAGCAAGACCAAGCAAGCTGCTCTTGGGTCTAAGCTTTTCAAATTTCCCTGATCAAATTGCCAGCCTGCTTGTTGAGTGGACTGAGCCATACTAACTGGACATTATAGCCTCAAAAAGAATCCAATTTCAACAACATGAAAGAAACACGCAAGGAGGCAAGAGTCTCAAATTGCAATCGTCACTCAAAAGCAAACGGGGGAATTCCTCTGGAGATTTTAAAGTTAATTAATTTGAAACAGATATCAACATTGTCTGAACAACAAGTTAATGCTGCTTCTTTTTTATAAACAGCGAAGTAAATCTCTTCACATCCCCTTTCTTTCTGATTCATTTCTATTATGATATTCTCTGACAAACACAAAAAGAAAAGTCTTTCGGGCCAAAAGCATTCTGGGGGCAGGTTTATCTGCATTCTTACCAATCAGTCTCCAAACACACATCACTTTCACACCCTCTTCTCCTTTTACTCCCCCACCTCTCCCCTGCAGGCCCTCACCCCCAACAAACTTCACTTGAGTTATGTTTCTTCAGCAAGTCTCCATAACTGAATGGATTACTATGCAAGGGCAATTTTAGGTGAACAGGACTTGCAACATGGCGTACAATTTTGTCATCACATGAAAGAAGCTGCACTGCACATGTTGGGACTTGATATCTGCATTGTTCCAGTGTTTTAGGATTGGGTCGAAAGACAAAAAACAAAGTGTCTTTAGTATCTTCAAAAATTCACGGAGAAGTAATCACATCTTCAGCAATAAAAACTGCTTGGATTTAAGATTTTTTCCAGGTTAGAGTAAAAAAGGGTACAATTTTTAAAGCTAGGCCAATTAGTAGAGATTAAAAATTCTCATTTTCTGTTTATCTTATAGCCCTGTTTGTGCCTTTTGTGTTCTGTGAAAGATTCGCATTCCAATTTGCCTCTTACTGCCTTTACTTCCTCTCTTGGCACTTCAGAAAGTGTGAGTTACGCTTGCAGCAATACTTTCATTCTGCTTTAGCTCTTCTTACAGTGTAAAAAAGCATGACAAGATTTACATCCACATTAAATTCAGTTGGCAAAAGTGTTCATTTAAAATGAAAACAATTTGGGTCAAAGAAAATTACAGAATAAAGCAAATAATTCGGTGTTCATTTTAAATGTCCTCATAGTCATTACAGTCAATCAATCACGATCGGAATAACTTCTCAACCAAGTCCTGCCAGTCACTGAACAACTGCTTCTTGTCTTGTGGCACCATCTTCTCTGAATGCTGTCCCCAGCAGAGGGGGAGGTGTCCCTCCCACAGCCTCTTATAGTAAGACTGAGATGACTCAGTTCTACAACTCAATACACACACCCTCCCCCAAAGAGCCCATTTTCCCGCAGTCCCTAAGCAGCCAGCGATCCAAACAATGCCACCTGCCTACATTTGGAGAACTTATGTCTCAAATCTAAACCTCTTCATCCCTTCACACGGGCCCCTCCCCCATTTCCCCTAAAGTTCCCGGACCACCAAGCCGGGTACAACGGACTACCTGCAGCTTTGAACCCGGCCTGCTGACCATTCCCCTGCTTTTGCTGCCGGATTCTTTTGGCCCCGGGCCCCTGTAAGCCCCACAGCCCACCTTCCCGGTCACCCCTGCACGCCTCCCCCCATTCTTTATTCACCTCCCCCCATTCAGCCCTATCATTTTTACCTCTACCAACCCTCCCAGCCAATCCGCTGGCTCTTCCGATGGCCCCCGCCCCACCTATCTGCGCGCCCACTCAGCTCCAGGGCCCCTCACCCTTCTCATCGCTTTATCTCAAACGCTTTATCTCAAATGCCCTAATGGGCACAGGGCGCTCGGGGCTCCCGCGGCGCTCTCACTTTCCTTCGCGGTCCCCGCGCCCCCGACTCGCGCATTCCCCTCTCTCTCTACACCTGCCTCGGCTCCTGGCCTCGGCCCCTCCACCTGTCGCAGCCTCCTCTCCCGCCATGCCTGAGGGAGCCCGGACCCGGGCCACTTACCTGTGCGGGGCACTCCGGGTTTTCGGGCGGCGGAGGAGGCGGCAGCTCAGGCCCCGGCGCGGCAGCTGCGTCTCGGACTCCTCCGCAGCCGGGGGCCACAGCCGGGGCGGGGCCCGCACCGGAAGCGGCGCCGCGGGGCTGGACCGCCAGCCAGGGGCGGGGGCGGGGGCGGGGCGGGGCCACAGGGGGCGGGGCGGGACCGAAGCCGGAAGCTGCTAGAAAGGGACCGGGGGGCGGGGTGGGACGAGGCGGAAGTGACTCCTACGGACCGCGCAGCCCGACTGAGTTGTGGGAGGAAGCGAATGGAAGCGGGCGGAAGCCTCGGCCAATGGCAAAGTGCGGACACAGAGGGGTTCCGGTGTGAGCACTTCCGCGGGGAGTTGAAAAGAGCTGGGCGGGAGATCGTGTTCTCCGAGCGTTTTCTATTGCGGAGGTTGGTGTGGCTTGGGCGGTTGGCTGGGAGGAAAGTAACTAAAGAGCAGAGGAGTGTAGGGTTTGCCGTCGCTTCGGTCCCCTCCTCAATCTCCTGCCTTCAAGCCGGTCTTCCTCAGAGGTTCTCGTGTTTAGATCAGCTTGTCTCTAAACTTCTCCGCTCCTTCCTGGGACAGAGACCTGGCTGTCCCGAGAATGTTGCGTCCCTTGAAACTTTCTCACATGAATTAGTATTCTCAGGTCTCAGTTTGCAGAGGTCGGGATTATGTGCCAGGTGCTGTCACCTCTTGTAAAAACACTTGCTTCTTCAGCCCTTCCCCTTAGACTCTGTCACCTACTTCACCCCGTTTGGAGATAATCTGCCGATCTGTGTATCCAGCTCCTTGTCTGTCTCCCGTCTGACCATCTTTGATAATTTCAGAGCCTATGTGGCCAACCCATTCAACATCGGGCCTCGTCTTTAGCGACCCTTATATCAGCCTCCCAATCCCAGTTAAAACCTGGACCTTGTCCCTCCAAACGCTATCGCGTCACGACTCAGTAATTTGAACAACCCTCTTTTCAACCACAGCCTGCTATTCTCTCAGCTTGACTACTTTTGAATTATAGGCCTGATGCAGTAGCTCACGCCTGTAATTTCAGCACTTTGGAAGGCTGAGGCAGGCGAATCTCTTGGGCCCAGTAGTTGGAGAGCAGCCTGGGCAACAAGGCGATACCCCATCTCTACAAAAAATACAAAGTTTAATGAGGCGTTTTGGCGCATGCCTGTGGTCCCATCTACTCGGAAGGCTGAGGTGGGAGATCACCTGAGCCCAGGAGAGGCGGAGGTTGCAGTGAGCCATGATTGTGCCACTGCACTCCAGCCTGGGTGACAGAGACACTGTTCCCCCCCCCCAAAAAAAATAGAATTACAGCATAACTGTTATTACTGTTATTTCACTTTTTTTTTTTAGAAGGAGTCTTGCTCTGTCGCCCAGGCTGGAGTGCAGTGGCGCAACCTCAGCTCACTGCAACCTCCGCCTCCTGGGTTCAAGCAATTCTACTGCCTCAGCCTCTCGAGTAGCTAGGATTACAGGTGTGCGCCACCAAGCCAGCTAATTTTTGCATTTTTAGTAGAGACAGGTTTCGCCATGTTGGCCAGGCTGGTCTCGAAGTCCTGAACTCAGGTGATCCGCTCGCCTCGGCCTCCCATAGTGCTGGGATTACAGGCGTAAGCCACTGCACCCGGCCTGTTCTTTCACTTTATCAGAGCAGAGCATCTAATCGGTTGAAAGCCTCTACTTTATCTCTTATACATTAATCCCCTCTTCACTTCCTTCCTTATCCATTTTAGATTCAGTGGTACATTAATACAGTCCTGCCCCTACTTAATCTTAATCCCACCACAACACTCCTTTTTCCCCAACGAAATCCCTCACCCTGGATGGACCTATGTGTTTCTCCTTGCTTGTACCTTGTCATAGAAAGTTGTCCTGTTGCTGGGCGTGGTGGCTCATGCCTGTAATCCCAACACTTTGGGAGGCCGAGGTGGGCGGATCACGAGGTCAGGAGTTAGAAACCAGCCTGGCCAATATGGTGAAACCCCGTCTCTACTAAAAATACAAAAATTAGCTGGGTGTGGTGGCGCATGCCTGTAGTCCCAGCTACTGGGGAGGCTGAGGCAGAAGAATCGCTTGAACCTGGACGGCGGAGGTTGCAGTTAGCCGAGATCACGCCACTGCACTCCAGTCTGGGTGACAGAGCAAGATTTCATCTCAAAAACAAAAAAATTGTCCTGTTGAGGCCGAGCACGATGGCTCATGCCTGTAATCCCAGCACTTTGGGAGTCCGAGGCGGGTGGATCACCTGAGGTCAGGAGTTTGAGACCAGCCTGACCAACATGGTGAAACCCTGTCTACTAAAAATACAAAAATTAGCCGGGCGTGGTGGTGAAGACCTGTAATCCCTGCTACTCCAGAGGCTGAGGCAGGAGAGCTTGAACCTGAGAGGAGAGGTTGCAGTGAGCTGAGATTGCATCATTGCACTCCAGCCTGGGCAACAAGAGCAAAGCTCCACCTCAAAAAAAGAAAAAGTGTCCTGCTGAACAGATTGGCGTCACTACATTAATAAAGACCAACTTTAAATGGACTGTGGGTCAGGTGCGGCGGCTCACACCTGTAATCCCAGCACTTGGGAGGCTGAGGTGGGTGGATCATGAGGTCAGGAGTTCGAGACCAGCCTGGCCAACATTGTGAAACCCCGTCTCTATTAAAAATACAAAAATTAGCTGAGCGCAGTGGCAAGCACTTGTAATCCCAGCTACTTTGGAGGCTGAGGCAGAAGAATTGCTTGAACCCGGGAGGTGGAGTTTGCATTGAGCTGAGATCGCGCCACTGCACTCCAGCCGGGGTGACAGAGCAAGACTCCGTCTCAAAAAAAAAAAGGACTGTGAACTGTGACTAGAAATTTCATTATATTTTTCTAGTCAACTTGCTCTCCACGATCTCTACAAATCTCTGACCTATACCCTTACCACTTCCCCTGACTTCCTTATCATGTAAGTAACAGAAAATGTAGAATGTCCTGAAATCGAGAAACCTACTTACTTGCCTTCCCATCCTGTCCTTACCTCCTATTTATTCAATCAAAAATATTCATTCAACTCCCACTATATGCCAGACCAGGCACTCATGTAGGTGCTTACTGAGCAATGGACAAAACAAATTCCCTGCTCGCAAGGATCTTTACTAGTTCGAGGAGAGAAAACAAGTATGTAATGTCAGGGATATATGCTAAGAAAACAAAGCAGGGTAGGGATTAGACAGTGGTGTCAGGTAGCTGCTATTTTAGATGTTAGTCAGAGAAGAATTTATAAGGAGCCCTTAAGCAGAAACTGGCCTTGACTTAATGGGTGTAAGCCATGTAGATATCTAGGGGGAGAGTGTTCCAGGCAGAGGAGACAGCAAATTCAAATGCCCTGAGGCAGGAGCCTGCTTGAGGTGCTATGGGAATAGCAAGGAGATCACTATGTTGATTCAGAGTGAGTGATGGGGAGAGTGCTAAGAGACCAGATAAAAAAGGTAGCTGGGGCCTTACCATGCAGGGCCTTCTCAATTATGGCAACAATTTTGCCGGTCACCACTGAAAGCCCTGGAGAGTTCTGAACACAAGAGCTACTTGATCAGATTTATATCTCTAAAGGGATCATTCTAGCTGTTGTGTTGAGAATAGACTATGAGGGTAAGGGGTAAGAGTAGAAGCACTAATCTTGGCAGAAGATGATGGTGGCCTGAACTAAGTAACAGCAGTGGAGGTAGTGGTAAGTGGTTAGATTCCACGTGTATTTTGAAAGTGGAGCTGGCTGAGCGAGCCAGTGAGCACAGTGGCCCATACCTGTAATCCCAACACTATGGGAGGCTGAGACGGGTGGATCGCTCGTGCCTAAGAGTTCGAGAACAGCCTGGGCAACATGGTGAAACTCCGTCTCTATCAGTAAATACAAAAATCAGCCAGGTGCGATGGTGTGTGCCTGTAGTCCCAGCTAGTCAGGGCTGAGATGGGAGGATGGCTTGAGCCCAGGAGATGGAGGCTGTAGTGAGCCATGATCATGCCACTGCACTCCAGCCTGGGCAACAGAGAGAGACGCTGTCTCAAAAAAAATAACTAAATAAAAAGATAAGAAAGTGGAACCACTAAGATTTGCTGATGGATTGGTTGTATAGGCTAGAGAAGAGAGTGAAGGATGATGCCAAGGTTTTTGGCCCAAGTAATTGTTAGAATAATGGTATCATTTGCTGACCTAAGGAATACCAGCAGAAGCCAACACCAATGGAATATTAGCAATAAAAAGAATAAAGTATTGATATACACAACAAGTAGGCATTATAACTACATAATAATGAAAGGATTATGCCAAGTAAACTAAGTCAGTCTCAAATGACACACATACAAATATTGAAATTATAGTTTGGAGAGTAAGTCAGTGATTGCCAGGAGCTAAGGGGGTGGAGGGAATGACTAAAGAGATAGCAAAAAGGACGGTTTTAGGGTGATGGAACTCTTTTGAATCCTGATTTTGGTAGTAGTTACTTCAATCTGTACATGTGTTAAAATCCATAGGACTGTATATAACAAAAATAAAGTCAATTTTATTGTATGAAGTTTTTTTCTTAAAAGCCAAACTCCAGGCCGGGTGCAATGGCTCATGCCTGTAACCTCAGCACTTTGGGAGGTCGAGGCGGGCAGATCACTTGAGGTCAGGAGTTCCAGACCAGCCTGGCCAACATGGTGAAATCTCGTCTCTACTGAAAATACAAAAATTAGCCAGACATGGCGGCAGTTGGCCGTAATCCCAGCTACTCGGAAGGCTGAGGCAGGAGTATCTCTTGAAGCCAGGAGGCAGAGGTTGCAGTGAGCCAAGATGGTGCCACTGCACTCCAGCCTGAGCAACAAGAGCGAAAACTCCGTCTAAAAACAAAAAAGCCAAACTCCATAGCTGTTCAAGTTTCCCTTCACAATTCTTAGGGATCTCCCTTTAACCTCTTGCAATGTTGGATCCTTTCATTAGTATTCAAGCAAACTCTAGTTTCACTCATCTTTTGCTTTCAAAAGAAGAAGGAAAAAAAAGCCTTTCCCTCAATCCCACATTCTGTTGACTAAAGCCTTATCTCACTAATTCCCCTTCCTGGCAAAACTTCTAGAGTTATTGTCTTCACTACAGCTCAAGTGATCGGATCTTTCTCCTTAAAATGCTCTATGGCTTCGCATTGCTCTTGGGATCAAGTCCTAAATTCCTTTATGTGGCCTACAGGGCCCTAAGAAGATCTAGCTTCTTGCCTACCTCTTCAGTTTTATCTCTGTCTCAAGGTATAGAAAAGGTCCTAGGAAAGTGGCCCTACTAGTTGACCTCAGTAGCTGAAACAGAAAAGCATGCTCCTCCCATCACAGAAATATGATATAAGTAACAGAAAATGTAGAATGCCCTGAAACCTAGATGATTAAACCCTGAGATACGTGCCCATTCATGTTACAAGGAATATCATTTAATCTCTACTTTAGCTTCTAAAGGGTAGTGGGTTGAACAGAATAGCCACAGTGTTTTTCAGCTTCTCCAATGCAGAGGTGGAGTCTGTTTCTCCATTCACTGAATCTAGGCTTGGCCGTGTGACTTGCTTTGTCCTGTAGGACACTGGCAAATGTAAAGCAAGAAGTGTCTTGAGAAGTGATTACAACAGGGGGTTGCTTTCTCTTGCTGCTGTGACCTCTTCCACTACCACGAGGATAACTCCTACTAACCTAATGGATGATGACAGACACATAGTCATCACCCCATCTGACATCTGACCAACTGCCAGACATGTATGAGTGTGGCCCCTTAGACCAGCTAGCCTGCCAGCAACTACCAGACATATGAACAAGAGCATTCTAGACCATCCAGGCCCAGCTAAGCTGGCCCAGACCAGAAGACTTCCCCAGCAAACCCACAGACTGATGAAAAAGAATAAATGCTTATTGTTTAAGAGTGAAACCAGTAAGTTTTGAGGTAGTTTGTTCTGCAATAAAAACTGAAACACAAAGCATGTCTTTGCAGCTCTCAGGATGGATTTGTTTGGTGTACTTCTTGGAGTGCCTGAAGCCAACATGCATCAGCTTCACAGAGCTGGTCTGTGTTACCTTAAGTTATCTCATCAGATTTCTCATAGTTTTGCTGATTTATAGCAAAACATATTTAAGGCTTAATAATACACATCAAGTCTCTTGTTATTTCACTTGTTCAGTGAAGGTAATTTTATTTGCAAGGTTTTCATTCATTTTATTACTTTTTTTTTTTTTTTTTTAATTGAGCCGGGTCTCACTGTACTACCCAGACTGGTCTTGAACTTCTGGGCTCAGGCGATCCTCCTGTGTCAGCCTCGAGGTCTCACTGTGTTACCCAGGCTGGTCCGGAACTCTTGGGCTCAAGCAGTCCTCCTGCATCAGCCTCCCAAAGTGCCGGGATTACAGGCACAAACAACTGTGCCAAGACTTGTTACTTTTTTTTTTTTTTTTTTTTTTTTTGAGACAGGGTCTCTCTCTTTCACCCAGGCTGGAGTGCACTGACATGATCTCAGTTCACTGCAGCCTCTGCCTCCCAGGCTCAAGCGGTCCTCCTACCTTAGCCTCCCGAGCAGCTGGGACCACAGGTGTGCACCATCACGCGCAGCTAATTTTTGTATTTTTTGTAGAGATGTGGTTTCACCCTGTTGCCCAGGCTGGTCTTGAACTCCTGGACTCAAGTGATCCTCCTGCTTTGTCCTCCCAAAGTGTTTGGGATTACAAGCGTGAGCCATCGTGCCTGGCCCTTGTTACTCTTCTTTTTTTTTTTTGAGACAGTCTCACTCTGTCACCCAGGCTGGAGTGCAGTGGTGCGATCTCAGCTCACTGCAAGCTCCGCTTCCTGGGTTCATGCCATTCTCCTGCCTCAGCCTCCCCAGTAGCTGGGACTACAGGCACCCGCCACCAAGCCCGGCTAATTTTTTTTTGTATTTTTAGTAAAGACAGGATTTCACTGTGTTAGCCAGGATGGTCTCGATCTCCTGACCTCGTGATTCGCCCGTCTCAGCCTCCCAAAGTGCTGGGATTACAGGTGTGAGCCACTGTGCCCGGCCCTTGTTACTCTTTTTTTAAAACAAAGGTTAAGGCCAGGCTCGGTGCCTCTTGCCTATAATTTTATCACTTTGAGAGGCCTAGATGGGAAGATCACTTGAGGCCAGGCATTCAAGTTCAGCCTGGGCAACATAGCAAGACCCTGTCTCTACAAAAAGGTTTTTTTTTTTTTTTTTTTTTTTGAGACGAAGCCTCATTCTTGTCCCCCAGGCTGGTGTGCAATAGCCTGATCTCAGCTCACTGCAACCTCTGCCTCCTGGGTTCAAGTGATTCTCCTGCCTCAGCCTCCTGAGTAACAGGGATTACAGGCACCTACCACCACGCCTGGCTAATTTTTGTATTTTTATTAGCGATGGGGTTTCACCATGTTGGCCAGGCTGGTCTCGAACTCCTGGCCTTAGATGATCCGCCCGCCTCGGCTTCCCAAAGTGCTAGGATTACAGGCGTGAGCCACTGCACATGGCCTGAAAAAGAATTTTTTTTTTTTCTTTTTTTTGAGACGGAGTCTCAATGTGTCACCCAGGCTGGAGTGCAGTGGCACAATCTCTGCTCACTGCAACCTCCGCTTCCTGGGTTCAAGCAATTTTTCTGTCTCTGCCTCCTGAGTAGCTGGAATTACAGGCACCTGCCACCACACCCAGCTAATTTTTGTATTTTTAGTAGAGATGGGGTTTCACGATGTTGGCCAGGCTGGTCTCGAACTCCTGACCTCAAGTGATCCACCTGCCTCGGCCTCTCAAAGTGCTGGAATTATAGACATGAGCCAGCGTGCCCAGCCTCAAAAAAGTTTTTAAAAACTGCTAGGAATGGTGGTGCATGCCTGTAGTCCTGGCTACTCTGATGGGAAGCTGAGGCAGGATCACTTGAGCAGTGAGCTATGATCATGCCACTGCACTCCAGCCTGGGCAATAGAATGAGACCTTGTCTCAGAAAAAAAAAAAGGTTAAGTTGTATAAACATTGGACATCATTTTTTACGTATGTTTTGCATGTTTAGTCTTTTTTTTTTTTTAGACGGAGTTTCGCTCTTGTTGCCCGGGCTGGAGTGCAATGGCAGGATCTTGGTTCACCACAACCTCTGCCCTCCTGGGTTCAAGCGATTCCCCTTGAGTAGCTGGGATTACAGGCATGTGCCACCAGGCCTGGCTAATTTTGTATTTTTAGTAGAATCAGGATTTCTACATGTTGGTCAGGCTGGTCGCGAACTCCCAGCCGCCTGGCCGTATATATCTTTTTTTTTTTTGAGACGGAGTCTTTCTCTGTCGATCTCAGCTCATTGCAACCTCCACCTTCCGGGTCCTGCCTCAGCCTCCCGAGTAGCTGGGATTACAGGAGTGCACCACCACACCCGGCTAATTTTTTTTTTTTTTGAGACAGAATTTCGCTCTGTCACCCAAGTTGGAGTGCAGTGGTGCGATCTTGGCTTACTGCAACCTCCGTCTCCTGGGTTCAAGCAATTCCCCTACCTCAGCCTCCCGAGTAACTGGGATTACAGGTGCCCACCACCACACCCAGCTAATTTTTGCATTTTTAGTAGAGACAGGGTTTCACCACGTTGGCCAGGCTGGTCTCAAATTCCTGACCTCAGTGATCCGCCTGCCTTGGCCTCCCAAAGTACTGGGATAGGCCTGACCTTTTTTTTTTTTTTTTGAGATGGAGTCGCGCTCTGTCACCCAGGCTGCCAGGCTGGAGTGCAGTGGCACAATCTCGGCTCACTGCTACCTCCGCCTCCCGGGTTCAAGTGATTCTTCTGCTTCAGTCTTCCAAGTAGCTGGGACTACAGGTGGGCGCCACCACGCCCAGCTAATTTTTTTTTTTTTTTTTTTTTGTATTTTTAGTAGAGATGGGGTTTCAGCATATTGGCCAGGCTGGTCTCGAACTTCTGACCTTGGGATCTGCCCTCCTTGGCCTCCCAAAATGCTGGGATTACAGGCGTGAACTACCGTGCCTGACCAATTTTTTTTTTGTATTTTTAGTAGAGATAGGGTTTCGCCATGTTGGCCAGGGTGGTCTTGAACTCCTGACCTCAAGTGATCCACCTGCCTTGGCATCTCAAAGTGCTGGGATTACAAGTGTGAGCCACTGAGCCTGGCCTAAATTTAGTCTTAAATGTACAGTGCATAAAAGCTAAGAAACAACGGGTAAATGGCCATATTATGGGATAATAATCTCGTAACTAATGAGATCATAACTAATGAAGGGAAAATGCCTTTAGTTTTGTTTATGATAGCCAGTGTAATTGTTAATGTAATTGTGTCTGTCTTAATGAGATTTGATGTTTTAGCATGAGTGGGTGTTAATTTTGGGACACTGTGCACATATAAAATGTTTTCCCATTGAAATTAAGTACTGATTACATTTTCAACTTGAATTGCCCCACAAGAGGTTTTTTAGGATTAACTACCCCAGGAAGGCAGGAAAGGACTGTCCTGTAGTCACTGTACCTTTTACTGTCATGGAAAATTAAAATGAAACCAGATGATTAAGGTTTCCACTTGTCCTGAGATGAAGGTGTAGCCTGAGGAGCCTCTATTAGCATGTGTAAAGCCTCTGCTGAGTAAATGGTATTAACTTGTGTAAAGAAAGAATGTGACTAGGGGGCCCAGCAAGGAGGTATATCAAGTCAACACATTCCTGAGGGTATCTCTCTAGCTGTGGTGGTGGATGCGTCAGTAACGTATCTGCAGCCTGAGTGGGCTTTCAGTGTGTTTTCCTGTGGGTAGGGGATACGACCATCAGGCTGACTACTGGGTGTCCTCTTTCATAGAACTGTTTGTATTTTAAGTCAGACAATTGGTATTTGGTGTCTGGTGACCTGGGTTATGTGAAGTGTCAGCCTCCACTAACCACTAAACCCTGGGGAAATGCCAGTACCTAGTTACTGAGGCTCAAAGGTAAACTTTGAAAACTTTTTCAGAGTAACAAGCCCTCCTGGCAGTGGGCAGACCAACATTCCCCTGAAGATAGCTGCTCTCTTGCCACATTCTCTTTCCACATGCCTTCACTGCAAAGGTCTTCTCCAAGCCTGGGACTCCGATTTGCCAACATGCTGATGAACTGACTTGACTACATTGTTCTGTCTCTCACCTGTGAATGGAAGAGGTTAGACCTCTAAGGCAAGCAAAAAGGCCAATCCCAGAGTGACTCATCTTTGAAAATATTGGATTGTCTCACTCTCCCTGATACTTAATTAAAAGCCATCTTTGCAAAGCATCATCCAATTTCTGTAGTGGCCCCAGCGCTCAGTAGTCCCAGAGACTGTCAGAGCAAAAGGGAGCAGGAGGCAATTCAAGCCATCTGTCCTAGAATAGGACACCTGGTCACAGGCCTGTGCCTCTGGTCAGGGCTCTTTGGGAGCCATCTGGCCCTCCATCCCATAGAGCTGTGCTGAGCCAGACTCTGTCAAGTATTGGTGAAACTAAGAGGAGAAGGTACACAAGCCAAAGTTAGCCTGGCAGTGAGCTTGACTGGGAGAGTTGCAGGGCCAACCGATTCTCATAAATGTGTCCACAGATACCTACACAGGTGTCTCAAAAAAATACATAAATAAAATAAAGGAAGCTAATTATACTATAATGGGAGTTTTCAGAATTTTATTAAGGTGAAATCTATGAAATGCCAGAAAGGTTAAAAAGCTTGTCTACTTCAGGCCTTTGCTTTCTGCTTTATGGCAAGAGCACATGTTGAATATTTAGATTAATTCAAACCAACCTCAACACAAATTTTTAACCCTGATGCAATTTCGGGGAACAATAGTTAACATCATTTAGGAATACAATTTAGAACCCTCACCTTTAAAAATGGAGCCAGATTTTCAATCTCTCTAATTAAAGTGAAAGTTTGATTTCCTAATGCTTATAACTCTACTGAGATTGTGTTGGAAGAGAAGAGATTGATTATAAAGCTAACTGATCTGATGTCCTCCTGACCAATTCCCTTTCATCTCTCTCCCCACAAAAAGGGACAAAAAGCTTAACACTGTGGTCATCCAGCAGCCAGTCATTTCCTAATATGGACAGTACAGTCCTTCAGTTTCACTTCCAGAAGCCAAGTACTAGGAGAATAGTTTTTACATTTGTATATGTTTCCTACACCTCTTTCCCTTCTCAGTCCCAAGAGAGAAGCCTCTGTGTTGCTTGCTTTAACGTTAATGATGATGTCTGCAATGACTGTATTTCCTGAACCTACAGTATGGGATCAGCTCCAACACGTCACCCTAATGTTTGATTACAAAATTTAAATGAATAATCACAAAATTTGAGGCCGGGCGCGGTGGCCCACGCCTGTAATCTCAGCACTTTGGGAGGCCACGGCTGGCAGATCATTTGAGGTCAGGAATTCGAGACCAGCCTGGCCAACATGGTGAAACCCTGTCTCGACTAAAAATACAAAAATTAGCTGGGTGTAGTGGCAGATGCCTGTAGTCCCAGCTACTTGGGAGGCTGAAGCAGGAGAATCGTTTGAGCCCCAGAGGCAGAGGTTGCAGTGAGCCGAGATTGCGCCACTGCAGTCCAGCCTGGGCAACAGAGCGAGACTCCCTTAAAAAAAAAAAAGAACCAAAAAATTTGAAGAATCCCTCTTTATTAAAAATGAATGATTACCAAAAAAAATGACTAAAGGTATTAAAAATAATGAAGTCGATATACTTCTACTGACTGAGAAGATGTCAGCAGTACAATTTAAAGAGAAATTAGCAGCCAGGTGTGGCGGCTCACACCTGTAATCCCAGCACTTTGGGATCGGAGGCAGGTGAATCATGAGGTCAGAGGTTCAAGAAGAGCCTGGCCAACATGGTGAAACCCCATCTTTAATAAAAATACAAAAATTAGCTGGGAGTGGTGGCAGGCGCCTATAATCCCAGCTACTTGGGAGGCTGAGGCAGGAGAATTGCTTGAAGCCAGGAATTTGCAGTGAGCTGAGATCACACCATTGCACTCCAGCCTGGGCGACAGAGCCAGATTCTGTCTCAAAAAAAAAAAAAAAAAAAAAAAAAAGGAAAAGAAAAGAAATTGGCAGGCTGGGAGAGGTGGTTCACGCCTGTAATACCAACACTTTCAGAGGCTGAGGCGAAAGGATCACCTGAGCCCGGGAATTGGAGATTAGCCTAGGCAACATAGCGTGACCCCCATCTCTATAAAAAAAAAGTTTTTAATTAGCTGGACATGGTGGCTGTAGTCTCAGCTACTCAGAAGGCTGAGGTAAAAGAGTTGCTTGAGCCCAGGAGGTCGAGGCTGCAGTGAGCCATGACCATGCCACTGCACTCCAGCCTGAGTAACATAGTGAGACCATGTCTCAAAAAAAAAAAAAAAAAAGAAAAAAGAAAAAGAGAGAGAGAGAGACTGGCAAGTTGCAGAGAAGTATGTAAAATAAAATCATTTTGAAAAAACTGAACAATGATTTAACCTTTTGAAAACCAAGGCGCCCACCACCATGCATGGCTAATTTTTGTATTTTTGGTAGAGACAGGGTTTCGCTATGTTGACTAGGCTGGTCTTGAACTCCTGATCTCAGGTGATCTGCCCACCTTGGCCTCCCAGAGTGCTGAGATTACAGACATGGGCCACCGCACCTGGCCCCTATTTCCTATCTTAACAATAAAGACAGTTATGATACATGTCCCATCTTCAGACTAAAGTTTAATTTTGGCTTTTTCTTTTTTTTTTTTTTTGAGACGGAGCCTCGCTCTGTTGCCCAGGCTGGAGTGCAGTGGCACGATCTCAGCTCACTGCAACCTCCACCTCCCAGGTTCAAGCAATTTTCCTGCCTCAGCCCCCCTAGTAGCTGGGATTTCAGGCATGCACCACCATGCCCGGCTAATTTTTCTATTTTTATTTTATTTGTTTATTTATTTTTTGAGACGGAGTCTCACCCTGTCGCCCAGGCTGGAGTGCAATGATGCAATCTTGGCCCACTGCAACCTCTGCCTCCCGAGTTCAAGCGATTCTCCTGCCTCAGCCTCCTGAGTAGCTGGGATTACAAGCGCCCGCCACCACGCATGGCTAATTTTTTTTTTTTTTCAGTAGAGACGGGGTTTCACCATGTTAGTCAGGCTGGTCTCGAACTCCTGACCTCGTGATCTGCCCTCCTCAGCCTCCCAAAGTGCTGGGATTACAGGAGTGAGCCACCACGCCCAGCCAATTTTTGTATTTTTAGTAGAGACAGGGTTTCGCTATATTGGCCGGGCTGGTCTCGAACTCCTGACCTCAGATGATCCACCTGCCTCGGCCTCCCCAAGTGCTGGGATTACAGTCGTGAGCCACCGTGCCTGGCCTTAATTTTGGCTTTCTTTGGTAATTTTTTAAAGTTACGTAGTAAGAAAAATTCTACAGTACTTGTTAACTGAATATCATGTACTGAGCACTTCATTATCATTTAATCTTCACAATAGTCACCACTTAACAGGTGAGAAAATGGATGCTTACAGTTCAGTAAATTGTGTAAGGTTAAGTTACATGTTATAGGTAGTAGAGCTGGGATTTGAACCCAGGGCTGTCTCATTGTAATCATGCTGTTAGGTCACCATGTTATAGTCCTCCTACCTGTGTAAGTATTGGACTTGTAATCACTTGAGTTTATTTTTCAATATGTATTTTACAATAGTAGACCACAGAGAATCAATAGAGCATATTATCTTTGCAACTTGGCTAAAAGAATCTAAGGGAAGTCCTAAATTAAAGAATAGAACTAGATAATGCTGGACATGTAGCTGACCTGTCTTTTGCATTTGCAGAGTGCCAATTGAAAGAACTTGAATCGGCCAGGTGCAGTGGCTCACATCTGTAATCCCAGCACTTTGGGAGGCTGAGGTGGGAGGATCACAAGGTCAGGAGTTTGAGACCAGCCTGGCCAATAGGTGAAACCCCATCTCTACTAAAAATACAAAAATTAGCTGGGCATGGTGGCGGGTGCCTGTGGTCCCAGTTACTTGGGAGGCTGAGGCAGGAGAATCGCTTGAACCTGGGAGGCAGAGGTTTCAGTGAGCCTAGATGGTGCCACTGTACTCCAGCCTGGGCGACAAAGCGAGACTCCATTAAAAAGAAAGAACGAGAGAGAGAGAGAGAGAGAAAGAGGGAGGGAGGGAAGGAAAGAAAGAACTTGAACCAAGGACAATAGCAAAGGACTGTTAACAAACTAAATGTCCATCAGTAGGGAACGGGCAAAATAACATGTGGTACTTAAGCTATTCAAAAAGCAAACATAGTAGCTCACTCCTATAATCCCAGCACTTTGGTAGGCCCAGGTGGGAGGATCGCTTGAAGCCAAGAATGCAAGACCAGCTTGGGCAACAAAGCAAGACCCTGTCTCTACAAAAACTAAAAGATTAGCTGGGCATGGTGGTCCACACCTGTAGTCATAGCTACTGGGGAGGCTGAGGTGGGAGGATCACTTGAGCCCAGGAGT